>NC_000022.11:46209564-47459564 GCF_000001405.40 Homo sapiens | reverse complement strand
TCACAATCGTGGCAGAAGATGAAGAGCAAAGGGAAGTCTTACATAGCGGCAGGCAAGAGAGAGCATATGCAGGGGAACTCCCCTCTGTAAAAAACCATCAGATCTGGTGAGACTTATTCACTAACATGAGAACAGCACTGGAAAAACCTGCCCCCACGATTCAATTACCTCCCACCAGGTCCCTCCCACAACACATGGGGATTATTACAATTCAAGGTGAGATTTGGACAGGGACACAGAGCCAAACCATACCAGAAATCATCACATAGTTGGTGACTTTTCTGGTTATCTGCTGTTACGTAACAGAAAGCCCTGATCATCCTGGCATTTGGCAAGAACCACCTTGTAATCGTCATGGAATCTGTGGGTCAGAACCTGCGTCTGTCTCCTCTCCATGATTTTGGCACTGAAGGTCACTGAGAAGCATATTGTGGCCAGCACACTTCACTGGGTTCCAATTCGCCTGTCCCCTTTCCTGGCTGCACTTTGAGAGTGGGCACTGCCTTATTTCTTTTCTTTTCTTTTTTTGAGACAGGGTCTCGCTCTGTTGCCCAGGCTGGGGTACAGTGGCATGGTCTTGGCTCACTGCAACCTCCGCCTCCTGGGTTCAAGTGATTCTCCTGCCTTAGCCTCCTGAGTAGCTGGGATTATAAGCATGAGCCACCATGCCCGGCTAATTTTTGTATTTTTAGTAGAGACGGGGTTTCACCATGTTGGCCAGGCTGGTCTTGAACTCTTGACCTCAAGTGATCCACCTGCCTCAGCCTCTCAAAATGGGATTATAGGCATGGGCTACCATACCTGGCCTGGGCGCTGCTTTCAAACCAGGGTTCCGTGGCTTGAGGAAAGGGGGGCCAGTGAGGAAGCAGTGGCCGCTGAGAGTGGTCCTGGGTTCCCCTTCCATGGGCAGTAACTCATTCCCACTTGGGCCCGAGTTCCTGCCTGTCCTGGGTCCTCAAGGTACTGCCTGCCCAGGGCTGTCCAAGCTCCCACTTCAAGCCCACTTTTCTGGATTCTGGCCGTGGCGCTGCTTCTGCAGATGGGGCTGGGAGGAGGGAGTTAAGAGTGTCTGAAGCTCTAACCCCCACAATCCTACCTCAAGTCTGTAAAGGGCAGGCTCCACAGAAGATCAGGTGAAACTTGGCGTGAACTCCTAGCTTTGGTCAAGCGTCCCTTTGCCTGGCTTGTCCCTGTGGACGGTGTGGTCTCTCTGGGGTCCCCAGGGTCCTCTGGACACTGAGGCAGGGCAGGACGTAGAGATCCAAGACCCTCTTCCACCTTAACATGCCCTTGGGGTGGATTTAACGTTCCACTTTAATGCTTCTCTGTGCCTCATTTCCTCCTTCGTGAGAGGGAAATCTTCTCACTCCCCACCTCAAAGGGTTATTGCATCAAATGAGGTGCTGCATGGAGCGCTCAGACCACCTGGCACCTCAAAGGGTTGTTGCAGGCATCAAAGGAGGTGTTGCATGAAGGGCTCAGAGCCCGCCTGGTGCAGAGAAGGGGTACCTGAATGTGAGCACCCATGACCGCTGGGGCCGTTACGTTGCTACTGTAGTTGGGGTGAGGAAGTGCCCTGCCACAGGACACTGTCACCACCAACGAGGCCGCTGGAGAGGCCGCTGTCCCCTTCCTCCTCCTCCTGCTTTTCCCAGGCCTTGGCTCTGACGTGGTCACCTATGGGGCCCTTCCGTTCCCCAAGCCTCTCTCCCCAGCTGGACTGTGGGGGTAGAAGACGGGTCGGCTGTCCTCTGCGCTTCCGGCCATGTTGTTCCTGGGCTCCCCCCTTTCACTGGGTCGCCTCTGCTGGCATCCTTGGCCTTAGACCCTCCCCAGCACCCAGGGGGCTGCTCAAGGTGGCCTGGATCTTCCCGTCAAGTTCAAAGCGTTGACAGGATGCTCAGGGCCCACCGCCTTCATCACCCCCCACCAGCAACGGTAGCCTTATTGCTATTTTAAATAATTTTTACTAAGCGGCTCTAACTGGCTGCCCATAAAATAATGAAAGGAAAAGTATTCTCATTAAAGAGGAGTTTATTTGGATTATAAACTCGGGTCTTCTAATTGTGGCCTAATGCCAGGATCCCAGTGAGGCTGTCTGTTGTGGCTCATGGAGAGGCAGTGGCGGTGAACGCTCACCCTGGCTCCGACTGGGTGCAAGGAGGGGGCGCTTTTAAGGGCACTGGGGCAGGGCCTCGGTGTGGAAACACGAGGGGCTGTGTGTGCTCTCTCAGGAAGCAGCCACTCTGTGAGGCTGGGAACGGGCCCAGAACCACAGTGAGGAGGCGGGGGTGCTGGGGCTGGCCTGGGCCGGGAACTCCCCAGGGCTGTCTCGCCCTCATGCCCAAGGTGTGTGTGGCAGGCCCAGCCTGGGGGAGCCACGGCGATGACTCTTAGTGCGATGAATGATGAGCCCCACCCAGGTCCTCTCCTCTGGGAGGCAGGGCAACATGCGAGCTTCTGCAGGTCTGCGGGGCCAGAGGCGAGGCCAGGTGCAGGGCTCAGTTCTCCACACAGCAGCTGTGCCAGCCCCCCTGAGCCCCAGTTCCTTCTTCTACAAATTCAAATAAAAATATTGATCTCATGGGGCCCTTGTGTGGGTTAAGGGCCAAATCCAATGCCTGGCAAACAGTAGGCAGTTAATAACTGGCCCTTTCATGATAGGTAGTGGCAGTTCCCAGGCCTTCATTCGTGAGGAGGTTGTAGAGCCTGTCTCGGAACAGACGGGACTCCAGGTGAGTCCTTGCACTCTGGGTCTTGTTCCAGCGGAGGCTGTGGACAGGAAAGGGGCAACAGGTGAATGGTCAGAATGATTTCATGTCATTGTAGGGACAGAAGGGAGTCAGGGGACCGAGGGCTATTTTGAGGGCTCGGAGAGAGAACTCTAAGGAGATAGCCCTGAATCTGAGACCCCAAAGAGGTATGGTTGCCACCGCCCTGTCCCTCTGCTTGGGTCATCCCTGCTGACCACTGGAGAGAGCTTGGGGTGAGGCCCTTGACGTATTCTGGCCCTCTGGCCCCTCCCCTGTGGCAGGCTAACTCTACCTGGTATCTGTGACAGGTCTTAGGAAGGAGAAAGTTTTCTTTCTCTCCTCCAGGAAGGGGGATCACATCTTTGCCTTGTGGAATTCTGGGCCGAGGAATTTTCCTGCCCCTCAGCCAATGGCAGATGGCCTCCGTTCCTCCCCTTTCCCCAGTCAGTGGTTTCTTACCTTGTCTTGAGAATGGGAAGGGCACTCTTGATTCTCGTGCGCAGAGGCCTGGGGAGGCGACTGCATTTTGTGCTCGTCCTCTCCAGCTGTCCATCACTGGGCTGCACCATCGAGGTGACTCCCCTCGGCCCTGCCCTTCTTGCTGGCACCCAGGCAGGGAAGAGCTTATGACTGAGCGCAGGCGCCATCTGCATCTGGAGTGCCCAGCAGTTCTGCAGGGATCCTGCAGGCCACATGCAGCCTTTGGCGGATTTCTCCCCATCCCATCCTAGGGTGGCCACAGCTTCCTCCCAGGCTCTGCCAAAGGTGGGATGGTTGATTCTCATTTTCTAGAACAGTCATAGTGGAAAAGACTTGTCATCTTTTCTTTCCTTTGAGAGCTGTGAAGGCTTTGTTGGTGCTCCAACTTGTCAGGCAGTTTGCAAGTGTTTGATGTGAGTTCCTGAAAATAGAGTTTATTCGTTAGGTACTGTATTCTATATATATTTCTTAGTTCCATTTTGTTATTCATGTTCTTCAGATTTCCTCTATCTTGACTGATTTTATTTTTCTGCTTGTTATCTCAGTTACTAAGACATGTATTAACGTATCCCAATTGACTGTGGGTTTGTTTATCTCTCCTTGTAGTTCTATCAATTTTTGTTTTAAATGTTTCGAGCATCTGTTACTAGTGCACATAAATTTATATTTTTAAAACCTTCTCGATGCATTGAAAACTTTATTATGAAATGTTCTTTTTTATGCCCCCAAAACGTATTTTATCTAATATCAACATAGTTACACAGCTAAAAGAAAAACCAACTTTGGTAGGTGTTTACATTTTATATATATGTGTGTGCATTTTTCCCTTTACCTTTGTCACAATGTCATAGATATGTCTTTTGTCAACAGTGTATAGTTGACTCTTTATTTTTTTTAAATGCAGCAGTCTTCATATTTAACTGGAGAGGTGAGTGCTTATGCATTTGATGGAATGACTTGATGTCGTGAATGACCATTTGGGTTTAAATATATGAAGTGTTGCCTATTTGTCTCAATTTTCCCTTTTTTGTTTTCGCTTTCTATCCCATATTGCATTTCATGGGTTATCTATTTTATTATTTACCACCATTAACTTCAAAGTTTTAGACTATTTGAATATTCTTTTAGTGGTTGCCCCGAATATTGCAATAAGCATTCTTGGCTTATTAAAGTTTAGTATTTTTTGTTATTTTACCCTCTTTCTGGACAATTAAGGGCTTAAAAACACATAAGGTCCATTTATCACATTCCTTCTTGTATAGCATTGCTGTTGTATATTTTAATTCTCTGTTTTAAGCCCAATGAGGCATTATTTTCACACACACACACACACACACACACACACACACACACAAACTCTTTTTGTTCCTTATATATTTTGCATCTCTTACCTTTCACCTGAGATCATTTTTGTTCTGCCTATAGAACAATCTTTAGTATTTCCTTTAGTGTGATCTATTGGTGATAAATTCTCTGTTTTGTTTGTATGAAAATTCTCTTTATTTAACCTTAATTTTTAAAGAATATTTTCACTGGATATAACATTCTTGGTTGGCACTTATTTCCTTTTCAGCACTTGATATCATTCATTGTGTTTTAGTTTTTATTGTTGCTGTTGAGAAGTAGCTATTATTTTAATAGTTGCTCTTTGAAGGTAATGTGTCTTTTTCTCTAATTAAAAAAAAATCCTCTTTGCTTATGGTTATCAGCAGTTTTGCTCTGACATAGCTTGGTGAGGATTTTCTTTTATTTATTTATTTGTTTGCATTTTGATAGGGGTTATAAGATTCCTTGCTTCTGTACTTGAAGTCTTTCATCAGCTTTAAAAATTTCTCAGCCATTAACTTTTCAAATTTTCTTTCTGACCTACCTAGTCTCCCAGCTCCTTTTGGGACTGCAATTACAAGGATCTTAAACCTGTTCCTTATGTTCTATTTCATACCCATTCTTCTATGTTTTCCATCATGTTGTAGCTCTATTTTTTTTATTCCAGACATTTTATTTTGACTTTCTATTTCATTGATTTTCTCTTCAGCTATGTCTAATCTGCTTTTAAATCCATCCACTTAATTTTATTTTGCTAATTTGATTTTTCAGTATTACAGTTTCCACTTAAAAAAGGAATTTTCATTTATGTACTGAAATTTCTAATTTTTCCTTTATCTCCTTGAACATTATAAACATAGTTATTTAGAAGTATGTGTTGATGACTCCAATAGCTAGAGTCCCTGTGATTACTTCTATTGTCTGTTGTTTCTGCTGGTTTCATTCATATCGTTTTGACTCCATGTATGCATGGTTATTGTGCCTGATGTGTTTTAAAAGTTGTTTGGAAGACTAAATTAAGCCTTACAATGATACTATCTTCTTTCAGAGATGACTTACATTTCTTTCCATTGCTTTTTAGCACTTGAGGTCTAAATCATCTCAACTCAACCCCAGGTGTTGAGATGATAAGAAGTCACTTCCATTTCCTGGGAAGGTTTGTCTGCTCTAGTCCCTCACCACTCCTCACATTCAGCCCTTTGGTGTCTCAACTAAAATGAGGGGGCCTCACTGGGGCCTTCCCTGTTGTCTGGGACCCCACATGGCTGTGAAAGCACTGCTGTATTTTGGCCTCTCTATTGATCCCCATGGTATCAGCACAGTGCCCCCAGGAGTAAAGCAGCCACACATGGGAAGGCTTGGCCCCATTTTCCTGTGATTCTGGCCTGTACATTTTTCACTATCTTATTAGTTCTGTAACAATTTTTAAGAAGATATTTTTGCCTAGATATTTTAATTGTGTTCAGTTGGAGAACTGGTCATAATTGCCTAGTCTGTCCTTACCAGAAGAGGAAATCCTGACTTAACTTGCACCTTCACTTTGAACTATTTAAACTATTGCCACTGGCCAGAACTTCCAGCATCCTGCTTCTCATGCCCTGGGCTCCACATCCCCTAGGCTGTAAGATCTGCTTGGACTGGCCCGACCACTCCCACTCAGGTGTCAGCAGGAAGAAGGGAGGGATGAGGGGATGGTGGCACATTGTCCCTTCCCCTCCACTCGGCTCCCCACCTCCAGCCTACGTCTTGGCTAATGATGACAACATAGAAGTCTGCTGAGGACCAAATAGGGTCTCCCAAAGTTTGCAGCACTGGGGATTCAGGAATTATCTGGAGAGAAGGAATCCCTGCCCTCACGGACCTTATATTTTAGTGGACAGACGGAAAGTCAACATGCTCACAAACCAATACTAAAGTTCTCATGGCGACAAGAGCTGCAAAGACAACAAAATCAGGTAATGAGACTGGGTGGGAGGAACATGCAAGGGCAGGAAAGGCTTCTATGTGGAAGGAGGAGCCAAATGGGGAAAAGTCTGAGGGCAAAGCATGCTTGGTTAGAGAATAGCAGGGCAAGGGTCTTCCCCCAGAGCAAACGCAGCATGCCGAAGGGGCTGAAGGAACACCAGTGTCTGGTGTTGGAGAGAGACGAGTACAGTGGTGACAGGATGCTGGGGTGGGAAGGCATGAGAGCTGCCTGGACACAGTGCTGTGGCACTTTATTCTCCCCGGATACGAAGCCTGTGGCATATTTCCAGGGGGAAATGAACTGGAGAGGGCCCGTGTGAAAGTAGAGAAACCAACCCTCTCTTTAGGGCAGCAACTTTCTGAGTCTGGTCGGCTGACCCCAGCGGTCCCCAGGACGTTGCTTACGTGTCCATGTGCTCAAAAATACTCAAATAATACCTTAGGTATGCTACTACTACTGTATACTACTATATAGTATACTTAGGTATGCTACTATACTAATACTCAGGTATTATTTAAGGTATTATTTTCCTTCTTCACTGTGCCGTATTTGCCCTGATGTACAATAGCAATGGTGGATAATACTGTGGGTGCCCCAGAACAGATGCTGGTGGTGACTCTACACCCCCACTAGTGGTCATTGTGTGTTCTGCACCTGAACACATTCACAGGAAGACAAAACTCAGTTTCACTCAGGAGCGCCCCTGATGGGAGCAGTTGCAACAGTTAATTTTATTTAGTCTCAACCCTTGAGTACTCATTGTTCTGATATTCCATGCTACCACATGGGAAGTGCCCACAGGGCTGGGGGTAAGGGAAGCTGGGTGAGTCCTGGGGAAGGGGTAACTGGAGCTGTGTCAGCCTCTTAAGCTGTCCATGCAAAGCCCAGTGCTGTGTGTGTGTGTGTGTGTGTGTGTAGAGAGAGAGAAATAGAGAAACAGAGAGAGATGGCCAGAGAGAGAAAGAGAAACAGAGAGATTAGAAGGGGAGAAGGGGGACGAGGATGGGAGGAGAGAGGGAGGTGAAGACAGGTGAGGGGTGGGACATACCTAGCAGAGGAGAGAACACAGAGAATGAACAGAATAAGAAATTATGGAGTAAGATATGATGGATGAATTGCAGATTATTTTTTCTTTTTTTTAGAGATGAGGTCTCTGTGTTACCCAGGTGATCTCAAACTCCTGGGCTCAAGCAATCCTCCTGCCTAAGCCTTCCAAAGTCCTGGGATCACAGGCATGAGCCTGGCCCTGAATTGCAGATATTAACACAGAGAAGGGACGCAGCATCTGTTGGCCAGGGAGTCAAGGCAGATTCCCCGAGGAGGTGAATTTGCAGTTGAGGGCTGAGGCTTATCTTGAAAGCTGCCCAGTGGAGGGGGGGCGGGTGGGTAGGGGAGAAAAGGAACATCCCAGGTCAGGGGGCAGCTGGTGCCCAGATGGACCAGGGCAAGCCTGGCCTTCAGAGGTGGGTGGGTGCTCCTGGCAGCCCCACCTTCCCTTCCCCCATCACAGTGCATCATTCATTGGAACGTTTAAATGGCAAAGCTGTTCAAAAAGGTCTTGACTATTTTATTTAATTCAATTGTCAGAAACCCCATTGTACCATTGGGGTCATTACACATCTGATGTGGAAAATGGGGCTCAAAGGCATCCAGGGATTTGTGGCAAGTGGACCTGGATCCACGAGACCCGGAACGCTCCCACAGCCTCCTCCTCCAGGACAGCTGTCAGATGGCGGCAGTTTGATTGGAAACAGAACAGCCAGCACTTTCAGAAGTGCTAGCTGGTGGTTATTTTGGGGACATTGGGATGTAGCTGGGATTTAGGTGTCCAAAATATCTCCTATGAGACGGAGCCTGGCCTGAAGCTCTGATCCCAGGATTTCAGTCTTGCAGAAGGCTCCCAGCATCCTCAGGCAGAGCCCTCTCTGGGTTGAAGGCTTCCTGCTCCCAGTCTGGAGTCTGTAGATTAAGGCATTAATCACATCACAGTCTGGCTGTACCTTTCAGCTCATCCAAATAAGTGCGGTGTGATTCTATTTCACAGACAAAGTCCCCGGGAATCCAGCCAGTAGGTGATGAGGGAGCGTGGGGCAAAGGCTGACAACATCACTTCTGTAACTAGAGTGCATCCCAGGAACAAGAAAAAAGACCCTTCAGCCCCGGGACCCTGGAGCTCCTGCAAGCTCTCATCTCCTTACCCAGCAGTGTCTGCATGCTGGAGGGAAGCAGTGCTCTTTCCAATCCAAGTCTCCACCTGTGGCCTGGGTGGTTGGAGGCAGCAACCCAACCTCTCTGAACCTCATCGGGCGTGAGGAGGATGAACTGGGGAGGCTGCAAAGGCTGGTGCTCACCTCTTCTTCCACCGCCCTGGACCAGAACTCGACCACCCAAAGGCCCTTCCCAACCGGATTCATAAACTATAGGGAAATAGAAACATTTCCAAAACCGCTGTCTGGCCCGGCAGCCTGTGGGTGTGTTCTCACCTGATGCTTTTGACAGCTCGGCCTGGCACACATGGTTGTCACCACCACTCTGAAGACAAACAAGCGGGGCATAGGGTGGCGGCCTTTGCCCATGGTAGGGATCTGAGCATGGTTCACACCCAGGGCTCTGACTCACGGCCCCCCAGAGGCAGGTGGGCTGTCTTCTTCTCCTGTACCTGCTGGGACCCCGCCTGTGTGTGTGTGCAGCATGGGCCTGTTGGATTAGATGGAAGATTTTGAGGGGATCGCTGAGCTCAGTGTACGTAGCAGGTGCTGAGAGACCTAGAAGATCATCGAGATTCAAAGCTCTGCTCTTCAGCCATTTTTTAAGACTACTGGCTGCAAAAGAGAAATGTCCTGATAGGGAGGGGTGAATGTTGGTGCGGTCAGTAGAGTAACAACCCCCAAGACAGCCCTGTCCTGATCCCTAGAACCTGTGAGCATGTTTGGTTACACGGCTTACAGGGAGTTGAGGTCACAGGTGGAATCAGGTTACTCATCAGCTGGCCTTGAGTGTGAGGTTCTCCTGGATTATCTGGGTGGGTCCAACATAATCACAAGCGTTTTCACAGGAGGGAGGGGTGAGAGAGACTAAACCTGCTGGGTGCTGGTTTTGAAAATGGAAGGGGCCCCCAGGCAAGGAAGGCCGCAGCCTCCGGAAGCAAGAAAACCTCATCGGAACCAATTCTCCCCGAAGCCTTCAGAAGGAAGCAGCTCTGCCCACACCTTGATTTTGGCCCAGGGAAACTCCTTAGACTTCTGGCCTCCAGAGTGCTAGGATAATCACTGTAAGTCTTACTGCAGCAGGTGGCTTCGAGTGCAGGTGGCTGGCGCTGGGAGCTGGGCTGCGGTGTGGTGGGCACGTGTGTGTGGTGCTCTCAGCACTCACAGGCTTGCCAGGAAGCTGCTCTATGCTGGCCCCAGCCCAGCAAGCTCCCAGTGTCTCCCTTCTTATTTGATAACATTAAACAACTATTCATGGGGAGGAACTTTTTACCTACAGTGACTTTTAAGAGGACTGTGATGACCAGGGGCACCAGGTGACAAGAATGTTTAGAAACATTTTCTGAATAGATTTCCTTACATTTCCTCCCTAATCCAAACCAAGCCAATACACACACTCACATGCACCCTGCATTAGTCCATTTTCACACTGCTCTAAAGAAACACCTGAGACTGGGTGGTTTATAAAGGAAAGAGGGTTAATTGACTCACAGTTCCACATGGCTGGGGAAGCCTCGGGAAACTTACAACCACAGTGGAAGGCAGAGGGGAAGCAAGGCACGTCTTTCATGGCAGCAAGAGAGAGAGTGTGAGGGATAACTGCCAAACACTTTTAAACCATCAGATCTTGTGAGAACTCCCAGCAAGGGGGAAGTCTGCCCCCAGGATTCAATCACCTCCCATCAAGCCCGTCCCCCGATACATAGGTATTACAATTTGAGATGAGATTTGGGTGGGGCCACAGAGCCAAACCATATCACACCCCAAACATAATGCACATACGGTGTCCATGCCTTAAGCACACACTCATATGCACAGACACAGCCTGAGTGTGAGGCTGGTTTTGACCCAGCAGAGGCCTTTCCAAGGGCACTTAGGCTGGCACAGTGCATTGCACCATGTGGGCTGCCGGCCCCAGGGTGGGAGTGAAGGCGCTGAGGTGGCCCGTAGACCACCATCCTCAAGTGTGGACTCTGGAGCAAGCCTCCGCTGGGGCAGGCCCACGGCCGCACTCCTCTGCATGGTCTTGGCCTGGATCCCTGCATGGGTGCCCTGCAGCAGCCACAGGGTCCCTCCCTGAGTGCTCTGGGCCAGTCACAGCTTCAGCAGCCAGCGTGCAGTTCCGGATCCTCACTGCTCTCGCTGCTGCTCCCAACCCTCTGCTCGTGCCAAGGGCCCAGGGGGAGCTTCTGGGAGGTGGGCGGCAGCTCATTGGGTGCAGTTACTCTGGACTCCTGGCTCTGGGGACTCCATGTCATTAACCCTTCAGTTCTGTTTTCAGAGCCCAAAGATGCACTGCAGAGCCAGAGATGTTGGGAGAGGCAGTGTGGAGGAGACCACCTGAGCCAGGTGGGGGACGGCAGCCGAGCTGGGGGCAGAGCAGGCATTGTTCAGGTGAATGAGGTAGGGCCCTGGGTGCCTTGGCACTGGCTGGGCATGCAGGGGCCTGTGCACATCTCCCTGTGGGGTCCCCTCTGCTCTGGTGGTCCTCAATTTCCTTCAGGCCATGCTCAGAAGAACCTTCAGTCCGAGCCCCAGGTGCAGGAGGAGAGCAGTGCTCGGAGATGCTGGGTCCACAGCGGTCCAAGGGGTGTGGGGAGGATGAGACAAGGCTGTGACTGGGGGCTCCTGCTGGGTGTCGGCCCTCTGTGCTCTCTGTGTGTTCTCAGCCTTGGTGGTCAAGAGCAGAGGTGCAGTTTGGGGAAGGGACAAGAACAGACCCTAATGCTGTCCACCAGGAGAAGGGACTCCCAGCACATCAATAAAAAGTGTGCTGGGGTTGAGAGACCTCTCAGTGTCTTCCCACCACACTTAGGATGAAGGAAAACACCCTGTCACGGCCCTGAGACCCTGCAGGGTGTAACTGTAGCCCCATCTCTGGCCTCCAACCCACCCCACTCCATGTGATCTGCCCTCAGGCAGCCTTCCCTGTGCTGGTCATGGTCCCTCCCACCACAGGGCCTTTGCACCTGCTGTGGTTCTGCTGAATAATCTTCCCTTTCTCCTTTGTCTGCAACTCCTCCTGGCTCCACCCAAGCACTGCTACCTCAGGCGTGCCTGCTTCTCCCTCCCTGACTTGGCCAATCCCCGTATCCTTCCCAGCACCTCTCCCTCCCAGACTTGGCCAATCCTCATGTCCTTCCCAGCGCCCCTGCCTCGGTCATGATTTGACATTTGCCCGGTGATCTGATTGGCATCCATTTCCTCTGCTAGACTGTGGAGTTACCTGAGGACAAGGACCTGGCTTGCTTGTTAGTTTGACCCTTGCATCTCTGAGCCGAGGGCAGGGACAGCGCGTGGCGCCGCAGAGTGCCCCAAGTGCCGCCTGCCCTGAGTGGTCCATGCGAAGTGACCCTCATGTCTTCAGAGCAACCCTGGGCAGGCGCTGTTACTATCTACATTCTACAGAAGGGGAAACTGAGGCACAGCGAGGCGAGCCAGTATGTCTAAGGCCACACAGTGACATGTCACAACTGGACTTCAAAGTCTGGGCAAGCTGGCTCTGCGTGGCACTTTCCCATACAGGAGCCTCCAGCCACGCATAGCTCGTAGAGATTAAATGAGTGAAAATGAAATGAAAATAAAATTCAGTTTCTCAGGTGCATGAGCCGCCTTTCAGGTGCTTGGTATCCACGTGTGGCTTGTGTCCGCCATATTGGGTAGATTTGGCTCATTTCCATCATCGCAGGAGGCTTTGCTAGGTGGCATCACCTCTAGAGTTTGTGTCTACGGCTGGATGTGGACAGCCCCCAAGCATTTCCCAGTGGAATGGAGAAACAGGGCTTCCAAGCACCTCACCCCACTCTCTTCCCACACTCCACAAGGGGCTCTCCGGCCTCTCTGGAGCTCCTGGACTTGGGAGTGAGCCCCTCGCTTCAATATTCCCGAGTTTTCTTGCTCTTTATCCTGTAAACTGCTGACTTCGACAGCACCTGTTTCTGGCCTCATCTTACCTTCCGCATCACAGACAGAAACCTTTGTGTTTTTGTTTTGTACAGGGCTAGACAGGCTTTGCAGGCCACATTTGGGCTTTGTCTCTTCTTTCTCTCCTCCTCCTTCTCCCTCTCCTTTTTCCTGTCTCTCTCCCTCTTTCTATCGTTCTCATTTTCCATCTTCTCTTTCCAACCCTGTAAAGATGTGAACACAACTCTTAGCTCATGGGCTGTGTCTGCTGGGCAGGTCATGGTTTGCCAATCTCAGCTCTAGAGTCTGAAGCTTTGATAAGTGCCTTCCTCCTGGCATCACTGGGGTTTTCGTCCACTTGTCCCATCTGTTCTGTCTGGAGAACTCCTTTCTGATTTGAGCTGGATTCAGGGTCCCGTTCTTCCCCGGGGGCGTAGCTCCAGGAGCGGAGGCGGTGTTCTGGAAGCACTGCCTCTGAGCACTGCCTGGGCCCTCTCCCCCGCCTCCCTGCAATTCTGGGGCTTGGATGTTATTTTTTGCGTATGCAGGTGAGGCATCAGCTTACTCCACTGTTGTCTTTATTGCCTGTGATTTTGGCTGAGAATGTTGTGTTTCTTTCAGAATCAACAGCACACTGTCCCCGGCAGTCAGGATCAATGTGACCCAAAGAACACTTCAGGGGTGGGAGTGAGGGCCTATCCCGCCCTCACATCCCTTGTCCTGCCAAGGAGCTCTGGGGGCCTGTTTGCTCTGCTAAAACGATTCATTTTCCTGAGGCCGAGGCTGCCTGTCTGGCTAGGCCCCTCGTTGGTGCAGCCCTGCTGTGTTATTGACTCCATGTGTTCTGTTTCTTGGCCCTGTTTCCTCCCCACCAAAGGGGCCGTGATGCACAAACACCTGCCAGTGGCCATGGGGCCTGTGTGGTTGGCCTTCTAAGATGCACCTGGAACACAGGCCGGTTCCACACTCTGTGTGGAGGCTCCTTTCGTGTGTGTCTTCGACTGTCATTTGCCAGTGGGTCTCAGTAACCATCTGCCCCACAGACACTGCCTGTGGCCACCACCCCTGCATCCAGGCTCTCCTCCTCCAGCTGACTTCACTGCCACCCCACTGGGGGAGCTGAGAGAAGGTGCCCAGAACCAAGAAGCCCCACCTTGTGGGCAATGCCAGCCAATCAGAAGAGAGCAGGCAAGGCGCCTGGTGAGATGTCATGGCTGAAAGTGTGGGATGTGCAAGCGGACAGGCGGACAGAAGAACAGGTGGATAGGTGGACAAGCAGACAGGAGGACAGGAGGTCAGGAGGATAGGTGGACAGAAGGACAGGTAGACAGGCAGACAAGTAGACAGGAGGACAGGCGGACAGGTGGACAGGAAAACAGGTGGACAGGAGGACAGGTGGACAGGCAGACAGGAGGACAGACGGTCAGGAGGATAGGTGGACAGAAGGACAGGCGGACAGGCAGACAAGTGTACAGGAGGGCAGGCAAACAGGACAGGTGGACAGGAAAACAGGCAGACAGGTGGACAGACAGACAGGAGGGCAGGTGAACAGGAGGACAGGTGGACAGGTGGACAGGCAGGAGGATGGGCGGTCAGGAGGATAGGTGGATAGAAGGACAGGCGGACAGGCAGACAAGTGGACAGGAGGGCAGGCAGAAAGGACAGGTGGACAGGAAAACAGGTGGACAGGAGGACAGGTGGACAGGCAGACAGGAGGGCAGGTGAACAGGAGGACAGGAGGATAGGTGGACAGGCAGGCAGACAGGCACGGCCAGGGTTGCAGCTTCGTTGCTGTCTTACTAACTGTGACCCTTGACCAAGGCTAACCCTTCCAAGCCTCCTTTATGAAATGGAGATAATTATAGCAGCTACCACAGTTAATCCATGGGATACAGGGGCTTCCTGCCCTTTGCTTTCCCACCCTGTGCTGTCTGTGGCTTCCCACCTGACACTTTCCTGCTGTGGATGCTGCCCAGCCTGCTCCGGCACTTGCCAGGCATGGACTTGCTCCCTGTTGGGTGCTAGGAGGCTCTCCACAGCTGGGACGCAGCCCCTGCCAGCACGGAGCTCACAGTCTTGTGTTCCTGCAGAGGGATTGTTGGCCTCAGCCTGACTTCTCTAGAAAGTGGATCCCGAGGCAGAACCCTGACGTGCTGTTTTATGAGAGGGTCCAGCCCCGGTGGGCGGGAGTGAGGCGCACACGGGGAAGCAGGGAGAGAGGGAGAGCCAGGGAGATGTGCCTATATGACCTCTCTGGCCTCGCTGAGTGGCTGCTTCTACTGGGGGCCTGCCATGGAGAAGCCGCCTAGCCATGTCCCAGGCCAGACCCGGAGAAGGCAGGGGCGGGGTGAGGGGAAGTGAATTCATTCCTTGGCTCACTTACTCATTGGTTAAGCTCTGGATGGGGTCGCTTGGCATTATCTGTTGGGAAGCCATTCATTCATTCATTCATTAAATAATACATCCACTCATTCATTCATTCATTCATCCACCCACCCACCTGCCCATCAGACATACAGTGACACCCTCTCTCTACCAGCCTCAGCTCTGACTCAGGGGGTACAAGAAGAACCAGAGTGGATGCTGTCCTTGCCATAGGGGCTCCCACATGTCCCTGCCTGCACTAGCCACATCCCAGCTGCTGGTGACGTGTAACCCCTGTGGGCTGGCCCAGCTGGTCCGGGACCAAGGGAGGTTTCCATTTGGCTGGGGATAGTCAGGGGCTCTGGATGTGTCCTCACTCACTTTTGCTCATGGTCTGAACAGTGATGGTTCTGCACATGAACCTGAGATTCTGGTGACGGTGGTAGGTAGGCGTCCCCTCCCTCCCCCTCTGCCAGGGTGTGGCCATGACAGCCAGGGCTGGGTGTGGGGTGGCCACTTGCCAGTTCTGGCTGGGTCTCTTTCACCTAACCCCGCTTGTGAGGTCTCTGTAGGCCCCTAACTTGACCCGACCCCATGGGTGGGTTTGAGTCCTGCCTTGCTTCACCATGGACTCCACTAAGCCCCCGTACCTGCTCTCAGCCCCCTGCCTTGTGTGAGACCCAACCCCTTCACTGCTCCATCCTTAAGCGTGACTAGAGCTGGGCTCTGTCTTGGGCCTTGGGGCTTCCTGACCCCAACTGCACAGAGAAAAGGGATTATTTCTACCTGGTCCCTGCTCCAGAGCCCTCACCACATGGAGCACAGGGCCTGGCCCTGCCATCATAGCCAGCAGGCGTCAGTTCTTACCTCTGCCTCTTCCTACCTGAGTGCCTTTGGACAAGTTACTGACCCCTCTGAGTTTGTTTCCTTGCTATTATAATTTTGGATTGTAACATTCACCTAGTGGTATCATCATGAAACTTTAGTGAAATAATGCATGCCAGCCTCCTGGGACAGTGGTCACAGAGCTGGGACTCAAAACAGGGCACCTATTATCATTGTTATCATTACTAATTGTTGGTGGTGGCAGTGGTGGGATATGCCTCCACCTGGCTGGGTATCCCCTTGTTTCTGCCAGCTCTGGCTGGGGTTTATGTTCTGCTTTCTGGGTGCTGGTGTTGCAAGACAATAGACTCATCAATTACCTGGGATTCAGGGTGCAATCGGGGGGTTAAAGGAACACAGAGAAAAGGGCAGCCTTCCCCCAGGGAGGAAAAAGTCTCAGAGGATAAAGCACTCTTTTTTTTTTAAAAGAAATGTCAGTCTGCTTAGATCTTGAGGACAAGGGGTGTGCATGGAATGATACGAATTGGGAAGGCATCTTGCAGGGCCAGCTTCTTGGCTCACTGGAGGACAGCACGGGACTCACACTGGGAGCCTGACAGATTCTAGGTCTCTCAGCTCCCAGGGGACTCTGGAGAGGCCTCAAAAACAGCCTGCCCTGAGTCACTATCACACCACTCAGCCCTCGCCTGTTGGTGACCCAGGATGTCTGGCCTTTCAGGGGCATTGTCTAGATGAGTGACACAGGCTGCCTCTGTCCAGCTCTGTCCTGGCTGGGGGACTTTTCCATTTTCTCATACAGCTTGGTAAATAAGCAAATTTTACACAGTTGTAATTGGTATATGATCCATTTTGTTACTGAAATGCCAGGGGTCAGGTTTCGGTTCGGCTGCTTACCGTGCAGGAAGCCAGTCACTGAGACAACAGGTATTGCCGAGGAAGAAGGCTTTAATCCAGTGCTGCAGATGAAGAGATGGGAGATCAGCCTCAAATCCATCTCCCTGATCAACTAAAACCAGGGATTTATATAGCAGGGAAGAAATCTAACTATGTGCAGAAAAACAGGAATGAGAGAGGGTAAGGAAATCATCATGGGTGAGGGGTCTGGAGTCTCATTGTCTGGCTGCGGTGATTTTGTGAGTTTCATTTCCTTGATTCTCTCTGGGAGGCCTGAGGGTTGGTTTCTTGAGAAAGGAACTCAGATAGGACACATGTAAATTTCTCAAGTTTTAAGACCTAAGGGGCAATTTCTAGGTTTATTAAAAAAAACAAAACATAAACATTAGTTCTGCAGGGCAATTGGGCTGGTTTCCACTTGAGCCTATCATTTCCCCTCACCATAAGCCTTTTCTCCATTTTGCCAGTGTCTTCAGTGATTGTTTTAAATTACTGCAGAGATTGGCCATGTGCCTATTTGGTGGCGGGGGAGAGGGGGGATTGGGCTACTGCCTGTTGCCCTGAGTGTGTCTGCCAAGGTCCTGAGCCCACTGCATTCTGCCCCATAAGGGGCCAGGAGGCTCTTCCATGATGGAGACACATCCTTGCAGCCTTGTGGTCCTCAGAGTCCTGGCATGGGGGGCCTGGGATGTTGTCGGCATTGCTGTAGTTCTGTTATAAATAATGCCGTGATGGACATCTTCCTTCAAAAAGCCACACTCTCTCCTTTTCCCTCCACTCCTGAGTGCTTTACTTGGGACTGGCAGTGACGCTTTCTAAGCAGTGTCACTTCCTTGGTTTATAACAGCCTCAAGTTGTTCTTAGCAGGCCTTACCTTAGACACAGAAACCCTCAGATTTCCCTAAAGACTATTTAACTGAGTGGGCTCACAAAAGACGTGGCACAATTGCATTTGTCTCTGCCATGCTTGCTCACTGCCTGCCATCTTTAACCCCATCCTGTATTTTGTAAGCTGCATAAGTAGCCTGCATCTCACTATTGCTGGTCTTCCTGGAAGCCCTGGGTTCCAGAAGCTTCTCTACAGTTGTGGATGGAACAGAGCCAATTATGCCCTTTCCTTTTTGAAAAGCAAGCAAGTGTTCATTCTGAGTTCTGATTCTATTCTATGAACCATAATTCTTTATGTATAAAATGGGGATAAGAATATCTAACCCACAGAACGGTTGTGAGGACTAATCTATATAACAGCCAACAAAGGAGCTTCAAACACGAGGGTGATGCATACATCAAATGGCCATTGCTAGTTTTGTTAGCACTCTTACCAGCTAAATGCATCAGGTATATTTCTTATAAATTATAGTCAATAAGCCAAAATGAATTGACATAGGATGCTTCCCCTTGCATCAAACATGCAGAAATGATGGACATAATATAACAAAACATTGTAAATACGTAGTAGAACTTTATTTATTTATTTTGAGATGGAGTCTCGCTCTGTCACCCAGGCTGGAGTGCAGTGGCGCAATCTCGGCTGACTGCAGCCTCCCAGGTTCAAGCGTTTCTCTTGCCTCACCCTCCTAAGTACCTGGGATTACAGGCACACACCACCACACCTGGCTAATTTTTGTATTTTTAGTACAGATGGGGTTTCACCGTGTTGGCCAGGCTGGTCATGAACTTCTGACCTCGTGGTCCACCCACCTCGGCCTCCTAAAGTGTTGGGATTACAGGCATGAGCCATGGTGCCCAGCCATAGTAGAACTTTAAAGCAAGGGAAAGCCTCAGATACCAGAAGAAGATGGGGCTCAAAACCAGAGGCAAGAGTGGGAGTTTAAGTGCAATGTCAGCAGTAGATACAAGGCTGACCTGCAGCTCTTGGCCCCAGGATTGGGGAGATCTGGAATGGAGTTTCCTGCATAAATATGGGGTCTGAAACTTCAGGGAATGGGACCACCAAATGGGAACCTGCTCCCTGCCATGGGTCACTGATTTTGGAATGCCAATTCTGTGATGCATAGGGTCCATGTTTGTGTCAAAAAAACCCTGAAGTGAGAAAGCAGACCAACTTGGCTTTAACAGATGCAAATGCAAAATCACTGCACAGGGAGATTTTCACCACCAATGGTGCTCAGAACGCCTATGAAAACCAGTTCTCATGAAATACGCACTTAGAGTAAGAAAATACAGAGAACACTCAGCACACAAAAGAACTGGCATTCCAGAACTGCAGATGACAGAGCAATGTGAAGATGTTAAAATGAGTATGTTTAAGTTTTTCAGTGAGTCAAAGAAATAGAGTGCATAGACAAAAGTAGGACATTATGAAGAAAATGAACAGGTGGCTTAAAAAAAGAACCAGAAGGAAATTCTGACAATATAAAAATATGGTCATTGAAAGAAAGGTTTTATAACCCATGTTGCTATTCCTAAGGCAATTGTCTTAAGCTTTGCTCCTTCCAGTCTTTGGAATATGGCAAGGAAGTTAGAGGTGACCAAGTTCTCACATACCCTCTCCACTGAGGATTTATAACCTATTGAGAGAGATAGGTCAGAGAAAACAAAAATAGCATGGAGCATTTATTCATTTCTTACTATGTCCTGGCACAGACATACTTGTAAATGGCTTGTAAACCCCGTCTAGGAAGTGAGGAGCGTCTCTGCCTGGCCACCCATCATCTGGGATGTGAGGAGCGCCTCTGCCCGGCCACCCCGTCTGGGAAGTGAGGAGCGCCTCTGCCCGGCCGCCCCGTCTGGGAGGTGAGGAGCACCTCTGCCCGGCCGCCACCCTGTCTGGAGGTGAGGACATGTTTGTAAATGGCTAAGCCTTTACAAGCATTAGCTTATTTAATTCTAACAACAACCTTTTCAAGGAGCCCTGTTATTACCTAAGGCTCAGGAGGGTGAGGATCTGTTCACAATTCCATCGTGTGTCATGGGTGGTGCTGTGTCCAAACCTGGGGCTGTGGACTTCAAAGCCGGATGATGTCATCACTGAACAGAGATTACACGACAGAGACTCATGCAATGAAAGAACAAAGGAACCCATCCACACAGTCAGCTTCCACGCTGACCATGACCGCGTCTCACATCCCCATCTGGCTCAGTTTCCAAAAGCTTTAAAATCATTTTCCTTAGTAATTAATTTGCTAACAGTCAGTTGATGTGGATTTAAATTTTTTGGTTTTTGACATTTATTGGATTATCCCAACTCTACTAATGCACCTGCTCGTCTCTGGTAGCCCTTGCGCTTGGCCCTGGCAACTCTGGCATCCTTCCTATCTCCAAGCATCCATTTGGGTGGTAGCGTGACTTTCTATGAGAAGCTTGATTGCTAAGGGCAAATTCTAGGACAAAAATTCAAGTCCAGCAACAGCTCCTGGGGGTGCCTGGGACTCCTGGGATTACTGGGCTGTTGACCACCGGGCCCTAGTGATACACACAGCATGTGCTATCCACGGTGCCGACAGATCAGGCTTCAGGGAATGGATCAAGAAGCCCTTTAAAAATTCAAAATTGGGCCGGGCACAGTGTCTCACGCCTGTAATCCCAGCATTTTGGGAGGCTGAGATGGTCAGATCACGAGGTCAGGAGATCAAGACCATCCTGGCTAACATGGTGAAACCCTGTCTCTACTAAAAATACAAAAAATTAGCCAGGTGTGGTGTCACGTGCCTGTAATCCCAGCCACTCAGGAGGCTGAGGCAGGAGAATTGCTTGAACCCAGGAGGCAGAGGTTGTAGTGAGTCGAGATTGTGCCACTGCACTCCAGCTTGGGCGACAGAGTGAGACTCCATCTCAAAAAAAAAAAATCAAAATTAATTAAAAAAGACACAGGTAAGGATACAAAGCAGGTCTAACCCTCTTTGCACTTAATAAATGTTTATCAGAAGTGTAATTTTTATGACATGTCTTTTGGAAGAATAAGTGAAATGTGTTCTTAAAATATCTCAAAGTACAACCCCCTTCCCACCAAAAGGGGAAAAAACATAAGATTTAGTGGTGCATACAAACAGGTTATAAAATATGTTGACGTTTAAGTTAGCTGGGAATTAGGTAATTGATCATCAGGCAAATTGCTTTAAGTTTGCTGATTTTAGGTAAAGTGGTAGGCTCCCATCCTAACTATGCTGAATACCTTATTTTGAAAAGGAAAAAGAGAATTTGGAATGTAGAGGAATCTTGGATTGCGGGCATACTCAGATACATTTTGTGAAAGTTGTCAGAGTAAAAATGAAGTCACTTGGGTTTAAAGAAACCCTGACAGATAGAGCTGGGGAAGGCCATGCAGGGAGGGTTCTCACCCATAAATGCCGGATAACACAAACTATCACAAAAGACTGAGAAACACCCAACCTTGCACAAAGGCCATTGCAACCTTACACAAAACATACTTCTTCAAGACATCTGCCTAGCAACTGCATGTTCAGTCTTAGACTGGTCTCACCCTTGTCATTACTCTCTTAGCCAAGGATAACGATCTCAGAACAATTATACAATCCTCCTCACTTTTTCCTTAGAAAGCTTTGCCTTCCTTTACTTTTCTGAATATGTGCATCGCTTACTATGGAATGTGCATTCTCATTGCAATGCCCAATTCCTGAAGAAATATCATTTTATTTTAGAGAGCCTTTCTCTGTTTGTTATTTAGGTTGGCAATTTCCAGTGATAAGTGTTTTAAAAATCTAGAGCTTGAAAGAAAAGAAGATTGGAGACCTCCACTACTATGATATGGTAGATTAAAGATGGCTGCAAGTCTTTTGCTAGTCCTCCCATTTAGAGGAACAATTTATGCCCCCTTCCCCTTAAATCTGGGCGACCTCTGTGATACCTGACACTAAAATACAGCAGCCACCACACTATGCTGGTTTTCAGTCACAGTCCTTAAGAGGCTGGAATCTGTCACTTCTTGTGTCTTGGAATACTGGCTTTTGGCACCAAGCAACCATGTTGTGAGGAAGTACAATCAACCACGCAGAGGGACCCCTTATGGAGAAGAGCTGAGGCCCCAGTTGACAGTACCCACTGAGCTCCAGCACGGACTGAGCTGTCCTGGAAGTGGGTTCTCTAGCCCCATCAGGCTGCCCTTAGTGACTACATGGAACAGACATGAGCCATCCTTGCTGGGTCCTGCCCAAATTATGGACATGTAAGCAAGGGCAAAGTTTGTTAGTGGTATAAGCCACTAAGTTTTGTGGTGGTTTCTTAGGCAGCCACAATAGATAGTTGGAAAAACAGTGAAATGAGCTATGTGACAAATTCCTTTTCTGCTCCAAACACAATACATAAATGTGTTAAAACAACAAAAAAGACAAGTTATTTTTCTTTATTAATTTAATGTTAATTAAAATAATTTTCCAACATTTAAATTTTAATATTTAATTATGTACTATTTAATAAACAAAGCTTTTTTTAAAAAAAAAAAGTAAATAGCAGATTTAGAAGCAGTCCTGGGAAATCTCAGGTGCCAGTCAGTACAAGAGAACATGTGGGTTAGCAATGGGGAAATGAAACCCTGTGCTTCGGGAGTGCTAGAACAGACTTGTGACTTAAGGCTGTGTGTCAATGACTGCATTAGGTCTTGAGTGAAGATTGGAGGGTCCAATATTTAAAAGAGAGATAGATGTGGGCTCTCTGCAAAAAGCTTAGAGCAGGGAAGGATTGATCTGATTTATGAGAGGAAATAGTACAACTTTCCCCGAACCTTAGGAAACAGACAGGAAACAAGCTGCCTTGGGCAGAAACGGTTTCTCCCAGGTAGTGAGAACTCCAAGCCCAGACTGTGTGGACTCTAAATCTACACAGTGCTATGGTGGAAAACTCTGAAAGTAGAAATTAGGGCCCAAGTGGATTTAAAACCAGTGTATTAGTCCGTTTTGCATTGCTATAAAGGAATACCTGAGACTGGGTAATTTATAAAGCAAAGAGCTTTATTTGGCTCACAGCTCTGCAAGCTGTACAGGCATGGCACTAGCATCTGCTTGGCTTCTGGTGAGGCCTCAGGAAACTTTTACTCAAGGCAGAAGGTGAAGGAGGAGCAGTGGTGTCACATGGCAAAAGAGGGAGGAAGGGAGAGAGAGGAGGTGCCGGGCTCTTTAAAAAATGAGTTCTCATGTGAAATGATAGAATGAGAACTCACTAATCACCCAGGGGAGGGCAGCAAGCCATTCATGAGGGAATCTGCCCCCAGGACCCAAACACCTCCCATCAGGCCCACCTCCAACAATGGGGATGACATTTCAACATGAGATTTGAAGGGGACAGACATCCAAGCAATATCACTAATGAACACATGAAACACTTCTACAATTCTGTCCCATAGAAACACCTTCACATTCTAGGGAACTGGCAGGACTACAAGTGAGGACAACTTCAAGGGAAATGAGCCGATAAAAGAATGTATAAAGCACAAGGAAAAGGCACCATAGTGAGGGGCTGCCAGCACAGCATGTAGAGAATTCAGCCCCGAAGAACTAGAAATGATGGAGTGTCCTAACAAGGCTTTAGCACAAGCACAATGAGAATCATCCAAGAGATAAAGAGATGAAATTCATAAAAAGAGAAGGGTGTTGTTAAAAACCAAAAGACCTTATTAAAAGTAAAAGCTAATTGAAATTATAGAGTTGGAAAATCTAGCCAAAGGACAATAATTTAAAAATCTCCCGATAGAGATTTTATATGCAAAACTTTACGCTTCCATGGAGAGAAATATATTTGGAAGGTACTGATGGACATGGGAGGCCCAGAGTGCATGCAGTTCAGAGGGGAGGAACAAGGACGCGTGGGATCCCATACAACCAGCTCTCTCTCAAGCTTCCTGGGGCTCCTCCCCTTCCTGCAAGCTCAGTCCCAAGGTTTATCCATAATTCGTGTGCCCGCCCCTGTGGTCCCCAACCCTCAGCTGCGTACCCTGACTGCATTTCCCCTGTGGTCTGGCACAGAAGGATTTTCTTTCTTGCTTTGAGTTTTGCTTGGTTTTAGAAAATATTTTTTGTAGTTAGGACTTCTTCTGCATTTCTGTATGTTTGCAGTAGGAAGGAAGCTGTTAGCTCACTTTATCATGTATTTCCTAGTAGAAGTACTCGAGGACTGAACTGTCCAATACAGTAGCTGCTAGCCACATTCAAATGTAAATGAACTAAAATGACATGAAATTAAATTCAGTTCCTTATGTGCTCAATCTGCCAGTGGCTGCTAGACCAGAGAGAACATTTCCCTCACTGGGCAGTACTAGAGTGTCCCAGAAGGTCCAGTAGAACGCCATATGGTGGACGTGCACTGGACGTCAACATCTGTGTGCACAGAAATGAATCCATGTTGTTGCAATATGATACCATGGGTTAGGTATCATTTAGCAATGTCTGGAAACAGCTCCCTGAGCTTCCTAAAAAAGACCTTCCACAGACGGCAGAGATGCTTGTTTGGGGAGGAGGTCACATTAGGTGGCTTGTGATTTCTTCAGGAAACACTATCATAGGGAAGTGAGTCATAGGTACTCCTGGTGGCTTCCTTGTGTCCTCGCCGATGGCCGAGGGTGGAACAGTGAGATGGAAGAAGGAAGCGTGAGCAGCTGCCTGGCTCTGTCTCCTCCTTGTGACTGAGAAATCCTGCATCTGTGAGATCTGGGAACAGAAATCTCAGGGAGCTGCTTCCAGATGTTGCTAAATTACACCCTCACCCACAGCACCGTATTGCAGCAACATGGATTCATTCATACACACACAGACTTTGACATCAACTGCATTTCAAAATTAAGCAGAAACAGGGAACTGCAACAGCTTCTGGTTGCTATGATAAGAACGGAGGAGATGTGCAAACTGTTTAAACAGGAGCAGAAACAGTTGAGTGGAGAGGTTTGCATTACAAAATGAATGAAATGGAGCGTCTTAGGAAGATTGTCCCCCAGCCAGGCATCGGCGATGAGCGAGGAGGTCCTCTAGGTGGCAGGGGCAGCAGAGCGAGATCTGAACACAAGGTGTCCTTAGTTGGCGATGCTGGAATAGGCAGTCCTCAGTCTGCAAGTGAAGCATGGAAGAAGCTGTCCACATGGCGAAAGCAGGACGAGCCCAGCTAATGAATTCCTCATTGTGTACCATCCAGTGCCTGATAAATTCCAGAGCAAAGCTGGAGGACCCCATCCATTGAAGGTGGAGGGACAGAGCATGGGGCCAAGAGAGGAGGAACGCAGGAGGTACCAAGAGATCCAGGGGCTGCACCGACGGCCGCAGCGGGGCCAGGCTGTGCCGGGTGGCTTCATTTCTTCCCACTCACCCTCTGGCTGAGAGTTGGGGATTCAGAGATGTGTGGGACCTCAGGCTGTCCTCATGGGGTTCACTGTCTGGTGGGAAAGTCAGGGAAATAAAAAGCATGGTTGAAATTCATTTTGGAAAGGCTACACTTGCAGCGTGACTTGAGTTTTCTGAAGATAGAGGAAGGCCTTCTGAGAAGAGGTTGCCTTTGAGTTGGGGCCAGGGTGGTGGCTGAGTGCTCTGGGGCAGCTGGAACAAAGTGCCTTACACCGGGCAGCCTTGGACAACAGGCATTGGTTCTCTTCCAGTCTGGAGACTAGGGGTGTTGGCAGGACCACGCTTCTCTGAAGTCTCTCGGGAAGGACCTTCCTGGCCCCTTCCAGCTTCTGCTGTTGACTGGCATTCCATGGGATTCCTTGGCTTGTAGCTGCATCACTTCATTCTCTGCAGTCATTGTCACACGGCCATCTCCCTGTGGGCCTCTCTCCTGGTCTCATAAGGACACTGTATTGGATGAAGAGCACACCCTATTCCAGAGTGACCTCATCTCAACGGATTACACCTGCACTCACCCTATTTTCAAATTAGGTCACATGGGGAGGCATTAGCCATTATGACTTCATATATCTCTTTAGGGAGCACAATTCAACCCAGGACAGGTGGGCAGGGTGTAGTTCAACTGCTGTAGGAGTTTTCCTGGTCAGAAACTGGGGGATCACCACCCTCAGGCTCAATCCACACACCCGCTCGCTTGGCACAGCTGGCTCTCTCTCCTGTGTCCCCGGCCCAACCCTCCCTCTCTGTCTGACTGCTGCCCATGTCGCATAACTGATCTCCAAACCTGCCCCATCCACTGCTGGCCAGCCAGAGTGACCAGCCAGAAACCCATGTTTAACCTACTAAGAATTCTTAAGAGGGCGCTTATTGCTTGCAGGATAATATCCAAATGCCTTTTAATGACACATGGGGGCTCTGCACAGCCTGTTTCCACTGTCTCTGCTCAGCATCCCCGTTTTATAAAAATAGAAAACATTTTATTGGACTCTTCACCGTGTGCAGGTGTTGTGTAGTACACGCACCATCTCCTCGACTCCACAACAACCTTGGGCAGATCATCTACCCCCTGACTACCAAGCTGCTT
Source organism: Homo sapiens (assembly GCF_000001405.40). Lineage (NCBI taxonomy): Eukaryota > Metazoa > Chordata > Mammalia > Primates > Hominidae > Homo > Homo sapiens. The sequence goes on along the minus strand of NC_000022.11, from coordinate 47,433,438 downwards.
TCCTGGGAGAGGAAATGGAGGCATAGGGAGTTTGGGTGACTTGAAAATGATATTTGCGGCCGGGCGCGGTGGCTCACGCCTGTAATCCCAGCCCTTTGGGAGGCTGAGGCGGGTGGATCACAAGGTCAGGAGACCGAGACCATCCTGGCTGACACGGTGAAACCCCGTCTCTACTAAACAAAATACAAAAAATTAGCCAGGCGTGGTGGTGGGCGCCTGTAGTCCCAGCTACTAGGGAGGCTGAGGCAGGAGAATGGTGTGAACCCGGGAGGCGGAGCTTGCAGTGAGTCGAGATCGTGCCACTGCACTCCAGCCTGGGTGACAGAGTGAGAATCCGTCTCAAAAAAAAAAGAGAAAAGAAAATGATATTTGCCAAAGGAAAGTGTGCCTTTTGCAGGCCACACCGCTAGTGACTCCAAGAGTCCATATGCAAAACCTGGACAGTCACATCTGGGGGACTCTTAACTCCTATTCTTCTCTGATGGGTCCCTGAGATACCCACTTCTCCAGATATTTCTACTTCCTGCAACAGGCGATGCACTCTCAAGCTCACGTCTTGCTTCTGCTTTTGATTCTTCTGGAATTCCCCATCTATGCCTGTCCACCGCGGGTCCTCTGGGTCTCCATTCAAGCCTTCCCTCGTCCTCTGTGTGTTCCCACACTCTGCAGGCAACCTTGGCCCAACGTCTGCAGGCAACCTTGGCCCAACCTCCTCTGCCCCCCTCCCCCTGGGCCCCTCCCTCCTCCTCCTCTCCTTCCTTTTCCTTCTTCTCTTTCCTCTTTTCTTCCTTTTTCCCTTCTGACTTCAGGTGCAGAGAGTTGGGTTAATCACATTCTCCAGTTTCTAACATGAAAGATAGGGCTCCACTTTTCTAAAAAAGAAAAAAAAATTAATACTTTTTTTGGGTCCTTAATACTCATTCATGAGATCTTATTTAAAATTTTGTAATATATTGGCTTAATTATTTTTTAATAAATGTTACTCGGCCGGGTGCGGTGGCTCACGTCTATAATTCCAGCACTTTGGGAAGCTGAGGTGGGCGGATCACCTGAGGTCAGGAGTCCAAGACCAGCCTGGCCAACATGGTGAAACCCCATCTCTACAAAAATACAAAAATTAGCTGGGCCTCATGGCAGTTGCCTGTAATCCTAGCTACTCAGGAGGCTGAGGCGGGAGAATCACTTGAATCCGGGAGGCAGAGGTTGCAGTGAGCCGAGATCATGCCACTGCCCTCCAGCCTGGGCAAAAGAGTGAGACTCTGTCTTAAAAAATAAATAAATAAATAAATAAATATTACTCTACTAAATATAATCATAAAAATGTTTCGATGTTGGCTAATTTTCTTCTTCTGTTTGCTATTTTTAATTTCCGGAAGTTCTGCAAAATCATAATTCTGCATAAATATACATATTTAAAATTTAAAATAGCATATTTAAAAATTTTAGCATGATGGCCATTTAAATGAGTTTTTGTTCTGGAAAAACCTTGATTATCTTTTTAAAATTAGTTTTTATTAAATAACAAATACATACAACAGGCATACACAATATATGAGGAAGCATAAAAAATAAAATAAAAGGCAGCAGCTCTGTATGCACCATGCAGTTTACGAAGAGATGCCTGGGAAGTTGAGAACCGCCTGCTTGTCATTTCGTGCTCCCCTTTTCTTTCTCCTTCTAGCAGGTGCATTCATGATCTTGAATTAGGTATTAATCATTCCTGTGTTGGCCCTTTAATACATAAATAATGTATCGTTTAGTTTTGCATGCTTTTGAACTATAGAACTCTGCTGCTAAATTATTATTATTATTATTATTTTTTTTTTTTTTTATTTTATTTTTTTGAGACAGAGTCTCCCTCTGTCACCCAGGCTGGAGTGCAGTGGCATGATCTCGGCTCACCACAACCTCCGCCTCCTGGGATTCAAGCATTTTTCCAGCCTCACCCTCCAAAGTAGCTGGGATTACAGGCACCCACCACCATGCCCAGCTAATTTTTGTATTTTTAGTAGAGACGGGGTTTCAACATGTTGGTCAGGCTGGTCTCGAACTCCTGACCTCAAGTGATCTGCCTGCCTCGGCCTCCCAAAGTGGTGGGATTATAGGCGTGAGCCACCACGCCCAGCCTATGCTGCTAAATCCTTTTTGTTTTTTGTTTTTTGTTTTTTGAGACGGACTCTCGCTCTGTCACCCAGGCTGGAGTGCAGTGGCGCGATGTCGGCTCACTGCAAGCTCTGCCTCCCAGGTTCACACCATTCTCCTGCCTCAGCCTCCCTAGTAGCTGGGACTACAGGCGCCGGCCACCACACCCGGCTAATTTTTTTGTACTTTTAGTAGAGACGGGGTTTCACTGTGTTAGCCAGGATGGTCTCGATCTCCTGACCTCGTGATCTGCCCGCCTCGGCCTCCCAAAGTGCTGGGATTACAGGCGTAAGCCACCGCGTCCCACCTATGCTGCTAAATTCCTAAGTAGTTTGCATTTTTCTCCATGTTGCAGCAGGCGGAGCTGTAGAGTTCGCAGCCCCTGCTGGACACGTGATGCCAGTGCAGAGGGGAAGTGGGCTGGTAAGAAGAAATACCCTGATTGTTCTCTCATCCTGCCCCCGACTTCCTCCAGTGCTTCTCATTGGCTGAACCCAGTTGGAGTCCAGGGGCAAGGAGCTCTGGGAGATGCTCCCTGGATGATGGAGAGGTTGGTCCCCGGAAGCTCAGAGCAGGGCAGCAATGGATAGACATGGGTCTTGGAGTGGAGAGGAGCCAGCACACACATACTTAAGGGTACTAGGTAGTGTCAAATGATTACTCAAAGTGGTTAAACCAACTTATGCTCCCAGCAGCAGAATCTAGGAGCTGTGGCTGCTCCCTAACCACACAAGCATCTGGCACTGTCTGACTTCTTAGGGTTTGCATATCAATGGGTGTGAAATGGCATCTCATGGAAGGTGCATGGACTAGATTGCACAAGACTAATAAATAGCAACTAATTACTAAAGAGGTTGAGCATCTTGTCATGTTTATGGGCCATTGACATTTCCTCTTCTGTAGAGTGCCCAGTCAAGTCTGTCGCTCATTTTTCTATTAGTTTCTTGGATGGATTCATCAAAAATTTTTTTTATGGAGCACTTTCTAAGTGCCAGATTCTGCTCTACATCTTGGGGATGTAGCAGTGAACAAAAGTGACAACACCCACGGTCCTTATGGAGCTTAAATTCTTATGGAGGGAGGCAAACAATGATTAAAACAAAAAATATGTTAGAAAATGAAGTGTACTAATTCTATTAGAAGTGTTATAATTACATATTGGTATGCCCCTAATTATGTTAGAAGTGTTATTGAGAAGAAGGAGTGGAGGGGAGTGCTGGCATGGCAGTTTTTAATCCTGCTGTCAGGAATACATAAATAATGTATCATTTAGTTTTGCATGCTTTTGAACTACATACAATACAAACACACACCTCTTCAGTTTTTTCTTTTGATTGATATGTGAATAAATATTGCCTGATCTTTCTTCATCCTTTTCTTTGATCTTCCTGCATTCTGAAGTTATGTGTTTCTTATAGTGTATAGATCAATTTTCTTCTTAAAATCTAGTTGAGCAATCTTTGTCTTTTAACTAATGAGATTAGACTATTTATATCTATTGTAACCAGTGAAAAAATATGATTCATGTTTATCATGACTAAGAAGGTAGGGTGTTAAGAGCATGTGCTCCAGATTCCTGCCTTTCTACAACCCCTCCCTCTGCCTGGACCCCTCTCCTCCTAGACAGCCTCATGGCCACCATCCCACCTCCTCCAACACTCCACCCAAATGTTTCCTTCTTACCCTTTTATGCTAGTCTCTCTCATTCTCTTACTAGAATGTTGTCAAGTTAATTGGTATGTTCAAAGCTTTAATTTGTCTGTTGTTTATTCATGTATTTAATGTTTGAAAATCATTTTCTTCCTTCTATTTTCTTTGAGGTATTTTACTGTCTTTTTGCAACTTCTTATGTTATATGCTTGTCTCATTGATTTCCAATCTTTCTTCTTTTCTAACCTAAGCAATTAAGGCTATAAATTTCCTTTTATGAACTGATTTGGCTGCATCCTATAAGTTTTGAAATTTCAAATTAAACAAATCTTTAATTTCCATTATAACCTTCTCAATGATTAATTTAGAAGTGTGCTTTAAAAGGATTTTTCCAAATACATGCAGTCTTTCTAATGATATTTTTATTAATTTCTAATTTAATTAAAGTTTTGTCTGAAAAATTGATCTGTATAATCATAATGCTTTGAAATGTATTAGTACTGCTGTATGGCCTAGGATGTGCTAATTTTTATAAATGTTCCATGTGTGCTTGGAAATAATATGCATTCTCCAGTTATTTTTATTTTTAGAGTGGACTAAGCTTGTTAATTACAATATCCCAATATTTAAAATTATCCTTTTCATCTACTAATAATTACAAAATACAACAAGATTTCCTTCTATGATAGAATATAGTAGTCAATTTTAGTTTTACATATTTTGAAGCTGTTGTTAGATTAATTACGATTTGAAATTATTCTATACTTGGTATATTTAACTATTTGGCGTTTTTATAGTAACCTTCTTTTCTCTATGTATTTTGCCTTAAATTCTGACTCTCTCTCTCTCTCTTACACACACACACACACACACACACACTCTCTCTCTCTCTCTCTCTCGGGTTTTTTCTTTTGATTAATATTTGAATAAATATTGCCTAATCTTTCTTCATCCTTTTCTTTGATCTTCCTGCACTCTAAAGTTGTATGTTTCTTATAAATAGTGTATAGATTAATTATCTTCTTAAAATCTAGTTGAGCAATCTTTGTCTTTTAACTAATGAGATTAGACTATTTATATCTATTGTAACTAGTGAAAAATTATGATTCATGTTTATCATCTTTCATGCTTTCTGTGTTCCCTCCAGTTGTCTTTCTCTATATTCACTGAGTTTGATTTATTCATTCCACTTTTTCCCCACGACCATTTTGGAGGTTTTTGCACTCTTATTTTATTTTAGTTGTTACTTTAGAAAAGTTTACTTTTAAACCAACAAAGTAAAAGATATTCATCGTCCTCCCCAAAGCACAAGGATCTTAAGATAATTTAACTCTCAGAATTCCCCTTCTCTACTATGTGCCATTTTGCCCGATTTTATTATATTTTATCAATTTTTAAATTTTGTTTCTTAATCCCCCCCAAGTTGGGGTCTGTTGTTGTTGTTCTTGTTGATTGTGTTGTTGCTTTGATTCCATTCAGCTTACCTTTATTTAGATTTAACCAAATAAATACCATTCTCTTTGCTTACTACTCCTTCTTGTATTCCCCAATTTCTTCTGGGCGTGGCTTTACTTCTGTCTGAAGTAGATTCTTTAGAATTTTCTGTGGTATGGTCAGTTGATGGCAAATTATCTTATTAAGTTATTTTTATCTGAAAATATGTATATTTTACCTCCATCATTAAACGATAGTTTTTCTGAGTATACAATTCTTTTATCCTCTCTGAAACACACTGAAGATATTATTGCCTTTTTTTTGTCGCATTCTCTACTGCTGTTGAGAAGTCAATCAATCCTCAATCTGACTTTTGCTCCCTGATGGACAATATTTGTTTTCTTTCTCTTTTTATGATATTTTCTTTTCATATTTCTCTTTTTTATGATACTTTTCTTGCTTATTCGATAGTTTAACTCAGTGTGGATTTCTTTCTGTTCTTTTTTTTTCTTCTTCTTCTTTTGAGACAGGGTCTTATTCTGTCTCCCAGGCTGGAGTGCAGTGGTGCAATCTCCGCTCACTGCAACCTCCGCCTCCTGGGTTCAAGTGATTCTCCTGCCTCAGCCTCCCCAGTAGCTGGGATTATAGGTGTGCACCACCACGCCTGGCTAATCTTTTGTATTTTTAGTAGAGACAAGGTTTCACCATGTTGACCAGGCTGGTCTTGAATTCCTGACCTCAAGTGATCCACCTGCCTCAGCCTTCCAAAGTGCTGGGATTACAGGTGTGAGCCACCATGCCTGGCCGATTTCTTTCTTTTTAAAACATGCATTCTCTTTGTGTTTTGTCCAGTTGCCTGAGTTTGAGATTTGGAGCCTTTCTTCTGTTTCTGAAAATACTTATCCACCATCTAATAAGTGTGGCCTCTGCTCCACTGTCTGTGTTACCTCCTTTTAGAATTCGAATGAAATGTACCCCAGCTCCTCTTTCCCTCTTAGCCCATCCATCTTTTGCATCTGTCACATGTGTTCGTGTCTGTGCTGTATCCTACCTTTCACTTCAGTAATTGTTTCGTCAGCTGTGCATAATCTGCTGTACCACGTCTGTTGAGTTTTTAATTTTGGTTATATTTTTAATTTTATTTCTAGACTTCTACTCAGTTATTTTTCAAATCTCCTTCATTTCTTGTGGTCTCTTGGATTTTTTTTTTACATGTTAAAAAATTTTGTTTCTTAAAGCATATTTCACATCTATAAAAATATATATTTTATATTCCAGCTTCTAGAAATGCAGTGGCTGCTGGCTTTGCAGCCTGTTGTTCCTGAAGCCGGTTGTTTCTGCGGGCTGTCATGCACGTAGCCTGCCTTTTGTGTATTTTGTGGTTTTTGACCATGGCTCATTTTTTCCTTATAACTTTGTATGTGGGAATTATTTGAGGCTTGTATTGAAGTTGTATTCTGTTGAAGGGAATCTGTATTCTCTTGGGTTGCTACCAGCTCAGGATAGACAACTTTAAAATAATTTCTCCCTTGAGGTTTTGTTTTTTTTCTCCTTTTTATCACAGTGGATATGAGTTCAGAATGCAAAACCACATGAGCATTGGTTTAGGGTTTCACATTATCAGGATAATTTTTTTTTATTTTCTATCTACTCAGCAATAAGTTTGAGCCAACGTAGGGTCTTTATTGTCTTTTCATGAGGTCTTTCTAGGTTACTGTTATACGGAGGGGTAGCTCTTGGAGGTCCCTGCTTCCTGGGGGGCCATCTCATGAGACACTCTTCACTGAGTTGACTTCGTCTTGTCCTGTGTACCCTGGGTCTATGCAGCTGTCAGTCAGAAGGTCAGGATCTTCTGGAGTTTGCAGATGGAGGATCCTGCTTTCATATGTTGATTGGTCCTGGGGGTTTATTGTTTCTGGCCCACTCACAACACATTTGAAAAGGGATATTTAGAACAATATTTTATTGGGCATGTTGAGTTGCTTTCAGAAGGGTTGTTCATTTTCTATATTTTTTGTAACCATTTCTTTTGTTTTATTACTGCATTTTTCCCTTTATTCTCTATTCCCACTTCCATTCTGCCTCAAAGCCTCATAAGCACCCATTATAATAGATTTGGAGTAATTCTTTGCATATGGTGACATCTCTGCAAAATATTGAGTGTCGTGTTGGAGAAGTATTTCTCTAACTTTACATGAGTATTTTACCAGATGCCGTTCTTCTCTTCCCACCTCCCTCCACCTGACTCTGAGTCTGAAGGGTCTATCCATGGTGGATGTTCACCTGGTTCATTCCCTCTTACTCCTGCCTGTGATTTCATTCAGAGCTTCCACCTCCTGTTATCCATCCATCCCCTACGCATGGGCACTTGGATGGGATGGTGAAAAAGTTACATTGGCATTTAAAAGCTGTTCTTTCGAGATGGGATGAAGGTTGGTTTTGATGGGGTAGTGCCTGGAAACAGGGAAGCTTCACTCCAGTTCATTGTTAAGTTTATTAATTACCAGTTGAGCTTCTGGGCCAGCTGAATGAGCAGCAACCCTGATGAAGGCTTCCTTCTCGTCTAATGCCTGTGACTGTCATTTACCTCTCTCCTGGGGCACTGAGCACTCAACTTCATGATGTGGTTGTATCCATCATCCTAGGGAAGCCCCAGCATGGACGTAGGTACCTCTCCTTCCATTCTTTATCCACTAGCACTTGTTGATGTGCACTGGACCTGAAGATGTTCTCAGAGGATGCTCTGCCAGGCATCCAGAGCTATGTCTGATGGATCCAGTGGGGGTGTGAGGGGGTGGGGATGTCAAGCACCAGAGGTGAGATTGTGAGGACTCACTAAAGGGGCTGGCTTTGTCAGCTGGAAGGGCTACTTGAAGAGGCCCTGTCACATTTTGGAGCCCAGGCACCCTTGCCTTGGAATCCTCCCAATGAAACCTAACTCAGAGCAAAGATTTTCTTCCCAAGAGTTGGCTCAACAGTGACATCACAGCAGAGGTGGACATGACGGGAGATCTGTCTCAGAAAGGCGGTGGGGGCAGGTGTTGGGGGCTTGGGGCCAAACACAGCCTTGAGGGGTAGCTTGTCCTGGTTCCTTCCATTATTCAGGGATCTCCCAAGACATAGAGGGAAGGGGGGAGGGAGGCAGAGAGAGAGAGAGAGAGAGAGAGAGATAGTGAGATTGAGATTTTAAAGAATTGGCTCACACAATTATAGAGTCTGGCAAGGCTAGGCCAGCAGGCTGGAGACCGGGGAAGAGCTGATGTGCAGTTCAAGCCTGAAGACCACGTGCTGGCCGGATTCTTTCTTATTGAGGAGGGGTCAGTCTCTGTTTCCTGAAGGCTTTCACCTGATTGGATGAGGCCCACCCACGTTACAGAGAACAATCTGCTTTACTCAAAGTCCCCAGATTTAAATGTTAATCTTATCCAAAAACACCGTCACAGGAATATCCAGAATAATGTTTGACAAAATATCTGGGCACCGTGGCCCAGCCAAGTTGACCCATAAAGGTCGCCATTATATTCATGGATGCCAAGAAAGGTTGGTTGGGAATCGAGATGTTTATCATGAGCAGGTGACACCTGGAAGCGAGGGGCATGTGGGCACATTGGAGCATCTCATGGCTGCCTGTGCTCCTGGTCTTTCTGCTCTGCAGACCAAGAGCCTCGGAGGGGAGAGGGTACACCACTCCTCCAGGGGGTCCTGCACGGGCTCGCTCCATCTAATTTTGTTAAACTTAAATGTGGATTTTCTGGGCTAGATTGTCCGGCCTTCCAGGTGCTAAGAGAGCTTACTAGCCATGCCCTCGACCTGCTTCTCTGTTTGCTGTACACACATCTGCTGAGCACACAGTCCGTGCAAGATGCTGGGTCAGGCCTCAAGGGAGGGGAGGGCTCACTCACACTCTGAATGGCACCAGTGCTGGGAGCATGAGGGCGGGTCGGGGCTTGTGCTGGTGGCTCTTCATGCCTTCCCTGCCTCTGGACACCCCAGCTCCCCCTCTGTCCCTCCTCTGTGCACTGCCAGCTTTGCCATGTGGCAGGAGCCACACTCCTGGGGGAGACACCCACTTTTGTCCATTTGCATCCATCCCCACGTTGTGGGGGAAAAGCAGGGAGGGTGCATTTGGGTTTCCCATCAGGTGACGTTCACAGTCTCACCCGTGATCAGATCTGCTCCATGCTGCTCCCTGCATGCGATGGGAGGAGCAGAGAAGTCTCCAGGCCTGGCGGGGAATCACCGACCTTCGCTATCCAAGAGGCCTGCTGTCCACTCCCCCTCAAGCTGCTTCTTGGCTCTCTTGCTTCAGCCATGTACTGCTCTCCACCTCCAAACCGACTGTCTTTCCTGCTTCTCCCCAGTTTTGGCCACGCTCTTCTTTTGGTCTGGGATTCTCTGCTTTTCTTCACCTGGCAAAATTCTGTTCATTTCTCGGGATGAACTGTCTCCTCCTGGAAGCTTTCTGTGAATGCTCAGCTGAGTTGAGTGTCTTTGTCTGAGCCCTGTAACACCCTCTCCTTCCTCCACAGTCACTGAACGTGCTGTATTTTCTCTCTGTTCACCTGCCTCGTCACCTGTGCGGTTCGGGAGGATGGGAATGGGATTCCTGGCTCTGCATGTCTGTTCCTAGGTCTGCCACATCACAGGCACTCAGTCTGTGCTCTCTGGTTGGAGAGTGAAAGGCTTGCTGTGTCCTCAGAAGGGCAGGAGGTGGGGACGCTGGAATCCATCACTGTCCCCATTATGCTGTCCTCGCTCCCAGAAGAGCAGGGTTTCCAGGGGCTGTGAGGGCACTGGAGTCCAAGGCGCAGGGGGCTCTCCCCAGAGCCACTGAGCACGAGGCGGTGAGCAGGCTGTCGCTGGGTACTATGGCTTTGGAGCCTTGGGAAGATATTTATTTGTCTCATAACCAGAGAAATGGAATCCTGTTTCCTTGCTTACATTTATGAGTAAAATGTCCTCTTAGGTTGTTCGAAGAAGCAAGTTTTAGGCTATTAACTTTTTTTAATTTTACCTTTTATGGGAGTTTAAATAACAAGGTGAGCATGGAGCACAATGCGGGTGATTATGAAGTAGTAAAAGGCGTTTAGAGCACTCATGGGGCAAGCGGCAAAGCTCAGAGCCAGTGGGAAAAGAAAGATTGGCTCCATTGACTCAAAGCACAGCATTTATCTAACCTTTCCCTTTAATGGAGTAACTTGTGAACAAAGAGGGGATCCATACGAGGAAGCTGCACGTTGGTCCGCAGTGGCTGGCCAGGGGCATCCAGTGATTTTCCGGGGGGGGGCTGCGGGGCAGAGCCTGCTTTCAGTGGGGCACAGCCTGTTTTTTGCAGATGGCACTGAGTGGGCTATGTGGCTACAGCCTGCTGGGGAAAGGGCGCCGGGTCAGGTGTCACTAACCTGTTTTTTTTTTTTTTTTTTTTTTTTGAGAGGGAGTCTCACTCTGTCACCCAGCCTGGAGTGCAGTGGCGCAATCTCAGCTTACTGCAACCTCCACCTCCCAGGTTCAAGCGACTCTCGTGCCTCATCTTCCCGAGTAGCTGGGATTACAGGCACATACCACCATGCCTGGCTAATTTTTGTATTTTTAGTAGAGATGGAGTTTCACCATGCTGGTCTTGAACTCCTGACCTCAGGTGATCCACCCACCTCAGCCTCCCAAAGTACTGGGATTACAGACATGAGCCACCATACGCAGCCTGCAAAACTGGGGTTCTAATTCCAGCTACCACCTGGATGACACAGAGCAAACCACTGGATGATGTATCCAAGCCTCAGTTTCTCATTTGTGCGATTGGAATGAGGGTGGTACCCGTCCTCTGGTGTGTTATGACAGGTCAATGCGATCGTGAGTGTAAAACTGCCTTGACAATAAATACAAATTTCAGTTATTATTTAAAGTGTGAATGTATCATTTTCCTTATCAATAGTAACACTTGTTGAGTAGGCTCAGGAAGAGGCGAGTGATGGGATTGGGGGCAAGCACGCCAGATGCCTAGATTTAAAAGCAGGGAAACTTCCATGTTTCCTGGTTTGCTGTTCTCTGCTTTTCTCCCCTGTTCTCTCTCTTTGAAGCCTTTGGTGATAACACCCGCCCTCCCGTCCTCCCAGCGATAGCCCTCTTTGATCCCCCTTAGCCTGGGTGGGAGAGAGAGGTTGCGTTCATGGTCTTTGCTGACTCTGGATCTGGAGTGCGTGTCTTGTTTGGATGTGCTGATGATAATCCTGGGAGGCCTGAATAGTGAACTTAGGTCCAAGATGTCGGAGGACCATCATCCACTCGGGACACAGAGCAATTTAAGGGCTCCGTAGCATGCTGAGACCTACCTGCACACAGGGAATAAGGGCTCCAGATGAAATCTATAAAACAGAAACACGCAAAGCTCCACTGTTCTCCATTCTTGTTAGCAGCCCTCCCATTTATTATGTCAGGAGAGGCATCATGATCCTGAGAGGGTGGGCTAGATTTGGAGGTGATTAAGGAAGAAGAGGGGATATTATGGGGTGGTGACGAGCTTGTGTGGGGGATGCTGAGACTGTGAGAAGGACGTGTCAGAGTAGAGAGTGGTACCAGAAGGAGACAAGTGGGCTTTTGACCATATATTTTAGAATAAAACAAATTGCTCCATGCCCAAGCTCTACACAAAGTCCCTAAGCAGTATAAGACATCAGTTTCTCAGGCACCTCATGTGCTGTGCTAAGCAACATAGCAGCTTTCAGCCAGCCTTCCTTCATTCATTCACTTAACAAATATTGGCTGGGTTCTTACTCTGCCTGGTCACTGCTAGCCCATGGGATACAGAGATGAATGGGACATGGGTCATTGGCTATGTGAGTTAATAGTTTCAATAAAATCAGAGAAATGTTCCGAACAATTTATAAACAGGTGCCAACGATGTGGGCACAAAGTGCAGGGAGTTTATTCAAGAATTATTGGGTGCCCACTGTGTGCTAAGAGAATATAATATAGTGTGAGGTGGATGTACATTTCAGGAGATGGAAAGTATGGAAGGTGAGCAGGAGCTGTTGGGCTGAGTTTTGGGTGGGGTGGCTGGGATGGTTTCTCTGAAATATGATCTATGAGCAAAGACCTGAAGGAAGTGAGATGTGGGGGTATTGGGGGATGTCAGTCTTCTAGGCAGGGGAAGCAGCCAGGGAATGGTTACACTGTCTGACATGAAATATCAGCTGTGCAACGAGGAAAGTGAAGACCTGAGGGGGCAGAGGAAAGACAAAAGGAGAGGTATCATGAGTCAAGGTCCCAGTGAGACTGACGACTGTTAGATTAGAGATGTGAAGGGGAACAAGCAGGCAGAACTGTAGATTGTACTCTGAGAGCAGGATCTATAACATGGCTGTTAAGGAGGTATTGCAGATATTGTCATTACATGGACTCAGAAGGACCAAGGAGAGCAGAAGACCAGACAGGTTGAGAACAAGGACCCAGGAGGGTGTTGGCAGGTCGCTTGTCTGGGCATTGATATGACCAAGAATAACAGCAGGAGTAATTGTGGAGAGTGGGAGTGAGAGAGGACCTAAGGTCTTTGAGAAAGACGAGAGAGGGAGTGAGGGAGTAGTAGATAGCTGCAAGGAATGGTGGCAGGAGAAGGAGTCAGATACATGGAATTCAAAACTGGGGTATTTAATGGAGGAGGAAGAGTGGGCTGATGCAGGAATGACAGGCAAGAATGACACCTGCACTCTGTTCAGGCCCAGTGGCTATGAGGTTATCATATTTTACCTGCGTGAAGGGCTAGGGAAGCCATGATGTTATGGGAGCCGAATGCTGGGGGAGTCTGAGTTCTTTGAGTGGACAGAGTGGTGTCCACATGGAAGGACAGCTCAGGGGAGGCCGCTTCCTGGGGCAGCCTGGAGTTGCTGTAGCAACTCAGGAAGATTCTCAGCTTTCAAGCCAGACAGGTTTGGGTCTAAAACCTGGATCTCTCACTTACTGTGGATAAATCTGGGTGAGTTACTCAACATCTCTGACCCTCTGGTTTTTCATCTGACATTGGGAAATAACTTTTCTCCTAGAATTGTTACAGATGTTAAAAAGTAACATATTCACTTTACGTAGTGACCAGTCACGATTTTTTGTTAGCTCTCATTTTCCTCTCTGTGACCAGGTTTCTTTATCGGTAAATATATAAATATGTATTTTTGCTGTCATATAAATTAGGTGATACAGTACACATTTTCTGGTTCATAGGAGGCACTCAACAATTTTTAAGGTTAGCCTTGACCTTTCTAAAATAGGCCCTTGTTTGTAAAATGAAGATAATACCAGTCCTATGAAAAGTTACCAACAACAATATTATTTACCTCAGTATATTCTCATTTAACTTCACTTTTTTGAACTAGCAGATAGAAGGAAGAAACACACACCCCACTCCACACACACACACGGCAATTTCCAAATCTACTATGATAGTTGTACTCAATCTAATTGAAATAAAATTGGAGTTGATTTAATTATTGGCATTTATAAAACTAGATTGTGCTGGATACATGCGTGTTACATAGAAATCCAAAAGAATCCCAAATTCCAGTAAGTGATTAGTCCATTATGTAGACTAATTGCTTTTACAGTTATAAATAATTTCATAATATCGCAGATCTAAAGTGCACACCTGTGCACTAATTGCTTTTCTGAGGGCTGTTTCCATGGCTGCAGAACAGACATCCTGCTACCCACAGCTAGGATGGTGCAGGTGGATACCAGAGATGAGGTTTCGAGAGGGCCCATTTATGCCAGGGCCTCAGCACTGCACATCTGTGGACAGCTCCATCCTGAGGCCTGTGCTAACTACAATTCCGAAAGAACATTAAGTCTGAAAAATATGTTTCACTGGTGAGAACACTGTGTCTCAGAGACTTTGAGAAGCATCCTCAATGTCCCACAGTGGATACACCAACAATTTAGAGCCAGTGCCCTGGTTCGTTGGAATCCAAATCCTGGCTTTCTGTTCAGTGGCAACTGGTGCAAACAATGCTTTCTTGGGGACATTTTTAAAAGAAACTAATGACCAGAGCTCTGGATGCTTTAGTTAAATATGTGCATTTTAAAAAGCTTTTCTCTGCCTGAATTTGCATAATGGTCCTTTCCCATGGGCCAAAGTTACCTTTTACTCAGTTTAATAGACTCACTCTTGCATTATTAACAACCATATGCAAAATGATGACCTCAGAAGGCTCCTTTCCCCCAAACATGCCTTTTTCCCTGATTAGCCACCTGTGACCTTTGTGGCCGAGCCAGCTTCCTAATGGAGCTGTGGCATTTCTTCTGTCCCAGTGTCTAAATGGAGCCTTGTTGCCTGATGAATACCCAAGGCTGGGAGAAAGAACCCTGAGTGAGGTAGAAATGACCTTCTTTTCTGAGCCTTGAGCACACACAAGCCCTTCTATCAAAATTTAGCAAAATGAGGCATCCTAGTTCATGTAATGGAAGACCTGAGGCTGGATAACCTATAAACAACAGAAATTTATATTTCACAACTCTGGAGGCTGGGAAGTCCAAGGTCAAGGTGCTGGCAGGCCATCTGGTGAGGGCTGCATCTTCTGGAAAGGAGGAACACTGCATCCTCACGTGGCGGAAAGTGGTAGGGACAGTGAATGCTGCATGAAGCTTTTTTTAGAAGGGCCTTAATCCGTTTCATGAGAGAGCAGCCCTCATGGCCTAATTACCTCTTAAAAGCCCTGCCTTCTCATACTATCACATGGCCAACACCTGAATTTTGGAAGAAACACATTCAAACAATAGCATTCTATCCCTCTCCCCCCACCAAATTCATATTCTCACATGCAAAATATAATCATTCCATCTCAATAGCCCTCAGAGTCTTAACTTATTCCAGCATCTACTTTAAAGCCTCAAGCCCAGAGTCTCATCTAGACATCACCTCAAGGAAAACTGCTCTCCAGCTGTGAACCTGTGAAATCAAACAAGTTATGTGCTTCTGAAATACAATGGTGTAGGGACAGGCATAGGATAAATATTTCCATCGCACAAGGAAGAAATAGGCAGGAAGTAAGGAATAATGGGGCTCAAGTAAATCCAAAACCAAACAAGGCAAACAACATTAAATCTTGAGGCTGGAGAATAATCTTTAACTCCCTGTCCCACTTTTTGGATGCACGGGGGTGGGAGTTGAACCCTGAAGGCCTCAGGCAGCCACACCCTCATGGCTTTGCTGGGCAAAGCCCATATAGCAGGCCTCACGGGTTGGTGTCAGGTGCTGGCAGCACTCCCAGGCTAGAGTTAGTTGCCTGCTGGTGGCTCCACAGGTCTGGGATCTTGTGGGCAACCCTGGCCCCATGGCTCCACTAAGCATTGCTTGAGTAGGGGCTCTCTGCAGCAGCCCTGACTCAACAGTTTGGTTGAACATTGCCCTGGTTGGGACTCTGTGGAGGCCATGCTGCCATAGCTCCTGCACTCTGCACACATACAGCATTAGTAGCATGTGGACACTGCCACCAGAAGCTTATAACTTCTGGAGCCATGGCCCTAGTGTACTTAGGTCCGCTTGAGCCATTGCTGAGCAGCTGAAGAGCAGGGAGCAGATGAGGTGTCCTTGCCTGGAAACTCTTCTGCCCTTAAGACCCTGGTATTAAGGGTATGGCAGCCTTGAAGCTCTCTGAAATGCCTTCAGGCATGGCATGGCAGCCTGACGGGCATGGTAGCCTTGAAGCTCTCTGAAATGCCTTCAGGGTCATTCTCCCATTGCCTTGATGAATAGCAGCACTTGGCTTCCTTTTCCTAATCTCCTTATCAAACAGTTGCTAGGCCACACCCTTGATTTTCTCTCCTAAACACACTTTTTATTCTTTACATGGGCAGGCTGAGAATTTTCCAAATTTTTGCATTCTGCTTCCCTTTTAACCATAAATTCAATTTTTAAATGATTTATCTTCTCACATTTTACTATAAGAAGTTAAGAGAAGCCATGCAGATTCCTGAACACTTTGCTGCTTAGAGATTTCTTCCATCAAATATCCTAGTTTGTTGCTTTTAAGTTTTGCCTTCCGCAGAGTCCTAAAACATGAACATAATTCAGCCAAGTTCTTTGTCACTTTATAATAAGAATGCCCTTTCTTCCCATTTCCAATAAGCTAGTCCTCATTTCCACCTAGGACCTCATCAGAATGACCTTTACTGTCATGATTACTACCAATATTCTGTTCACTACTATTTAAGTGGTCTCTAAGAAGAATGAAGCTTTCCTTATAGCTCTCCTATTCTTCTGAGCCCTCATCAGAATTGCCCTTAATGTTCTGTTCACAGTAATATAGACTTTTTCAGCAATGGCTTCAAAACTGTTCCAGCCTCTACCCATTACCAAGTTCCAAAGCCATTCCACAGTTTTAGTTATTTGTTATAGGAACACCCCACTCTTGGTAACAATTTCTGTCTCAGGTTGTTTGTGCTGCTATAACAGAATACCTGAGACTAGGCATTTTATAAGAAAAATTTGTTTCTCACCATTCCAGAGGCTGAGAAGTCCATGATCAAGGTGCTAGTAGGTTGTCTGGTGAGAGCTGCATCTTCTGGAGGGAAATAACTCTGTGTTCCTCACATGGCAGAAAGTGGAAGAGAAAATGTCTGAATGCTGTATGAGCCATTTTTTATAAAGGCCTTAATCTCACTCATCACAAAGGAGAAGCCCTCACAGCCTCATCACCTCTTAGGGGCCCCACCCTGTGAAAATATCATATGGGCAACATCTAAGTTTTGGATGGGACATGTTTAAAGCATAGCATATGGCCATGTATTTTTTTTTCTATTTTGAAACAACTTCAAACTTAGAGAAAAAGCTGCAAAAAATAGTACCCTTCACTCGGAGACCCTATTCATGCCTCACCAGTTGTCCCAATGATGTTCCTTATGGCAAAAGGATCTAATTCAGGATGATGCACTGAGTTTCTTGTCTTCTTTAGTATCTTTCTCAGTTTCTCAGTTTTTCCTTGACTTTCATGTCTTTGGTATTTTTGAAGGTTCATTTGGGATTGTCTGATACTTCCTCCTGAGTGGGCCCAGGTTATGTATCTTTGGACAGAATACTCAGTATTCTGTGATATATGGTTGTCATTGCATCCCATCAGGTGTCATGAGAGGTTGATTTTTCCTATTATTAGTTATGTTAACTTTTGTCACTGTTCCAGTTAGCTATTGCTGTTCAACAAAACCATTTCAACACTTAACAGCATAAAACAACCATTTTATGATCATGATGGTTTCAATGTGTCAAGAATTCAGTAATGGCTGTGAGTTCAGATGCAGGATCACACGCATGGTTACAGTGAGATAGAGACTGGAACTGGTGGCTAGATGGTTTTCTCTTCTTAGTCTTAGGATCTCTCCCATGTAGATCAGTTTGGGCTTTCTTGTAGCATGTGGGAAAACATCTTCAGGTTTGCTGGCCTCCTTGCCTGGCAGCTGGCTTCCCTGGAGTCTATGTCCTAGGAAAATGAAGGGGAAGTGCCAGACATTTTTATGGCCTACCCTCTGGTGTTCCTTGCACCACACTCTATTGGTCCAGGTAGTCACACAGACCAATCCATGTTCAAAGGGAGGGTGAATATCTCACCACTGAATGGGTAATCTGTTGCATTATTTAATCTTGATAATGTCTGCCAGGTTTCTCTCCTATAAGGTTATTGGGTGTTTTGTTTGTTTGTTTGGCAAATTATAAGTATTCTGGGGGGAGATAACCATGAGAGCACAGGGAATGCTATTTCCTATCTCTCTTTCACCCATTCGTTTTGCCATCCTGTGATAATTCTTGCTTGAGTTGCTTGTTGCTATATAGGTTAATAAATAGTGATTTTATTTTAATTTTTTAATGTATATATATACATATATATATATATATATATATTTTTTTTTTTTTTTTTTTTTTGAGACAGAGTCTCCTTGTCGCCCAGGCTGGAGTGCAATGGTGAAATCTCGGCTCACTGCAATCTCCGCCCCCTGGGTTCAAGTGTTTCTCATGCCTCAGCGTCCCTAGTAGCTGGGATTACAGCCCACCACTGTGCCTGGCTAAGTTTTTGTATGTTTAGTAGAGACAGGGTTTCACCATGTTGGCCAGGCTGGTCTCAAACTGCTGAACTCAGGTGATCCACCTGCCTTGGCCTCCCAAAGTGCTGGAATTGCAGGCGTGAGCTACACCATGCCTGGCCCGATAGTGATTTTCTAATTTTATCATTTCTTTTATATTTATTATTTGACATCTTTCTATAAGGAATAAATTTCTCAGCTATTTATTTATTTATATAAATAAGTTTCTCTGCTATTTATTTATATAAATTTATCTATTTATATAAATTTATCTGCTATTTATATAAATAAAATTCTCTGCTATTTATTTATTTATTTATATCAGTATGGGCTCAGGGTTTGAGGTGTTATTCAAAGGACTCTAATAAACCACTATCACAATTTACTTTGATGCTCATATTGTCCCAAATCTGGCTGGTGGGAGATCCCTCAAGCTGACTTTTGTGTCTTTCTGCAAAAATAACAGCTTGCCTGAGTTCAAGACCAGCCTGGGCAGCACAGTGAGACCTCATCTCTTAAAAATGATTTAAAAAACCCCAGCTTGATTGAAGTAGGACCGAGTATTATGAAATAAAGCTACTGTGAATATCCATGTACAAGTCTCTGAAGGAGATAGGCTACATTATTTTTTGGCAAATAAGTACCTCGGAGTGGAATGACAGGATCCTTTGTCATTCAGTGACAGTACGGAAGGTGTGAGTTTACCATTTAAAAAACCAACAAAACTGTTTCCAAGAGTTTCTAGTTCTAGTTTCCATCAGTTCCAGTTTTTCCACATCATCCTCAGCATTTGGTAAGGTTATTCTTTTTTTTTTTTTTTTTTTTTGAGACAGGGTCTCACTCTGTTGTCCAGGCTGGAGTGCAGTGGTGTGATCACAGCTCACTGCAGCCTCAACCACCCAGGCCCAGGTGAGCCTCCCACTTCTGCCTCCTGAGTAGCTGGGACTACAGGTGCACGCCACCATGCCTGGCTAATTTTTGTATTTTTTGTAGAGATGGGGTTTCACCATGTTGCCCAGGCTGGTTTGGAACTCCTGGGTTCAAGTGATTTGCCCGCCTCGGCCTCCCAAAGTGCTGGGATTACAGGCGTGAACCACCATGCCTGCCTCAGTCTTTTAAATTTTGGCTATTTTAGTATGTATGCAGGAGGATCTTTTAGTTGTTAATTTGCATTTCCCTAATGACAGTGGTGCTGAGCACATTTGTACGTACTTTTCTTCTGTATAGCTTCTTTGTGAAGTATTTGTGGTTGAAGTTTTTGGCCTCTAAAAAAATTAGTTCATTTTCTTGATTTTTGATAGTTCTTCGTGGATTCCGGAGACATGTCTTTTGTCTGATATATGATTTGCAAATATTTTCTCCCAGTTCGTGGCTTGCCTTTTCATTCTCTTAATAGTGGATTCACAAAATCAGACATTTTAGTTTAACTTTTTTTAGATTATGCTTTTGGCTTCATGTCTAAGAACATTTAGCCTAACTCGGGGTCACAAACGTCTTCTTTGTTTTCTTCTAGAAGTTTTTCAATTTACAGCTGTGTATTGAATTAACCTTTTCTATCATGAGAGGTATGGATTGAAGTACATTTCTTTGCAATGCATATCCAGTTTTTCCAGCACCATTTGTGAAGAAGATTATCCCTTTGCATTGAATTGCTTTTACATCTTCGTAAAAAACCAATTGTTCACATATTTGTGTGTCTCTTCTAGATTCTCCATTCTGTTTCATGATAGATTTGTCCAACTTTATGCCAATACCACATTGTCTTATTTACCATAGCTTTATCCTAATTCTTGCAATCAGAAGATGCTAGTTGTCCTGCCATGTGATTCTTTTGTGAAGTTGTTGAGTTGTTCTAGTCTCTTGCATTTCCATAGGAATTTTAAAAGTAGTTTGTCAATGTCTACAAAAAATCTGCTGGAATATTTGATTGGTATTGTATATAATCTATGTGTCAATTTGGGAAGAATTGACATCTGAACAATATTGAGTCTTTCAATAAATGATCATGCTTTATCTCTCCATTTATTTATGTCTCCTTTAATTTCTTTCAGCAATGTTTTGTAGTTTTCAGTTTGTAGGTATTTCACATCTTTTGTCAGATTTACCTCGAAGTTTCTGATACTTTTTATACTATTGTAAACAGCATTTTTTTATTTCAAAATTTGATTGTTACTAATGTGCATACCTACAATCATCTTGAAACCTTGCTACACTCTCTAATTCTAGTAGGGTCATTTTTGGAGATTTCACTGGATTTTCTACAGAAGACAATCATGTTGTCTGTGTGTGAAGACAGTGTTATATCTTCCTATTCAACCTGGGGTACTATTTGTTTCTTTTCATTGGCTTATTTCATTAGCTAGTAAAAAGTTGAATAGAAGAGGTAAGAGCAGAAATATTGGTACTAATGGTATACTTAATGGGTATAAAATTCTGGACTGGCCATTTTTCTTTCAGTACTTTGAGGACATAGCTTCTTGTTTAGATTATTTCTGATGAGAAATTGCCAGCTTGCATCATTTGGGATAAGAAATTTGCTTTATATTACTTTTTGGTCCTTTGTGTAAAACATGTCTTTTTTTCCTCTGCCTGCTCTTAAGGTTTTTTCTTTATTACTGACTTTGAGAAAATTGATTATGGTGTGCCTTGGTGTTATTTAAAAAAAAATTTATTTTAGAGACAGGGTCTTGTTCTGCCATCCAAGCTAGAGTGAAGTAGCACGATTAAAACTCACTATAGCCTCGAGTTCCTGTGCTTGAGGGATCCTCCTGCCTCTGCCTCCTGAGTAGCTGGGACTACGGGTGCACACCACCACCCCAGCCTAATTTTTTAACTTTTTATAGAGATGGGGTCTTGCTATGTTGTCCAGGCTGGTCTCAAGCCCCTGGACTCAAGCAATCCTCCTGCCTCGGCCTCCCAAAGCCCTGGGATTACAGATAGGAGCCACTGTGCCTGGGCAGTTTTCTTCATCTCTCTTGTGCTTAGGGTTCACCGAGCTTCTTGGATCTGTGGGTTTACAGTTGCCATCACATTTGGAAGATTTCATCAAACATCTTTTCTTTCTCTTTGTCCCACATAATCCTCTTCTCCTTCAGGGACTCAAATTATGCCTATATGAGGTTGCTTGAAGCTGTTTCATAGCTCACTGATGCTCTGTTCATTTTTAAATTATTTTTTCCTCTGTGTTTTATTTTGGATAGCTTCCATTGCCATGTCTTCATGCTTACTCACTTTTCCTTCTACCTTTAATCTCACCCACTATTGTTTCCTCTCAAGTGATGTAGTTTTCATCTCTAGATGTTCAATTTGGGAACTTTATGTTTTTCATCTTCCATGAACATATGTAATTATCTTCTTGAACATATGGAATGCAGTTACAGTAACTCTTTCAATGTTTTTCTCTCTAATTCTAATATCTGTGTCGTTTTGAGTGTTAGTTTTGGCTGTTTAGCTCCTCATCCTGGGTCATATTTTCCCAGTTCTTTGCACACCTGGTAATTTTTGGTTGAATGCCAAGCATTGTGGATTTTACCTTGTTTGATGCTGAATATTTTGTATTCCTAGAAATGTTCTTGCGCTTTCTTTTTTTTTTTTTTTTCTGGGATGCAGTTAAGTTACTTGAAACAGCCTGAACCTTTCAAGTCTTGCTTTTAAGATTTGTTAGCTGGGAATCAGAATAGTGCTTGGTCCAGAGCTAATTATCCTCCACTAGTGAGCTAAGAGCCTTCTGCGTATTAACCCCATGTGTGGTGAAAAACGAGTTTTCCCAGCTGGGCTGGTGGGACGGGCACTCTTCATGGTTCTGCGTGTGCACAGGTCATGGTCACCTTTAATCCCCTTGGTGCCTCTTTCCCTGGCCTCTGACTGTGTCCTCCTATTCACAGGCCGATGCTGATCCAACCAGGTAGTCCGGGGCCCCTGCAGGTATCTGCAATGCTCTCTGGGCAGCTCTCTCCTCTCTGTCGCTCTTCCAGTGAACACCAGCCACCCTTGGTTCCCCAGACTCTGCGCTGTCTCCTCAATTCAGGAGCCCACTGGGCTGTGACTGGGCTCCTCCTCCCTGAACTGTGGCCTGGCAACTCTCTGACCTGTAAGCTGGAGCAATCCCAGGGCCTCCTCATCTGTTTCCCATTGCTCGGGATCACTCTCTTGTTGGCCAATGTCAAGCGTTCTACAAAGCATTGTTTCACATATTTTGTCATTTAAAAAATTGTTTTATGCCACCCACCTCTAATGCAAACCCCCGGTTACTCCATCCCATAGATGGAGGCTTTCTTTCAGAGACTATGTAAGCAAACTTCCCTGGCACCTTCCCACCCTTCAAGCTGCCCATCACTGCCACCCCAACATGCACACCCCATCCCCTAGACAGGAAGCCTCCATGTATAAATTCAGTCCCTGGAGACAGAGTTCTTTTATGTGTCTTTCTGACATGTTCCCATCATTCACTGAGTAATTGCTTTCTGACCCATCCAGCCTCATCTTGTTCTTTCCCTGCCTCAGCCCCGGAATTAACTATTTCTCCAAGGAGCCCTGGTATTGCTAGTGGAAAATGGCAATCGGATACAATGTGGGCAATGTGTGTGCTTATTTTTGCTGAGATGTCACTGTTGTCAGAACTTCTTGGTGAGAAAAGTTTGGAGATACCTGTATGCATGGACACACACACATTTACCTGTGTATTTGTTTGCATGTCTGTAGATTGAAAACCATGAGCTCACATCATTACCTGCAACTCCTACCCAACACCTGAGACCAGGTGCAACTTTCCTCTTTCCGTATTTGCACTTCCTGTCTGTGCTTCCGTGTGAAATTTATAGCATTGCCTTAAAACAGGGCAGCGGACATCAAATTACCTGCCGTGGTATTTGAATCCTTCGGCTAGATCTGGTGTGTGTCCTGACCTTGCATCAGGTAGGAAAGGCAGCCATTGGCTGCAGGGAGGGGGGCATTCAGAGGCAGTGGGTCCAGGCTGGAGTCGAGGCTGCTGCTGCGTGAACCTAGGACAGGCGACTGGCTGAGTGTCAGTTTCCTCATCCACAAAGCAGAGATAACAACAGTAGTTCTGATTGCATCAGGGCGCCCCTGTGAGGGCAGCGGGCAGCTGTGAAGCTTGAAAGGGCTGGTGTGGGCGGCTGCTGTTGCTGCTGTCAGCGGGGAGGATGACCTTGAGTGAGGGCCACAGCTTGGGGCATCACAACTCAGGGGGGTCAAACATGAGAATGGAGGAGGGATAATCTCCTATTAAGAGCTCAGTGACACCCTGGCTCAGAATAATCCCAAGGAGGAGGAAGACGCAGATAAGGAGCACTGGTTCCTCTGTGTGTTTATCTTATAGGCACCCCTTGCCTGTCCACTCTGCTCCAGGCCCTGTGCTGGTCCTGAGGACATGACCCTGCTCATCATGGAGGCTTCCTGTCTAGGGGGTGGGGCATGCGTGTTGGGGTGGCAGTGACGGGCAGGTTGCAGGGTGGAAAGGTTCCAGGGAGCTTTGCTTACATAGGTTCTGAAAGAAAGCCTCCGTTGGTGGGATGGAATAACCAGGGGCTTGCATTTGGGGTGGCAGTGGGTGGAGAGAGCAGTAAAGATTCGGCCCATGCTGACCTTGCCACATCTGGCCATGGGACAGTCACCTGCTTCTGTGAGTCTCAATTTACTATCTATAAAATGCTGGCAATTTGGGGGAGGGGAAGGCTCAGCTCAGGGGAGGGAGGCTGGACCCGCTGGGCTATGGAGGGCTTTCCGCCTCTAACATTGTGTGTCTAGTAGAGTGCCTGGCATATCTGATGAATTATAAGCAGACAGGGAGGGTCTGCAGGTGTTTCAGGAAAAGGTCCTGATCCAGACCCCAAGGGAGGGTTCTTGGATCTCACATAAGAAAGAATTCAGGGCGAGTCTGAAGTGCAAAGTGAAAGCAAGTTGATTAAGAAAGTAGAGGAATAAATAATGGCTACTCCATAGAGCAGACCCAAGGGCTGCTGGTTGCCCATTTTTATGGTTATTTTTTGATGATATGCTAAACAACAGGTGAATCATTCATACCTCCCCTTTTTAGACCATATGGGGTAACTTCCAGATGTTGCCATGGCATGTGTAAACTGTCATGGTGCTGGTGGGAGTGTAGCAGTGAGGACAATGACAGGTCACTTTTGTGGCCATTTTGGTTTTGGTGGGTTTTAGCTGGCTCCTTTACTGCAAACTGTTTTATCAGCAAGGTCTTTATGACCTGTATTTTGTGCTGACCTCCTATCTCATCCTGTGACTTAGAATGCCTTCACCACCTGGGAATGCAGCCCAGGAGGTTTCAGCCTCATTTTATCCAGCTCCTGTTAAGATAGAGTTGCTCTGGTTCACATGCCTCTGACACCGGCACCATAGGAATTTAATCCACTGGAGCAATCTGCCTGCTCTACAGCCTTCTGCTTTGCAGCCCATTTCTTCCCAGACCCTGCATGGAATGCGGTCACCTACTCAGTTGGAAGCAGCTCCTGAGAGATGTAGGCAACTTGCAGACAAACTCGAGGGAACCTTGCTCATGGCCATGCCAACGTCTCCACCTGGCGGGGGCTGCAGCATCATAACCACCACATAGGACCTGTGTGCTGGCAGGAGGACTGGCTGCATCTGTGCCACTGGGACCCCTCCTCTGAATGCCGTACCACACTCTGTCCCCTCCATCGCCCCATAAAACCCTCCTGTCACTGTCCCTCCAGGAGACACTGCTGTGGAGAACACACCTAGGGCTCTCCTTCCTTGCTATGAGTTAACAAAGTGCCTGTTGATTAAAACCTGCATCCTTGTGGAGTCATTTGTTACTCAGCAGGTGAAAAAACCCTCATTTTTTCAGACAACAGAAAGAGTGAATAAATGAATGAGTGAATAAATGAGTGAGTGAATGATAGAGCCTGGAGGCCCTGATCCCAGCCAATCATCCCTTTGGTTGCACTGGCCCCTCCCTTTGCCAATTCCCAGCACCTGATTCCTGCCAGTAACCCCCCACTCAGATGGACAGCACAGCTGTCCACACTGCAGGGAGCACCCCAGCCCAATGGCGATGGCCTGCCCTCTTCCCAGTGCATCATAGCTGCAAAGTTCCCTGCTACCATTGATGGAGGAGGCTCACTGCATGTCAGAGGCTCTTCTGAGCTCTCCCCATTTTTAGGATCTCACTGCCTCATCCTTACAGCTTTAGGAAGTAGCACCATTTTCATTCCCAATTCTAGGACAGGGAAACTGAGGTACACAGAGGCTAACTTGCTGGCAAGTGTCAGAGTCAAGGGCAGGGATCCTGGGCTCCCAGGATTGTCCTGATTGGGCAGGGACGGGGCGAGTAAGAACTGAGCTCCTGCAAGAGGATAATCAGTACTCAAACCCTCAGAGTGGAAGCTTTGCAGCCACTGGAGGGGCGGGCAGGAGCTCAAAGAGGATCATGAACCCTTTAGAAATGTAAAGCGCTGTAAATATTAACAACAAGCAGCCTGCTTTCATAATCTCCCATTTTCCATTGTGTTGCAAATTCTTGTACATTTTCTTGCTCTCTGAGAAACATGAAGGCAGCTTGTTTAATAAGCATACTATTAGCAAGTTATCAAGTATTTGATTGCATTTTCCAGAAAGCACCTCAGTGGCTGGGGGATCATTTCACATCTGCCTTTTCTACTCACACTCAGCATTTCTTGCCTCACGGCCGGCACTCCTCAATGTAAAATTGTCTGTGTATGGCGGTTGAGGGAAATTATTTTTTAAAGGGAGGAAAAGAGTATCCGGTTTACAGATGTCTTGTGTAGTGCACGAAGCAAGAATGACTCTTCCTGGCCCAGAGTGTGGACAGGTTTAGCAGGCGTCAACAGAATGCTGGAGTGGGTGTCAGATGGAGGCAACTTCTTCATAAAAGTTCTCGGTAGAACTCATGCAGTTAGCGGCTGTTGCATTGAATTCGGGGCACTGCATCCTCCTCCTTCCCTTACAGGGCACGAGGGTGGCCAGGGTATAACAGTGGCCAGGGTGTGACGGTGGCCAGGGTGTGACGGTGGCCAGGGTATAACAGTGGCCAGGGCGTGGCGGTGGCCAGAGTGTGACGGTGGCCAGGGTGTGACAGTGGCCAGGGTGTGATGGTGGCCAGGGTGTGAGGGTTGAGAACAAGGAGTTCTCACCCTTTCCGGAGTAACCTGGGGGCACCGAATGGCCTCTCCTTGCCTGGATACACCATACTCTTAGTGCTGTTTGGTGCAGCAGTAAGTGTCAGCTGTTTAATGACTGAAGAATGACGAGGTTCATACATTTGGCAAGGAGAATTGTATCTCTTCTAAGGGCTTGCAGCCTGCAGGCAGCCATTCTGAAAGGCTGGGAAGCATAGCCTCTGTCCAGAAGCTGGAAACAGGCACTTTGAGGATTAAAAGAATAAGACAGGGATTTATGTTGACCAAGGTGGTCAAATATACATATTCAATGAGCTACAGGAGGAGTCATGAATATTGATGAGAATAGAAACACGCATATGTGCAATTGCACTTCATGCCCCATCGCAAGTCACATGTGCACAAAGTGATGATGTTAGCGTGATCCGAGGGTGGAGTTTTCGGCCACTGACACGTAAAAGGGAAGCAGAGGACACGGAAACCCGCACTGCACACCCTCCATAGACCAGCCAGAGCCACCCCGTGGTTGTCAGTCTCTTTGAAAGGAACGCTGGCTGGTTGTTTTGGGGCAGCGTCAGGAGGTTGGTTCATATCAGGGGTGGAGTCTTTCAAAGGGGCTGGCTTCTGCTTGGCCCTTAGTGAAGGAAGTCTAGTGGCAGTCAGCAAAGGAGAGGTTAAAACAGGGTGTGTCCCACCTCTCCCATCATGGCCAAGAGCTTGGCTGCTGAGGTTCCTCTGGGGTCCCCTTGGTCAAGAGGGGGGTCTGTGCAGTCAGTGAGGGGAGGGTCTTAGACTTATTATTTGTCACATAGCCAGGCGGAATAGTGTTGTACAAAATAGCATCAGAAACCATCAGAAACCTCGGGATTTGCGCTTGGAAATATTTGAGATATAATTAGTTTAGTTCAAGATCTTGAGATGAAATCATCCCAGATTTAGGGTGGACTGTAAATCCAATGACTGATGTCCTGCTAAGAAGAAGAGAAGACACCAAGAAGCAGAGGGAGGAGGCCATGCAGGGACAGAGTGGGGAGGCCTCATAAGACACCAGGGACACTGTCACATCCTGGCCACCCTCAAACCCTGGCCACCGTCACACCTTGGCCACCGTCGTCACACCCTGGCCACCGTCACACCCTGGCCACCCTCACACCCTGGCCACCGTCACACTCTGGCCACTATCATGCTCTGGCCACTGTCACACTGTGGCCACTGTCATGCCCTGGCCAACGTTATGCCCTGGCCAACCTAATAACCTGGCCACTGTCACGCCCTGGCCACCCTCAAACCCTGGCCACCATCACACCCTGGCCATCCTCACGCCCTGGCCACCCTCACACCCTGGCCACCGTCGTCACACCCTGGCCACTGTCACACCCTGGCCACCCTCACACCCTGGCCACCGTCACACCCTGGCCACTATCATGCTCTGGCCACTGTCACACCGTGGCCACTGTCATGCCCTGGCCAACGTTATGCCCTGGCCAACCTAATAACCTGGCCACTGTCACACCCTGGCAACCCTCACACCCTGGCCACCGTCACACCCTGGCCACCCTCACACCCTGACCACCCTCACGCCCCGGCCACCGTCGTCACACACTGGCCACCGTCATGCCCTGGCCACCGTCACGCCCTGGCCACCGTCACACCCTGGCCACTATCATGCTCTGGCCACTGTCACACCGTGGCCACTGTCATGCCCTGGCCAACGTTATGCCCTGGCCAACCTAATAACCTGGCCACTGTCACGCCCTGGCCACCCTCAAACCCTGGCCACCATCACACCCTGGCCATCCTCACGCCCTGGCCACCACTGCTCCCTGGGCAGTGGTCCCCCTGCAGACCTCAGGTGGCCACAGAAACTTTTTTTTTTTTTTTGAGATGGAGTCTCGCTCTGTTGCCCAGGCTGGAGTGCAGTGGTGTGATCTTGGCTCACTGCAAGCTCTGACTCCCGGGTTCACACCATTCTGCTGCCTCAGCCTCCCGAGTAGCTGGGACTACAGGCGCCCACCACCATGCCCGGCTAATTTTTTGTATTTTTAGTAGAGACGGGGTTTTGCCGTGTTAGCCAGGATGGTCTCGATCTCCTGACCCCACGATCCGCCAGCCTTGGCCTCCCAAAGTGCTGGGATTACAGGCGTGAGCCACCACACCGGGCTGGCCTCAGAAACTTTGTGCTCAGTTACAATTGGTTACTGCTTGTGATTGTGGGTCTGTCCCTGGCTACATCCCATGCTTATCACATACACACTACACACATCTTTGGAGCCGACTGCATCCATGTTTCCCAATTCGCTTTGGAAAGCCATGTTGCTTTCCTGCTGACACAGCATCTGTGGCCCCTGCACTGCACGCAAAACAGATCCCTGAATCTTTAGCTCGGCATTCAGAGTCTTACCTAATTGGACCACAATAAACTTGGCTGTCAGTCATCTCACAAATGAACACACATGTCTCGGGCTGCTCCTCTGTGCCGGGAACTGGGGGTAGAATGAATGCAATGTGGCTGGCCCCTCCCTCAGGGACAAGTGGTCAGGTGAGGTCATGTACTAAGGGGCTCTGGGGGGTTCAGGTGGGGAGAAGGCATTGAGGGCTGAGGCAGCAGAGCTGGGAAGACCTTCCTGCAGTGGGTACTCAGGCCCTGGGTGGGCCCCTGAGGCTCCGACCCTCTGTGGATTTCACTTTCTCTCTCTTGCTGGGCTGGCCGGGACAGTCTTCCTAAATGCAGACACACAGACAGTTGCTGGGCTGGCTGGGACAGTTTCCTAAATGCAGACACACAGACACGGGTTTCTAGGTCCCTTCCACATGTATCCAGCACCTGGACCTTCCTCAAACAGGCTGTTCAGGGGCCTTGTTCTCTGAAACATTTCTCCAGCCCCAGCCCTTACTGCAGTGCGGCCCAATGCCTGGCAGAATAATAGCTCACCAAAGCTGTCCACATTGTGACTCCCAAAACCTGTGACCACGCTACCTTATGAGGCAAAAGGGACTTTGTGGAAGTGCCTTAGTTGAGGACCTTGAGATGGGAGGTGGTCCGGGATTACCCAGATGGGCTTGATGTGTTCACAGGGGTCCTTAAGGAGGGGACGGGGTGCCGGGCGTGGTGGCTCATGCCTGTAATCCCGGCACTTTGGGAGGCTGAGGTGGGCAGATCACAAGGTCAGGAGATTGAGACCATCCTGGCCAACATAGTGAAATTCTGTCTCTACTAAAATTACAAAAATTAGCCAGGTGTGGTGGCGAGTGCCTGTAATCCCAGCTACTCAGGAGGTTGAAACAGGAGAATCGCTTGAACTCGGGAGTCGGAGCTTACAGTGAGCCGAGATCACACCACAGCACTCCAGCCTGGCGACAGAGCAAGACTCCATCTCAAAAAAAAAAAATAGAGGGGCAGGGGAGGAGCTACGGGAGACAAAAGCAGAGCCAGGAGGATGACCTTGAGAGATGGGGAAGGGGCTACAAGCCCAGGAACACAGAAGCTGGGGAAGGCAGGGAAGCGCTGCTCCCCGGAGCCTCCAGAGGAACCTGCCCGGTGCTGCTTTGGCCCTCTGGCCATCTGCCCTGTGAGGTGAGAGTTCTGTGTCAGGACACTCAGCTTGTGGGAATTTGTCATCACAGCAACGGGAAATGGACAGAGGCACCTGCTGTCCACACCAAGTACAAAATCCGGGACCATGTTCCATTCTCCTGCCATACCTGGTGTGCCCCCAAGGTTGGTGGGCTCTGCCCCCGCTGTGAAGCACTGGCCCGCCTTTCTTTTTTTGAGACAGGATCTTACTGTGTTGCCCAGTCTGTTCTTGAACTCCTGGGCTCAAGCCATTCTCCTGCCTTGGCCTCCTGAGTATCCAGGACTACAGGCATGAGCCATAGAGCTCGGCTGTCTGCCTTTCACACGCACACCAACCATTCCCGAGCCCGCACCCCTCCTGCCTCCTCTGTCACACACCAAGCCCGCATTCTCCAGAACCAGGTACCAGACAACTAGGGACAGCCCCCATGCCTGAGGGTCTGCCGCAATTATTCAAACTAGCCAAAGATAAGCTGCCTCCTGAGAAAACCCCACTGAAGGCTGTGGCCAGGGCCTTCTCCTCTTCCTTCCTGCCTCCTGCAGACCCTGTGCCTCCCCCGAGGCCCTGTGGGGAGGGCTGTGCCCATTGTTTCTAGAGGATCTGTGAGTAACAAGGCCTTCTCTCTCCACAGCATTGACCCTTCCTCTCTCTCCACAGTCACCTTTATAAATGAACACCTGGGCTCAAATCTTTCATAGCACATGGTCTGCGGGGGATGTGGAACAGTCATGACGGATAGGGCCAAGTTTCCTGGAAAGGGTGGGTGGGGGGCGCAGGAGCCTGGCAGGGACCACCCGCCCACCCACGAGAAGCCCTGTTCCAAGGGGGAGCATTGCCTTTGCATAGGGCCTCAAACAGTCCCACAGCCTGCGGCCAGGCCCCTCCTCAGCCCGGCGGCCGCTCCCGACAGGCTTCTTCCATCTCAGGGGCTGCAGACATCTCCCCTAATGACTTCCATGCATCTACTTCAGGAACGGTGCTTGTGCTTGAGCAGAACCCTTGTTTCCTGAAACGAAGCCGGGCCTGAGAAATGACAGCAGCTTCCTCCTGCGGTTTATTCTTCCTGCCTTGCTTATGAAATCAGTGTATCTCCTTAGGATAACACGTAATCAAAATTCAATGAATAAAACAGTGAACTCTCCTGGTACAATGCAGTGTCTTCATCCGCGGTACTGTCAACGGGGCACATGGGCGTTTGCTCTGGTTCTCTGGAGACGGTGCAGTGGGGGCCGATCTGCTGCCTGCAGAGCCACACAGCTGAGCTGGAGTTTCTGCCCGGCCCCGGGCCGTCCATCCCGACACTCACTGGCTGGTTTCACGTTGATGGCTTCAGCGTTTGCTGGGGAACCCCATAAAGGAGTCTCTTAAAATGCGTCTTTGAAATTCTGGCACTGTCGCCTCCAATAAAAGCCATGGAAGGGAAATTTCAATAAGATAACTCAGGAACATTTAATTTTCTGCTCCTTTGGATTTCCTATCTTATTACAGCCATTCAGTTAGCTAATAAATGTCCAATCCTGTCCAATCTTTATAGTGAGTGGAGAGGCTGGGATTTAAATAATTGGACGGAATATCTAGGGGGCAGCTTTTAGCCAGGCCTGCAATGAAACTGGTGGGTGCGATGTCGAACCTGATTTCGGAAGCCGCTTCATCTCATCCTGGCCCGTCTGTCCCCTGCCCTGCCCCAGGCGGCTTCACTCACCTGGACTTGAGGGGCTGTAGAGGGAGCAGGGTCAGGAGTGTGGGTGATGGAAGATCCTGGTTTCCGTCTCAGACGGGAGGATGGGTCTGGGCTGCCGGCCAAGGTGCCCGGTGACACCTGCAGTACCGGAGGCCTTCTTCATCCTGTTGTGCCTTGCTGAGCTGGGCCACTAACTTGGCAAGTGCAGGCGTCAAAGCTCCACCCTCCAGACCGCAGAGGGTGAAGACCTCCCTGTGAGCAAATCCTGTGCTTCCCCGGGCCCTGAGCCCTCAATGCCTGCTCCATGCCATGGGCCCTCGAGGTCATGGTGGGCCTGGGTTTGGCCACATCCTCTTGCTTCCAGTTACCCTGCTCAGAGGCCATTCTGCAGGGCCTGGAATAGGGCCACCCAGGGGAGGTGACAGCCGTCACCAGTGGGCGGGCTCCTCAGTGAGGTGGCCCCCTCCGCCCTCACCCACCATGTGTGCCTTCCACGGGGCCATGCTGGCCTTGGGGAGCTAACCCGCAGGGCTCTGCTGTAGGTGCTGGGCATGGCTGCCCCTTGGCCTTGTTGGTGGCTGCCCTGCAGCTCTGGGAGGAAAGTCCCTCTAAAGCCACCGTGAAGGCACCTGTGATTCCAGCCACGCTCAGCAGATAGTGAATTCTCCTGGTAAAATGCAGTGTCTGCATCTGAGACATCATCCACCTGGCACACCGACCGAGAAGCTGCTGCGCCATGCACTAGGAATCGAGGTGAGAGGCGGAAGGGTATGGCCCTCGGCGAGGGGGACACAGGCACCGCCCAGCAGTGGATGTGACCGGTGTTGAAATGTGAGAGAATCTGGGGTTCAGGGAGCTCGTGGTGGTACCCACCCGAACCTGCGGCCTGTGCCCATGCACTCCAGGCTGTGGAGGTCGGGAGGGGTCGGCCAGGCAGGAGGCAGAGCCCAGGGAGGGCAGGCAGCTGTAAAGGCAGGACGTGGATTTGAATTCACACCATCTACACCCACATCCTGGATGTAGATTTGAATCCACACCATCTACACCCACGTCCTGGGCGGACTCCACCAACTCAGGACAGGCTATGATTCTGAGATGTTGCTGAGACATTTTTGGGCCTCAGTTTCCTCATCTGTAAATTGGGAGTGTGGGTGGCTCCTCCCCTACCTCACAGGTCACCCAGAGGCTTCACTGATTACAGACATGGGTCTTCCTTGTGGATGTGACTGAATCTTGGGGCAGATGTGCATTGCTAAGTGGCCCTGATTCTGGGACCTGGTGAGCAAAGTCAGGGCCCAGGATCCTCAAGTCTGAAGCTGCTATGATCACGACGCCAGTGTGCACTGAGCATGAGCTGTGTGTCTGGTGTCAGGCCCAGGCCAGGGCTCTGTGGGGACTTGATATGGTTTCTAGGTGTCCCCATCGAAATCCCACCTCGAACTGTAATCCCCATAATCCCCACATGTCAAGGGTGGGACCAGGTGGAGGTGGTTGGATCACGGGGGCATTTTCCGTGGGACCAGGTGGAGGTGGTTGGATCACGGGGGTGGTTTCTGTGGGACCAGGTGGAGGTGGTTGGATCACGGGGGCATTTTCCGTGGGACCAGGTGGAGGTGGTTGGATCACGGGGGTGGTTTCCGTGGGACCAGGTGGAGGTGGTTGGATCACGGGGGCATTTTCCGTGGGACCAGGTGGAGGTGGTTGGATCACGGGGGTGGTTTCCGTGGGACCAGGTGGAGGTGGTTGGATCACGGGGGCATTTTCTGTGGGACCAGGTGGAGGTGGTTGGATCACGGGGGCATTTTCCGTGGGACCAGGTGGAGGTGGTTGGGTCATGGGGGCGGTTTCCCCCATGCTGTGCTCATGATAGTGAGTGAGTCTCACTGTCCGATGGTTTTATAAGCATCTGGCATTTCCCCTGCTGGCACTCACTCCGTCCTGCCACCCTGTGAAGAAGATGCCTGCTTCTCCTTCGCCTTCCGCCATGACTGTTAGTTTCCTAAGGTCTCTCCAGCCATGCAGAACTGTGAGTCAAAGCCTGTTCCTTTATAAATTACCCAGTCTCGGGTATTTTTTTCATAGCAGTGTGAGAACGGACCCACACAGGGCTGTCTTGTTGGCCCCCACAGTAACACACAGGAAAAGAGCCGCAGCCCCGCCCGAGGCCCTGGGCCAGCAAGAGCTAACACGGGACTTTGCCTGGATTCCTGATTCCAATCCCCCCAAAAACGTCCTTCCCATGTGCTTGCCCTATTCAGGCGGTGGGGCCAGTGGAGGGGGCAGTGGAAGGACGCATGCCCTGATGTGGTGTGGGTGCTACCTTCTGACCTCAGTGGGACGGGCAGGGCCTTTCAGACTTCTGGGGCCCTGGACGGAGTGGAGGCAACGTCTGGTGACCCTGCTGGCCAGGTGGGCTCTTGGTGGCCATGGGATTCTCCAGGGGGCTCTGTCTCAGGCTGTCCTTAGGACACATGACAGGCTCCAAAGGCCACACTTCTCCCCTTGGTGGGCAGAGATGGAGGCTCCCAGTAGGGATACTGGGCTTGGCCTAGGCTGTCACTGTGGCCTGGCTGCTCCCAAGTCTGGTTGCCATGGTCCCCACAGTGTCAGGTCTGTGAAGGCCCTGGGGCATGTGTGTTTACATGGCTTGGCCTGGGGGTACACGGCTTTCCGTGTGTGCAGACTTGGGGTGTGTGTGTGCACACGGCTTGGTCTGGGGGTACATGATTTTCTGTGTGCAGACTTGGGGTGTGTGTATGTATATGGCTCAACCTGGGGGTACGTGGCTTTCTCTGTACGGACCTGGGGCGTGTGTGTGTACACGGCTCAAGCTGGGGGTACATAGCTTTCTCTGTGTACAGACTTAGAATGTGCATGGATGCAGGTGCCTTCAGGGTGCACAAGCGTATGCTGTCGGTTTTTATTGTTGTCACAAATGGATGCAGGCGGTGGCTTAGGGTGGCACAGATTCATGAGCTCTGAGCTCTGTGGCTTAGATACTTGGCAAAGCTCAACTGGGCTTTCTGCTTAGGGTCTCACAAGGCTGAGATCACGGCGCCAGCTGGGGAAAGCTCTTATCCGAGGCTTAAGGAAAGGATTTGCTCCCAATGTCGTTTAGGTTGTTGGTCAAATCAAGTTCCTTGTGGCTGTAGTGGGAAGTCTCGTTTGGCCACTCAGAGTTGTTAGAGGCCACCCGCTTTCCTTCTCACGTGGTCCCTGCCACCTCCGAGCCAGAGGTGAGTGCTGAGTCTTTCTCAGGCTTTCAACACCTCTCTGCCTTCGGCCTCAGCCAGAGGATTATTCGGGTCAGGATCACCCAAATAATCCCTCTGTCTTAAAGGCACCATGGATGTTGTTGTAAGGGAGAGATGACACTATTTTCACAGGTTCTGGGGATTTGAGCAAGACATCTTTGGGGATGTGTTTTAGAAATTCTGACCTCGTCTGGGCGCGATGGCTCATGCCTGTAATCCCAGCACTTTGGGAGGCCAAGGCAGGCGGATCACGAGGTCAGGAGGTCGAGACCAGCTTGGTCAACGTGGTGAAACCCTGTCTCTACTAAAAAAAAAAAAAAAAAATACAGAAATGGTGGCACATGCCTGTAGTCCCAGCTACTTGGGAGGCTGAGGCAGAAGAATCGCTTGAATCCGGGAGGCGGAGGTTATGGTGAGCCGAGATTGTGCCACTGCACTCCAGCCTGGGCAACAGAGCGAGACACTGTCTTAAAGAAATTCCGACCTCCAT
The DNA here is from genome assembly GCF_000001405.40 of Homo sapiens. NCBI lineage: Eukaryota > Metazoa > Chordata > Mammalia > Primates > Hominidae > Homo > Homo sapiens. The sequence goes on along the minus strand of NC_000022.11, from coordinate 47,398,018 downwards.
GCACCGGGGATGTTTGCATGCTTTCAGTGCACAGGCTCCAGTGCCTCCACGGGTCAGGCCCTGTGCTGTGCACCACCAGTGCCAGGAGGCAGGGGACATTACCCTGAGCCCTGCCCCGAGGCCCACCGTCCAGTGGCATCCAAGAGGCTCCCGACAGCAAATGGGTGCTTCACCTTAGAGCAGCTGAGGCCCAGCCAGGGGAGGAAATCATTAGCCTGGGCCTGGAAGGCAGCCCTGGGGCTAGGCCTCGAGGGTGTTTGTCTGCACTGCACTGGAGCTAGAGTGGGCACACTTGGATGCCACGTGGGTGTGTGCAGCCAGCAGAGGGTGGGAGTTGAGGCTGGGAGCCCGCAGAGGCCAGAGTGTGAAGGCCTGGTGGCCAGGTGAGGGAGAGCAGGGGACCACAAGGAGGCTCAAGCATTCCCTGCTTGACACATAGCTGTGCAAAAGTGCGTCTGCACCGGAGGTTCCTACAGGCATCCTCCTACTTCACAGCTAGGATCTGGAGGCCCTGAAACCCCAGCCCCCTTCCAAACCTCACTGGCAGAATGGGCTCTGGCTTCCCAGATCTGAGGACTCCCTCTCTGTTTTTGTAGAACTTTGGTCTCCAAAGATGTCCACGTCCTAATCACAGAACCTGTGGCCTCACATGGCTAAACAGACTTTGGATGTGGTTCACTTACAGATCTAGAGATGGGGAGACCCTCAGATGAAGGGGGGTGCCCAGTGTCATCAAAGGGGCCTTATAAGAGGGTCAGAGGGAGCTCAGGCTTTAGAAGAGAAGAAGGCCACTTGACATTGGAAGCGGGGAGAAACATGGAGACGCACGTGGTGGGCTTTGAGATGGGGATGGGGCTGGGAGCCAAAGAGTGTGAGAGCGCGGGTGCCTCTGGGAGCTGAAGGCAGGAGACGGGTGCTCCCTGGGAGCCTCCAGAAGGAGCCAGGGCTGCAAGCACCATGACTTCAGCCTGGTGAGACCAATTCTGGCTTCTGACCTCCAAAATCAGGAAGAGAATAAATGAGACTCACTAAAGCCACTAGGCTTATCCTTTGTGACAGCGGCCACAGGAAGCTCACATAGACCCCATTGCTTGGGGCAGCGGGGTGGAGCGGAGCCATCCTGGTGGATTTGGGATCCTAATTCTTGCTCTGCCCATAGGAGAATGGCCTGATGCTGAGACAGACAATTCTGCGGAGGAGCGGACGGGAAGGGTGTGTGGGCTGCGGGGTCACCCGGGGAGTCTGCACGAGGTGGTGGGAGATGCTCAGCCTCCCAGTGTGTGATCAGGAAGCCAGGAGGGTGGAAATGGGGACAGTCACAGAGGAGGCACGGGCCAGAGGTGGGCTGGGGCAGGGAGAGTGAGGCTCTCGGAGCCACTGACCGGGCTGGAGAAAGGCCAGGCTGTACATGTGTGCATGCGTGTATGGGCACGGCCCTGGAAGCTGAGTGTGAGGCATGTACTTGAGGGTTTGTCTATTCACCTAGCAAGTGTGTGTTTTGCCCAGGCCCTGGGCTGGAGCTGGGCTCAGAGATGAGCCCTGGGACACCCTCGCTTCCAATGGTTCAGGGTCCCTGGGGTGAGGTCGACTAACAGGGAGACCCTTGGGATCATGAGTCCTATGCTGTGGAAACTGAAGGTCAAGGGCGTCAGAATCTGTCTACACCTCTGCGCGCATACCCGTCCTCCTGCAAGCACACGCTTGAGTGCACGAGCGCGACTGCAGGCTCTGGCTGGACATGCACAGGTGCAAGCTGAGTGTCGGGGGCCTTGGTGAAGGGCCTCCCACTGGTCTACCAGCCCCTCCTGCGATGAAGAACTGCTTTCATCTTACTGGAGGACTTTACATCAGCTAGAACCCCATTATAGAGATGGGGAAACTGAGGCTCAGAGAGGTGACACAGCTTTGGCTGTGGTGGTTCGTCTCTCGGGGCTGGAGTCGGGAGCTGGAACCCAGGTCTGTCTGATGGCATGTCCAGGCGCCACAGTCCTCTCCTACCATCCAGGAAACATTCCCAGAAATGCCGTTTAGAGACAAGCTGCACAAATGAATGCTCCATTTTTTGGGGTCAGATTTTCCAATAACCAACCACGTAAACAGACTAATGCATTAAACAAAAATCAATGTACTTCTGCCCCGCAAAGAATGCTTAATGCCCTGCCATAACTCGCGCTATTTGTTTGGGCCAGGAGAGAGATGGCTGTATTTCCCCCATAAGTCTTGATAGCACAATTCCATTGTTTACTTTGTGACACAATGGGCCGTCATTAATCACCAGGGGAGAGGGATGGGAGTCTCTGGCTGGCTTGAAAAGCGGGCTGGGAACTCACTTGGGGCCTGGGCAGGGTGACGTTCCTGCAGCTGCATCTTGCTTTGTGGAGAGTTTGAGGACTTGGGGGATTTCCTGTGTCTGTTGCCTTTCTACCCCAGGCTTGGCGGTTTTCCAGGTCTCTCCAGCCCATGAGGAGTGTTCTGCAAACTTCCGACGGTCAGCTCAGAGCTACCCAGTGGCTAACTCTAACCTTTGCCATGCTTGTCCTAGAAAACTAGAGACCATCAATTTGCAGTCGTCTCAAGTGTGGTGGAGACATTACTGCTAATTGGCAATAAGAAATGGTAAATGGAGCACAGTTTCATATTAATGAGCCATTTATCAATACTAAACGGGCCAGCTGCCTCCTTCGATCCCTTGATTGGCGTTGGCTTTGTTTACAGCTCAGATGTTTTCCAGCATATCGAGCGGTCCTCTGCTCTCAGCCATCCTCGCCGTGGCCCTGGGCTCCCTTCCCCTCTCCCTTGTTTCTGTTTTAAATCTCTGGCAATGACACAGGCTGTACATTGAGCATCTACTGCCTGTTAGGAGCAGTGTTAGCACTTTCAACTCCTAATCATGTTTAGGCCTCACAAAGCCTGTGTTCTGGGTTAGAGAGGTCAAAGGACTTGCTCAAGGTCAAAGAACCTGGCAAGGCAGGAACCAGGCCCTGTCCCCAGCTGCTTTTCTGCAGAGCCCCCAGCACTCAAGACATTGGGAAGGGCTGATGTTCTTGCAATGGCTTCTGGGAAGGCCCAGCCCAGCCAGTTTCTAGCTGGGGATGACTTCAAGCATCCCAGTGGCCCTGGGACGTTTGAGATGCTATATCAGCTCCCCACAACTGCCATAATAACTTACCACAAATTGGGTGGCTTTCAACAGCTGAGATTCATTCTCCACCAGTTCTTGAGGCTGGAAGTCCTAACTTAAGGTATCATCAGAAGCTCACGCTCTCTGCAGGCTCTAGGGGGGATTTCTTCCTGCCTCTCCCATCTCCTCGCCTCTCCCTGCATTCCTTGGCTTGTGGCTTGGCTGCATCTCTACTCCTGTGGTCACCTGGCCGCCTCCTCGGAGCCTGTCTTCTCCTCCTCTGTCTGTTATGAGGACACTTACCATTGGCTTTAGGCCCACCTGGAGAATACAGAATGATCTCATCTCAAGATCCTTAACTTCATTACATCTGCAAAGGCCCATTTTCCAAATAAGGTTACATCCACAGGTTCTGGGGCACGGACATAGCTTTTTTGGGGTCACCATCCAACCTGCTCCAGGTGGGGAAGGCAGGTTGACGCCCTGTGTCCTTCCCTGCTGGAGAGTTGAGTCCAGGTGTCATGGCAGCAGGTGGTCCTTTCGGTGAGGCTTTCAGGAGGCCCATGACCTGATCTATATCCATTCAATTGCCATCTATTCAAGCAATGAACATTTATGAGGAGCTTTCTAGGACTTCCACAACCACAGCTGGCAGTGTCTGTCCCCCCCATGCCCGAGGGAGGGAGAGAGGATGAAGCCGGCAATTACAGATGTGGCTCTTTGCTGCCCCAATGCCAGGGGCTCCACCATGGGCAGCTTCCCAGCCTGATTTGCTTGACCCTTACATGAAATGAAGCCCCTTGCTTCTCCCCAGTCTCAACAGAGGAAGGATGCCAGGGACAGCCTGGAGAGAGTGTGGCTGTGTGGCAGCATGTTGGGGTCTAGAGAAACAAACACGGGTCTTAGAGAAGCTGCCCAGCTGGGCTTTCAGGACCAGATAGAGCTGCACACCCAGCCTGGCCTCTTGGTGACTGTCATTGACCTGTCGAGGCTTTGTGATTTGGATGTGATTTCCACATCTATTAAGTGAGAATCATGGCCTCTACTTGCTCCTGCCAGAGCCTGGTGGAGAGGCATGAGTTGGAGAACTGTGCCTAGGGGGAGCCTAGAACATATATGGCAGGTGCCTGAGAGGTGCCACCTGTCTCCTTGGACAGAGGAGGGGTGGGGGTTAGGGGCAATTCCATCCTTGGAGGGGCTGCTCTGACCTTGGGAAGGGGTATGGATTGACAGCGGATTGGTGGATGGAAGATGCCACAGGTCCCTGACACGTCTCCCGTGGAGAGGGGCTCATTCCTCCTGGTGCGTGAGTCTGGGCTGGCCTCGGCCACTCTGTGCAGTGGGGATGGCAGATGAGATTCTGAGCAGGTCCTGCACCTCGTCTGTGAGTGGACTGGTGGCTCGGCCTTGGTCTCTTGGAGCCTTGCGAGCTGAAGCTGCCTGAGACTGCCGTGCTGTGAGGAGCCCAGGGTGGCTACACGCAGAGGCTGCTGTGGAACAGAGGCGCCCCGCTGATGGTGGAATGCAGCCCCAGCCCCAGGGCAAGAGACCATGATGCCCCCATGCCTTCCACCTCCAGCTGTTCTTACCCCTTGGCTGAGGCCGCAGAGTGCTGGGCCCTGCTCCAGCCCCTGGTGCACAGGGTGATGAGCAATTAAACAGGTTTGCTTTGTGCTACTGAGTTGGGGTGGTTTATTTCACAGCAATGGGTACCCAGAGCCAAGGGGAAGGTGTTTGCAGGTCTCTGGCTCAGGACTGAGTGTGATCCCCCTGCTTTTCTGCCTGTCACCTGTGGTCCTGGCTCACTCTCAGTCAGCATGGCTTGTGCTCATGTGAGCTACTGTCCTGGCTGGCATGCAACAGCCCACAGCTGCAACGGCAGCAGCAGCAATGCCAGCAGGTGTGTGTGAGAGTCCTGGGGCCAGGCCACAGAGGGCACCGGACACCCAGGAGCCCACCAGTCTCCCCACAGCCCGGGTACAGGCACACACTCCTCCCACTTACAGAGGAGGCTGGGGGCTGCCCGGTCACGGGCTCCATGTAGCCCATTGCAGAGCTTGAGCGCTGCATCCTGACCTGACGCTGACTCCCAGTGGACAGTTTCCCTCCCGGGGTCTGTCCCAGGAGGGAGCCAGTACCATGACCCTCACTGATGTCCCTAACCTGAGTCCCTCTCTGGAGGTGCTGCCTCGGGGGCCTACAGAGCACATGCACAAAGGGAGTGTGTGGTGTGTGTGATACCTGTGTATCGCGTGTGTGTGTGTGTGTGGGTGTATGATGTGTTTGTGTGTGATTGTGTATGAGTGGTGTATACACACGTGTGTGGGGTACCTGTGTATCCTGTGTGGTATATGATGTGTTTGTGTGTGATTGTGTATGAGTGGTGTGTACACGTGTGTGGGGTACCTGTGTATCCTGTGTGTGGTGTATGATGTGTGTGATTGTGTATGTGAATAGTGTGTACACGTGTGTGTGCATATGTGTGCAGTGCCTGTTTGTGCATGTGTGGTCTGTGCTGTGTGCAGTGGGTGTGTGTCAAAGCCCCCATTCATGTGTGTGCAGTGTGTGTTGTGTGGTATGTAGAAGATGATGTGTTTGTGTGTGTGCATGTGTGGTGTGGAGTGCGTGCATGCGTGGTGTGGAGCGCGTGCGTGCGTGGTGTGGCGTGTGTGCATGGTGTGGAGTGCATATGTGTGTTTGGCGGATTTGCAGGCAGGCCTGCACTTGTGCTGCAGGGCAGGGAGGAGAGAGGAAGGTATGTCGGGTATTGATGAAGGAGGTGTCGGGGTTAATGGAGTTGGGGAGGTCAGGCCTGGGAATGAGGTGGGCCTTCTCCGAAAGGAGGAGAGCTCTCCTGCTCTCCTGCTTGTTGGCCGCCCCTGAGAAGCCTGTGGCTGTGCCGTCTACACCAGCAGGCTGCCCGCTGCTCCTGCCCCAGTTGGGCAGAGCTGCCCCACCCACCCACATTGCCCCACCCACCCCTGACAAGCCCTGGGCAGTGCTGAGGGTCACAGGTCACCCATGCAGGCAGCCCTGTATCCGGGCGCCACATTTTGGCCACTGTGAGATGGAGGAGCTGACTAACAAAGCCGACCTGTTTGTTGCTCCGGTGTTTGGGAAGGTCGCCATGGCACAGTGTCCCCATCGCCAACAGGGCCACAGGGGATCTGTCAGCACAGCCCAAGGCAGCTTTGCCTGGGTCATGGCGCAGAAACCCAGGTGTCCCCAGCACCCCAGCCCACAGTACCATTCAGGGTGGGAGCACCTGGCAGTGTACAGGTGGGGACTTGAGGCTTCAAGAGAGGAAGGGCCCTCCCCTAAATCCCACAGTCGGTGTGGGCAGAGGTGGGCCAGAACCTGGGCTTCCCTAGCTCTCAGCCTCACACATGGTCCTCCGTCCTGCAGGGGTGGATGCAGCTGAGAGTCCCAGGCAGGCTGGGGTTTCGTGATCTTAAGCCAGCCCTTGTGAGATGGGTTTGTGACGAGCGTGTGTCCATGCCAGAAAGCCACGCGGATGGACTGGGACTGGCTCACTGCCCGCCTGGTGGTCAGTGGGTGTGTGTGGAGCTGGGTCCTCCGGGGGGAGGTGGCTGCACTTTACTCATCTTGGTGCACAGGACGCCCCGTGCAGGAAGATGGAGGTCAGCGTGGTGAAGCATATTTGATTGACAGCTGCATGTGTCCACCTTATCTTCCAGATGTTTCTCATCTCTGGATGTTGTATCGTGTTTGAGATTTTTTTATCTGGAGCTTACAAATTCATTTACTTGGGTGCTTACAAATTCACTTACTTTGGGCTGTAATTAACAGCATTCTCCATTATTGTCAGGCATAGTAAAGAATTTCTAGTAAATACTCAGTATATGAAGAATCGTTCCCACAAAACACCTGATGAGGTTTCCATGCTGTTTCCCAGAGATAGGATGGATAGGGGATGCCTTAATGAAGTCTTCTGACCTTGTCACCCCAACTCTGTCCCAGGCCACGTGGTGAATTGGCTGCCCCGGGCCATGGGAGTGTCCCAAGGGCGTCTGCACACCTGGATTTCTAACTCTGGCCCGGAGCGTGACCTGCCTCCTCCCGCCTCCCGCTGCTTTCGTTCAGTTTGGTTCCATCTCATGGCCACTGCGTTGACCTGCTGAGCAGCAGGTGGAGGGAATGCGGCGCAGAGCGGGGCGCAGAGAAGGAGCAGGGAGAAGCCACCCAGGAGCAAGCCGGCATTGAAGAATCTGGAGGAGGACGCGGCGAGTTTAAGACCAGGTGGATGTTCAGGAAAGGAGGAAAACAAAAATCATCAGGGCAGGCGAGTTGCATTTTTAATAAACCACTGCCCCTGAGAAACGACGGAACGGCGTGTGGAGAGGCACATCCGCCCGCAGCGTCCTCTGCAGGTCCCTCTGGGCCTTCATTACACCATTTGGAGGCGGGGATGCCGTCCAGGCTATTGAGCTTTGAACTATTCTTTGCTTGGCCTCACATGTATGGCAGAGGTGGAGGCAGCCCCCTGGTCCATCGCCCAAGGCATGCAGGCTGGACCACGCGGTACGGCCTGGCTTACGGCCCATCCCTCAGCGGTGTCCTTGAACCTCAGCCCAAGACTTGCCTGCCTCCCCGCCGAGAGTGAAGAGGAGCCCGCCTCCACTAAGGGCCAGGCCCACGCATTGGAGGCTCCCCTGCTCCCTGGGGCCTTTACTGCCCCATTTTCCAGATGAGAAGGCCGAGGCTCGGTGAGGGGAAGGGCCTGCCTGCTGAATTTAGGACTCACGGTGAAGCCTTAGGCCTGCATCGTCCTCTTCTCCAGGACGCTGTCTTCTGCCTTGGGACTGGCTGCCTGCCCCCCTCCCCGGGCAGTCAGTGGGTGTGCGTGGAGCTGGGTCCTCCTGGGGGAGGTGGCTGTACTTTACTCATCTTGGTGCACAGGATGCCCGGTGCAGGAAGATGGAGGTCAGCGGGGTGAAGAATATTTGATTGACAGCTGCAATCACGGGCCAGCTGTAAACCTGGGGAAACAAAGCCCGTCCCTCCCGGAGCTGCTGGGAGGGTTCTGTGGGATCAGCCCAGCCTCTGCTCTTCCCTTCCCTACCCCTCCTGCCAGGCTTGGGCTGGGACAGTCACACTTCCCTTCCCCAGTGGCAACTCTGGGGTCTTCCTTCCACAGGCCTTGTCCTGGGTGGGGGAGGGGAGGGGGGAACGGTCTCAGGAAGGGACAGAGAAGGAGGCACGCAGGCCCGTTGCTGCCCCCTGAGCTCCAAGGGTCTGGGGATGGGAGTGGGGACTGCTGGTGTCTCTGTTTGGGGCGTCAGCATCCCCTTGGTTGCCCTGGCATCTCTGACGTTTCTCCAGGTGAGCTGGTGACTCCCCATCCCCAGATCCATTCCTGCCCTGCTCTGAGCCCCAGAAGCCTGGGCCCCGTGGGCAGCATCCCCCAGTTGGTGCAGCCCATGGAAACTTCTGGCAGGAGATGGAGGCAGGAGCAGAACGTGGCTGGCCTTCTTGCCCTTCCGTGGGCACCGGTTCTTGTGTATCCCTCCCTCGAGCTCCTGGGGCTCCTAGGGTCTCCCCTACTTGCCCCTACTCTCCGGGGGTGGCTGTGGCTGCTGCTAGCACGGTGGTCCTGTCTCCAGGGTGTTCCTCCGCCCTGCCCTTGATGCTGGAAATAGCCTTCATTAATTCTCCGGCTCAGCCTCTGAGTGAAAATCTGGTTCCTGCTGGCAAACTGATTTTCCCAAAGTGGCATCATGATTAATTTGGTGCGTTTAATTACTAAAAGGACATCGTCTCTCTTCCATTCTGCTCACCAGCCCTTCTGTCCTGGCCTGGTTTTGGATGCTGCTCCTGCAGAAAGTGTTTTTCCCACACCCATCCACACCCAGCCTTCCCAGGACTCCCAAGCCACTGGCGGATGCCACACCGTGAGCCTCCCCAGGGCCCATCCCTCAGTGGGGGTCCTTGAGCCCCGGGCCTGCTGCCCTGGGGGCTCACCACCTGGCCTCAGTGTCAACCCTGGGTGCACTGGCCCTGCCCTAGATGGGATCATTGGAATGAAACCATTCTCTAACTTGGCATTGGAGTCATTAAGCCCACTGTCTTATTACCTTAAAGCTATAAAATCATCAGGACAATTGCTGGCCTGTGGGTCAGTATCTGGGAGCAGCAGCATCTGGGAGGGTTTCTGGGGGGTATTCACCATGGACCCCTTGGCCGAATGCCACGCTGTTGACCTTCTGACCTCCTGAATCCCTCTCCTCCCGAGATTTCCAACACATTTTCTCCTTTCACCCAGAACAGCAGGCTCTTAGGGGTAGATGGGAACCCTGAGGCTACCTCCCCTACTCCCCTCTCAGCGCCCACCCTGTCTGCATGCAGGAGTCCCATACACAGGGAGCTCATCCATGCTGAGCAGGCAACAGCTGCTTCTTCACATGGGGTCAAATTAAACTCTCTCCAAGTGGTGTTAGTGCCAAGTATTACAAGTCTGCCTTCCAAAATCACGAGAGACCTTGTGGGGAGGGTGGGCAGGTCCTGGGCGCCTTCGTCTTCTTTCTACCAGCCACAGGCTGTGGGGATGCTCAGCTGATGTGAAGCCCTGGGTCAGCGGCTGGTTCCATCTGTGAGGCTGACATTTCCACCTCCCTGATTTCTCTGCGCTGGAAAGAAACCCCCAGCAGGCTGCTCACTCGTGGAAGGCAACCTTTCTTGGGTTGTTCAACACACAGGGCACCGCACCCTCTGCCATGCACCCAGGATGCAGAGGCAAGGGACCGTTGCTGGCCTTTGGAGACAGGAAAGAGGCTGACAACAAGGCCCAGGGAATACCCTTTCCAGCTTTTGAGCCCACACCTGAGGCTCAGCAGAGAGCTGAGGGCTTCGGCTCTCCATCCTCCCTTCCTGCAATGTGACAAGGTGGCACCATCGTCACTCCTACTTTATAGATGAGATAGGAGGCTCAAGTAAGAGGAGAGGTAGAGATTGGAAACGTTTTTCTGCAAGCCCCAGGGCCCAGCCGCAATGCTCTTCCAACCTCCACTACAGGACACAGAGGGACACAGCACTTCTATCACGTAAGCGGCTGTGCACATGTGCATGTCAGGGCCCCGCAGAGAACAGGGCTGCTCCATTAGAATAGACGACAACAGGTGGATGAATTAGTGCCCACTTCCAAGTTAGAATTAATGTCTCTCTATTCTGGTTCTCCCAGAAAGTGGATCAGAGTCCTGATTATAGTTTATCCTGATAGATTGTCAGCCCTGGGTGGGGACAAATCTCCACCCCCTTCCTTCTGGTCCCCACGCCACATCCCAGCCCAAAACGGGGCTCCGTCCCTACTGGCTGGCGAGGATGCCTTGAGCAGCCCCTCCTTCGGAGTACATCCTACTGGCCGGGGCATGGCAATCGCTGCTTATTGCCTGAATTTTGGAGCACAAGGAGCATTGTGTGAGGCGCTTACAATGTATTGAGGAAATCTCATCCCCCAGTTCGAGCCCTCTGGGCAGAAGCACTGAGTGGAGCCCGGTGGTTCCCAAGTTTCTTCTGTAGCCTCGAGGGCCCATGGGATCGAGTGGTCGTGGCTGTCCCCACCCAGGTCCCTGAGACGGGGGCTCCACGAGGATCTCCCTTCAACGTCACCTCCCCTTCCGGTGCAGTGACCTGGGAGCTTATTAAAACCACCAAATGCACCAGCCGGAGATGCCCCTGGCTTTTGATTGAGCAGGATGCCTGGAACCCACATTTTCAGCCCTGTCCGTGGAAGATGCTGGGGGCACTGGACTCCTGCTGGCAACACAGTGTTGCTATTTCCAGCGTGGCCTGGGAGCTCAGTGTTTGTGGGGTGGCTGTGCCCGCAGGGAGGGCTGTTTTGAGTCACACATATCCTGACTCCCTGGGCTTCAGTTCAATGAGAGAGAGTGGCTGTGAGTCCCTGGGGGAGGCCTCCCGCCCGGCAGAGTCCCTTGCCTGGCTCTGTCCCGTTTTTCTTCTGGCATCTGCGGTCATATGCTGCCTTCTTTCCAGGCAAACCGCAACAGAGAGTCTTGCAGAATGGAGAATCAATTTTAATAATAAGCTAAATGGGTTTTCTTTTGTTTCCAGAAAAACTCCCACTGGGAGAGGGATTTTTTTTAAAAGACTACTGGGCTGCGTTTTACTTCTGAAGCTGGGTCTCTAGCTGCTTCTGAGCTAATTGAGTAGAGAGTGTGAATAAGGAGGGACGGGTGCCACTTCTTCACACCCACTGAACGAGCAGGGTTAGCAGCAGTCAGAGGCTGCCTGGGAGCCACAGCACAGGCCCCAGTAGATGCCTCCGGGGCCGGTGCTGCCCAGGACACACCGCAGCCTCAGTATCTCTCTGCCATGTGGGATCAAAAGTCATTTCAGAACCAGGCTGCGTCTCCTAGAAGAATCTTGCATGGCTTTTGAGACGTGGGGATGGTGTTTGTCAAACATGTCAAAAATCCCAGAAAGTGGATCAGAGTCCTGATTATAGTTTATCCTGATAGATTGTCAGCCCTGGGTGGGGACAAATCTCCACCCCCTTCCTTCTGGTCCCCACGCCACATCCCAGCCCAAAACGGGGCTCCGTCCCTACTGGCTGGCGAGGATGCCTTGAGCAGCCCCTCCTTTGGAGTACATCCTACTGGCCCCCATGTACTCCACTGGAGTACACCATGGACCCCAAACACGCCAGACCATAGCCCCCCATGAGTGCTGCAAAGCCAAGCCCAGAAATGTACATCTGTGTGGCGCTGATTATGAGGTTGGTCAGCCAGCCTCTCCTGCTGCCAGCATGCATCTTGTTTATCTCTGCATCTCCAGGCTTAGAACAGGACACGGTATACAGTGTCCAATAGGTGTTTACTGGATGAATAAATGAAGGAAGGAGGAAGGGAGTCATCTCTGGGTCATACCACTCTCCAGCTTGAGGATGTATTTCTCTGGGGAAGGCAGTGAGATCTTGGAGGGTGAGAGCACGCTCTACACCCAGGTACCGTGATTTCATCAGCACCCTCACTCTGTGCCACACACACTCAATAAACACTGGCAGAGAGAAGATCAATCATACGCTGTAGTCAAGGTGCTTCTCAGGCGGGGTTTAAATTCTTTATGATGACAGAAGTCCTGAAAAAGCCACTTTTCCTTTGATAATTCCTCAAAGCGCCTATAAACATCTTTGCGGTGTGATCTCTCAGAGGGTTCACAGCATTGGAACGGGTGGATATTTCTTTGGTTGAAAACTAGATAAAGACATCGGCTTGCATTGAGGAGCCGTTTTGTGTTAAAACACGGTTTTAAAACATTGGACTCACACGTGGCTGGCAAGGTGCTTGCACTGTAAGGACTGGAAGTGAGTGGGGAAAAAGGCCATTTTTGTCCTCTGTGTCTTGCTCACCGGTTGAGTGGAAAGGCAGGAAAAATAAACTACACCGCTTAAATTATTTTTTTTCTCTTTTGTACTAGAAAATAGAGTTGAATTGATATGAAATTCATCTAGGATAGGATTCCATCAGCAGTGCTCAATTTAGATCTAATTGGTACAGAAAAAGTTTTCTGTTGGCTGCAAGGAGCAACATTTTATCATTTAGGGAGAAGGCCGATGAACCAACTCACCCATCCACCCACCAACCAATCAACTGACCCACTAACCAACCAGCCAACCGACCAACGAAACAGTCCCCACCACCTGACCTTGTCTGGAGAGGCTGACCCAGCTCCTCCATGCAGAGTCATGAAGAGGGAAGGCCATTTTGCAAATGGCAAGTGCCGTGGGTGAGCTGATGATAGCACATGACCTTAAAGAAGGGTCTGCGGCATTCGGAGCTGCCCACACCCTTGCTTCTTCTCCACCCTTGGCTTCTGTGATGGCATGTCCTCGCCTCCTTCTTAGTCCCCTGGGGCTGCTTCTCTTGTACACGCCCCATGGTGATAGCCACATCTCATGACAATTTGATTCATTTCTTTGGAGGCTGTAGCTTTTGCAGTGGAAGTGTTGCCATTGTCTGGCATGACAAGAATACAGGACAGGTAGGCTGAGGGGAACATTGATTCACTCAGGTAGGGGATGGTGAACTTGCTGTGTCCTAGACACCCATGTGGGAATCCATGCCTGGACTGCCTGGTCCTCAGGGGTGACCACCACGATCTAGAACCAAGTAGACCTGGGTCTGAGTCCCAGAGGAAGACACACACGGTAGATGTGTGTGTCATTTTGGACATTTTCTTTGTCTTGGCTTCCTCATCTGTAAAAGAGGAATCATAATGCATACATTAAAGAGCATTATTTTGTAGATTCAATGAAAGTTTCATTTGGAAAGCACCAGAGGTGGTCATATGCCTGCCGATGGTCATCATTCCTGGCTCCTTCTCTTCACAATGCTCTGTTGAGTCTGCCCCTGTTTCCGTTCACTGACCTTTTGCATTTATTGAGCATCAAGCATACTCCCAGAATGTGCTAGGTGCTGCGGATATAGAGAAGAATGGGACACTTTCCCTAACAGGCAGACTGACAGATGGAAAATGTTCAGGAGACATGGCAAATAATAAGCCGCCTCCTCCTTCCTCCATCCCACTGTCTTTAACGTGCCCCATGCATTCCTTGCTCTTATGGGGATGTTGCAATCTTCCCCAAACACCGAGACCCCCTCCTGTCTCGTATGTCTACAGTTGACCATGTTTGATGTTTTCCCATACATTCGGCTTCCTTACCTGAGTGGACTAACTCTCCATGCTGCTCTCTACTCTCAGGTCACGCCCTGCTTGAACCACAATTAACCTCTCAGCATTATTTGGCTGCCCTCGAGTCTTCTGGGTCCATACATGCATAAACCATTCCTCTGCCTGGAATTCTCTTCTTACCACTCGTCTTTCCAGCCCTAGTTAGGTTGCTACCTCCTCCTGGAAGGCGTCTGGATGTCCACATGGAGTCAGCCTCCTGCTTCCTTCGTAAAACATGGAGATTTCTGCATGTTTCTAAATCAGCTGTCTGTGACTCCTCTAAGGCAGGGACCACGTTTATTCATCTTTGGCAAATGTGGGAGGTCCAGGGAGGCTGGAGCCAATAATGCCTGAGGTTTCTGCCTGGATGGCCGGGTAGCTGGTGTCTGTCTTCTCCAGCTGTGTGTGAGTCCTTCAAGGACAAGGATGCGGTGCTGTACATTTCATGTTCTTGCCTAACACAAACCTTGTACAGGGAGGCTCAGGAACCACATGCCACATAATATATTCATCTGAATGACTGATCAAAACATTTTTTTCTTTTAACCATATTTGTCCCCCAACTTTTTTTTCATTTGAGTGCTGAAAATCTTATCTACCTCTTGTGTGGCTCAGATGGCCAAGGGCAGACAGAAACATTCTCTCCAAAGGACCAGTTCCTGACCTTCTGCCATATCCTTCCACTAGTATCACTTTGTGGGCTTCTTGGAACAGCTTGGTAGGCACAATCCATTCTTGGCCGCCTTCTCCAGGTAGCACATGAGTTCCCCACCCTGAAAGATTTCAGCTGTTCCCATAGCCTTGGTGTATTAGTCTGTTCTCATGCTACTATGAAGAAAAATACCCAAGACTGGGCAATTTGTAAAGAAAAGAGGTTTAATTGACTCACAATTCCACATGGCTGGGGAGGCCCCAGGAAACTTATAATCATGGCAGAAGGCACCTCTTCACAGGGCGGCAAGAGAGAATGAGTGCCAGCAGCGGAAATGCCAGGTGTTTATAAAATCATCAGATCTCATGAGACTTATTATCACGAGAACAGCATGGGGGAAACCACTCCCATGATTCAGTGACCTTCCACTGGATCCCTCCCATGACATGCGGGGACTATGGGAACTATAATTCAAGATGAGGTTTGGGTGGGGACACAGCCACATCATTACTCAGCTCTCCTGCAGATGGCTTACACATCTCTAGCTTCGACTTCTCTTGTAACTTTCACTTTATTCAGTAATCACATTACCTTCTGGGTATCCTGTAAACCCCTGGGTTAGTCAGGGGTCTTGTTGCATGCAATGGAGGATCTGCTCAGGCCTTTTTAAACAGCAAGGGGACCATGAGCTGTGCTGCCCTGAGCTCTGCCCATTTGGGGTTTTCATTTCCTACTTCCTTTGGTGCTGCCTTGGAGGGGGCCGGCCATACTCCCAAAGTATTCCCTGGTCTTGTGAGGTGCGGGCTCAGAGCCAATGTGGGCTGGACTGGCACTGTCCGCCAGCCTGCTGCCAGGGACACCTGGTGAGGGTGCACTTCCCAGTCAAGAAATCCAGAGCATCCCTCCATGTCCTTCCTTGCACATCTGCTTCTGCACTCATTCAGCAGGGGCATGTTGGCCACTGCCAGGATCATGAGCTTGTCTTCTTAATGCTCAGCATAGAGAGGGGGGTGTCAAAGGTGTGGTCCCAGCCCTGGAGGAGCTAGAAAAAAAGACAATTAAAAAAAAAAGCACAGCTTTGTTTTTGTGATAGCTAAGGAGGTGGAGAGTGCAGGCTGCCCAAGCTGGTGAGTGGCCCCCTCTGCCCCTAGGATGTAAGGCCTTGGCCCCAGGTCCTCCTTCCTGTGCACCGGAGTCTGGCCACTCCCCAAGGTCACTGGTGCATGTGCTTCGCCTCTCCCTGACCATCCCTACCACCATGACTGCGCTTTGGAGCCCAGCATGTCTCCCTAGACCATCAAAGCTGCTAATGTGTATCTCTGCTTCAAGTCTTGCCCTTTCAATAATTTTCTTTACCAGGCGGCCATAAAAATGTTTACGGAATGCAAATCTGGTCACCCCCTTGCTCCCTCAGAAGCCTTCTGTTTCTCCGTGTGCCTCTGGAGGGGGCTGTCTGAACTCCTTGGTGTGGCTGCATGGGGTTCTGCCTGCCCTCCTCTCCCACGGCTCTGCGCACACTTAATGTTCCATAAATACCGAGCCACCTCTGGTCCTGGCCACCCCTCGCAGCTTCCTGTTGGTGCTTTCAAAACTCTGTCCTTGGCCTGCAATGCGTTCTCCTCCATTTCATTACCTAAAAAGCTTCTTTTCAGTTTTAAAACTCTATTCAGACCTCATCTTCTGTCTGAAGTTTCCCCTGAAAGCCCCAAACAGAGATAATCACCCCTCTTTATATTTCTTCTCTGCCTCCAACATCCTGTTGTCACCAATGTGTCATCCTGGTCAGTAATTACTTGTTTACAGTGGAGTTGTATCTTGTATAGAGTCTGGTTCTAAAGTCATCTAGGAGGTGAAAATTGCTAGCAATCAAAATTACCCCTGAAATTCCCTTAAATTCCCCATAAAGAGCGGTACATGAGGCTTTATGTCAATAACTCTGTGGACGGTTCAACAGTCGCTCTGACCTGGGTTGGTGAGTTGTTTGCTAAGACCCTAGAATATTTTTCTGTCTCCTTGTGGATGTTGAGGAAGCTACGGCGTGCCTCCTCCACGAAGGCATTTGTCCCCCTGCTGGGTCACTGGTCAGGGGACACTGGAGAGCCCAGGGGTCTTGCTGGTGGCCTCGGCCATCTCAGGCTTGCCTGTGCCATGTTCTGTGGCACGCACTCCTCATGTGCATGGCGGATGGGGCTTCTCTCTCCCTGGCTCCCCACCTCTCCCCGGCTCCCCACCTCTCCCCGGCTCCCCCTCTCTCCCCGGCTCCCCACCTCTCCCCGGCTCCCCACCTCTCCCCGGCTCCCCACCTCTCCCCGGCTCCCCACCTCTCCCTGGCTCCCCACCTCTCCCCGGCTCCCCCCCTCTCCCTGGCTCGCCCTGTCTCCCTGACTCCCTCTCTGCAGCAAACAGAATTGAATTCACATACACTAGATGAGCATCTCTGCGCTTCGCTTCCCCATCAGAGTGTATGTTTCACAGAGTAGAGACAACACACCACTTATTTCCAGTGACCTTTTCTGTTGGGAAAACAATTTCAAAGTCCAGGCTTGTCTTCCACCGGACAGCAACACATGGCGGCCCTGGCAAGTCACCGCTGCATCTCCCATCCGCAGAGCTGCTGCAGAACTGTCCAGGATGCTGACCTGGAGCAAGGCAGGGCTTCTCTCCCTTTCCGTCCACTCTTGACAGCAGTGTTCTATTCCTCTAGGCAGTTATGATTGGCATGCACTGTCTTTATTACCCCAAAGTCTAACTTTTTTGTTTTTGTTTTGAGACAGGGTCTGGCTCTACCTCCCAGGCTGGAGTGCAGTGGTGGGATCTCAGCTCACTGTGGTCTGTGCCTCCCAGACTCAAGTGATCCTCCCACCTCAGCCTCTGGATTAGTTGGGACTACAGGTGCACACCACCACATCCAGCTAACTTTTGAATTTTTTTATGTAGAGAAGGCGTTTTGCCATGTTGCCTAGCCTCGTCCCAAACTCCTAGCCTCAAGTGACCTGCCTGCCTCAGCCTCCCAAAGTGCTGGAATTACAGGTATGGGCCACCACGCCTGGCCTCCAAAGTTTAACTTGTAAAAGACCACGTGCTGCTCAGGGATTAAACAGTAAATTTCATCATAGTAACCTTGTTTAATTTTGTTATAAATTAATATTTCCTGATACATGTTTGAAGACATGTGCTTAAATATTTTTTTTTTTACATTTTCAATCCAGTCTCCTGGGCCTCTTAGAAAATGATCCTAAAACCCTGGGGAAAATGATCTTGACCCAGGGAACAGTAGGAGGGAAGGGTCTGCCGAGTCCTTAGTAACCGGGGTGTTAGCTCCAAAGGCAATAACCTCCTAAAATGCTGGAATTGCAGGTATGAGCCACCGTGCCCCACCTCCAAAATCTAACTTGCAGAAGACGTGCGCTGCTCCGGGGTTAAATAATACATTTCACCATAGTACCCTTATTTACTTTTTATTATAAATTGGTATTTCCCGATACATGTTTGAGGACATGTGCTATAAATATTCTTTTTATACAGACTTCTATTCAGCACTTTATTGTTAGTAATGGCAGCTGCTAAAATAGAGGGAGCCATTTTGCTTTCATGGTTCGAGTGCTAGGAGAAAAGCTGCTCCTGGACTCACAGATGTATTAGCCTGCCCACATTTTATTTTATTTTATTTTTGAGACAGAATCTCACTCCATAGTCCAGGCTGGAGTGCAGTGGTGTGATCTTGGCTCACTGCAACCTCCCCCTTCCAGGTTCAAGCGATTCTCCTCCCTCAGCTGCCCAAGTAGCTGGGATTACAGGTGCCTGCCACCACACCTGGCTAATTTTTGTATTTTTGGTAGAGATGGGGTTTCACCATGTTGGTCAGGCTGGTCTTGAACTCCTGACCTCCAGTGATCTGCCTGCCTCGGCCTCCCAAAGTGCTGGGATTACAGGCGTGAGCCACCGTGCCGGGCTGGCTGCCCACATTTTTATCCATTCAACAGAACCATCTTGTCATAACTTGTGCTCCGTTTGTCTGAATTTCTTGCATTAGACTTAAAGGGTGTTCATTGGTTTTAGTTTGGTAGAGGATTCTAGCCTTCATTATTTTCCTTCAGAAGTTTGAGGATATTACAAAGCTGGCTTTCAGCCAGTTATTGTTGCTATTGTCAGTCCTCCTCCGCCGCCGCCGCCTCCGCCGCCGCCGCCTCCTCCGCCGCCGCCTCCTCCGCCGCCGCCTCCTCCGCCGCCGCCTCCGCCTCCGCCTCCTCCGCCTCCGCCTCCTCCGCCTCCTCCTCCGCTGCCTCCTCCGCCGCCGCCTCCTTCGCCTCCGCCTCCTCTGCCTCCTCCGCCGCGTCCTCCTCCTCTTCCTCTTCTGCTTCCTTTTCCTCCTCTGCCGCCTCCGTCTCCGCCTCCTCCGCCGGGTCCTCCTCCTCTTCCTCTGCCTCTTCCTCTGCTCCCTCTTCCTCCTCCTCTTCCTCCTCCGCCTTCTCCTCCTCTGCCTCCTCCTCTTTTTCCTCCTCCTCTTCCTTTTCTTCCTCCTCCTCCTCTTCCTTCTTCTCTTCTTCCTCCTCCTCTTAAATTTCTTCTTCTTTCTCTTCCTATTCTTCCTTCCTCCCCTCTCTCTTTATTGTAGTAATTTGTATTTCCTCTGTGTTTGCTTTAAAAATGCTTTGTTTGCCTTTTTGTTGTCCAACATTGGGCCCAGGTGTGCATTTCTATTTAATGATCCTATTTAGGACTCAGTGAACATCTTCAGCTGGAGAACTTGGGCCTTTCTTCAATTCTGGAAATCACTTAGCCATTACTGTCTGCCTCATTCTCTTTATTCTTGCCATCTGGAATTCAAAATTGACCTATGTTCAGGATTATGTGAGTCTATTCTCAGTTTTCTTGAACTCTGTGTGGACGTATAAAGACTCTGTCTAAGATGATGCCCCCAGATTCTAGCCTGCAGCTCTCGCCCCAAGTCTTGGTATGTGCCAGTCCCCATCAGGGATGCTCTTCCACTCCCTCCCCCTCCCTGGGTCCACCTGATAAACTCTCAGAATCTCACTCTGGTCTCCACTCAGGTCAAAGTGCCACCTCCTCCAGGAAGCCTTCCTGGGCTTACCCTACCTCATGCCCTCTAACTTTCCTGCCCTGCCCATCACAGAGTGGGGAGGCTGTGACTGCCTGTCTACATATCCTTTATCCACAGCACCATGAGCTCCACGGGGAGGGGCCACACCTTGCTCTGGCTGCCACGGAAACAAAGGAAAGGAAAGCCCCAGGCCAGCTCCCAAAATGTGCACCCGAACAGAGCCTCACAGCAAAGAGCAGCCCTCCTCCCCTCGAGGCACTTTCCAATCCTCCATCATTCCCTGCTGTGAATCCCAAACATTTGAGATAGGTCTCAGTCAATTTAGAAAGTTTATTTTGCCAAAGATAAGGGTGCCTGCCCATGACACAGCCTCAGGAGGTCCTGACCACATGTGCCCAGTGTGGTTGGGGCACAGCTTGGTTTTATGTATTTTAGGGAGACATGAGACATCAATCAATATATGTAAAATGTACATTGCTTCTGTCCAGAAAGGTGGGACAACTGGAACCGGGGAGGGGCTTCCAGGTCATAGGTAGATAAGACACAAATGGTTGCATTCTTTTCCGTTTCTGATGAGCCTCTCCAAAGGAGGCAGATATGCATTCATCTCAGTGAACAGAGGGATGACTTTGAGTTCTGTCTGTCCTTGGTCCACAAGGAAATTTCTTGTGAGGGAGGTATGTGGCTTTTTTATCTTAGTAGCCATCTTTTTTAGGACTACAATGGGAGGCAGGTTTGCTCTAAGCAGTTCCCAGCTTGACTTTTCCCTTTGTGGACCTTAGTGATTTTAGGGTCCCAAGATTGATTTTCCTTTCACACTGCACAAACCAATTCTGTAAGAGCCCAGGTGTCCAGGAGGGGATGAAGAAACAGAATCAGGAAGCAGAGAAGCCACCAGCCCCTTGCATGGATCCTCTCCTACCTTCTTCTTTAAATTTTCATTCATTCATTCAATTCCTCCATAACTGTGGAGCACCTCTCTGTTCCAGGCACCGTTTTGGGCACTGAGGAATGATGCAACATAGGAGGGCGTGAGACCCTATCTCAAAAAATAAATATTCTCTTTTCAGAAGCAGCACATTCACCCAGCGTGTAGGAAGAGAGAGTGACTTATCAAGCAGCCACTGGAGAGGGATGAGGAACTCCTCTCTTGGGAGACAGGTGGACTCCAGATGTCCCTAGAACTTTCCAGGCTCACTGACTCAGGCTGCCCCCACACACACCAGCAGTGGAGCCTTTTGGGAAAGTGGTCCTCAGGGTCTGGGAAACGGAGGCTGGCTCTGGGCAGACATGGGCTTCAGCCTCGTGCAGCTCTGTGGCCACAGTGCCCTCGCTAGACTGGAACCGAGGTGCCTTCCCTCCCAGGGGGCTCCTTTAATGGCCATAGAGCACTGGACATGCTTAGTGATGAACGGCGCTCAGAGCCCTGGTGGTTGTTACTGTTGATAACATCTTGAGCCAGATTCCTCCTTTTTTATTCTGAACTAATCCATCCATGTTTTATTTATTTTACCCAAACCCATCTGTGAGAAGGCAGGCAGAGGCCACGGGCTCCCTGAAGGGGCTCCCGGGGGCAGGGATGCTGCCCTCGGGTTTGGGAGAGAGGTCCTTGCAGACTAAGCTTCAAAGTCCACTGAGATTCCCCCTCAACCCCAGGAGATGAGCCACGGGGTCTCACAGGCTGGGAAGGAGGTCGGAAGGAGCTTGGAATCATCGAGTGCATACTCAATTTATTAACTTTGACTTGTAAATTAAAACCCCCAGTGGTACAAATCAGGAATAAGCCAAGTGAAAATGAGAATCTGCCTTTCCTTTCTGCAGCCTGGAATCAGAACTCTAACAACTCAAAAAAAAATTGGAAAAACATTTCAATTACTATGCAAATGGGTTTTCGGTGTCTGGCCTTTCTGTCATCTTGGTTCTACATCTGGCGCGAGGAGCCTCAGCTGCTTCCCTGCGGATGGACCCTGCCGGTGGCTGGGTACCCCAACGGGAAAAAAGGCAAAGATGCTGAAAGAAAAAGATTTTCCTTGATGAGCTCAGGGGCCATGCACACCTTCCTCCCGAGAGATGACAGTCCCTGGGCTGCAGGGCAGGGGCTGGTCAGGGAGACCCCTGCCCTCTCAGACCTTCCTCCTGAGAAATGACAGTCCCTGGGCTACGGGGCAGGGGCTGGTCAGGGAGACCCCTGCCCTCTCAGACCTGACTCCATGTTCCATGGTTTGTAACTCAGAGCCTGGCACCTGGGATGAGCCACAGCCATGCTCCTGAGCCAGGCTCGCCAAACACTCACAGGCAGGGTTGCACGCGGGGGCTGAGGTTCACCAGCAACCCAGAGTAGCCGAGGGGTGCAGCGGGAAGCCCAGGCTGCTCGGGCTGGGAGCCCACCCTCAGATGGGCATGCCAAGACCAGACAGTAGGCGCCGAGAAGGTTCTGGGGTCGGCCTGGGGCTACTGAGGTCCCTCCCATCTCTATCACATGTTGAGGTGCTCCACGTTGTGTGTGTGTGTGTGTGTGTGTGTGTGTGCACGCGCGCGCGCACATGTGTGTTTGGGGAGTCCATTTTGCAGGTGGCTAACTTCGTTTACTGTGATTTCAGAGCTTCTTCCTCCACTGGCCGATCCTCTGCTGTGAGGAACAGGTTCAGGATGAATCTAAGACCCCTCTGTAAGCAGCGCCCCCGGCCCCTCGGGCACTTCAGTCCTCCCCATCTGTGAGTGTCTTAGGATCCAGATAGGATGTGACGCTCCTAGGTCACTCTCTGCCATTCCTCCAAAATAGGCGCTAAGATTTTAAATGAGACTTCCCCACAGGACTGGTCGCATTGATTAGGATCACAGTGGCCCGCAGAACCACAACCTCCAGGGAGCACCCTCTGTTCTTTCCCTAAAGGGTTCCAGGGTGGTGGAGGTGCTGAGCAAAGTCCGTTCAGGGGACTGGCATGTGGCTCTGCTGGCGTTTAGTACGCGTGCTCCCCTGCTGCTAGGTAGCCACGACCCGGACAGTGGGTGGGCTTTGTCCAGGTGTGTTTGGGGCACAGAGCCCAGGGTGACAAAAGTCTGAAGTCCTGCAGAGGACTGGGCTGCTGGTGGCCTGGCTGCTGGGGCTTTGTTAGCGGGCAAGCTCTCTGAGGGTGGAAACTGCCTCTTTATCACCCTCCCAGGGGTTCCCTGCCAGGTGCCCCTGATAAAGTTAAATCACACCAAACAATGCTGGCCACTCTGGCCCCAGGGCGAGGCACAAGAAAAAAAGTGACGAGTCCTGTCCACGCTGCTCCGGGGCCTCGGTGGGGCCGTCTTTACCCTTGACTGCCGTGGCCTGGTCTCTGGTTGGGTCAGAGCCCAGATGCCTGCAGGGGGCTTCCCTGTATCCCATCGTTGTGGCCGGGGCTGGGGTGGGTGCAGTGGGGTCTCTGCAGCCTGAAGGTCGTTCACCTGCTTCAGAAACAGGACAGAGGGCTGGACTGGGTGTAAGAGGATAGCACTTTGAGCCAGATTTGCTCCTCTATAAGCAGGGGGTGAGGCGAGCCTAGGGTGGGCCTCAGTTTCCCCAGTCATCCCCCATTCCCACCTAGCTCTAGGAGACCAGACACACACCTGGTCTCTGCATCCCATGTCAAATGCTCTGGGTGCCCTGGTCCCACTATTGCACTGCCCTGTTCCTACAGAGGGTGGAGGAGCCAGGCCTGCATCACGTTCCGTGCAGGCTTGAGGACAGGCCTTCCCATTCCACGCATGCAGCAGGTATCCACTGAGCACCTGCTCTGCGCTGACTTGGGTCTCAGGAGTCTGGGATATAGGGAAGCTTCTGTCTGTGGGGAGGCACAGGATGGACGTGAACGCGTTGGAGGAGTGGTGTGTGTTCAGAGAGAACCAAGAGTGAGCGAGAAGGTGCTGAGGAGGCCCCTGCCAGGGCTGCAGGCACCAAGGGCTGGAGCTCTGAGGAGGCGGGGGCTGAGGGAGGGCATCCCGCCGGGGGAAGATGCAGCCTCTGCTGCGCAGCTTTCTGTTCACTGATTCATTCATTTCATTAACATGGAACGAGTGTCCTTCAAGTGCCCCAAACTCCCCGGTGCCTCAGAACATCCAGCAGAAAGGCCCCAGCTCTGCACCCACCCTCTAGGCAGGAGACAGTGCAGGGCAACGGACTTTGTGTGTGCGTGTGTGGAGGGGTTGGGGGTCTCTAACCCGGAGAGGTGGGGACCGGCAGCTCCTGAAATTGGAGCAGGGACTTGATGAAAAGTTGGGGGGCACCTCAGAGAGCAGACACCAGGTAGACGGACGAAGACCCAGGAGGAGGGCGTCGCCAGGAATGGCTGCACGGGGCCAGGGGGTGGCAGGTGCAGGCAGAGGCAGGTGGGGCACGAGGGGCTTAGTGCTTTGACCACCAGAAACCCTGAGTCTGTCTGCATTGAGACACTGGCCATGTATCCAAAGCAGTGGGAGGTGATTAAGAGTTTTCCAGAAGGCTCACTGCAATAGCCACTCGAGTGGGACAGATGGCAGGGGATGGGGTGATGCCCAGACTGGAAGGGGAGTGCACCGCATTTGTGAAGGGCACATGTGGGGGGTCCTGAGGGCATAGGAAGGGCCATGGGTGCCATGGCCCAGGGCAGGACTGTGGGGCCCAGGGCTTCCCATTCATTGTTGAGACCCCCCCCCCAACCCCGGGCCACACCCCGGGCCACACCCCTGCCCACACGGAGATTGTGCCCTCATTGTGGGTAACAGATCACCAAGAGGTCAAAGCAAAGAAAAAGAGGGAGTGTCCCTCCTCCAGGAAGCTCCCAGCCTAGCTGGCGAGCATGGCCTCCCTTCTCCTCCTGGCCTCCCTTCTCCTCCTGGCCTCCCTTCTCCTCCTGGCTCCACGCCTTCTCTTTGCTTCCTCCCATTGCCGTTTCTCCTGACGATCTAAGAAAGAGCAGAAGCCTGAAATTGGGACCTGGAGGGGACGTCTCTAATCAATGTGAGCCTGAGGTTTAAGTGGCTTGGACTTATTCACCCC
Source organism: Homo sapiens (assembly GCF_000001405.40). Classification (NCBI taxonomy): domain Eukaryota; kingdom Metazoa; phylum Chordata; class Mammalia; order Primates; family Hominidae; genus Homo; species Homo sapiens. The sequence continues at coordinate 47,373,471 of NC_000022.11, read as the reverse complement.
AAATGGCAGCGATGTGTAAACTGAAATGTCACCAGTGGAACCAGAACTGGGGCTCATTAGCACCCAACTGGTAGCAGTGATTAGGAAAATCATTTCCCCGCATGCTGCAACACTCCACAATGAGGCTGGCACCCCTGCTGCTGGGGGTCAGACCATGGACTTGGTGGCTGTCACATCACTGTCCCCTCCATACCGAGGTCTCCTCTCTACTCGAGGGCACATGCTCAGCCGTGGGTGCCGGGTGCTGCGTGCTGGTGGTCTGAGTCCTGGCTGAGAGGCATCTCCTGCTCTTTTTTATCTGGGGGGTGGTCAGTGGGCCGGGCTCACACAGGCCAGCTCACGGTGACACTTGCACTCAGCTTTGTCCTGGACGTGGGGACGCCGGCGCTGTGGTGCCTGCCCAGCACATCCTGAGATGACGCCACTGCTCCTCTTTGGCCCTGCTGAACTGTATTCCATGCTGGCTGTCTTTTTCCTGCATGTATGTTAAAGAGATTGAAAAGTGAAGATACCAGTGGGGTGATGTAAGTGGCAAGATTGATCGGGGCTGGGCTTCATGATTCTGGGGAGAGGGATAAAGGAGGTGTTCAAGGGAAATGGACCGATCCCTGCAAATGACTGCAGAGACCGTTTCGGTGGAGATGGAGTCGCAAAGCAGGCAGGTGTCTTTCGACAACAGAACGTGAGGCCGGTGGGGTCTGGGTGGCGAGGATGGCCTTTCCTGTCACAGCCCCACTGCTGCCTGCCTTGGCCACCTGGCAAAATTTAGATCTATTTCAGAAAGTCTGGGCACAGTCCCATCCTTCTCTGGTACTTTGCGGCCGCAGCAGTTATTTATTTGCTCAATCAATCGACGTGCGTTCAGCATCCATGATGCATCTGGAGGTTATGGTTACGTGCCTTCTGCCCCATGATGCCAGGTCTCAGGAGAGTCCTTGAGGCTCAGCCTGGCAGCAGGTGAGGAACTGGGGGGACTTCGGGTCAAGGCGACAGCAGTGAGGGCGGCTGGCTGTGTCAGGGAACACACCCACCCACAGGTGACATTCACGGCCCGGCTCCACTGAGCTCGGCAAGGATTTGTGCTCCCACAGAAGCTTTCCACTTGCAGCCCCCACGTCCTCCTCACGGCTTCCCAGGTGCTCCACAGGCCCATGAGCCCTGGCTCTGTCCCCCGTCCCCCGAGAGCTCCACCTCCTGGACTGCTGGGCCTTTTCTGGGGACACCGGGAGGATGTCTCAGTAAACCCTGAGGGTGTGTGGGATTGTGTGTGCAGCCACAAGGCCTGGCACGCAGCTCACAGCAGGGCCCCGTCAATGGCAGTTGCCTCTTCTGGCACCAGGGTCTCCAGTGTGCGAGGCCACCCACATGCCTGTTTGGGGCTCCACACACTAATCTACAGTTTCATTCCCGCTTGCTGGGACCCCCAGTCATATCTTTGCCAGCTCAGCTTCTCATTCACCTAGAAATGCCCTTTCTGCTTTGTCCTCCCTGCCGGGTGCCTGCCCATTATCTAAGATCTGGGCCAGGGCCAGGGCCAAGCCCCGCATCCCCTGGCCCCTTTCTCCCCTCCCTGTGCCACGTGATGTTTGACGTTCCAGCACGCATGCACTTTCTCCTGTCCCCCCCGACTGTGGGGAGGGCGTGTCCTGGCCTCTGGGGGCTCCTGGGAGCATGAGTTCAGCTTGAGTGTGTAGCTTTCTGGTTGAACACAGATCTTGAACCTATCAGGTGCTCTCTATGCAATGTGATAAACCAAGTGTTTGGAGGAAGGCTTGATTCCTACCGGTGGGGTGGACACTTTGGGGCTCAGAACTCCTGTAGGCCTGCAGCAAGCTGACTGCAGTGACCAGACCCTACCCCGCGGAGGGACCTGCTTTGAGGTTCCATTACAGCTGTAGATTTCTGTGGACCAGGCTTCCTCAGAAGCCAGAGTCCTGGGAGGGTGCAGTGCTGGGGCCAGCTAGTACCGCTCCAGAGAGCCTGTTGTTAAATATCCTGGAATCCTGCAACAGTTGATGTGACATTTGTAGCTGGGAATCAGCCATGGTGGGAGCAATTGCACCAGGGCTATTGGTGATGACTGCACGACCATCCACCCCTCACCACAGGAGCTGGTTGTTAGCCATGTCTCAGCACACTGCGGCCTGGCCCACGGCTGGCTCCCTGTGTTCTCTCCCAGACTCTAGAGATCCTCTTTCCTAATAGTCTTCAGCGAGTCATTTTCTCAGCACTTGGTGTCCTAAGAAGCTTGCCCCCTGTGGCCACACCTCCATTCACGCTGGCCCTAGCCAGTGGACAGAGGGTGGAAGGCACAGTCATCTTGCTCTGTGGTGGCCCTGTGAGGGACAGTGGGTGAGTGGGTGGAGGCGGCCTTGTCATCCTATGAAAGGCAGGCACAAGGTTTAGCCCCACAGCGAGTTCTGAGCCCCTGTTGTGACTTCCCAGAGAGTCGGCTCCTGAGTGTCTGGGGAGCTCCAGGGCAGATGCCCCTCGGCTGAACACACCCTTCTGTTTCCAGGCACCATGTTGTTTGGTGGTTTCCATAGCCTGGTTTGAATCTGCTCGTCCACTGAACCCAGACACAGTTGACACTAGCTCTGGAGGCAGACTACCTGGCACCTGCCCCCACAGCAGCCACACCTGACACTGCTCGTGGGTGCAGCCTGACACAGGTGTCTTTGAATCACAGGTGTGGCTTTTGTGGTTAGAGTCCACCTCTCTCTAGGTGGCAAAACAACCTGGGCAGCGACCTGTGTCTGCTTTGCTCTTCATTAGATCATCAGATGTGAGCCCAGCAACCGGCACCTGGAGGTCTTCTAACGTGCTGTGTGCATCACCTCCGCTGTGACGGTTGTGTGAGTGCAGTCACTCCATGCTGTGTGCGTCACCTCTGCTGTGATGGTTGTGAGTATGGTTACTCCATGCTGTGTCATCTCCGCTGTGACGGTTGTGTGAGTGTCATCACTCCATGCGGTGTGTGTCACCTCCGCTGTGATGGTTGTGTATGGTCACTCCATGCTGTGTCATCTCCGCTGTGACGATTGTGAGAGTGTCACCTCCACTGCAATGGTTCCTGTATTCTTGCAATGATCATCTTGGCTCAGGTCACCTCAGATCTGGCATTTTTCCATTATGACTAGTTTATATTCTTACCCTGAGGTTTGGCAAAAATATTGAATCAATTGTTCTTAATTATGACCATCTTGTACACTTTGCATTGCAGGAACAGTTCAATAATGCTTTATAGTCCAAAGAGCCCTAGGAGCACTGCTCAATATCCCAGAGTGGAAGACTAGAGTTTTCCTTTTGTTCAACTCATAAACTATTCTTAAAAGTGCCATATTTTCTTGATTCCATTGTTGTTCTCCCTGTTTATGGCTCTGTTCATTGTCCTGTGTCTATGAAATGAAGCCATAATAAATGCTAATCATGTGTTTAGTGCATTACCCACAGTCCTGGCTGCATGAAGGTGGCGGGCTGTGGGGTTGGGGTGGAGAGGCCCTGGACAGAAGGCAGCAGTTGAGGTGAGCTCCCTCCTTGCCTGGCTGTGTGTCCCTGGGGACCTGGGGATCCTCTCTGAACTCTGGCTTCTGTCCACGAAGGGAAGGGTGGACAGGGAGAAGGAGGGTAGTGAGCAAACACCCAATAAGTAGGCTTGGACCAGCCCTTCAGTCAGGGTGTGGGTTGGTGTTCTCAGTGAGACACGTGTGAATGGAAGCCAGCTCTGACTCCTCCCAGCTGGGCAGGCACGGGCAGGCCAGTCAATTTCTCTGAATTTGGGTTTCACCCTTTGTACAGTGGGCAAAATTAACTCTGTTCTGGGCTGTTGATGGATGAGATGAAAGGACCTGAGTTCGTGTCTTGCACAATGTGGACCTCCTGGGAGGCCTCTGCCGCTGGGGCCCTGGTTCTGCTGAACAGAATCAAGAAGCTCCAGGAATTGCCTGCCTCTGTTAGATGTGCTCTGTTTCCCTAAAAAACAAACCAGGAACTTGCTTTGACCTCAACTCTGGGCACACAATTCATGGGGCCTGCTGCAGAGATAAGGCTGCTGCCATGGCAGATGGGGCAGAAGCCCCAATTCTCCCACTGCTTTAGAGGTGATGGTAGGGGTTGGGGCAGCCTTCCCCCGTGTCTCTCATCTCTCCCTCTGCAGGGACTGGAGTGCCGTCAACCCTCCTGTCCCCCATAGGCAGCTGACTCCCGTAGCCCTGCAGACCCCAGCAGGGGAACCCACAGCCCAGGTTGGGGACTCCACTCCGTGTCTGTGTAGCCTCGGCTGGAGGACAGGCCCAAGGACGGCAGATCTGCCTGGAAGTGCTCTTTCCAACAGCCTTGGCAGCTCCCAGAGATGCGCCAGCCAGGCCCTCATTTCAGGGAAGAAAAATGCCCCTGCAGCTTATAAAAAGGCCCAGCAGACCCCTTCCAGGAGAGCCAGGCCGTTCAAAGGGAAGAAAGATGCTTCCTGAGGGCACCGGGTGTGCTGACTAGTTTAAAAACTCACCACTGCAGATATATGCTTGCAATAAGCACAGATACTGGGCACAGGGCAAAGAAAATCATCCATTTCATTTCAGCTGCAGGAGCAGGCCGGCGGGGAGCAGCGGCTTTATTTATTTACTTCATCGGGAAAAGAGGCCGTGCAGTGAAATGGTAAATTCATGGCCTGAGAGCGCCTTCCCCGGCCGTGGGCACAGATGCCATGCAGTGTTCTTTGTGGGCAGTACATGAGAGGGGTGCCACTCTCACCACCTCCCTTGTTGGGAGATGGGCAGGGGTCTCAAAGGGCATGGGCAGCCTGGGAAGTTCTCAGAACTGGGGTACTGAGGACCTGTGGCGGGCATGGAGGGAAAGGGGCGAGGGCCACAGTGCAGGCCATCTGTGCCTGAGCCGCACGGGTCTTCCCAGTGGGAATCCAGAGGTCTCCCAGAGCTCCTCTGACAGGGCCAGCCCGGGGGTGGCTGCAGAAATGGTGGGTACCTGGGATGGACACATCCTGGAGTGGTCAGAAGCGCTCAGCTCAGCCTCAGAACACCTGTCTTTAGGGCCTGGCTCTGCCACGTACCAGCTGGGGTCTTTGGGATTGTTATTTGTCCTTTCTGAGCCTCCCTCTTCTGCTTGAACAAGAGAGTGGTAACATCTGTCACCAACCTCCCGAGTGAGGGTGAACCACAGAGGCTGTGGAAAGTTCCGTGATGCCCACAGTAGGGACCACTCCACGTGGCCAGCACCTGCCAAGCCAGGCTCTGTACAGGCTATGTCCTCCCAAACAAGGCTGCTGTGGGCAGTGACATCACTGCCAAGGGAAGTGGAGTCCAGGAATAAACAGGTGAGGCCTTGCAGGGTCGCTGACTGATGTGGTTTGGCTCTGACCCCACCCAAATCTCGAATTGTAGTTCGTCTAATCCCCACATGCCATGGGAGGGACCCAGTGGGAGGTAACTGAATCATGGGGGCAGTTAACCTCATGCTGTTCTCCTGAGAGTGAGTTCTCATGAGATCTGATGGCTTTATAAGGGGCTTTCCCCCCTTTTGCTCTGCACTTCTCTCAACTGCTGCCATGTGAAGAACATGTTTGCTTCTCCATCCACCATGATTGTAAGTTTCCTGAGGCCTCCCCAGCCCTGCAGAACTGCGAGTCAATTAAACTCACAGTTTAATTGAGAGAGAGAGAGACACTGCCATCCTTTCTCTACTGAACAGACCTCCCTCAGTGCTTCTTGCTTCCTGGGAGGATAGCATGAGTCTGGGCTAGGGATCAGTGGGGGCCCACCCTGCCACCAGTGAACCCCAGCCCAGACTCATGGTCTCCTCCCAGGATGGTGGTTGTGAGTGGCTTGGTCAGATTGGCATTTTAGAAAGTTTAAGCAGATTGTTCCTCTGCTAATGGGAGCAGGAAGGTGGGGAGGAGGGAGGCTAGGAGGTGGCAGTGGCCACGGGCTCATTCAGCAGTGTTTTAGGGCACCTGCTCTGGGTCACCCCCTTCACCAGGCACAGGGGTGGGTGGACAGCAGGGCAAATGTGGCCCCTGCCTGCCTGGAGTGTGTCACCCAGCAGGGGAGGAGGACAGAGAGCAGGTGCCAGACAAACTCGGTTGTCACTGCAGGGGAAGCCCAGTGGATGCCTGGGAGCGATAGTGGCTATCCCAGCATCCCGGGCCAAGAGTGAGTGCTGATGGCACTCCCATCCACCGACTCCACCTGCCCACAGGCAAGAGTACAGGGAAGGATGAAGGCTCTGGGCAGGTGGTCAGGGAAGGTCGCCCAGTGGTGGGATTGAAGCTGCCCTGGGAGAAATGGAACCCATCAATCCTCCTACCATCAATGTAGCAGGTGCCCTCTGCTTTCTACAAATGTGAGTTCCCGCCCACCTAGGCTTCTGCCCAAGTGGGAAAAATGCAAATGGAAGTTGTTCTCCAGGCAAGGAGATGCGTGCACTGGGACACAGATATTAGCAAAACACAGGATCTGCGTCTCCTCCTGCAGCAGTGCTGGCCTTGCCATTGGAAAAAAAAGACTTAGAAAGATAATTTGAATTTATAAATCCAATTCCAATGGGGTTATTGATGTGCAAAGAAAAGGATACATATAAACGCGTGGCAAGGTGCACACTCGATTAGCTCCCTGATTATTTATTTATCCCTAAGAAGTGCTTACCGGAGGATGACAAACATTTGTTTTATAGATGGAGCCCAGAGGACTGACCTGCCGAGAGAAATCGGATTATTAGTGCTCTGACAATTGAGTTTACACAAACTTTTACTTCCAGTTATTAAGAAATGTAGAGAATTTATATTCATGAGGCGCCTAAGTGCTCCAGGAGCCACCTGCTCCGTCCTCTGGCCCAGCCTGCCTACTCCACGTGGGCCCGTCTGGTTGCTGCCATGCTGGGACTGGGCAGGGGCAGCTAAGCCCACCCTCGAGGGGTGCGTCTTCACCTCCATGGTGCACTGCCTCGTGTAGGTCACCATGGCAGCCTGTCCCCCTGGGACTCCCCCAACCCCATGAGCACTGCTCTGTTGAAGATCTGCTGCCTGCTAGGGCGGCAGTCCCCCACACTCTGAGCAAGACAGCCAAGAACAAGGTAAAATCTCTGTCCTCCCCAGCATAGAAATGGCTGCCCCACTACAGGGCGGGCACCCACGACAACCAGCCAAGTCCAAGGGCACAGAGGAGACAGGTGGAGTGCATCTGTCTGCAAACCTCCATTCTACCCACTCCACCCAGACGTCCACCCCACCGCCTTCCCCACACCCCAGTTGCTTTTTACTCCTGACTCAGTCTTTCATCCCTGCCAGCCTGCCTGTGTGTTTCCCTCCTGTCACTCACAGACCAAAATGAGGAACACCTTTCAGGGCTCACCGGTAAACTGGACACAGCTGAGGAAAGAATCACTGCGTTCACAGACATGTGAATGATACGAAGAGGAAAAAAAGGGTGAAAAGATGAACAGAACATCCAAAAAGTGTGGGACAATTCCAAAAGTTGTAACACATGTAATGAAAATACCAGAAGGATAAGAAGGAAAGAAAAGCCAAAGAAATATTGGAAACAATAATGGCTGAGGGTTTTCCAAAATTATTAACAGACACCAAACAAACATATTCAGGAAGTTCAGAAAATGCCAAGCAGGATAAATGTTGACAAACATTGATATAAATATAATTTATATGATCTATCTCAAAAATACTCTGGTATAAATATCAAAAATATCTATACCTGAACATATGATATTCAAACTACCAAAAAAGAAAAACCAAGACAGGAGAAAATTTGTGAAAGAAAGCAGAGTAAATATACCTACCCTGTAGAAGAACATGAATAATAATTACCTTGGAGTTCTCACCAGAAACCATGCAAGCAGAGAATGAAATATTTAAAGCATTGAAAGAATAAAACATTAACCTATAATTCTGTATACAGTGAAGTTGTTCTTCAGAAATAAAGGCTTTCTCAGACAAACAGAAACTGAGGGAATTTGTTGCCAATAGACCCATCTTGCAAGAAATATTAAAGAAGTTCTTCACCAAGGAGAATTATATAGGCCATATATTTGGATCATATAAAGAAAGAAAGAGCTTCAGAGAAGGAATAAATGAAAGTAAAATAAAATCTGTATTTTTCTTAATCTTACCTAGGCTAAAAAAATAACTGTTTGAAATAATAATAGCAAAAATATATGGGATAATTATAGCATATGGATAATTTAAGTGAATGACAGCAATTTTATAAGGGATGGGAGGAAGTAATTCAAAAGATTCTGTTAAAATGTACCTGAACTACCCATGAAGTAGTCTAGTGTTATTGAAAGTAGACATAGATTAGTTGCAAATGAGTATTGCAAACTCACAGGCAACCACCTCAAAAATTTCAAACAGAAGTATAATTGCTATACGAAAGAAACAAAATTGAGTGATATAAAATGCTAAATTAAAACCAGAGAATGTAGAAAAAAGGAAAAAAAAAAGCAAAGTACAAGTGAAAATAGAAAACAGTTTAAAAAAATGGTAGATATTCATCCAACTATATCACTAATCACTTCAAAAATGGTCTCAATATACCAATTAAAAGACAGACTTTCAGAGCGTAAAAAACCCCACTGATACGTTATCTACAAGAAGTGCACTTTAAATATAAAGACATTGATAGATTACAAATAAATGGGTGGAGAAGGATATCCCATTCTAACACTGATATGGTTTGGATCTGTGTCCCTACCCAAATCTCATGTCATATTGTAATCCCTAATGTTGGAGGTGGGGCCTGGTGGGAGGTGGTTGGATCATGGGGGCAGTTTCTCATGTTTTAACATCATCCCCCTTGGTGCTGTCATCACCATGGTGAGTTCTCGTGAAGTCTGGTTGTTTAAAGGCGTGTAGCATCTACCCCATCTCTCTCTTCCTCCTTCTCTGACCATGTGAAGTGCTGGCTCCCTCTTCACCTTCTGCGAATTGTGATTGTAAGCTTCCTGAGGCCTCCCTAGAGGCTGATCAGATGCCTGCGTCATGCTTCCTGTACAGCCTGTGCAACCATGAGCCAATTAAACCTCTTTTCCTTATAAACTACCCAGTCTCAGGTATTTCTTTATAGCAATGCAAGAATGGACTAATACAAACACTAATCAAAAGAAAACTGGAGTAACTATATAATTTCAGACAAAGGCAACTTCAGAACATGGAAAATATCAGGGATAAATAGGGAGACTACATAATGATAAAGAGATCAATTTTCCAAGGAGACATAACAAGCCTTTACATGTATGCACCTAACAACAAAGCTTCAAATTATGTGAAGCAAAAACTGATAGAACTGCAAGGAGAAATGGATGAATCCACTACTAGAGTTGGAAAATCCAGTGCTCTTGTATCATTAATGGGACAGATCCAGCAGGCAGAAAATCAGTAAGAATACAGTCGAACTGAGCAGCATCATCAATCAACTGGATCTAATTGGCATTTATACAATATGTCAACCAACAACAGCCAAATTCACACTCTACTTATACTCACATGAAGTATTCACCAAGATGGACAACATATTGGGCCATAAAATACATCTCAAGAAACTTAAAAGAATAGAAATTGCCCAGGCACAGTGATTCACACCTGTAATTCCAGCACTTTCAGGGGCAAAGGCAGGCAGATCACTTGAGGTCAGGAGTTCAAGACCAGCCTGGGCAAAATGGTGAGACCCCCCCCCCCCCCGCAAACCCCATCTCTACTAAAACAAAATAGAAAAATTAGCCAGGCATGGTGGCACACAGCTGTAGTCCCAGCTACTCCAGATGCTGAGGTGGAAGGATTGTGTGAGCCCAGGAGGTGGAGGTTGCAGCGAGCTGAGATCACACCACTGCACTCCAGCCTGGGTGGTAGAGCAAGACCCTGTCTCGAAAAGAAAACGATAGGAATCTGAAAAATATAATCAAACTAGAAATCAATGTCTGAAAGCTGAAAAATCTCAAAATATTTGGAGATTAAGTAACTTAAATAAAACACCTCTATATAACACATGGGACATAGAAGAAGTCTCAAGAGAAATTTAAAACTATTTGAATTAAATGAAAATACAACTTATCAAACATTTATGGGATGCAACAAAAGCAGTGCTTAGAAGGAAATTTATAATACTGAATGTACATATTAGGAAGAAAAATCTAAAAATCAATCATCTAAGCTTCCACCTTAAGGACCTAGGGAGTGAAGAGCAATATAGACCTAGAGTAAGCAAAAGAAAAAAATAATAGAGAATATAACAATGAAATTGCTTAAAATTTTCAATAGATATAAAAAGTCAATGAAATCAAAAGTTGGTTATTTTAAAATATTATTACAACTAAAAAGCCTCTAGTCAGGCTAACAAAGTAAAAAAAAAAAAGAGGAGATACAAATTATTAATATCAATAATGAAAGAGAAGCCATCACTACTGATACCATGAATAATAGAATAATACGGGGATATTATGAACAACTCTGTGCTCCAAAATTTAATAACTTAGATGAAATGGAAAAATTCTTTGGGGGAAATAAAAAGTCTGGATCTATATCTATTAAATAAACTGAATCTATAATTAATAACCTTTGAAAAACAGAAGGCACTAGGCCCAGATGACTTCACTGGTGAAGTCTACCAAACAAAGCAAATATAATACCTGTTCTCTCCCATTTATTTCCAAAAGTAGAGCAGAAGAGTAATTTCCTAATTTGTTCTAGGGGTTATCATTACTAATACTAAAACCAGATAAAGAAATTACAAGAAAGGAAAACTATGAGCCAATATTTCTTATTAATGAAGATGCAAAGATCCTCAACAAAATATTAGCAAATTGAATTCAACAATCTATAAAAATAAATATACACCACAATAAAGTGGGATTTGTTCCAGGTATACATTCAGTTAATGAAATCTATCAAATTAGCAGGCTAAAGAAGACAAATTACAATGATCTTATCAATAAATACAGAAAAATAATTTGACAAAATTCAACACCTATTAGAAAAACTTTCAGAAAAGAGTAAAAAGAAATGTTTTCAACATGTTAAAGTTGAAAACATTTACAAAAATATTTGTACATATCTACAAAAAACCTACAGCTGACATATTAATGATGAGAAACCAGATGCTTTCCCCTTAAGATAAAAAAATAGGTAAGACTGTTCCCTCTCACAGGAGACAGTCAATATTGTGCTAGAAGTCCTAGCTTATGCAATAAGACAGGAAAAGGAAATGAAAAGTATACAAAATTTCTTCCTAGAAATAAAACCGTCTTTGTTTGCAGATGATATAATTTCTATGTAGAAAATTCCAAAGAATCAACAAAAATCTCCTGGAACTGAGTGATTATAGCAAGATTGGGCCAGGTGTGGTGGCTCACACCTATAATCCCAACACTTTGGGAGGCTGAGGGAGGCAGATCACTTGAGGTCAGGAGTTTGAGATTGGCCTGGCCAACATGGTGAAACCCCATCTCTATTAAAAGTACAAAAATTAGCCTGGTGTGGTGGGCGCCTATAATCCCAGCTACTCAGGAGGCTGAGGCATGAGAATCTCTTGAACCTGGGAAGTGGAGGTTGCAGTGAGCTGAGATTGCACCACTGCACTCCAGCCTGGGCGACAGACTGAGATTCTGTCTAAATAAATAAATAGATAAAGCAAGATTGCAGGCTACAAGGTTAATAAGTAAAAGTCTATTGCTTTCTTATATGCCAGCAATAGACAATTTTATTTAAAATTAGCACCAAAAAAGTAAACACTATAGATCTCACAATGTATGTACAGGATCTATATGAGATAAACAACAAAACTCAGATGAAAGAAATCAAAGAAAATATAATTAAATAGGGAAGTATTCCTTGTTCATGAATAAGAAGATTCAATGTTGTTAAGATGTCAGTTCTTCTCAATGTTATCTATAGGTTCAACACAATCTCAACTAAAATCCCAGCAAGTTATTTTAAGGATATGGACAAACCAATTATAAAGTTTCTATGCAACGGCGAAAGATGCAGAAGAAGTGATGCAATAATGAAGAGGAACAAAGTGGGAAGACTGACTTATAAAGCTACGGTAATCAAGACAGCATGGTACTGATGAAAGAATACACAAATAGACCAATGGAACAGAACAGTGATCCCAGAAGTAGACCCATACAAGCATAGTCAGCCATCTTTGACAAAGAAAATTCAATGGAGAAAGGATAGTCTTTTCAACAAATGGCTGGAACAAGTGGACACACATGCAAAAAAAAAAAAAAAGAAAACATATTCTAGACACAGGCCTTGCACCTTTCACAAAAATTACCTCAAAATGGATCATAGATCTAAATGTAAAATGCAGAACTATAAAACTCCTAGAAGTAACATAGGGGAAAATCTAGGTGACCTTGAATTTGCAAAGAGTTTTAGATACAACGTCAAAAGAATGACCCATAAAAATTGATGAGTTGGACTTCATTAAAATTGAAAATTTCTGCTCTGTGAAAGATACCGTTTAGAGAATCACAAGACAAGCCACAGATGTGAATAAAATACTTTCAAAAGACATATTTGGTAAAGGACTTGTATCCAAACTGTACAAAGAACTCTTAAAAATCAACAATAGACAAAATCTCAGTTTTTAAATGGGCAGAAGAACAGACACTTCACCAAAGAAGATATACAAATAGCACAGAAGCTTATGGAGATATACACAACACCATAAAACATCATCAAAATGATCATGAGATATCACTACGCACCTACCAGAATCATGAACATCCAAAACATCGATACTACCAAATGCTGGTGAAGACGTGGAACCACAAAAATTCTCATTCATTGCTGGCGGGAATGCAACTGTGGAAGACAGTGTGGCAGTTTCATAGAAAGCTAACCACACTCTTACCATATAATCTAACCATTGTGATCCTAGTATTTCCCCAATTGAGTTGAAAATTTATATCCACACAAAAGCTTATGCAAGAATGTTTATAGCAGCTTTATTTATAATCACCAAAAACTGGAAGTGACCAATTTTAGTAGGTTAATGTATAAAAAAAAAAAACTGTGGGACCTCCATACAATGGAATCTTACTTAGTAATAAAAATAAATGAGCTATCAAGCCGCAAAATGACATGAAAGAGACTTAAGTGCATATTGCTAAGTGAAGGAAGCCAGTCTGAAAAAGCAGTGTGTTGAGTGATTCCTACTATATACCATTCCATAAAAGGCAAAACCAGAAAACCAGAAAAATGATCAGTGGTTGCCAGGGGTTGGGGGAGAGGGTGAAAGGATAAATAGGGGGAGTGTGGGGGTATTTCAGGGTGGTGAAACTATTCTGCATGATTCTGAAACGGGAGATGCACAACATTATGCATTTGTCAAAACCCAGAGAATGTACAACACCAAGAGTGAACCTTAATGTAAACTATGGGCTTTAGCTAATGATAATGTATCAATATTAGTTCATCCATTATAACAGAGGTACCACACTAATGCAAGATGTTAATAAGAGAAGTGAGGAAAGGGATATATGGGAACTCTGTTTTCTGCTCAATTATTCTGTAAGTCTAAAACTGCTCTAAAAAATAAAGTCTATTAATAGAAAAGGAAGATACACGCAGAATACATATGAAGATGTGATCAAACTGGGAAGTATTCCACGGTCCTGCAAGGGAAGAGCCAACCTCGTGAAAATGCCATTGCTCCAAAGCCAATCTATGCTTTTATCAAAATTCCAGCCAAACCCCAACAGCATGCCTTGTGAAGCCTGATAAGCTCATCCTAAATCCATCTAGAAGAGCAAAGGCTCAGAAATGGCTAGGAAAATACTGAAGTAAAAACGAAGGGATGGAACTTATTCCACCTAAAGGCAGAAGCAGTTCAATGAGTGTGATACTAGCACAGAGACAGAAAAGTAAGCCGATGGAGCAGGACACAGAGCGCAGATACAGATCCACCCATCAACAAAAGCCTGTTATTCACAGAGTGGTATTAATTCCGCAAGAATCAGCTCCTTCCCGCCCATCCCTGAGAGTAAAGAAGGCTGAGCCCTCACAGGGTCAAAGGCCAGCTCTGAGCCTCTCAGTCTCCAGAGTGGATTAAGGTGATCCTGGACTCTTCGTGCACCTGGTTCCAGCTAGATACTAAATAAACCTTCCCCAGAGGAAGATAACAAGACCCTAGGCTTAAAGTTATTTCTGCAATTTCTCATATACAATTTCCAACATCCAATCCATATCAGCCAAGCACGCAGAGAGGCAGAACAAAAATGGACAGAGAACGAATAAATTATTCTCTGATTGCTGCTGGAATTAATATCCATGTACAAAAAACTAAAATAAAACTTGATCTCTGATGTTGTCCTGCAGAATACTGGGCTGGAGCTACAGCTAAAATGTTCTATGGCAGTAACAGGATGTTCTCTTAAGTTCAAATGCTGTACTCTCAGCTGAGCCTACTAGCCAGTCAGGTTGTAATGTGTGTGCTAAGCACAACTTCTCCAGGCTCCAGCTTCCTGGATGCTTTGGGGCCAGTGGTGATGGGAGCAGATTGCATTTTTCTGGGTCAGGGTAAGACCTACCATGTTGTCAAGTCCTTTGAAGGCTTCTTGTATCTCCCATCATGTCACATTGAAACTCCAGCATAAATACTTCATATGGTTGAAAAAAATCTGTAATAAGTCACATACCTGAATCTAATATGCTGTTATTGGTACAGCATTTTTCCTATACCACCATGCCTACCTGGCTGCATTCTCTACAGAATATGTAATAACAACCACAAATCTACAGTGTCCAGCCTCAATTCAATGGCTAACTCTGGACATGTGGAATGGGTCACCTATTACACTGGGGAGGGGCTGCACCCAGCACCCAGCACTCCCCTTACCCCATTCGACACACACTTGTATTGAATAAAAGGCGTATGTGGCGAAAATAAAATTACAGACTATTTAAAAGAAAACACAGGAGAATATCTTTCAGGCTTCAAAGCAGAGATTTCTTAACACACGCACGCACACATGCATGCATGCACACACATGCATCCACACATACACATGCATGCACATATGCACACACACGCACACAGGCATACACACAAGCAATAAAGGAAGAGAGTTTTGTTTATGAAAAAGATAGCAGAGAGGTAAACCACAGCATGGAGGGAAGATATTTTAAGCAACGTAACTGACTAAATATCAGTGTGTGAACTATTTAAATATATCTAAAGGCAAGCACAGAAGAGAAAACATAAGTGACCATTGTATCAGCCAGAGTCCTCTGGAGAAACAGAACCAAAGGGAAACAGGTATGATTTATTTTAAGAAAGTGGCTCATACAATTGAGGAGGCTGGTGAGTCTGAAATCCATTGGGCATGCCAGCAGGATGGAAACTCAGGCAGGAGTCGGTGCTGCCGTCTTAAAGCAACATTTCTTCTTTTCCAGGAAACCTCCATCTTGCTCATGTCTTCACCTGAGTGGGTGAGGCCCACCCACCCTAGTGTGGGTCATCTTCTTTACTTAAAGCCAACTGATTGTAGATGTTAACCACATCCACGAAACACCCTTGCAGCAACACCCAGGTTAGGATGTGATTACATAACTGGTGCTACAGCATAGCCCTGTAAAACTGGCCAGCACAGCCACCAAGCATGAAAACACATTCGCCATTACCAAGTCGGGGAAATGCACTCCGAATCCACCGTGACATAGCATCAGATGAGCAGAGGGTCAGTCTGGCCACACCGCCTGTTGTTGAAGGTATCCAGGGATCGGACTTTGCGTTCTTGGCCAGCGGCACAGAAAATGGGTCCGAGACCCTGGAGAGCTCCCAGGAGGGTGATGCTGTTGCTTATCACTTCAGCCTTTGAGCCAGATTGGCAGGGTTTTGCATATTGGCTCTGCCGCCTCTCAGCTGTGTGACCTCAGGCCAGGTGCTTAGCCTCCATGGGCCTCAACTGCCTCATCCATAAAATGGGGAGAATCACTGTCTATACATCTATACGTCATGGGACCGCTGGGAGGTTAATGAGCTGAGGCACGTCATACGTGTCAAGAGGACCCAGTGAGTGTGAGCTGGGATCATCCTGCAGTCTCTAGCAAAGAGGCACAGACCTGACAGGCAGCCATTCCATTTCCAGATGTTCCCATGGCTGAACTCCACTGCATACATTCACAGGGACAGGGGCGGCCACACGCATGGCAGGCATGGCCCACAGTGGTCCAGCATTTGGACAGCCTAAGCGGACCCCAGCACAGCACCTGGCCATAGGGCGGGCACATACATGTAAGCTCCAGGGGAGCAGAGCCCAGCCTGGACCAACAAGATGGCACCTGCCAGCCACACTATAGGCACTCAGCAAACATTTGCTGAATTAATCACCCCTACTTATGAAAGTCTATGGATCAAAATTTCATGGGCCCACAATAAATGCTTCCAGAGCACGGATGAATGGGCCTGCTCCTCTTACCTGAGTACTCTGCAGAGGAAGAACAAGAGATCCAGAGGGGAACCAACACTGAAGGTTACAGGGTGGTTCTCCTAAACCCCAGGCCAGGAACGGTGCACAACCTATCCTTTCCCTAAGTGTTTTCCCTGAACTGCAGCCCTGCTGGGTGCAATGAGGGCCAGGAATCCCCAAGAGAAGGCCAGAGGACCGTGGATGTCTGCAGCAGTGGACATTCCACAAGCCCACCACCCCCAGAGCCCGCCATGGGAAAGGCCCCTTCTCCCAGGGCCTAGCAGCATCTTAGCCCTCAGCTCAAGCTTAGGTTTGGAAGGGGGCTCAGAAACAAACACTGCCCCACCTTGGTGGTGTTTTATCCAAAGCAGCTCCACTCTTGTGCAGAAAGGGGTGGAGAAAAGGGGGCTTTGCTGAGGCAGGAGGGGGCAGATGGGATGGGTCGCTCCCAGGCCTGAGATTTGTGCTGCATGTTGAGCACAGACGGAGCAGGCAGTATCTCAGTGACAGGGCCACACACTGTGGAATGACAGTCAGTCAGAGGTGAGGGCTCGGAGCAGGGAGAATCTTAATGCTGGCAAGACTTATCAGCCTGTCACGCACCAAATGTACTTACAGTCAAACGACATCACTAGTGTTTGTGGAACAAATATTTATTTGTTGTGTGCTCTGGCTTTGGGGCCAATCCATCTCTGAGTGGCGCCATATGCAGGGACAAATGGCAGCCTCAGAAAGTGGCAGCTGGTGGGGCGGGGTCTGTCCCCTGCAGGTCCAGGAGCCATGGGGTTAGAGCAGCCAGGGAGTGACACTCCCATTTCCACTCTACTGCTCGCGGGTGGGGCAGCAATGCCCGCAAGGTGCTTTCGAGGTAGGAGCCTGAGGAAGGACACCTGGGCACAGGGCTTGGGTCCCAGCGCTGCTGGCCTCCGGCTCTGTGCCTTCGCAGGGGCAATGGACCTCTCTGAGTCTCCGAGTCCACAGCACTCAGGTGTACTCATGGCAGGGGCATCTGTCATGGCTTCAAATGAGAAAAAAAGTGAGCACAAGCCTGCAGGAGCATCATGGCCACCACATCAACACAGATGGATGCAGCAGATGGTTTAGGAAGCTCCAGAGTGGTGATGCTGGGGCCAGCCTGGGGCTGTGTCTGTCCTGATGATCTGAGGACCACAAGACAGTCTGGGTCTCACTGTATAAAGGGAAGTGACAGAGGTACAGAGGGCACAGGGAGGAAATGCTTGTTTCTGAGCACTTAGACTGTTTGAGGAACTCAGCCTGGGGCTTTACACACACCACTCCTTTCAATTCTCACAATAATCTACAGAGAACTCTTAACCCCATGCCATAGATGACAATGCTGAGACTCAGGAAAGGTGAAATACCTGTCCACGGCAAGCAGACAGGAACTAGTAGAGACTTGCAGCCAGGTCCACCTGTCCCCCCACCCCCCAGTGACATGCTCCTGCCATCACATCAGTGACTCCCAGGACAACGTGCATCAGGGAAGCTGATGGACACAGGCACTTGGCCTGACCCAGTGTCCCTGCGGCCCATCAGAGTGTCACACTGTCCTCGACCATCCCTGCCACACCTCAGAGCTGCCAAGAAGCCACTGCCTCCCTTCTCCCAAGAAGCCCACCCCCTCTCAGCCCCCACACTCCCTCTCCCCCTCCCCCAAATGCCATCTGTGGCTACTCTGCAGCCCCAGGCTCGACCTGCCTAATCCCAGAGTGACTGACTCAGGTGTTGGCCACCGAGGTCCCCGAGGAGGGCAGGCAGACCAGGGGGCCCGGCACAGCGACCGGCCCAGGTCCAGGAGTGCAGAGAACAGTGGGATTGTGAAGGGCAGGAGACCACAAGCTCCTCCTGGGAAGGGCCTGCTTATTTCCAATGGAATGTTGCCCCATGGAAATCCAGGCCAAGTGTGGCCAACTCATAATGTTTCCAAGAAAAAAAAACATAAATACAGAGTTCAGAGGATTTCTCTTAGGTTTTAGAAATTGCTTTGAGGTTTTTTTACAACACTTTGCAAGTCACACAAAGTCGTCTGTAGGGGAGCCGTCCGTGTAGCCTCCATGGTACACAGGTCAGTCGGCCAACAACATGGAGGGTGATGTGCAGAACTGAGTGGTGGCCATGCCTGAGCAAGCCGGACCTGAAGGTGCCATCTCTCTAAAGGATGTTTTGCCAGGGAAAGGTGCTCCAGGGAGGCAGGCAGATGCTGGCCGTGCCCAGGCCAGGGGGGCACAGGCAGGCCCTGACCCAGGTCCTTAAGCAGAGGGATGCCATTGGATCACTGCATCTATGCTGTGAGCACACACGGGCCTCGCAAGACGGGGGCTCAGTGACTGCTGGCCAGAGCGAACATCTCACCTGCCCTTTCCTTCTCCTGTATATTTTTTGAAAGTCTTTTCCCCAGGCTTCCCATCTACTTTCTAGCATCACATTCAGTTTCAAGGGCAAAGCTCATGTTTTCTAGAGAAGAATGCATGAGATGCCCTCCCGGCTTGGACAAAGAGAGGATGGAGCTTCGAGATAAAGCTGTTAATTACTGCAGCACTTCTGGGCCTTAGCTGGGGGGGCCTCAGAGCTGGCAAGAATCCTTTGGATAACAAGTTTACAGGAAATCAGCTCAGCTCCATCAGGGAGGCTCTGGGGGCCACTCCAGTCTGCCAGGGGAGATGTGATTCCTGAGACGCATTTGCTCCTTTCTCCCTCCTCAATATGCCTTGAAGTCTGTCTCACAATCAATCAGGCAATAAACAACGAGCAGAGGGAAGGCAGGAGGCAGCATCTCCTGGAAGTGCAGGTGCTACCGAGAGATGGGTCTGCAGTCACCTCCCCATCCTGAAACACCCTGTGTGCTCAGCATCTGAGGCCCAGACACCCTGCTAGGCACCAGGGACTCCGTAGAGGAAAAATGTCATCCCTTTGCCTCTTAACAGGCAGGGAGAAAACAACGGCTCAGGGAACTGTGGGGGCCATGGGGAAAACCCACCACTATCTGCCTGGGGTGGAAAGGAGGCGGGGACCCTGGGACCTGGATGGCATTGGAGGGAGGCTTAAGGCTGAGGGGAGATACCCACTCTATTAATTCATTCTCACACTGCTATTAAGATATTACCCAAGACTAGGTAATTTATCAATAAAAGAGGTTTAACGGACTCACAGTTCCACATGGCTGGGGAGGCCTCAGAAAACTTACAGTTATGGCAGAAGGTATAGGGGGGAAGCAAGGATCTTGACATGGTGGCAGGCCAAAAAGAGTAGGCAGGGGAAATGCCAGGCACTTATAAAACCATCAGATCTCGTGAGAACGCATTGTCACAAGCCCAGGATAGGGGAAACCACCCCCATGATCCAATCACCTCCCACCAGGTCTCTCCCTCAACGTCTGGGGATCATGATTCAAGATGAGATTTGGGTGGGGACACAAAGCCTAACCATATCACCCACCCAGCAGGGGAATCCACTGGTGGATGTGATGGGAGAACTTCTTGGCCAGGCCGGCTGTTCCGGTCAACACTGCAAATCCAGGACTCACACAATGCACTGAGGAGCTTCTGCTGCGGCAGGAAGGACACTGGCCGTGGAGCCCAGAGCCGTGGGCTTGGGTGTGATGTCCCGAGCTCATGCTGCCATGGTGTGGCCTCTGAGCCTGGCTCATCTCCAGAGAACCACATAAAGATGAGTTGATGGCAGATGGTCCTAGAGGTCCCTTCAGGGTCTCACATTCCTCATCTACCAACTCTTCTCTGCATCTGTGAAAGCCATGATCCCCACTGACCTGTGGCAGGTACAGTGAATACTCCACATCACAGATGGCGGAAGCACAAATGGTCCCTCCCACCCAAATGCCCATAGGCACTTGGTAACGACTCCTCTCGTCCCGAAAGCTGCTGATCTGCTTCTCGCCAGTGCTGCGTGTCTTGCTTCTGCAACAAGCCCAAGGCCGGCCCTCTTTCCCACACCCCACATGAAGCTGGGAGCCCACAGGCCCTCTGTTGACCTCCACACTTCCGGGCTTGACCCTCCGAGGCCCTGCAGAGTCAGAGAAGGGACAGAGGCATGGCTCTGTCACCGTCAGCATTTCAGAAGACGCACTTAAATAAAACAAATCCTTCTATTAGAAATAAACCTCAAAAACATCTTTAACAAATGGGTGTTAACGTCTCTCCAGGAGATGGGAAATGTGGATCTCTTAGCAAAGTTCCAGTGATAATTCAGGTGCATTCTCCTGCCTCGCCTGGCAACGATTCTCGGCAGATTCCCTCAGAATAATCGGCCCATTCCAGTTGTTAGGACGTGGTCTTTAAAGCTGAGTTATTCTTCAATATCTTGGAAAATAGGGGCTCTTCATCTCACCAATTATGAAATACTGCAGACATCGTTTGCCGTCGGAGAGAAAGATTTATCTCCAAAGATAATGGTGAGATAGGGCTGCTCGTGCTCCTGGGACCCTTTGCTGGAGTTTTTCATCATTTTGCAGGGAACACCGGGAGGGGATTTAACTGCTCTGCAGTGGGGGGAGGATGCTGCCCTGTCAGGGAAGGGAGTGACTGGAGGGGGCTTCACGAGTCCTCACGGGGGACAGGGTAAGGATTTACGGTCCGGCTGGGCCCTGGGGCCACTTGCCCCTCCCTCATTCACTCCCTCCACAGCCAGACCCCAGAGGCTGAGATGGGAGACCAGGCAACCAGAGAGACCAACCCTGAACAGGTAACTCCAGCCAGCATCAGCAGTGCTAGGTGGGGGCAGACGTGTTTCCACAGATGAGGCCAGGCAGGGATGAGAAGCGGACTTTGCAAAGGGGATGAGCAGAGGCTGGAGGATGCACCAGAGCCCATGAAGGAGGGGCTTTCCAGATAGAGGAAGAGGATGTCCTCCAGCCTGCAGCCTGAGGAAGGCATCCTCCAAGAGGCTATACACCAGGTGCCCAGAGAGGTCACCAGCTGGGTGGGGGTGTGGTGCATTGCCCATCCACTGGGCACAAAGGACCTGGCCCACCACAGTGGCACACACAGGCTCTATCCAGGGGACAGGGGGGTCTCGGGTGATTTCAAGACAGATGGTGACATGCCCAGGTTCTCCCTGACCAGTAGGAAGCTGGCCTGGAGGAGACAGGCTGGAGGCGGGGAGGTTGTCGTGGAGGCTGTGGTGGGTGCCAGAGGGGATGCCAGGCCCTGGAATGCGGGCAGAGGCAGCAGGAATGAGGGGAATCAGAGTCACATCCGAGGACTTGATAGGTGCAAAGCCCAGAGCTCAAAGGGATAAAATATTGTCCCCCAAAAAGTTCATGTCCAGTTGGAAACTTGGAATGTGGCTTTATGAGGGAATAGTGTGTTCCAGAGGTAATTAAGATAAGGATCAGAGAGGCGGTTCCAAAATGGCCAAATAGGAACAGCTCTAGTCTACAGCTCCCAGCGTGAGTGATGCAGAAGACGGATGATTTCTGCATTTCCAACTGAGGTACGAGTTTCATCTCACAGGGGATTGTTGGACAGTGGGTGCAGCGCACCGAGCATGAGCTGAAGCAGGGAGAGGCATTGCCTCACCTGGGAAGCGCAAGGGGTCAGGGAATTCCCTTTCCTAAGTCAAAGAAAGGGGTGACAGATGGCACCTGGAAAATCGGGTCACTCCCACCCTAATACTGCGCTTTTCCAATAGTCTTAGCAAACGGCACACCAGAAGATTATATCCTGCACCTGGCTCAGAGGGTCCTACGCCCACGGAGCCTCACTCACTGCTAGCACAGCAGTCTGAGATCAAACTGCAAGGCGGCAGCGAGGCTGGGGGAGGGGCACCCACCATTGCTGAGGCTTGAGCAGGTAAACAAAGCAGCTGGGAAGCTCAAACTGGGTGGAGCCCACCACAGCTCAAGGAGGCCTGCCTGCCTCTGTAGACTCCACCTCTGGGGGCAGGGCATAGTCAAACAAAAGGCAGCAGAAACCTCTGCAGACTTAAATGTCCCTGTCTGACTGATTGGAAGACAGTAGTGGTTCTCCCAGCACACAGCTTGAGATCTGAGAATGGACAGACTGCCTCCTCAAGTGGGTCCCTGACCCCCAAGTTAGCCTAACTGGGAGGCACCGCCCCCCAGTAGTGGCAGACTGACACCTTACATGGCCAGGTACCCTACTAAACTAAGACAAAACTTCCAGAGGAAGGATCAGGCAGCAACATTTGCTGTTCAGCAATATTCACTGTTCTGCAGCCTCCGCTGCTGATACCCAGGCAAAAGGGTCTGGAGTGGACCTCCGGCAAACTCCGACAGACCTGCAGCTGAGGGTCCTGACTGTTAGAAGGAAAACTAACAAACAGAAAGGACATCCACACCAAAATCCCATTTGTACGTCACCATCATCAAAGACCAAAGGTGGAAAAAACAGAGCAGAAAAACTCAAAATTCTAAAAATCAGAGCACCTTTCCTCCAAAGGAACACAGCTCCTCACCAGCAACAGAACAAAGCTGGACAGAGAATGACTTTGACGAGTTGAGAGAAGAAGGCTTCAGAAGATCAAACTACTCCGAGCTAAAGGAGGAAGTTCGAACCCATGGCAAAGAAGTTAAAAACCTTGAAAAAAGATTAGACGAATGGCTAATTAGAATAACCAATGTAGAAAAGTCCTTAAAGGACCTGATGGAGCTGAAAAACATGGCACGAGAACTACGTGATGAATGCGCTAGCTTCAGTAGCCAATTCAGCCAACTGCAAGAAAGGGTATCAGTGTTGGAAGATCAAATGAATGAAGTGAGAAGAGAAGTTTAGAGAAAAACAAATAAAAAGAAACAAACAAAGCCTCCAAGAAATATGGGACTATGTGAGAAGACCAAATCTACGTCTGATTGGTGTACCTGAAAGTGACGGGGAGAATGCAACCAAGGTGGAAAACACTCTGCAGGATATTATCCAGAACTTCCCCAATCTAGCAAGGCAGGCCAACATTCAAATTCAGGAAATACAGAGAACACCACAAAAAAACTCCTTGAGAAGAGCAACTCCAAGACACATAATTGTCAGATTCACCAAAGTTGAAATGAAGGAAAAAATGTTAAGGGCAGCGAGAGACAAAGGTTGGGTTCCCCACAAAGGGAAGCCCATCAGACTAACAGCTGATCTCTCAGCAGAAACTCTACAAGTCAGAAGAGAGTGGGGGCCAATACTCAACATTCTTAAAGAAAAGAATTTTCAACCCAGAATCTCATATCCAGTCAAACTAAGCTTCATAAGTGAAGGAGAAATAAAATACTTTACAGACAAGCAAATGCTGAGAGATTCTGTCACCACCAGGCCTGCCCTACAAGAGCTCCTGAAGGAAGCACTAAACATGGAAAGGAACAACCAGTACCAGCCACTGCAAAAACATGCCAAATTGTAAAGACCACCAAGACTAGGAAGAAACTGCATCAACTAACGAGCAAAATAACCAGCTAACATCATAATGACAAGATCAAATTCACACATAACAATATTAACCTTAAATGTAAATGGGCTAAATGCTCCAATTAAAAGACACAGACTGGCAAATTGGATAAAGAGTCAAGACCCATCAGTGTGCTGTATTCAGGAAACCCGTCTCACATGCAGAGACACACATAGGCTCAAAATAAAGGGATGGAGGAAGATCTACCAAGCAAATGGAAAACAAAAAAAGGCAGGGGTTGCAATCCTAGTCTCTGATAAAACAGAAAGTTAATGGATATCCAGGAATTGAACTCAGCTGTGCACCAAGCGGACCTAATAGACATCTACAGAACTCTCCACCCCAAATCAACAGAATATACATTCTTCTCAGCACCATACCGCACTTATTCCAAAATTGACCACATAGTTGGAAGTAAAGCACTCCTCAGCAAATGTAAAAGAACAGAAATTATAACAAACTGTCTCTCAGGCCACAGTGCAATCAAACTAGAACTCAGGATTAAGAAACTCACTCAAAACGGCTCAACTACATGGAAACTGAACAACCTGCTCCCGAATGACTACTGGGTACATAATGAAATAAAGGCAGAAATAAAGATGTTCTTTGAAAACAATGAGAACAAAGACACAACATACCAGAATCTCTGGGACACATTCAAAGCAGTGTGTAGAGGGAAATTTATAGCACTAAATGCCCACAAGAGAAAGCAGGAAAGGTCTAAAATTGACACCCTAACATCACAATTAAAAGAACTAGAGAAGCAAGAGCAAACACATTCAAAAGCTAGCAGAAAGCAAGAAATAACTAAGATCAGAGAAGAACTGAAGGAGATAGAGACACAAATATCCTTCAAAAAATCATGAATCCAGGAGCTGGTTTTTTGAAAAGATCAACAAAATTGATAGACCGCTAGCAAGAATAATAAAGAAGAAGAGAAGAATCAAAGACACAATAAAAAATGATAAAGGGGATATCACCACCGATCCCACAGAAATACAAACTACCATCAGAGAATACTATAAACACCTCTACGGAAATAAACTAGAAAATCTAGAAGAAATGGATAAATTCCTGGACACATACACCCTCCCAAGACTAAACCAGGAAGAAGTTGAATCCCTGAATAGACCAATAACAGGCTCTGAAATTGAGGCAATAATTAATAGCTTACCAACCAAAAAAAGTCCAGGACCAGACAGATTCACAGCCGAATTCTACCAGAGGTACAAGGAGGAGCTCGTACCAATCCTTCTGAAACTATTAGAATCAATAGAAAAAGAGGGAATCCTCCCTAACTCAGTTTATGAGGCCAGCATCATCCTGATACCAAAGCCTGGCAGAGACACAACAAAAAAAGAGAATTTTAGACCAATACCCCTGATGAACATCGATGCAAAAATCCTCAATAAAATACTGGCAAACTGAATCCAGCAACACATCAAAAAGCTTATCCACCATGATCAAGTGGGCTTCATCCCTGGGATGCAAGGCTGGTTCAACATACACAAATCAATAAACATAATCCAGCATATAAACAGAACCAATCACAAAAACCACATGATTATCTCAATAGATGCAGAAAAGGCCTTTGACAAAATTGAACAGCCCTTCATGCTAAAAACTCTCAATAAATTAGGTATTGATGGGACGTATCTCAAAATAATAAGAGCTATATATGACAAACCCACAGCCAATATCATACTGAATGGGCAAAAACTGGAAGCATTCCCTTTGAAAACTGGCACAAGACAGGGATGCCCTCTCTCACCACTCCTATTCAACATAGTGTTGAAAGTTCTGGCCAGGGCAATCAGGCAGGAGAAGGAAATAAAGGGTATTCAATTAGGAAGAGAGGAAGTTAAATTGTCCCTGTTTGCAGATGACATGACTGTATATCTAGAAAACCCCATCATCTCAGCCCAAAATCTCCTTAAGCTGATAAGCAACTTCAGCAAAGTCTCAGGATACAAAATCAATGTACAAAAATCACAAGCATTCTTATACACCAATAACAGACAAACAGAGAGCCAAATCATGAGTGAACTCCCATTCACAATTGCTTCAAAGAGAATAAAATACCTAGGAATCCAACTTACAAGGGATGTGAAGGACCTCTTCAAGGAGAACTACAAACCACTGCTCAACGAAATAAAGGAGGATACAAACAAATGGAAGAACATTCCATGCTCACAGGTAGGAAGAATCAATATCGTGAAAATGGCCATACTGCCCAAGGTAATTTATAGATTCAATACCATCCCCATCAAGCTACCAATGACTTTCTTCACAGAATTGGAAAAAAACTACTTTAAAGTTCATATAGAACCAAAAAAGAGCCCACATTGCCAAGTCAATCCTAAGCCAAAAGAACAAAGCTGGAGGCATCATGCTACCTGACTTCAAACTATACTACATAGCTACAGTAACCAAAACAGCATGGTACTGGTACCAAAACAGAGATATAGACCAATAGAACAGAACAGAGCCCTCAGAAATAATGCCACACATCTACAACTATCTGATCTTTGACAAACCTGACAAAAACAAGCAATGGGGAAAGGATTCCCTATTTAATAAATGGTGCTGGGAAAACTGGCTAGCCATATGCAGAAAGCTGAAACTGGATCCCTTCCTTACACCTTATACAAAAATTAATTCAAAATGGATTAAAGACTTAAATGTTAGACCTGAAACCATAAAAACCCTGGAAGAAAACCTAGGCAATACCACTCAGGACATAGGCATGGGCAAGAACTTCATGTCTAAAACACCAAAAGCAATGGCAACAGAAGCCAAAATTGACAAATGGGATCTAATTAAACTAAAGAGCTTCTGCACAGCAAAAGTAACTACCATCAGAGTGAACAGGCAACCTACAGAATGGGAGAAAATTTCTGCAATCTACTCATCTGACAAAGGGCTAATATCCAGAATCTACAAAGAACTCAAACAAATTTACAAGAAAAAAACAACCCCATCAACAAGTGGGTGAAGGATATGAACAGACACTTCTCAAAAGAAGACATTTATGCAGCCAAAAGACACATGAAAAAATGCTCATCATCACTGGCCATCAGAGAAATGCAAATCAAAACCACAATGAGATCACCATCTCACACCAGTTAGAATGGCGATCATTAAAAAGTCAGGAAACAACAGGTGCTGGAGAGGATGTGGAGAAATAGGAACACTTTTACACTATTGGTGGGACTGTAAACTAGTTCAACCATTGTAGAAGTCAGTGTGGTGATTCCTCAGGGATCTAGAACTAGAAATACCATTTGACCCAGCCATCCCATTACTGGGTATATACCCAAAGGATTATAAATCATGCTGCTATAAAGACATATGCACACGTATGTTTACTGCTGCGGCACTATTCACAATAGCAAAGACTTGGAACCAACCCAAATGTCCAACAATGATAGACTGGATCAAGAAAATGTGGCACATATACACCATGGAATACTATGCAGCCATAAAAAAGGATGAGTTCATGTCCTTTGTAGGGACATGGATGAAGCTGGAAACCATCATTCTCAGCAAACTATCACAAGGACAACAAAACAAACACCACATGTTCTCACTCATAGGTGGGAACTGAACAATGAGAACACTTGGACACAGGAAGGGGAACATCACACACCGAGGCCTGTTGTGAGGTGGGGGAAGGGGGGAGGGATAGCATTAGGAGATATACCTAATGTAAATGACGAGTTAATGGGTGCAGCACACCAACATGGCACATGTATACCTATGTAACAAACCTGCACGCTGTGCACATGTACCCTAAAACTTAAAGTATAATAGAAAAAAAAAAAGATAAGGATCACAGATGAAACCCTTGTGGGTCAGGGGTGGGCCCTAAATCCAATGACTGACCTTTTATCAATGGAAGAGAGAGTCGAGGAGAAGGCTGTGTGCACAGAAGGCAGAGGATGGCATGGTGCCGTCACCAGCCAAGGAACCCCTGGAGCCCCTGGGAGCTGGAAGAGGCAGGAAGGATCCTCCCTGGTGCTTCTGAGGGAGCAGCCCTGCCGACACCCTGCTTTTGGACTTCTTGTCTCTGAACTGTGACAGAATCAATGTGTGTTGTTCTAAGCCGCCATTGTGTGGTCATTTGTTAGAGAAGCAAAAGTCCACTCACCCAGCCCCTGAAGCCCTGCGGCCCCAGCTCCCTCCTCATGCAGGACACCCTCCCCCACAGGCTGTGCCCACCTCTCCTGCATGCCTCCAAGGTGGGGGTCTCCCCAGCTGTTTAGCATCTGGCTCTCACGTGGATGGCTGAGACGTGACAGTTGTCTCCAGAGTGCTCCAGAATCTGCCTGTCTCCTCCCCACAGACCCCGCTGGCCCCACATCCCAGATGTGGCCAACCTGGCCCTGGGCCCCGTGCCTCTGCATTGAGTCCCTCCCTAGCACACCCACTTCCCTCTGGAATCTGCCTGTCTTCTCCCCATGGACCCCGCTGGGCCACCTCTGGAATCTGCCTCCTCCCCGAAGACCCTGCTGGGTTCACACTCCCACATCCCTCTGGAATCTGCCTCTTCCTCGTGGACCCCACTGGGCCCACACCCCCTACTTCCCTCCAGAATCTGCCTCTGTCTCCTGCCCATGGACCCCATTGAGCTCCCCCTCCACTTCCTGTCACCAGTGCTGTGCTAAGGGCCAGATGCAGCCAACTTGGCCTTGGGCCCCCCACCTCTGCATGGAGCTCCCCCCAGCACTGGTGATGGAGGGTCCCTTCTGAAAAGGCTCCAGTTTCCAGGGAGAAGTTTTCCAGGAGGATTTAGTGATTGGTTTAGAGCTAGGTAAGCACCACTGCTTCCCTTTAGCAAAGCCTCTCTGTGTCCCTTGGCCACGTACCCCTGCAGCCATGCCCACTCATCAGCACACAGCCTCAGAGGTCCTCATCCCAGAGGGAGCATCCCTGGGCACAAGCTGGGACAGTAGAAGCAAGGCAGAGCCTGCAGTTGTGGACAGGGCTCCCCCAGCCACACCGCTGCTGTCTCCCCACATGGCTCTGGGCACGACCTCTTCTTTCTGTGTGACTCAGGTTCTCCCTCTGTAAAATCCCAGAGGTCCGAGATGATGGCCGAAGCCTGGGTGAAGATTCTGGCATCCTGTGGTCTTCAGTTACACATGCGTCCCTAGACATTCACAGATTCTGAGGGCTTATCACTGAAGGGGCTGCAAATGTCTGTGAGGACAGGGATGGTGGCCAATCTGTCTTTTTAAGTACAGAGTAAAAAAATTCTAAATGACAACAGAATAAATACATGGGAGAATCAAAGTGGAATGTGAGCCACTCAGGAGCAGCTGTGACCCTGGCATCTAGGACAGAGGGTATCTGCTCAGCACGTGTCTGCTGGGGAGACTCCAGGCCCCTCTCCCAGCCTCACACACACACGATCTACCTCTTGGGCCCAGGCAACAGCCTCCCTTTCCCTGCAGACCCAGGTGCCCGCAGTGCCTCCCCCTGCTTTCCCCATGCCCTCCAGTGAAGTGATATGCTCACCTCTTTTGCCCATGCTCCCCATCAGTGAAAGCCATTCCAAGTCAGGGGTCTCGAGGTCATCCTTGACCCTCTTCCCAATGCTCCCTGGGCCCCTATCACCTTTCCTCATGGGGTTTCTCAATGCAGAGCCCACTTAGGGTTTAGGAAAGAAAACTTGCTCGAACGTCACTTCTATCTCTGGCCCATGCACTAATCGTCAAGTGCACCTGTAGCCCCCCATGTGGCATCCTCCCCTCCCCTCTCCAAATGCCCTTCGGAGGGCGGGTCCTGCTGAGAGCAGAGCCCCTGGGGCCCGGTCCTCCTGCCTTCATTCTTTCCTGGGCAGCCTGGCTTGGCCTCAAGCAACTCTTCCTGCATGCAGGGACTGAGTAGGGCAGGGATTGGCAGGGAGCGGGTAGGGCAGGGACTGGGTTGGGTAGGGTAGGGATTGGGTAGGGCAGGGAGCGGGTAGGGCAGGGACTTGGTAAGGCAGGGATTGAATAGAGCAGGGATTGGGTAGGGCATAGATTTTGAGTAGGGCAGAGATTGGGTAGGACCGGGACTGGGTAAGGAAGGGATCGGGTAGGGCAGGGATCCGGTAGGAAAGGAATTGGATAGGGCATAGGTTGAGTAGAACAGGGATTGGTAGCGCAGGGATTGGGTAGGGCAGGAATTGAATAGGGCATAGATTGAGTAGGGCAGGGATTGGGTAGGGCAGGGATCGGGTAGGGCAGGGATTGGGTAGGGAGGGGATTGAGTAGGGCAGGGACTGGGTAGGGCAGGGATCAGGTAGGGCAGGGATCGGGTAGGGCAGGGATTGAATAGGGCATAGATTGGGTAGGGCATAGATTGGGTAGGATAGGGATTGGGTAGATAGGGATTGGGTAGGATAGGGATTGGGTAGGGCATAGATTGGGTAGGACAGGGATTGGGTAGGACAGGATTGGGTAGGGCATAGATTGAGTAGGGCATAGATTGGGTAGGACAGGGATTGGGTAGGACAGGATTGGGTAGGGCATAGATTGAGTAGGGCATAGATTGGGTAGGACAGGGATTGGGTAGGACAGGGATTGGGTAGGGCATAGATTGGGTAGGGCATAGATTGGGTAGGACAGGGATTGGGTAGGACAGGATTGGGTAGGGCACAGATTGAGTAGGGCATAGATTGGGTATGACAGGATTGGGTAGGGCATAGTTGAGTAGGGCAGGAATTGGGTAGGGCATAGATTGGGTAGGACAGGGATTGGGTAGGACAGGGATTGGGTAGGGAGGGGATTGGGTGGGACAGGGATTGGGTAGGGCAAGGATTGAGATATTTCTTTTCAGTCCCCTCCATAACACGGACATAACATGCAGCTGGTGAATAAGCAAGTGGAAGAATGTAGTCCACACAATTTGTGATACCAACGAGGACAGCCAGGCCCGGCGGATGGCGTGGCCTGACCACAGCCATACAGGGGCTCCTCTGAAGCCCCAGGCCCGGAACCTACAGCTGCGTGATTAGAGCCAGGCTTGGAGAATGAGCAGGATCAGGACGTCAGCAGGTGTGGTCACCAGCGGGGACAGAAGCCATCAGGTGCCACTACTTTCCATCCTGGGCTCCCCTATGCAGGCAGTTGCTGCCGAGCCTTAAATCTCACATGTGTGAGAACTGATGCAGTCCCTCTAATTGTAATAAATTAGGTTGAAGGCTCTGCAGTGATGGAAAAATGAGTTTCTTTTACTCAAAGAGCTCAATTGACATCTTCCTAATCCTCCCTTTGTTTTCATTAATATCAAGCCCCACATGACCTCTCCCCCACCTGCCCTGCTCCCCAGTAGACAGGGGGCTCGGCACAAGGATGTGAATGGGGTGTTTCTTTTACCCTCTTCATCCTGGTTTACAGTAAATCTGTGGAATCTCTCCCTGCTAACGACATTTATAATGCAAAGGACGAAGTTTCCAGCTTGTTCTGTCAGATCATTACCACCTAACGGAAGACTGAGGTCCTCAAATCTGTCCACTGTAAAGTTAGCAGAGTTTCCCATGTGCACCATTTTGGTGGAGCAAGCTAGAGACGATGCTGGGGGCTCAGATCCTTGTCTGTTACTCAAAGCCTGGGGCTGGGAGGAAACGGAAGGAATCTGTTACACCTGATTCCCTCCCCCTTCAGCCAAGGGTGAGATCTGCCAACTTGGGTCCTCAGCACTGCCACCCCCAACCCCTCCACTTCTCCAGTGGAGTCTCCCTGACTCAGGTTTCCGTTTCTGCAAACACTGCTGAAAACCAGCTCCCTCCTGCCTGCTCCCTCCAGTTCCTTCTCCAGAAGCCCAACTGTGTCACCAGCAACAGCGACCGCCCCATAATCTTGCCTCCTCTCAAAACTCCGGGTGGCTTCTCGCATCACCTGGGATAGATCCCGGGTCCGTAGATGCCCGCAAGGCTGCACAGTGTCATGTAACTAGGAGCCTCTTTATCATCTTTCTGATATCAGCCTCCCTTGCTGGATGGAGCTCTCCCCAAGAGCAGGTACCCCTTGTCCACTGGGCCTGTGACTCTCAGTCCTACATCTCAGCCTCCAGCACAGCCAGCTCTTGAATTCTGCTCTGAGCACAGGTGGGCTCCAAATCCTGAAAGCATCCTGCAAAATAGTGTCTGCATCATGCTGTCTGGACTTCTATGGAAGATGATTTTTGACACTTGCATTTGGGGTGGGAGGAAAGCATGGAACTACTTAGCTTTGCCTAATTATACTTAGGGCAGGTGTTGGAAACCAAGAGGCAGTTAGGTGATGTAGCAGCCGATGACTAGTGAGGCTCACATCTCAAGACAAGGTGGGTAAGTGACCAACCCCATGGCTGCAACCCGGGGCAGTGAAGACCATGAGACACATGAATGCCATCAGGAGGCAGCATCCACGCTGAGGCTTGTCAGGAAATGTAAAGGCGGGACACTAGGATTCACCTGCCAAGACAAAGCTAGGGCAGATTAAAAGCCCTCCCCACAGCTGCAGCAGAGATCTGAGAAGCACGCATGGGCTCAGAAGAGCAGTGCCAGAGGTTGGCAGAGCCTGCAGTGGAGGGAAGCTGTGACTCAGAGTCAAGGTGGGGTCAGGGAAACAGCAAAACAGGACAAAGATGCAGACTTGTGCCTGTAGCCTCATAATTCCTAGATGAGAAGGAACAGAGGAAATACCTTGAATGTTGTTGAGGCTGCCACATGTATAGATGTGAGAAATCATTGTCTTTCTCTTGCCATGTAAAAACTGCTCTGATTGTTTCTATTTGTATTCCTTTATTAGTGAAGTTGAATATTGAAAAGTATCCTAAATAAGGAATCTATAATAAATCCAGGATAATGCACTGTGTGGCTGGATACTGACCTTGTTTGTGGCCTTGTTTATGTCTCACATATATATGTGACAACCTCGACAACATTCAAGGTATCGCTTGT
This sequence comes from Homo sapiens, assembly GCF_000001405.40. Classification (NCBI taxonomy): domain Eukaryota; kingdom Metazoa; phylum Chordata; class Mammalia; order Primates; family Hominidae; genus Homo; species Homo sapiens. The sequence continues at coordinate 47,340,677 of NC_000022.11, read as the reverse complement.
TTCTTCACACCTAGGAATTAGGAGGTTCTAGGCACAATTCTGCATCTTTGTCCTGTTTTGCTATTTGTGTATGTAATTATGTAAATATACACAAATTGTGTGCATATAAATACAGAATTATCTATGTGTGTATATATGCACAATTATATATGTGTGTGTGTATATTTATATACACAATTATGTTAAGTTACTGCTAGAACATTGTATTTAATTCATTCAAGTGTGGCTTAGTCACTGTTACAAAGCCCAGTGTTGTTGACTTTATAAATTCCCCATTAAATGAACGCTATTTCTTGTTATAAGTAATCACATGGTCTGAGTAGACCCACTAGAATTCTGTTTCCCTAAGCAGGCAGGGTCATAATTTCAGGACTTGCATAATGGGCATAAACAAGGTCAATCTCTATCCAGCTACACTGTGCATTATATTGGATTATAAATTCCTTATTTAGGATATATTTTCAATATTCAGCTTCACTAATAAAGAAATGCCAATTAAAACAATTAGAGCAGTTTTTACATGGCAAGAGAAAGGCAGTGATTTCTCCCTCCTCCTATTCGACATTAACTAAAAGCAGAAAAGAAAATAACAAGAAAGGTATCCATAGCCCTGAACATCAATGTATGAGGAATGGCTACCATACAAAATAAAAGCCAGAAAAAGGTGTGAAAGGGGCCACGGGACCATGCCCGTGGTGCAGACGTCAAGGGGAAAGAGACAAAACCAGAATGAAAACTGACAATCTCTGATTAAGACCAGAGAAATGGTACACAGATGTGCGACAAAAGCAACCATGGACCGAGTCTGCAGCGTCCAGAGAGGAAAGGTGGGGCTGAACCAGGAGCTACAGAGGAGCCATATTTGCAGGAAGCAGTTTTATAAGGGGTCACACAGAGGAGAGAGGCTGCATTGTGAATTCAGTGACGACCTAGCGTGAGCAGGAAGAAGGAAAACTAAAATAACACAACCGCAAACACAGCCAGTGTCACACACCAAACATTTCATCACGATTAGAAAAATTTAGAACTCAAAGTGGAGAAAAAAGCATTGAGTGAAAATGGAGGTAGAACAAAAAGTGACAAAGCTCAGGAAAAAATATGAGGAAACCAGAAAATCATATCCGAAAGGTAAACCCAACTGAAAGCAGGACGGAGACAGATACAAGCACCAATGAAACGCAGTGTATTGGTCAGCGTTCTCTAGAAGGACAGGACTAACAGGATAGATGTATATATGAAAGGGAGTTTATTAAGCAATATTGACTCACACGATCACAAGATGAAGTCCCACAATAGGCCATCTGCAAGCTGAGGAGCAAGGAAGCCAGTCTGAGGAAGTTGAGATAGACTTGCGCTGCCATTGTTCAATGTGTGGAGTCAGTAGAGGATTGAGTAGGGTGTATAAAGTTAGAGTTAGAAGACGGGCACTAAAGCAAACTTCCAGTCCTGCCAAATGACAAAAATAAACAAACGGATGAAACAAAGTAAAGGATACACAGAATCTATAGTGAAAGATGTTCTTGAAGGACAATTAAAAGTAGAAAGTATAGGCCAGGCGTGGTGGCTCACGCTTGTAATCCCAACAGTTTGGGAGGCCGAAGCGGGCGGATCACCTGAGGTCAGGAGTTCAAGACCAGCCTGGCCAACATGGTGAAACCCCATGTCTACTAAAAATACAAAAATTAGCTGGGCATGGTGGTGCATGCCTGTAATCCCAGCTACTCAGGAATCTGAGGCAGGAAAAGTGCTTGAACCAGGAAGGCGGAGGTTGCAGTGACCCAAGATGGTGCCACTGCACTCCAGCCTGGGTGACACAGCGAGACTCTATCTCAAAAAAAAAAAAAAAAAAAAAAGTAGCAAGTAGTGTAGTAATAACAGGACTAACTTCAAACATATCTGTACTTCACTAAGGAGTTAAACTTATTCAGGAGGCAGAGGCCAATTGTGAACTGTATCCCAGAGGTATATCAAAAACAAAGCGACTCAGAGAGGTTAAAGATAAAAGCACGAAAGGCAAATGCATTTTTAAAATGCAGGGCCAACAATCAATATCAGACAGGCTGTATTTTGGGACAAAAGGCATTCTATAGAACAAAAAGTCACTTTAGAATGATAAAGGGTGCAATCCACAAAATCTAGCAATTATAGATAGTAGCACAACATAATGTAACATCAACTTCGATAGTGCTCAAGTTCAGAAAATACAAGAAGCAGCAGGGATACTTTAGAGTAGGAAATTTTAATTCATCTTTCTCAGGCCATGATGGATCAAGGTAGAAAAATGAGAAGAACACAGAAGCCTAAAAATAGAATTTAAAGACTCACAGGTTGCCAAGGGAGCCTGGGAAGCAGAGGGAAGCCCGTGGAATAATTGCGAGTGGTAACTGCCCCACCAAGGTAAGTACAGCTCAAAACACAGAATCCATAAAACAGGCTGGGCGCAGTGGCTCACGCCTGCAATCCCAACACTTTGGGAGGCTGAGGTAGGCAGATCACTTGAGGTCAGGAGTTCGAGACCTGCCTGGGCAACATAGCGAAACCCCATCTCTACTAAAAATACAAAAATTAGCGGGGCATGGTGGCACATGCCTGTAATCCCAGCTACCCAGAGGCTGAGACATGAGAATCGCTTGAACCTGGGAAGTAGAGGTTGCAGTGAGCCGAGATCATACCACTGCACTCCAGCCTGGGCCACAGGGTGAGACTCTGTCTCCAAAAAAAAAAGAAATCCATAAAAGAAAAAACGTTGGATTACATGAAAATGTTTTAATCTTCATGTCAAGAAGTACATATAAAGTAAGTCAAAAGACAAACTGAAAACCAGAGAAAAGTTTTGCCATTTATGTCATACAGTGCTATTTCTTATTAATTTTTTAAAAAGATATTTTTTAAAAAAATTTTTAAGTGTGCTAACAGGTATGATCCATGTAGGTGACAACACCCATCAATAACACAACAGAAAAATAATCAAAGGATACGAACCTGGTTTATAAAAAAGAAAATACAAATGGCTGTTAAACATACAAACAAAACATCAATTCTACACGCACAATTCTGAAACTAAAACTACAACGAGATACTATTGTTCACTTCCGCAACTGACCGAAGGGTTGACAAGCACTGTGTGGTGAGGAGGTGGGGCCCTGGGAGCTCTTATGCAGTGCTAGTGGGGATACGTCTCAGACAGGGTTTGCCTGGGAAAATGGAAACCCTCCAGGTCCTTCAATGGAGAGGAGATTAATGCAGGAGATTACAGGCTTACGAAGCTGTTGGGGAGAGAGTCAAGGTCAGGGAAGCTTCGGAAGCATTCAGGAATCCAGGAAGTGGAGACTGCAGGGACAGCCACTGCAGATCTCAACTGTGTGAACAGATGACTCACGCCTGAAAGCCACTGGCAGAGCTCACCCAGCCTTTATTGATGCCCATGTCTCACGCCATTGCCAAAAGTCAGCTTCTCTTTGTCTGGTTTCCAAATTTTACACCAGTGGCCCTTATTGGCAGAAACTAAAGAAGATCCCTGCTGGCAAAGGATTGAAGGAACATTGTTTCCAGGCTCTGACCCCTGCAATACAGAAGGACACAGCAAAGGGAGAAGGAATAATGAAGAGAAGATCGTAACAGATCATCTAGAAAAGTGGGCTACTAGGTACGATCCATGTACGTAATGACATCCATCAGATTTACCCTTGTACCCAGGAATTACACAGCCAGGAATAGGAATTTATCTGACAGGTATTTAGCACATGTGCAAAATGACATGTGCACCAGAATATTCATAGCACTGTTTGCCATATTAAAAGATTGGAAATACCATAAATGTCCATTAATATAGGACTGGCAAAGTCAGTTACGATGCATGCATATAATGGAATGCTAGGCATGCACTGAAAACAATGAGGCAGTTCTGTATGTCAGCTATGGTCCCATTTCTAAGATATATTGTCAAGTGAATAAAGCAAAACAGTATGTACATGTTACCATTCTTAGGAAAAGCATTTACTTGTGTAAAAGCTAAAATTAACCATGTATAAATAAGCTTGTTTGTGCAGGGTTCACTTTCCAAGATCCATAAGAAACTGCAAGTAGAGTTGCTTCTGAGGAGGAAAACGGGTCAGGGCTGGTCAGGACGGCCTCCCTTCTCTGTATGCATTATTTGGTTTTCTATGTATTAGCTAATCACAAATAAGTGATACTCATATCAGTGAAGGTTCAATCAGAGTAGAAACAACCGGTATAAATAAATACAGAGATGGAGGTGCTAGAGATTGTGATGGACATGATGGAGGTGATAGAGATGGTGATGAAGATAATGGAGATGGAGATGAAGATGAGGATAGAGGGATGGAGGTGATAGAAATGGAGGTGATGAAGATGATTGAGGTGATGAAGGTGATAGTGATGGAGATAAAGAAGGAGATGATGGAGATGGTGACGGAGGTGATAGAGATGATGATGATGGAGGAAATGGCAGAGGTAATGAAGGTGGAAGTGATGGAGGCAATAGAAATGGAGGTGATGAAGATAATGGAGATGGTGATGGAAATGATGGAGATGATGAAGATGATGGAGGTGATAGAGATGGAGATAAAAAAAGATGATGATTAAGGTGACGGAGATAGAGATGATGAAGATGATGGAGATAACGCAGGTGGTGAAAGTGATGGAGATGGAGATGATGGAGGTGGAGATAATGGAGATGAAGGTGGAGATGAAGGTGGAGATAAATGTGTTACAGGGGTTTAACCTCACTCACTTTGGGGAGCTTGTTAAGCAGTCTCCCAAGGCTGTTGTCTTTCCATCTGGCACTGGAGCTTAAAGTCCACAGGGCTGTCCGTGGGGCCAGGAAGATGGCTGCCAGGTGGGAAAGCAAGAACAGGCTGGAGCCCCAGGATGAACGGAGCCCACGAGGATGGACAAACCCCTGTCCATCTGGCCTTGAGGTGTTGTGTGTCCTCGAAGCCAGCTCCTCCTCATGGACTTAAATGCACACTCCCTACCTAGAAGTAGGAGGATCCAGGGGAACAAGTTGCAATTTGAGGCCCGGCCCTGCCTCACGCCCCTGAGACAGGCCAGGAACTGAGGACAACACACGTGTGTGGCCGAGGGCTGTGGCTTCACTTCTGCCCTCTGAGGCCCACACAGGAACCCCTCCCGTGGCCACAAGAGGCAGAAACACACAGAGGGAATCCTGGGAAGTACAGTCCACCGACCACTCTGACACATCACAGAGGAACCACACTTTCTAAAAAAGAATAATGTAGCCACATTTTATATCCCCTTTAAAAATATTGAGAAGTGATTCTTAATTCTGGCAAGAGTTTGATAACAATCGATGCAGTCATATGTTGTTGGTGACAGTATTAATGGTACAGACATCTGAAGAGCAATGTGGACAAATAAGTCAAGAACTGGGGGGATCTTCATCCCACTTCTGGAAATAGGATAAAAAATAATCATAACCTAAAATACTGGAGGAGGGGGGGCTCCATTGCCCCACTGTAACATTGTCTCTACCAATAAACAACCAGAAACAACCTAAATATCAAAAAAATGGCCTGACATGTACATCTTACTGTTCACAACGATCACACATTTTAATTATGCAGGCTCTGGCAATGTGGAAAATACCTACGGCATTAAGTAAAATAAAGCAGGTCACCCAAATATCTGTACACTCTGTATCTATGAATAAGATGAGTTTTACATGAGACCAAAGGTCGATGTGCAACACCCATGGGAATGCCCCTTGTCCCTGGAAAAGCTGGCCCAGGGGCCTGAGAGTGCCTCAAATATGACAGCAGCCCTTTTCCAGGAGGTAGGTGCCTGTAGCCGCTGTTTATCCATCCCCACTCTGCGTGAGATGCTTCACATCTGCTGTCACTAATGCTCCCAGCAGTCCAGCAAGGCAGGCGTTGTCATCCCTACCCCGGAATTAAGGAAACAGAGGTTCAGGCAGGATGAGGCACTTAAAGTTCACAACTGTTAAGTGGCAGACCCAGGACGCAAAGCCCAGTCTGTTTAACTCTAAAGACCTGCTCTTTCTGCTACACCATGCCGCAATTTTCCCAGTCCTCCCAGATCTCTAAAACAGGGTAAGTAACTGCCTGCTGACTGCTTTTTTCAGATTAATCTAATTTTTCATCCTATTCAAGGTAGGGATTTGGCAGGGATTTCTATTCCCTTACCAAGTCCATTCATATTACATGGAAACAATTTCCAAATTGATTTAAGAGCCTCGCTCCCGGGTGGTGGGTCCCAGCAGGTTGAATGTGCTTCCAGCTTGGCTTCTAAGTGACTCTGATTTATTTTAGAATTGGTGCTGATGAGGAAAGGAGCTTCTCTGCAGGGCCTGTGGAAAGATAGTGCCATGGAGAGGACTAGCAGGCAAGCACAGAAAGACTTCAGGACAGTTCCCCCTTTCCTCATAGAAAAAATGTCCAGAATATTTTATAGGAAGGGGTAGAAACAGTGCCCGCCAGTCTCTTGCATGGGCTGCCCTTTTTAATATCTTTCATCTCACAGAGAAGAACAAGTTGCTAGTCTGACTGCTCAGATTCAAAGCCATATATTAGGCCATATGGTAGACCATCTACAAAAAGAGCCACAATTATTCCCCTTCCTGTATCCCTGCTCCTTTGCAATGTCACTTGGCAGCTGCAGCTCCTCTCAACAGGAAGTGGAGTCTACTTCCCCACCCCTTAAATCTGGGCTGGACTTATGATTTGCTTTGACCAAACAGAATGTGGTAGAAATGGCATGAACGTGTGCCTGCCTGAGCCTAGGCCTCAAAAGATCATGTGTTCTCCTGGAAACCTGCCCAGCATCAGACAAACAAAGCCAGGCCAGCCTGTTGCATGAGGAGTCACTGCCTGCTCCTGCTGACAGCCAGCCAACCTCCAGAAGCAGAGCTGCCTAGCTGACCTAAGGCCAGCCACAAATACATGAGGGAGTCCCATCAAGGCCAGAAGAACCTCCCAGCTGAGCCCAGCACAAATTGCTGGCCCTTCCTGTCATGAACTAAACATCTGGGTGTTGTTTTAAGCCACCGAGTTCTGGGGTAGTTTGCAACCCTGAAAAAGCAAACTGATTCATGTGGAATTACTAGTGGGGAAAGTCACTGCTTCTAAAAAACATTTACCTATGCTGGCTCTGCCTCTCCTTCTTCTTCTCCAGGCATAGAAAAGAAAGCAGAGCCCACGCTGGCCCCAGGGTCAGGCTGGCCATCTTCTTTATCTCCCATCCCCTCTTCCTCCGTGCCCTAGAGTGGCTGTGTCTAAGAAGTCACCTCTTTAGCCCAGTTTATAACCAACAAGTCCACACCCAACACATGCCTGCAGCATGCAGGCCACTGCCTCTAGTTCATCTATCCAGCAGCCAGACCGTGGGTGGTAAGACCCTAAGATCCAAACAGTGACTGAAGAGGGACAGAGAGCTCTGCCTGAGCTCTAGCACTGGTACATCAGGCACTGGCCAGCTATTTTAAGACATTTCCTGTTTGGCTGGAGCTCCTGAGTTATCTCCGCAGAATGGAGGAGTGATGGACCAGGCAGAACTGTAGGCATGCCTCGGTTCTTAGCCACAACACTACCAAACACTGCCAAAATCCTAACTTGATCCCTTAGGAAAACATTTAATCCTGTTTACATGTGTCTGGGATTCTATTTTAAGAACATAATCAGAGAAGTGCATCAAGATTAATATTCAAGGGTGTTCACTGCAGCCTTATCGCCATTGAAAAACAAAACAGGGACAGATTATTAAATACTCGATGTCATCTACTAGGCAGGAACATCACCAGGGCACCAGCAGTCAGGCTCACAAAGGCTTCCCATTCCAGTGCTCAGTGCACAGTCACACCAGGCCCATCGGAGTCCGACCCATGGAAAGGGTCCCGAACCAGGGAGTCAGTAGACCCAGTGATCCATTGACCTAGTTACTTAATTGCTCATTCATTGGCAAATAGCCCCCAAGCCCCTTTTGTGTGCCAGACACCTGCTGGCTTGCTGAGACTGGAACTCGATCTGCTCTAGTCCAGCTGCCAGGGGAGGGGCTCCTGTACTCTCAGAAATAACTGCAGTGGGGCAGGGCATGGACAGGCACTAGGAGAGAGAGAACGGTGCCAGGGCACCCAGAAGATGAGGGAGCGGCTCTGTCATCCCTTCCCCATGGAACCCTAGACTCCCACCCACTCCCAAGCCCATCCACATGCCACCCAGCCCTCCCACGATGCCTGGCGCCCCAGCCTCCAGGAGCCCCTCCTTGAGCACCCCACCATCCGGCAGCCCTGCCTGCCCTTCCTCTTGGGGCATCACCAACGCCACTGCCATGGCCCTCTCCGTGGCCTCTGTAGACCTGCCTTGGCTTCCCTCTCCTCCACCAGGGTCAGAGCCAGGGCTGGAATCAGGCCTCCTGACTCTCGCTTCTCTGCTCCCTCCCTGGACTCTGCCCCTTCACCCACAAACACACTCATGTGGCCCGGACCCCCGTCCCAAAAACTCTCCCAGTTACCATTCAGGGCAGTTAGTTTTATGTGTCAACTTAGCCGTGGCCTCTGATGCCCAGTTTGGTCAAACACCATCCTAGATGTTTCTGTGATGGTGTTTTTTGGATGAGATCAACATTAAAATCAGTGGACTTTGAGTAAAGCTGATGACACTCTTGATGTGGCCTCAACCAAGCAGGTGCAGGCCTGCACAGGACCAAGGCTGACATCTGAGGAAGGGCGAGTTTGGCCAGCACCCTGCCTTCAGACTCAGGGCCACAGCATCAGCTTTTCCCGCATCTCCAGCCTGCCCGCCTGCTCTGCAGAGTTCAAACGGGCCAGTCTCCACAATCAAATGAGCCAATTGCTTAACATAAATACATATAAAGAGAGAGAGCCGGGCTGGAATGGAGCGTGTGTGTGTGTGTGTGTATGCGTATGTGTCTATGTATATGTGGCATACACATATGTACTTATCTATGTATACTTACACATATTCCATTGGTTGTCTCTCTGAGAACCCTGACTAACACAACTCCAGTACCCATGTGCATTTCAGGACTGGGTCAAGCGTCACTCCCTGCAGAAGCTGCCCCCAGTCCCCAGGTTGAGCTCACTCTCCCTCCCCCGGCTTCCATGGTGCTTAATGAACAGCCATGACGGAGCACACTTGTCACTGGGAGCCGGCCAGCCTTATGCTCCCAGACCTGAGGGTCTCTGTGGGTTTCTACTCTGGGTCTCTGTCCCCAGTCCTGGGCTGGGACCTGCCCGGCCTCCAAGATGCAGATGGGGGTGCAGGCACAAAGGTGCTAGTCTCACTGAAACTTACATGAAGTAGCTTTTATTCCTCAAACTTAATGAAGGTTTGGCTCTAGTATTAAATTCTTATTTTCAAATCTTACCTTGAAAGAGTCTGCATTATCAGGCTGAATGTGGGATCTGCCGAAAAAAATGTGAAAGTTATCTTCCTTCTGGGATTTCTCTTTTAAACAAATCGATAAATCATTTCTGGTGGCTTTAACATAGATTAGCCAACTAAATAAGTCAAGTCAGGGCTTACTCAGCTTCTTGGAAGTGAAAGATTTTAACACTGAAGTCTAAGGAAGTAACAAGGGCCCTGAAAGCCACAGTGGTCTGGAGTCTTTACAAATGCCTGGAGGAGGTCCAGGGATGACCCAGGGGGCCTTCACTTCAGTGGCCACCATCTCTGCATTTCCAGGGGCTCGCCCTTCCCCAACCCATGTAAAGCCAGAGTCCGGGGAAGTCAGCCAGCTGCCAACATCGGGACCAGGCCATATTCCTGAGAGTTTATTATTATGGATCTCTGCCCGTCAGTCTGATGTTTGGGGAAGAAGAGGGAGAAAAGGAGGGGATGGAAGGGAGAAAAGCAAGGTAAACATATCAGAGCAGGAAGACCACCCAGCAGGTGAGTAAGCTGCTCCAGAGAGCCCCCGTTCCTGAGCTGTGCTGGGAGCAGGGGCAATAGAAGGAGGAAACAGGGCAGCCGAGAACTGGCTGGTGCTGCCCTCCAAGAACCTGCTTGAAAGTGCTCAGTAGTGCACTCTGACAACCTTTCTAGCACACAAGCACACGCACCCACACATGCATGCACGCACACGAATACACATGCACAATGCACACAGTCATGCACGTGCATGCACACAAGCGTGCACACACACATGCACAGTGCATACACACATGAACACACAAGGCACACATGCACACACAATGCACACATGTGCAGACACACATGCACACACAATGCACACACGTGCATACACCCATATGCACAGATGCACACACAAACTCTTAAGTACTCCCAGCAGCCTCAGCAGCCTCAGCACACCCTCCCTTTTGAGAACAGGCTGCTTACCTTGTCGCAAAGCCACTGAAAACAATCGCCTCAATCACTCCTCCTCGAAGCCAGCCTGGCTTGGCAAGGACTCAACTGACCACTGTCTTCCTGAGGAGCCCAGGCACTGCCAGGATGGAAGTCCCCAGTGAGGCAGCCGACTGAACTGTCCCTGTGGAAGTTCTTGGCCGCAAACACCAACCACGTGAGAAACTCTAGTAAAAGGCTGCAAAAAACCTCCCCACCGCCATTTCACCCCCCATCACCCCCAGCAACCAAAAAAAGGGAAGGGTTTTATCCTAAAGCCGTAAACCACACCAAATGAAGATCAAAGAAAGACTCAGAAGATCCTGGAGTACCCATGCCACCGAGGCTCCTCGTCCCAGAGACTGGGCTGGGAGGTGACAAAATCCTGGGCTTTCTCACAGACACCAAGAGGAGAAGAAAGCAAGTGGGGTGGGTGCTCTGGCGGGGGATGGCCATGGTGATGGTTGTTCTGCCCCTCCCCTTCCTCCTTCTGCTCCTCTTCCTCCTCCTTTCCTCCTCATCCTTCTCTTCCTCCTCCTTCTCCTTCTTCTGTCTCACAACAAAACAACGGAGACTGATGCTCAGAGAAGCGGGTGAACCAGGGAACCTGAAGCATCGGCAGAATCCATCTGATGGAAGCAAAGTCTCTAAGACAATACTCTGAATTACAGGAGCAGTCAAGATCCCAGGGGAATCTCCTACTGAGCAGTACCCATACTCTCAACCCTGGAGAAGGGTACCCTAAAGCAGGACTTCTGATGAAATCTCAGGGAAGAGAGACTTCCTCATTCTCCACCCAGAGACGTTCCTTCGGGCTGCAGAAAAGTAGAGACAACATAAGATATCTCAGCTCCTCACCTAAGCTCGGGCCCAAAATAGCCTGGTCACAAATTGTTGGGAAGAGATCAAGAAGTTACCTGTCAGAATGGTGCAGGCATAAACAATATGAAAACAATAAAAGCACAACTAGGCAAATATGCTATACAAGAGAAAAGAAGTAATGAATGGAAAAGAGAACGATCCCAACCTAGAGAAAAATAGTCACTCATGGAAAGAAGGAAAGTCCCCTGGCCGTTGTGTGCTACAGAACAACTTAATTAAGCCATGACTCAAGTGAAATGAGTCAGAATGAATTGAGGACCAACTGAGGAACTGAGGACCAATGGGATGTCATTGCGGAAATAATAATGAAATTATAAGCACCGAGGAACAGAATCAAAGGCACATTTCCCTGAACAGATAACGTGCTGACTCCAGGCTGAGTCACGCCAGAGGAAGGCCAGATGTGGTCAACACACACTCCCCGAGCTGTCCCTCCGGGCCCACGGCCTGTGCGCCAGGCAGGGGGGAAGACTAACTCCCAGCCCACACTCCCAGGGAGCTGCCTACCCAGGAGGTGAGAGCAACAGTGAAGGGGCTTTGGCCACAAGTCACAGAAATAGAACTAAGCTAGTTTGAGCAGAAGGGAGAAAAAGGAAAAGGAAAGAGGTAGGAGGGGAGAAGGGAGAGAAGGGGAGGGGAGGGGAAATAAAGAAAAAGAATGTAACGGCTGGGGTGGAGCCACTGAAGGTGTTGGAAGAATTCACAGGCTTCAAGAAGAACTGAACAAGCACCTCCCTCAGGAAGCAGAAAAGCAGGATCACCTTCCAACACCTCAGTAGCCAGGACTATGACAGTCTATGGACTGTGCCTCCATGTACCACGTCAAAATCACCTGGAAACTTTTAAAAATTGTGGCAAAATACACATAACATAAAACTTACCATCGTAGCCATTTTTAAGTGTACAGGTCAGTGGCATTAATAAAATTCGCGTGATTGTGCAACCATCGCCACCATCCATCTCCATAATCTTTTCATCGTCTCAAACGGAAACTCTGTCCCCATTAAACAATAATTCTTTGTGCCCCAGCCCCAGCCCCCGGCACCCACCATTCCACTTTCTGTCTCTATGCATTTTTTTTTTTTTTTTTTTTGAGACAGGGTCTCGCTCTGTCACCCAGGCTGGAGTGCAGTGCTGAGATCTTTGCTCACTGCAACCTCCGCCACCTGGGTTCAAGTGATTCTCATGCCTCAGCCTCCCGAGCAGCTGGGATTACAGGTGCCCGCCACCATGCCTGGCTAATTTTTGTATTTTTAGTAGAGACGGGTTTTCACCGTGTTGGTCAGGCTGGTCTCGAACTCCTGACCTCAAGTGATCCGCCCACCCCGGCCTCCCAAAGTGCTAGGATTACAGGCATGAGCCACCGCGCCCGGCCATCTCTATGCATTTTACTTCTGTAGGTTTCTCATGTGTGTGGAATACTACAATAATTGTCTTTTTGTGACTGCTTTACTTCACTTAGCATGATGTCTTCAGGTTTCATCCGTTTTGTCGCATGTGTCAGATTTTCCTTCCTTTCTGAGGCTGAGTGACATTCCACTGGATGGATGGACCAGATCTTGGTTATCTGTTCATCTTGTCAATGGACACCTGGCTTGCTTCCATCTTTGGGTTATAGTGAATAATGCTGCTATGAACATGATGTGCAAATATTTCTTGAGACTGTTTTTCATTCTTTTGGCTATGTGATGGTTGACTTTGTGTGCCAACTTGACTGGGCCACAGGGTGCCCGGATGGCAGTTAGACATGATTTCTGGGTGTTTGAGAGTGTTCCTGGACAAGATTTGCACTGGCATTGGGGGACTGAGTAAAGCAGGTGGCCCTCTCCAATGTGTGTGGGCGAAGGCCAATCCACTGAGAACTTAAATAGGACAAAAAGGTAGAAAAGGGTTGAATTCTCTCTGCCTGACTGAGCTGGGACATCCATGTCCTCTTGCCCTCAGTGCTTCTGGTTCTCAGGCCTTCAGATTTAGACTGGAATCCACACCATCAGCCCTCCGGATCTCAGGCCTTCAAACTATACCACCAGCTTTCCTGGGTCTCCAGCTTGCCGATGGCAGATCATGGAATTTCTTAGCCTCCATGAGTCTGTGAGTCAATTTCTTATCACTCATCTCATTCTAGGAAGCTCTCTATATATCATATATCCCTAAGCTCCAGTCCGTGGCCTGTTAGGAGCCGGGCCGCACAGCAGGACGTGAGTTGTGGGCAAGCAAGCATTACCACCTGAGCTCTGCCTCCCATCAGATCAGCAGCTGCGTTCAATTCTCATCGAAGCATGAACTCTATTGTAAGCTGTACATGCGAGGGGTCTAGGTTGTGCTCTCCTTATGGAACGGTTTCATCCCGAAACCATCCCCCACCCCGGTCTGCAGAAAAATTTTCTTCCACAAAACCTGTCCCTGGTGCCAAAAAGGTTGGGGACCACTGATATATGATGGATATCTATCTATGTATATATCATGTGTATATCCTGTTGGTCTGTTTCTCTTGAAAAACCCAAGTAACACAGGATAGACTCAGAAGCGGGATTGCTGATTGCTGGATCATATGGTAGTTCTATTTTTAATTTTTTGAGGAACCTCCATACTGTGTTCCATAATGGATAGTGGCTCACCTGGAAACCTGTAACAAAGTCCCTAAGTGACCCAGACGCGCACTGGAGTTTGAAAGTCACTGCACTAGACTCCATCCTGACATGATTCTGTGATAATAACTGCGAGACACGATGTCCCTTCCCACACATTTCAAACCCCGCAAAGAGTCTAATTGGCCCAGCTCATCAGAGAAATGCAAATCAAAACCACAAGATATCATCTCACACCAGTTAAAATGGCGATCATTAAAAAAATCAGGAAATAACAGGTGCTGGAGAGGATGTGGAGAAATAGGAACACTTTTACACTATTGGTGGGACTGTAAACTGGTTCAACCATTGTGGAAGACAGTGTGGCCATTCCTCAGGGATCTAGAACTAGACATACCATTTGACCCAGCCATCCCATTACTGGGTATATACCCAAAGGATTATAAATCATGCTGCTATAAAGACACATGCACACGTATGTTTATTGCGGCACTCCTCACGATAGCAAAGACTTGGAACCAACCCAAATGTCCAACAACAATAGACTGGATTAAGAAAATGTAGCACATATACACCATGGAATACTATGCAGCCATAAAAAATGATGAGTTCATGTCCTTTGTAGGGACATGGATGAAGCTGGAAACCATCATTCTCAGCAAACTATCACAAGGACAAAAAACCAAACACCACATGTTCTCACTCATAGGTGGGAATTGAACAATGAGAACACTTGGACACAGGAAGGGGAACATCACACACCGGGGCCTGTTGTGGGGTGGGGGGAGTGGGGAGGGATATCGTTAAGAGATATACCTAATGTAAATGACGAGTTAATGGGTACAGCACACCAACATGGCACAGGTATACATATGTAACAAACCTGCATGTTGTGCACATGTACCCTAGAACTTAAAGTATAATAAATAATATATATATATAAAATAAAAAACAATAAACATAAAACATTCACCACAAAAAAAAAAGTCTAATTGGCCCAGCTTGGGTCAGATGAACACCCAGGCACAGACCCGCTCTGTCCAGAGGGCAGAGTTACAAAGTGAAAACAGGGCCTCCAGGTGCCACAGCCAAGAGCAAGGTGGAAGGTCCCCTAGAAGAAAACAAAAGACAGCCCAGTAGGTGTCTACCAAGTAGAGCAGAGACTCTTTCACCATCTAAGAGCCTCGGAGAGGCCAAATGTTCCAAACAAGAGACTGAGGGGAACAACTCAGGTTGGAATGTGGCTTCCCAGGGGACAGACTGCTGGAGGGAAGGGCTCAGGCTGGAGGACAACTGGCCAGGGTTTACATTCACCCTTCCACTGTGTCTGCGGTCTCCAAACTCCAGGTACTTCAGTGAGATGTTGTACCTGTTAGGAATTACAGCTGCTTGCTGGGAAATGGAAAACAGTGGCTGGGATGACTGGAAGCCCGCAGGTGGGTGGGCCAGGGCTCCCTTGGTGACTCTGAAGCCATCAGGGCCCCTGCCTCCTTCCACCTTTCTGCTCAGCCATCCTTAGTGTTGTGGGTTTGTGTCCCTCAAAGAGACATGTTGAAGCTCTGACTCCCAGGACCTAGAATGTGACTCGATTTAGAAATACGGTCACTGCTGACAGTGTCATTAGTTAAGACGAGGTCAGAATGGAGTAGGGTGGGTCCTAAGCCATTATCACTGGTGTCCTCTTAAGAAAAGAATAAGAGACACAGACACACAGAGAGGAGAAGGCCCTGTGAAGATAGAGGCAGAAATTGGGAAGCTGCAAACCACAGAACACCAAAGACTACAGGTGGAACCAGAGCTGAGAGAAAGGCATGGAACGGCTCTTGCCCAGAGCCTTCGGAGGTAGCACAGCCCTGCTGACACCTTGATCTCGGACGTCTGGCCTCTAGAATTGCGAGAGAGTAAATGTCTGTTGTTTCCAGACAGTTTGTGGTGCTTTGTTATAGCTGCCCGAGGAGACGGATGCACCCAGCACAGGCTGTTGTCCACTGGTCACAAAACAGCTGCCCCACCTCCAGCATTGCCTCTGCTTTCAAGGTAGGAAGAAAGGGAAAACAAAGAGCAAAAGCTACCCACCTTCTAGCTGAGCCTGTCTTCCATCTGAAACGTCTTCCTGAAAGCCCCAGCCAGCAACTTCTGGGAACATCTCACTGGAGAAAACTTGAGTCCGGTGGGGCTGGGCAATGAAACTGCTCTAGCTGCTGCTGTTCTCAATCTGGATGCACCCCGCCCCCAACAGGCTCCGAGTTCTGTTGATAAGAAAGTGGGATCATGTGAGTAATTTGAAGACCACTAGGATGGATGATGTCCTGGTCCTGATCACGCCCTCCATCTGGTGTCTCAGTGCTTCCATGAGGACACTCAAAAAAAAAAATAAACAATGAAAATTGTAAATTTCTAAAAAATAGATAAAGTGTATAATACTTACTAGTTCTATAATGTTTCCCGTATGTCAGGTACTATCCTAAGAGCTTTAAATATACAGCTCATTTACTTCACAACAAGTCTGCAAGGTAATCTGTTGATCCCATCTCACAGGTGAGGAAACTGAGGCAAAAGAGGTTAAGAAACGTGCCCACATTTATACAGCTAGAAAGCGAAGCAGCTGGAACCTGAACCGAGGCTCCGTCGTCTCTCCACAGTGCTTAACCAGTTCTGGTAACATCATAACTCCCCCAAAGACATATTTTTCTCTGGTTAAATGGGGAAAAATATTTTTTTAAAAAAGTCTCGTTTCAGTCACTAGTTTAAAATGCACAAAACTGTGTGAACCCACTTAGCCCTCTGCAAGCAGTTTGCCAGGTGGTCAGGATTCTCACCTGCAAGGGATGCTCCTGAGGCAGTGCTCGCCACGTGCATGGAGCCCCCCTGAAGTAGGCTGAATACTGATTTCTGGAAATTAGAGAAATAGATATTTATGTTATCATGAAGAATGGCTTTCAGAAAGCTCTTCCCAGACGTAAATCAGAAGCAAACACTTAACCAAAATTGACTAAATACTAATCCACTGTGTCAATCAGCAGCTCAGCGCCAAAGCCATCCCAACTTTGGCTTTACAATCTGCATTTTTAAGCATCTCACCTGCCCATCAAGTACTCACAAATCTCTAAATCCCATTCTCTGCGTAGCCGCTGGCCCTATTCTGCCTTCTGCGTGGATGTCACAGACAGTGAGCTTCATCGAGAGGGTTTTTTTTATTAGTAAAGTTTTCTGTACCAATTTTTCTCTGCCTGTTTCTCTGTGTGTGTGTGTGTGTCAGTGTCTCACTCTGTTGCCCAGGCTGGAGTGCAATGGCACCATCTCAGCTCACTGCAACCTCCACCTCCCAGGTTCAAGAAATTCTCGTGCCTTACTCTCCCGAGTAGCTGAGATTTCAGGCATGCACCACCACACCTGGCTAATTTTCTTGTATTTTTAGCGGAGACCAGGTTTTATCATGTTGATCAGGCTAGTCTTGAACTCCTGACCTCAGGTGATATGCACACCTTTGCCTCCCAAAGTGCTGGGATTACAGGCGTGAGCCACTCCCCACCAGCCCCAATGCCAGCCTACCTGCCTGTTTCACCATTGCAATGAAGCAAAAAAAAAAACAAAAAAAAAAAACTCTGACTTGGTCTTAAAGAAAACAGCACAGCTTTTCTATAATGATCATCCCTTTTCTGGCCCATAGCTGGCCTCAGCTAACCATTCAGTCCCAAATGGCGATGGGACCCGACCCCAATCCCTTGTCCACAGCCTCGTCCCAGCTCTCTTCGCTCACCCATTCTGGCTCTGCATCCTGACCTCATCTCCTGGCTCCCTGCCCAGGTGTCACTTTCGTGACTCTTTTCATCCTTTTGCACAGACGTCCTCCAGGCTCCTGGGAAACCTCCCATTTATTTATTCAGTAAATAATTAGCGAACACCTGCCATGGGGCACACACTGGCCTAGGCACTGAAGTGAGCATGAAAGACAAGAAGCCTGCCTTCTAGAAATGAACATTCTGACATGTGCATCAGGCAATGAGCAAGGGACCAATGAATGTCAGACATGCACATTCCTCCTGCAATGCATACCTGTGGACCCACCTCCCATAGCAAGAGTGATGGCACATGTGGCCAACTGGATGTTGTGGAAATGACAGGATATAGCTTCTGAGTCTGGGTCATAAATAGCATTGTTGCTTCCACTCATATCACTAATTCTGGGAAAATCAGCTGCCACATCATGAGAACACCATGGCATCCCTATGGATAGGGTTCCTGCCAACCACAGCCTGCCAGCTATAGGAGCAGGCCCTCTTCAAAGTGGATCTTTCAATCCCAAGACCTGGCTGATGTCTTCAGCACAATTTCATAAAGGACCTTGAGAGTGAGCTAAGCCACCCCCAAATTCCTGACCCACAGAAACTGAGATAATAAATGCTTGTTGTTTTAAGTTTTGGGGCTGCTTGTTATGCAGCAATAGGTAACTCATACACTGATAGTGCTACTTTAATTAGGTGATGAAGAAAGTCCTTTCTAAGCAGCTGACTTTTGAGCAGAGACTTGAATGAAGTGAGCAGGTCAGGTAAAGATGTGCAGATGGGCATTCCAGGAAGAGGAAAGTGGACCTGCCTGGGCACCGAGATGGGCATAAAATGACCTTTTTATGAATAGCAAGGAAGCCAGTTTGAGTAGAGTGGATGGAAGAAAAGGAGATAAGATGGAAAAGGTAGACAGAAAAGGTCAACTCGCATAGGACCTTTTGACCCATAATGGGGATTTTGGATGTTATTCTAGGCATAAGTTGAAATTGTTGGAGCATCTTGAACAGAGGTGTGGCATATTAATTTTGGCTGCTGGATGGGAATGGACTGTACAGGGGAAGAGATAAAGATAGGAGGCCAACTAAAAGGCATCTGTACCAGGCCAGCAGAAAGTAACGCTGTCTCGACTTGGTGGCTATTTTGAAGGTTGAACCACCCAGCACTCGCTACTGGAAAAGAGATAAGGTATGAGAGAAAGAGAAATTGAGGACTATGTTTTGGACTTAACAAGGATGATTTGGGAAGAAGTGGGTCAATAAGGAAGTGAGATTAAGAGTTCAGTGTCCAGGCCAGGCACGGTGGCTCACGCCTGTAATCCCAGCACTTTGGGAGGCTGAGGTGAGCAGATCATGAGGTCAGGAGATAGAGACCATCCCAGGTAACAGGGTGAAACCCTGTCTCTAATAAAAATATAAAAAAAATTAGCCAGGCGTGATGGTGCATGCCCGTAGACCCAGATACTCAGGAGGCCAAGGCAGGAGAATCGCTTGAATCCGGGAGGTGGAGGTTGCAGTGAGCCGAGATCACACCACTGCACCCCAGACTGGTGAAAGAGTGAGACTCCGTCTCAAAAAAAAAAAAGAGTTCAGTGTCCAAAAGTTTAGGTTTGAGATGACTATTAGACATTCAAGAGATTTGCAAAGAGAAGATGAATGTACAAGTCTGAACGTCAAAGGGGAGGTCAGGACAGGGAATACGGATGCCATATGTACATCCAATTATTTAAAGCCATGATACTAGAGGTGACCTAGAGTGTGAACACAGGTAAATAAGAGAGGGGTAAAGAGCTTGTCCTGAAGCGCTCCAACATTCCAAGGGCGGGAATACGACAAAAGGAAATCCCTAGGCCCCTTGTGGGAGCCTAGAAGAAAATATAAGAAATCATTCTCTGGAGGAAGACATCATTATCCCTTACCCCCAAGTTATTTCTAGAAATGTGTTGGTTCACATACAATGACCAGAAAACTAACAAAGACAACCAGGCACATAAATACAAGATATCATGAGTAAAAGCCACTGGAACCAACGGTTTATAGCAACAACCATATATCACATCCAGGTATTAGAATTACCAGCCACAGATTGTAAAACAGCTGTGCTTTCTACATTCAACATAAAAGCTAAGCATGAGAAGTTCAGCAAAGAACTTGAAAACAAAACAAAACAAAAACTGTAACAGATTTTAAAAGAAAATCCATATGGAACTTTTCCAATTTAGAAACAAACAAAAATTAAGTATTTGATGACTCGGTGGAAAGGCTTCTTTACAAACAAATAGACATCAATGAAGAAAAAATTAGTGAAAAGGAAGACAGGTTAATAGAAATCACCCAAAAGAAATTATGGGGAGAAAAACACAAGGACTATGCCAGGAAGAAGGTAAAAGACAGATGATACAAGGGGGTAGCTCTAACTTGCATCTAATTAGAGTGCCAGAAGGAGAGGAAAGGCAGCTCAGAGTAGAGGCAATATTGAAGAAAATAAAACTGAGAACTTTTTAGAACTGATGAGCATCACCATACAAATTCTAGAAACCAACCAATTGCAAGCAGAACATAAAAAACAAATGCACCTAGGTATTTCGTGTTGAAAACTGTAGAATTTTTATTTATTTATTTATTTGAGAAGGAGTCTCACTCTGTTGCCCAGGCTGGAATGCAGTGGCAGGATCTTGGCTCATTGCAACCTCCACCTCCCAGGTTCAAGCGATTCTCCTGCCTCAGCCTCCCAAGTAGCTAGGATTACAGATGTGCACCACCACGCCTGGCTGATTTTTGTATATTTAGTAGAGACGGGGTTTCACCGTGTTGGCTGGGCTGGTCTGAAACTCCTGACTTCAGCTGATCGGCCTGCCTTGGCCTCCCAAAGTGCTGGGATTACAGGCATGAATGACTGTGCCCAGCCCAGAAAACTGTAGAATTTTTTTTAAAAAATAAAATTTTAACAATAGAGAAATAAAAAGATAGATTCCCTTTGAAAGAGCAATCTCAGACTTCAAGCTGACCTCTCCAGAGATGAGAAAGCCCAAAGAAACAGACAGGACGTCCACATGCCAAAGGCCAACTGCCATCCAAGAAATTCACACGCAGCCAGCACGTCCTGCAAGAACAGGGTGAGAGAAAGAAAGTCTCAAACAAAAGCAGGGAGATTTCATCAACAGCAAATTCTCAAAGAGGCTCATCAGACAGGAGAAAATGACCCCAGATGCAAAGCGTTATGAAGATCATTAGCAGCAAATAGAGGAAAGAGGCTCAATACACAATGACTGTGCAAAGTAATAATGTAAGGCCTGGTGAGTTTAAAAATATATCAGAATAAATATCAATGTAGAATTTGAAATACATTGCAATAAATATCGATGTAAAATATCAACGTAGAATTTAAAATATGTTGGAATAAATATTGATGTAAAACATATCAGAATAAATATCAATGTAAAATGCAATATCTGGTGAGTTTTTAAACATATCAGAATAAATATCAATGTATAATCTATAACCAGCAACTCTGGAATATATGCTAGCAGAGGTAAAGTGTTCCAGAATTCTTGCATTTTCCCAGAAAGTGGGTAAAAGTATTGATTAACATTGAAGTTTGATGTGTCAATGATGTATATTATAATTTCTAAGGTAACCACTAGAATAAAAGAGTGCATATTTTTGAACTAAAAGAAGAAAAAGTGGAATGACTTTAAAAACTCAGTTACTGCAAAGGAAAGCAAGAAAATGAGAAAAGGAACCCAGAACAGGGGCTACAATTAGATATCACATAGTAAAGCAGAAAAATATATTTTGAATACATCAGTAATCACAATAAATGTTAATGGTCTTAATCCTTCAATGAAAAGCCAATTTTTAAAACCAAGAGTTTTAAAAATCTATGTGCTATTTCTGTGAGTCCTATCTAAAAGTAAGAAAAAAGAAAGGTTTAAAGGAAAGAATGGTAAAGGATACTGACATCAACACCAATCAAAAGGAAGCTGCTGTATGAAAATCACTATCTGAGCAGTAAGTTCCAAGGTAAAAAGACTACTAGAGATAGTGACTGCTTATATTGATAAAAGTTTTAATTCACCAGGAATATATAATAATTCCTAAGTTTGCACCTAAAAACATGACCTCGATAGAAACAAAGCAAAAATTAACATATGTACAAAAATGGCAAATCCTTCAACATTATAATTGATACCTAAAGGAGGGTGGGCTGGTGAGGACGTGAGGACAACACGATGTGCAAAGTCAATGCAGCGCAGACGAACACACGATGAAGAGGGTCACAGGCGGAAAGTGAGTGATATGGAAGCATTAGGTTGATGAGTGTCTGGTGACAGTAATCCAGAAAAGAGGAGAGGGGGTGAAGGAGGGAGGGGAGAGCAGACGAACACATGATGAAGAGAGTCACAGGCGGAAAGTGACTGATACGGAAGCATTAGGTTGATAAGCTTGCAAGCCTTGATCAGTAAGTGTCTGGCGAGAGTAATCCAGAAAAGAGGAGAGGGGGTGAAGGAGGGAGGGAGATGGGGTAAGAGAGAGACTGAGAGAGAAACCAACGTCAGGAACAAAAAGGGTGATGACACTATAGAGCTTGCAGTCAGACTCTGCCTTTGGAATAAGAATTTGAGAAAATTTGAATAAAAATGACTAATTTCCAGGAAATTAAACAGCTTATCAAAACTGCCAGGAGAAGAAAATCAAAATTTTCCTGTAAGTGATAAAATTATTGAGTCATTCATACAAACCCTTCCCACAAAGAAAACTTTAGGCAGAGATTTTTCAGCGGAAGTTCTACCAAACTTTTAATGAAGAAAGAATTCCAAACTTACACAATATTTTTCAGACAAAAGAGGAAAAAAGAAATATTTCCCAATTGATTGTATAAGACTAGTATTATTCTGATGCCAAAACCTGACAAGGATAGTATTGAAAAAAAGAAACTAGAAGGCAAACCTCAACTATAAACACGGATGCCAAAATCCTAAATGAAGTACCGGCAAACCGAGTTAAGATTCATAAAAGAAATTTATCTCAAGAGTGAAAATGTATTTTATTGTTAGAAAATCAATCAATATAATTTGCCATATTAACAGATAAAGGAGGAAACTCATATGATCATTTCAATACATACAGACACTCTGACTTAAATTTTTAAATATTCATTCATGATTTTTTAAAAGAATTAAATCAATTTATAAATAGAAGAAAAGGACCTTAACCTGATGAAGTATCTTTTTAAATGACACATAAAGTATCATTCTTAATGGTGACCTCTTTCAATCTTTGCTTAGAAATAGAGCAAGGCTACCTGTTATCATAATTCCATTTGACATTTCACGGTAGGACCAGCTGGTGCATTAAGTCAAGGAATAGAAATAACATGTGAGAACTGGCAAAAAATAAATAAGTAAATAAATGGAATTGTCATTATATGCCGAGGATATAATACATAGGCAATACAAAGGATTTTACACATATATAATTTGAATGAATATAAAAGTTTTCTAATATGGCAGAATATATAAATCAATATTAAAAACCAGCCTTTGCCAGGTGCAGTGGCTCACACCTTAATCCCAGCACACTGGGAGGCTGAGGCAAGTGGATCACCTGAGGTCAGGAGTTCGAGACCAGCCTGGCCAACATGGTGAAATCCAGTCTCTACTAAAAATATAAAAATTAGCCAGGCATGGTGGCATAAGCACCTGTAATCCCAACTACTAGGGAGGCTGAGGCAGGAGAATCGCTTGAACTCTGGAGGTGGAGGTTGCAGTGAGCCGAGATCACACCATTCCACTCCAGCCTGGGTGACAAGAACGAAACTCTGTCTCAAAAAAAAGGAAAAAAAAAAACCCCAGCTTTTTATCAATATTAAAAACAAGAAATAAAAGAAATAAATGCAAATTTTTACAGAGTATGTGTATTATATACACATTTTTCAGCTTCGGGTAGTGCTAGACTCACTCAGATCAGACCAACCATCTTGTTGATAACAACTATAAACTCTGCGCAAAATGTAAAGAGCAACTTTTTTAAGTCTCAGGAAGGCAAAGAGAAGTAGCCAGGAACTAAATAGGCATCCCGCGTGTGGAAGATGGACTCGTGCTGGGTAAGCCCAACATGTACCCAGCCTTTTCCAAGGTTTGACACATGGGAAACGGATCTCATGCAGAGAACAGCAATCTTAGTGAGCAGGACTTAGACGTCAGAGTTCGGGCCACCAGGGCCTCTGGAAATTGAGGGTGAAAATATCAGAAAGGAAAAAACTAACATGGAATTGGTCTCCCAGAAGGAGAAAAGCAAGGAAATGAGGGAGATAGATATATACACACACACACACATATTATATATATATTATATATACACACACATATTATACATATATTATATATACACACATATTATATATATTATATATATACACACACATACATATGAATAAATATTGGTAGAAAATTTGACAATTTTCTACCAATTTGAAACATCAACCCACAGCCGCAAGAATCTCAACAAATCCCAATCAAGATAAACACAAAGAAAGCCACACTTCAGCACCTCCTAATCAAACTGATGAAAGAAATAAATGAATAAAATTTTAATCCTCCAGGGCGACTTCACCATTTGGTCATGAAAGATTAGCTGACATAGAATTTGTCTTCTCACCTCAACCGGTTAGAAACTGTTAAATATAGAAAACAACTGTTCCGTGTGCTGGGGGAAACGATGATGCAGGAAGGTAATCAGTGAGATTAAACAAACACACAGAGAAAATCCTGCAATCGCTCTGGCTTTCTCAGGGTGGACCAGAGCTGTCTCGATGGTGGGAGGAGAGGGAGGGGGAGGCTGGGGAGGCCACAGCAGCTGGAGTTTGCAGGTGGATGATCCAAGAAGAAGTAGCCACACAGAGAGAGAGCTCAGAAACCTTCAAAAAGCTCTCCTTGAGACCCTGGCTGGATGCTAATCTACACACACATCAGGGGAAACAACACAAAGCCAGTAAGCTTGGGAGCTATAAAGCGAAAAATTCCCAGATCTCACTCAGGGATGGAAGATATTTTAATTCCATCCTGCGAGAGTAGAAAGACTTTATTGAACACATGGGGCAATCCCTAGAGACCCTGAAAGGGCCAGGCTGCAGGTGTGGGGCTAATTTGTTTCTGGAGTAACAACTACACTGAACTCTTCTAACAAAGCACAAATACAGCCTCAAAGAGACCAACCTGATCCACCAGGAAACTAACTTCCTGTCTAAACAAACTTCAGTGCTCTTAAACGGAAGACAACAAAACTGAAACAATCAATGATGGAAAAAGCAAATTGCCTGGTATCCAATAAAAAATTACAACCCATAAATAAGCCAAAGAATTCAATTCCTAGAAACATGCCTGTCCCTCACACAACTGAAAAATCGCCATTGTAAGGATTTAAATGTGCTCTTTTTTTTTTTTTTTTTTGAGACAGAGTCTCACTCTGTCACCCAGGCTGGAGTGCAACGGCATGATCTTGGCTCACTGCAACCTCTCCCTCCCGGGTTCAATCAATTCTCCTGCCTCAGCCTCCCAAGTAGCTGGGATTACAGGCGCCTGCTACCACACCCAGCTAATTTTTGTATTTTTAGTAGAGACGGGGTTTCACCATATTGGCCAGGCTGGTCTTGAACTCCACCCACCTCGGCCTCCCAAAGTGCTAGGATTACAGGCATGAGCCACTGAGCCCGGCCCAATTTGCTCAGATAGTTAAAGGAAAATATGAACATGGAGAAAAATTGAAAGTATCAATTAGGGCCAATAGCAACATCTAGAACCAAAAAATGTAATCTCTAAAATAAAACTTTCACAAGATAAGGTTAACAACTATTAGATACTGGAGAGCAAAAGATTCACTCAAAAACATAGCAATAGGAACTATACAGTATGAATCAGGGAGGGAAAAAAGATTTTAAAAACAAACAAAAAAGACTGAACAGAGCCTCAGTAATCTGTAAGACAATATCAAATCATCTGAAACATAAGCAGTTGGAAGCCCTGAAGGAAGAGGAACAGAGACAAAAAGAAAGTTTACTTAAAGAAATAACAGTCTTAACATTTTTCAAACTTAATGAAAACTATAAATTTACAAAGAAATAGCTCAATATAAAAGAAAAAATCATGCAAAGGCACAACCTAATCAACATTGCTGAAAACCAGTGAGAAAGAGAAAAATCTTAAAGGAAATTCAGGAGGTGAGGGAAATATTTATGTATGGAGGAACAAAGAGAAAAAATATAGGAGACATATCATCTGAAACTACATAAGTCAGAGAACGAGAATGACAACTTTAAAGTGCTAAAAAAAAAAAAAAAAATCAACCTAAAATTCTATACCCAGTAAGAAAATCCTATAAATGAAGGTTAAATAAAAACTTCCTCACACAGACAAAAATTGGGAGAATTTGTTGCCACTAGGTATGCGCTGTTTTTAAAAAGTTATAAAAAGTTATTTAGGTGAAATAATAATGATGCCAGGCAGAAACATGGATCCACACAAAGAATGAAGAGCAGTGGAAATGATAAATAGGTGGGTAGACAGAAAAATATCTTTTTCTGATTTTAAAGTTTTCTTTTTTTAGAAAACTGGCTGTCTAAAGGAAGAGCACATATTGGGAGATTTATGACATATGTAGAAGTAAAATATGTAGGCCCACTATTGCACAAAGGACAGAAGGAGGAAGGCTGTAAAGTTCTTATACCATAGGTAAAGTGAAATGATGTTACTTGAAGGTAGAGACTGATGAGTCAAAGGCACATATTGTAAACCCTAAAGCAACCATTAAAATTTTTTAAAGTCGTAGCAAAATAATAATAATAATAATGCAGATAAAACGGAATCATAAAAAATAATCCATAAGAATGAAGAAAGGATCAATTAAAAAAACAAATAAAATAATAGCAATAAAATACAACAAATACAAAACAAATAGCAGGGTGGTAGATTTAAACCAACCATACTGATAATTACATAAAATGTAATTGTCACTCAGGATGGCTTCTGTCTACAACAACCTATTTTAAATACAAAAGCACACATATGGAGGCCAAGGCAGGAAGATCACGAGGTCAGGAGATCGAGACCATCCTGGCTAACACAGTGAAACCTCATCTGTACTACAAATACAAAAACAAAATTAGCTGGGCACGTGGTAGCAGATGCCTGTAGTCCCAGCTACTCGGGAGGCTGAGGCGGGAGAATGGCGTGAACCCGGGAGGTGGAGTTTGCAGTGAGCTGAGATCCCGCCAGTGCACTCCAGCCTGGGCAACAGAATGAGACTCCATTAAAAAAAAAAAAAAAAAAAAAAAAAAAAAAGGGCACACATATACAATTCTGAACTAATACATGAAAGGAAAAAAAGATACACACAAAGATTAAAATTAGAAGGCTGGAAAATACATGCCATGCAAAACCCTATGCATAGGAAATATGGATACTACTAGGGATAAAGGGAGACACTTTATAACAATAAATGGGTCAATTTATTTGAAAGCTATAATAATTCTAAATATGAACATATACCTAATAACAGAACCTCAAAATTCATGACAGAACTGAAAGGAGAAATAGACAGAACCACAATTATACTTGGAGATTGAAGACTCTTCTCATGTTAATTAACAGACAGAATATCAGTGAAGATGCAGAAGATTTAAACAAATAACATTATCAACCAAGAAGCACCAGTTGACACTTGTAGAACACGCTACCCGATGACAAGAGAATACACATTCTGTTCAAATAAACATGGAACATTCACCAAGACAGACCATAAAATAAGTCTCAATATATTTTTAAAAATTGAAATTATAATAAAACAAAAATTTTACAAACACAGAATTAAATTAGAAATCAGTAACAAAGTTTGAAAAATTCTCCAAATATTTGGAAATTAAACAATACACATCAAAATAACCCATGGGTCAAAGAAACTATTCCAAGGGAAATTGAAAAATGATTTATGCTACATTTAAAAAAGGAAAATTATTAAAATTTGTGGGTTGCAGCTAATGCAGCATGTAAAGGAAAACTAAGAGCTTTAAATGTTTATATTGGAAAATTAGAAAGGCCTAATGTTGATAAGCCTGTTTTGTACCTTAAGAAGCTGAGAAAAAGAGCATATTAAAAGCAAAGTAATTAAAAGAAAGGAAATTATATAATTAGTAGCAAAAATAAAGTAGTAACAAGAAAATTAGAGAAAATCAATGAAACCGACATCTGTGTCTTAGAAACAATCAACTAGCTAAGCTGATGAAGACAATAAGGTAAAAGATGCAAATTGACCATATTAGGAATGAAATATATGACATCACTGTAGGAATGAAATATATAGCATCACTATAGATCCCATGATAATTAAAATAATAATATGGGATTATTATGAAAAAGTGTTTATGCCATTCAATTCAACCCCTTCAGTGAAATAGACAAATTCCATGAAATATTCAAATTGCCAAAACTGACTCAGAAAGAAATGGAAAATATGAACAGCCCTATAATGACCACAGAAATTAAAATCACAATTAAAAATCTTCCCACAAAGGTAACTCCAGGCCCAGATGTCTTCACTGAGTAATTATATTGCATGCTAGGAACAAGTAAAATGAATTCTATACAATTACTTTCAGAAAATGAAGGAAAAAGGAACACTTCTCAATTCATTTTATAAAGTTAACACTAACCATTACTAAAACCTGATACAGACATTGCAACAAAAGAAAACTACCCAACAATATTTCCCATATATATAGTTGTAAAAACCCTTAACGGGTCAAGTCCACCAACATATGAAAGTTGGTGTATCCCAGAAATGCAAGGTTGTTTTAATATTCAAAAAATCAAGGTGAGTCATCACACCAACAGCATATAGGAGAAAAATGATACACTTTTCTCCATAGAGGTAGGAAAAGCACATGGCCCAATTTAACACCCACTTGTAATAACAATTCTCTGTAAACTAGGAATAGAAAGAACATCCTCGAAATAATAAAGAGCACCTAACAAAAACTTGCACTAAAATTTGATAATAAAAGACCAAATATTTTCCCACAAGACTGAGCACAAATCAAGGATGTCTGCTTTCATCATTTATGCTCAGCATTGTACTGAAAGTCTTAGCCAATGCCAATACCAGGAGGCAAGAAATTAAAATACAAGGCATGACCAAGCAAGGTAGCTTATGCCTGTGATCCCAGCACTTTGGGAGGCCAAGGCAGGAGGATCCCTTGAGCCCAGGAGTTAGAGACCAGCCTGGGCAATATGGTGAAACCCCATCTCTACAAAAAATACAATAGCTGGGCGTGGTGACACATGCCTGTGATCCCAGGTACTCAGAAGGCTGAGGTGGGAGAATCGCTTGAGCCTGGGAGGTCGAGGCTGCGGTGAGCTGTGATCGTGACACTGCACTCCAGCCTGGGTGACAGAGGGAGACCCTGTCTCAAAAAATAATAAGACGAAGAAACAAAAGGCGTCCAGATTGGAAAAGAAGAAGCAAACGTCCCCCTTCACAGACAGTAGTCTGTGACATACTTGACATAATTAACTCAAATGAATCATAGGGTTACATTAAGTGCTGAAACTATAAAAGCTCTCAGAAAATATCTTTGCAGCTTAAGACAGCAAAGATGTCTTAGATGTTACACAGAAAGCACAAACATCAAAGGAAATACTTATAAATTGGACTTCATAAAAATTTAAAACTTCTGCTCTTCCCAAACATCATGGAGAAAGGGAAAAGGCAAGCTACAAATTGTAGGATGATATCTGCAACACATATAGCTTGACAGAGACCTGGCATCAAGACATGTAAAGATTTCCTACAACTCAATTATAAGAAAACAAGTGAAAATGGATGAGGACTTTGAAAAGCCTCTTCATAAGAGAAAACATAGTCAATAAGAACATGAAAAGATCCTGAACACCACTAGTCATCAGAGAAATGCAAATGAAAACCAAACCTGTAGTCCCAACGACCCAGGAGACTGAAATGGAAGGATAGCTTGAGCCCAGGAGTTTCAGGCTGCAGTGAGCTATGTTCATACCACTGCACTCTAGCCTGGGCAACAGAGCAAGACCTTCTCTTTAAAGAATAAAAATGAAACCACAATCAGATACCACTCTACACTCACTAAAATGGCAAAAATGTCATACCAAGTGGAGAGAATGTGGAGTAGATGGGACTTCAAGTAACATAAAATGCTACAGTCACCTTCAAATTCCTTAAATCTCAGTCATACACCTACCCTATGACTCAGGCAATTTATAGCTTTACTCATAAGAGCCAAATACTGAATACAATCCAAATGACATCAGCAGGTGAATGTATAAAATTCTGGTATAAATGTCTGATGGAATACTACTCACTACGAAATGAGTAAGCATACAACATACAACAACATGATGATCAAAAATCACCACAATGAATGAAGAAATCCAGACACACAGAATGCCTACTATGACTCCATTTATAGAAAAGTCTAGAACAAATCAAACTATTCTCTAGTGACAGGAAGCAGACCATTGGTGGCGTAGGGCTGGGGGAGAAGGTTGGGGACTGGCTGAAAAGGGTCATCGTGGAATCGGGGGTGATAGAAATATTCTATATCTTGACTGTGGTGCTGGTTACACTCATTTGTCAGAATTTATCAAACTGTACAGTTAAAGTGACTGCATTATTATATGTGTAGTATATCTTCATAAAGTTGCTTTCAAAAGGAATAATAGACTTGACCAGACACATCACACAAGAAGGTATACATGTGGCCAGTAAACATGTGAGAGGTCCTCAGCATCCTTAGTTACCAGGCAGATGCCTACAAAAATGGCGATGACCATCACTTCATACCCACTTGGAAAGACCCACTTGGAAAGACCAAAATTAAGATAGCTGACAGCAGCAAATGCGAGGGTGTGGACGATGAGGAATTCCAGACACTGGCTTCTAGGGGTATATACAATGGTCACCCACTTGGAAAACTCTTTTACATTTCCTTACAAAGTAAAACATTTCTCCATTCTTTGAACCAGACATTCCACTTGGTTCGAAGTTACTCAAGAAAATGAAAATACATATCCACACAAAGAACTTGCACAGAATGTTCATAGCAGCTTCACCCATACTTGCCAAAAGCTAAAAGTATCCCAAATAACCACCAACAGGTGGATAGAAAGCAAATGATGGTATATTTATGCAATGAAACACCATTCTGTGATAAAAAGGAATGACTACAGAGGCACAAAACGGCACAGATGAATACCTCACAAACATGATGTGGAACGACAGACGCCAGATACCAAAGGACAAATGCTGGATAATTTCATTTACACGGAGTTCTCAAATGGGGAAACCTAATCTACAGTGACAAAAATCCAAACAGCAGTTGTGTCAACACGAGAAATGGGACAATTGCCCAGAAAGAGACACCAGGGAATTTTCTTGATTGAGATCTTGTTACTCAAGTGGACACGCACATCAAAACTCATGGAACTGCACTCCAAATTCTGTGTAACTTATTGTATACAAATGGTTCCTCAATGAGAAAAGCTCAGAAACTAAGTTACAATAGCATCTGAAAAGATGAAGAAGTACATCTAACAAACTGTAAAAGGTCTTTATTCAGGAAACTGTAAAACATTATTGAGGAATTTTAAATAAACTCTTAAAAATGGGGAAAAAATCTGCATTCATTGGAGGATTCAATATTACCCAGATGTTAGTGCTCTCTGCATTTATAGATTCTGTAAAATACCGATCAAAATCCCAAAAAGAACTTCTGTGGAACTGGGCATGGTAGTTCTAAAATGTATGCAGAAATCCAAAAGGCAAGAATAGACAAGACACTGTTGAGAAGCCAGAAAAACCTGAGAGAATTCGCTCCACCAGGCACCAAGACTTCTTACAAAGCTCCTGTAGTTAAGACAAGGCTGGCCAGGGGCCATGACACCCACCTGTAATCCCAGCACTTTGAGAGGCTGAGGTGGGAGGATCGCTTGAGCTCAGGAGTTTGAGACCAGCCTGGGCAATATAGCAAGACCCTGTCTCTCCAAAATCAAAAATAAAATAAAAAACCTAACAGGGCAAGGTGGCACATGTCTGTGGTCCAGCTACTCTCAGGAGACTGAGATAGGAGGATTACTCTCAGGAGGTTAAGGCTGCAGTGAGCCAAGATCTTGCCACTGCACTCCAGCCTATGCGACAGAGCGACAGAGACCCTGTCTCAGAAAAGAAAAGAAAAGAAAAGAAAAAGGTGGGGTTTTGGTGCAATGAGAGAGAATAAAGAGCCAGAAACAGGCCATTTATGTGTGGACACTGGATTTAGACGTGCCTAGCTCTGCACAATAACAGAAGGGAGAAATGGTTTGGGGACTGTTGATTATCCACATGGGGAAAGAAATGAAACTTGACCTCTTACCTCCCATAGCACAGAAAAATTAATTCCAGACAGACTGAGATCCAAAAGTGAAAGTCAAAACACTTCATAAAGCTTTTAGAAGGGATATGAGAGAACTTCTCCATGACCTTCAGTTGAGAAAAGATTTTTGAACAAGATTCAAAATGCAATAACCATAAAGGAAAAGGTGGATGAATTTGGCCACATAAAAATTAAGTATTTCTGCTCATCCAAAAACACCAGTAAAAGAGTCCAAAGGCGAGATCAGCAGTGACAGAAAATATTTGCAACACATATAACTGACAACAGCCTCATATCTAAAACATATAACAAACTCCTGCAAACTCGTTAGGAAAATGGATCCAGCACTGGAATAAGCACAGCACAAATGAAGGTCTCCAACTGACCAGTAAATGTAGACGGTGGTGCCTGAGAGTCATCAGGGAAATGCACATTACAATCTCAATGAGAAATCACTGCACACCCACCAAATGAGCTAAAATTACAAGGACTAGTGGGAGGGCAGAGCAAGGGACTCCCTCATGCAATACTGTACACACTGAATCCACAGCAAAGAGCTCCGATTGTCTGAGACATTGAAAGACGCACATATGCTATGACCAACAGTTTCACTCTGAGGTACACGTGTATTCAGCAGAAAGATTTGCACAAGAGCTCCAGCACCCAAACATTCTTTCGCAGCAAAACGGATAAATAAATCTTGGTACACAGCAATGAAAACGGATGCATTGCAGCTGCACACAATAGAATGGATTAATCTTCAAAATGCCATGTGGAGTCAAACAAGCCAAACATAAACATCAGTACTGTATCATTTCATTTACATAAATACTTAGAACATGTTAAACTAAGCCATTATTTGAGGATACCTACACAGGTGGCAAAGCTATAAAATGTTGTAAAATAAAATAAGCTGTATAAGGAAAGAAGCGATTGCATAAAGGTCAGGGTGTGGGGGGCTCGGACGAAGAAGAGTAACTTGGGGGTGGGTCTGGCAGCTGGCTGGAAGTGGGAAAATGGGCATTGGCTGGAGGTGCCTTAGGGTCAAGGAAGGTTCCCTTTTTAAGATGGGAGCTGGTGTAGCCCATCTGTGGCTGATGATCATGACTCAGCAGGACACGAAGATGGTGACTCAGCAAGAAGGGAAGGAGGCTGGAGAGATGCCCTGCAGGGGACAAGAGGCATACACCAGGGGACAAGTCCATGCACAAGTGGACCTTAGCTGACCTCAGGTGACCTTAGGTGGACCTTAGGTACCCGGGCAGTTCATCCAACAAAACATAGGTCCATGACAGAAGCTGACAGATACAGGGAAAAGGAGATGAGGGCAATTTCCTAGCTGGACCCTTCTTTTTCAGTGAAATAAGAAACCAGGTGTATTAGTCCATTCTCATGCTGCTATAAAGAACTACCTGAAACGGGGTAATTTATGAAGAAAAGAGGTTTAATTGACTCACAGTTCTGCAGGCTTAACAGGAAGTATGGCTGGGAGGCCTCAGGAAACTTACAATCATGGGGGAAGGCAAAGGGGACGCAGGCACGTCTTACATAGCAGAGCAGGAGAGAGAGAAAGAGTGAAGGAGGAAGTGCCATATACTTTTAAACAACCAGAGCTCATGAGAACTCACCCACTCTCACGAGAACAGCCATGGGGAAATTCCCTCATGATCCAATCACCTCCTACCAGGCCCCTCCTCCAATTCTACATGAGATTTGGGTGGGGACACAAATCCAAACCATATCACTAGGTCAGTGTCCCCATCATGCCAAGGCTTATGGAACCCCTGGGTTTCTTTTTTTTTTTTTTTTTTTTTTGAGACAGTCTCGCTCTGTCGCCCAGGATGGAGTGCAGTGGCATGGTCTCGGCTCACTGCAGGCTCTGCCTCCTGGGTTCATGACATTCTCCTGCCTCAGCCTCCCCAGTAGCTGGGATTACAGGCACCCACTACCATGCCTGGCTAATTTTTTGTATTTTTAGTAGAGACAGGGTTTCACTGTGTTAGCCAGGATGGTCTCGATTTCCTGACCTCGTGATCCACCCGCCTCGGCCTCCCAAAGTGCTGGGATTACAGGCATGAGCCGCCGCGCCCGGCCAGAACCCCCGGGTTTCTCAACATCACTGGGCAGGTCCTGAGACCAGGTCGACCAGGCCTACCCAGGCCTGCTGAAATGCCAGTGGCCACAGCGTCTCTGGGAACTGGAGGGGTCCACACCAAAGACCACAAGGAAGCCAAGATGTCTAACACCAGGACCAAGGGTGTAGGGGCAATCACCCAAACCTGCAGAAAAAAATCCCTCGAGAGAAATGCATGAAAAACATCATCTGTGTTGCCAACAAAGTACCCAAGCAAACTCCTGGGAATTAAATACTCAAAGCGGCCCATGCTCACGTTGAAGGCATCAGGCAAACGCTGAGTACCTCACATCTGTGAGGGCAGGAAGGAGAAGAGAATGAATTCTGAAAGCCCCAAGTTCAATTTCTACACAAAGTGCCTGTAGAGCTGAAGTGATCAAATCAGGGAACTTGGTAAATACCGGCTGCTGCACTCCCAGCTATTTTCAGCTTTCTGAGAAGAAAATGGGGTCAGAACCCCAGTATTGCTCCCCCCTGCAGAGTGGCAGCTGCCCAGGAGAGGGCCCGGGCTGGAGTATAAGCCCTGAAATGCAAGAGGAGCCTCACTTTGCAGATTTATTGAAGCATAGTCACCGGCTTCAAAAACAGCTTACTTCAGGGACATTTTGGAGCACTGAAATGAACTTATTTGAAAATTGCAAGAACCACATGAAAATACGGTGACATTTAATGATAAAGTTTATGGATTCGAAGCAAAAACGTCACCTTTAGAAAAGCGAAATCAGAAGCCGCTCACCAGTGGTGTTTAGAGGGGGTTATCATTTGAATCCTACAGAAGAATCATTAAGGTTCTGGGAGGAACATCTGCGGATGTGAGGAAAAAGTCATCGTTATTTTGAAATATTTGATATAAAAAGTTCAATTAGATTCAAAATCCATTTGCATTATCACAAAAAATTCTAACATTATATTTGTCAATGAAAGAAAAAGACGGTTGTTAGATTAGAAGAATGAGTTCAATTCAGAGCAACTGGATTATTCGAATTCTGGTTTATGGAGAGAAAGGAGGTTTTACCAGGCTGAAACGCAGCCACCATACTCTCCAGCCATTTGTTCTCAGCTCTTGCTAGAGTTTCTTATCCTCAATCTGGGAAGATTAACCCAGAAATTACCCCAGGCCATTTCACGTATAAGCCGATGTAAAGAAAACTCAGGTGCAGGCTCAGTCTCTGATTTTAAATTTATGAAAGGGTTTTATTTGAAAGCTTTACATAAATTCAATATTCAATACCTTCCCTACTCCTTAGCATTTTTTTCTTAACATTATCTAATATGAAAACCTGTAGACATTTTCACCAAGGTTTAGGGACCCGAGTCCCCTGCAGTTTGTCCTGGTGCAGTGCACAGCCCCAGCCACGTTCCATGTCTGCCAGGACGTAAGCAAGGCTCAGAAGCTTTTGAGTTTCAGGCCGAGGGTTAGGAAGGTGGGCCCTGGCCACACAGAGCCTGGATGTAAAACCCCACTCTTCACCCAGAGGCTGTCGGGCAAGCGACCCAGCCACTCCAAGCCTCAGTTTCCTCATGTGCAAAATGGGACAAATAACCTAAGAGGGTTTAGTTAACATTACACAGGCAAATTCTGACCCAAAATGATCACTCAATCCACATCCAAAACCACTTTGTAGAAGGAAGGCAGACCCAGGCTGTTAGCCAAAGCAACGTCCACAGGAAATGGGAGGCCACATGACCGGGCACTCCGGCAGCGACATTGGGCCCAGGCCCACCACACACACCACAGTGACCCAGGGGACGCAGCTGGGTCGGGGCCTGGTCTGAAGTGACCTCAGCAGGCTCAGACCCCACACAGGACACACCCGAACCTGCTGTTCTCCACTCTCGCCAGGCTCTGCCCGGGCTCACCTGGGTCTGGGCTGAGTGTCACCCCTCACTCTCACCATGGGGCTGGAGGTGTAGTTGGGTCCGATGATTAGGGGTGCAGACAGGGCCACCAGGGCAGCTGCCTCTCCCAGCAGTCAACTCGTGACACCACCGCTCACCCCACTCTGGCCAAAGCCAGCCCCATAGAGCCCCAGAGCATGCGATGAGGAGCTCCAGGGGCCCTGCCAGGCCCATTCCACCCGGGCCTTGCTGCCCGCTAGAGCACTCAGGTCGGGACCTCTGTCTCAGAAGGCACCGCCCTCCAGTCCCTCCCAGGGTGGTGTGTACAGCAGGCACCACGGAGAACACTGAGCTGGCAGGCCACAGTGGGGGCAAGCCACGGTGACCACCACCCAACGTGGCCGTGGGCTAGAGAACAAAAGCTCATCTTTCATCGCGTGGGCCTGCAGGGAGGCTGGGGCCTTGCTGATCCTGGAGGGGTGGGGGACAGAGGCTGAGAGGTACACACCCCCCAGGAAGGGGACTGTGGCCTGAGAGGTACACACACAATACACATATCACATCATATGCACACATATCCCGTACACACACACACCACACACACATCACATGCATACATACCCCTCACACACACATCACATCACATGCACATATACCCCATACACACATACCACACACCATATCACAGGCACACATACCCCCCCACACACACACCACACACATCCCATATACACATGCTCCCCACACACACCACATACCACGCACGGTCTCCACTTGCATTTCCTTGGCTGTGCAGAGCCACGGCCGTACCTATCCCTAAAGAGCCGTGTGGTGCTCCCTGTCTGACAGGGGCAGGTGAGCTGGACGCACAGCACGGGCGGCCCACAAGCTGGACAGGCCACTCACCCAGTCAGGCAGCCTTGTCTAGTCTTCCTTTTGAGCCTCACTGTACTTGGTCCCTACACTGTTCTCCTCTCTGGGAGCTATGCCTCACCTGGTGGCCCCACCAGCCTGCCGGGTGTGTGGCACTGTCTCTGCTGCACCAGGAGAAGCCTTAGAGCTCCATCATCGGCCGCAGCCACACGTGGCAGAGCTTAGAGTTTGGCCTGCAGAGGCGTCCCCAAGTGTCCTGGGCCTGGGAAAATGTCCCTTCCCCTTCCCACCCCCACCCACTCCCCAGAGACAGTAGCAAACTGGAAGGTCTGCATCTCACAACTAGGGGCCCTCCAGGGGACAGGCAGCCTGAGTGCAGGCACCTGCTCCCACCCTCTGTCCCCTGTGGTTTGGGGCAGCTGAGCTGCAGGGGGAGCTGCATTCATCCATCCCCAGGATGGGGAGGAGGTGGGTGTGCCCCTGGGGCAGAGGAGCCTTGTGGAGAAGGCCGTGAGGATGGAACTCACCATTGCTGGTTTTACAGGAACTCTACACCCTCGAGAGAAGTAGGGCAGGAAGAGAGAGGCACGTGCACACTTAGGGTGCTGCCCTCCATGGACCTGTTCTCCCAGAGGAAGACCCAGCCTCCCACCCTCTACTCAGGCCTGGCATCAGTGCTCCATAAGCCACATAAGCATATATAGGTCAGTTCTCAGGAATCAAGTCCTGGGTTTTCTAAGACATCCAGAGGGCATCTCCAGGCTTCCAGTCCCTGGCTTAGAGTGGGCACCACTACGTGGAGATTGAATGTGTGGATGGATGGATGTGTGGATGGGTGGATGTATGTATGTATGTATGGATGGATGGATGGATGGATGGATGGAAGGAAAAATAGATAGATGGGTGCATTGATGGATGAATAGAAGGTAGACGGGTGGATAAATGGATGGATAGGATGGATGGATGGATGGATGGATGGATGGATGGATGGATAGATAGGATGGGTGGGTGGATGATTGGATGGATGGATGGATGGATGGATGGATGGATGGATGAATAGATAGGATGGGTGAGTGGATGATTGGATGGATGGATGGATGGATGGATGGATAGATAGATAGGACAGGTGGATGGATGACTGGATGGATGGATGGATGGATGGATGGATGGATGGATGGATGATGAATGGATAGATAGAAGAATAGTAGATGGACAGATGGATGAGTGAATGGGGGGCTTTGCATGCACTCTCACAATTGCCCACCAAAAGGAAGTCACAGAAGACATAGCCCAGGACTTCACCAGGACCATTTTGGTGGCTGGTGGAGCTGGCATCTGATTGGGGCTTCCAATGACCATAGATTGGTGACAAGCGGTGGGTAGGAGCCGCACATCAGGAAAGACACAGCGCGAGGGACCTCCTCCCTGTTATATTATTAAATCCAAACAAGAAGTCTAGACAGTAAGTCCTTTTATATTTTACCCTCCACACCCAAGCCACAGTGAGCCCAAAGCCCCCAAGGGGAGTGGGTCGAACTAGAATGCGCAGCAGCTGCCAAATGCTCAAGCCAGCCCCTCTAGTGACCCTGCCTGTCTCATCATGTGCCCTGCTCTCAGCCTGCATGGGGCTCCAGTTCTAACAGCCAGCCCTTGAGCTTTCTGTAAACATCAATAGCCCCAGCACGTCCTGCCACCTGGATTCCATCGTTGTCTCCACCCACAGATCTGCGTTTCCTCCAGGCCTCTCCTGCCATGGCCGGTGTCCCCATCCCTATGCCCCCTGGCCCTGCTGCAGCCTGAGGCCTTAGCTCCAGCTTGTAGGAGCGACTGCAGACACAGTAAGCCCACGTCTTCCAGGCTTACCACAGTGATGCTGTGTGTAATATACTTGGACTTCCTGGTTCACACTGCTGCCCACTGCAGAAGGGGCCAGGGAGAGAGGGCATCCCGCCCCACTACTGCTTTCTGGAGACCAGCTGAGCAGTTTGTATCAAAAGTATTGTAAATGTACATACTTTTCATCCCAGTGTATCCACTTTAAAGAATTTACCCTGGAGAGACTGTCATGAATTTGCATGAAAATGTACTAGAAGGCAGTCACATCAGCTATCTCTATAAGAGTAAAACAGGAGGAGTCATTTAAATGGCACATCCGTAAGACGGATGGCTGCAGCCATCATAACTCAGGCTGTGGACAAATGCATGTGACATGAGAAAACTTTAAAATATGATACAATAAAGTGAAAAGTGCAATCTCAAATCACCTGCAATTAAGTTTTCAACATCGGTATATATTGCATGAGTGCGTGCTCAAGCAAAGGCATTTGAGAAAAAACCAGAAAGAGGTTTAGATAACGTTAGCAGTTGTCAGTAGGAAGTGAAAATGCAAGAGGCTTTTTTTTCTTTTGGCTGCCCCCTGTGTTTTCCAGGCATCATATAAGGAGCATGCATTACCTTTGCATCCAGAAAATAACTATTTTGAGAAATTAGTAGGATCCGGTCTAGGCCCCACATCACAACTTATTCCTAGGTACCCAGGGCTGGCAGGCCCCAGGCGCAGAGCGTGCAGACCTCCATTTGCAGGAAATACAAGGAAGATGCTCATGTCACCAGGAAAATCACAGCAAATGCACCACGCTTGCTCTGTGCCCACTCTGTGCCCAGTACCTTCCTTGATTAACTCATCGGCCTCCCAGCGCCACTGAGGAAGGACCTGTGGGTCTCCCTTTACAGATGAAAGACTTGAAGCACAGAGAGGTGAGTAACATGGTCTGGATGGGACCAGGTGGTCAGTCCTTCCTTCCATGTGGCCCAGATGAGGGGACATCATGAAGGGGAGCTCTGGCCAAAGGTGGCAACAGGACCCTGGACCCAGCCAGAGAAAGCAGAGGCCCCCAAGAGAGGGGCTGGGGTTGGCTGGCCCCTTCCCCGGTGAGGCTGGGCTGGGGCAGGTGGCAGGTCCACCGTGGAGGACGCCAGGCCCTGCCCAGTTAGAGGCAGCTGTCCCAGCCACCCTGTCCACAGGGTCCTAGCCGCTTGGTGTCCCCCTCCACGTGCTGTGGTCTTCCTCACCCCCACATGCACCTGGTGAGGAAGGGGTGACTAAACAAACACCTTCTGAAGGTTGGAATAAGCACATGTACCCCAGAATGTTGGCAGATCCTTGTCCTCACAAGAGTGGGTCAGGAAAGCCCAGGTGAGAGCTGAGGGGTGGCTGGAGATGGAACGGTCAAGAGAGGGGACAGCCCACGGCTTCCGTTATGCCCATCCGAGGCATGGGGGTCTCTGGAGCAGAGAAAGAGCGGGTGGGGAGGACAGAAGTGAAGCCAGAAGACCAAGGCCCAACAGAGGTGGCTGGAGACCGGTGACCTGCAGCCCAGGGCTCCCTTGCAGTAGCAAGAACCCTGCTTCACCCTCAGCAGCACAAGTAGCTGTCATCATCACTCCCACACTTGGCAGGTGAGGAAAGTGAGACTCAGAGAGACGTGGACAGGTGGGTTCACAGCGCAAACAGGCAGGGGTGGCCTCATGCAGAGTAGGGTTGCAAAGAGAGGGAGAGTATGGCGTGTCGGGAACCTGCTCTGTGCCCGGCTCTCAGCCTGGCCTTTTGCACACAGCACCTCACCTCGAAACCTGGGGTGGTTACCCCCATGTTCACACGAGAAACCTGAGGTTCAGGTAGGATAAGTGACTTGTCCACGGTCGCACAGCAAAGGGCAGAGTGGACGTCAGACCCAAGATGACTCCAAAGCCGGGCTCCTCCCACCCAGGGCCCTCACGCACCCACTGGCTTCATGCATTCATGAAGCCACCAGCAGCACCAGGCGCCACGGAACACAAGCGCAAGAGGAGGCTGGAGGCTGTCCTCACTCACTGGGACTGCAGGGGAGCTGGGGACACAGACACAGAGAAAAGTGCTGAGAAGACAGTAGGACAAGGGCCAGGTGAGACCTAAAGGGTGAATAGGTCATAACCAGGTATATCCGTCAGCCTTAGCTGCGTGACAAATGACTCCAGAACCCAGAAGCTTCTGCCTAGATGCGTTTCTTATGCTTCTGGGCCAACTGGTCACCTGCAGCTTGGCCGCCTGGTTCTGCGGGTGGTTCTGTGGCAGGCGGCCAATCAGCCAAGCCTCGTGCAGCCCAGGCTGGAGGTGCAAGCAGGCGCCTGTCCCCTGGGCTGTGAGCACAGAGGAGAGCAGGGCAGGACTGCTAGCCTCCTGGTCTTGGGGTGGGAGAAGGGTGGGGGGACGCAAATGAGCCTCCCAGAGTGTGGCAGGCGGCAGAGCCAGCAGGAAGAAAGCCCCAGGATAAAAGACAGCGCAGGAGTACGTGTGGCCCAGAAAGGTCGGCAGGCGCCTGGCACCCTCCAGTAACCCGCCCTCAGGCATGGCTTCCCTCTAAGAGCAAGCAGAGCCATTTTGAAGGAAGATTCCGGAAGCAGAGGGCCCAGTGGTTGGTTCCACCTGGTCTCTGGGCCGTAGAGACCCAAAAAGCAGAAAGGCCTTTTTGTGCATACCCAGAGCCCAATGCCACCTTTACTCCACATCATCAACTCCTTCCAACATCCCGCTTGCCCCAAGGTCCTGCTGGGGACCTGGTGGGGTGGGGTGGGAGGAGGCCACTCTGTGAACCCTGCTCTCCAGGGCCACGCAACGGGGCCTCTTGGAAAATGATGTTTCTGAAAACAAGAGAAGCCAGGCACAAAGCTCCTTCCCTCATCTCTAAGATGTCTTGTGGGTGGACCCACAAATCACACAATCAGTATTGGCACACACATTTTCACTGCATTTTCCCAGCGAATTCCCAGCCCTCCCCACTTCAAATGTCTCACACACACCCATTATGGCAGGGTATGAACCGGTAATTAACTCCCCAAACCTCCAGTGGAAACCAGTCTTCTTTGATTCTTGTCAAATTCCTTTAATTATGAATTTGCAACTGGCCCGCTCCTACACTCATCTGAGACATGGGGCAGCCTGCTTTCCGCCATGCTGGGTTTAAAAAAAAAAAAAAAAGTTTAATGAGCCTTGAATTTCAGGAAAAAGAAAAAAAAATGAACTTTGTAAAACACACTTAAAGATTGGAGGGGCCCTGATGTCACTTCCCTTGAGGAGCTACCCCTGACCAGGCCGGCGCATCCAGGGGTTCCCTTCTCTAGGCTGTGAGAACCCACTGCCTACACGTGTCTGCAGGGGACAGCAAAAGCCATGGGAGATGGTTTGCAAAAATGGCCCAAATATTACACACACAGACACACATACACACACACACACACACACACACACGCCCCTTGCAATGTGACTTGGCAGCTTCTCCCTCTTGAATATGGGTGGACCTTGTGATGTGCTTTGGACAAAATAATTCAGCAAAAGTGACATCGCTTGTTCTGAGCCTGGCCTCAAAGGGCCTTACACTCTCCACTCCCTGTCCGAGTCCTTCCTGGCTGCCGTGAAGATAGCCAGGTCTCACCTGCAGGAGGATGGGGCCAGAGGAAGCAGGAGAAGAAGCAGGCTGACCACCCTTCAACCCCAGATGCCTGAACGAGCCCAGCCAGGACCGGAGTAGCCTGGCCCAGACCAGCCAAGCAGACCTGGGGTGCAGAGAAATGATGAGCAATGCTGATTTTGAGAAAGAAACTTGGGGACGTTTGTTACACATGAGTAGCTAACTGACACAGAAACCATAAGCACCAGGGTGTTTATGGAGATTATGACACCTACCCCAGGCCCCAGGACAGCCCCTGAGTCCTTATAACATGGTCACTGAAATCCCTCCTGAGTCCATCATGCAGGCAGCCTCTCCAGCCCTGGCTCCTCCCGCCTCCTCCACGGAGTGGCCACCAGGAAAAGCCTCCTAAAGTGCTTGAATTTCAGGAAAAAGAAAAAAAAAATGAACTTCGTGAAACACACTTAAAGATTGGAGGGGCCTCCGAAAGTCCCGACCAGGACCCCATGCGTGCCTTGAGTTACCCCAGGGCACCTCAGGTCCCAGAGAATGTCCTACCTCTTAGTAAGGACATTGAGCCCTTCCTGATCTGGCCCCCACACTTTATCTGGGGCTGAATCTCCCACGTCACCCACCCCTTGTGCCACCCAAACCCGCCCAAATTCGCCGTCATTTCTCTCATTCTGAGCCCCACACTGTCTGTTCCCTCTGCCCGGAAAATGCCCCTCCCCAGGCCCTCCAGCTCCCAGCAGGCACCTGCTCCATCTTCAGAGCCAAGGGCTCCTCTGCGTCACCTGCCCACCGGCAGCCACCACCAGCACCCCCTGCTGAGTTCTCCGGGCACAGCTGCACTGCACAGTGGTTAGGGGTACAGGAAACTCCTAAGGTTGGAGCCTGCCTCTGCCAACGACCAGCTGGGCATCCTACCTTCTCTGAACCTCAGTCTTCCCATCTCTAATGTGGACGTGAGACTAGAGCCTTCCTCACAGTGCTGTCATGGGAGTGAGGTCCTCCACGCGGAGGACAGCGCAGGGCCAGGCAGCACACAACGGAGGAATGGAGGACAAACACCAGAAACCAGGGCTGGGTGGGGGCGGGGCACCCTCAGGAGGCAGCGCCGACCCCTGAAATCTATGCAAGGAGGTTACAAGACATCTCTAGGACGTCTTGTCCACCCACGGGATGACTCAGAGACGAGGGGAGGAGCTTTGTGCCTGGCTTCTCAGCCCTCCAGGACAGGGCGGTCCAAGAGCCCTCAGGAGGCTTGGAGTCCCCACAAACCCACTGATTTATAAATCTGGGACTCAGAAAAAATGCATGTCAAGGGCAGGACTTGCTGCTGCAGCACTGGGTGTGGCAGGCGGGGTCTGGGCAGTCACCCGCCCTGCAAGATGGGTGGGTCCCAGCAGGCGGCCTTTCCCACTTCCTACCTGGACATTTGGAGTTGCACAGACACGACCATTGAGCCCCATCCTTGCAAGGTAATTAGTCCATGACCCTGCAATCTCTGCATTTTGAAATTCATCCTGAACTCCCGCAACCCGCTGGGCTTCATTTCAAATGCCCGTGCTCTTTCATCTTCCCAGCCTCCTTCATTAATTCTCACACCCGAGCCGGGGTGCGTGTGCCCCCCTCTCCTCCCAGAGCTGTCTGCAGTCTTCGGCCTGCAGATTGATTGGTGCTTCCCCCTCCCTGGCATTTGCACAACGGGAGATAGTCTATGTGTCTGCGACCGGCCAATTTCTCCTTTCCCTTCAATTTGCAGCCAGCG
Source organism: Homo sapiens (assembly GCF_000001405.40). Lineage (NCBI taxonomy): Eukaryota > Metazoa > Chordata > Mammalia > Primates > Hominidae > Homo > Homo sapiens. The sequence goes on along the minus strand of NC_000022.11, from coordinate 47,296,564 downwards.
TTAGCTCCCCGGTAGAGGAAGGTGAGGAGGAGATTAATGGCAGAGCCATACGAGGATTGTTCTACCCCTAAAGTGGGAGACAGGCCATGGAGAAGTCGTGGTTTAATTGGTTACATGTGACCCTTTCCCTTTTTTTAAATTTAATTCTAACTTTTAACATTTGAAGCTGCATCAATATTAATCATTGCTGCCGTTTTCTGAGTCACCTCTCACCCAGGAAAGGGCATGTCCATTTCTCAAAGGGAGGAAGATAGATTTGCAGTGCCAGGGGGCTCAAAGAGACCTTGGAGGTCCCAAGTCCTGCCCTCGGTCCTTGCGATGGGGAAACTGAGGCCCAGAGGGATGGCGCCTCGATCGGGATCACACACCAAGGAGCAGCCCCAGGCTCAGCGCTGTGTCTCAGGTCCTGAGGCTTGCTTCACGTCTGCATCTCAGAGAGAGAAAGAGCGAAGGGAAGGACCCAGGGCTGGGAGGGGCAACACAACTCTGTTCTATTTTCTGGGTCTCTAGCAAGTCCTAGGAGTTTTGGAAGGATCCTTTTCTGACATTTCTGAAGGACAGTAATTCAGAATCGGCTCCAAGGCACCCAGCCTGCTGTGTTGCTCTTTAAGGAGGAGGGTGTTGAAGTGACCTATGAAGTTGTGAAGTTGTGAAGCCGTGAGGCTGGATCTGCACAGAGCGTCCACGGAGCAGAGCCCCATCTCCAGGCTTCGAGCAGGTGAAGCTGCTGCTCATTAGCGGGAAGGGGTATTGAACACCCCATGTGACTCTGGGCCCGAGTGGGCTCCTGTGTGCTTATGAGTGGGATCAATACCCCTCCAGCCGCTATCGACAGGAACAGTGCTGCTACCCAGCGGGGCCTCCCCATGGGCCCCCCCACTCAAGCCCTGCCACTCAGCACACGTTAGAGAGAGGATGTGAGGCCACAAAGACCCGAAAGTGTGACCAAAATGCAGGTGTGTAGCCACAGAGCACCACCGAGGGCTCTCCTCTGGTCTCGGGTAAAAGCGAATGCAGAGCCCGCTCTTCCAGGCGCTCGGGCAGTGGGCACCCTCTGTGTGGACAGCTGCTGCACAGGCACTGGCCCTGAGCTCACTTTGGACCCTGCTCCTTCCCAGCTGGGGGCTCTGGGCTAGTCACAGCCCCTCACTGAGGGAGGCAGTCCCTCAATGGCCTTTGCCCACCTTTCCTGTCTTTGATCTTTCAGCTCGAGTTTCTCGGGTATTCCTGTGTCCAGATGCCGGGTCCATGGGGCCCTCACTCCTGGGGATCTGCTGGGGGCCGACTGCAATCACCAGAAACTAACTCCGACTGCTGCAAACAAAGAAGGAGCTTACTGAAGGACATTTGGGTCACAGGACAGAAGTAAGGCCAAGGAAGTGGATCTGGGGCTGAGGAGGCTCTCAAGGAGGTGGGGCCAGCAGCAAGAGCCATTCAACCACCTCACCCAGGACCACTGCTGAAATTAACCACGCTGTTTTCAGCCAAGACTCACTGTGTCCCTACCCTGGACCAAGCACCGTCCCAGGCCTTGGGGATTGTGCAGGAAATAAATGAAAAGACAAAGCTCACCCATTTCTTCCACGCCTGCCCCCAACCACTCAAGATGCAAAGTCCTAGAGCAGAAGAGCTGATGGATGGGCTAAGCTCTGGGCACTGCCTACCCTGGGCTCTTGCTGGGCAGTAAGAGGATGTGGCACAGTCTCCAGCCACCCTGGGGCATCCAGACGAGGGAGAACCACGAAAAGGGAGGCAGTGGCCCAGAGAGGCTGCAGGCAGGTCGCTCCTGGAGAGGGGAATGGTGAGCTGAGCGAGAGGGAGGCTGAGGCTATGGGGCAGGGCCCGTGTTTCTTGTGGCTGGATGGAGGGCACTGGGGCCAAGAGAGACAAGGGCATGGGAACAGAAGGGTGCTCAGGAAGACCAAGGATGCCAGTCCAGGGATGAGCTTCACCCCTAGGGCAATGGGGAGCCTGGATTTTGGGAGACACAAGGAGTGTTCGGGGTTCGGTGTTGAGGAAGGAATCCAGGGGAGACAGGAAAACGGGTCAAGTTCACGAGCAAGGGGCGTTTCTTGTCCATACCCAGGACAGGATGGGCCCAAAGTGACTCTCTGGGTGCCCATGTGGTGTCCTCTGAGTCTGTAGCAACAATAATCTCATGAGGTCAGTCATAATGCAGGCTCGGCTCCCAGCCAGGGTCGCAACTCTGCTTGAGGTAACTCATCACCCTTCCAGCCAGCCCATGAGTAATGCATAACAAATGACCACCAGTTTATTGGCTCCCAGTTCTGTAGGTCAGAAGTCCAGCAGGGTGTGGCCGGGTTCTCTCCCAAGACCAAAATGCAAGTGCCAGCCCAGTGGAGTCCCGTCTGGATGCTCTGGAGAGAAATGTGCTTCTGAGCTCACTCAAGTCCTTACAGTTGTTGGACTGAGGTCTCTGTTCCTAGGCAGCTGTCAGCTGGGGCCACCGTGCCCCTGGAGGCAGTCACACTCCTCACCATGTGGCCTTTTCCAGCCTCACACTCTCAACGGCACATTGAACCTCATGCTTCCAATCCCTCTGACTTCCTCTTCCTCCTTCCACGAGGGCACATCCTCTGCTTTTTAAAGGCATCACCTGATTAAACCAGACCCACCCAGCTAGTCTCCCTACCATGAAGTCGACTGGGCATAAGCAGAACATATGCCCGGGAATGACATCTCATCTTCGTCAGCTCCAGGGATTAGCACAGAACATCCTCAGGGTGCTGTACTGGGTTGACCTGTTCCCTCAAAATGCATGTCCTTCCCAGAACTTCAGAATGCGATCTCATTTGGAAACAGGTCATTGCCGATATAATTAGTTAAAATGAGGTCACACTGGAGTAGGTGGATCCTTCATTCAGTGTGACTGATGTCCTTACAAGAAGAGACACACAGACAGAGACACAGGCAGAAGGCCACGTGGTGACGGAGGCCAAGATCAGAGCGATGTACCTACAAGCCAAGGAGCACCACGCACTGCCCACAACCCCGGAGATGAAGGGGACAGGGAACAGCTTCTCCCCTAGAGCCTGCGGAGGGGGCGTGGCCCTGACAACACCTTGATTTCCGACTTCTGGCCTCCAAAACTATAAGAGGATACATTTCGGTTGTTTGGGGTATTTTGCAACAGCAGCCAAAAGAAGATAATACAAGGTCCATGTTTAGAAATTCTGCTTGTCATGCATAGGAACTCATATCCTGTCCATTTTGCAGATCAGAAAGCTAAGGCTCAGAGCAGTGAAGAGCTTGCCCGAGGTGACAGGTGAGCAGCTAGCAGGCAGCAGGACTGGGTCTGGCACCCACACCCTGAACCTCTGCTCCTTCTATGTCCCACAGAGGGGAGGGGTTCATATGGTCCTGCTTAGGGACAGAGTGGAGAGGGTCCAACTCCCAAAGCTCGTGCTCAGAGAGGACTCCTCGGAGCCCCCCCAAGACCAGGATGACAAGCTGGGCAGCAGAATCATCTACCATTGCAGGCGGAGCAATGGACAGTCAGAGATGGAACTGGTAAATATCACAATTTCTCATCCACGCCACAACACTTAGAGAAAGAGGGAGCGATGGCTAATTATGCCAGGGTGACTGGCATCATGGGACTGTCCCAGGCAACCAGGACACACAGTCCTCTCCATCCGAGGCACCGGGTGGCTGAGAGCTGAGCGCACAGCCTGCCCGCAGAGTCTCCTTCCCGTGAGGCCCCACAGCCGCCGCCTGAAGTTCCAGGCCTCACTTCTCCGCAGGACTCCATCACTGGCTCCCAAACACGGTCCTTTGAGCCTCCTGCTCTAATTGCAGGCAGAGATTACTCCCACAGTTTCAGGGCCAACAGCTGGGCTAAGTGGCCGTCCCCAAAACCCATTTCCTGCCTGGCTGGGTACGGAATGTTCTTTCCCTCTAAGTAAAATAAACAGGTCTGAACTCATTGGACTTTTCTATTTGCCGTCCACTAAAGCCTTCTAGCTCCTGGGTTTTTATACAACTAAGATTTATAGTATCTATTCTCACCAGTGCAGAGTCCCCAGATAATGCTAATAGATGGCTAGTGTTGCCAATAAATCCCTCCAGCGGTGGAGAGAAATATCTATTTCAGATGAGTTCTCCAGAGCTAATCCACATTCCGAGTGGTGGAGGGCACTTAGGCTGAAACAGCTCCACTCAACAGGCGAGGGCACTTCCGCAGAGTCTGGGCCTCTGCAGCCCACCTCTGCATCCTGGCACCCACAGAGATGCCAGGGCCAGAGCTTGTGGGGCTAGGAGCATCCATCCACCTTTGCAAAATGCTTCTGAGATGGGTCAACCAGAAGGCCACACCCGGTCTCACAGAATGGGGCCCAGAGGAGGTACTCAATACTCATGGGTTGAGGAATTGATCAGTCCAAATACAGCACCCTCCCCCTAAGGTGGCCTCCTGTCCCTCCTAAGGTCCCCACCAGCCTCGAGTTCACCCAGGTGAGCTATCTCTGAACAGAGCTGGCCATACCCTCCCTGATGCCTGAATCCAGGCGTCAGGTCTCTCTGCTTCCAGCCCCTCCCTCCTAGCCTTGCTCCTCTCCTGCGGCTAAGGAAGGGATCCCCTACGGGGTCCTCATCCCATGCCCAAATCACCCATACTGAAAATGAAGCTTCCCGTGCAGAATCACGCGAGCACACTCTGCATTTTCCCTCCAAAGCAAGAGTGGTGATCGGCCAAAGGTACTTGAGGGAACCCCCCACTGCATTCAAGGCCCTCCGTTGTGAGGGCACAAGCCACCTTCCCTGGGCCCCGCCAGGCCTTGGACATGCCCAGGACCCCCCAGCTTAGGCCCTGGCTTCCCCAGCCCTCTGCAGGAGACCTTCTCCGTAGCACTGTCCCCTGCTGAAGTCACCCCGGGTTCCTGAGATCCAGCACAGATGCCATCTTCTCCAGGAAGTTTTCCCAGAGATTCACTTCTCTGAAGGCAAACCTCGCACCATGCACTGTCCCCCTGTGGGGAAGACAGCAACGGACAAAACCATGACATGTGCGCAGAAAGCTAGAAGGGAGGATTTCGAATGTTCTGAACACAAAGAAATGTTCAATGATGGAAGTGCTAATCATCCCGATTTGATCACTACACATTGTATGTGCGGAAACATCACTCCGCACCCCATAGATATGTACAATTATTATGTATCCATTTTAAAAAATACCCCGTTCCTCCTCCTGGGGAATCGCGCAGCTTGGCCAGTGTCGTTCCCATCCCAGGGGGCTGTGTGGATCTTGGCCAGGCTATCAGAACCTGGGCCATGTCTGGGTGTGCAGAGGCCTCTGTGCTGGGCACCTCTGCCTGCTGGGCAGCGGCCCAAGCAAGGGCGGCCTCATTCCAGGACCACAGGTGAGTCCTGGAGAGGTGGTGGGCAGAGAAGCAGCCAGCCTTCATCTTTCATTTGAGATTAAATAGGGTGTGTCAAAATTATTTGCCAGTATTACCACAAGGACAGAGAAACAGAAACCTATGTCGTCCCCGTAAAAGCTCATCTGCGCTGGGGGCGGCTCTGGGGGCCAGGGCACCTACACTTATTCTCACGCAATTCTCACAGCAACCCCAGAAGATGAATCCAGTGTGGACCACGCTTCACAGGCGCAGGCGTTGGGGCTAAGGAGAAAGTAGGTCTCCCCCACCAGGCAGCCTGGCTGGACTCAGAGCTGGAATTAGCACATGGCTGGCTCTACCTGGCTGCAGCTGTGCTGGGTGAGTAGAAGGGATCCTCCAGGGTTGGGGCAGGTTAGCCCGAGGCTGGCGAGGCTGGCGTGGCTGGCAGTAACCATCTCTCTTCACACGTCAGAATCAAGATTTGTCGTGATGAGGCCTGGATTTGCTTCCTGGCTCCACCCGTGACCGAATCTGCAACCTTGGGAGAGCTATTTTCCTTTTTTTTTTTTTTTTTTTTTTTTGAGACGGAGTCTTGCTCTGTCGCCCAGGCTGGAGTGCAGTGGTGTGATCTCGGCTCACTGCAAGCTCCGCCTACCAGGTTCGTGTCATTCTCCCGCCTCGGCCTCCGGAGTAGCTGGGACTACAGGCGCCCGCCACCACGCCCAGCTAATTTTTTGTATTTTTAGTAGAGACCGGGTTTCACCGTGTTAACCAGGATGGTCTTGACCTCCTGACCTCGTGATCTGCCCACCTCGGCCTCCCAAAGTGCTGGGATTACAGGCGTGAGCCACCGCACCTGGCCGGGAGAGTTATTAATTCACCTGGACCTCAGCTTTCCCATCTGAAATTGGGGAATAATAATACCCTCCTCGTGGTTTTCATGAGAAGCCAGTGATGAAGGCAGCTACTGTGCTTCCCAAGATCTTTGCCTTGGCACGAACGCTCACAATATGGAACCGTCGCCGGTAAACTTTTCTGCACTTTATGAACTTACCTGTAAGGGGGACATCTTACTTCCGTAATTGGGAAATAACGTCTTTAAGAAAATAGCTTTCTGGTCAAGTCTGGAGATAAAGATAGGGACAGATTTGCTGTCGTTAATTGTGGGAATTAATGGAGCAAAGCGACAGCTTTTCCTTCCCTGAGTGCTGTGTATTAAAAATTTCTCTCGTGCATCCTTTCAACATACAATTGACATACTTGTTTAGCTCCAGCTGTTGCACTTGTTGACGTTTTTGTTGCTCCCCTTCCAGATGTGCTCATGCATGCGGGGGGCCCAGATGGGTCTGGCCAGAGGTAGCCAGGTCAGACAACTTCCAGGCTCTTCCTGGTCCCTGCACGGTGTGGCTCTCACATGGGGGCATGAACCCAGAAACAGCAGGTTCCTGCTTGGGTGACCTCCGGATTCCAGCAGGGTGCCCGACAGCCTGGGGGCATCGGGGCTGCTCTCTCATGCGCCTCCTGCTGTTCCCAACACAGGGAATTCGGAACATGGGGCAGAGGATGGGCCTGTCCCCCTACCTTCCCCACTTCAGCTCCAAGCCCAGCCTCTGCCAGTCCTGAGCCCACCAGACCAGCCCACAGCCCAGAGGGTATCATCAGCCACCTGCAGGCATGGCCAGAGCTGATCTCTTGGCCACAGACCCTATCTCCTGCTTGCCAGGGGACAAGGCTGGACCCCATGCCAGATGGCCAGTCAGCCCAGTCAGCTGCCCTCCCCAGCACACCGAGTGCCTCTCGGGCCTCGGGGGTGGTCAGGCTGGATGAGGGGCTGCCCCTGACAGCCTTCAGGAGCATTCACCTGCCAGTGCCCAGAGGGTTAGCTCAACATCAGGAATCAGTTTGTGTCATGAATGACCACACTTTTCCACAACTAACCCTTGAGCTGTTCCTGCACATTCCCATGTTACAATAACTTCTCCAGGTATCATTTCTGGATGCACCTTCTGCCCCCTACCTTCCCTCACCACCCCATTGGAGGTGCTCCTCCCACCCCACTTTTCCACCCCCACCTGCCAGTCTCCCTGATTGTCCTCATTCAACACTTGACCTCACGAGGTCAGCCTGTGCGCTCACTCTCTCTCTCATGTTGTCTGTTTCCCTCAAAGAGTGTGAGCGCCATCAGAGCAGAGTCCTCCCGGGCGGAAGGAGTAAACATGCGCATAAGCAGCAGAGCTGAGTGCTAAGCCCGGCAAAGAAGGACATTTATTGGAAGACACTGGGTGGGTCACAGAACCCAAGAGCAAGGCTGAGTGGCCCAGACAAAAGACCAGACAGGCCAGCTCCGGGTTAGGGCGGAGGCACCCACTGGCCTGTCCTCTGGGCACTGCCCCCACCTGGCCCAGCCCCACCAGCCTCCTTCACTAGACTCACAAGAGGGACTCTGGCTGATGCAGCTTGCACCTCAGGTCCACCTCTGTGGTCAGGAAAGTGCACACTTGTCAGGGAGGGGGTGTGGGGGAAAGATAACCACACAGACAAAAATAACAATGATTACAATCAGATGTACTAGAATCCAGTACATCTGGGATTCTAGTTCTGGTTGTTCTGAACCCTAGATCCATGTTGTGGTGGAAGAATGAGTGGGTGACAAGGTAGGACCGATGCATGAAAAGAGGATGGATTTTGGATGGATGGATGACAGGTGGGTAGATGGATGGATGGATGGATGACAGGTAGGTAGATGGATGGATGGATGACAGGTGGGTGGATGTAGGGAGGGATGGATGGATGGATGACAGGTGGGTGGATGTAGGGAGGGATGGATGGAAGGATGAAGGTGGGTGGATGGAGGGAGGGAGGGATGGAGGGATGGATGGATGGATGGATGGATTGATTGACTGATGGATGGACAGGCAGGTGGATGGAGGGATGGATGGATGGATATGGGTTGATTGGATGGAGGGATGAATCAATAGAAGAGATGGCTAGATGGGAAGGTGAATGGATAAGAGGGATCAGTGAATGACTGGGTAGGTGGTGAAGGAGTTTGCCCTTGGATGGACTCAGCCAAGATGCCAATTGTTGAACTGAGACCCTGGTTAGGTAGATCAAGTAAGGATCTCCTGGAACAGGAGTCTTTACAAAGCGTGATGCTATGATGTCAACAAGGAAATATGGTTCCTAGAGAGAAACTCTCCATATCTGGTATGCCAACTCTGACAAAACATGTATGCTTCTGTGGGCATGCATGCACACACACACACAGAGACAGAGAGAGAGACAAAAGAGAGAAAGAGGGAATATCATTATTACTTCGAAGGAAGTCTTGAAGAACATCAAACCCAAGATCATCATGTTCCAGTTAGAAAACTCAAGGCCCAGAGAGGGGAAAGAAGTCCAAGGTCACCCAGCTGGTTGGAAGCTGACCCAGGTTGCAAACTTCCCAGCCAGCTCTCCTGCCATCTCACCACACTGCTTCCCAGCCAGCACTCCTGCTGTCTCACCACACCACCTCCTTAGGAGCTTCTGAAATTGCATGAGATGCAGCCTGCTTCACGGGCAGATGGAGGCTGCTCATCAGCACACAAGGATCACAGCTGTGCCTTCCAAAACAGAAGGCATTAAATACGCCTGCACAAAATGCAACAAACAGAATAGGGGCCGGGCACAGTGGCTCACGCCTATAATCCCAGCACTTTGGGAGACTGAGACAGCTGGATCACCAGCAGTTCGAAACCAGCCTGGTCAACATGGTAAAACCCCATCTCTACTAAAAGTACAAAAATTAGCCAGGCATGGTGGCGGGTCCCCATAATCCCAGCTACTTAGGAGGCTGTGGCAGGAGAATTGCTTTAACCCAGGAGGCAGAGATTGCAGTGTGCCAAGATCATGCCACTGTACTCCACCCTGGGTGACAGAGCAAGACTCCATCTCAGAATAAAAAAGAAAAGAAAAGAAAAACAGAATGGGGGAGGTTGAGTGGAGCTCAACGTCTGGCTCTTGGTAGAACAAACAAAAACACGTCCATGTGACCACCCAGCTGAGAGCCGTAGTCATTGGAATTTGAGACCCCGGGGGCTTCCAGCAACCCCACCCTTTGCAGCTCTCAGCTCGTTGTGGGGGTCACAATGGAGACAGGGGCAGAGTCGGAGCCAACAGCACCCACTTGCCACTTCCGGTGAGGCTTTGGTGAGGTCATGTGCAGTAGAGCCTGCACACACTCTGAGCACTTTGAATGGATACCCACCCCACCCTACTTTGGGTGTGAGGGGATGAACCATCCAGGATCAGGGTTGAGTCCCAGCACCCCTGCTGACCAACCATGCGTCCTTCACCAGGTCACCTCACCTGCCTGAGCCTACGGCCCTCACTGTGGACCCCAGGATGATGGGGAGCAGGCGGAGGTCCCAGGGAGGCAGAGGTTGTGGCTGCACCAAGGGAGACGTAGCCCCACCTTCCTGAGCTGCCCACCAGGAGTTTCCCGTGGCTCCCTGAGCCTGCAGACCTTGGCCCCTGCTAGAATCTTTCCTGTCCTGGTTGTCACCACCACTACAGGCACTCCACCCCACCTCCCCGGCTATCTCCTCCAGCCACATGAACCCACGTGAAACTGCTGCTGCTTTGACCCCACTGATGCGGTTTCACCTTGACCCACATGTGCGGCTGATGAAAGGCTGCTTCTCCATCAAGTCTGGCTTCACAGCCACCACTCCCCTGGACCCCTTCCTGAGCCCCTGCACCTGCCGGCAATGCCCCTCCTGCAGTCCTCCAAATGGCACTCACAGCATCTTATCCATTTCACATTTCACTTCATCAAAATGCCCCCAACCCTCTCCTGCCAGCCTGCAGGAGCCAGAAGTCCTGGGTTGCTGCCCTCGTACATCCCAGGCGCAATGCCTGGACCACCAGCAGGTGTCCAGCACAGGGTCCCAACTCCCCGTCAGCACAGCGAGCTCTGTGTGGAGGCGCCTGGGCCACCGAGGTGCAGAGCTGGGCTGAATGTCAGGCTCCAGGTTGACTTGTAAGCAGCCCCAGGCCACCAAACTGAAAGACGCCACCAGCCGGGGACTATGTTCATTGTCCTTGGACAGTCTGATTCCCAGGGCCCAGCCCTTGATTCCTCTGCTGATGTGGGTCAGCTGTGGAGGCTCCGTCTCAGGCCTGAACCTGAGAAGGTCACAGATCCTGCAGAACGTGGGGACCTTCTTCAAGGGCTTGCCCTTCTGATGATGGCTGCCCACGCTCGCAGAGGCGAGTGCTTCCCCATGGTCAGCAGGCATTTCTAGTGGCTGAGACAGGCCCTCTATCTATTAAGCGCCTGCAGCACATGCACATGGAGACAGACATTTGTCTCCCCTCCTCCTGAGCCCATCACTTTTTCCCTAACTGCTGCTGAACCTGCTCTTCACCAGCCCAAGAGCAGAGCTGCAGAAACAGATGATGGTCGCCGGGTCCAAGGTGAGGCTCTGCTGTGCCAGGAGCGCTTTGTTCTAGGATGAGTCTTAATGTCCTGGCACGGAGGAAAAACAAAGTCCCCGCAAAGCACTGCTACCCACTCCAAGGCCATCTGCGAGGCCCTGCTCTTCTCAGGAGACCCGCCATGAAGTAAATGGGGTGCGGGTGCAGGGCCTCTGACGACTCGGTTCCCTTCAGCTCTAACATCAGTGCCTGGGTCATCATCACTAATAAAATCCCTTCACAGAATGTCCCTCCAGAGCTGCCACCATCTAAACCAAGAGAAACATTTCAGGGATCCTGCGGGTTTTCAATGCCAGGACTTATACGAAGTTTTGATCAGATAAAAGTGGACCCCAGAATACCTGGTGGGTAGAATACGTAAAACCAGCAACATCAAGGCCATCACTGACTCCTCCTCCTAACAAATTAGAAAACAGAAATGGGAAGAAGACAGGCAGAGAGATGGAGGAAAAAGAGGAGCAGGAGGGATGGGGAGGGAGGGAAGGAAGGAGGGAAAGAGGAACAGAGGGAAAGAGAGAAAAAGAGCCTGAGTAAGTGAGAGAGAAAGAGACAGAGAGAGAGACGGATAGACAGAGAGATACAGGGAGACAGAGAGACAGAGACAGAGAGAGTTAGCAGCCATGGGCAGGAGTACTTCCTTCTCCCCCATGAGCCGAGGCAGCCCCACTGCCCACCAGATCTGCCCGGGACTCCGAGGCCCCTGCAGCTGGTGAGCTCAGAGCCGGGACCCACACAGGATACAGTGTGATTTGAAGGCTCAGCAAATTTCCCTCCCAGCTAAACTAATGCCCCTTTGGTCTGTCCTAGGCAGAGACTTCTTGCCCTGGGGATGCATCTCCAAGGTCTCGGATTATTCAGAATCTCAGACAAGCCATTCCCGTCCATCTCAGCAGAGCATCCCTTCGTCTGTCAGCTGCTCGCGGGCTGTCCATATCAAATGAATAGCTGATTAATATGCATTTGTTGATTGCCTGTTCTTTCCTCACCATTTGCTGACCATTTCCTCAGAGCCAGGCCCCCAGCCAGCACCAGGGACTCACAGAACCACCACGCAGGGCTCAGCCTGGCGCGTGGCCTGGGTAGAGCTGGGGATGAATTCCTGCAAGGATGATGACAACAGGTGTGGTCAGAGCCCTGGGCTGGCCACAGAGGAGCAGGGACTCTGTGTGGGGGGAGCACACTGTCTCCCACCTGCCTGCCAGCCGAGGTGGGTGAGCCCTGGAGGAATGGAGGGAGGGACTCAAAGCCAGCTGCCAGTTTGTCTATGGGCACGAGACCCTCATTCCCGCGAGGACTCCTCAGTGGAAGCAGAGGGGCCGCAGCTCTGCACATCAAGTTCAGGCAGAGCAAGGGAGAACATTTCTGGGCTAGAACAGCAAGGCATCACTGAGGACCCCTGAACGGTCCCTCAGCCTCAGGAACCATCCAGTCCACAGCCTCACCATGCTCAGCTCCCTGCCCAGGACCCCAGACACTGTGGGGACAGGGATGGCTGGACACAGCCTGACCCTAGCACCCTGCTGACCAGCCTCCCTTCCAGCAGATGCACCTGCTTCTTGAGGCATGGCTCTCCCTGTTCTGGACCACAGGCTGCCTCTCCAGAGCGGGGCCGATCTGGACAGAGACAAGTTGAATTCCCTCCCCAAGTGTTGGGAAGGCACCTCCCTGTCTCCCCAAGTGCCCCCAGGACCCCTGGGTCACGCCTCCAGCTAAGTGCTGTCTGCCCCAGGGTCTGCACTCGGGGTCTCAGAGGCAGACCGACCCACCCCAAGATGCTGCTGGGGACAGAGGTGAGACCTCCTTTGGACTTAGATTTTCTCTTTCCAGGCCTGGCTGGGGTACCTGGGTCACATCTCCCTTCTCCAGGCTCCCTGCCCCGGCCCAGGGTCCCCCCCGCACAGGCCAGGCATCACTCGCTGAAATGAGATCCTCAATGCCGCTGCTCAGGAGCATTTGGAGAGGGCTGGAGACGGGGGCGAGAGCTTTGCTGGGCCTTTGCAGAGCTGGGGACCGGCAGCGTTCGAGGTGACAAGGGTAATAGCCGCTGACAGTCACACGGAGGCCTTTGGCGCTGGCAAGGCTATTAAGGGTCTGAGATGAGAAATGAGAAAAGACCGCAAAGTACTGTGATGGGTAATTTTCAGGAGGAGAATTTCTCTTCAGGAAGAGACATCCCTTAGAACACTCTGAGCAATCAGTCCTGGAAACTGAAAGAGCTGCTCTTTCCTGGGCTTCTGACAAAGAAGGAAACAAGGGGTCTTTTCCACGAGTCCACTGTGCCCAGGGGGCAGGGGCCGCTTTTGTCTTTGTGTTCATCTCCGCTTCCTTGTTACAGCAGCAGGAGGGGCTCGGGACAGGCCAGAGCCTTCCACCTGATCCAGGGTGAGTCAGACAGAGGTGGGTGTCAGAGCTGGTGTCCTGGGGGGTTTAGGTAGGACAAGGGGCAGGGCCACAGCTCCTAGCCACCCCTGGAACCCCCGACCCCACAGGGATAGGGATTGCTGCCCTTCACCAGAGTGGGGGCCGGATCTTCACTGAGCCTGCCTCCCTCCCAGCGCTGAGATGGCTTCTCCTCACCCATTCATTCATTCAGAAACACCTGCTGCCCCCTGCCAGGCACAGTTCTGGGGTCATGGCCTCAGTGATGAACTAGGCCTCCGCTCTTGGGGCACTTACCTTGTCCCCAAACTGCACCTTATCCAAACACTGGATGCAGCTGCCGAATCAGCACAGCCATGATGTCCACCCGGATCATGGAGAGCCTGCCTTCACCTGGCAAGGCTAACGGGACGTGTGTTGGGCAGGGGCCCCAGCTGGCCCCATCCAACCCTCTCTCCTGAGAACTTGGAATTGGGAAAGAGAATTTTAGTCCATCTGAAAGCCCCAGGCTCTGCAGCCATGGTGCTGAGAACAGATGTGCCCAAGGTGGCCCAGGAACAGGTCAGACCCCAGAAGACAGAGTCGCGACGGCACAGACCCCAGAGTAAGCTGGAGGCTGGGGGTCTCGGAGGGAGGGGAAGAGTGAGCCTGGGGCAAACCAGCTCCTGCCCTGAGCTGGGCACCAGGGCCTGGGTGCCCCCTATTCCCGACTCTAGGGTGCCCGGGGCTCTCCACCCCTGGTGCCGGGTGAAGATGCAGGGAAGGCCAGCATGACACAGGACCCCGCCTGGCAGGACCCAGGATCCCGGGGCTCTGGTCTCCATTCTTGCCTTGCCAGCTCTGGGACTCAGCCCCCCTGCCTGGGTAAGGAAAGGCCAGCGGCCAAGGCTCCATGTCCTCTGGAGCTCTGGCATTCTGTGAAGGGCTGGGAGGTGGCCATGAGGCTCCCACCCTGCCACAGCTACTCCCTGCTGTTTCTGAGCCTTTGGGAGCCCTGGACCACACCCTCACCTTGCCTGGGAAGCAGAGCCAAAGCCTCCACAGAGAGGCCCGGAAGGGGAGAGGCCACGCGGGCCTGCCACCACCCCCGCCAGTCTCAGCCCTGCACCCCGTTTATCCCATGTCACACCATCACTGCCGCTTTGCCCTCTGTCCACACACCCTTCCTCTCCACTAGCCGCCAGCTCAGAATCCAGGAACCCTCAGCTCCAACCCTTTGGCCAATGAACACGAGCAAAAGTGGCTCGCGTCACTCCAAGAGCCACTGTGTGTTTCACTGTTTCTGTGTTCCCTCTGCCATGCCTCATCAGGGCTGGGCCTCAGCCTGGTCGGGAATGAAGAAGAATGCAGAGCAGATGCACAGCCAGCAAGAAATCAACCCTTGATTCAGAAAAAGCCCCCGAGACTTGGGTGTCGTTGGCTCTGCAACATAACCCGCAGAAGCTGCCTGGCGTGTCCGGCAAACATGCCCAGAGCAGAGCCATGTGCATGTCAACATGCAGGCTGACTCTGGAAGGAAAACCAGGCCCAGAAGCAGCGGCTGCCTGTGCAGAAGAGGTGGGGAGGGGTGGGTGAGGGAGACTGAGGTGCCTCACACTCAGGGCTGTGTCATCTGAATTCTCATCCTGTGCACTGTTGCCTTAAAAGGCAACCATTTTCAAACAACTCTTTGAGGACTGGGATGATGACATTAAGATCGTCCCAACTCACACTGTGGCAGTGATGCCCTGATGACCACCCAGGGGAGCACTGAAGACCAATGCAGCCTCGATTCACTCCCCAAAGGACAGATCCCTCCGAGCAGAAGATAGCACTGAGGGGGTCTGCAGGTCCAGGGTCCATGCAGTGCCAGGCAGGGGCCACACTTAGGGCTCACAGCTGCATAGACTGGCCAAGAAGGGAGCAGGCTCAGCAAGGTGAGGGGACGCGCCCAGGGACCAGGCCCTGACCCATCCATCCATTACCAGGCTCCGGAGCTCTGCTCATTTCTGAGAATACTCTCATTTTCTGGCAGTCTCCTGGTGACTCACCTGCTCTTCTCTGCCCATTTTCCCAGCATAACAATTGCTCGATACTCTCCCAAATTACTCAGGAGTCGCTCATCCATGAAATAGCAGAGCCAGCGAGCCTTCCAGACAAAAACTGCCCATTTCTTAGAACAGCCCGAGTCTCAGACTCCAGTCCATGGAGTCCTGGGGGGCGAGGGCCCAAGGGGACCCCAGGGGTGGGAGAGTGGACACTGTCAGAGAACATTTCTCTCCTCTCTTCCCTGCGGGCAAAGTCCTCAGCCCCTCCCCCATTTTGATGGAGTGGCATTTAATGCTCTTTTATCAACTTGGGGATTGTCTTGATCCAGGAGCTAATTGTATTGACATTAACCTGTTTTAACAGGTCTAAAGTATCAATAAATCATTTTTTAGTAGCTCTCCTTATTACAGCACTTTGTTAATGTATTGCACTCGAAGTGACAAACAGCCAGAGAAATCATTGCTTTCCTGTAATCTACTTTGTCTTTTTAAGTCTTTTCTTTCCTCCTGCTAGTTCAGATACTTCTAAAGTTGATTTAGAAGTGAATAAAGATGGAGGCAAGACTAGTGCCATTCACTGGGCTGGAATCCTCCATCATCTACCGCAGCTTCATTTCTCCTGGACAACGGCCATCCGCACATCCCACTGTTTCCACACAGCTGGAATCTGAACAGGTGCACATTAGGTACGTGTTTCTACACAAGAAGGATCTGGAAATATAATCGAGGACTTCTGAAGAGGGCTGGAGGCTGAGTCTCCTAGAGAACAAATCTTCATTTGGGCTTTTTGACAATATGCAAATCCACAGATGGGTAAAGAAGTAAAAATTCCAAAAACTTCAGCTAACTCAGAGGTTGCCAAAATCTAGCTCTGGGCTTACTAGTAGCCAGGGCAAAAAGAGAAACGCGTTGTGTTTTTAATTCTTACTTGGAATAAAAAAAGAACCTGGCTGATTTTTTTCAGGAGAGGCTCTTTCATGGTTCTGAATTTTGAGAGTTGTTTAGGAAGAGCTTTGAAGTCGGACAGAAATGGGTTCAAAACCTGGCTGTGACACTTCATCAGCTCTGTGTCTTGGGCAAGCCACATCCCACCTCTGAACCCGGTTCCCCACCTTTATAAAATGCAGATGGTAATGCCTCACTGCTCTGCGCAGGTTGAATAAGAAAATACCTGCAAAGCATCCAGCATCGTGCCTGGGGCAGCAGATGCTGGGGATCCCCAGCTGCAAACGGCAAACAGCAGCACAGACACCCTGCTCTCACCTTCTCAAGAGCAAAACCATCCGTCTCCGTCCCCTTTCCCTAACTACAGAGGAATGTGGCTAGAGTCGGTTCTGAGTTCAGACCGAGGTACGCGCTTTCCACTAGCTCATTCCAGTCCTAATTCGCTCTCAAGGGATGCTGAACTGTTCAAGAAACTAACTTTTTTTTTTCTAAGAGTTTCCAACATGTGTCTGTGTTCCAGTCCTCATTCAGACATTTGCCCCTTTGGAGAAAGCCCTCCCAAGCGAGAATGGCAAGAGAAGCCCACCAACTTCGGGAAGATGTTTATTGTCACTCAGAGTCCTGCATGTATTTCAATATTTTCTTGATATAAGTCCAACAAACAAGCTATTCTCTAAGTGAAAATTCCCCTTGTCCTAAATAATTCACAAGAAGAAACTTCTGAAAAACAAACTCTCTCACGGCCCTGCTCAGAACCGGCTATGGTTCCACCCAGACGCCCACTGCCCACTGCAATCCACAGCGTTTGGGACTCAATGGAGTCACCCCTTGGCTGAGCTGGCAATGAGACCTGGCGTCCCCGACTGGGGGCTTATACCTTCACTGTAGCCATCTGTCATTCTGGGAGGCCCATTTCTGCCTGAGGCCCATAGCATGTGCCCTCCCTAAAGACCCAGAGTCTGCAGATGAGCACTGCCCTTGGCCAGCCCAGGCTACACCATTGGCGGTCCCAGGGTGCCTGCACCCCGGAGACACCAGGCTTGGAGACGGAAGGACCCTAGCAGAAAGCAGAGTTCTGGAGAGGAAGGCAGCCTCTCCCTCACCGAGTGACTGTCCCCACCTCGCTCCCCCTGGGCAGCTTCTCCAGGAGCTCACAACCTTCATGGAAAAGTGCTCTGTGCAGACAGACCCAGTGCCTCTTTCTGCAGCCTTTCGCTGACACCAGGTGCACTTTTGGTTTAATCCTTCAGGAGTCAAGGAGGCCAGACTGAAAACTAGGGATCTTCTGGCTAGCTCAGTCCCAAGATCCAGCAACCTTGTCATTGCCGGCACCCCCTCGCCTGCCACAGTGCAGGTGATTGAAGGAGACGGAAGGGCCACTGTCCTGCACTGAGCCCCCCACTACCACCAAGCTGCATTCCAGTACATTCTGTCAGCTGACCCCACAGCTGCGCTCTGTCCATCAGCGGCGCTCTGTCCTGGGACTCAGAGAGGTCTGGAAGCAGTGAGATCGCTCAGCCTGTGAGGTGAGAGCCCAGCCTGAGACTCAGGACAGCCAAGGGGTGACGCCTGATCAGTGTGTGGGCCCAGCAGTGCCTGAGGCCAAAGGAAACACACGTGCTCCTACATCCACTTCTCACAGTTGCCTCTCGCATTCTGAACTGAGTTGGAAAAGTTAATAACTGCCCAACAATCCAAAATCGCGGCTCTATCCAGAGAGCCCCGAGTTGCCCCATCTGCTCGCATACCATCGGCAACCCTCGTAAACTCGTATCATGCTGGACACGCCAGCCAGCAGCCCCAGGAGCCTGGGACTGACCAGAAGTGGCATCCCCATTACAGGATAGACAAGGTCACCAAACAAGAAACAACAACCTGTTCTTATTTAAAATGTTGATATTTTGTCTATCTTAATTTTGATATTTTACATTATTGCACTGAAATATGATCTATCTTGATGACTTGGTTTTGAGAACCCCTTAAATTCTGTGCGCTAGGCACACACCTGCCTCTCCTGAATCCAGCGCCTGTGGTGTTCAAGTTCTGACTTCGGGGTCTCGTCCTCTTCCTCCCATTGCCATTGACCTAGAAGCTGGAGCTTCCAACAGAGTGGGTGCCGTTTCCCCTTTTCAAGCCCAGGTTTGATTCAGTTCCCTGCCGGGTGGTGAGGACCACCAGCCCCAGCCAGCTCCACAGATTAGATTAAAATTTACTCCAGCCATTTAGCGTGGAGCTGATAACACAAAACACACTGTTCCTGGACTGAGTCCACTTAGGTCTATTAAAATCCTGTTTCTTCCCTGCCATGAGTTAAGGAGACCCATTTCTCTCAGTTCCCACTTCCTGATTTCAGCTCAGAGAAAATAATTAATTCCGCTGATCCCTAATTGACTTCAGGTGGCACCTATACCAAACACTAACACCATTCCCTTAACGAATAATTTCTTCACTAAAATGGGTTTCAGTCTTATTTGGAAGAAAAGAATAAGAAAATTAAAGCTGCGGGAAGATAACACTGCAAAGAATAACTGAAGCGTATTTACATATGCAACCAGGCACCCCTTCTGCACTGTGAAAAGCTGGGGGAAAGCTGCAAACAGAGAGAGAACAATGAGTACAGAGGAAAATGATTAATAAATTGGAGCACAGGCGGCGGGCCCCAGGAGGCTGCTGCTAATAACAGCACGGGGTACAAAAGCATGGACGCCGCTGAGGCCCAGCCACTGAGCCATGTTGCCAGGCATCTAGAACTTTCCACGTCTGGAGAGAGACTGTGGGGATCTGCTGCCTCGAAGTTGACCCAGCCACTGGCAGGAGACCCCTGCCTGCTCTTCTAGAATGTCCATTCTCTCTCACAGAGGCCCACAGAGAGGTTGTTCTCCCAGTGGGCAGGGAGGGGGAGTCACAGAGCTCAGGATGTTCCAGAACATGGAGAGACAGTGTAACCGGGGGAGTCTAAGCCTGCAAATTTGTGGTTCTCACCATGTGTTCAGCGGCCGTCTTGAGTTCCTGGGTGCCACTCAGCACCCACTGTGAGTGTGACCCTGCTCGGTGATGGCCCCACGCAGGTTTGCACCTGGTCAGCTGTCACCGAGGGGAGAGGTGCTGAGGGTACGAACAGGCAAAGGAGGAGACTTGGCACCCGTCCCACTCTCGCAGCCCGGGGAAGCCCGCCTGTGTGCAGCAGGGAGAAGATTTGGGTCTCATCCCCTCTGGCACCTGGACCCCGGCAGCAGGGAACAGGGGAGCCCTGGCCTGCTGCTCACCCCACTGACTCACTCGGGGACCAGGTCACAGATGCTGAGGACACCAGGTGGACACGGCTGAGGAGAACTTCACTAACACTGGGTTCAGAGGCCAGCCCCTTGGGCTCAGGGCCTCAAGGCGTCCGGCTTAGCATAATCTGTTACTGCACTGAATCTCAACAACCCATGAGGTGGGTACCCGCTTGAAAATAAGCAGACTGTAGCTCAGAGAGGCTAAATTCCTGCCCAACGTCACACAACGAGTAGGCGACAATGCCCAGGTGTGAACACACCTCTGCTGCGTTGTCAGATTCTCAGGCACTTGTTCCGTCGAGACCCAGGTAGTAAACACTTCACACTCTGTCGTAACTACTTAAACCTGCCATGGTAGAGTGAAGGTAGCATCAACAATATCTAATCAAATGAACGTGGCTGAGTTCCAATAAAGCTTTATTGAAAAAAAACAGACCACGGGCCCACCGGCTGTAGTTACCTGAGCCCTTCTCTACCATCTTATCATACCATGTGCAGTTCTCTGAATGCAGGCGACATACAGTTTCACGAGTGTCTCTGGAGGGGTCCTGGCCCAGTGGGGGAAGCCAGAAAAACCAGCCCGGTCAGAAGGCAGAAGGAGCAGAGGGTGCTGGTGTAGTGGGCTGGCCAGAGAAGGTGTCTCAGAGAAGGTCCTGTGTGAATTGCACTCATGTGGAGGGAGGACATGGCAGACCCGGAAGATAAACTTTAGAGAAAACTTAAAGTTACAACAAGGACTGGCGAGAGCTCCTTCCACTGCACATGGCAGAATTCCAAATAAAACGAGACTAGACAAACAAAAACAACAGAAATGGGATGTGCTGGCTCACATTTCTGGGCACTGAGGGTGTGGTTGGCTTGAGGAATGGCTGAATTCAGCAGTTTGTCAGAAATCTGCCTCCCATCACCACCTCTTGACTTCACTCTTTCTTTTCCAACAGGCCCTCTCCAGGTCACAACGGCATCGGGCACCAGAAGCCCTGGGCCTGCCTCCCCTCCTCAGCTATCTCAGTGAGGAAGTGGACTCTTGGCAATTCCAATTTAGAAAGCCAAGAAAACACTTCCCTCATTCCCAAAGCCCCAAGGCTCCACCAAAACAGCAGTGGAGAGAGGTTTTAAGATACAGGAGAACAGGCTCAAAGGCGCCACAACAAAATGCTGGAAGCTGCAAAGCAGTCACTGCACAGTAGGTGGCTTGGCAGGACTGAGGAAGCCAAACCCCAAATCTGCAGCTTGAAATCTGAGAACTGGCCAGAGGGCTGGTAACTGAGAGGACCGGGCACTCCCGGAACTGGGTGACAGTTGAGACAGAAGCTGTAAAAGCTGGATCCTCTCCTCACCTCTGGGGCTGGGGGACTGCCTCACGTCTGTCCTGGTGGAGACTGGAGGCTTGCTCTCTGAAGCAGGTAAACAGATTCTGGATTGGGCACCCCCGAACATGGATGGCGCGGGTTCTGGGAAAGCAGGAGTGGGTTCTGCATGCAGAAATCCCCCCACACCACTCAGGCGGTAGCCAGCCCTGCTCCCTACAGAAAGGAGGCTGGAAGAACCACCCTGGAGCTGTAACTAGTGCAAGGGGAAAGTCCCAAACTCCTGACAGCTGGGGTCCCCCGAAACTTGGTCTACCTAGATGGCCCTACAATGAGTCAGTGTTGACCAGCCACACCCAAGCTCAGAGCTTCCAATCAGCTTCTTAGACCCCCATTCCTAATGCTCAGCTGAGCTCCAAGGATCAAGAGACATCTGCCTCCAGCACGGAACACAGACAAATTAAACCCTGAGACACACACAGCAAAGCTCAGCGGGAGGAAGCAAAGACTGAAGGAGAAGATAACTTCCAGAAACATCTTTAATATTCTCAGAGAAAGAAGATATTGCATCCAGGAAACAAAACCAAGCGTTCCAAAGAAAATGGAGGAACAGAAATCATTAAAAAGGCACCAACATTCCCCAAGAAGGAAGATGACCCATTGACAAACTGAAAAGGCCTTCAGGTACCAAACACCACAGAAGAAAACAAACTCACACCAGGACACTTCACCGTTTCAGAGCCCAGGACACGAGAAGTCTCTATAGCCTACCACATGGGGCAAAGAAAGGGGGGAAGAAAACAGGTCACATACAAGAACCAGAAAGCAAAACAGATTCAGCCATCTCAGCAACAACCCTGAAATCTAGAACGTGGCGAAGCAAAGCCTTCCAGATTCTCAGGGAAGATAATTCCCAGCTAGGGAAAACTGACAATCAAGTATGAGAGTAAAATAATGAGAGTTTCAGACCTACAGGGTCTCAAAAATTTAACTTCCATACGTCATTCCTCAAGCAGATACTGGTGGGAGACTCTGCCCAAACAAAAGTGTGAAAGGAGAAAGGGGAAGAGATGAGACGCAGGAAGCCGCTGTGGGGTGCGCAGGGCCTAGAGTGAGATGACCCCACAGGAGGGAAGAGGAGGAGCCCCAGGAGGGGGTGAGGGGAGCTCCAAGATTGACAGCTGTGCTCCAGCCATGGACGGCCAAAGGCCAGTCTGGGAGCGTGTGGCCCAAGAGACAGACCTTGGGATATTAGAATATTAATAGATTGTACCACGCTCGCTGCTCCAGGTCACCACACCATCCTTTGAACTAAGAACATGGTGCCCAGGCGACACTGCCCAGCTGTGACCAGGGCTTGTCTTGGCCATAGACAGAAAGAGCCCCAACCTTCCCTCCATCTTCCGCTGGCAGGACCAGCTGAGAGCACATGAGACACTCTGCAGCGGGGTTCTGCCATGACGTAGTCTAGAATCCCAGAAACCAAAGCACAGGGCCACCCTGTGGCATTTATGGATGCCTCAAATGTGGGGAGCCCTGGCTTCGCCAACAGGTCTTGCCCACGGATTTCCCCAAGGGAGACTCCCGTGAACCCTCGGGAAGCTGAAGTCAGACGGTGGCTCAGAGGCCATTGGCTGTGTCTTCTCTGGAACTCTTCATCTGAAGGACGATACTGCCCTTCCTTACACATCACCTCTGTGCTTGTTCCTTGAGCCTTCACTACTGCACAACAGAGCATCCCTGGAGGCTCCAGAAAAGCAAAGGAAGGATGGGACAAGTCAGGCTCCTGCCTCTATAGGAGGAGGGCCCCTACTCTGGGCACTTTAGGGCACTGGATACTATAAAAACACCACAAAAGTCAGTTATTAAGGAACCCCTGGGTGCCCCTCTCACTCCAATCCAGGCCTGGCCCCTGACAAGTTCTAAACACCCCAGAAAGTACATCCCCACCTGACCTTCTGTATGACCTTGAACCCAGAATGCCAAGGCGAGTGGGCTGTGCCAGCATCTGTCTCAGGCAGATGCTGCTTTGGAGATAGAGGGTTTGAGAGGAGAAAACCCTTGGGTGGGAGAAAAGCCGGGCCATTGCCAAGTTCCTCCCGCCAGTATCAGGGTGCAGCAGCTCCCACCCAGCCCATCATTTACGTATCTTTTCCATTTTGCTGTTAGGAAGACCTCTTTCCAAGTCATGCTGAGAGTCTGCGCTCTCGCTGCTCCTTGGGTACCATTCCGTGGTTCTGAAGTTCCTCGTACGTTGGGTGATACATAGAACAGGTGCATTTAGAAGCTGAGAGACATCTTTCTATGTTAGACAACGCTTACTACTTTTACACTTATGTCTATATAGAATTAGATGTAACATGAATGAAACATGATACTGGTTCTTTGCACGATTGTAGGAGTCTTGAGATTGACAGTAAAACACAATGAAAGCTCTGACATAAGTGATAGTGGTTTTGTATGATGAAATTAAAATATTTTATGAATTTTTCTTTGCTAATGATCATATACAAGATGCAACCCCATTACAACAATTAAACACTGTAAGTAAAATTTCAAAGAAATTTGGTTTATTTCCAAATCAAAATATTCCTCTAAGAATGTTATTGACAATCCCAGCTGTTACTCCCTCTGCAGAACAAAGTTTCTCCAAAGTTTTGAAAACTAGCTAAGAGCTACAAGGCCTCAAGAAAGGCTGCCTAATTTGTCATTATTGTCAAATTATGTGAAAATCTTAATTATAATTGCATGATTAGCGATATTGATGAAATAAAGGCAAGAAAAATTTTTTTAGAATAAGCATAATAATCTATAAGTTATGCATGTTTTTGTACTTTTATTCATCCAAGCATTATTGGCCCAGCAACAGAACACCCAGGTATATGCAATAATGATTAAATTCAGTTTCCTATGATATTTTGCCAGCTTTCAGCTATCAAAAAGCCATAATTTCATACATCTCTATTTTGTTATTATGAAGGTATATTTGTCAAAGCAAGAGGCTGGAATACTTTTTATTCAACAATTTTACTTGATTTATAATTTATAAATATTTAGACATAAGATATGTGGACTTATGTTTGTAATCTTGTCTCAAGTCCCACCAATATTAGGGCTGGGCCCAGGTAGGAGCATGGAGGGAGGGAGATAGAATTAGGAAGGAGAACACAGAGGCCTCTAAGTTTCTAGAATATTCTATGTCTCATACTAGGGAGTGGAGGCATGGGCATTTGTCTTGTTACTTTCCTATAAACTGTATTTTATTTTATGCACTTTTGAATGCATGGTATATATGACAATAACAAACAAAATGAAATAAAAATAAGGGTAAGAAAAAGGATTTACCTTGTTTACCATTCACAGAGGTCATGAATCCCAGATGAGATCATATACAGGAAAACGCATTGTAAAGAGAAAACCTCGCTCTGGAGCAAACTGTCCTTTACTGTTCATCTGACACCAGGCAGGGAAGGTGGGGGCGAACATTGTCAGCTCCGTTGAGAATGAAAATCTTGTTGACATTTTCCTTACCGGAATTTCTAATGTGTTTTCCTTTTACACTGATTCTAAATACATTACTTGCATATTTTGGAAAATGTGGAAACTAAGAATAAAAAGCAAGCATATATGTCACTACCCAGAGAAAATAACTACAGAAACAGTGGCATACAGTATTTCAGTATTAAAAAAAAAAATGTGTCTAGCCAGGCATGGTGGCTCACACCTGTAATCCTAATACCGTAGGAGGCTGAGGTGGGAGGACTGCTTGAGCCCAGGAGATCGAGCCAGCCTGGGCAACATAGTAAAACCCCACCTCTACAAAAAATACAAAAATTAGCTGCGTGTGGTGGGCATGCCTGGAGTCCCAGCTACTCAGGAAGCTGAGGTGGGAGGATTGCTTGGGCCAAGGAGGCAGAAGTTGCAGTGAGCTGAGATCATACCACTGTACTCCAGCCTTGACAACAGAGCAAGACTCGATCTCAAAAAAAAAAAAAAAAATGTGTCTAGGCCAGGCAACGTGGCTCACTCCTGGTAATCCCAGCACTTAGGAGGCCGAGGTAGATGAATTATTTCAGGCCAAGAGTTCAAGACCAGCCTGGGCAACAGAGACCCCATCTCTACCAAACTTTTTTAAATGGCCAGGCATAGTGGTGTGCACCTATAGTCCCAGGGAGGCTGAGGTGAGAAGATCACTTGAGGCTGGGAAATGCAGACTGAAGTAAGCTATGATCATGCCACTGCACCCTAGCCTAGGCGATAGAATGCGATCATATCTCCAAAACAAAAAAGTGTCTATCTTTCAAACTATAATTTTATATGGTTGAGATGGTTGAGATCAGCCTCCAGATATGATTTTTTGCCTTGTTGTTTTTCTCACTTAATATGCCAGACTTTTCCCCATGTTATTACAAACTCATTGTAAGCATCTTCGGAGCATAATTTACTTAATCATTTCCTCATTATAGGACATTTAGACAGACTCTAATTACTCACTATCACAAATTACGCTGTGAGGAATAAACAGTGGTCTTCCCGAGTCTTTGTGTGGACTTCCAATTCGTTTCTTAGGATCAATATCTCAAAATGAGCTTCAGAGAGTTTTTCAGATTCCAAATGTAGCTATTGAAGGCATTTATGTTATAGGTACATGCCGCTGGCCTTTCCCATCTGGGCACTGATGTGCTATCACCATGGAATGCCGCATTACTTACTAAGTCTAAAAGCCACATGGAACCAGACGGACTGGTCGCACCCTGGCTTTGCACGGCATTGTCTGGAGATCTTAGGCGAGTTCGAGCCTCCCTAAGCCTCATGCTCCTTGGCCACGACAAAGACAGAACCGTGACTGCCAGGCACAGTACTGGTAAGGATTAAAAACAACGCAGGCGCCTGCCTAGCCCAATGCCTGGCACACAGCCAGTGTTCAATAAATGATGACTCACATGAACGCTTTTTAAAATGCTTCTTTCCTAATTATTCCAGCAAAAAGTTCCAGGGAAGACTCTGATCAGCCTGCCTGGAGTCACGCCCCCTTCCCGCAGCCAATTACTGTAGAGGTTGATTGGCCAGTTCTGGAATCATGTGCCCTTCCCCTAACCAATTACTATGAAGTCTGATTGGCCAGTTCTAGAGTCATGTGCCCTTCTCTCAGCCAATTACTGTGGACTCTAATTGGCCAGTTCTGGAGTCACATGCCCTTCTCTCAGCTAATTACTGTGGCCTCTGATTGGCCAGTCCTGGAGTCTTGTCCCCCCCCTACCCCCCAGCCAATTACCCTGGCCTCTGATTGGCCAGTCCTGAGTCTCTTGCTCATTCTGAAGCTGGAATGGGGCGCAGGGTCATCCCTACCTGAACCATGGGGAGTGGGAATTGTGGGTCCCAAAGAAAGGAATCCTGTTACCGGAAAGGTGGACAAGCAAAAACAACAGATGCCTAAGGCTTCCCTAACAGTGCCTCCCTGCTGCTTGCTTGGGAAAGGACTGGGTCCCAGACAATGACCCTGACACCACGTGGACATGGGAGAATCACCCTTGCCTGAATTTATAGGGGAAGGAAGAAACAACAAAACAAAGACCAAGATGGCTGTGCCTGGAGGCTGGTTGACCCTACTGAGCTTGAAAATCTTTCTAGCCTTGTAAGAATGTGAATTTACAGGCAGATCTAGAAAAGGGATGAGTTTCCATCCTGAGGAGACAAAGGCTTCACTGCCTAGGAAAACCAGTGCCTCTTTAGGAAACTGTGCACAGCCTCCATTGACAGGACTCGAACCTGCCACCCACCTCCAACACCGGGCCCAGTCCAAAAGCCCCCTCCTCTGAGAAGTCTCCCTGAGCCCTGTCAGAGATTAAACAATGCCGGTCACTAGCTAAAGACAATAAGGGCAGGTCTCAGGCCACTGCAGCAGGGAACAGAGTCCACTGCAAAACTGAGTTCATGCAGAGGTGACAGAGCGTTTTAAAGGGAGAATGAGGGAGCTGGAGAGGGAGTGTGTGGGGCTCCAGCAGAGTCAGGGAAGGGGAGATTACAAAAGCAGGAGGGGTAGTCAGTGTGCTTAGGCCATTGTGATTGCTACCTAGGACTTATCAAAGCCAGGCGCCTGCCCTCCCACCACAACTGGGACACGGGGGCCCTCTCTTAAGGTGTTGGCTGGAACAGACAGTAAATTATTCTGGCAGCCTTGAACTTTCCCAGGGATGAACTTAAGCAGGGGAGGCAGCCTTGAACTGTGAGAAAAAATGCCAGGGTCTGTTCCAGTCTCTCAGTGTTGGGAGGTGGATGAAATCAGTTGTGCTGAGAGTCTGTAGTTTCTAGAGGCCAAGGCTGAGGCCTCCTTGAGAGAGGGGTAGGAGAAGCCTGCGTTGGTCCAAAAGATAGTCTTTGTGAGACCCCAGATGTCCACCTCCTTGGGGTTCCTCTATCATGCCCGCTGTGTTCCTGTCACCCACACACCACTGTAAGATGCCCAAGGTAGGGCTTCAATCTCCACGTCCCTGGCACCCAAGACAGGGCGTGATGGAGGATGAATTCTCAGTTAACTCACTGTGCTGACTGCCAAGTGGTGGACAAGATGGAGGAACAACACCCGGCACCACACCCCTCATAGAAGGACTTCAAAAGACTCAGATCTCCACACCCAAATGCAGGGATTTTGATCCAGGGACTTGTACAACTGAATGATTGATTTTTTTTTTTAAAAGCTCCTTGACAATCCTGATGTTTGGTGGGGACTAGATCCCACTGGTTCTGCACAGGTAGATGCACCTGTTTCAAATGATGCCTTCTGCTGAGCAAAGACGAATCTCTAGGTAACTCCTGCTCAGGCCCTCCCCTCCCACTCTCCAACAGGCCCACCTGGGCATAAGAGCCATAGAACCCTCACCACCCCTGGGGGTGCTGAGTCCTGAGACTAAGGTCAGGGTTTATGGGCAAATAAGTGAAGGAACCCCTCCAGCCAGTGTTGGCTTGAGACTCTGCCTAGGCCTTTATGGCTGACTTCTGCTGGCCTACAGCTCCCGTTGGCAAGCAAGCCCACTTCTCCTGGCATTGCCAGCTCCGTTGGGTTCCTTACTAGGAGGGAGGGCAGGATCTTTCCTGCCTATTCCTGGAATCCCTGGTTGTAATATAATCAAACCCAACTCAGTTCAACCACTTCTTTTATGGGAGCCATACATCATAGACTGTCAGGGTAAGAGAGGCCTTCAAGATCATCTCATCCACCAACCTTGACAGTGAGGAAACCGACGCCTTGGGCTGCTGGCACAGGTCTTCCAGCCAGGGATCCATTCGGAAGAGCAAGTCCTGCTGTTTTGCCAAAGCCTGTCTCCAGCTCCTATTTGCTTCATTTCAGCCAAAGTTTGGGCACAACTGCCTGGTCTGATGTCCTTGCTGAGGTTGAACCCCTTCTGGTGACAGTAGTTCTGTCACCTCATGAGGAGAACTAAAGTTAGCACTCCTTTAAGGATTTGGTTCTGAAAAACTGTAGACAGGGGATATTGAAATTTGCCCAATTTGCCCGTTCCTTGGAAGCATCTCAAAGTGTAGTTCAAAACCGTGCTGACTTCAAAGGCAGAAAGAAATGCTTGGAAGAGAGGAGATGAATAGGGCAAGGAGATCCAGGGCTGTTTCTAGATCATAATGGCCACTCCTGAGACTGCTTCCCTGTGTGGGTGGAGGGAAGGACTGGACTAAGGCAAGGGGGAGCAAAGTTCAGTCCATTTCCTTGGTCACTCGCAGGAAAGGAGGCCAGAGCCTCGCTGGCCTCTCAGGGGCTGCCAGGGTGGACCTGAGGGAGGTTTTCAGATAGCAGCATGGGGACTTGCAGGGAGAATCACTGGCTCCTGGCAAACACCAAGGCTCCAACAGCCACTGTCTATTAAACAGCATTATTTAAACCTTCACAGTCACTTAGACGCAGAGCTGGCAGATTATCTTAAATCTTCAGCCGGTAGAAACATATCAAAATGCAGCTTTTACAACCAGACAGTGACAAAACAGAAGTCCTATCTGTGTTTGGACAGTGTCTGCTGATGTCACACTCTGGGAGAGGCCCAGCTGGTGCAATGTGGGCAGCAGCAATTTGTACACCCATTAGAGAGAAAGGACCTCGAGGGCAGGCCTCTTTGGTCACAGCTGTATCCCAGGCACTCCCTAAGTATG
Organism: Homo sapiens; assembly: GCF_000001405.40. Taxonomy (NCBI): domain Eukaryota; kingdom Metazoa; phylum Chordata; class Mammalia; order Primates; family Hominidae; genus Homo; species Homo sapiens. The sequence goes on along the minus strand of NC_000022.11, from coordinate 47,267,630 downwards.
AGTCTAATGATAATGAATTTCCCCATAAACACACCCGAAGCAACTGCTATGTGCTGGCCCTGGCCTCAGCAGGGCAGACACAATGACAGGGACCAAAGCTGATGCTGCCCTCGAGGCAGGGAAGCAGAGAACAGCCTCAGGCAAGTGCATGATGCCAAGGGGGACCTCAAGGACTACATGAGCACCTCACGCAGCCCTGGGAGCAATCATGGAGGGCTCCCTAGAGACAGTGATGCCTGGGTTTAAAGAACAAATGGGATTCACAGATAAATAAAGTGGGAAGGGGCATCCAGGAATGTGCTCATTCGCTCATCCGTTCCTTAACTCAACAGACATTTGTGGAGCTTGACTCTACGCAGGAGCGATGAGGGTAACCCCAGATGGCGGAGCGCTGTCACCAAGGAGCTGACAGTCCATGAAGACAGATGCATATGGGACAGTCTGCATAAGTGCAGGATGACACATGAGGAAGGGGTCTGCCAAGGAGGGGACCCAGTGCCAGGAGGAAGGAAGAGGACCTTCCTTCGCACTACCGCACTCCAGCCTGGGCAACAGGGCAAGACTCCATCTCAAAAACAAACAAACAAACAAACAAAAATAAATACATAAATATATGGGAGAATATGTGTTGGTTAAATGCAGATACTACACCATTTTATATAAGGGACTTGAGGATTGTTGGATTTTGGCACCTGAAGCAGCAGGGATCAGAGGGACATATCCTAGAAGCAACCCCCTGTGCATTCCAAAGGGCGACTGTACACACTTTGACCAACTTGGAGTGGTAAATGGTGTTATTCTCAGGCCTTTATTATGCTTCCTACATAGGCCATCCCTACACAGGAGGCCCTCTGTTTTCCACTGACACTGGGCTTGGCCAGGTGACTCATTTTGGCCATGAAGATCTGAGCAGCATTGACATGTACTGCTTCCCAAAGAAGCATTACGAGGCATTGCATGGTTCTGTTCTTTTTCCATGTGCCTTGACACCAGCAATGTCCCAAATCGGGCTGCGCCCCAGCCTGGGTGTCAGGGGGCACAGCAAGAGCCACTCCTGATGAATGTGTCACAGGAGCGAGATCCTAAGGGATGTTTGTTACTGCAGCAGAACTTAGCCTGAGCTGACTGATAGATAAGGAAGCCAGGATTCAGGGAGGTTGAGTGGCTTGGAAATCAAGAAGGTGATCACAGAGCCCACTATGGAATCCATGCCTTCCAAATATCTGCCTGGTCCTATTGCTCTGCCAGGCAACTTTGTAACAGCTAATGGTAGCAAATAGAGAGGACCCAACAAGCAGTGAGTTTTCACTGAAGCCAGCACTTATGAGTTCATGATTTTTAAAAAGCAGCAACTAACAGCTAACAGCTATTGATTATTTTATTTGTGTCAGACACTGTGTCAAATGCTTTGTAGTCTTTTATCCACTGTTCATATGACCCTGTGAGGTAAGACAGCCCTAATTTTACAGGTGAGAAGACTGGGTTCATGTTACTTCATTCGAGTGTAAATCTACCTTATTCTTTCTAAAATCTGTATAATGTCCACAGTATGAATGCAGCTAAGTATCTGTACCCATCCCCTTATCAATAAATATTTCAGTCACTTCCAATATTTCAGAATTACAAACAATGCTGCAATTGCTGACCTGGAACATACATTCTTACCGTCTTTGGCTACTGTTTCTGCAGGGTAGAGTCCCAAAACTAGGGTTGTAGAGTCAAAAATATGTACTTCCAGGAGCAGTGGCTCATGCCTGTAATCCCAGAACTTTGGGAGGCCAAAGTGGGCAGATCACTTGAGCCCAGGAGTTGGAGACCAGCCTGGGCAACATGGCGAAACCCTGCCTCTACAAAAAAACTTTAAACATTAGCCTGGTATGGCGGCACACATCTGTAGTCCCAGCTACTAGGGAGGCTGAGATGGGAGGATCGCTTGAGCTCGGGAGGCAAAGGCTGTAGTGAGCCAAAATCGTGCCACTGCACTCCAGCCTGAGCAACAGAGTGAGACCCTGTCTCAAAAGAAAAAAAAAAGAAAAAAAATGTACATACATGTTGAGTTTTTATATAAAGTAAAAATGTTATCTATTCAAAAAATAGCTGTGTCTATGTGATACAGTTTGGCTGTGTCCCCACCCAAATCTCATCTTGAATTCTCACGTGTTGTGATAGGGACCTGATGGAAGGTAATTGCGTCATGGGGGCAGGTCTTTCCCGTGCTGTTCTCGTGATAGTGAGTAAGTCTCATGAGATCTGCTGGTTACTATAAGGGGGAGTTTTCTGCACAAGCTCCTCTCCTTGCCTGCCACCATCCACATAAGATGTGACTTGCTCCTCCTTGCCTTCTGCCATGATTGTGAGGCTCCCCCAGCCACATGGAACTGTAAGTCCAATTAAACCTGTTTCTTTTGTAAATTGCCCAGTCTCAGGTATGTCTTTATCAGCAATGTGAAAACAGACTCATACACTATGTGATTGGTTTCCATTCTCACCAAATTTATAAGAGCAACTACTTGCTAATACTGTTACTAGTCCTGGACATTAGCAATATGTAAAGCTTTTACAAAACTGATAGCTACAAAAATCTCATTGTGTTTTCATTTGGTTTCTTTTAATTACCAGCGAGGATGTGCATCTGTCCAAACGTCCATCAGCCATTTGATTCTGTCTTCTGTGAAAAGCTGGTGTGTGCACTTCCTCTCCCTGGGGTAGTTACTGGTGTCTGTGGCCTTTTATCTCCGTCCCAAAGCCATGCACTCTGGAGGAGGGAGTCTCTGTATCTCTGCAGCTCCTCACTAGTGTGGATCCCCACCTCATCCATGGGGATTCAGAGTGAATGGATGAGTGGAAATGATCATTAATTGAACACTGATGATGTGCCTGGCGCTGTGCTTAACAATGTGCTCACAGGGTCTCATTTCACCCTCACGAAAACCTGCTGAATTAGGTATGCATCCATTAGCTCACTCCATAATTCCAAAGTCCAAAGAGTTCTAAAATCCAAAAGAGTTTCCACAAGTCATTGGGCACCAATATCTATCATGAATTCTCATGAGACCATTTATAGTCTTTGTTTACTGCCTTCGTTTGACTAGTCAAGTTTTGATGCTAAAATATCCAATTCGATTTGGGGGTATTTACCCCAGACCCTTCTAGCAAGGTTAACAATGGTAATACACACTGTATTACCTGCAAAATCCAAAAGAAAAAGGCTGAAATGTGAAAACTAGCTGCCCTGAGGGTATGGCTAAGAAATTGCAGACTTTTATCAGTTACGGATGTCACCCATGTTACGGATGAAGAAACTGTGGCTGAGAAATTGACAACTTGCCCATGATGCACGGCTGTTAAAGGACAAGGCAAGAAACTAAACTTTGACCCCAGTGCCAGTGCTCTTGACCCAGGCTTGATCCTGATCTCTGCTCCTGCCCTTAATGCCACACGATGGGTCCCCCGACTTCTGAGTTCCGGGAGCAAGAGCTTGGTGAGAGCAGCACATTTTTAAGGGCAGCAAATGGTGTGTTAGAGACAGGGCGATCAAGCTGACCCATCTCGTTGGGATGTCCATTCCAGGATGATATCATGGTTCATAAATACCATGCAGGGTCTCGGATCCCAAAGCCTATATCCAGGGAGTAGAAGAGCTCTCTCCCCGAGGTGTGGCTGAAGTTGGCTGGGCTGGGAGGCCGGCTGGCTCCCTCTCTAACAGATTAGTTTAATTAAAAGCAGGATGGATGCTTGGCTCCTGTTGGAGACAATCATTAGACAATCAAAATGCTTGGGTACAAGGAAGTAATTGCATTTCACAGAGACCTCTCTGCCATCAAGACAGAATCAATCAGTAATTAAATTAGAGGTGAAAATGAGTTGCTCAGGCCCAAGGCTCACTGACTGAGCAGATATTGAGTGAACCCCACTATGTGCTGCGGGCAGAGAGATGAGAGAGACACAGTCCCAGCCACCAAAGTCCCCTGGCTAACCAAGCAGCCACTCAGGATGAATGCACACGGTGTTCTCACCAGGGACTAGAAGGGGCTTTGATACAATGGATTCTAAAATATCACAATAGTATGATATCTTCTCAGTTAAAAGAAAACTAAACAGGAAAGGGGGCTGTAGTGGTTAGCTACCAGCGTATAATAACCCAAAACTCAGTAGGGTGTGTACAATGTAAGCATTGATTTATCAGGCATCTGCAGGTGGGCTGGATGTCTGCTGATCTTAGCTGGGTTTGCTCCTGTGTGTGCAGGTCAGCTTGGATCATCTGGCCTAGGCTGGGCTAGGCTCAGTGGTTGTTTTTCGAGAAGCAGGAGTGGGGGTGGCCAGGCAGCTCTGCTGCTCCTCTCCCTCTCATGCTCCTCCAGAGATCGGGGGGCTGGCTGGGGCATGCTCTTCTTGGGTAATGGGAGAGGCCCAAGAAGACCAGCAGAAGCACATGGAGCCTCTTCAGGCCTAGGCTTGGAACCAGCACACTGTCCCTTGCACCTGCAAGTCACTGGCCAAGACAGGTCACCTGGCCAAGTCCCAAGTCAAGATGGGAGGAGGGCACCAGTGATGAAGCACGGTAAGGGTGTAGTTGAAGGGAAGGACAAAGAAACGAGGCTGATCGTTCAAGCTTCCAGAGGAAGTCACACTTTTCCAGCACCTCCTTTAGGACAGTCACTTTGTATGCATTCCCTCAAGGAATCTCATTATCATTCTTCATAATCTGCATCATTATTCCCATTAAGAGATGCAGAACTGAAGTTCTCAGAAGCAACCTGGTCGATGTCATCTAGCTGGCAAGTGCCTGGACACACATCAGCTTCTAGCACATCCATCACTCTACCTGTCTTCACACTGGTCTGGGAGTCAGGGCCACTGGACTCTGGTCCCACCCTGCCCCCACTGCTTGAATCAACATGAGACAAGGCTCCCCAACTTCTGGCATGATTTTCTTCAGATGTAAACAAGGAAACTGCCCTTGAAGCTCTGAGACTCCTGGGTTTTAGGGCTAATCAATTGGTTTTGTTTGTTTTTGTTTTTGTTTGTTTTTATATATACTTTAAGTTCTAGGGTACACGTGCACAAGGTGCAGGTTTGTTACATATGTATACATGTGCCACGTTGGTGTGCTGCACCCATTAACTCGTCATTCACATTAGATATATCTCCTAATGCTATCTCTCCCCCCTCCCCCCACCCCACAACAGGCCCTGGTGTGTGATGTTCCCCTCCCTGTGTCCAAGTGTTCTCATTGTTCAATTCCCACCTATGAGTGAGAACATGCAGTGTGTGGGTTTTTGTCCTTGCGATAGTTTGCTGAGAATGATGGTTTCCAGCTTCATCCACGTCCCTACAAAGGACATGAACTCATCCTTTTTTATGGCTGCATAGTATTCCATGGTATATATGTGCCACATTATCTTAATCCAGTCTATCACTGATGGACATTTGAGTTGGTTCCAAGTCTTTGCTATTGTGAATAGTGCCACAACAAACATACGTGTGCATGTGTCTTTATAGCAGCATGATTTATAATCCTTTGGGTATATACCCAGTAATGGGATGGCTGGGTCAAATGGTATTTCTAGTTCTAGATCCTTGAGGAATTACCACACTGTCTTCCACAATGGTTGAACCAGTTTACAGTCCCACCAACAGTGTAAAATATTCCTATTTCTCCACATCCTCTCCAGCACCTGTTGTTTCCTGACTTTTTAATGATCAGCTAATCGATTGTTGAACCCAGCAGGTTTCAGTGATGCTGACTGAATTTGAATGACAGGGCAGGAAACAGGATGGCTGATGCAGATGCCAGAGGCCTGCTAATTGGTTCATGTGGGTTCTAGTTACGTGACCTGAGGCCACAGCAGCCCTAGGTTTGAAAGGACTTTCAGGACCATCTAGCCTAGTGGCTTCTATTTTTTTTTTGCCCGTGACTATGCTAGACTGAATAATGGTCTCCAACAATGTCCACACCCTAATCCCCAAAACCTGTGAATGTGACATTATGTAGCAAAAGGGACTTTGCAGATGTGGTTAAGGATTCAGGTCTTAAACTGGAGAGATGATCTTGGATCATCCCAGGTGGCTCAATGCATTTGCAAGGGAGAGGGGGTCAGAGAGGAGGGAAGATGGTACGCAGACCAAGTGGAAGAGGGAGGAGGAGGCCATTAGCCAGGAAACATGATGGTCTCTAAAAACTGAAATAGGCAAGGAAATGGGTTCTCTGCTGGAGCATCCAGAAATGAATTCAACCCTGCTGACCCAAGGTCCAAGGAGCCAGCAGATTCAGTGTCTTGTGAAGGTCTGCTTCCTTGTTCGTAGACAGCCCTCTTCTAGATATATCGTCATATAGCAGAGGGGTGAACAATCTCTCTGTAGTCTCTTTTATAAGGACACTAATCTCATTCATGAGGGCTCCACCCCTATGACCTAATCACCTCCCACAGGTCCCACCTGCTAATACCACCACCTTGGGGTTAGGATTTTAACATGGGAATTTGAGAAGAGGGGACATACACATTCTGACATAGCACATACATACACACACATACTCACAACTAGAATAAAAGTTCCACTAAAAATACATACTGTGCAAGATTTATTCTTATGATTTGTATTCTATGTCATTAAAAAGTAAACAGTTCACCTGGCTGTGACACACTGGGCTGATTTCATGACCCAAAAACCATTTGCCACCTGCAAATGATTTCCACAAGGAAACACCTGGCTGTTGTCCAGCCTCTTGATTGAAGGAGATACTTGGCCATGGTCTAACCTCTTGGTTGAATGAAACACCTGGCTGCAGTCTAACCTCTCGGTTGAAGGAGGCACCTGGCCGTGGTCTAACCTATTGGTTGAAGGAGGCACTGGCTGTGGTCTCTCAGCTGAAGGAGACACTTCGCCACGGTCTAACCTCTTGGTTGAAGGAGACACCTGGCTGCAGTCTAACCTCTGGGTTGAATGAAACAGCTGGCCATGGTTTAACCTCTCGGTGGAGGAGACACCTGGCCACAGTCTAACCTCTTGGTTGAAGGAGACACCTGGCCACAGTCTAACCTCTTGGTTGAAGAAAACAGCTGGCTTCAGTCTAACCTCTTGGTTCAGGGTGTGGTCACTCTGGGAAACTTCCAGAGCAACTATTTTATCTACCTCTAGCACAGGTTGCCATCCCCTCTCAGCCTCCTCTTGGTCTCTTTCTGTGATTGTGAACTTCCCTCAAGGAAACATCTTCGACTCCTCTTCTCCCTAAATAGGTGGCACTTCATGCTGAGCAGAACACTCCTAGTGGGAGCTGATACATGTCTCTACCTCCTGCAAAGTAGCCAAGTGGATCAAATCCAGTCACCAGAATTCCTTTGCGTTTTTTCAGAAGAGATTCCTGGGGCAGAAGCTGAGCTCTCAGTGCTCTGAAGATGGGCGGAACTTCTCTGTGAGAGATAAGGGAAGGATTTCCAAGCTGCACCAGGAAGGAGCCAGAAAAGGAGGCTGTCGCGAGCAAGATGGCCGACACTGGAGCTTGCAATGTGACCCCTCCCACAAACCCCCAGCCTTCAAATTCTTCACAAATACTTGGATGTGAGGAGCATCTGGAAACTTTGTGCCCAAACTAGCTCTGGTAGAATCTAAGCATTAAATGCAGATACTAGAAGCACAGAGCCAGTGTGGCATAAAAACTGGCAGAAATAACTAGGCAGGAGCTGGACTGACTCCCTTAGAGCTGTGAAGGTGGGTTCAGATCAAGTGAGACCCACACTCTGAAGGTCAGGAAGCCCTGCTGGGATCAGAGGGAAATCTGACATAATGGTGCCCCTGCAGAGCTCACAGCCTAGGGAAAGGCACACACACAGGATTCTAAGACAAATGCTGTGTCGGAGAATGAAAAAGAAACCATGAGAACCCAGAAGAGAGGACAATTAACCTTCCGGGAGTCAAGGAGGGCCCAACAGTAGAGAGGCTATTTGATCTATGCCTTGAAGGCTTTTACTATCTGGAGGTAGAGTGGTCAAGAGCTCAGAGAGGTAGAGCAAATCAAGATCCCTGGACATGTCTCAGGCCCTAGGAGTCAGAATCTCAGATGGAGGGCTGGGGACACCTTGTTAAAAGCTTCAGGTGATTCTGAGGCTCAGCCAGGTCAGGGAACCACCAGCCTGGAGGACAACCACAGCTGCAGCCGAGCCACTCTCAAGGGCACCTGCCTCCCCCTGCCCTGAATTGTAGGGCACCGTGTGTGTGTGTCTGCACATGTATGTATGCATGTGTATGTGTGTGTGCACATCTTTGTATGTGTATGTGTGTATCCATGTATGTGTATGTGTGTGCATATATGTGCGTGTATGAATCTGTATGTGTACTGTGTGTATGTGTGTATTGTGTATATGTGCATGTGTGTGTACATGTGTGCATGTGTGTATGCATATGCATGCGTGTATTTAGGTGTGTATGGACGTGTATGTGTGTGTGCATGTGTGTGTGCATATGCATGCATGTATTTATGTGTGTATGGGTGTGTGTGCGTGCATGTGTGCATGTTTATGGGTGTGTGTGTGTGCATATGTGTATATTTGTATGTATGTGTGTGTGCGTTGCCTGAGCTGGGGTGTGAGGGCTCAGTCCCTGTCACAGATTGGTGAGGCATAGTTGGGGAGTCCTTTGCCAGAACTCAAAGGTCATGTGTACCTCAAATTCTCCTTCCTGCCTCCCTGCTCACCCCCATGAACAGAAGGCTCCTCCCCAGCCCTGCGGCTGCTCTTTGTATCCAAGACTGTGAGGCCCACCAGCGCCGGGCAGCACATTGTGTTGCCAGCCTGTGGAACATCTCGCTTTGCACTGGCTGCATGCACATCCATCCCCTTGAGGACAGGCTCCATTTGCGCCACAAATGGAAATGAGCCTTCTGAGATGATTAGAATTTTTCAATAAGATGTGAGCTGGCACGCAGGGGGACATGATGAAATGTCTTCGCTCCAGATCTCCAGGGCTTCCTTTTGTGGTTCCTCTCTGGTGGTGAGTGATGGAGTAGGGAGGAATGTGCACAGGCACAGCTTCCACAGAGCTCCACCCCTGCAGGTGGATACAAGGGGAGGCTGGGGTCTCCTGGACACTCTCTCTGCTTGCAGAGGCACCTGTGAGAAGTTCAGGTAAACATTCCTGGTTGCTGAGGAAAAGGGGCTGGGGTGGGGAGACCATTTCTGACTGTGTATCCACTGACGCCCCCTCCTCCATCTATGGGCTCCCAGTGCAATCCCCCCTCCCTGGGCTTCGCACATCTCCAGCCCCAGCTGGGGGAATCTGCCAAGGTCTATCAATGCCCACGCCTCTGTTAGGATCCGCCTGGTGTGAGATCGCTGCTTTCGATGAAGGTGGGGAGAGGGAGTGCACCTTAATTTTCTCTCTGAATCGCCAGAATCGAGGAAGCTTGTGTAAAGCTTGCAGCACATGTTGCTTGAGCACTGACTACTGACTGTGTCTCTGGCACGAGGCAGGCATCAGAAGACAACTGTGAACCAGATGGACATGGATTCTGTTCTCAACGGACCCCAGCAGCTATGGCCCACGCTGGGAAGCCAGAGGGGAGAGTCTGGAAGTGCTGGGGAAGCAGAGAAGAGCTGGATGCAGAGTCCGAGGGCTTGGTGAGAACCCAGAAATCAGGGAGTGGGGATGATTCCCGGAGCTCGGCAGGACCGCCAGCCTAGCCACCAGCCTCCTGATGGAGGTCACAGGCCCCAGTTTATATCCTGTCCAGTGAGCCAGTTGCACTTAAAAAGTCAGTGGTCACTCAAAGCCTCAGAACCTGCCTCGGCAAAACTGCAAAATCACATTAAAATGGGAAGAATGACTCCCTGCATGTCTGCTGGGGAACCACCTTGGGCACCATGGGTGAGTCAGATGGGGTCCCTCCCCCATGAGCTCAGTCCAGAGCGGGGACACGGAGAAGCAGCCCATCATAACACAGAGAGCTGCCTCAACCAGAGGGGAGAGCCGAGGGAGGTTCAGGGAAAGCTTTCTGGAGAAGGTGAGCCCTGAGCTGAGGCTGAAGGGGTGCAGGGGAAGCCCTCAGGAAGGGTGTTTCTGGAAGAGTGAATACTACAAGCAAAGGCTTGGAGGAAAGAGAGAGCACACGGCACATGGGAATGGCCAGTGAAGGGGCCATAATCATCTTCTGAGGTGTAAGGAGAAGAGTAAGACGGGAGTCTGAATGGAAAGGGGTCCCCTAATGTTAGGGACAAATTTATGAAACAATTGAAAGCCACTGGGACTTCTGGGGGAGATGGGGAGGACAGGATGGGAACAGAGCTGTTTTAGAAAGACTCATCGGAATGAACAACGGACATTCGAAAAAAAATTCTGCGTCATTAAAAAGAATGAGAATGTAAGTTAAAACAATAATATGTCATTTCACCCCAACTAAATTTGAAAAAAAATAAGATCTGATGACATTGAGTGTTGCCTAGGACCTGCGACAACAGTGACCTGTGCTCTGCCGGCGAGCGTCGTGTTGACACAACCATCTGGAAAACAGGTTGTCATGGTCTAGTGACGTTCACAACACACACAGGGTCACACGGCACTTGGACACTTAGGGGTACACCCTACAGGAACCTTCTCACAAGTGACCACAGGCGCACGGTTCCCCAGAGGAAACCAAACAGAACAAACCTAGAATCGGTCGGTGTCCATCGACGAGAATGGACATATTCAATTCTGCCATAGTCATGTTATGGAATCCTGGAACCCCACTGGTGAGTGGAGATGAACAAGCCACAGCCCAGTACAACACGCTGGTCCCCAGGAACATAATCGTCTGGTTAAAGTGGCATTGAGACTCCCTCCACACACCACAGGATGCCGCTACACACAGGCAAAGGTGAGTAACACAAATGTGTGTAGCACAAACATGCAAAGCCATACACTCCATTGTCGACAGATCAGCACTTGCAGTAGAACTCAGTGGCCAATTCAGAGACTGGTGAGTACAAAATACCTTTAGGGAGCGGGGAGATGCATAGGATGGATAGGATTTACATTATCCATAAGTATAAAGTCTGAAGCCTCCGGGCTGCAGAGGTAACATCAACTCCTGAAGGTCATGCTTACTGCCGGGGTGTACAGTGAAGGGTTCATCTTGGTACCCCAACAATCCTTTATAATGTTATTTTAATTTTGCTCAATATTTAATTTGAAAACAATAGAGAACAAGATATTTTAAAATGGCAGAAATTTGGGAAGGACAGAGAGAGGAATGGGACTCTTTAGCTACATTAATAAAATTTTATTAATAATATTTTTTAAAGATTTGATAATACAAAAAAAGCACTCAATAAAATGCCAAAATATTATACCACTTATCCATCATGAGGACTTGAATAAGTTATTTAACCTCCTTGGAGGCTCCACTTCCTGCTGATGCAGCAGCTAAACATTTGAGGTGTTGTTTTAATTTAAATTATCTATACATAGGTAGTAAATGTTTTATATATATACATATTTATACAATATAAATTATATGTGCATTTATTGACAAATAAATTGGTTTATTATGTTGGTGGGCCTAAAATAATTTTATTCAAAAGCTATTAAAAATTTTTAATTAAAAAATGAAAATATGACATATCTATGTATAGTAAAGCTAAATTTTTAAATTATTTAAACAATTACACATTTCAAATATTTAAAAATAGCACTTTGGGAGGCTGAGGCAGGCAGATCATGAGGTCAGGTGATCGAGACCATCCTGGCTAACATGGTGAAACTCTGTCTCTACTAAAAAATACAAAAAAATTAGCCAGGCATGGTGGTGCACGCCTGTAATCCCAGTTACTCGGGAGGCTGAGGCAGGAGAATCGCTTGAACCCAGGAGGCAGAGGTTGCAGTGAGCTGAGATCATGCCACTGCACTCCAGCCTGGGTGACAGAGCAAGACTTGGTCTCAAAAAAAATAGATATATATTAAAAAGTAAAAATAGGCCAGATGCAGTGGCTCACGCCTGTAATCCCAGCACTTTGGGAGGCCAAGATGTACAGATCACCTGAGGTCAGGAGTTCGAGACCAGCTGAAACCCTGTCTCTACTAACAATACAAAAATTAACCGGGTGTGGTAGCACATGCCTGTAGTCTCAGCTCTCGGGAGGCTGAGGCATGAGAATCACTTGAACCTGGGAGGCGGAGGTTGCAATGAGCCAAGATCACGCCACTGCACTTCAGCCTGGATGACAGAGCAAGACTCCATCTCAAAAAAAAAAGTAAAAATCAATAAAAGACTTATTGTTGGTACACAACTAAATACTTCAGTCATTTTCCTTCCTACATTATCCTAATGCTGTGTCAGTGGCATTTTTCAGAAGAATGTGACTATATTATTTTAAATTTTTCATAAAATTGCATGTAATTCTCTTCAAATTATATTTTATGATTTAAAAATTCTAAGCTGTTAACATTGCAACTGATTCTTTTCGAAAGGGCATAACATTTTAAATTTAGAAACTATTATCTCTATGGGAATGGAGGTAGCTGGTAAGCTCAGAGTAAATTCTGTTAAATGGAGAACATTTTCAATTCTAATATTTTTTTCATTGAAATACATAAATATTTCAGCAGAAACATTGTCATAGAGACTGCCTTTTGCATCTATTTAGGGTGCCTTGACATATTTTTTTCACAACAAAACATGTCAAATGCATCATCTCTATTCATGATTCTTTTAAATGTCTTACCAAACTTAGATGCCATAAAATTCTAGGCCTTCTCCACCAGATTCCATTCCAGTCCACATCATACATTTATCCAATTAAACAAAGGAGCTTCATTTAAAGATTCTTTCCATATGCCAATATATACCAAAGTTTAAGAATTTCTAAATAAAATCTTGTAAAAGTATATTACATCACAATGTAATATGTTCACTTCCTCCCTTGCTCTCCTAGAGGAATATTTCAATGTCCTTCTGCGTAGCAAGCTTTGTTTTCAATAACTACAATTTGCTAACAACATTAAAAAGTGACATTTGGGGGCTTTTATTCATTGACTCCTTCAATTAAAAATTTCCAACTGATGGCCAGGCACAGTGGCTCACACCTGTAATCCCAGTACTTTGGGAGGCCAAAGCGGGAGGATCATGAGGTCAGGAGATCGAGACCATCTTGGCTAACATGGTGAAACCCCGTCTCTACTAAAAATACAAAAAATTAGCTGGGTGTGGTGGTGGGCACCTGTAGTCCCAGCTACTCAGGAGGCTGAGGCAGGAGAATGGCATGAACCCATGAGGTGGAGCTTGCAGTGAGCCGAGATAGCACCACTGCAGTCCGGCCTGGGCAAAAGAGTGAGACTCTGTCTCAAAAAAAAAAAAAAAAAAAAAAAAAAAATTTCTAACTGATTTCATACAACTGCGTCCAAAATTTAAAGGATTTGTTTACAAAAAGTTTAGTACCATCATAAGACACTTAAGTTGATTTATGAAGTAATTTTTCAGAAGCTCCAACATTTATCAAATCTGATTGATAATGAGGAAAATGAGAGAAGGTGAGTACTACTATTTGGAAAAAAACAGGGTTTTTTCATATTTAATGTTAAAGTCATCACAAAAACGTTTATTTCAAGTTATTCTGGGTACACATATAATAGCTGTAAATTTTGACAACTACAGCACCTGTTAGGTTGGTGAATTATCACAGCTTGTTTTAATGGGCCACAAGTAATCCCAAGCACATTTCTGTACTTAATTTAGAAAGAATCTTGTTTTTACCATGACACTAGCTTCACCAAAAATTGTGTTCCTATCATAACTACAAGAACAAATAATGTACCCTTTCACACTAAGTTTTTCCACTGAATTCATGACAACATCATTGTATCACCAGCAACAGAAGGAACTTCTAAATCTTCACTGATTCCATAAATCAGATGAAAAGGATCAAACTGTCATTGGAATTAACTGATTTCCTCTTTGAAGTATCTGGTAACAATGATATAAAACTGGAATCATTTAGCTGTTTCTAAAGGTCTTCTACAAACAGAGCCAACACATTCGCACCCACCACTTCATTTTTCATCTGTGCATAAGAACACTTGGCAGTGGAAAATGAGCACAATTAATTTCGAGGACTCAGCATTGGATCTAAGTGAAAAGTCATGGTCCACAGAGTGAAATGGAAACACGCCTTCTGTGGACACATGCTGGTCCATCATCCTCGGGCCAGGTTCCTTAACACTCTGATGCTTTTTCCAGGGATTTGTTATTCTACTGTTTCTTTGCTCGGGGAGGTCCCTGCGTCACCCAGGGATAAATGCCGACAAACGTGTTGTGTAAGTCCTACACCTGTCATCAGCTCTCTGGAGAAACTGAAATGTAGACATTTAGAACTTAATTGTTAATCACACATATATTTATGGGAAGGCTGAGGCAGGAGGATTGCCTGAGGCCAGGAGTTCAAGACCAGCCTGGGCAACAAAACGAGACCCCATCTCTCTAAAAAAACAAACAAACATGCCAGGCATGGTGGCTCACACCTGTAATCCCAGCACTTTGGGAGGCTGAGGCAGGCAGACCACGAGGTCAGAAGATTGAAACCATCCTGGCTAACATGGTGAAACCCCATCTCTACAAAAAAAGACAAAAAAAAAAAAAATTAGCCAGGTGTGGTGGTGGGTACCTGTAGTCCCAGCTACTTGGGAGGCTGAGTCAGGAGAATGGCATGAACCCAGGAGGTGGAGCTTGCAGTGAGCCAAGATCGTGCCACTGCACTCCAGCCTGGGTGACAGAGCAAGACTCTGTTTCAAAAAAAAAAATAGCCAGGCACAGTGGTACAACTTCTGCTTTGAAGTTCTTGTGCTTTGGTTCCAGGGATAGACTATAGGTGCCTTTGTAGCCAAGAACACATTGGCTGTGGCTCTGTTGTGAGGTGGCCTGATAATGTTTAAATCAAAATAAGAACGTGGGTTTTGATTATTTTTTTAATCCTCGTTTTACTGTTTCCCAGCTTTATCTGAGCCTCAGTTTCTCCTCTCTGCAAAATGAAGCTATTGATACTCCACAGGAAGCTTAGGATGTATTAAGTTAAAGATCAATGTATGTAAATGCTGCCATAGTGTAGAGCATATGTATCAAGGCATGGGTGAGTCCCAAGATTGGGGCTTAGCCTGGGAGGGTTCTTGGCTTTGCCCAGGAAAGAATTTAGGAGTGAGATGGAGGTGTTAGACAGCAACTTTTACTGAAGCAGCAGCAGAGGCACTGCTTGGTCTCCAGAAAGCACCTTGCTGTCATTACCCCTAGGCCTTCTCACAGGCTGCTTCCTCGGCTGGGAGCCCTCCCTCCTCTTCTTTCCTGGTTCTGGGATGCTGCCCTAAAAACTCAGCTCAGGGGCCCTGGAAGGCTCCTGACTCCACATCCACCTCTGTGCTCCAGCAGCCCTTGGTCCTAACTTTCGGTCCCGTTCCCATGTCTGTCGTCCCACCTGAGTGTGGGGCTCCTGCAGGTGGGGTGGGGTGTGTTCCTCACTGTGTGCAGCCCAAGCACAGGCTCAGGGACCACCCATGGCGCAGCAAACACTCTCAGGGGCTGGGCCAAGCCCCAGAGGAGACAGTTGTGGCCCTGCCCTGTGGGTGTGTGCATGTGTCAGACAGGCAGAGGGGCATGTAGGCACAGCTACACAGTGGGCCAGGCAGGGATGGCTGAGGGCAATGGCCATGGGAGCCCCAAGCAGGGCCCTCCCAGCCTTGGACCCAGAGGGCTTCCCCTAGGCCTCCTGCTTATCCTGGAGCACAGGCTGGAAGGACCTGCCAGCAATGGCTAGCAGCACAGACTCTCAAGACAGCACTCACCAACATGGGGCCAGCTCTCAGAAGACCCTCAGCCTCCCTTCCGGATCTGCCTCCCTGGGAGGCCTCACAGCAGCAGGTTCCTCCAGGGCTCCCTCCAAACTGCAGGCCACAGCCCATCATGCCCATCTTGAAGCCACATTTCCTGCCCATGGGGTAAGGAGCTGGTAAGGACTCAGGGTGTCCCCTGGGATGACAGACTTCCCCACCTCCAGGACAGGGGCTCAGCCTCCAGCCTCCCTCTACCCAAGGCCCTGAGTGACAGGACCTTTGGAGGAGGCAAGGCCCTGCACACACCTCCATTGCGGCCTTCCGGCCTCCAGAGCAATGACAGAGTCAACTCATGTTTCAAGCACCCAGTTTGTGACATTTTGTTATGGCGGCCCCAGGGGACTGCAGAGCGGGTGACATTTACCCCAGCACTCACTGAGTGCAGGCATTGTTCTAAGGGCTCCTCATGAAATACGTCACTTGATGTTTCCAAGAGCTTGTGAGGACAGCGCTGTAGTCCCCCACCATGCAGACAAGGTAACTGAGGCACAGAGATGCCAAGTCACTCACCAGAGGTCACACAGCCCTAGTGGAGGGTCCCAGCCCCGGCAACGTCTCCTGTTTTCTCTGCCTGTGGCTGAAGCTACCCAGGTTTTGCCCCTGCTACAGTGAGCCCAGGACCAGCTGCAGACACGACCCATGCCCAGGTGGCATGGAGCTGGGCACTGGCTGCAGTGAGGCGGTGATGCAGTGAGTCCAGCCTGGAGCTACAGGGGCCTCCGGGGAAGGCTCTCCTGAGGCCACACATGCGTGCACAAGCTGCCTGGACAAATGAGTTTTTCAGAAACACTTGTCCTGGATATCTTATCTTCTCTTCACCTCTGAAAGGGGCTCTGAAAATGCCCATCTGAAAGTTTCTCCCCATTCAGTTCAGAGAAAGAAAAAGAAACTCACTCAAGGAGAGAATTTAAGCAGGGCAGTGTGAGGATGGAGGGGCCCTGCACCCCAGAGCGCTTCTGAAAGATGGTGTCCCAGAGTGTGGAGATGGTGTCACTGTCCTCCTTGGAGATCCAACTCCACGTGGGATCTCCATGTGGTGATCTCCATGTGGAATCACCCAGGGGAAGCTGAGCTCCCCCTCCAGAACCCAGTGGGGAATGCGCTTAGGCTTTGAGGTTCTTGTGCTCTGGTTCCAGAGCTAGGCTACAGGTGCCTTTGTAACCCAGAAACATCAGCCGTGTCTCTGTTGTGAAGCGGCCTGATGTCTAAAATGAAATAAGAACACGGGTTTTGGTTACTTTTTAATCCTTGTTTTACTGCTTCCCAGCTGTATTTGAGCTTCAGTTGTTCCTCTTCTGCATAATGAAGCTATTAATACTCCACAGGAAGCCTAGGACGTTGTAAATTAAAGATCAACATGTGTGAATTGCCTAGTGCCTAGACCGGAGCCACTGCTCACATCTGTAGAAAGGATGGCTCATGGAGGATCAGCATGCTTGGAGCACCGACCACCTCACAGGGCTATTTTAAGCACTTTGCCTGCACTAACCAAAATCTAATCCCCAAAATAACCCTATAAATTAAGCCCCATCTCCGCATTTTGTAGATGAGAAAAGTGAGTCCCAGTGAGCATAAGAAATTGCCCAGGTCCCACAATAGCTAGGGAACAGCAGAGCCAGGTTCACCCTCCAGCCCCACCCTGTATTCCACTGCCAGAGAGGAGGGCTCCTCTCCCCCAAGGTGGCTCCTTCCCAGCTGCTGATGCGTCTCTCTGCACCTCAGTTTCTCTGAGTAAATGTTGAC
Source organism: Homo sapiens (assembly GCF_000001405.40). Taxonomy (NCBI): domain Eukaryota; kingdom Metazoa; phylum Chordata; class Mammalia; order Primates; family Hominidae; genus Homo; species Homo sapiens. The sequence continues at coordinate 47,250,041 of NC_000022.11, read as the reverse complement.
GTCCTTGTTCTTGGAGGATGACATGGGGACAGAGGCTTGGAGGATGTTTTAAGAGAAGATGACATTTCAGACAGGGTGGGCCGGTCCATAACGGATGCCTCAGCAGCTGAGATCAGACCCAAATCAATTTGTGTATCAGGACTGCATAAATACCCACAGCCACAAATCCAGGCAGCTAGCTGCTGCCACTTGCTCAGACCATCGTGTGCTCAACCCGGAGAGGCTACTGCAGCCTGAAATGCCGCTGTTGACCCCAGCTTGTAGTGTGAGATAACCCAGGGACATGTGTGTGCCCCCTCCTCCAGGAAGCCCTCTCTGCCCTCTGGTCTCCTACTTCCCCAGACACGTCTTTGGTATAGCAGACATTCTGACTCCGTGCTATGTGCTGGGCCAAGGAAAACAACTAGCTATGGAATCTGCCCCTGGGGAGTCTCCACCCTGGGGGACAGACACACAAAGGGATGTGAGCATGCCGAGGGCCATGTGGGGCACGTGGCTAAATCCAGCGGGATCCTTAAGGAAGGACTGAGTGGGAGAGTCAATGGGGAGGGGAGAGGAGAGGGCAGAGGTGAAGGGGAAAGGGAAATGGGAGAGAAGTAGGGAGAGGGGAGAGGGAGGGGAGGAAAGGGAAGAGAAGGGAAGGGGTAATGATAAGGAAGAAGAGGGAATAGGAGGGAAGAAAAGGAGAGAAAGAGAGGGAGAGAAATAGGAGGAGAAGAGGGGAAATAAAGGCAGGGAAGTGAGAGGAGAGGAGGGGAGGGAAGAGTTGAGCTGAGACCCAGGCATGGGGCCTCAGCCCGTTGCAGAACATGTTCTGTGGCCATTGACTTTCTCTGTACTAGGAAGGTCTAGAGGGCAGAGACAGACTCTCATTCTTTCACTCCTGATGTTTCTTCAACACCTAGCAGGCACCAGGCTCTGTCCTGAGTGCTGAAGATACACTAAGAGCAAAGCAGACAGACCGACACCCATGGCTGGAGCTCACATCTTTACTCATCTTGGAGCCTCATGCCTCTACCTGGCACACGGAGATGCCCAAAAAAAATGTTGGAGAAAGAAGTAGACTCAGTGTGCAAAGCATGCTCATGAACTGGTGGACACTCCCTGCACCGCACCATTGATGGCTGTTTTCATCCACTTCCGTATTCCTATAAAGAACTGCCTGAGACTGGGTAACTCATAAAGGAAAGAGGTTTAATCGACTCACAGTTCAGTATGGCTGGGGAGGCCTCAGGAAACTTACACTCGTGGCTGTAGGCAAAAGGGAAGCAAGGCACCTTCTTCACAAGGCAGCAGGAAGGAGAAGTGCTAAGTGAAGGGGGAGGAGTCTCTTATAAAACCATCAGGTCTCTGAGAACTCACTCACTATCATGAGAACAGCATGGGGGAAGACACCCTCATGATTCAATTACCTCCACCTCATCTCTCCCTTGACATGTGGGGATTATGGGGATTACAATTCAAGATGAGATTTGGATGGGGACAAAAAGCCTAACCATATCAATGGCTCAGCTCAAGATGCAGGTAGTGATGATAAATGCTCAAGAAACCATTTCTTTGTCAAAATGCAGAGCTCATGGGAAGCTCACGACATGTGGCTGGAACTGCAAACACCCGATGTTCCAAATAGCCGTCAAAAGGCTGGATTTCCCATTTTCTCCCTCACCTCAAACATTATCCATTCTCTCGTGAAAGCCACAGCTACAGAGAAGCCACACAAGAGCAGAGCCTGCTGCTCACTTCACAGCCTGCTGTGATTGTGGAATCAGTGAGTGAATGAACAATGAACAAATGTATCGCACAGTCCAACCACCTTAGGTTACAGACGAGGAAATGGAGACTCTAAAGGAGGAAGTCTCATCTGAAGTTGCTGAATTGTTCAAAAGGGTCGGATTCAAGGAAGTCTTCCAGCAAGAGGTGGGCAGGGCATCAGGTCCAAGGCTGGGTCCTCTCCCACTGTGGGGTTCGAAAGCCAAAAGGAGGCCATTTGGACGGACAGAGCATGAGCAGCAGGGCCCAGGTGCAGCTGCAACAAGGGAATTCCAAAAAAGCACAGGTTCTCCGGGACACCCTCCAGATATTTGGTCTGTGGCGATGCATCCCATCCTGGGGTTCCCTCCTGTTGAACCTGCTCACCCGGACCTGCTCACCTGTGTCTGCTCACCTGGACCTGCTCTCCTGGACCTGCTCATCCAGACCTGCTCACCCAGACCTGCTCACCCAGATCTGCTCACCTGGACCTGCCCTGGTGGGACCTGCTCAGGACAGCTGACCTTGTATCAAGCCCTTTGTGGGTGGCCCCCTGCTGCAGTGGACCTAGGGCACCCTCCGCAGGCCGGGGTGTGCAGTGAGTACCCAGGCTCTGTCCACCGTGAGTCCCCTGGTGCAGATCCACAGACCTTCCCACTCCCAAAGCCGGCGACAGGAGCTGGCTGTTTTTGTGAACACAGCTCTTCCTTCCCCCAACAATCCTTTTTTTTAAGTTTAAACGACCATAATTTTCCTTTTATGCCCTTGCATTTGTTTTCCAAGAAGATGATTACCCATTCATGGAGTATTAATGATCTATTAATGTGGAAAGACTGGGGAGAGAATGGGCTTGTGAAAGAACACATATTTTTATTCAAATAAATTACATGGATTTTTTTATTAAACTGCTCCACTTATAATGGACACTTAGTCACAGCCCTTTCTGGGCATCTGCTGCCAATTCCCCTCCTTCATTACTGCCACACCGAACAAAAGGTCTATTCAGAGCACAGGCCATTTGGAAGTCCAGGATGGCCCCGAATCTCGGCACACCCGCTGCTTGGTCATTCGGTACAGCTCATCCCTCTAACGCAATTCTGCAGAAATAAATCAGACTCGGAGCTGGTGCGGAGGAGGAGAAAGTGCTCCCTGCCCTGAGCCCTGCTTTTCCAAGTTCTTCTCCCCCAGGGCCAGGTTCACACCTCCTATCAGCTGTGTCTGAGCGGCCTTCCCATTTCACCACTGACAGGCACTGCAGGTTGACCAGCCAGCCCAAAGCTCCCCTCCTAAGCAGGCACTCAGCCTCACATCTACTCTTACTGTTCAGGTAAAACTCTTTCTCCTGATGGTGCTGTCTTGGTCACATTCTCATGCAATGACAGCCACCTAAGCCGGCCATGACACCATCTGTCCTAAATGAATCACTGAGTCCCAACAAAACCAGGGCTGAGTTTGGCCACAGAGACAACATCCTTCCAGTGCCGCCTCTGGGATTCTTCCTGTCGATGTGGCTTAGAAGACAACCCCATCTCCTGGGTGCTCGGACTGACGTGTTCCCTGGTGCTGCCTCCCAGAACTCAGGGTCCTACATTATGGCTGGCTCGGGACAGACCACACACACACACACACACACACACACACACACATACACACACACACACACACAGCACCCCTGGAGGAGAGAGGCGGCACCAGGACCCAGTGACTCCAGGTCTCCAGTTAGCAGTTAGCTTCTGCCCCAGGTTGGCTGCATGTCTTTGTAGTTAGTCACAGCCCTTTCTGGGCACAGTTTGCACACTGAACTCTTCTCTGTGCCTCAGACTTCTCATTGTAAAGTAGAAACCATCAAGACTCACCTGTACTCCCCTCACAGGAGCCGTGAGCATCAAATAAAACAATAGAATAAAATAGTGTTGTTATCATTACGATGGCTGAAATGACAGTATCAGGGCTCGAGATTGTGCAAGCAGCTTTAGTGACCTTACTTCTAATTCAGAACAGTGCAAAAGGTCTCATTATTCCACTTGATGGAGAAACCAAGTGCATGGAGATTACCTGACTTGCCGAAGATGACACTGGTAAAAATGGCAGAGCCAAGTTTCCCACACTCCACCCCACACTGACCTCCCTTCTTCTGGGAAGTGTCTTTAGTTCTCTGGAGTTTGAGGAACCCCCGCTCCCTTCCATGCCCCACAGAACATCAGTGGCAAGTATTTGCAATGGCTTCGCTGAAGCTGTGGCTTGGTCATTGTCGTACGTGTTCATATGTGAAAACCAAACAGGTCCAACAACCTCAAAGGAAGTGAATCTGCCCAGCACTGGCCCCTAGGAGGACTCGCTGGAGATGTGGGCAGGGGCCGGATCCCATGGGACCCATGAGCCTTGGGACAGCCTGGGTTCATTCCATAAGCAGTGGAAAGCCATGGAAGACCTCCATTTCTAAAGAGGGTTTCTCTGGCAGCTCAGCAGCACTCGACATTTCTGACAGCTCCTGTCCTGGAACACTGCCTGCCTTCAGATTCTGCATGGTCCTGCTTGACCTCTGTGTCCCAAGGCCGTCACAGGGCTTCAGGGCCTCCCAGCCCTGGGAAACCCATGGGCCCTTGGGGGTCAGGAGAGCACCGTTTGGGTCCTACCACAGTGAGGAATAGGCCTTGAGTGAGTCCTTCACCTCTCAGGCCTCAGTCTCCTGATGTGTAAAATTGAATGTTTGGACTGGATGGTCTTCGTGTGATCCTCCCAGCTTACCTGAGGACTGGAGACACCTGCTGGGGGAATCTGGGGAGGTTCCCCCTAGCTTCCTCCCTAGGTAACCTCCTCCTGAGTAACACCCTCCCTAGGTAAGCTCCTCCTAGGTACCTCCTCCCAGGTACCCTCCTACCTAGATAATTTCTTAGGTAATGTCTTCTCTAGGTAACCTCCTCCCTAAGTAACCTCCTGGAATCTTCTTCCTAGGTAACCTCCTCCCTAGATAATTTCTTAGGTAATCTCTTCCCTTAGGTTCCCGAAGTAACCTCCAAAAACCTTCTTCCTCCCTAGGTAACCTCCTTGGAACCTTCCAGGTCACCTAGGACCACAGTCACTCCTGCCTGTGCAGAATCCCCTCAGTCAGGGGGTTTCCCCCATGGGCAGATTCCGGCTTCCACTTCTAAAATATTTTATGCATCTGCATTTTACATTCTGTATCTGACAACTCCAGTACATGAACTCCTTGGGGGTCTAAATCTGTGCTTGTTATTTTTGCTGACTCTATCATGGCAGTGTTTCCTGGTGTGTTGGTAAAATCTTCATTATGAGCTCATATTCTGTTGATCTTAATCTATGGGTGTCCTGAAGGCTTACATTGAGGGTGCATTCCTCCAAGAAGGATTTGGTTTTCTTCTTCCAGTACCCTGGGGTTGATTCGGACCTAGGATCACAATATCCCCTTAAGGCCTCAGGCTGCTGAGGAAGGGTTGAGTTCAACTCCTTCGCCTTGCTGGGGACTCAAGCCCCACCCTCCAAATAGCAGCTCTTGAGACAAATGTTCTCCACACACTTAGGGCTCATACTGAAGCTCTATAAATGCTTAGGAGGTTTCTTTGTCCTAATTTTCCCTTTAGTGATGTCTCCCATTTGTCAGCAATACACCAGAAACTATGTTTGCAGCAGAGTTCTGCTTCTAGTGAGGATTTAGAAGATAAAGATCATTACTTCACCATGACAGCAAGAAAACACCATATAAACAACAAAATCATAATAGTAAGCCTTCAAAGAGCTATAAATGCAGAGAAGTCTAAATGAACCAAATTCCAAATAAATACAAGGCCTTCATAGGTGAGCAGAGACCAATGTCTGCCAACACATCTAGGATGGTTACCAAGGCTGGGAGCTGGGTGGGCGGAGGCATGAGCCTGGCACAGGCAAGGAGGCTACAAGCTCAAGGAGAAACCAGCTGAACATTTTAGCACTGTAGGCTTAAATGACAGAGTGGAATTTGAAAGAGCCTATAAAATAAAAATAATCCCTATTACTCGACAATTCTACTATAATCTCAGACAATTCTAAGTAAGAGGCAAAGACGGGTGAGGCCAGAAAGCAGATAGAGCTCTTGTAGTCTCATGATGTTTAGATTCCAGATTCCAGGACCGTCCTGGGGATGGAGGCAGGGTGGGAGATGTTTGACTTCATTCTCAGAACAGTTGAATTCACAGGTGAACTGCAATTAGCCAAAGCTGTAACTGAATCAATCAACTCGACTCCTGATAAGACCACAAAAATAAGGCCCTCCATGGAGGTAGCAAGAGAAATTGGGGGTTGGAATTGAGGGCAAAGAGACATTGTCATAGTCTCCCAGGGGCTGGGCCTGGGGGTATCAGAAGACCTAACCTCAGCCTCAATACTTTTGAATCAGAGAGGAACTAAAATGAATGAAAGCAATGGCCCATTCCCAGCTCAGTTGAACTCTTGGTTGAAAATATGACCAATCATTAAGAAAATAAGACAGTTAATAGAGGCAGAGACATATGACCCAGATGGAATTAGCACATAATAATGTTAAATTTTTATTATAAATGTTTAAACTAATTTAGGGAAAAATATGGTCTGAATGAGCTAACAAGGAGGAAATTTTAGCAGCAAAATGAAAGCTCTACAAAATAAAATAAAACTATAAAACTATAAAATATTATTCATGAGGCAGATAATGTATTGAATGGGTTGGACACAGATCTAATCAACATATCCAAAAATTTTAGTAAACCCCAAGCAGAGTACATCTAAATAAAATCATACTTAGCAAATCCTAGTCAAATTGTTGAAAAACAAAGATAAGTAGAAAAATCTTGGCCAGGTGTGGTGACTCATGCCTGTAATCCCAGCACTTTGGGAGACCGAGGTGGGCAGACTGCTTGAGGCCAGAAGTTCAAGACCAGTCTGGACAACATGGTGAAGCCCCATCTCTACTAAAATACAAAAATTAGCTGGACATGGTGGCACATGCCTGCAATCCCAGCTACTCGGAGGCTGAGGCATGAGAATCACTTGAACCTGGGAGGTGGAAGTTGCAATGAGCTGAGATCGCACCACTGCACTCCAGCCTGGGTGAGAGAGCGAGATTCTGTCTCAAAAAAATTTAAAAAAAGGAAGAAAAGAAAAAAAGAAAAATCTTAAAAGCAGGCCAAGATAAAACAGAGAGAAAGATATTAGTTTTAGTGAAAGGACACAAAGAATAATGGCTGACTTTTCATCAAAAACAGTGGAAGTGAGAAGACAATGAATGACCTTTTTAAAGTGCTGAAAGAAAAAAAAAATTGTCAACCTAAAATTCTATGTCCAGCAGAAACATCTTTTAAAAATTGAAGGCAAAATAAAGACATAATTAGACAAACAAAAGCTGATATAATAAATTGCCAGCAAACCCACACTACATAAAATACTAAAGGAATTTGATCAATAATTGAAAACCCAGATCTGCAGGGAAAAATGAAAAAAGTCAGAAATGGTAAATATATAAATATAAAAGACTAATTCAGAACTTCCTTCAACAGATTATTGAATGTTTGAAGCAATAATATTATCAAACTATGATGTTTATAACATTGGAATAAATATATGGCAACAATAGCACAAAAAGCATGAGAGGTTAAAGGAAATTATACTGTTGTAACGTTCTTATACCGGAAATGGTATAATATTAATGCAAGGTACACTGCGATCTTTTAAGGGTGCATGTTGTAATACCTAGAGCAACCCCTTTAAAGAAAAGAGAGACTAAAAGGCTAAGAAAGGACATAAAATGGGATACTAGAAAATACTCAGCTACTCCATGAGAAAGCACTAAACAGAGAATAGATGTAACAAATAGAAAACAAATAATAAGAAAGTAAATGTAAACCCAAATTTATCAGTAATTTATTTAAAGGTAAATAGAATAAACAATCCAATTAGCAATCAAGATTGTCAGATGATATAAAAATTAAAATAAAATTACATTATAGGCAAAGTTCTTGTTAAGTCATAGATGCAAAAATTTTGAACAAAGTATTAGCAAGTCAAAACCTCTGTGCGTGTGTGTGTGGTGTGTGTGTGTGTGTGTTCGTGTTTTAACGTATTATAAACAAGTAAGATTTATCCCAGGTGCAAGGTGCAAGTTTGGCTTAATATTTAAAACTCAATATAATTCACCAAATCAACAGAATAAGGAGGAAAAAAAATCATCTCAATAGATGCAGAGAAAGAATTTGATAAAATTCAATACCCATTCAAGGTTTTAAAAAGAAAAAACTCTCAGTGAACTAGGAATAGAGGAAGTGTTCTTAATCTAATAGATTATCTGCAAAAGAAAACTCTGAAGCTAACATCATACTTGATGAAACATTGAATGCTTTCACTCTGCAATTAAGAAAAAGGCAAAATGTATTCTTTCACTACTTCTACTCCACATTAACGGAGGTACCCTAGTTTGTGCAGTAAGATCAGAAAAGGAAACAAATGGCAAAAAGATTGAAAAGAAAGAAGTAAAAGAGTCTTTATGGGCAGACATGACTGTGCAAATGGAAAATCCTAAGAAAAAAGAAACTATTAAAATTAACAGGCGAATTTAGCAAAACTTCAGAATATGAAGTCAATATACAAAGATTAATTTCTATGTATTAGTAAGAAATAATTGAAAAACTGAAAAATTAAATACAATTTGTAACAGAATCCAAAACCATTCAATGCCTAAGAATACATTTAATGTTTAAATGTGTAAGATCACTGTGTTATAAACCAAAAAGGTTGGGAGAAATTAATTTTTTAATACATGAACAGATATGCCATATTCATAGATTGGAAAATGCAATCGTGTTAAGATATTGATGCTCTTTACTCATCTATAGCATCTATTCAGCCTCAGTCAAAATTCTAGCTGGCTTTCTGTAGAAAGTGAAAAGCTTATTCTAAAATTAATCTAGAAATGTAAAGGGTCTAGAACATCCGAGAAAATCTGAAGAAAGAAGAATAAAATTCTTCTTTCCAATTTCAAGATTTGGAAAGATCTTGAAAGATTGGAAAGGACACTTTCCAATTTCAAGATTTACTATAAAATTCCAATAATTAAGAGTAGGTTGTCCTGTCGCGGGGTGGAGGGAGCGGGGAGGGATAGTATTAGGAGATATACCTAATGTAAATGACCAGTTAATGGGTGTGGCACACCAACATAGTGCATGTATACATATGTAACAAACCTGCACGTTGTGCACATGTGCCCTAGAACTTAAAGTATAATACTAAAAAAAAATACAAAAAAAAAAGAGTAGGTTGTGTTAGTGCAAAGATAGACAAGTAGATCAATGAAATAGAATAGAGTCCAGAAATAGATCCACACCTAAAGAGTCCACTGAGGCACTAGAGCAATTCAATAGGAAAAGGAAAGTCTTTTCAGCAAATTATAGTGGAACAATAGCTAAATGTATGGGGAAAAATACATTTTGTTCCCTACCTTGCAACATACACAAATATTAATTCAAGGTGTATCACATGGAGCCATGAATCTTTTAAAAGAAAACATCTGCACAATCTTGGAGTAAGAAAATATTTCTTAGAGAAGTCACAAAGAAGTAATAATAGAAGAAAAATATTTAACTTCATCAAAATTTAAAACTCCTGGTCATCAAAACCACCATAAAATGAAAGCAATTCAAAGATAAAGGGAAAATATTCACGAAACAAATATCTGACAAAGAACTCAAAAACACAATATCTAAATAACTGCCATAAGCCAATAATAAAAAGACAACCCTGTCAGGCATGGTGGCTCATGCTTGTAATCTCAGCACGTTGGAGAGCAGAGGCAGGTAGATTGCTTGAGCTCAGGAGTTCCAAACCAGCCTGGCAACATGTAGAAACCTCGTTTCTACTTAAAAATTACAAGGAACCCGCCGTTTGCTGCCAATTTCCCTCCTCCTGCCCACCAGGGCTGCGGCCATGCTCTAGGGAAAGGGCAGCCTCCTGGGACCGTCAGTGGTGCTGATCAGACGTAAGGCCCCCATCTGAGTGAAGGAAGGACCATCTGCAGTTGGGGGGGCTGGTGTCTGGGGGGTGCATGAGGAACCGGGAGTGGGCACTGAGGGGAGGGGTTTTCCCCACTGCAGGGTCAAGCACGAAGGTAGATTCTGCTCACGTGTCCTTATTAAGAATTTCCTCCCACCCTCTGTTCTGCAAAGGACAAAGTAAATATCACAGGGCCTTGTCTGCCTCTGATGTAAATTTCTGCGAACAGGAGTCAACATCTCCTTCCTCCTAGGTGCCCCAGGAGGATCAGGTGAGGTTCCTTTAGGGGGGCCTGGAGGCTGGCACCTGCAGCGGCTGGGGCAGGGGCACCCTCCTAGCGGAAGACTTGTACCCAAACTTTGGCTGGGACCCCCACCTGCTGGGACCTGACCCTGGGTTCTGCTGCCTGCTCAGCTTTCAGTCTTTTCATTGTATTCCTGACATCTCACCTCTCAGGACCCTTTGAACTTGGCCACAGAAAATGATGCTGCAGGTGGATTCATAGCATCCCCAACTCCTAGGAGATTTAAGCAGGCCAACGAAATCACAGCTTCTGTTTTAAATGCACAAGTGACGAGGCGTTCACCAGCTCTCTGGGCTTCAGGAGATGAGGCAGGAACTTGCAGCCTTCAGGCCCACCGAGCAGTGACCAGTTAGCCATCCCTTTATGCCTGCACTTGGGATGGGAGCTGAAATACAAGAGCCCCGATGCTATGAGTGGGTAACACACAACCTAACCCCATCCACAGGATCGGATGGGAATGAGGTCACCATCAGTTCTTAGATTCCAACTGTTCATTTGACCCTTGGCTTCCTTGTAGCTAAAACAAAACGGGGAGAGATAAGTAGGAACATGACTCAGCTGTCACATCCATGAGAAGTCCATTCCCTCTTTCCATCCATGCCTGGCCTGGAACTCAGATACCCAAGGAAATGTTCACAGGGGACCCTGTGACTCCCCGTGGACAACGGCCTTAACATCATCGCTAAAGGCCAGTGAGCTATCTGTACGTCCTGCCCTGACCCACAGCCCTGCTGTAATTGCACTCCACACAGTGACGCCAGCAAGACTCTGGCCACTCTCCCTGCAACCCTCAGAATTTGTCTTGCACCCCAAAAGAGCAGAGTCAGCTGCCCCTTGTCTACCCTGCACATCCGGAAATGTCCCCTGGACTCTGGGGTGCTCCTCGGCCTGGGACCATGATGAATTCTTTTCTTCAGAGAAAATGGATTTAAATTTAATTGCTGCTTGAAAGAGAAGGGGTGGGGGCAGCTGGGGAGGAGGGACTGGAACAAAAGAGGGAAAGCAAAGGCCTGATCAATTGTTTCAATTTAAAGAGGCTGCAGTAAAATGGTTAGAAGACAGAGTTATGTGCCTCCCGAAAATGTGGCAATAAATAAGGGAAATCACCCAGAACAAATAGCACCAGCTGTTTAGATGAACAGAGGAGCCAGGAAATGTGAAGGATAAATGACTGCAACTGAAAATGGAGGGGCAGGACCGGCAGCTGGTGGGAGGGAAGCAGGGCCCCCCCTAGGCAGGTGCCTGGTCTGAGCAAGGAGGCAGGGTGCTCTGAGGAAGGAGAACTAGGGACCCTCTTACTCCCAGCCAGAGATGTGCTAGGGGGCCAGGGACCCTCAGGGGAAGCAGAAAGTCCCTGGGGGGAAATTCACCAACCTCCCTGCAATGCAGACCCATCTCGTAACCATCATTTATTCATTCAACAAACATTCCATGTGCAGGGAACAGATGAGCACCAGATGTAGCTCTGTCCTCCTGGGGAAAGAGATGCCTGCATGGGGGGCAACCACATAGTGGTCAGGACTTTGATGACCCCAGGCTGGGAAACAGGACACTGCTCTCTTTCAGGCTGGGAGGAGAACAAGCCTAGACGGGAATCCTGAGAACATGACCCTTGAGGGTGTGACGAGGTGGATGAGAGGATGGAAATGCAGGGAACGGCCACCCAGGCTGAGGGAAGAAGGCAACAAGTTCAGTGAGAACCGTGACTGGTCAGTGTGGCTGGGCTGTGCAGTGCATGTGTGGAAGATGGAGCTGGGTGGTGGTCAGGGCCTAATCAGACACCCTTGTTCTCATGCCCAGAGTTTAAAGAACTCTCGTCCCCTCCACCTCCCTTCATCTTCATGAGGGCTTGGCTTTATAGGCGGGGAATGCAGGCTCAGAGCAGGCAACTGATCTCCCAAGGTCACACAGCATCTGGCTCCAAAGCTATCCCCTTTCTACCCCATGACCTGCCTGGATTTCCCTGGAAGACCCCCTCCCTGATGAGCCACTTGGTCCCTGAGACCCTGGCAGAGGTTAGGTCACACTGAGCTGGCTCTTGGGATCCAATGAGTTGGTTTTGCAGAACCACCACCCGGTTCCCCACCTGGGTCCAGGAGTTACACCAAAGGATGTCCCTCCACATGGAAACATGAGGGATCAGGAAGAAGTGTTCCCATCTCCCAGCTCTGAGCTGAGGCAAAATGGAAAGAGGCCTGGGTCTGGCATCTGCCTCTTACTGCCATGGAATCCATGGACAAGTCATCTCATGGAGTCTCAGTTTCCCCATCTGTGAAATGGGGACAAATAGAATATAAAAGTTTAAAGGAGCCACAGAAGTTACCAAACCCAACCCCTTAAACTATGATCAGTCTCTACTTGCACACCTGTAGAGTTAGGATACTCACTACATCTCTAGGCCATTCACCTCAGATCTGAGGGTTTAAGAAGGTTTCTTTATATCAAGCCAAAGTTTCTTTCTTTTCTCCTAAAGCCACACAGAGTGCACGTGGTTTGGAGCAACTTCTCTAAGCCCTTGCCATCCTCACTCCCTCTCCCTTCCATCTTCCATACAATGCCTAGAATATCCAGCCTTGGTTCACAGCAAGGGCAAAGCTTCTGCAGAATCACCAGGTGGTAAGAAAAACCCCAGTTCTCACTCCTTTTTGAGGGCTAATAACGTTTTCCAAAATGTTTCCTGCCTTCATCATATAAACTTCTAGATGAGGCAAATGCTGGTACCCAGCCCTTGCTAATAACTCTGATGAGCTACTTAACACTGGGCAAGTCATAATAGCCCCCCTGTGCCTCAGGTTCCCCACACGTAAAGTGAAGATTATAATATCTCCTCATAGAGCTTTTGTGAGAACTAAACGAGTTAATTTAGATAACATGCTTAAAATAGTGACTAGCAAATAGTAAGCACAATACAGACCACAATATATACTAATATATAATGATGGTGGTCATTGCCATCACCATCATCATTACCATCATTACCTCATTATCACTATTGTCATCATGATCATCAATATCATTGTCATCACCACCATCATTGTTGTCATTGTCATCTTCACCATCACCATCAACCATGATCATCACCATCATTATCCCATTATCATCGTTGTCATCATTATCATCATCACTATCATTGTCATTGTCACATCATCATCATCACCACCACTACCATCACCATCATCATTAAATCACCACCATTACCATGATCATTATTGTATCATTGATGCCACTTTTTCATTCATCAGATGAGCAGTTTGCAATAGGTGCTTTGAAGTGGATCCTCTTGTGCTGGAATTTAGATATGCTTCTGCTCTCAATCCTTGTCACACATTTCTGCTGCCAAGTAACTGCTGCATTGCAGATGAATTTGAGGTCATTTGCACCATTGGACTAATTGACCTAAGCAGCCTTAATGAACTCAGTGCCTTCCCATCCCGCCCTCAGAATGAAAGGGCTGCTCCCTCTCTGCTCATCCCTGACCCAATGGCCTTCTCTGAGCAAAGTGTCACTCAAAGGAAAGTGGTGACACATGTCTCACTGGCAATATTCATTTAGAGCAACCCAGCTCCACCTTCATGCCTATAAAACCCAAGGCAATTTTAGTCTACTCCACGCTAACCTGGTACATCTGATGTTTCCATAGTAACTACCTGACCCATATGTTCCCAGGCTTTTCCAGGTGTGTCTTCCCAACATGCTGAGGATTTGACACCTTTACTGCCAAGCCATGACCCAGGCCCCACCATCTCTCATCTGGATGATTGCAGCCACCTCCTGTCTAGCTCCAAGGCTCCAGATTTGCCTCCCCCAGTCCATCCTTCACATTTCACATTGTCACTATTCCAGTGAGATTTCTTTTTTTTTTTTTTTTTTTTTTTTTGAGACGGAGTCTCACTCTGTCACCCAGGCTGTAGCGCAATGGCACGATCTCAGCTCACTGCAAGCTCCACCTCCCAGGTTCACGCCATTCTCCTGCCTCAGCCTCCCGAGTAGCTGAGACCACAGGCGCCCACCAACATGCTAGGCTAATTTTTTGTATTTTTAGTAGAGGCAGGGTTTCATCATGTTAGCCAGGATGGTCTCGATTTCCTGACCTCGTGATCCGCCTGCCTCGGCCTCCCAAAGTGCTGGGATTACAGGCGTGAGCCATCCAATGAGATTTCTAAAAGGCAAATGCGATCAGGTCCCCACTGTGAATGAGATGAAGTGCAAGCTGTTCAGCCTGAAACTCAGTGACCCCCAGGACCTGTCTCTCAGCCTCAACCTTTTCCGTTTTGTCTTTGGCTATCCCTGCCCATATCAGTTCCTGCCACACTCCATGCCAAAAATGTGCATGGATTCTCTTCCCTCTGGTAAAGGAGGCCCTCGTCCCCATCCCCTGTGTTCACAGATCAGCATTCAATCATTTCTTAAGTCTCACCTTACACAAGTCACCTCTTCTGGGAAGCCCTCCTGATTCTCCAGCAGACATGACCTCCATTGGACCCCCCACTACACTGACTAGATTTTGCTAATGTCTCTGTTTACAAATAGGTATCCACCAAGTATGCACTGAAAGACTCGAGGGTGAAAACCACAGCAGAACCATCTCTGAATCCCAGGACTTGGCACAAAGGGATGCTCAGAAAGTGTTTAATGAAGTAATGATTGGATAGATGGATGGATGTGTGCATGCCTGCATGTATATATGATGGGTGGATGGATACACGAATGGAGAGGTGGGAGAGAGATTTGAGGATGGGAGAATGAATGGATGGATAGATGGACAGATGGACAGATAGATGGATGAATAGATTCATTCATGGCTAGGTGGGTTAGTGGATGGATGGATGGATACATGGATGGATGGATGGATACATAGATGGATGCATGGACGGATGACTAGGTGATGGGTGGACAGATGGGCAGATTCATGGATGAATGGATGGGTGGATGGATGGGTGGGTTGATGGGTAAATAGATGGTCAGATTCCTGGATAGACGGATGGATGGGTGGATGCTTCAGTGGACAATAGGTGTATATGTAGGTTATTATTTTTAAGCCCAATTTGAAAGTATTTTTTCTGAGTAAAAAAATTAAGCTTATTTATTTATGACCCAAATTGATATGGTTGATCTTCTAAACCTTTGCTTTATGCTTTTTAGGTTTTGTGCTTATTTTTTGTGCTCCTTCTTTTTCCTAAAAAAAAAATTTATGTGAGTATGAATATGGTCATTTGGGGGTTTTATTCCTAACCAGTGATTTTTAAAGTATGAATCCTGTGGGCTTTTTTTCATTCTATAAGAGATTACCTTTATGTTGCTGATAAGGTTTGGCTGTGTCCCCACCCAAATCACATCTTGAATTGTAGTTCCCATAACCCATACGTGTTGTGGGAGGGACCTGGCAGGAGGTAATTGAATCATGAGGCTGGTCATCCTTATGCTGTTCTTGAAATAGTGAGTTCTCATGAGATCTGATGGTTTTATAAGGAGCTTTTCCCCCTTTGCTTAGTACTTCTCTCTTCTGCTGCCCTGTGAAGAGGTGCCTTCTGCCATGATTGTAAGTTTCCTGAGGCCTCCCAAGCCATGCAGAACTGTAAGTCAATTAAACCTCTTTTCTTCATAAATTACCCAGTCTTGGGTATTTCTTCATAGCAGTGTGAGAACAGACTAATACAGTTATTAAAATTGTTTTTTAGTTTACAAGTCTCTACAGGTCAAAGACAAGAATGAGCTGTTCTTTTGACTTCTTCCTTTTAAGGAAAAATAGTGAATCCACTCTCTGTTCAGCAACCAACCTCCCTATCCCCTACTGACGCAGGATTTTTCTTGGCCACTTTGAATGCTGGAGACCTCCAGCTGGCGATGCCCATGCCCAGGCCTCACTCAGCCCCAGGCTTGCCACAGGAGGTGCCCCACCCACTTGGCCCATTGGGCCATACTTGGCTTGCACTCCAGTGCAGATCCCACGGCCTCCATGACTGCACACTCAGCCCCTGGCAGGAGGAGGTGTATGGACGAGTGAGTGTGGGGTCTGGCTGGCCACTCCAAGCACTGGCACAGGAGCGGGCCCTGTACAAGGCTTGTGGCTGGACCAGGCATGTTGCAAGCAACTCCCATGGTGGACTCTAGTGTCCAGACAAGCAGAAGGCGGTGGCACCCAAGCAGGGAAGCCCATGACCCTGAAGCCTCAGAGGGGTGTTACAGGGTGCTAATAGCTCTTTTAGTCCCACTGCAGCCCAACGAATGGGGGCATGTTAACAGCTCTGTCAGTCCCATTGCCCCACTCCAGCCTGTGGCTCTGGGGCTGGCCCAGCCCCACCACTGCTTTCCATCATATGGGGCAGCTGCCAAGCACCGATGGTGGGGCAGAGGGCTACATTGTTACTGCCTTCTTCATACCCACATTCGGTGGGGTCCTGAGTTCTTGTCCCATGTCCAAGAAGAATGAGATTATGCTGACAATCAAAAATTGAGAAGGGTGGAGATGAGTTTTATTAAGTGATGAGCCAGCTCTCAGTGGAGAGAGGATGTGAGCATGGTACCCCACCCAAAGTTGGGTGGTTTCTCTCCCAGTGTGACTGGGTCCAGAGCTTTTTATGGGCTCAGAATGGGGGAGTGTGTGCTGATTGGTTTGTGAGTATTCAAAAATGGCTAAAACAAAGGCAACATTCAAAGGTGGGCAAGACAGTGTAAAAAACCAATTAGGGAAGGGTAGGTATATGTAAAATAGGTGAAGGGTGGGGATCAATCAGAGGAAAGTGCGCCAAATGGGAAGAGAGGTTCTCAAGCCAGTCCGTGGATTTATCTGAGACTTGTAGCTTGGCCTTCAGGCTTTAAACTGCCTTTGGTTTGAAGGTGGGGTTTCACCAGGAACCCACCCCTATCTACTGAGGCATTTGATTGCCTCCTGCGACTATCACTACCCTACCACCAGTGGAAATGTTGGGGGCAGTAGATGCATCAGGAAGATCAGATGCCTAGGGCCCATTCCCCAGGATGCAGCTGGGTTGGAGGAATGCAGTGGTTCTGTAGACCAGTGCCTTGGGCTCCCTTCTTGATTCAGCCTCTGACTGTGCCTGCCCACGGAGCCTCTTTGGTCAGCTCTGGCCCTGGCCCAGAACAGCCCCCGGTGGGTCTGTCGATACCAGAGCTGTCATCGTGCCCCAGGAGAAGCTGCCATCCAGCATGTGTGCCCGAGTTCTGGGTCGATGATCTTTGCTATAGCAACCAAGCATTTTGAATGGAAATGCACACTGAGTAATTGAAGGCTATTTTTTCTCTCTGCTAAAGCAAGAGAAATCCCATGTTGGCTGTCATTTATATGCAGGGTGCTCCAATCCTGTAAAGGAAGACCATGTTCCGAGAGAAAAACATTCCGAGGCAGAAGGGAACGGCACAAGCTGTGGGCCTGCCCTGCCAAGCTGGGGGCAATTCCTTCACACATATCATGCTGTTTAACTCCCACAACAGCCCTGTGAGGTGGGGACACCAAACCCCATTGCATATGCAAGGGACAGGAGAAGAGATGAAACCCACCCCTCATGGGCAGCAACTAAACAGTGGGATGGGATTCTGACCCCAAAGGTGTGATCCCACGCCATGTCTTATCTGCCTTGACTGCCGGGTTTCCCTCCCGTGAACTCCTCCTGACCTTCTCCTCTGCCCCCATTGGCCTCTCCACCTGGAGAACAGAGGATTTCCCTAAGGAGACACGTGAAGGTTAACAGCACAGGCCTCTAGGGGAGAAGAGCCCTGGCTGGAGTCCTGGCTTTACCTCTTTCCATCTAGGAGATGGGGGACACATTTCATCGTCTATCTGGAATCTTCATTTTCTTAGCTCCACAAAGATAGTGGAGCATGACCTTCTGGGGTTGTTGAGAGGATTAACGAGGTAAAAGCCCTGGCCCGTGGATGGCACTGGCAGGGACTCAGGAGGAGGTGGCATTGTAATCATCACAGCGCAGCTCTCTCTGGTTGGCACAGTGTGCTCTGAAGGCTCTCCCTTCTCCCTCCTGGCATCTTTCGTCTCCCAGTTGGGTTTCAGAATCCGTGACTGTGAAGACATGGCCTCTCATTTCTTTGCAGCTGCAGAGAAAGCTCCAACACGAAGCTGAGACAAGGAGTGAGGCCCCCAGAAGAATGGGGGTAGGAACAAGGAGAAGGGCTTGGGACCAGGCTTGACTAAGTCCTATAGCTTCGAGGGATGAAGATGGAGGTGACAGAGCTTGGTGGTTGGGGTAGTGGGAGAATCCAGGATGCTTAGTGTCATGGAAGCCAGGGGAGGAGGAGGCACCAAGATGGAGCATGTGTGCCAAGCCCTCAAGGATGCAAAAAGGCTGAGCAGTGAGAAGCCATGGGGAAGGAACTGGATTTGAAAATGGGGTGTGGGGGTTGGGGGCTGCTGGAGACCTCAGGGGAGCAGGGGTATGCAGGGCACAGAATATAGACCACTAAGCTGGGGAACCTTCAGTTACTGAGTGCAAGTTCCCAATGGGTGATAAGTTTCCTCCACGGTAACCCAGCCTGTTGTTATCCAGCTAATACTTGATTACCTCTGTTGATGGGCAATTCTCTCCTCCCAAGGACAATTGCCCTATTTGGGGACAGCTCTAAACAGTTCTTGGAAGGATTTTCCTTTTCCCTTAACTCAAGTCTGTTTCTCTTTATTGTCTTGTTTTGCAATAGTATTTTATTTTTTGAACATTTTCCAAGTGTTTAAATTTTGTCAAAAACATATAAAATCTAATATTTTATTCTAAAATTAATATTTATTTATAATGTTATTTATACTTAAAGATGAGTTGGTGGCTTAACAAGGAAGATCAAAAGACTTTCTCAATCCCCATCTGCACCATCAATGTCTAAAAATGCTAAAATGATGAAAGGGAGGAATCTACTCCAAGGAAACTGGGTGAAACTGTAAGTAAAAAACAAAAATATGACAAGAGCTATTTCCTTGGCTTTATAGATGTTGATATTTGCTTTATTGTGTCTTATGCAACAGAACATTTTCAAAGAGTATTATGCTCTCAGTTAAGTAGCGGCAGCACTTTGAGAGCAATCTTTCAGAGTTTAAAGAAAAAACGAATGAAATATTTTAAACATGGATGTGATGAGAGCTTTAGAAGCCAAAAATTGTTTGTTGCAGCTTTTCAAAGCAGAAATGAAAAAGCCAATGAAGCATCTTACAGAGTCGCCGCATCGCACTGGCTGGAGAAGCCTGTACAACAACCAAGAGAAGAGTATAGCCATGAACGTGGACATCGCTCATGGCTGCTGGCTGAAAAGTCAATGGAAGAAATCACAGCATTGCCACTTCCCAATGATATGGTAACTCACTGAATAAATACTGAGCTGCAAACATGAAGATCGAGTTAATATTTTGTTGGCAGAATTGTGCTTTTTCCTTACAAATGGAAGACTCTAGACATAGCTAGAGTTGCTATGTACTTGCATCGGTCTGGCATCAGCACTAACTTATCACCAAAGAAGGTCTTTTCTGTGACTTCTTGACAGCAAACACAAGTGATGTTGAAATATTCAGGCTGTGGAATGGCTTTTAAAATCTCATGATTTATTCTGGAACACTGTGCTGACATTTACATTGACGGTGTCAGAGCAATGCCCGGTGAAACTGGCCCAACACTTACACAACGAAGGCAGAGACAGCAAGCCACACTGGCAGTCACGGCGCTCATCATGGCCACATGCTTGTCCAAAAGAGGAAAAAATATGTCCTTGATGACAGTAAAAATTATTAATTTTGTTAAACTGCAGTGCTTGAATACACAACTTTTTAACATTCTACATGTCAAGATGAGGGGTACATAGAAAGCATTCTGCTCCAAGACGAAGCACAATGCTTGCCTTCAGGAAAAGCTCTTGTGCACGTGTTTCAGTGGTGAGCTGGACTAGCTCCTTTTTCATGGAACACAATTTGTACATGAAAGAACAACTGACAAAATATGATTATACAGATTTGGGTATTAGATATTTTCTTCGTTCAAAAATAAACAAAGTGGCTGGGCGCCATGGCTCACACCTGTAATCCCAATGCTTTGCGAGGCCAAGGCAGGAGAATTGTTGAAACCCAGGCGTTCAGGACCAGCCTAGGCAACACAGCAAGACTCCATCTCTACAAAATAAATAAATAAATATATATATAAATAAATAAAGTAACCCTGTCATTGCAAGGAAAACAACTGACAGTAGTTGTCAATAAAATGTGACTTTCTTGTGAAAATTAGAGCTTTGGAAAATGCGTGATCACCATTGTGAATAGCAGCTTCTCAATATTTAAAGGCCTTTCTGATGTGATCAGTGCTGATATTAACATGTGTGATCATCTTTATTGTTGTAAAAAACACATAAGAAGTGCCATCTTATCCATTTTAAATATACAGTTCAATGACAGTGAGTACATTCACGTGGTTGAGAAACAGCTCTCCAGAACTTCTTCATCTTGCAATTCTAAAAGTCCATGCCCACTAAACACTAACTCCCCTTTCCCTACCCTCTGTTCCTGGTAACCGCCATCCTACTTTCTGTTTCTATGAATTTAACTGCTTTAGACACTTCACATTGTGGAAGCATGCAGTATTTGTATTTTTTTGTGTGTGATTGGCTTGTTTTATTTAGCATAATATCTTCAAGGTTCATCCACGTTGTAGCATGGGACAGGACTTTTCTTTTCAAGACTGAATAATAGTTACTGTATCTACATACACATTTTGTTTATCCATTCATCTGTCAGTGGGCATTTGGGTTGCTCCCACCTGTTGGGTATTGTGAATAATGGTGCTAAGAACATAGGTATACAAAATATCTCTTTAAGACCCTGCTTTCAATTCTTTTGGATATATACCCAAAAGTGGGATTACTGGATCATATGATAATTCCATTTTTAATTTTTTGAGAAACTACCATGCTGTTTTCCATAGCATTTGTGCCATTTTATAATCACGCCAACAATGCACAAGGCTTCCAATTTCTCCATATCTTTGCCACGTCATTGTGGTTTGGGTTTGCCTTTCTATGATGACTAGTGACGTTGAGCATCTTTTCACATGCTTGTTGGCCATTTGTATATCATCTTTGAAGAAATGTCTACTCATTTGCCAATTTTTAAATCAGGTTATTTGCTTTTTGTTGTTGAGTTATAGAAGTTCTTTATGTATTCTGGATATTAACCCTTTATCAGATATATTATTTGCAAATATTTTCTTCTATTCCATAGGTTGCCTTTTCACTCTGTTTATTGTATCCATTTGTCTATTTTTGCTTATGTTGCCTGAGCTTTTGATGTAATATCTAAGAAATCATTGTGAAGTCCAATGTTGTGAAGCTCTTCCTCTGCTTTCTTCTAGGAGTTTTATAGTTTAGGTCTTACATTTAGGTCCTTAATCTACTTTGAGTTAATTTTTGTATATGATATAAGAAAGGGTCCAACTTCATTATTTTGCATGTGGATATTCAGTTTTCCCAAAACCATTTGTTGAAGAGACACTTTCCCCATCAAGTGGTTTTGGCAACCTTGTTAAAGATCATTTCACCATATATTCAAGAGTTCATTTATGGACTCTCTGTTCTATTCCATTGGTCTATTTGTCTGTCTTTATGCCAATACCACACTGTTTTGATTACTGTAACTTTGTAATATGTATTAAGTCAGGACATGTGAGTCCTCCAACTTTGTTCTTCTCTTTAAAAATTGTTTTGAATCCCTTAAGATTCCATATAAATTTTAGAATGAGCTTTTCCATTTCTGTAAAAAAAAAAAAAAAATTTAACCTGCCATTGGGGTTTTTATAGGAATTGCATTGGACCTGTAGATCACTTTGGGTAGTATGGACATCTTAATAATATTAAGCTTTCCAATCCATGAACATAGGATATTGTTTCATTTATTTTTGTCTTTTTAAATTTCTAGCAGCCAGGTTTTACAGGTTTCAGTGTACAAGTCTTTTACCTCCTTGGTTAAGTTTAATAAATGTGATTTTTTTAATACTGTATAATGTAAGATGTCAACATTTGGAAGATGTGCATAAGTCAGGACCATTTTCCAAATGACCAATAAGCAATGTTACACAATTATAAAGGGGTGAAAGATCCATTCAAAATGCAAGATAGACAATCAATTACAATGTAACAGAGTACCAAAATGTCATTGATATAGTTTCAGATTCCACAATGCCACCAACCTTTTAAAAACCACCGCTTAACAAAAGAATATTCACAATTATCTGAAAAGACTTCCAAACTACTCTTTTCCAATTACACATCTTTCTTAAACCAGATTTTCTTCAAAATTCAAAAAAAAGACACATTGAATGCAGAAGCAGATATGAAAATGAGCTCTCTTCTTAAGCCAGACCCTGAAAAGATTTGCAAAAATGTAAAACCATGCCCCTCTTTAATGCTAAATTTTTGTTTTGGAAATATAGTAGTTTTTCATAAAAATATTTATGATCATATGTAATGTGTTTACAAAAATTAGCCACGTGTGGTGGCGTATGCCTGTAGTCTCAACTACTCAGGAGACTGAGGTGGGAGGATCACTTGAGCCTGGGAGGCAGAGGTTGCAGTGAGTTGAGATCACACCACTGCACTCCACCCTGGGCAACAGAGTGAGACCCTGTCTCAAAAAACAAACAAAAAAAAAACGATGGTCACCACTGAATCGTACACTTTAAAATCGTTAATGGTTAATGGTTAATTTCATGTCATGTTAATTTTACATCAGTTACAAAATGTGATCCCTCAAACAAAATATATACATTCTAAATTATCAAAAGTAATAGGGACACAAAGAATGAAGAAAACGGACCGTGGAAGATTTTTAAGGTTTTAACAGAAGGCATAACTAAAAAATTACGACAGAATAAAAACCAAACTATCAATATATCTATAGATTGATACTTATATGGGCTAAACTTACCTATGAAAAGAAAGTGACTAAGAAAATCTTGGTTAGAAACTTGACGAGTGGTCACCCCCTGGAGAACTGCCCATGCCAGGCACTGATAACTCATGGACTGTCTCAAAGACTGTGCTTTTCATTCATAAAAAGAAAACAAAATAACTCTAAGATTAGATCACAAAACAAAACCTAAATCTATGCTACATGTAAGACACACACCTAAAACAAAGTGATTCAGAAAAGTTGGGAGGAAATTAAAATGCAGAGGTCTCAATCTTAAAATCTTAATATCAGATAGGGTTGAAGTCAAGACAGAAAGCATTAAAGGGGACAAAATGGAGCCCATTATAACGACAAAGGATGTTAACTATGGTGAAGACCTAGCATCTACAAATACCTATGCACCAAATGACTGCAGTGGCTGGCCATCTGGAGCAGCTGCTGCTATCACACCAGCTGTAGCAGAGAGGCATGGCTGGGGCTACACACTCCATGGAGCCAGCGGGAGCCCGGGACAAGCAGGAGCCCCACCCTTCTGAGTTACGGTGGGAGCTCCCAGGGTGCCTCTGCAGCCACCCAAGCCACAACTACAGACCCAGGCATCCCTGTGCTCTCAGGGCCTGGGAGCAGGCGGGACCCCCACCCTCCTGGGTGCAGCTGCAGCCATCCAAACCGCGGCTGCAGACCCAGGCATCTCTGCACTCTTCGGGGCCTCCCCTGCCCTCACAGGCTCAGAAATGCCTGTTCCCACTGCCTGGCTTCTCCCTGCTGTCGGTGCCCACTCTGATCTTGGAGCAAAGTCGGGGCCAAGTCGAAGCACTGTCACAGCCTGGTCAGATGAGCAAATGCTCAGGGCAGGGCTGACACGCCAGCCCACTGCCACCTTTGGCCTCCTCTGGACTTTGGGCACCATCGAGCATAGGAGGGAAGCCGATGGGGAACTGAGAGCAGCTAAGTGCTGGCATGCAGGTGCCCCTTGGCACCCACAGCCTGGGCGCCATGAATGCCAGCAGGAGGCAGACAGGCTCCTGAGCAGAGAGGGTCCCTGTTGAGGTCCCATCTTCAAGCCAGGGAGGGCCTGAAGGCTGGGAGCCAGGCTGCCAGTCCCGCAGACTGGAGTGGGGACCTGTGGCACCTTTTCCAGGCCCACCCATAGCCACCCATGGACCAATCAGCACATACCTCCTCCCCTCTGAGGCCCATAAAAGTTCCAGTTTCAGCTAGAGCAGAGAAAGGACAGAGAGATGATGGATGACCAGTTGCAGAGAGGAGCTACCCTCTCTGCTGATATCTGAACACTTGTTGGGATGACCTGCCTGCAGACAGGAGCCACCCTCTTTGCTGGGAGCTGAACACTCATCGGGACACCCTGGCCATGAGGAGGAGCTGCTCACTATGGGTCTTTGCTGAGCTGTTCCATTGCTCAATAATCTTCATCTTATTCACCCTGCACTCATCTGCATACCTCATTCTTCTTGGTCACACAACAAGAACTTGGGACCCACCAAAACGGTGATGCTACGAGAGCTGTGACACAAACAGGGCTGAGACATGCCCCTTGCTCGCCACATTGCAGGTGAAGAGAAGGAGAGAAGAGCTGCAGCCCTTTGGGGAACCCAGACCTGGGAGCTCCCCGAGCCAGGGCTGTGACTCCCTCTTTGGGGCCCTGCGGTTCCTGGCATCTCCACACTTCTGGGGGCCACCGCATTTCCTGGTGCCAGCTGGGGAAGCTGCTTGCAGTGCACCCAGTCCAGCCGCAGCCTTACTCCAGCACCTACAGTGCTACAGCACCTACCCATACTGGCACCTGGAACTGCCCATCCCACAGCAGCAGCCAGCGTGTCTGACTACACAGTAGCTGGACCCCACACTTGCTCACACACCCCTTGCTGCTCCATACCTGACTCACAGCCTCCCTTAGATGCACAGGATCCAGGCTGGTAGCATGATCCGAGCACAGCCTGCCAGGCTGAGTAGGCAGAATGAGCCCAGCGGGCCCGAGCAAAACTCGGGCAAAGGCACCACCAGCCACAGGTTTCTGGCCAGAAAAGTGACACCCCAAAGATCCCGTAACACAAACCACAAAGCATACACATTCATAAAGCAAAATCTTTAGGAAATTTAATGAAAAATAGAAACACAACTTACCTTTTTCCAGAAACGCACAGATGTTTCAACATTAGGAAATCTATTAATGTAATTCCCCATATTATTAGATCAAAAGGCAAATCATATAATCATCTTTATTTATGCTGGAAAAGCACTGATAAATCTCAACAGCCATATTTTTATTTTTGCAACTGCTCAAAAATGACAGGATACTTAATATGATAAAATGCATTTATCTCATCCCAAAGGTCAGCATTATAATTAATAAGATAATATCTATAAACATTCCTGTTAAAGTTAAGACAAGGCAAAGAGATCTACTATTGTTACTATTATTGAACATTATCCTAGAAATACCAACATAAAGAAGAGAAAGAAATAAGATATATGAAAATTGAGAAAGTATGCAATTATTATTATTTGCAGATTATATAATTATATATCTGGAAATTCCAAGAAAATTAACCGAAAAACTATTACAAATAATGATAGAATTCACTAAGAGTATAGACATGAAGTTGGCATATGGAAGTCAATAGGTTTTATATATTAAAACAAAATTTATTAGAAGCTATAATAAAAATGATTAAAATATCTACTAATAAACCTAAGAAATGTTCAAGCTCTACTTTTTAAAAATTAAAATGGAACTAGATATAAAGAAGACTTAAAATATGTATATACATGCCATGTTTTAGAAAAGGAAAGCTAGACAACATCAAGATGTTAATTATCCTCATAAAAGACATCAACTGGATGTTTTGAGAAACCAGATATGCTGATTCAAAAGTTCTCACCAAAAAGATTAGTTGAGTGACTAGCTCTATCAGTTGGTAAAATGTGTTAAATTACAAGAATTTTTAAAGTGATCCACCTACATTCATACACAGATCATACACACATTTGGAGGATCCCAAACACATGAGGACATTTACTATATTATAAAGGAAAAATGTCCAGTGAAAGGAGAAGATAGATTATACAATTAATGGTGTATGGGAAAAAACGGAATCCCTCCCTCACATTTTACAGAAAAAAAAAATCTCCAGATGGATGAAAGACTTCAATGGACTGATAAAAGTACTAGAAGAAGACAAAAGAGAATTATTTAAATCTCAGGACGGCCAGAACTTCTCAGCATGTTAAATATGCACACACACATAGACACAAATACATACCAAAAAATGTGCACATTTTGACTACATAAATGTTTTTTAATTATGTGATGTTAAAAAACCCATAAAGTTGAAAGACATAAAAGAATAGAAAAATGCATGCATTCCATATCACAGAAGGACTGCTTAATATGTAAAGAGCTTCTATAAACCAATAAGAAAGTCAATAGATAAAAGGAAAAAAAGACAACAATTAAAAACAGTTCACATAAGGGAAAAACATATTTCTTAAACATTTGAAGAAATGTTCAACCTTGGTCATAGTACAGAAAATGCAAACTAAAATTAGATTTTTTTCTTTTTTTACTTACCAAGTTGGCTATGATCAAAATATTTGTCAATTTCATGTTGCTATAGGTGTGAGAAAATAGGCAGCTCAATGCACTGGTTAAGAGCATGGGTTCTGGAACAAAAATGTCTAGATTTCAGATTCCGTTTCATCACTTAATAAACCTGGGAAAGTTGCTTAGTCTATGTAAACCTCAATTTCCTAATCTGTAAAATGGGGTTGTTCTGAGGATTGAGTCGAAATTTGTCAAACGCCTAGAACAGATATGTTACACGTGGTGTTAAAGAAAATACCTGTAACATATGTGTTGTGTGTAATGTTAAATAAATAAAATATATTGGTGATGAAAACGTAAATTGGCATAAATCTTAAGGATAAAAAAAATTAAAATTAAAAATGCACACAGCCTCTAAATAGCAATTCTACTTCCAGAAATTTAATACTACAAATACGCTCTCGTGTGTGTGAAATATATGCAAGACGCATTCATTATAGCATTGTCTGAAATTCTGAAAGATTCCCAATATCCCCACTCAGGGCTGGTAAGAGAATCAGGGTACATTCATGTAATGGTAATTAGAAAACAAGATAAACCCCAGAAAACCAAGGAAGAAAACAAGGGAAAGAAAAGCAGAGATTACTGAACTAGAAAAGCAGAAAAAAGTACCAATAAATTAACATGACAACTGCTGGTGTTTTTGTTTTTGTGTGAGAAAATGGATAAGTCTCTGGAAAATGTAATTCAAAATGTAAGAGAAAAACAAACAAAAATGCATAAATTACAAAAGTACTATGTATACTTTTATGTTAATATATTTTGAGCTTTCAACGAAATGAGACGTTTCCCTAGGAAAATATAAATCATAAAAAATTCCGGAAAATGTCAATGACTAATAACAATGCAAGGAAATTTTAAAATTTAATTTAGAAATCTCTAAGTTGTTCCAGGCTCAGATGGTTTCAAATAACAGATCCCTCCAGTGCCAGATAAACAGTTCCAGGCCATTAAGACAAATCTCCCCATTTGTTTTATAACAGCATTTAACCTTGAATCAAAACCTCGCAGCAGGATACTAAAGAAAACCGCAGGCTGATTTCACTGATTAACAGACATGCGAAGCCCCCTCTTCTCACTGGACAATGGGCAGGCTCACTGTGTGGCAGGTACTGGGCTGTGTCTCCGGCACACAGCAGGGAGCACGCTGTGGGGAGGCAGAAGCTGCACGCTAAACACACACCGCACACCTAGAAGGGTGTGCAGAGCTACGGGGCAAGAAGGATGCCTGAGAGAGGGGCATCCCAGCGAGGAGGGGAGGCGTTAAAGAGAGAAGGTGCCAGGCAGCGCCCATGAAGCAAAGGTGGAGGAGGGGAAGGAGCTAGGACAGGAGGAGTGAAGGATGCAGGGTGGCATGACTGTGTCCTGCCGCTGCTGTGACAAAGCCCCACACACCCGTGGCTTCAACAAAAGGCATTTATTCACTCGCAGTTCTGCAGGCCAGAAGGCTGGGTCCACGCGTCAGCAGGGCCACGCTCCCTCTGAAGGCCCAGGAGAGGATCCTTCCACACCCGTTCCTGCTCCTGGGGGCTCCCTCCTGGCATTCCTCCATGCTCCTGGGCGTGCAGCGGCCACACTCCAGCCTCTGCCTCCCTCATCACATGGCCTTCTTCCCTGTGTGGCCCTCTGTCCAAATTTCCCTTTTCAAGGATGCCAGTCACGGATTAGGACCCACCCGAATCCACTGTGACTTCATCTTAACTCGATTACATTTGCAAATACCCCATTTCCAAATAAGGTCACATTTATAGATACTGGGAGTCAGGACCTGAACATCTATTTTGAGGGGACACAATTTAACCCACAACAGAGGGGATGAGGAAGATCCTCAGAGCCCAGCACAGGAAGCTGTTAAAAACCGGCTGTAGCTACACACGTGTGTGTGGAAGTGTTTATGTAGGTGTGTGTGCGTGTGTATACATAGGAGCTTGTGGATGTGGCTTGCATGTGTACAGGTGTTTTCCATGTGTGCACCTATGTGCACAGGTGTTTACATGTGCATGCACATGTGTACATGGGTGTTTGTAGGTAAATAAGTATGTGTATATAGGTGCTTTACAAGTGTGTGCTTATGTACATAGATATATACATAAGCACACACGTGTACATGGCTGTGACAAATATGAAATGTTTTGCATGTATGTGCCTGTGTATAGATGTGTATACATGCTTGCACATGTGCACATGGATGTGACAGATATGACAGATGTGTATGACTGTGTCTACGTACATAGATGTGAATATGTGTGCATGTGTGTACATGGGTGTGTATGACATACATGTGTGCAGGTCCTGGGTATAGGTGTGCCTATGTACATGGATGTGTATGTATGCATGTGTACATGGGTGTGTGACATAGATGTGCACAGGTGTTTTGCATGAGTGTGCCTATGTATATGGATGTGTATGCATATGTACACGTGTGCACAGGTGTTTTGCATGTGTGTGCCTATGTACATGGATGTGTATGCATGCATGCCCATATGTACAGGTGTTTTGTATGTGTGTGCCTATGTACATGGATGTGTATGTGTGCATGCACGTGTGCACAGGTGATTTGCATGTGCGTGCCTATATACATGGATGTGTATATGTGCATGCACATGTGTACAGGTGTTTTGCATGTGTGTGCTTACGTACATGGATGTGTATGCATACATGCACGTGTGCACAGGTGTCTTGCATGTGTGTGCCTATGCACATGGATGTGTATGCGTGCATGCACGTGTGTACCGGTGTTTTGCATGTGTGTGCCTGTGTACCTGGATGTGTATGTGTGCATGCCCATATGTACAGGTGTTTTGCATGTGTGTGCCTGTGTACCTGGATGTGTATGTGTGCATGCCCATATGTACAGGTGTTTTGCATGTGTGTGCCTATGTACATGTATGTGTATGCTGGCATGCACTGTGTACAGGTGTTTTGCATGTGTGTGCCTGTGTACATAGATGTGGATGTGTTCATCACGTGTGTACATAGATGTGGGGGGCAGGAGAAGGGAACCGACAGGTCAGATTTAACTTCCTCAAAGATCACTGACTGCAAAAGGAATGAAGGCCTGGAGGGGGCAGGGTTGGCCCAGATTGCAAGGCTGCTGCAGGTGCCTGAGGGCAGTGTTGGGGGTGTGTGGGGGTCACTCGCGACTGGAAGGGGTGAGGGGAGGGATGCTGAGAAAGGAGCTGGCAGCCCCATGCCTCAGGGAGGAGGGGTGACAGAGGGATGGGGGTGTGGCACAGGGCAGAGGAGGTGCAGGCAAGAGCTGGGTTTCCAATGCCTCAAACTGGACCACAAGGCAGACTTCTCCTGGAGAGACCAGGTTTGTGGGGTGGGAGGGTGCGGGGTGGGCTCAGATTCTGTGGCACCTTGGGCCACTGTAAGGGTGTGGAGCCTTCCGGGCATCCATGTGCGGGCATCAGTGGGCAGATCTGTACACGGATGGAGGCTCCGCGGAGCATTCCGAGCTGGAGATCTCATCTTGGGAGCCCTGTGCACATGGACAGCACCCTAACCCCTGGCCTCAGTGTGATCTGAGTGGGGACAAAGAATAAGAACAGGAAGGGACTAGCGGCAGCCGTGAGAAACTGCAGCGAGAATGCCCAGGTAGGAGACTGCATGGGGGCCAGGAAAGGGCCACCCTGATCCTAAAAGAAACACAAGGGCTGAATAAGGACAGAGAAGGATTCGGAGAGTGGAAGAGGCTCTGGGGAATGGCAGCAGGAGACGTCTGGTGCGAGGAGGCTTTGGAGACACCAGCACCCTGGGGCCTTCGGTGTGAGCTGGGCCTGGAGGTGATGGGGTGGAAACAAGGACGCAGCGGGCCAGGGAGGGAGGGAGGGGTGGGCTGGTGACGGCACAGGAGGGAGGGGAGTAGGGGAGAAAGAACAACCAACAAAATGGCCCTGAGGGCTGGACGCGGTGGCTCACGCCTGTAATCCCAGCACTTTGGGAGGCCAAGGCGGGTGGATCACGAGGTCAGGAGATCGAGACCATCCTTGCTAACATGGTGAAACCCCATCTCTACTAAAAATACAAAAAATTCGCCGGGCATGGTGGTGGGCATCTGTAGTCCCAGCTACTTGGGAGGCTGAGGCAGGAGAATGGGGAGAATGGCATGAACCCAGGAGGCAGAGCTTGCAGTGAGCCAAGACTCTCTGTCTCAAAAAAAAAAAAAAAAAAAGGCCCTGAGGAGATAAAGCGATGGGCCCCTCCTACTGCCAGGGAAGACAGACGTGTTAGCAAATGGAATGAAGCCACCCATTGGCAGTGACAAAAACCAAGGAGGGCACATCTCAGCAAAGCCGGGATGCTTTCTGAAAAGAAAACAGATTAACACTAAAGATACACACCAACCACATCCATGGTCTCATGGGGTCATCTACCTGCCTGCCCCTTCCCAGACATGCACATGGTCACTGCTATAAGGCCAGAGAAGGTGTCTCAGGCCCACGCCTCCCTCAGCCACGACGGCCGGCCTCCTTCAGTGATGCCCACACCTCCCTCCATGACACCTGCGCCTCCCTTAGTGATACCTACGCCTCCTTCGGGGACGCCCACACCTCCCTGGGCCGTGACGCACCAGAGGCACCCCCACTCCTGACAGGCGTGGGCCAAGGATGGGCACCTGCTTCTGGCTCATGGCCGTTTTCTGAGGTTTTAGCAGATGCCAGGAAGCATTAGACAGACCTCCTGGCTGCAGTCCACCCCTGACCTGCAGTTTCATTCTCGGTGGCTTCGGTGGCCCACAGTGAACTGCAGTCGGAAAATAGTGAGTACAACATAGAAAGCCATTTTAAGAGAGTGCATTCACACAACTTTCATCATAGTACATCGTTAGCATTGTTCATTTTCTTATTGTGATTGTTGCTCATCTCTTGCTGTGCCTAATTATAGTTCAACTCGATCACAGGTATGGATGTAGAAGACAAAGCACAGCACGGTGCACACAGGGGTCCGAACTACCCAGAACTTCAGGCAGCCACTGGGGGGCTTGGAACGTGCCCCCACAGATAAAGGGGGGCTTGTGTATAATGACTGGAAAGGAAAAGATAACGGTATATTGAATTTGCCCAGGATAGACGGGTGTCACTTTCAGTTTGCCCAGAAAACCCAAGAGAAGCTACTTTTTAAAAAAATAGTGTTCCATAGCACAGTCCGGGACTGTAGCTAACAACCATATATTGTCTATTTCAAACTAGCTACAAGAGAACCTTTGAAATGTCCCCAACACAAAGAAATGGTCCATGCTCGCAGTGATGGATATTCCAAATGCCTAATTGGATCATGACACACTGTATACATGTATCAAAATATCACGTCTTCTGTAAGTATGTACAATAATTATATGTCAAGAAACATTTTGTAAAAACACAATTGATAGTTTAGCAATTTGGCTAGATTTAAAGAAATTAAAGGCTGGGCACGGTGGCTCACATCTGTAATCCCAGCACTTTGGGAGGCTGAGGCAGGCAGATCACGAGGTCAGGAGATTGAGACTATCCTGGCTAACAGGGTGAAACCCCATCTCTACTAAAAATACAAAAAAAAAAAAATTAGTTGGGCATGGTGGTGGGCGCCTGTAGTCCCAGCTACTCAGGAGGCTGAGGCAGGAGAATGGCATGAACCCAGGAGGTGGAGCTTGCAGTGAGCCGAGATCGTGCCACTGCACCCCAGCCTGGGCAACAGAGCGAGACTCTGTCTCAAAAAAAAAAAAAAAAGTTAAAATCTATAATTTTCCTATGTAATAGTAATAACCAGTTAGTTACTAACATGGGGAAAAGAAAAGGTTCCGCTCAAAATAACAAGTAAAATGTTTGTATGACCTCGAAATAGTAGCAATACAATATTTCAGTACTTGTGTGAAGACAAAACTATCAGCTTTACTGATAAAATACATAAGCATAGAAGAACATGTTACATTGATGGAAAGTCTGAACGTTGTAACTGTATCAATTCTCCCAAAATATTTCAAATATTTGGCCTAATCCCAATTGAAGTCCTAACTGAAAAACAACAACAAAACTTTGCAACAATCCTGCCCAGCACTAGCAGAAGATAAATGAAAAGGACATTTGGAAAAGAAGGGAAATGGGGAATGCCCTTCCCTCCCAGCTACTGAGATGTATATTTAAAACAACAGTAATTACACACTGTGGGGCTAGCACAAAAAGAACAAGTGGATCATTGAGCTGAAATGCATAGACTTGAAACGGGCCTTAATGTATCTAAAGACTTGATACACAATAAATGAACTATCCAGTCCATCATTCTCAGCAAACTATCGCAAGGACAAAAAAACCAAACACCACATGTTCTCACTCATAGGTGGGAACTGAACAATGAGAACACATGGACACAGGAAGGGGAACATCACACACCGGGGACTGTTGTGGGGTGGGGGGAGGGGGGAGGGATAGCGTTAGGAGATATACCTAATGCTAATTGACAAGTTAATGGGTGCAGCACGCCAACGTGGCACATGCATACATATGTAACAAACCTGCACATTGTGCACATGTACCCTAAAACTTAAAGTAAAATAATAATAATAAAATAAATAAATAAATAAATGAACTATCAAGAATGATTTCAGGAGGTGATGGAAATATTCTAAAGCTGATTTACAGTGATGGTTGCACAACTTGGTGAAATCACGTAAATCATGGAAATGTATTCTTGATAGGGTGGATCTGATGATATGCAAAATAAGCCTCCATAAAGCTTTTTTTTTTTTTTTTTTTTTTTTTTTGAGATGAGTCTCACTCTGTTGCCAGGCTGGAGTGCAGTGGCTCAATCTCAGCTCACTGCAACCTCCACCTCCTGAGTTCAGGCCATTCTCATGCCTCAGCCTCCCGAGTAGCTGGGATTACAGGCTCACACCACCACACCCAGCTAATGTTTGTATTTTTAGCAGAGACAGGGTTTCACCACGTTAGCCGGGATGATCTCAATCTCCCGACCTCATGATCCGCCTGCCTCAGCCTCCCAAAGTGCTGGGATTACAGGCGTGAGCCACCGTGTCTGGCTCTTCCCCTCCCCAAAACCTGTGTAAATGATTTAGGAACATAAGCATCAACACAGTACTGGAAAACAGAGAGAATTAGTGAATTAGAAGTGCTGAGAAAATCTGAGATAAATAACATGGATGAGATGAACTGATGCAGAAACTGGGCTGCCCAGAAAAGCATGAGAAGGCTGCTCCAGCACTGGAAGAATCCCCTGCAAAAATGGGCACTGCTTTCTCAATGAGCAATCCTCAAACCCCAAAACTTGGTGGACAAAAGCTGGAAGAGGAAGCTGCCGTGGAATGTAAGAAACAAAGACAAATGACAGAGCTGGGGCTGGTCGCTTCCCCGCAGCACAGTGGATACCTGGTCCAGACTGCACATGGCCAGTGAAGACCAGTACTCCAATAAAGCTGAGCATGTGGCTCCAAGGGCTGCAGCCACAGGCTAGAGCAGAGGCTGGCAAACTATAACTCAGAGGCCAAACCCCATGACCAATTTCTATAAAGTTACAGAGGTACACACCAGACCCACTTGCTTACCTCTCGTCTCTGTTTTCTGCTCCAATGGCAGACCTGAGTAGTCACCCCCGGGCTTGAATGGCCCCCAGAGCTGAAAATATTTATTCTGTGGCCCTTTGTGGAAAAGGTTTCAATCCCCGGGTTACAGAGAAAACTGTGGCACTAGCTACCAGGGCCACTGTGCGTCACTTTACCAGACATGGATACAAATACACTTGTCCTGTAGGTAAGCGTATTTGTGCCCCCGATGGGTTAAATCAATCCTCTAAAACACATCTCCAAAATGACCAGGCAGTCAACTAATCCATGATGAATCAGGATTAATGCAGGAAACAGAAGACGTTAAACTTCTAATTAGCCTCCACAGAGAGACTCAAAAGGTTATTACATCAATAAAATTGGAACTGGCCACAGTTTTTTAAATGAGGGATTAAATACCAAAAAAGAGATCTTTGAAATTTAAAACATGATTATGAAAATAACAGGTGCTGTGAATAACATGACTGAAACTCAAACTGGTGAACTGGAAGGCAGTCATTAACATCTCTTGGAGCATAAGAAGAATTGACAGAGATGGGAATTATGAGCGTTAGGTTAAGAGATAGGTACAGACTCAGGAGAAGTGATCACATTCCCATGGGGGGCCCAAAGGAGAGTGGGGGGAGAAAGAAGTAATTAAAGAAATAAGAGAAGAAAATTTCCCCTGGAATGGAAAGAGATGAGAGCGTTCAAATCACAGGTGAACTGTTAAGGAATAATAGAAAAATGACATGCTGCTATATATATTCTGGGGAAACTTCTCACTCAATGGATTAAAAACCCCTTTAAGCTTCCAGAGTGTAAAAATAATAGGTTCCCTTAAAAAAAAGAATAAAAATCCCACTCACACTGGTCATTCTTGTCTGCAATTCAAAAATGCTAGAAGATAACATCTGTGCACTAGCTACAAGGTTCTGAGGAAACAGGACCTCAAACTGGAATTCTATAGCTGGACAAAACTATTGTGAGGGCAAAATGAACTTGCTGACCTCTTTTTGAGGACTCAGCATACCGTACACAGCTCTGAAAAAAATAATTATGGGGTAAAAGTCATTAGAATGAAAGAAAAATGAGAAAGGAATGGCATTGGCATAAAAAATAATCATGAGCAAATAGATCATTAAAATTTAGAGTTAAGTCCAATTATTAATAATTACAGAGAAAATGAGGAAGAATGCAGCTGTTAAAAAATATTCCCCACATAGACAAGACATCATGTTCTTAAAGTAATTGACGTAATGTAAAAGGAAAAAATCATATTCTGGAACCAAAATTCCAAATGATTGCAAAAAAAAAGTGCCAAATATCTCGTCCTAGTCAAGTGGTAATTTATGGATACGATTAATTCTTGAAGTGGATAGAAATGTGTCTTAATATTTTACTGATTAGGACTATTTTGGTTGCATGGAACAGAAACCCAGCTCAACCCAGCTTAAGCAAAACTATGAATCCATTGCAAGAACATGAGAATGTTTTATAGGACTCACAGAGAAGACCAGGGTTGGACCTCAGGGACAAATGGGACCAGGGCTTCTAGAGGCCAAGGGACATCTCTGCGTCTCTCTCCATCCTGCATCTTGCCTCTGTGTGGGTGCCCCTCTCCTCTCTAAGTAGATCTGCTTCCTCTGCTTCTGAGATCCACAGTGCAAGATGTGGCCACAGACAGTGTGAGCACACTGCATCCACCTCCATAGCCACTCAAAGCAATGTTGAATTCTTTTTTCTCAGCTCCGGTTCCAACACCCTTGGAAAGACTCTAACTGGCAGAGCTTGGATCAAGTGCTCACTGCAGAATCAATTAATCAGCTGGGACCACACGGCCCGATCACAGTGTTTATGTGGCTGACTCAGGGGCACAAAGTGTGTCAGCAAAGGGAAGTCACGCCCTGGAAGATGGGTGCTGGAGTGAACAGGCCCGTTAGTAGCCCCTGCAGTCCACCCCTTGTCTGCCCCGCACATGTGGGCTCACACCCACTCACATACAATTCCCTGGATATGCTGGATACAGTGCAACCTTTTAAGTTCCTACGAGGACTGTGGTCCAACATCAGTTCAAGAATTTGACCCACCGAAGTATCTGGGCCAGGCAGAGACGTGGGAAATGAGAGGCCTGGAGCTCCCACTAGTGGGCAGTCTGAGCCCTGCAACAGCTGCGGGAGCATCCCTGGCCCGGGGCTGCAGACCGGGGATACAACGGTCGGGAAAGATAGATGCGTTCCTGTGCCCCAAGCCTGGAGGGAAGGAGAGACATTAATACTTGCAAATAATTGCATGGGTTAAATTAATGCTCTAGACCCTGAGGCACAGTGGACACGCGCATACTTGAGTGTGGACGGTCAGTGTGGACACGCACATATTTGAGTGTGGACGGTCAGTGTGGACACGCACATATTTGAGTGTGGACACGCGCATATTTGAGTGTGGACACGCACATATTTGAGTGTGGACGGTCAGTGTGGACACGCGCATATTTGAGTGTGGATGCTCAGTGTGGACGCGCATATTTGAGTGTGGACACGCACATATTTAAGTGTGGACACGCACATATTTGAGTGTGGATGGTCAGTGTGGACACACATATTTAAGTGTGGACACGCGCATATTTGAGTGTGGACGGTCAGCG
This sequence comes from Homo sapiens, assembly GCF_000001405.40. Lineage (NCBI taxonomy): Eukaryota > Metazoa > Chordata > Mammalia > Primates > Hominidae > Homo > Homo sapiens. Next base: position 47,213,262 of record NC_000022.11, on the reverse strand, counting down.
TGGACACGCACATGTTTGTGGACGGTCAGCGTGGACACGCGCATATTTGAGTGTGGACAGTCAGTGTGGACACGCACATGTTTGAGTGTGGACGGTCAGTGTGGACACGCGCATATTTAGTGTGGACGGTCAGTGTGGACATGCGCATATATGAGTGTGGACGGTCAGTGTGGACACGCGCATGTTTGAGTGTGGACGGTCAGTGTGGACATGCGCATATTTGAGTGTGGACGGTCAGTGTGGACACACGCATGTTTGAGTGTGGACGGTCAGTGTGGACACGCTCATATTTAGTGTGGGCGGTCAGTGTGGACACGCACATATTTGAGTGTGGACACACGTATTTGAGTGTGGACAGAGTGTGGACATGCACATATTTGAGTGTGGACACGCGCATATTTGAGTGTGGACACACGCATATTTGAGTGTGGACGGTCAGTGTGGAGACGCACATATTTGAGTGTGGACACGCACATATTTGAGTGTGGACACACGCATGTTTGAGTGTGGACGGTCAGTGTGGACACGCGCATGTTTGAGTGTGGACGGTCAGTGTGGACACGCTCATATTTAGTGTGGGCACTCAGTGTGGACACGCACATATTTGAGTGTGGACACACACATATTTGAGTGTGGACAGTGTGTGGACAGGCACATATTTGAGTGTGGACACGCACATATTTAAGTGTGGACACACGCATATTTGAGTGTGGACGGTCAGTGTGGACACGCACATATTTGAGTGTGGACGGTCAGTGTGGACACGCGCATATTTGAGTGTGGATGGTCAGTGTGGACACACGCATATTTGAGTGTGGACACGCACATATTTAAGTGTGGACATGCACATATTTGAGTGTGGACGGTCAGTGTGGACACACACATATTTAAGTGTGGACATGCACATATTTGAGTGTGGACGGTCAGCGTGGACACGCACATATTTGAGTGTGGACACGCACATATTTGAGTGTGGATGGTCAGTGTGGACGTGCACATATTTGAGTGTGGACACGCACATATTTAAGTGTGGACACGCGCATATTTGAGTGTGGACGGTCAGTGTGGACACGCGCATATGAGTGTGGACACACATATTTAGTGTGGACAGTCAGTGTGGACACGCACATATTTGAGTGTGGACATGCACATATTTAAGTGTGGACACGCGCATATTTGAGTGTGGACGGTCAGTGTGGACACGCACATATTTGAGTGTGGACGGTCAGTGTGGACACGCACATATTTGAGTGTGGACACACACTTATTTAAGTGTGGACACGTGCATATTTGAGTGTGGACGGTCAGTGTGGACACGCACATATTTAGTGTGGACGGTCAGTGTGGACACGCACATATTTGAGTGTGGACATGCACATATTTGAGTGTGGACAGTCAGTGTGGACACGCACATATTTGAGTGTGGACACGCGCATATTTGAGTGTGGACACGCGCATATTTGAGTGTGGACGGTCAGTGTGGACATGCACATATTTAAGTGTGGACACGCACATATTTGAGTGTGGATGGTCAGTGTGGACGTGCACATATTTGAGTGTGGACACGCACATATTTAAGTGTGGACACGCGCATATTTGAGTGTGGACGGTCAGCGTGGACACACACATATTTGAGTGTGGACGGTCAGTGTGGACACGCACATATTTGAGTGTGGACGGTCAGTGTGGACACGCACATATTTGAGTGTGGACACACACATATTTAAGTGTGGACACGTGCATATTTGAGTGTGGACGGTCAGTGTGGACACGCACATATTTAGTGTGGACGGTCAGTGTGGACACGCACATATTTGAGTGTGGACATGCACATATTTGAGTGTGGACAGTCAGTGTGGACACGCACATATTTGAGTGTGGACACGCACATATTTAAGTGTGGACACGCGCATATTTGAGTGTGGACGGTCAGTGTGGACATGCACATATTTGAGTGTGGACGGTCAGTGTGGACACGCACATATTTGAGTGTGGACACGCACATATTTAAGTGTGGACACGCGCATATTTGAGTGTGGACGGTCAGTGTGGACAGGCACATATTTGAGTGTGGACGGTCAGTGTGGACACGCACATATTTGAGTGTGGACACACATATTTAAGTGTGGACACGTGCATATTTGAGTGTGGACGGTCAGTGTGGACACGCACATGTTTGAGTCCCAGCATTTACAACAGCACGGCACCAGGTCCCAATGTGGAAAGGGTGCCTTTTCATTGCTGTCTTGGGAACATACTGGGAGATGTCCCAAAAGGAGCTAAAACAGTTAAAATTGGGCTTTATTTAGAGCTTGCGCTTACTTCCCTTCGTTCTCTACACTTTCGCGTGGCTGTTTCCTCCCTGCCCTGCCCCTGCAGGTGACTTGGACCTTGCTGACCCTGTTAGGGGTGGATGTGCCTTCGCAATTGTCTACACACAGGTCCGTGTCTCCCAAACCTTACGATACTTGAGGACAGGGGCTGTGCACAGCTCAGGGAGGAGTATGCACTGTGAAGGCAGACAGACTGCCCCTCCTCCCCCGGAAATGCCAGCCCCTCCTCACCATCATCTTCATCATCATTGGAAAATAACAGCAAATGCTGAAATAATAACAATAATAATGGATTAAATCCTCACAACTAAAGAGCAGCAAACCCTCACGAGTGTTTGTGTGGGGGAGGCATCGTTCCAGGAGCTCCCTGTGCCCCAACTCATTTACTCCCTCCGCGCTCCATTCTTCAAACAGAGTAAACTGAGGCAGAGACAAGGCAATGACATCATCCCCGAGCCCATTCGGCCCATCTGCAAAATGGGTACAAGCAACCGTCTCGGAGTATGGAGAGACGTGGGTGTGCGGCGGAGCTGCCGTGAGTGGTGGGCCTCTGTAAGATGTTTCAGAGCCTGCAGGCCCCGGCTGAATTCCCAAAGCACTGGGAAAATGGCGCAGACAGAGCGCTCCAAGCCGAGGGAAGAAGGGTGTCCACGAGATGGGGGTCCCACAGCCTGTCCCTTTCCTGCTAGGCTCAAAGCTTTACTGTCCCCTCGCGGCTGGTGTGGGAGGAATGAGGGGTCAGTGGGGCTTCTTGGCTGTGGGCAATGGGAACTGATGGGAGGACTCTGGGTCCTGTCCAGGGGAGAAGAGGGCAAGGATGAGGGGGCACCAGGGCAGGGTGGAAGCTAAGGGGCTCTGAGGAAGATCCACTCTCCAGCCTTTGTCTCTGGGTTCAGGAATTAAACCTGAGAGTGGCCATCATGTGGGCCTGGCTGGGGCTGCTTGTGCACCTCCCGCTGGAACTGCCCCACCCATGCCCCACCCAATGTCAAATAATGACTGAGGATGGCTCCTGGAGAGGTGGGGCCGGCAGCCACACGACAACACCCTGGCAGCCACCACTACAGGGCCCGCACTTTGACCCACCACAGAGGCAAGCCCTGGATGGCCACCCCACAGGACCCATCGTCACCAACCCTCCCGGGCGGCATGTGCCCACAGCAGCTGTGCAGCTGGCTGACGACATTGGGTTCAGGCCCAGCAAAGCCCACTCATCCCACAGACACCGACGGCCCCATAAGCTTCGCTCCTGCTCGGGCCCCTGCCCAGGCCCTGGATGGCAGGAGCTGGCCCTCCCCTGTGGGCAGGTGCATCCCTGGAGAGTGTGGAGACCTCTCTGGGGCTCGGTCCCCAGCCCTCCATAAAAGTATCCACTCAGCTTCTCCCCATAAGCCCCTCTGGTAAGGCCCACAGTGTGGGGCAGGCGCAGGAGGCCTCTCCTGCCCAGGGCAGAGGACAGTTCTGAGCCTCCCTTCCTAAAGCATCCCATCCCACAAAGGCAACCGCCCTGTGGGGAAGGGGCTGAAGACCACCACTCGGGCTGGCAGGTGTGGCCCCTGGCTGGTGGCCAGGAGGAACATGGCCACAGTCCCCAAAACTTGGGACACCCGGGCTTGGTCCTTGGCCAGCCCAACCCACCCAGCCCCACATTCTTCCTCCAGAGGGCCAAAGGTCTGCACTTCCACCCCGGTATCCACCTGCTCTGTCACCTTGTCCCATGTCCTGCTCCCCAAGCCACTACGCTCCAGAGCATGCCAGAGAGAAAATGTGGGAAACGCTGAGGCCATGTAAACAGGCGAGATGACGCATAAGGGGCCTGTCCAGCTTCATCACAGGAAACGCCTCTGCTCACTGTGCGGCCTGCACTGGGGAAGCCCACAGAGCGACCATCCCCAGGGACCCCCTCCCCACCGCCCCTCAACAAACACCTCCCTCGCCAGGAGGAAAAAAAAAAACAAAATGCACGGCCATTTAATGACCCACCCTCGGAGTGCCAGCAGGCAGAGGTAGGACTGGAGGGGAGCAGAATCTGATTAATTTAACGGGGAGTCCAGGGGGAAAATCTCAGAGATAGACCAAAGAGGCATTTCAAAAGCACAGCGATAAATACACTAAATCACGCAGAACAAACAGAAGCAGGTGCTTTGCTGATAAATGCTTAAGCTCTGCGACTTTCAAGATGAAACGGCCCAGCCCGAGATAGATGGAGTGAATTTGATGGGCTGGGGGCTGCCAGCGCCGCGTCCTGAGCCGCTCCCCACCCCCCACCCCTGGCATATGTTCCTGACAACAGTTAGGATCTTACCTCGGGAGAGCATGTTGCCTTTTGCTCTGAAGACGATCTGACAGTTCTGATATGCAGGTTTATTATCTGGCTGTCATGCATTTCTCCTGTGCTGGGGTCTCATCCATTTGGGGAATGACTCTGTTTTGAAAGTGGCATTTGGGAGATGAAGATAAGGTGGCCCTAGGCCCAGCACTGAAGACTCCCAGCTGGTTGAGCCCCTCTCCGTCCCAGGCAGCCACGGTCCTTCTCTCTGCAGGGAGCACTCAGAGCCACCCTGCAAGGAGACCCAGCCCTGAACATCCTTCTCAGCTCAGAGATGGTAAAACTGAAGCCCAGCAAGCTTGGGATCAGTAACCATTGACTGACAGCTGGGGCTCATGATCAAATCTTCTGGCCCCAAACTTGGTAACTTTTTCCTCACGAGGCCAGCCTGCACGGAGCGCCAATGGGGGAGTCCCCAGTCTGCAGCCATCGCTGACACCTGGTGCGAAGGGGTTTACCTGCTGCACCTGGGACAGGAAAGCAGCCCTATGTTTGGAGGAAGGGGGTGGGGAACGGCTAGGCACAGAATCACACCACAGGTGGGATCACGTGCTGGACGCAAACAAGTGCTCTGAAATTAGGCAGACCTGGGTTCAAACGCCAGCCCCACTACTTACCAGCTGTGCAAGCTGGAGAGGTTTCTTCCCCTCTCTGAGCCCCAGTCGTGTCCTCTGAGAATGATGGTAATGAAAACCTCTGCTCCCTGTGGGCTGCTGGGAAGATGGTGAGATCCTTTTGATGCATTTAGCCCAGTGCCTGGCACAAAGAAAAGGCTTAATAAAAGTTCTCAACTCTTAGTATTTGTGTCAGTTATCTCCTGCTGCATAACAAAGTACTCCAAAATTTAGCAGTTTAAAACAACAGCAAACCTTTATCGACTTGCAGTTTCTGTGGGTCAGGATCCAGGGTAAGTTCGGGTGGGTGGCCCTGGCTCAGGGTCTCTCCAGAGGCTGCGTCATGACGTTGGCTGGGGCTGCCATCATCTGAGGGTTTGACTGGGGCTGAAGCCTCTGCCTCCAATATGCGCTGCTTGGGGGAGGCCACAGTTCCTCACAGGATGACTTCCACAGGCTGCTCGAAGGTCCCACACCACAGCAGCAGGAGCCCTAGAGCAAGTGATCAAGAGAGGACAGAGGGGAAGCCACAGTGCCTTTTCTGACCTGGCCTGGGAAGTTCCTCACTGCCACTTCTTCCATATTCTATGTGTGAAGAGAGTAGGAAATTAGCCTCTGTTTCTTGGAGGGAGGAATGGCAAAAGACTATGGTGGACGTTTTTTAAATCCACCACGTCATTGCTGGAAGAATGAGACCAGACCTCAAGGGAAGAAAACAAGGAAATTGTCTAGAAAAGCCCATGAAAGAGGCAGAAAATAACTGAAAGTGACTCGCAATTTTCTTTGCTACTTCCAGCCAAGAGCATTGTTCTCACCAGCCCAGCTGACTGACCCTTTAGGTGACAGAACCACATCACCCCAAACTTTTTCCCGGGCACAAAAGCATTCTGAGCTACATCCATGTGTGGGTCTTTGATACTAGAACCAGCACTTCCAAACCACCCGGAGTCCAACACCCATGATGCAGGGCAGGCAGGCCCACAATTGGGGCTTAGTCTGGGAGGGTCCTTGGCTTTACCCAGGAAAGAATTCAAGGGCGAGCTGGTGGTGTTAGACAGCAGTCTTTATTGAAGTGGTACCAGAGGTGCTGCTCCTTGCAGAGCAGGGCTATCCCATGGGCAGTGTGCCCAGAGCGGCAGTTCAAAGGCAGTGCTGCACCCACTTTTTTTTTTTTTTTTTTTTTTTTTTGTGAGACAGAGTCTTGCTCTGTCACCCAGGCTGAAGTGCAGCGGCACAATCTCGGCTCACTGCAACCTCCACCTCCCAGGTCCAAGCAATTCTCCTGCCTCAGCCTCCCGAGTAACTGGGATTACAGGCGCCCACCACCATGCCTGGCTAAGTTTTGTATTTTTACTAGAGACGGGGTTTCACCATGTTGGCCAGGCTGGTCTCGAATTCCCGACCTTAAGGTGATTTGCCTGCCTTGGCTTCCCAAAGTGCTGGGATTACAGGCGTGAGCCACTGTGCCTGGCCTGGACTCATATTTATACCCACTTTTAATTACATGTAAATTGAGGGGCACTTTATGCAGAAATTTCCAGGAAAAGGATGATAACTTCTGGGCTGTTGCCATGGAAAGGGGTGGTAACTTCCAGGAGTTGCCATGGCAATGGTAAACTGACATGGCACCGGTGGGTGTGTCTTATAGGAGGTGCTTTAGGCTCTTCCCTGTTTTAGCTAGTCTTCAATCTGGTCCAGAGTCCAAGCCCTGCCTCCTGCCTCCCGCCCTGGAGGGCACTTTCCTGCCACCTCTCCATTTTCCATTAAATAATGGAATAATTCAGTAATTCCATTGAATAATGGAAAATGATGAAAAGGACTGGAATATCCAGGCTGGAGTATCTTCCCAGGATTCTGAGGGAGGGACTGAAACCAAGCGAATTATAACATCTCCCCCCAAGAGTCACTCAGGGATCCTCCTGCAACAGGAGATGGTCACATTCCTTTAACTGTGGCCTCCAGCCTTGGGAGGTGTTATACGCCCATTTCACGGATGGAAAAATAGAGGCTCCAAAAGGCCTGGCAAGTTGTCCAAAGCCACACAACGTGGAGTGCAAGAGCCTGGCCGAGTTCGAGAGGCCCTGCCACCAGCCTGGGTTTCCACACCACCCACGTCCATCCCAGGCTTGCACAAACCACATCTGCCATGACCAGATGATGTCCACGGTAGGGACGGAGCCCGTGAATGCACAAACCCACACCAGGGGCTAAGCGCAGCTGTCCTGGGGGACCACAGCAGCCATGCTCTCCTCCCCGTCCCCTGCCTGCCATTGCACCACCGCCCACCACCTTGCAGACACTGCTGCAGAGGCCTGCCCCTGCCTAGAGATGGGCCATGGAGAGGGCACCTGGGCTGTGAGCACATTAGAGACAGGTGCCCACACCAAAACCCTGCAGAGCTCAGAGGGTCCCTGATCAGGGGAAGGCAGGGTCACGTCTGCCTTCCAGAAGTGTCCCTGAAGTGCCCAGGGAGGGAAAGTAGCCTCAGCAGGGAGGCTGGGGAAGGAGGGTGACATGGGGGAGCCTGGGAGGGAGGGTGACATCGGGGAGCCGGGGAGGAATGAAGAGGGGAAAGGACAAGTGGCCCTGCCACACAGGACCAAGCAGTGCGAGGAGACCCACAGGGCGGGGGCCCAGCCTTCAAGAGAGCCCAACAAAAGAACGGGGTGTGTGTTTGGGCCGAATGGGGCGAGTACCAGAGAGGGCTGCTCCAGGCTTGGGGGCTCCGTGATGTGTGAGCTTGGAGGTGGCCAGGAACGGAGGCCCCGTCAGGATGTCTCAGCTTCTGGGGGTGGCCGTGGGCTGAACAGGAAAGTATTTTGAGCGTCCCCACAACCCGGCAATGTTCACCAGCCCACTGGACACTCTGACCCCACCCCAGGCAGGCATCCCTCATCCCTCACCTGTGGCTCCCACTAGTAAGGAGGACCCAGCCACTCCCTCCACCTCTGCTCTCTCTCCGTCACCCCACATCTAACCCTGAGAGATCCCCTGCTCTCTCCGTCACCCCACATCTAACCCTGAGAGATCCCCTGCTCTCTCTAGCTCACCCCACATCTAACCCTGAGAGATCACCTGCTCTCTCTCCGTCACCCCACATCTAACCCTGACCGATCACCTGCTCTCTCTCCGTAAACCCACATCTAACCTGCCACCTGAGGGCTCGCTGCTCTAGTGTCCAGCCCGAGTTCCCAAGTCAAAGAATCCCATCAGTCTAAGAACACACAGTGAACACCCGCTGTGTGTCCAGCATCCTTCCAGGCCCTGAGATACGACAGTGAACAAAAGGGGCCAACACTTCCGAGGAGAACACCCTGAGCAAACAAGCAGCATGGCTGGCAGCAATGGGCACACAGGGGACAAAGCTGCAGGGCGGAGGGATGGGGAGAACAGGCTGGGGTCCACTGAGATGGGCCAAGCACAGAGGAACTCCAAAAAGGCAACGCTGGGGCAAAGAGCTGACAAGACAAAGGGGCGAGCCCTGTGTGCCTGTGGGGAGGAGGGTCGCAGGCGGAGGGCAGAGTGAAGGCCGGGACCGGAGGGTCAGGTGTGGCTGAGAAGTGGCAGGATGGCCAGTGGGCCACTATTGTGAAGGGAAGCAGAGACACGGGATAGAATGGGGTGGAAACTGGTGAGGCGGCCTGTTTGGATGCTGATGGGAGTGGCCCAGGAGAGGAAGAAATATTCCTGATGCAGGACAGAGAGGGGGACCACAGCTGGAAAGGAGTCCCGGAATAATGCCAAAGAAAAATGATTCGCTGGACGCTTGTTAAAGACAGCAAGGCGGATGCCACTCCAGCTCCTGCTGTAGGGGAGACTCGTGCACAGAGCTGAGCTCAACTCCCACTAGAGCAATGCCGTCGGGGCACACAGCCAGCAAGCGGAGCGGGGAGACGGGAGCGTGCAGAGTGAGGAGCTGACCTCACCAGATATCAAGGCTGGGGGATAAGGGACTTCATCTGATTTCAGAGTGTGTAGATTCTTCATAAGTGGGCTTAGGGGGGTCTTTGCTGAAACAGGTTCAGCCCACCAAGGGCAAAGCTTCTTCAGAGGAGGACTCCGAGGAGGCCACTCCAGCACGGGCAACGAGGGCATCCTTGTCACTAGGTGAGAAGAGACAGGCTTCTGTGCGGGAGGGAAGGGGCCGGCCTTGCTGGAGTGGAGCCAATTCAGGGCAAGGTGGAGACCCCTGAGTACACAGGTGGGCTGAGGAGCACGTTCATTGTTGCTGGCCCTGGGGACACAGCAGCTGCCTCACTACCATGGAGACAGGGATGCACCCGTGGACGGCTGCCCAACCAGGCCTTGCCTAAGTCCCATCTGCCATGGCCAAAAGGCAGCATCTCAAGGTCACCAAATGGGCCTCTCCTTCCAGGGAAACAGGTTTCTCTCTTCACTGTCATTCCGGGGGTTCACGCAGATGCTGGCCTGGCAAATGCTAGGGGCCTGCAGGCTGACACCTTCCACATGTTTCATGTAAGAGGCTCCCCCAGCTCTGTCCTCCACGGTTTCATGGCTTTTATCAGCACCAGGATGAGAGTCTTCCAAGGATGCTGGGCTGTGTCCGCCTTGAGACAGGACCCCATACGGACATCTGTGGGCCATGAGCAGGGAAATGAAGGGAAGAGGGTGCCAGCTGCCTTCCCTGCCAGTCCCAAACATCTACCCTGAAATCAGACACAGTGTATGGATGTTGCTACCCCTGCCAGAACCCTGCATGTGGCACCCAGAAACTCCGATGTGAACTTCATGCAGTTCATTAGAATCAGGCCCTACCACTGCAGCCCTTCTTGGGAGCATTTTCATGAAAGAAAGCCATTCCCCAGCTTCCCAAATAACAACCAAGCACGGCCCCCACGCTGGAGGCTGTGGGTAAAGGGAGTCAGCTCATTGGCCCCCTTTTGGGGCGTTAAGGGCACGAGTTCCTGAAGTTCCTGCCTTGCTAACTGGAGGTCCCTGTCTCCAGGGTATTTACCGCAGGTCTCCAAAACCTGAGCCTGGCTGACCGGGACGCCTACCCCCGGGACCATCTCACTACTGTCACGCTGCTCATCACAGCTGCACTGCAATGCTGTTCTAGAGGCCTGCACTGTGTGGCTGTCCTGGAGGCCTGTGATGGCAGTGGTGGGCCATACGGAGCAGCCAGCTGTAGCGGGAAGGGGCAAGCGATGGCAGCAGGAGTGGCTGCAGGAGCAGCAGTGGCAGCGGTGGGAGCAGCGGTGGGAGCAGCGGTGGCAGCGGTGAGACCCCTGTGCCGCATGTTCCCTGTGCACTGCATCCCCAAGGCAGCTGACTGCACCACCCCTACCCTCACACGGCTGGGAAGGACCCACCCCCAGGCCCAGAGCCTCCGCCACTCCCAACCCTGGCCCCACATCATCGCTCTCACCCACCACCCTGGGGGCCACCGTAATGGGGCCAGGCCTAGTTGCCTGCCAGCAGGGTAGCAGTGTGGCCAGGCATGGAGGGGCGGGCACAGAGGGTCCCCAAGGCAGAGCTGGCCCCGGGGTGATGCTGCACTTGCACGTGGAGCATGGGGGCCAGGCCAAGGGCACAAAGCTGGGGCTGTGCTTTGGGGTCCCAGGGCAGGAAGTGGGAGTGGCTCCCGCTTTGGGGGACCTGGCCAGGGGCATGGCCGTTGTGCCCACCCACCAGTGGCACCAGGTTCCTGTACCTCAGGAGGATGCTGTGCACAGGGCCGAGTCCCCGGGGTCCACCCTGCACTGGGGTGATCACCAAACCTGACACTCCCAATGGCCGGGCTCAGGGCCAGCGATCCACTCCCACGGGCATCCCCTCCGCGCAAGGCTATAAGTGAGCAAGGGGGAGCCCCGGGCTGAGTGCTGGGGCCATGGCAAGAACTTGCAGTAATGTCACCCCTGTTCCAGATGCCAGCCTGGGCTCATCGAGGACCTGGAGCCCCTGCACCAGGCTGCAAGGAGGTGCGGCCAGGGCTGCCCACATGTTCCACGGAGCAGGCGGGAGTCCCGCCCTTTCAGGAGCAGGATCTAGACATCTCTGTGCTCTGCACCCTTGGGGGCCCGAGAAGGTACCCCTGCCTCCACAGGCTCAGGGTGTCTGCTCCAGCTGCCTGGCCTCTCCCTGCTCCCAGCACCTGCTCCAATCTTGGACCAAGGTTGGGGCTGAGCCCAGGTGCTGTCACAGCCTGGCTGGGTGTGCAGACGCTGAGGGCAGCACTGACAATGCCAGCTTCTTGCCACATCGGCCCCCTGTGGACTTTGGATGCCAACAAGTGCAGGAGGGAAGCCAAGCAGGGAGCTGAGGGTGGCTTGGCACTGGCTTGTAGGTACCCCTTGGCACAAGCAGCCTGGACACCATGGATGGTGGCAAGAGGCAGACAGGCTTCTGGGCCGAAGGGGGCGGGTCCCCGGTGAGTCCCCACTTTCAGGCCAGGGAAGGCCTGAAGGCTGGGGGCTGGGCTGCCAGTCCCGCGGACCAGAGTCGGAACTTGTGGTGCCTTTTCTGGGCCCATCCATGGCCACCCATGGACCAATTGGCATGTACTTCCTCTCCTCTGAGATCCATAAAAACCCTGAGCTCAGCCAGAGCAGAAAAGACGACAAGACGACCAGCTGCAGAGAGGAGCTACCCTCTCTGCAGATAGCTGAACATTTGTCGGGACACCCCGGCTGTGGAAAGGACCTGCCCCCTGTGGGTCTTCTCTGAGCTGTTCTATTGCTCAATGAAGCTCCTTTTCATCTTGCTCACCTTCCACTTGTCTAGGTATACCCCATTCTTCCTGGTCGCAGGACAAGAACTCGGGACCCACCAAATGGCAAGGCTAAAAGAGCCATAACACAAACAGGGCTGAGACACGCCCCTTGCTCACCACGTTGACGGCAAAGAGAGGGTGAGAAGAGCTGTGCCCCTTCCAGAATCCCAGACCTGGGAGCTCCCTGAGCCAGGGCTGTGACACCCTGTTTGGGGTCCTGCAGTTCCTGGCATCTCCAAGCTTCCAGGCACCACCATGTTCCCCAGTGCCAGCTGTGGAAGCTGTGTGTCCAGCCGCAGCTTCACAGAGAGCCGGCACCCATGCCAGAACCTGGAGCTCCCCGCCCCGCTGCAGCCACCGGCATGTCTAACTGTGCAGTGGCCGGACCCCACGCTCACTCACACACCCCTCACTGCTCCGTACCTGACTTGCCCTTGGCAGGCGTGGGATCCAGACCGGTAGCGTGAGCTGAGTACAGCCTGCCAGGCCGAGTGGGCAGCACAAGCCCAGACCCAATCAAAACTGGACAAAGGTGCCACTGGCCATGGAGGTTTCTGGCCAGAAAAGTGACAGCCCAAGGATCCCATAACAGCTGCGCCGCATGGCCATTCTGGAGAGCCGTCCCACATCTGCTGGCCCGAGCCCTCCGCTTACTGAGGAGCAAAGCCAGCCCCTCAGCTCTCTGCGTTTGTGCTTCCTCCTGCTGGCCCCTTCATGTCTCTTTCCAAAGCCCTGCATTCTTCCTGCTTTGAAGCAGGGAAGAGCCTCCACACATTTCCTGGCCTTGGGTGGAGACCAGGTCACTGCTGGGGATGCCTGGACCACATCCACGTGTTTCATCCCAGCTGCTGAGCAGCCTTGAACTCCACGCCCTCCGACTTTGAGTGTGTGATCCACGGCACGCAGGAAGCACTGTCTTTGCAGATGTTAATGTACTCCCTGTCCGAGGGCGGATGGGAGCAGAGGCCAAGGAAAGCTGCCTGTGATACCACGGTGCTTCTTGGCAGTTTCCCAGATAAGAGGAAACCTCCCCGCTGTAGAGAATCCACGGGTCAAAACACACCTGCAATATTTCCCTCTAATATCCTGGGTCTGTATTTTGCTCCTCAAATTTCTCTCGTGGGAGACAGGGCCGTTTACATCAAGCTATTGGGGATCAACAGTGGACGGCGCAGACATGTGGTCCCTGCCCTCAGGGGTGTCAACACCTAGAGAAGAAATCTGAGCCCACGGCTGGGCACACACAGTTCACGTGGAATAAAAAAGTCGGTGACTGGATACAGGGTGTCCATCAGTGAGGTGGTCCCGGTGGGTGTGAGCAGGTTAATCAATTGCATTCCACGGGTTATTTCCAGATATGAGCGACAGTGTCTAGACAGCTGGGCGGCGTTCTCACGGAGGCCCCCAGGTGGGGCTGTGATGATGCCCAGGGGCAGGGCCAGCAGTTGTTGGGGTCGAGCAGCCTCCTGTGCCCGCACTGGGCTCCTGCCTTCAGGGAGACACAGAGCCCTGAACAGCGCGAGATCAGCGGGGTGAGGGCCGGGGGCAGGGCCGGCGGGTGGTGTGGGTGCAGATTCAGCAGACGCACCAACAATCGGATGGAATCAAACACTTTCCAGGATCGAAAAGTGCTGGGGGCAAGATCAGGGTGATGCATCCACAGTGACGGGGGGAGGACCACTTCAGGGTGGGGCTCAGGGTGGTCCAAGCTGAGCCTGAATGACCAGGAGGACCCCTCCACCCGCTGACGTCTGGGGACAGAACATTCCAGCCAGGGAAGTGCTAGTGCAGAGGCTCCAGGGACAGGAGGGCCGGCGTGGCCAGAGGGAGGGCGCGGGCGTGGCTGGGGATAGCACGGGAGGATTGCGAGTTTCCTCTGGTGCAAGGGTGGGGCTGGTAGGACACGCTAGGCGAGCCTTTCCCAGTTATGCTGAAGAACGTGCGTGAGGCTGCATTCACACCGCCACCAGGAGTCAGACTACAGCGGGCTCTCAGGCCCAGGGGCTACGGGAAGCCCTTTCTGCATAACTCACATTCTGCGGGTGGAGAAACTGAGGCATGGAGAGGTTAATTAAGTCTGCTGCCCAAAGTCACGCAGTGAGTAGGATTGAAACCATCCAGGGAGACGGTGAGGAAGACCGGGCGGGGGTCCAGCCATGCGAGGACCACGGTTTGGGCCCGGGTGAGACCCCTGAGCATGGAGGGCCAGGAAGGGGGACACGGGAGGGGTCCTGACAACAGTGACCACGGCACTGGCGTCCACGGAGGAGCCCGGAGTCCCCTGACTCAGGACCAAGCCATTGCCAAGACGCATATGACCTCCTGAAGCCTCATGGGCACAAGGGGCCCGCGAGTCACCACAGTCTGAAAGGCCCATGCACCAGCCCTTGGAGCCCCTCCTTCCACAGGGGCCGTGGGTGGACCCCGAGCTGAAGTGGGGTGAGCTGAGCAGCCCTGCACCTTCCGAAAGGCATGAGGGCGGCGGGGCTGCGCCACTGCAAGGCAACAGCTCCTGGATCTACACTTCCAGAGTAAAGTTCTTCAGGCTGCTTTCCACACATAAGGGCCAATTTACTGTATGTTTTTTTCCCAAAAGGAATCATCCGCTGAGCCAAATGCGAATTGTCACCAACTTCCAACAGGCAGAGATATAAGGCAAGTGCATTAAAGCACCGTGAAGTGAGCGGCCCTTCCAGAAAGGGCAGAAATCATGATTTTATTGTCATCTTCGTCTGTCATAATTTACAATTTCACTACACTCCAATTACTGCGTACTTGGAGAACGTTTGTTAATGTCCCCAGCACCCTCAGCACGCGGCCCCCACCAAGTGGACAGTGTAACTCTCCACTTAGCACCTCGTGCAGGCCCCTGGGGTGTGAGAAAGGGACACTCCAGTCCCCGCCCGCCGTACTCCCAGGTCCAGAGGAAGACGGATGATGCCATTCGTGAGAGCACATGGTGCTGTGCCGCCCTCCCAGCCCTGGCCTCCTCGCTGGCACAGCCTCCCTGCATCACACACCAGGAAGGGCGCCCCAGGAGCAAGCAGGCAGAGCCACATCCAGGTGTGAGCTACCTGGGGACTGGCGATGGCCCTACCCACCAGGTAAGGCTGGGGCCTGTTTCCCCTCGGGAAGGAGGCCAGCAGGCTCCGGGAGAACCAGGTAGAGTAGAGAGTGTGTGCCCTGGAGACATCCTCCTGGAAACTCAGGCCTGGGCTTAGGGTCCCGCAGCTCTCAGGGCCCCATAACGGGTCTCAGTCCATGGAACGCGGCTCTCACCTCACATCCATCAGCAGACATTTGCCAAAGTGGAGCCAAGCCCCGGGGCCCTGGGAACACAGAGCTTCCAGGCAAAAGCCTAACCATCCCAGAACAACAGGCAGAAGAGCAGGGCTGTGAGGCCCTCGCTCGACAGTGGCTGCCTGAATCTGTGTCATTTCAGCAGCACCTGGACCTCGGTGGAAAGACAGCGCCTCCCCCCACTGCACCAACAGCCAAGAAATATGGTGCTCAGCCCAGCCAGCCCCTCCCGCTGGGAAGGTGGGACGCAGCCGCTGCCTTCTCTGCGGCCGGCAGATATTTATGGTTTGTTAATGTTATTGCAAAAACCCCTCTCTGATGAAGCCGGCTCAGGTTGTTTAAATTAATGACCTCAGGTAGGATCACTAGGAGCGTTGCCCAGCCCTGCCAGAAATCCTGCATGTCAGCAAAAACTCTGTGACCAAAGCCACACTGGAGAAATAGCCATTAGCAGTGAGCCGCAGAGAGGGGCTCTGTGTCCCGGCACCCACAGGGCGGGGGCGGCCCAGGCAGGAGCAGGATCCCGGATGCAGGGGCGGAGCAGCCCCACCGAGAGGCTCCAACACCCAAAGCCTTGCCAGGCGCTGCCCACGTGGGAGGGGACCCTGCTCACAGCCAGCACATGCGGATGTGTTCCAGGCTAGCAAAGATGCCCCCCACCCCGGGCACCATGCCCCCCGGTCAGATCTGCATGACCAAGGGCACCAAGAGCACCCCAAAGGGTGCGTGGGGACTGAGGGGGTAGCTGGGGCTGGATGCAGCACGTGGTTCACTTCCAGCCTTGATGGAACATCGCTCTGGTGCCCAGAGAGGCTGCTCCTGCCCCAGTCCCCTGTGTCTGGCTGCCCCAGAAACTGGAGTGAGGTTTGCCTCAAGAAGCTGCAGCCCTCTCCACTGAGAAGCTGTGCACAGGGACGGGTCTGGGGATGTCTCGGGCTGCCAGTCCTCAGGCTCTGTCCTGCTCCCAGGCCTCATTCTCCAGGTTCCCAGAGAAGGCATCCACACACATGCAAACACCAATACGCACATGCATGCATGCACACATGCATCAATGCACGTCTGCACACACGCACATATACCCATGCATACATACACATACACATACATACACACATATACCCATGCATACATACACATATACACACACACACATACCCAATATGCACATGCATGCACACATGCATCAATGCACATCCATACACACATGGACATATACCCATGCATACATACACATACACACACCAATGCACACACAATACACATATGCATGCATGCACACATGCATCAATGCACATCCACACATATGCACATGTACCCATGCATACATACACGTGTACACACACATGCACATATGCACACGCATCATACCATACACATATGCACACACGTCACACATATACATGCACACATGCATACATATACATGTCTGCACACCCACAGCAGGGAGCTATGCAGGTCAGGGCTCAACACACCCTCAGGTTCTACCTTAATGGAGGGCTCCTTCCTTCTTCACAAGGTCCCTGGATGCCAGGGGAGAAGGAAGGCACTTCCTGGCAGAGGTACAGAGGGATATGGAACCAGCAAGGTTAACCTGGCAGGATCAGCCCAGCCCCAGGCCTTGGTGAGCCTCCTTCCTTCCACCCAGACACTGAGAGGGCAGCCCAGCCTGTCCAGGCAATCAGCAGCCATCAAATGAGAGCCAGGCCAGCCGAGGGTCCCTCTGCACCATGCCCCCCATTCCCACTTGTCCCCAAGGGCCAAGCCGCAGATAACCTCTGTCCAGTTATTCAAGATGTCAGGTTCATCTTCAGTCTTACGGAAGAGAAGGAGAGAGAGGAGGTGAGTGGCGAGTTGAATGAGTGGTGAGTCAGCTCACAGGCGAGCCGACACCAGCGTGCCGGGAGGGATGACCCACCTGGAACATCAAGCAGGTTTAGGCCAAGATGGCCCAGACACTGAGTCTCCTCTCCCTCCCTCCCTCGCTGCCTCCTGTCCTAAATTCATTTTCTTAAGAGTCACTGGAATGAGTCCAAGTGGAACCCTGTGTCCTGCAGCCCAGGGGGAGGGCAGGCAGGGTTGGAACTGAGCCCAACAGCCTGGAGACGCTGTTCACCACCAGCTGGGACCTCACAGCAATAGCTTCAGCCCCTCGGGCCCTGGCCGAGGAGCTCAATGTGGAGGAGGACTGGGTGTCACGGACATGGAGTGGGAGGAACCTTGTCCCGACCTAGCCCTAGTGGCCAAGCGTCTCCCCACCAAGCTCCCAGTGCAGGGGTGCACACACCAGGAGGACGGTGGGGGGGACACTGTCCTGGGAGGAGGAGGGGCCGGAGTTAGGATGGAGGAGATGACACAAGGGTCAGGGAGGAGTAAACCAGATGGGGACCATCATCACCACAATCCACCCTGACTCCTGCCTGGAAACCCAGACTCCCCACCCAGGGAGAGGGGATGACTTGGGATTCCAAGAGGGCCAGGAGGAAGCACAGAGGAGGGGGCTGCCCTGAGAGCTTGGAGGGGCTGAGGCCTTCTGGGAGGGAGAGAAAGGAGCGGGGCCCCCAGCAGGCTCGGGCTCCAGGGTGCAGGAGAAAGAGCAGGGCGCCCTGATGGACGGCACTGCCATGCCCACCCGCCTCGGAGTCCCACCAAGATCAAGCCATCAGGCTTCTTGCAGCTGCCTCCTGACACGCCAGGCCTCGGGTCCCAACCTCTGCAGAGAGTCATGCTCAGCAAGAAGCATCGCAGCCACCAAGAGTCCCAAAAAAGAGCCCCAAAGCTCACCCTGAGGACACCCCATCTGCTCCTTTTCCCAGAGCCCTAAGCTCTGGGGACCTCAGCCTCAGGGCATCTGCAGCTGGTCCTGGTCTATTTTTCCAGAATTTTCTCTTGCTCCTCTTTACCCATCTCCGTACTCCCCCACGCTGTGTTCCACACTGGATCTCCAGCCAGGCCCCCTCCACCTTTGTTCATGCTCTTGTCTTTCCAAAATGTTCTCTTGTATCCAACAAACTCCTATTCATTCTTCAAGGCCCAGCTGAAATGTCCCATCTCTCTGAAAACCCTGACCCTCCCAGGTTGGAATGAGCCCAGATTGTGATGACTCCCATAGCCCAGCTCTGGGCTGGGATCAGGGTGTGCCTGCATGAGTGATGCTGAGTATATGAAACCCATTTCCCTTTATCAGGAGAAAGCTTTGGCCTGAGACCCATGGGTGGGTTATGCCCTAGCCTGCACTTCCTGCTGTCTCTAAACCACTGACCCCTTTGGATGGGCCCAGCCAGACGGAAACAGCTCTGCACTCCCCCGCCTTGGGGATCTGGACAGCACAAAAGGGTGGCTGGGTGTGGAGTGCGGAGAAAGGGCCCTCACCTTTCCAGGGGCAATTATGACTCCTAGAACCTTGAACTGCGGTCTTCATTAGGTTACCAAATAAATTATTACATTATTACATTTTAAGTTGACAAGTAAATCTTATTATAAAAGTGTAATGACACCATAAAAGACATTTTATTCATCCGTTTCGTCCTCTTGTTCCCGTTGACACTTCATTACAGCTCCCGAGACATGGAGAACTAGAACATTAATTTGGCAAAATCGATGGAAATCTTTCAGGAGCTGGGGTTTCCAAGTTCTGCCCCGGGGCCCCGATGAATGCTCAGGGAAAAAACCCCCAGTCTGGGGGGTGGAAAGAGCTTGGAGGCTGGGGTATGGACACCCAGGGAGGGCTCCCCTAGCACCACCCCTGGAGCGCCCCCCAGATTCCCCCAAGGCCCTGCCAAGGTCCAGCTGGCCCACACCTCCCCTCCCCGTTGGACGGTCTCTCAGCTGCACTGGTCTGTGGCCTTGAGTCCGTCATCAGACACCCTCCGTGCCACCTTAAAACCGGGGATGTCTTGATGAAGAGACAGAAACAATTAGGGCAGCGGTGAACACCCCAAGCCTGGAGCCGAAAGCTCAGGTGACTAGGGGACACTTTCCAAGGACCCGGGAGGGTTGGGGCTGAGGCAGTGCCTGTCGAGGCTGGAACCCTGGGGTGGCTGGTGGGAACTCGCCCTGTCTTCCTCCTACTCTCTAGTTTCCAATTCGTTAATGGCCTCTACTACCTTCATGGTGGAAAACATACATACAGGTATAAGTATGGATAAGACTTGATGGTAAGTGCACAGCTCACGCCTGTCAGCCTTCAGGGCTCGGCCAGCAGCACCGGGCCCCTGCCCAGGACACGGCCCCTCCTCCCTAGGGTCCCCGAGGCACATCCTCTCTGTCTCTCTCTTTCTGTCTCTCTCTCAAATCAATGATCAATGTGTTTTTCCTATATTCTAACCTGCCTGTAATTTGGAAATTGTGCTATTTCAAACAACTCAATTTAAAATTGGGATTTTTGAGGTTGATCATTTTTCTCTTCTTCCTACCACTACTAGCAGGATGCTAGACAATTTCTAAGTAAATGATTTGAAACTGGAATAAAAGCAGTAAATGGTCTCCACTGGGCTGTGAGGAGAGACCAGGAAGTGAGTGGAGCCCAACCTGGGGACTGACAGGTGATGCCCCGCCCCTGCGACGCCACCCCCAGGACACCACACCCCCTGCGATGCCACGCCTCAAGATGCCCCACCCCACGGTGCCAGGCCCCAGCAACGCCACTGCCACGCCCCCATGATGCCATGCCTCAAGATGCCCCGCCCCATGACCACGCCCCCGCCCCCTTTCTGCCTTGCCACGCCCACCGGCCCCAGACACCTTGAGGATGGTTCTGCTCTGCAAAGGAAGTGGGGGTCCACTCCCCTGCACATGGAGGCAGCTGGGCCTCCCCCTTGCTACTGCAGAGCTGGGGAACCCCTACCGAGGTGCTCCCCCTGGTCCACCCCGCGAGGCTGGAGTGGCCAGGCTGGAGCCTGTCCCTGCCAGGAGGAGGGGGCGAAAGGCTGCAGGTGCACTCCCGTGACATAGGGTGGGGGCTGGACAGAGCAGGACGGGGCTCTCCAGGGTCTCACAGATGGAGCTACCACAGGAGAGCCCTCGACCATGGCCCTTAAACACGCCCGGGGGTTTTCCAGATACAGAAGCCTTTACGGGCAGAGGGAGGAGCCCAGGCAGAGGTGGGGGGTGCGGACAGCCGCTGGGTCCCGGCAATTAGAATGCAGGGGACTGGTCCGGGGCAGGCGGGCAAGAGGGGAACTGCAGACAGGCCACACATCCAGGGGTAGGAGTGAGCACCAGGGCTCAGACGCCACAGGATCGGCTGGTTCTGTGGAGGGGCCGGGGAAAGAGGCTGGTCAGGGCGAGATGAGGAGTGTCCCAGCAAGCCACGCCTGGACACAGCCTGACCTCCCGGGGTCCTGAGCAGTGCCCTGACCCCACATCCCACAGCCAGTGGCTGCAGCCCAAGCCAGAAGCCTCCGCCCCGCTGTCCCAGGAAGTCACTGGAGAGCAAGGACTCCTGGAGCAGCCATCGGTGCCAGGCCCCAGCAACGCCACACCCCCATGATGCCCTGGCAGGCACCGTCCTCACACGGGCACAGCTGGCAGGCCCAAGGCAGGCTGAGCCAGACCCCACGGCTCCCAGCGGAGGAATGCATTCTCTCAGAAGGACAGGGGGCGGGGGGGCCCCCCGCACACCAGTGAGGAGGAGGCAGAGACGGGCATGCTGACCTGGCCCCTTTACTCCTTAAGTTACTGGTGGCTGCGCAGGGCCCAGAGCACGCAGGGCTAGGGACAGCACTAGGCCTGAGAGGAAGAATCAGGGATCCTCAGAGAGACAGCAGAGCAGGGCCCCCAGGGACGCTTGGGAAACAGAGTGCACGGCCCCCGTGAGCCGGAATCCCCCCACGTCCAGTCCAGGCTGCTGCCAAGGAGGCTTCCAGGAGCCAGCGCGTGCTGCAGACTCAGAGACGCAGGGATGGCATCCTTCTCTTTCTCTCTCTCTCCTTCCCCTGCCTCCTCCATCTATCCCTCTCCTTCCCTCCCTCTCTCTCTCTTTCTCTCTTTCTCCCCCTCCTCTCTCCTCCCCTGTCTCTCTTTCTCTCTGGGTCTCTTCCTCTCCCTCCCCCTCTCTCTCTCCCTCACTCTTCCTCTCCCTCTCCCTTCCTCTCTCTCCCTCTCTCTCTCCCTCTCCATCTCTCTCTCCCCCGTCTCTGTTTCTCTCTCCCTCTCTCCATCTCTCCCCTCCTTTTCTCTGTCTCCCTCCCCTCTCTCTCCCCGCTTTCTCCCTCTCTCCCCCCCTTTCTCCCTCTCTCCCCCCCTTTCTCCCTCTCTCCCCCACCTCTCTCTCCCTCTCTCTCTCTCTCCCTCTCTTTCTTTCTCTCTGTCTCTTCCCCTCTCCCTCTCATTCCGTCTCTCTCCTCCTGCTTTTCTGAACAATGAACAATGACCATCACTGGGCTCACAAAATTAAGTATCTGAAAGATGTTAGGAACTTACCTTGGTTTCTATGGCAACATGAGAATAATTCACATTTCCCAGCCAAACTGGAGGCAAACACATTTTTCGTCCACTTTATGGGTGGCCAATTATTTTTAATAGCCGGGTCAGCAGTGGCTGTCCCTGGGTCCTCTGTCCTCATTAGCATTCCCTGGTGGCGGGTGCATGAGGATGGTGGTCACCAAGTTTACTAAGAGACTCTGACCTGGTGTGGGGAGCAGAGATGACCTTCTGCTGGTTGTCACCAGGAAGAGCGAGGCTGGGCCACCCTCACTGCTGTGAAGCCCCGGCCACATCCACCTAGCAGCTGCTGACTTGGTGGAGAGGTGTGGGCCCTGACACCAGCGTCCTCACTCATGGGCAGGTGACCTCCAATGTCCTACTCTGCTCTTTGACACCGGAGTGGAACCATAATCCCCACCCCAGGGGCCATCAGTCACTCCACAGATCCATGCCTGGAAGACAGCAGGTGTCCAATAAATGCTTGTGGAGTTAAATGACCAACCAATCACCCTCCTCGGTGCCAGGCCAGCCTCGTCGTGCCACCTGCTGGATAAAATCTCTCCTGCCCAGCTGATCACCAAGACAAGAGCTGGAGGGATATCCCTGGGCCTTCAGCCTCGACAGATGAGGATGGGGGAACCATCAAGCTGCCCCAGGTTCACTGCAATGGAATAAAGCCAGGTGCAGAAAACAGGTCATGTGGGTCCGCCCGGCCTCCCTCGGTGCAAAGCCCTGGGCCGAGCTCCCTGGTCTATCTGGAGCTCATTCCTTCACCTCTCAAATGTTGTCAAGGACCCGCCACGGGCCCAGCCACATGTCCAGCCCTGTTCTAGATGCTGGGACAGGAATGGACGAGAAAGACACGGTCCTGTTTCGTGGAGTTGGTGGCCTAGTGGAGAGAGGACCCTAGACTAGTCAACAACACGGGATCCTTGTAGGTGACAGTCATACCTTGAAGAAAATGGAACGGGTTAAGAGAGACGGCCAGGGGGAGGGTGCGGGCGCTGGGTGGGGAGGGCTCCTGGGGAGGGCAGCACTTGCCCCCTGGCTCCTTCCCAAGCAGGCCTCTTAGCTTCTCCAGGCCAGACCCCACGCAGGGACAGACAGATGGGGCGGGGCGGGGCTTATGCCACAGCCACGCGGCTTCCCTCCAGGAAGGAGAGGCAAACTTTGGGACACAGTGGCCGAGGCCGCTGTGCCATCCCCCCACGTCTGTGCAGCACAGGGGGCTACCAGCCCTCCTGGCCCCTCACCCCTTGGCTCAACAAGCCACAGGCTCCGGCTCCCAAGGGCCAGGCCAAGTCTTTTTTTGAAAAAATCAATTAAAAATTACAGAAAAGAAAATGAATAATTTAACAAACACTCTCATACCCACAACCCGGGATTAACCCATTAACATCTCTCTGGTTGTATTGTACATACATCTGGTTGTATCTGAATCACTCAGATTATAAGAAAGTGTAACTTAATATGTATAAATGTAAGTTATATAATTATTTAAATATATACAAAAATATACAAATATATGAACGTATAATATGTAAATATAATAGAGATATAATTAGCTCAAATGCATATACAACATCAGGTAATAAATAACACAGCTCCCGCTGCCCTCCTCCCCGCCACCTCGCCCGCCTTCCCACGGTCACGCTGACTGGCTCACCTCTCTCCATCCTGTGCTTTCCGTCTTCACAGACATGTCCACAAATGATACACACGTGGGTCGCTGATGTGGCAGGGGAACAGCAGCTCGGGGGGCTGAGCCTGTGGATGCCCCTGCCCGAGTTCCCATCCCGGCCCCCAGGAGGGGCTGCGTCTCTTTGGGCAGCTTTGTGGTTTCTCCGAGCCTTGGGTTTTCCCTCTGTAAGGGAACAAGGATAGTGCCTCCTCGCTAGTGCTAGGGCGGCTGGGGTCGTCCTGGTGAGATCCTAGAGACCCTCCGGCTGGCTGTGAGCATGGTGGGGGATGCCTCCCCGGCTGACATGGCAGGGGGTCAGCTGTGAGCACTAGGGGGTTGTGTGCCGGCTGTGAGCATGCGGGGGGCTGGCTGTGAGCAAGGGGGCGGCAGCCGTCACAGTGCCCTGCTCCATGCTCCACTGCTTTCTTACTGGTGTTACTGGTGTCCACATGAGGACCTTATGAACCTACTCATCTTAACCGGGCATCGTACGCACCCCGCCACGCGAAGGAACACCTGACACTGTGTTAATTTCCTATGGAATGACTAGGGTGTGTCCACTTTTCTCTATTGCAGCCACGCAGAGCACGCAGGGAGTCGCCTATAAGAGAGATCTGTAAGCTGGGACTCACCCACCTGTCCCTGGACTCTGAGGTGGCTCTTGGGAGTGTGTGCCGCCCCTCTGTCCCTCCTGAGGGAGGAGTCCCTTCCTCCCCGGTCCTGTTAGGTCTCTGGCTGGCCGTCACTGGTCCCAGCCTCAGGTCCCCCTTTTCCTGGGCGCTCTCTGGGAGCCTCACATCTGAGGCACTGTCCGTGTTTCTCTGGTGGCTTCTCCAGTTAAGGTGCATCCAGGCTCTCATGGGAACCTCTTGCTCCCTCTGGTCCCTGCTTCCATTGCTCCGTGGAAGCCCAGCCCCTCCTCCTCAGGCTCCCTCCTGGCCGTGGGCTTGGGGAGACCTTTGCTGAGCTGCTTCTGTCTCCATGTAAACAGATGCCATATTCTCTTGACTGTAAGCACCACCCCCAACCTCATTGTCCTTATTTGTTTTAAAATAAAATCCACCGCCAGTATGGGCCACTGAACACTAAGGCCACGGCCTCAGGTTTTTAATTAACCAGAACAATCTGAAGGAGAGGTTGGTCGGGTCCCCCCACGTTTTCTTCCTTAGATCTGAATCCAGTTCAAAAGCACCAGGACAGGATGTGGCTGCCCTGCACCTGCCGGCTTTGCTGGCCTGAGGATTGACAGACAGTACATAGGCGGTCTGGGAACCCTGTGGACTCCCACAGCCAGCAGACGTGATGTAACCATATCCTAAAATCATACAAGCAGCCAATGACCCTCTCTGTGACTGCGTCTGGACCCCACTGCCCCAGCCCCACCTCCCACACACCTCTGCTGGATGTGGCCAGGTCACGCGGCAGCCAGCAGCTGCTCCCGAGGTCCAGCCCCCAAGACATGCCTTGGTTCAAGCCCCCACCACTGGCTGTATGCAGTTCTTGAGAGGCCGGAGCCCCTGCCCAGGCCACAGGCGGTAAAAGCCAACGGCAAGGCAGCAAAACCCAGCTTCATGGTCCAATGAAGTCCCAGCAGGCCACCCAGGCAAGACCCCGGCATGGCCTGAGGCTGGTCAGATGCAGCCATGGCTTTGAGCCCACCCCGACTGTGCCAGCGACTCCAATCTCATGCATTCTTTTATGCCCTAAATTCTGATCCCTGAGGTTTGGGAAAGCTGACATAAAACCATCTGAGCATGGGGCCTTTGGAAAGGAGAGATCTGAGGCAGCCCTTTCAAGTTACGGAGTGATTTGTGATTTATTCAGGGTTTTTATTTCCTTTTTGAGTCAATATTTGTCATCTGTATTTTTCTAGAAAGTTGCCCATTTCAGCCAGAATTTCAAATTCGTAGGTACAAAGCTGCTCATAGGATGCACTTATGATTTTTTAAAATTAATAGACTACAGTTTTTAGGGCACTCAGGTTCATAACAAAAATAAGCAGAAAGTACACGTAGTTCCCACCTAACCCCACCCACATCTGCCCCCTCCAAGGCCGGCGCCCTGAACCATAGACACATTTCACAGACATAATCGATGACCAACATTGACACATCACTATCTTCCAAGGTCAACAGTTTGCATTAGGTTCACTCTTGCTGTTGTGCAGTCTATGGATTTGGACAAATGTACACCATTATCCACCATTACAGAATCGTACAGAGCAGCTTCACTGCCCTAAAAATCCTCCGCGCTCTGCCTATTCATCCCCCTACCCCCAGCCCCTAGAAACCACTCATGTATTTACTGTCTCCGTGGTTTTGCTTTTTCCAGAATGTTATATACTTGAAGTCATAGTGTGTAGCCTTTTCAGATTGGCTTCTTTCCCTTAGCTGTATGCATTAAAATTCCCTTCATGTCTTTTCATGGCTTCACAGCTCATTTCTTTCTTATCACTGAAGAATATGCCATTGCATGGGTATATCACAGTTTGTTTATTCACTTCTTGAAAGACATTTTTGTTGCTTCCAAGTTTGGACAATTATAAGTAAACATTCATTTGTAGTTTTCTGTGTTTGAACATTTTCAACTCAATTGGGTAAATATCTAGAAGCATGACTGCTGGATTATATGATAAGAATACAATTAGCTTTAGAAGAAACTGCCAAACTGTCTTCCAAAGTGGCTGCACCATTTTACATTCCCACCAGCAATGAGTGAGAGTTCCTGTTGCTCCACATCCTCATCAGTATTTGGTGGTGTTGGTGTTTTGGATTTTGGCCATTCTATTTTTAATTTTGTAAATATTTTTTAAATTTTTGTGGGTATATATGTGTATATATTTAGGGGTACATAAGATGTTTTGATACAGACATGTAATGTGAACTAAGCACATCATGGAGAATGGGGTGTCCACCCCTCAAGCATTTATCCTTTGAGTTACTAACAATCCAATTACATTATTTTAAAATATACAATTGTTGTTATTGACTATAGTCACCATGTTGTGATATCAAATAGTAGGTCTTATTCATTCTTTCTATTTTTTTGTACCTATTTACCATCCCCACCTTCCCACACAACCCTCCACTACCATTTCCAGCCTCTGGTCATCAAACATCTGTTCTCCATGTCCACTAGTTCAACTGTTTTGATTTTTAGATCCCACAAAAAAGTGAGAACATGCAATGTTTGTCTTTCTGTTCCCGGATTATTTCACTTAACATAATGACCTCCAGTTCCATCCATGTTGTTGTAAATGATGGGATCTCATGCTTTTTTATGGCTGAATAGTACTCCATTGTGTATATGTACCATATTTTATTTATCCATTCATCTGTTGGACAGACACTTGGATTGCTTCCAAATCTTGGCTATTGTAAACAGTGTTGCAATAAACAGGAGTGCTGATACCTCTTCCATACACTGATTTCCCTTCTTTTGGAGATTTTATATATATATAGTGGGACTGCTGGATCATATGGTAGCTCAATTTTTAGTTTTTTGAGGATCTTCCAAGCTGTTCTCCACAGTGGTTGTAGTTAATTACATTCCTACCAATAGTGTACAAGGGTTCCCTTTTCTCCTCATCCTTGCCAGCATTTGTTATTGCCTGTCCCTTGGATATAATCTATTTTAACTGGCATAAGATGATATCTCATTGTATTAATAGTTTTGATTTGCATTTATCTGACATCAGTGGTGCTAAGCACTTTTTCATAAGCCTGTATGACATTTGTATGTATGGCTTCTTTTGAGAAATGTATATTCAAATCTTTTGCCCATTTTTGATCAGATCATTAGATTTTTTTCCTGTAGAGTTGTTTGAGCTCCTTATACACTCTGGTTATTAATCCCTTGTCAGAGGAGTAGTTTGCAAATATTTTCCCCCATTCTGTGGATCGTTTCTTCACTTTATTGGTTGTTTGCTGTGCAGAAGCTTTTTAACTAATGTGATCTCATTTGTCCATGTTTGCTTTTGTTGTCTGTGCTTGTGGGGTATTACTCAAGAAATCTTTGCCCAGATCAATGTCCCGGAGATGTTCCCCAATGTTTTCCTGTAGTAGTTTCATAGTTTGAGGTCTTAGATTTAAGACTGTATTTTTTTTATTTTTGTATATGACAAGAGATACAGGTCTAGTTTCATTCTTCTGTATATGGAGATTCAGCTTTCCCAGCACCATTTATTGAAGAGACTATCTTTTCCCCAGTATTTTTGGCACCTTTGTCAAAAATGATTTCACTGTAGGTGTGTGGATTTGTTTCTGGGTTCTCTGTTCTGTTCCATTGGTCTATGTGTCTGTTTTTATGCCAGTACCATGCTGTTCTGGTTACTATAGCTCTACAGTATAATTTGAAGTCAGGTAATGTGATTCCTCCTGTTTTGTTCTTTTCACTTAGGCTAGCTTTGGCTATTCTGGGTCTCTGTGGTTCCATATAAATTTTAGGATTGTTTTTTCTATTTCCGTGAAGAATGTCTTTGGTATTTTGATAGGGATTTTATTGAATCTGTAGACTGCTTTGGGTAGTATGTACATTTTACCAATATTTATTCTTCCAATCCATGAACATGGAATATTTTTTCATTTTTTGGCGTCCTCTTCAATTTCTTTCATCAGCATTTTATAGTTTTCATTATGGAGATTTTTCACTTCTTTGGTTAAGTTCACTCCTAGGTATTTAATTTTATGTGGCCATGATAAATTAGATTACTTTTTAAATTTCTTTTTCACATTGTTTGCTGTTGGCATATAGAAATGCTATTGATTTTTGTATGATGATTTGTATCTTGCAACTGTACTGAATTTGTTTACCAGTTCTAATAGTTTCCTTCTGAAGTCTTTAGGTTCTTCCAAATATAAGATCATATCATCAACAAACAAGGATAATTTGACTTCTTCCTTTCCAATTTGGATATTCTTTATATATTTCTCTTGTCTGATTGCTCTAGCTAGGACTTCAGTATACTATGTTGAATAACAGTGGTGACAGTGGGCATCCTTGTCATGTTCCAGATCTTAGAGAAAAGGCTTTCAGTTGTTCCCCATTCAGTGTGATACTAGCTGTGGGTCTGTAGTATATGGCTTTTATTATGTTGACGTATATTCCTTCCATATCCAGTTTTTTTTTGAAGATTTTGATTATGAAAGGATGTTGAATTTCATCAAATACTTTTTCAGCATCAAATGAAATAATCATATGGTTTTTATCCTTCATTCTTTGGATATGATGTACCATGTTGATTGATTTGCATATGTTGAACCAGCCTTACATCCCAGGGATAAATCACATTTGGTCATAATGAATGATCTTTCTAACGTATTGCTGAATTCAGTTTGCTAGTATTTTGTGAGGACTTCTGCATCACTGATACATTGTCCAGTAGGTTTCTTTTTGATATGTCTTTGTTTTGGTATCAGGGTAATACTGGGCCTCATAGAAATCTGAGTTTGGAAACATTCCCTCCTCCTCTATTTCTTGGAATAGTTTGAGGAGGATTGGTATTAGTTCTTCTTTAAATGTTTGGCAGAATTCAGCAGTGAAGCAATGAGGTCCCAGGCTTTTCTTTACTGGAAGACTTTTCATTACAGCTTCTAGCTATGGTAATAGAGGTTTTTTTTTTTTTTTTTTTTTTTTTTTTTTAGATGGCGTCTCACTCTGTCACCCAGGCTGGAGGCTACAGTGTAATGGACAGCATGATCTCAGCTCACTGCAACCTCTGCCTCCCAGGTTCAAGTGATTCTCCTGCCTCAGCCTCCTGAGTTGCTGGAATTACAGGCATGTGCCACCACACCCAGCTAGTTTTTGTATTTTTAGTAGAGATGGGTTTTCACCATGTTGGCCAGGCTGGTCTCGAACTCCTGACTTCGTGATCTGCCCACCTCGACTTCCCAAAGTGCTGGGATTACAGGCGTGAGCCACCATACCCGGCCTCATCCCCCTACTTTTTAACTTTTTGTTGTTTCTATTTATATCTTATCATACTATGTCTTGAAAAGTTGTTGTAGTTATAATTTTTTATTGGTTCATTGTTTAGTCTTTCTACTTAGGGTAAGAGGAGTCTACACACCCCAGTTACATTGTCATAATACGTCGTGTTTTTCTGTGTACTTACTATTACCAGTAAGTTTTTTTGCCTTCAGGTGACTATTTATTGCTCATCAATGTAATTTTCTTTCTGGTTGAAATACTCCCTTTAGCATTTCTTGTAGCATGGTCCTGGCATTAATGAAATACCTCAGGTTTTGTTTGTCTAGGAAAGTCTTCATTTCTCCTTCATGTTTGAAGGATATTTTTGCTGGATATACTATTTTAGGGTAAAAGTTCTTTTCCTTCAGCACTTCAAATATGTCATGCTTCTCTCTCCTGGCCTGTAAGGTTTCCACTGAAAAGTCTGCTGCCAGACGTATTAAAGCCCAACTCTATGTTATTTGTTTCTTTTCTCTTGTTGCTTTTAGGATCCTTTATCCTTGATCTTTGGAAGTTTGATTATTAAATGCCTTGAGGTAATCATCTTTGGGTTAAACCTGCTTGGTGTTCTATAACCTTCTGGTTCTTGGATATTGATCTCTTTCTCTGTTATTATCCCTTTGAATAAACCTTCTACCCTTATCTCTTTCTCTACCTCCTCTGTAAGGTCAATAACTCTTAGATTTGCCCCTTTGAGGCTATTTTCTAGATCGTGTAGGCAGGCTTCATTATTTTGTATTCTTTTTTCTTTTGTCTCCTGCTTTTTTTTTTTTTAAATGGAGTCTTGCTCTGTTGCCCAGGCTGGAGCGCAGTCGCACAATCTCGGCTCACTGTAACCTCCACCTCCTGAGTTCAAGCAATTCTCCTGCCTCAGCCTCCCGAGTACCTGGGACTACAGGTGCCCACCACCATGCCCGGCCAATTTTTTTGTATTTTTAGTAGAGATGGGGTTTCACCCTATTGGCCATGCTGGTCTCGAACTCCTGACCTTGTGATCCACCTGCCTTGGCCTCCCCAGAGTGCTGGGATTACAGGCATGAGCCACCGCCCCTGGCCTCCTGTGTATTTTTAAACAGGCTGTCTTCAAGTTCACTAATTCTTTCTTCTGCTTGAACCATTTTGCTATTAAAGGAAGCTGATGCATTTTTCAGTAGGCCAATTGCATTTTTCAGCCCCAGAATTTCTGCGAATCACTTTTTAATTATTTCAAGCTGTTAAATTTATCTGATAGAATTCTGAATTCCTTATGTTATCTTGAATTTCTTTGAGTTTCCTCAATTTAGCTATTTTGAATTCTCTGTCTGAAAGGTGACATATCTGTTTCTCCAGGATTGGTCCCTGGTGCCTTATTTAGTTCACTTGGTGGGGTCATGTTTTCCTGGTTGGTGTTGATGCTAGCAGATGTTCTTTGATGTCTGGGTATCGAAGTGTTACATATTTGTTGTAGTCTTCACTGTCTGAGCTTATTTGTAGCCATCCTTCTTGGCAAGGCTTTCGAGTTATTTGAAAGGACTTGGGTGTTATGATCTAAGTCATTTCTCTTTTACGGAGCACCCCAACCCAGTAACACTGCGGTTCTTGCAGACTTATAGAGGTACCAGCTTGATGGTCTTGGATAAGACACAGAACAATTCTCTGGATTACCAGGCAGAGACTCTTGTTCTCTTCCCTTACTTTCTCCCAAATGCACAGTCTCTGTCTCAATTCTGAGCCACCTAAAGCCTTCAGGGCAGTGGGCTCCCCTCTGGAACAGGGCAAGCCCAGAAATGCCATCCAAGAGTCAAGTCCTAGAACTGGGGACTCAAAGAGCTCACTTGATGCTTTAACTCCCTGTGGCAGTGTTGGTACCTAAAGCCAGCAAGTCTCAGAGGCTCACCACGGCCCTTGATATAGTACCTGGGTATCACTGCTGGTTATTCAGGGCCCAAGGGCTCTTCAGTTAGCAGGTGATGAATGCTGACAGGACTGGGTCCTTTCCTTCAGGGCAGTGGATTCCCTTCTGGTCTAGGGTGTGTCTGATTTTTGGCTCTTACGAAGGCTGTTTTTTCTGTGTAGGTAGTTGTTAACTTGGCATCCTTGTGTGAGGGGACGATTGATTGGTGGAGATTTCTATTCTGCCACCTTGCTCTGCCTCTCCTGCTTCTATCAGATTTTGGCCATTCTGTGGGTAGTGGTATTTCATTGTTGAGCATATTTTGCAATATGCTAAGCATATTTTTGTGTGCTTATTTGCTATCTGGGTATCTTCTTGGGTGAGTTGTCCAGATCTTTTGCCCATTTTAAAGTTGGGCTGTTTGTTTTTTATTGTTAAGAGTTCTTTTTAAATTTTAGAGAGCAGTTCTTTATCAGGTATGTCTTTTGCAATTATTTTCTCCCACTCTATGGCTTGATTTTGGTTCTCTTGATGCTTGTAATATTTAAAATATCTTCAGCATCTGCAGTTTCACCTCCCTTCATTATTACAGTTGGATTTTAATCCTTAGGAGTTTATCTATTTGTCATTCAACAAACATTATTCAGCTCCTACTATAGACAGGTCCTGTTTCTGAATGCTGGAGATACACCAACTGCAGAAAAGGCAAAGATGCTTACTCTCAAGCCTCCATTATTAGTCTTGTCTAAAAGTAAACTTTTGGGTTTTTTTCAGTCAATTCCATTATTTGTGTTTTCTTTTCTACTCCAGTAACTTTTGTTTCTGTATTTATTATTTTGATTGTCTTTTTAAACCTTTTTCTCATTGGTCCATCATTTTCTGCAGATGAGTTATAATTTCCCATTATACTTGTGGATAGGTCA
Source organism: Homo sapiens (assembly GCF_000001405.40). Lineage (NCBI taxonomy): Eukaryota > Metazoa > Chordata > Mammalia > Primates > Hominidae > Homo > Homo sapiens. The sequence goes on along the minus strand of NC_000022.11, from coordinate 47,181,086 downwards.
GTATTTCATCATCATTGTACCCACTTTTGCCTTGTTTATGCTGAGGTTAGGTTATGTTGTTATATCTACGCAGGTCCATGACTGAGTGAAACGCTTTTGGTCATATGACAAAGCACTTCACTCAGTCATGAGACAAAGCTCTCTTTGTCCTTGTTAATGCTTTTCAAATGTGATTTGGGGGAATACAGATATTCCAACCACATTTGGGGAGGTGGGTAGTATTTCCCCCATATTTTTTCCATCCCTCCATTTCAAACAAAATTTTTAGTCTTGATGTATCTCTCATCAATAGTATGTTGTTGGCTTTTATGGAGATTTTAAAAGCATAATGTATCTCCTTTTGAATAGGTGAGTGTAAATTATCTATCATGATCATAGCTGAACTTGCTTGGGCGCTGGTAATTAATGCTTTGTATTTATCATAGTTTTTCTTTGCTTTTTTTTCCTACCTCTTTTCTTGCCTTCTCAACTTTGTTCCTTCTTTTTCTTTTTCCCCTCTCCTGGAAGTTACACACTCAATTTCCAACGTTATCTTTAAATTTCTAAATAATTTCTCAAACTTATATTTTCTAAGACATTCCAAAGAAAACCAGATGAGCAGACCTGCAGCCACTGTTGCAAGCCACTGTGGGGTGGGGAGGGCGGCAGTGATTTTGCTGACTCCTGTATTCGGCAATAACTGAAGAATCCCACTACTAAAAATGTATTATGGAAAAAGTACCCAGAAATGTAGACATTTATCACAGCACCATTTGCTAGAGGAAAAAAATAGCAGCAACTTGATGAATAATAAAGGAATAAATTATGTGAATCCATGCAACTGCATATTATGCAGTCATTAAAATCACATTTTTGAAGAATTGTAATAATATGAGAAAATGCTTATGATCATAGCATCACAAAAAATCCCGAGTCAGTCTCTTTCTGTCTCTTTTGGTTGCAGCAGGGAGGAAACAGGTGCTCCACCACAATGGGAGTTTTGAGAGAGCCCATGTATGCAGCTCTGTGAGCAGCAGGGAAGGACGATTACCCAGAGATGCAGACACACCCATGAGAAGGGCTAGGACCGACCACACCCAGTGTGGGCAAGGATGTGGAGAAACGAGAACCATCGACCTGCCAGTGGAAATGTAAGCTGGAAAAGGTGCTTTGTAAAATCATTTCTCATGATCTATTAGAGGGAAGGATGCATGCCCTATGGCTCTGCAATTCCGCTTCTAGGGGAAAGAAAACCACAGAACGGGGGCACGTGTCCACCGAGAGACAGGCACGCAGATATTCAGAGGGGCATTGTTTATAACGCCCCCAAACTGGACACAATCCAAATGTCCAGCAGGAGTAGAAGGGACAAATTGCAATCTATCCATGTCATGGAAAACTTTACAGCAATGGAAAAGAAGAAACCATGCTTAATACCACACAGATACTCCCACAAACAGAAAGTTGAAGCCAGGCGTGGTGGCTCACACCTGTAATCCCAGCACTTTGGGAGGCCGAAGCGGGCGGATCACGAGGTCAGGAGATGGAGACCATCCCGGCTAACATGGTGAAACCCCGTCTCTACTAAAAATACAAAGAAATTAGCCGGGCGTGGTGGCAGGCACCTGTAGTCCCAGCTACTCGGGAGGCTGAGGCAGAAGAATGGCGTGAACCTGGGAGGCAGAGCTTGCAGTGAGCCCAGATTGCACCACTGCACTCCAGCCTGGGCGACAGAGTGAGACTCCATCTCAAAAACAAAACAAAACAAAAAACAGAAAGTTGAGCAGGAAGAGTTGTTCACAAGAGTATATATTGTATAATTCCATTCATATAATAAAAGTGTACAAATAAGCAGAACTAAAGGATGGTTTGGAAGTCAGCGGTGTGTCATGTTTGGGAGGAGGGAGCACACAGGGAGATCCAGTGTGGGTCATGTTCTATTTCTCAACCAGGGTTGTGGTTACATGGTGTATGAGACCATTCTCATGCTGTTAATAAAGACATACGTGAGACTGGGTAATTTATAAAGAAGAGAGGTTTAATAGACTCACAGTTCCACGTGGCTGGGGAGGCCTTACCATCCTGGCAGAAGGCAAGGAGGCACAACGTCATGTCTTACATGGATGGCGGCAGGAGAGAATGAGGGCCAAGCGAAAGGGGTTTCCCCTTACAAAACCATCCTATCTCGTGAGACTGATTCACTACCATGAGAACAGTGTGGGGAAAACCGTCGCCATGATTCAATTATCTCCCACCAGGTCCCTTCCACAATACATGGGAATTACAAGAGCTACAATTCAAGATGAGAATTGGGTGGGGATACATCCAAACCCTATCACATGGGGTGTCTGCTTTGTAATGATTCTCCGAGAGCTAGGTTTGTGTTGTGTCTGCCACTTCACAGCTTAAATGTAAAAACAGCAACAACGAAAAACCACTGCAAAATATTCAGAAAAAAATACAGACTAAAAGAGAGAGGGTATTTGTTTTGTATTGCTGCATAACAGATGATCATAGACACAGCCCAAGGTCACGCAGCCAGCCCTGGTGGGGGCAAGTGGCTGGTGAATGATTTTCATTTCTGTAACCATTGGTGATGTGAACTTCTCATGGGTCACCTGCACCACTTTTGTGAACTGCCCATTTTCTGTGCTGTGCCCATTTTTATCAATTTCCAGGAACTCCGCATGCTGAGGAATCTGAATCCGCCTTGCCTAGGTGAACCAGCGTGTCATTCACACTTGTCTTTGGTGATGAAGGTTGGGTCTTAGTCGTCCCTGCCATTTGCTTTGGTAGCGCATACTACGGATATATATCATCAGTCTTTTTCTATCTTGTTTTTGCCACTGGCGTCATGCTAAGAAAGCCTTTTACCATTCCCAATGATAAAAATAGCCATGTATTTTTGAGTATTTGGGGGTAATTTTTATATTTACATCCACTTATCTGGAAGTTGAATATAATTTTTTTTCCTAAAAGAATAATCAGGCCGGGCGCGATGGCTCACACCTATAATCCCAGCACTTTGGGAGGTCGAGGTGGGCAGATCAGTTGAGGTCAGGAGTTCGAGACCAGCCTGGACAACATGGTGAAACCCCGTCTCTACTAAAACTACTAAAAAAATTAGCTGCGTGTCATGGCGGGCACCTGTCATCCCAGCTGCTCGGGAGGCTGAGGCATTAGAATCACTTGAACCCAGGAGGCAGAGGTTGCAGTGAGCTGAGATCACACCACTGCACTCCAGCCTGGGCCACAGAGCAAGACCCTGTCTCAAGAAATAAAAAAATAAAAAAAGAAAGAATAGCCAGCCTCATCTTGTCAACAAAATGGACTACGGCTGGGTCACTCACACAGGACCATGTAAGCGGCCGTGTGCCTCCTGGGTGGAGGCCATCCTGTGCTGGGGACCCTCCATGCCAAGGAGCTGCAGGGTGGGTGTGGAAAGGCCTCACAGCTGAGTGGGGGCCACCCCAAGCAGCCCGCAATCCCGCAGGGCAAAGTGCAGAGCCAGAAGGAAGCCAAGGGGCTGGGGCTGAGAGAGGAGAGGAACGGTGGGGTGGACTGGGGCTGGGAAGGCCCCAGGGAGGTCCACACCCCGAGGGGTCTGAGTCTTGGGCAAACTCCCCAGGACTGCGGCCGAGAGCAGATCACTGGGGCCACAGGGCTGACGAGGAGCCTCCAGCTCTGGAGGACGGCGGCATGGAGGCTGGCATGCTGCAGCCTGCGATGGCGCGTGTCATTCTGCAGCCTGTCCCCAAGTCCTCAGCGGAGTGGGTCTGCTTGAACACAGACAGTATTCCTCCTGTTTCCATCCATCGGTGACACGGCACAGAAGCGTCCCACCTCCTAGTTCTTCCAAAAGTACAAACCACAGAGACTCTCCATCTCCTACTCCCCAGGACCCCAATGCTCCCCGACGCGTCTGACCTTGCCAAGGGCACAGCAGTGGTGCCAGCAGGCCGAGCCTCTCCCTGGGACCGGGCAGGGTGAGGTGCACAGGACAGCAGCCACCACAGGTCAGGGATTGATTTCAGGACCCCTGGGCTCGGGCCACCCACAGGAGCAGAGTCTGCACAGGCTGTGAAGACCTCAAGTTGGGCCCGAGGAGCCAACTGCTGAGCTGCAAACTCCGGGGAATCGTGAAGGTGAATGGCAGTTGCTGGGCTGTGACCTGGAGTCAGGAGCTGAACACCTGGTGGCTGCTGGGGACAGCCGATCTCCGTCCTGCAGCCTACGACCCTGCAGACCACAGCCAGGCAACAGTGAGGTCAGCCCATGTGCCGGGCCACCGGGCCCAGGAAGGCAGCCCTGCCTGGCTCAGCTCCGCACTGGGTCACTGTGGAAAGAGAGGTGAAGAGGCTACTCCCACTTTGTGGAGCCACCAGCCCACCCGTGGGGACAGGAGCACACCCCACACCTACGGGGACAGGAGCACACCCCACACCTGGTCAGTAGTGCGCACCCCACACCCGTGGGGACAGGAGCACACCCCACACCCGTGGGGACTGGAGCACACCCCACAGCCGGTCAGTAGTGCACACCCCACACCCGCGGGGACAGGAGCACACCCCACACCCGCGGGGACAGGGGCACACCCCACACCCGCGGGGACAGGGGCACACCCCACACCCGCGGGGACAGGGGCACACCCCACACCCGCGGGGACAGGGGCACACCCCACACCCGCGGGGACAGGGGCACACCCCACACCCGCGGGGACAGGGGCACACCCCACACCCGCGGGGACAGGAGCACACCCCACACCCGTCAGCGGACAGCACAAGGCAGTGGAAAGCCAAGTGCTGCCAAGGGAGGGTCCCGAGGGTGGGGCACCCAGGGGGGTGTGGGGTACCTGAGGGTGGGGCACCCAGACGGGGTTACTCAGAGGGGTGTGGCGCACCTGGAAAGCTGCCCTGAGAAACTGAGGCCCTTTGAAGGGCCTTGCTTCAGTAACACAGGGCAAGGAGGGTGTTTCAGTGTGTGGGTGAGGGTGAGGCAAGTGTATCCCAGGAGAGGCGGGGGGGACCCCAGACCCTGGTGCCTACCCCGGAACAGCCCTTTTCAAAGCAGGTGCTTGACAGATGTGGCCCAAGGGGAGGTCCCTTGTTCAGGAGCCTGACAGGGGCCAGCCTGGACCCCACACTCCCGTGTTCCAGCTAGTGCAGAGCCGGGCTTCGGGGGTCAGACTGGTTTCTGAGTCTTGCCCCGCCCGGGCAAGTGGCATCCCTGCACCACCTGAGCAGCTGCAGCCCCATCTCCCTGAGAGGTCCTGCGGGGGGCAGCGAGATCACGGGTGCTGCCGGGCCCACGCTGGTGCGCCGCAATGGCCCTGAGCTCAGACCCTCGGCAGGGCTGGGCCAGGGTGCCCCTGTCCTCGATGGGCAAGTCCTCGAATCACAGGCCAAGGCCGCGGCTTTGTCACTGATCTTTATTCCGTGTTTTTAGCGCACCACATCCAGACAGCACACCCCGAACATTCCAGATGGATCTGCTCAGACTTAAGGCCCGCGGCCAACACCTCTCACATTCAGTCTTGGCGTTTACATACATGAGGAAATGCACACAGGGCTGAACTCCGTGGAGCTTCCTGTTTAAAACATCAACCACCTCGAGAAGCAGGTCAGTTGTGTCCGCAGCCTTCTGGCCACACGGCATGATCTGAGCTGGAGAAGGGGATCCTCCCAGGGCTGATCTCGGCAAAGCGACATGGGGCTTCCTGCACACGGCCGAGGGGCGGCTCTTCTTGTGACGGAATCCCCTCCCCATCTAGAAAAGGAGGCGGCAGGAGGAGGAGGCATGGCTGGTCTGAGGAACCCTTGACCCTGGGGTGGGGACACGGAAGGCAGGGGTAAGGCGTGCCCGCATCTGATGTGAAGCAAGCCCATCCCTTTGCTGGTTTGGGAGCATCTGACGTTTGCACAGCATTTTGTGCTAATTTCCATGCTGTGTGTAATGACCCTGGATTTTTAAAACAGAAGCAGAAACACACACATCACTTATGCCTGTATGTCCCACAGTCTCTGGCAGTGTCCTAGGGCCTGGGAGAGGACACGGCTGCTCCTGAGGGACAGAGGAGAGTCTGGGAAGTCAGTCACCAGTGGGTCGCTGAGGACGTGAGCCTGTCCTGGGCTCAGGGATCAGACAGACTGTGGCTGTGGCCCTGCCCGCATTCCAGGGGTCATGCAGCCTGTGACACACCGAGGGAACGCTGGGAAGCCAGTCCCAAGGCCCCTGGAGCCAAGGACACAGCCCTAGCAGGGCGCTGGGCAGGGACCAGCTCTGGGCCCTTCCGCACTTAGAGCCCCAAGGAACCAGTCCACAGCGGGAACCAGTCCAGGGCAGAACCAGTATACAGCGGGAACTGGTCCACGGCGGGAACCAGTCCACGGCAGAACCGGTCCAGGGCAGGAGTGGTCCAGGGCAGGAGTGGTCCATGGCGGAACCGGTCCATGGCGGAACCGGTCCACGGAGGAACCGGTCCATGGAGGAACCGGTCCATGATGGAACCAGTCACACCTCCCCTACACCTGGCAGACCTGGACAAGGACAGCAAGTCCCAGGAAGTCTCCAAAAGCTCATTCCGCTTCCAGGCTGCGGTGAGAAGAGCACTGTGGTTCAGGGCTTTGATGACAGGGACGCGACCCCCTGCCCGTCTGCCAGCCCAACATGGCCCGACAGCCTGGGTGGGCCTCCAGGGGCTCTGGCTGAGGCCGGCGCCTACCTGCGTGGCGGGGCCACTTGGCCCTGGACCTCAGGGAGGTGGGGGTTTCTCTCTTGTAAAAGAGGTTCAAGGTGGAAAGTAAGGCGATGGCGAGGCCTCCCTCTGCTCCCAGCCTTTGGTCCCACGGCCTCCCAGGCACTCGGCGGGCTCACGGCTTGGACTCCAGCCTTCAGCTTCCCAGCCACGTTTAAACCAAGCAAGCAGGAAAACACACGGAGGGAAAGGGCCAGCAGCAGTGAAATACAGCTGTGAGGGGACCTCGCGGCACAGAGACCCCGGGTCAGCGCAACGTCTCGGTCTAGATTTTGTCTACATTTTATTCTTTCACTCAACAGAATAGAAGTTTTGCATTTCAGAGTAGGTATGAGATGGCCACTACCTCGTTCCGGCCCTGGCACCCAGACAGCAGGACTCCAAAGAGGGTCGGCCTCCTAGGCTGCCCCGGACTAGGGGCAGCACGAGGCAGTCATTTGGCAAGGACATTGCAGGGAGAGGGAGAGGGGACCCCTGACCTGCCTCTGGCCGCCGAACCCGGGGCCCTCCCCTGGCTCTCTTTGGTATCTCAGAAAACAAAGGCTGTCCCTGTCTTTGTCAGCCCTAGACCAGGTCTGTGGCCCATCTTCACCAGCTCCCCTGGAGGGTGGGGCCACCTCACAAGGCCTTTTAGCAGCCCGGGACCAGCTCACAGGGGCCTACCACCAGCCAGGCAGGTGGGGCGCGCCACCCGGGACAGTGAGGCCAGCTGCGGGTGGGCCTGGGCTCATTTCTTGTAGTGATTGGGGGCGTCGGCAAAAGCAAACTTGAGGCGGTAGGCCTCGGCCAGCAACAGGCTGATGTCCTCATCATCCCAGTGGGCTGTGGGCAGGTTCTGGAGGAAGAGCAGCAGCTCCTGGGGAGAAAGAGACAAGCCCAGGTCAGAGGAGGTGACCCACGGTGGAGGGCGGGTGACCCCAGAAAACTGGAGGGAAAGATACAAGCCCAGGTCAGAGGAGGTGACCCACGGTGCAGGGCGGGTGATCCAGGAAAACTGGAGAGAAAGACACAAGCCCAGGTCAGAGGAGGTGACCCACAGTGGAGGGTGGGTGACCCAGGAAAACTTGCCCAGCCGGCAGCTGCTCCCTGCTCAACCCCAGAAGGGCCCCAGGCCTCGCCCCACGGCCACCGCCCCATCCCAGCAGCCAGGCAGGAGGCCCACTGCGCAGCTCCAAGTCCGGCATCTGAGATGTCGTGGCAGGGGCCGCCCAGAGCTTCATTTAACTGAATCCCCTGCCCCTCAGGGGGAGACCCAGCTCTCGGGGCCCTGCTGCAGCTTTGCAGCCTCCGCCCAGGAGCTTCCCACTCCCACAAAGCCTGTATCAGCCCAGGAAGTACCGCAGCACCCCTGGAACTGCCACTAAGCACAGATTTCTGTGCACCAGGAGACCCCTCCGGGCACCAGCACCATCAGCAGATGAAGCCCACACGAGGGGATCACAGAACGGAGCCGGCTCAGGCCCACCCCGGGAGCCCAGGAGCACAGCAAAGCGCCAACTGGCCCCTCCTGCATGACCACCTCACACCAGTGGGTTGGGGTGCAGGGCTCCACCAAACCCAGCTTCAGGTCTAGGTCCAACCTGGTGCCCTGGAACAATGACTCCACCCCGAGGCCCAGCTTCCTCCTCTGCAAAATGGGGCCACCATTTATTTATTTATTGCTTTCTAATGTGCTTATTTGCCTTAGACTGAGATTTAAAAATTAATTCCAGTTACAACCAAAGAAGGCCTTTCTGTGGAAGTGACATTTGATCAGACTCTTAAAATTCAGGTAGGATTCTCATAGGTAAAGATAGGAGGTAAAAGGTTTTACATAAAGGTGAATGACATGCATGTAAGTAGGAAAATAGGGAACTATAGGGAATAAGCAACAATTATAAGTCGTTCAGTGTGGATAAAATCATCTTACATGTGTATTTTTAAAATCTCGCCTCCTGTACCCTTCATTCTCCCATTCTACTTCCCAGTCACAGCATTTATTGCATTGAATTCACATAGTACAAATTTTTATTTACTGTAGTAAATTACTGTCAGGGCTGCTGGACAGACTGGGAAAACACACATACGGCCAGCAGTACAGCCAGCACTGGGTGGGCACACAGTGGGCTCCATGGGCATGCTAGGTAGACACACCAGGCTCACTGAGCGGGCACACTGGGTGGACACACAAGGCTCACTGGGCATGCTGGGTGGGAACACCGGGCGGGCACACCGGACTCACTGGGCTCACTGGGCACTCTGGGTGAGCACACAGCTCACTGGGAGTGCTGGGTAGGCTCACTGGGAGTGCTGGGTAGGCTCACTGGGAGTGCTGGGTAGGCTCACTGGGAGTGCTGGGTAGGCACACTGGGCTCACCGGGCGCACTGGGCAGGTGCGTTGGGCTTACTGGGAGTGCTGGGTGGGCTCCTCTGGCCTGCAGCTGGGCCGTGTCTCAGATGGGCTATGGGGGCACTGAGTCCCACCCCCAAAAGACACATGGGCGACTGTCTCCAGAGCTCATGGTCTGGAGGCCGGGATGCGGACACTGAGGAGATGGAGACTGACCTACGTCCACTGAGGCCACAACGGGGAAGGAAAAGCACAGGTCCTCGGGGGACCCCCCACGACCACCGCCTGACAGCCCCGCCCTCCCACATGACCACGCCCACATCCACAGCTGCTGGCAGCCCACCAAGGGCAGGGCAGGTCTCCGGGGACCCCAACACACAGAGGGCTTGGCAGAAGTAGGGATCAGAGAGGGCTGAGTGGCCAAGACAGCCTCCTGCAGTGGGGGTTCTCAGAAGAGAAACAGGGGACCATCAGGTCAGGGCCAGCCCAAGCCCAGGCTCTGTCATGAAGCTGGGCAGACTCCCTGAGGGAGGGGTCTACACTGCTCAGATGGCCCTGTGGGCTCTGGTCCTCGAGAATTTGCCCCCAGGGGGCCACCTGCAGGCTCCCCGGCTTCTCCTACCTCCCACCCCAAACAGAAGCTGGATCCAGGAAGTCAGGAAGGCGGCTGAGGAGCCCTCAGGGTGCTGGAACTGCCCTTCCCCACTCCTAGCAGGTGACAAGGGACAGGGAGGGCCACAGGCTCGGGATGCCCATGTCGCCTGCCTCGAGAAAACGCAGCCCAGCAAGACTGGCATGGAGGGGAATGGGGGGTAGCTGGGCTCTGAAGTTCACATCCTGTCTTCCTGTCCAGGTGGTCTTGGGCAGTGGGCCTGGCTCTCCAAGCCACACTCTTCTTCATCTGGAGATAAGGATGGCAGGCTCTCCACATAGGCACAGCCAGGATGAGCTGAGCTGTGCAGGCACAGAGCCTGGACAGATGACCTGGGCTCACATCCTGGCTGTGCCGGAGGCTGCCGTCTGCATGTTGCCCCACCCTCACTGAGGCAGGCCCCCCGGCCATCCCGGAGCTGCGCTCTCCATTTCCGAATCAGGAAGATTACACACCAGGACTGCCCTCTCTCCGGTCCTGCATCAGGAGGGTTACACACCAGGACTGTCCTCTCTCCGGTCCTGCATCAGGAGGGTTACACACCAGGACTGCCCTCTCTCCGGTCCTGCATCAGGAGGGTTACACACCAGGACTGTCCTCTCTCCGGTCCTGCATCAGGAGGGTTACACACCAGGACTGTCCTCTCTCCGGTCCTGCATCAGGAGGGTTACACACCAGGACTGTCCTCTCTCTGGTCCTGCATCAGGAGGGTTACACACCAGGACTGTCCTCTCTCCGGTCCTGCATCAGGAGGGTTACACACCAGGACCGTCTTCCAATTGCTATTTCGCAGTTGCTGGGCTTCCACCCCCACTTCCTCAATTCCATTTCCTTTCGCATTTTGGATACTTTCAGTGGGCCTTTAAATTGAATTCAGGGAGCGAATTTCACTGGCTAAAAGTCCCTGGGGACATATCAACATCAATCTGCTGTCTTTCACCATTAGATGCAACTTACATGGATGCCAATCCAATTCTGAGCAGGTCATAAATAAATACCTTTGGTTTTATTTTTAATCCACTTCGCTTCATATTATCATGACCTCGCTCCTTGCAAGGTGAGAAGCAGTACCCTCCCATTACGGTAACTCACCGACTCTACTGCACACTCAATTTCAGAATCTAATTTAGTCCGCCAGGTTCACTGGATGGAGGGAGAATAGAAATGCCCAGTTCTTCGCAGCCTGCAATGCTAAAGAAGGAAAAATCTATCTGGGTGACCTTTACGGGAGGAGAAGAACACAGCCAAACACATCCTTAAATACAGATTTCTTTTTTAAAAAGGCTTGTCTTATTTATGCACTAGGCCACGTCGTCTCCTGTCTGGGAAACGCGGCACATTTATTAGCCAAGAGCTGTTCTGCATCACCCACACCAGGCAGGCAGAGGGGCCACCACGGGCGAAGCCATCCCTCGGTCACATTCAGGGACATGGCTCTCCCAGCAATGACGGTGCTGCCTGTCCAGGAGGGCAGGTGGAGAGAGGCCTGCCCAGGGCCCAGCCCAGAAAACTATAGACGGCACTTGCATTTTCATTCTTAACTTTTCCATAAACAATTAATGGCCACATCTGTGGATCTAAAAGTTAAAGGAAGGCTCTGCTCATCACACTGATGCTGTAGAAGTCAAGGTCGCGTCAGGTCTGCAATCCGTCCCTCCCCCGGTCCCTGGGGCACCACCATCTCAACAAAGCCACAGCCAGAGGGCAGCGTGGAGTGCACCCTGCCTTTCTCCATCAGCCTGTGTGCCGAGAATCCTTCCAGTGGACACCGAGTGTCTGCAAGGGCCCTTTGTAAAGGCTGTGGGGTCTGTGATCAGTGAGGGATCAAAAGCAACAGAATCAGACTCTCGCTGCATGGCCTGGAGGTTGACGGTTCTCAGGCCTGACCACATGTCCATCAGCACCCAAGGAGCTCAAAAAAATGCCCCATTGTCCTGGCCCCAGCCCAAGCAACTGACCTGGGATCTGGGAGGTGGGGCCTGGGGAGAGGGATGTGTTGGTTCTCAGGATGGTGGGCGACTTGGGTGTGCCCTAGACACTCTCGGACACATCATGAATCACAAGAGTGGACAGAGTTGCTCACGCTTTCCACCAGGCAACCCCTGTTGAAGTTGAGGGCCGGTGGGGGTGGGGGTTGGCCCTACCCACACCACCCAGGCAGAAGTGGAGCCCTGACTCACACACCACCATGCAGGCAAAGGCATCTCTCTAAAACGTCAGTGAGTGGGACACAGGGTGGAGGTGGGAAGCCAAGCTGGGATGTTTCCAACAGTTTCCCCCCATGGACCACACAGCAGTGGACCACACTTAGACAGAAGCCGCCATGCCGCTCACTCCTGCCCCGGGCGGGTTCCAACAGGTGAGGCTCCCAATGCCGGAGGGCAGGTGAGGCTCCCGATGCCGAAGAGCAGACGAGGCTCCCAATGCTGAGGCTCCCGATGCCGAAGACCAGGTGAGGCTTCCGATGCTGAAGAGCAGGCGAGGCTCCTGACACTGAAGAGCAGATATCGCCATGGCTTTGGCTACTTCTTACCAAAAGGGTTTTATTTTTCCTGAGTCAAACGAATCCTAGTGCCATCCGTGGAGGACACTGACCTCCCCCGCGTGCCAGGCCTTCCCAGGAAGGGTGAGACGGTGACAAGCCCGTGTCCTAGGGCCCCAGGCTCCAGAACAGTGGGTGGGTGGGTGGGTGGTTGACTGCAGACCCTGGGTTCCTTCGAGACCCTGAGCTCTGAGTGGCTGGCCCAGGGCTGAGGCTCATGTGAGAACGGGCAGCAGCGAGGGAAGCAAGATCACTGGATTAGATGCGGGAGTGCTGGGCCCGAGCCCGCCCCCAATGCTGCCTGACCCCACGAGCACTGCAGATGCGTCCCTGCTGCTCTCCCCAGCATCTCCACCATCTACTTCAACAGGTCTGTGTGTCCCTATATCCCCAAAACCGAGCCCACAGCACTTGGCTGGGCAGTGAGTTCTCCCCAGCATCTCCACCACCTACTACTTCAACAGGTCTGTGTGTCCCTATATCCCCAAAACCGAGCCCACAGCACTTTGCTGGGCAGTGAGTTCTCCCCAGCATCTCCACCACCTACTACTTCAACAGGTCTGTGTGTCCCTATATCCCCAAAACCGAGCCCACAGCACTTTGCTGGGCAGTGAGTTCTCCCCAGCATCTCCACCACTACTTCAACAGGTCTGTGTGTCCCTATATCCCCAAAACTGAGCCCACAGCACTTTGCTGGGCAGTGAACGTCGCAGAGTCCGGTGAAGCAACTAAAAGCACATCTGAATGTGCCCCACGGCCACGTTCAAATCCCAGCCCTGCATTTATTAGCTACACAACCCTGGGCAAGTCTCATAACCCTCCATGCCTCAGTTTCCTCATCTGTAAAATGGGATAATAATAGTGATAGCAACAGGAGACAGACAAGTTCCTAGACAGACAGGGATGGGTCCCCAGTGAAACCTGACCTTCAAGCCAAGGATACTTTTAGAGCCTGAGCACCTAACTGCCAGTTCTGGATAGAGTCCACGACCGGAGTGAGAACTTCCATCCCCGTCTTACCCACTCTCTTTCAACTGGTTCCTTCTGAATGATGCCCTTTATCCAATCGAATGGTGCTTTTTCCAAGCCCATCCATGGACCTATCAGCATGCACTCCCCCATTCAAAGCCCATAAAAACCCTGGACTTACCCTCACAGATGGCCACCCTGCTTTCAGGTCTCTTCTTGCAGCTGAGAGCTTTCTTTCTGTTCCTCAGTAAAATTCTACTCTGCCTTACTCTCTGGCGTCCACGTACCTTATTCCTCTTGGCTGTGGGACAAGAACCCAGAACTTGCCAAACTGCGAGAGCAAAAGAGCTGTAATGCTTGCTGAGCTGTGGGCGGCAGGAGTAAAAGAGCTGTAACCCTCCCTCCCACTTGCCGAGTTATGGGAGCAAAGAAGCTGCTGGGTGCCACTCCTTCCCACTTGGTGAACCGCTGGAGTGAAAAAGCCAGAAAAATAATAACTCCCTTATTAGGTTGTTGAATGTGTGCAAAGTGCCTTCGGCAATGCTTGAATGGCTGGTTACACCTTCCACTACGGGGCTTCTGGTGCCCACGATGAGCCAGGCACATGAAGGTTCCCCGCTGTGCACCTGCCTGGGTGTTACCTGGGTGTTACCTTTCTGTGTGTATATGCAAATTCAAGGACATGCATTTGCATGAAGAACTCCAAAAGGACCATCAGCCAAAGACGAACGTGGTCATCGTTGGGAGAAAACGTGATGATTTATTTTTTACTTATCCATAAATTCTAATCTTTTCAAAATAAACATGCATTAGCTGTATACTAAACATAATTTTTAAAATAAAAGAAGTATAGGGTCTGCTCTGAGATCATGCTGGATCCTCCTTGTCCGGCTGGGCAGCTGCCAGGACAGTGCCCCGCCTGGTGCTGGAGCTCTGCTTACAAGGGTAGGGAGAAGGCCAGGTGCTGTGGGGCATCCCCCACACTGCAGCTAGAGCACCTGGAGCACCAGCTCCCACCTGTACCCCGGCCTCTCTCCTCCAGCAAATGGGCCTGAGGTCCAGGCCCTTCATGCCAGACCTTCTCACAGGCACTGCAGGTGTTCACTGGGTGACCACATGCCCAGGGCTGCCTCATGCCGGGCCCCACTCCAGGCACTGAGGACACTCAGCCCACAGCCCTGCAGGGCGTACATGTATGAGTGTGTGTGCCAGTAGGTCAGGCAACAGATGGAGAAATAAACAAGAAAAGAGACAGTGTCCAGCACTATGCAGAGAAGCGTAATGGAACCATGGGATGCAGGCTACCGCAGACTTCGCCTTCAAGGGCCATGAGTGGTGCGTCTGAAACAGGGCGGGTCTGTGCAGAACACACTCTAGACTTTGAATATTTATTAAGAACAAAAGAATGTAAACTATTTCTTTTATAATTTTTATATTGATTCTAGGTTCAAATGATAGTATTTTGGGTGTTGGTTAAATATTTTATTAAAATTAATGACACCTGCCTCTTTCTTTGTTTTCACGTTCCTATGTGGCTGGTGACACATTCCTTCTGGACAGCACTGTTCTAGGTATAAATCCTGCCTCCCTCCTCTGCCTGCTCCAGGCCAGGGTCTGCTGGCAGCACTGACCAGTGCTTCCCTCCCCTGGACCCTCTGTGCACACTGAAGATACCGGAAGGCTCCCCCAGGCAGCAGGAAGGGCTGTGCGTGCAGTGGCAAAACTCGTCAACACCTGCTCCCGGGCACAGCAGAGAGCACACAGAGGTCCACTTAAAAGCTACTCAAGTCAGAAGTTTACAAATTGCCAACATGCAAAGATGAATAAATTAATCACGATGGGGCTAAAAGGCCCATTTGCCTACTCTTGTTATTTTCTTCCCCTAACAGAGAAAGATGAAACAGGATTCACCACGGTGACATGCGACGCGGGGAGCAGGGTTAATTGGTTTAATTTGCTTTTCCACAGCCTCCTGACACTCCGCGTGTGCAGCCTGGTGAGAAACCCTAACCACAGCAGGTGCTGTGGAGTGCCAGCTGTCTGCAGTGGGGAGGCCCTGATGCCACCTGGGGAGGCCGCTGAGGACCCCCGGGGTCCGGGGGGCAGGGCAGCAGCATGACATTTCCCAGCAGGAGGCCCTCGGGCATTTCTCTTGACCCCTCCGTCTTTTAGGTGAGGAACCTGAGGAGCGGACAGGCTGGGCAACTTGTCCCAGGAGGCATGCAGCAAGCCCGGCAACCCTGTGGCACCCACACTGCAGTCCCATTCCCCATACCACTGTCGGGGGCAGTGGGGCGGGCGACATGCCTGCTCTAGAGCCAGGCAGGCGACATGCCTGCTCCAGAGCCCAGCAGGCTAGACCTGGCTCTCCAAGCACTGTCCCTGGAGGACAAGCCCCTGTCTATGAGATGGCGATGGCGAGGGGAGCCACCCCCAGGCGAGAGGGGCAGCGATACCCGTGCTGGTGCAAAGAGCTCCAGAAACTCGCCCTGTTGTTTCGTGCTCATCATGACCACTGCCCTCTATCTGCAAGAGTTGCAGGCACCTCCTGGGAGGTGGCAGAGGAGCCCTTCGCAGGTGCCATGAGGGCTGAAGGGGTCCGCGCACCCCCTGGAGCGAGACAGGCAAACACGAGTCACTCCCCTACCCCTGACACATCCTCCTCACCACAGGGCCCTGGCAATCACGAGCCCTGGCAATCACAGGGGACGACGGCCACACTTGACAGAGCAGGAGGAGGCCAGGAGGGCTGAGGCCAGAACAAGAACAAAGGCCCTGCCATGCCTGGACTCCACCCCCTGCCCTGTGGAGAGGCTGGAGTGAGCACCGGATAGGCCCCTCTCGGTCTCACTGGCCCCTCACTGTCACTCCTACTCCCGAAATGACAACAGTCTCCATGGACCACACATTACAGAGGTCAAAGATCGTTGATCCTACCCAAACCCCCGGGCCTTTCTGCAGACAGTGGAGCATTTGTATTCCTCCTGCGCAGGGGCTGCAGGGTCTGAATCCATATTCAACATGAAGTATCCGCTTCCGTGACGTACATGTGCAGAGGAAGGAATGGGACCAGCTGAGATGAAATCATGGCGAAAAGGTCCGCTGCTGTCAGCGCTGCCAGCGGAGCGACCCCAGTGAACTTCAGGCTGCAGAAGACCCGCAGATTGTGCTTGGCCCACTTCAAGTTCCTGAATGAGGCCATTTCCTTCCTCCCGTGTCTCCATTTGGGCTGGGAAATTCCTGACTCGACACTGACATTCAGCCTTAGGAAACAGGCCCAGGAACCCTCTGTGGCCGAGAGACCGCCAGTCTCCTCAGCAAGGGCAGGGGAGACCCAGCACTCGACACACAGGCCATGCCAAGGCACAGGCCGTCCCATGCCCCAGGCAGGCTGGGACCCTCGCCGAAAAACCTCCCTAGGAGGAGCTCAACCTGACACTCCCCAGGTCCTGCCTGTCCTTCACACTCAGGTGACGAGGGGCTGCCCTGGACATGCATAAGTGACAAGTGCCTCCAAATCAGTTCCCTAACAAGACCTGCTGAGAGTACACTGGGCTTGTCAAACAGGACTTCAAGCTGGTGACCGAGGCCACAGAGGCCCATGTCTAAGGAGCCGGCAGAGTGTGTGCCTTTTCCTGTACAAATGAGAACGGCCTGCGGGGAGGGGCTCCTGCTCCAGTGCACACCCTCTGTGACACGCAGCTTCACGTGGCTGGGCCAGCTTTGCCTCACCCTTGGCGCAGCCCACGGAGGCCTCGGGCTCATCTGAAGCCGGCTCAGACCTCCGCACAGCAGCGTCAGAGACACAGGGCTCAGCTCTGTTACCTGGCGCGGTGATGGCTGCTTCGTACAAGGAAAAGCATGGGCCTTGGAGGTGTTGCCACTGGAAAGAAGTACGGCCATCTTCCCAAGGTGGCCATGGGCTGCTCACAGCCTAATGATGAACTTGGTGCTGATATGTGCAGTTATCCTGGGACAGGCGACCCACTGGACTCTTGGCGTCCCAGTGCTCATGAACCCTGCTCAGTGGTGCAAGTGTGTGCATGAGGAAACGACCCCGTGGTGCAGGTGTCAGGACCGGGTGGCTTGAGATCCAGATGCCATGAGCCCCGGCTGCATGCAGGCACTGGTAGCACTGGCAGCACCGTGCTGTGCCCACCCCTCAGAGGCAGTGCCTGTCCCAGGCTCCTGCACAGAGGCCTGTGCTTTCCTTGCTTCCCTCCACCGCCCTTCCCTCCTACCCTCTGCCCTCTCCTGGCTGTTCAGGCTCCCACAGCAACCATGGCTGTCCCTTTCCCATTGCAACCTCACCCGTCTGCCTTCTGTGTAACTCCAGGTCACCTTTCAAGACTCCGTGAGGACTGAATCGCACACACCGACCCTACCACCTTCAGATGCACCTGTGCTCCAGGAGGCCCTGCCTGTCTCGACACTGCAACCAGGGACCTTTGGTTTCAGCCTCCTAAGAATGGCATTTAAAGGTTCAGAGACTATTGTGAGCAGGAATTATGGGGAGAGGGCAAGCAAGACAAATGGGGTCCCCAGAGAGGATGAGGATGAGTGCAGGCATTGGGAGGGGACCCATGGCCTCTGCCCTGGATGCCAGACAAAGAGGGGCTGTTTGCTCAGGGTGGGCCTCCCAAGCCTTCGATGGCCATGGTCCTCCTGTCCCTCTGTCTGGGTGGGGCAGCCAGGGGCCGGGCGGGGGGGCAGTGCTTGTTGGAAAAGGAACCACAGGGGAGGCAAACCTGCCCACCCTGGCCACTGGCACGCCTGCCTGGTCAGTGCCCACCTGGCCCAGGCCCAGCTCCACTTGCCCCGTCTCCTTTGGTCTCCGGGGCCAAAGGGTATTTCTAGGGAGCAGGGTTCCCACCTGAGGTGGGGTTCGCAGATTGGGCGTGGGCATGGTGTGGTCTGTAATTCTGAAACTTTCAGACACATGGTGTGTGCTTTAAATCCTGCTCGAGGGGAGGGCCTACATATCAAGACCACGAGGAAGTGCCTACACCGGGTCCGCAGTCCCACTCCCCCGACTCTCCCTGCACCGGGTCCACAGTCCCACTCCCCCGACTCTCCCTGCACTGGGTCCGCAGTCCCACTCCCCCGACTCTCCCTGCACCGGGTCCGCAGTCCCATTCCCACGACTCTCCCTGCACCGGGTCCGCAGTCCCATTCCCACGACTCTCCCTGCACCGGGTCCGCAGTCCCATTCCCACGACTCTCCCTGCACCGGGTCCACAGTCCCACTCCTCTGACTCTGCCTGGAGGACAATCTTGAGGCTTGGGGGAAGATGACTATAGAAAGGTGCTCATCTGTGCACTGTTGTTCACAGCCAAAGGAAGAAAGAAAACCTCGAAGCTGCCGAGGCCAATGGCTACATGTCCCTGGGCTATGCAGGAGGCTCGGTCAAGGGTACTGGAGAAGTGAGAGTCGTCTCTCCCCTCACACCACACGCCATGGCAACTCCACGGGGGCCTCAGTCAATGCCACGGGGACCTGAGATTGAACGCACAAAGTGAAAACATGACAGCACCAGGTGAAACATGCTGAGTCCTTCACCCCTCAGAGGCGGGAAAGCCTTGGGAACTATGACTCCCAGTCCAGGAGGAATACAAGACCGGTAAGTTCAATACACAAAACCTTAAAAAAAAAAAAAAACCTTTCAAATGAAAACTAACACCCGGTAGCTCTCATATATTTATATACACATAAAGGCAAAAGATAAATGAAAAAATGGAAGAAACACTTGTCATTTTTATTAGAAAGGAGGAAATGCTGGCATTCATATGGAAAGAGCTCTTGAAAGAGACAAACAGGTCAAAATCCTTAAAGGAACTGGCAAAATACAGGAACAGGAGAGGTGTCCGGAGCGAGGAGGCCCTGCAGTCCTTACACAATGCAAAGGCGCTCAGCGGTGCCAGAAGACGGGGCTTGCTACCACCCCGAAAAATGCAAGAGCGCCGGCAGCTCACTCTGGGGCTGGCTCAGTTATCCCCAGGGACATCTGGGCAACAGCTGAGGATGCTCGAAGGGCCCCTGGGTATTCGCGGACGCTAGAGAGCTCAAGCTCACACTGTCGGGTCCACAAGCCCACGGCACACACTTGCGCAGAAGGGCTTTCCCAGGAGCCACCTGGCTGGCACACAGGGTCCAGGCGCTGCCTCTGCCACTCATTTCCAGGTGTGCACCCAAGACGAGACACTCAGCCCCTTGCTCCAGGTCACTCAAGCAAACACAGCAAATGCTGCCAGCTGTTAAAACTAGGTGGTTGTCCCTGAATCATGCTTTCTGCCTCTCTGTATTTTAAACTTTTTCACAGTAACAGGTGAGAGGGAAAAAAAGCCAACTCTGCTAGTGTGTTGAAGGCAATTTTGGTCTATCCATGTAACGAAATGTTTATTTATTTAGCAGTTAAAAAATCTGTGGTTGAAAAAAACATAACGATGCTGGCAACTCCTGTGAGTGTAAAGGTTACTGAGAAGCAGAGGTGGCAGCCAGGCGGGAAGCCCAGTGCCCCCCATACCAAGAGACTCACGGCAGCAGGGTGGGCAGGAGATGGACCGCCCCCGACAGTCGCCAGCCTGGGAGGGAAAATAGCTGTCCTCCAGTTGTCGTCTTTCAATTTCTGTTTTCCATTTTTTTTTTCACAAGGGCATGTATTGAAAACATGATTTCAATTTCTAAAAGACAATCCAGGCACCGTCTCTTTCTAGAGGTTTCTCCTGGCAGTGCTCCCTCCCCAGCAGGGAGGTACACCTCCATGGTCACCTGGTGTCCCCAGGGCCAGCTGGGAGGCAGGGCCTGACCAGCATGTGCTGTGGCAGGTGGGCTGCCCCCCTTCTTCCCAGCACCCTGGAAACCTCAGTTTTTCTAGAACTGAGAAAGGCTCAGGGAGCAGCCAAGGCCCCCGGGGTCCCTCCTAAACCGCAGGAGGGTGGAAGACTGGCTAGGAGGTTCCTGGGGCTTGCTGGGCTCCACAGCGCCTGCGGGTCCTGAAGAGGAGGGTAGCTGGGGGGAGGGCATGGGGTGCCAGGGAATGACCCGCCTGGGATCTCCTGCCCGTTTTTATCATTTTCCCATGGGATACTCCTTCCCTTTGCCATCTCGGTCCCCGTGGCTTGGTCGTGTCAGGTGTCATGGAAAACTTAGTAAGAGAACAGGTCAAGGTGCAAATGATTCAAAGATTCAAATTTCAGACATTTAAAAATAGTGAGTCATGGCACGGCTCCAGCGAAGACCCCTGTACTTTCATATTCAATCCAGCATGTGGTCCGGGGTGAGGTAGAGAGGACGGGGCTGGGGAGGCGCAGGCCTAGACCTCCCACTGCCCCGGAGCCCAGGTGTCCACGTGGCCTGCAGGATGCCCTGGCCCTGTGCTTGGGGCTGCAGCTGCGTCAGCTACCGGCGGCCCTGTGAAGACCTCCACCCGCTGACCAGGACCAGGACGTTCCCTTCTCCCAGGCGGGTAGGATCAATGGGCCACATGATTCCAGGGGGACGGCAGAGCCTGGCCCCGGATCCCCAGTGAGCGGCAAGGGAGGGCCCCTCACACGGAACCTGAGAACTCTGCTGGGCACCCACCCTGTATCCTGACCACGTGCTCCAGCTCCACCCCACCCTGGCTCCTCGATCAGGCGGTGTCCACGTCCTGTCCACACGTGATTCCCAGCACTGAGTGTCTGCACGGGAAGCACAACCCAGGCTGTGTGAAGGAGAAGGAGCGGCGGGGAAACCAAGGAAGGGGTTGGGCGGCCCGGCCTCCCCTGCCCTTCCCCCACCCTCCTCCACCTCACGTGCTGAGTGTATGCAAGTCCTGTGTGTGTGGTGTGTGATGCACATGTGTGTATATGGTGTGCAGTGTGTGTGTGGGGTGTGTGTGAGTCACCTGTATGGTTTGTATGTGTGCTGTGTAGTTTTGTGATGTGCATGTGACACATGTATGTGGCACATGTGTGTGGTGTGGAGGATGTGTGCATGTATGGTGGGTGCACTATGTGAGGATGTTGTGTCTGTATGTGGAGTGTGGTGCGTGTGTGGGGGTTGTGTGCTGTGGGTGTATGTGGTGCATGTGTAGGGTCTGTGTGAGTGTGTGGTGTGGGTGTTTAGTGTGTATACATGATGAATGGTGTGCAGTGTTTGTGTAGTGTGCGTGTGTATATGTGGTGTGTGGTGCATGGCGTGTCTATGTGCATGTGTGTACTGTGTATATACGTGGTATGTGGTGCATGTGTGGTGTGTGTGTATAGTGTATGTACACATGGTGTGATACGTGTACATAACTGTGGTGTGTGTGTAGTGTGTGTGTAATGTGAGTATACATCGTGTGTGTGCTGTGTGTAAACATGGTGAGTATGCATGTCGTGTATGTGTTGTCTGTGTGTTTACATGGCATGTGGGTGTGGTGTCTGTGTGTATACATGCTGTGTGTTTGTATGGTGTCTGTGTGTATACATGGTGAGAGTGTGGTGTGTGGTGTGTCTGTGTGTATACATGAGTGTATGTGCTTTGTGTGAATACATGGTGTGTGTGTATACATGTGTGTGTATGTATACATGGTGTGTGTGGGGTGTGTAGTGTGTGTATACATGGTGTGTGTTGTCTGCGTGCATACATGGTATATTTTGTGTGTGGTGTCTGTGTGCATACATGGTGTATGGTGTGTGTGCGTGGTGTGTGTTGTGTGTGTAGTATCCGCACACATGGTGTGTGTGATGTGTGTACACAGTAACTGGTGTGTGTGTGTATATATGGTGAGGTGTTATCTGTGTGTATACATGGTGTGTGTTGTGTGTGGTGTCTGTGTATACATGGTGTGTGTGTATACATGGTGTGTGTGTGTGTATATATGGTGAGGTGTTATCTGTGTGCATACATGGTGTGTGTTGTGTGTGGTGTCTGTGTATACATGGTGTGTGTGTGTGTACATGGTGAGTGCATGTGATGTGTATTTATGTGGTAACTGTGGTGTGTGTGTGTGTGGCCTGGGGAGGGGACCTGCGCCTGCCTTGCCTCCTTTCTGGACGCAGGTCCTGCCCTGGCTGGTGGCTGCGGGACCCTGTGCAGGTGCCTCTGGCTGAGGCAGGATGGTGACACCAATGATGCTATCTTCCTGAGATGTGAGGCTCCGCTGCCCTGTCCCTTCCACAGGACGGGCCACCTGGCCGAAGAAACCAGAGCTGTGTGGTGTGTCCTCTGCAGGGGGTCCTGAGCAGGACGCAGCAGAGGCCCCATGCTGGGTCTGGCAGTTGGGCTCCCGGCCCTCCTCCCACACACAGGACTGGGAGGGCGGGCACAGCCTGCCCACGGGGCTGTGCAGAGGGTGGGCCGTGATCCATGTGTGAAGAACCTGTCGGGGCTGGGTATCCCAGGGCTTTTCAGATTGGGGGGGGAACTGCCCCCTACCCAGGACTGCTGCCTCTCTCCGCCCTCAGTGCCTCTCCTCTCCCCTTTCTTCTTTTTTTGTGTTCCTAAGAAGAAGTGCTCCACTCTCATCCAAGACGAATGACAGTGCTAAAGAACCCTCCTTTACAAACTCCTCTACCTGGGACTTTCTTAAGCACTTTATTGTTGCAGCTCTCAATGTGCTTAAGCGTCTGGGTCACGTAGAGCTGATCCTGCTAAGTTTCTAGTATGTCAACTGCAGAAGCATGCAAACGCTGAGTGCTGGTCGAGGCCATACTGGACCCCAGGTCAGGGAGGGGCTGGGTGCAGAACCCACACGAGCCAGAGCCTCAGCCTGACTCCTGGAGCTGCGGCGTCCTGGAAGGCCGTGGTGCTGGGTGAGACGCGCCCTCACAGATGCAGGGGTGGGGGTGCAAGGATGGCCGTAGGGGAAGCCCAGGCACGCCTGCCGGCTGGAGGGTGACGGGCAGCACAGGGAAGACCCAGTTAAGAGCCACGACGCCCATCCAGCCACCGAGCACCTGCCTGGAGTCCCCCAGTTACCCCTGCCTCACACCCAGCATGGCAGGGGTAACTGGCATCTCAGTAAAGAAAGAATGAGGGCTTGGGGGGTGGGTGACTTGTATAGATGCCCCCAACTCACAGCTGGGCCTCCAGACAGATCCCCACTGTCCTGGGCCACCATCTGGGCACCGGCCCTACCCAGCCCTTGGGAAGAGAAGGTGAGGCTGGGAGCTGAGCCACACCGCCTCACCAGCAGACTCGGAGCGAGGGTCAGCGAGCTGTGGAACCAGAACCGGAAAGGGCAACTGCACGGCCACACGGAGCTCACGACGGCACGCTCTGAAGCGAGGAGCCATGGGACGCACGTGTGGGAAGGGCCACCACAGCGCACCCGCCGTCCTGCGAGGCCAGGTGCAGAATGGGTAGGCAAGGTGGGAGAACCACATCCTGGCCCGTGCAGCGGCAAGGACACCTACAGCAGACCCCAGCCACAGCTTCAGTTCATCTAGACGGACACGTGCACACACCACAAACACACAAGTTCCAAGCCGCCAAATAATGAGAGATAACGTGTGCGGTGTCAGAGTCTGCAGTCACGAACTTGAATCACGAACACCAAAAAGAGATCGGGAAAGCGGCTGAGAGGTGCAGGATAGTGCAGCTCTGTCCCACAGGGCTTCACATGCCCGGAGTGGTTTCTCTCTCCAGGTGGGAGGAGCCGCGGACTACAGCACGTGTGCCACGGTGACTCTGCATGCTGCTCTCCCAGATGCTGAAATAATTCCTACGTGAAAAGAGCCAACACAGGAGCACTGCAAGGAGACGAATCACCCCCACAGGAGGCGCCTTGCACCCCCAGATGGCCACTCTGCATCCTGCATCACCTGCACACCGGGGGCACCCAGTGCCTGGCCACTGCCCCTCCATAGGGCCCAGTGCTGACATCTGTCCCTCTGGATGGGAATGGTACCAGGTGCAACCCACACTGATGCACAAGCAGCCCGGTGCCTTGGAAGCCTCCAAGGTTCATGGGACTGAAGACCATGGGGCTGTGGCCAGGACGACAGAAGGAGACGGCAAATGGGTGCAGCATGCAGACCCTGCTGAGCATCGGGTGGTCGGCGCGGGCAGCAGTGGCTCCCGGGTAGCAGCTGAGGGGCCGGAGAAGGGGAGGGCTGCCGGATGGCTACGCAGGCAAGTGCACTTACACGGATCCATCAGGTGACAGTGTGACCCAGCCCGGGGAGGGAGACTGTGCTGTGAGGGTAGAGAGGGACACCCCCAGGAGTGGACAGGAGAAGGGTGCAGGGAGGGGAGTTCTGACAGCCTCAGGCCCACCCTCACCTCCCCAGCCTGCCCCAGGTCCCTCTTCTGGTCGCCTCTGTGAGGCTGCCCATCCTGGTGTTCACTCCGGCCAGCCTCAAGCTAGGCATCGATCTAACAACTGTGAGGTGTCCTCCACACCCACCATGTCCGAGGGAGGAGACGGCCGCTCAAGAAGCCTAGCGACAGCTCAGGGTCAAGCAGCCGGCCCGTGGCAGGGCTGCCGCCTCCCCCATCAGCAGGGCTGCCCTCTCGAGCCACTGGACCTGACTACCATACAACCCTGTCTCTCGGAGAGGGTTACAGGGGCTGTCCCCACTAAATGTGTCCCTACTTGGCCCTGAAACTTAGAATGACATCTTCACGTGGAAGCCAGGAGCCTGAACTGCTGTCAGATAGTCCAGCCCCTGATTGGTCCCAGCCCAGACACTACCTGTCACCTTCCGCAGAGCCTGTGAAACCATGGGGTATGGGTTTTCTGTGGGCGGTCAACACTGACCAGCTTCTCCAAGAGATAAGAAGCCCTGCCTTCAGCCATCTGGGAGGACAGGAAACTCCACGTGGGGAGGGGGCTCACCAGCAGGGGGAGGGGCTGAGTGGGAGGCACTTGATGAACCCGGTGTCACACATAACACGACGCTGGGCACACACCACAGACGTAGGAGGGCCGTAGAGGTCCTGGTAGGAAAACTGCCTATGAAAAGTTCATCCTTATTTACCTTATTTTTAACCTTTCTATCACACTCAATGCCCTTTTAACTAGGAGATCAAAGAATACAGAATACCACCTGATACACAGAAGACAAGAAGGTAGCTCCGCACAGAAAGGTCAGGCTGCGCCCGTCCGCACCACCGCCCCTGAGGGTGGGCACTCGGGTGGGGGTCTGCGCTGGCGCCAGCCCATCCTCTGTCTTGTGAGCACAGGAGACCGTGGGAGAACGGCCGTGGTGTCTGGGAAGAGGGGCTTCCTTTGCCCCTTTGCAGGCTGCTGTGATGTCAAGTGTTACGCGTCCTCGCCGGCCCTCATGCCTTTGAGTTCTGTCAGTGACGATGCAACCATCTGCCCAACATGGTCACTGGTCCACAGTGGCCGGGCATCCCCAGGGCGGCTCCCACCTCCCTCCCTCTCTCCCACTCCCAGACCATCCTGGGAGCCCGGAGTGCAGGCTCTGATAGCCGATTTCTTTGACAATCCAGTTATTAGTTTGAAAATCTTGTGACGTTCTGGACCAAACCAGGGCTAAAAATAAAAAGACAGTGACAGCCAGCCGGGACAGGGTGGCAGCTGCCAGAGCTGGCCAGCCCGCCGGGAGGACAGCCCTGGGAAGGTGACACCTCAATACATCCGCCTTCCGAGGAGTCTCTCATGGCACAGCGATGTATACTGTCCTTGTAATTCATTTCATTTTTTTTTTTTCCAAAAAAGGAATTCTAAAGAGAAAAGCGCCTTTCAGTGCTGAAAACATGGGCTCGGCATGGAGCGTCCCCATCACGCTGCCCTTCCATTTCATCCCTAGGCACACGGCTGAGACTTCTGATCAACACACAGAGGACACTGCAAATCCTGGCGCAGCCCTTCGTCTTTTTCAGCCCGTGAAGACTTCCTGCCTTGCGGTGTTTGGGGCCAAGATGCTGTGGCCACGTCATCCCTGGAGATGCCGCTCAAGAAATGCCCAGCGGGCAGCAGGGAAGGACGCCCACTTCTAGAGGAGGCACCCTCAGTCAGGTGCTTATCTACAAGGCTCTTCCCACAGCGATCCCGAGTGAAAACGCCAGAGGACAAGGCCAGGTCTGCCAGGCTGCTTCTGCTCCTAAAGCAGAAATCACCAGGAGGGGGCCGCTGAGAGTGGGGAGGGGAAGAGCAGCCGTGTGGGCTGTGTTTCTGGCATCCCGGACCTTGGGCACATGTCCCAGAGCAGCCGCCATCACTCCCTGCCTAACAGAGCTGCCGTCTGAACTCGGACAGCTCCGGGCACATTGCCTGCTAAAGGCAACCGCTACCTGCTCCAGGGCAGGCTGACAGGACAGGCACTGCTGGGGTCCCCCAGCTTCCTGAGGGCTTCAGGGAGCCAGCCTGGCACGCTGTCGGGTTTGGGGCTGGGATGGACAGTGTCTGCACATTGCCAGCCCCATACTAGGTGATGTTTAAGGAAGGGGGAAAACTGCAGTCAAAGAGTCGTAATTTCAAGCGGGGGGGCATTTCCAGGCCATGACAGTGTCCCGCGCGTGACAAGTAAAGGCTGCAGCTACGGTCAGTCAGAGATGAAACCAAGCCAAACGTCACGACACAGAGCTCAGAGGGTGAGCAGGTCACTCATGGCTCAGACTCACTCAGCGCGTGGCAGGGCCATACCAGGACACTAGGAACAGCTCTCAAAAGCGCAGAGTGTGAGGAGGTGGGCTGGAGGGGAGGGTGACAGGGGCACACAGGACCGCCCTGCTCCGGGGACATGTCTGTTCCTCAACAGCAGGAAGGAGAAGTCATGGCCTGGAGACAGTGCTGGAGGCCCAGGAGGTCCCGGAGCTCCCCTGCTCCCGCCAGCCACGCGCCCTCTTCCTGGCCCTCCTCATCCACTCGCAGTCACAGCTACTCACATCTCCTCCTACTCTCTCACAGCCACTCACACCTCCTCCTACTCTCTGCCCACCCTCCCATGCCCAAGAGTGACTTCTGCGGACCTTCAGAGCCACAGGCCAGTCCAGTGTCCCCGGACCTCCCACAGGCTCTGTCCACTCCCCGCCTCCACACGGGACTCATCGTCACCCCTGTCAAGCTGCCTTTGCCCTTGTGGGTCTTTACCTTGATCTCTGGCGACAGCACTCGGCCAGTCACCCAATAAACAAATGCAGACATCGTCCCCAGTTTCTTCTCCTTCTTCTCTGACCTTGCCCTGTGCCCCCTCCCCCAGCCATTGCAATCTGTCACCACACCCTGCGGGTTCTAGGCACACCTCCTAGGCATCCTGCAAACGCACCTGCTTCCCGGCTCACTCCTGGGTGGTATCTCTCATCTTTCGCTTGCACGACGGCCACAGCTCCTCCCTTTTCCCTTGCCCGTCCACCTGCATGGCCGCCTCCTTACCTCTTTCCCCCTCGAACCCACCTCCCCCAGGCAGACCGGGCCCCCTTCTCTCACGCCTTTCTGCCTGCAGCCTCTCCTGGCCCCTGGGTCACCGCCCATGCTGTTTCCTCTGCTTGGAGCACCATGGCAGGGGCTGCCAAGTACCACTCAACAGCCATTCAGCCACCCTCCCCGTCTTTAGGAACAGAACTTTAATTTTCTTCATGAAAGGAGGCACAAGCCCTGCTAAAATACTGCATTTCCCGGGCTCCCTTGAAGTCAGATATGACCACATGACTCAGTTCATGAACGTGAGCTGCATTTGGAAGCAGTGGGTGGAATTCAGGAGAAGCTTATAGAGGAAGCTGTCTTGGCAGGGAAAGGTGCCTTTTATCCTCCTGCTGCCAGGCTGGACTATGGATGCAATGGCTGGAGTTTCAGCAGCCATCTCAGGCCACGAGGTGCCTCTGAGAATGGAAGCCACAGACAGCAGAGAAGACAGAAAGGAAACTGTGTTTCTGAAAGCACCGAGGCTGCTGTTCCAGCCTGGAACTGCCTGCCTCGGACCTCCTTTAATATCAGAATGAAATCGGCTGTGATTTTTTTTTTCCTTTTCTTGTCCTATTCAGTCAATCCTCGTTCCAATTAGCCCGAGTGCTTTTCTCCCACAGCTAACGCTCTCAGGGGGTCTCCCTTCCAGCAAGCTTCCCGTGACCCACCCTGGCATCCTGCGTCTCCCCCGAAGGGTCACAGACATCTGGACCCCGTCCCTCCTCTGCTCTGCCGCCACGGCCGATGCTTTCTCTCTCAGAGGCCCCGTGCCCGGGCCTGTAAAATGGGAAAACGCCACCTTTCTCATCACGAGAGTTAAATGAGATGACAAATATAAATGGGCCAAGCACACTCAGTAAATACTAGTTCCATCTCATAAGCAAGGAGAGCCACCAAGAGTGGCCCTAAGTGTGGCTTTGGGACTTAGAAGCGACAGAGAGCGCAACTGCGACAGCCTCGTCAGGACCAGCTACGTGGGGGGTTGTGGCCGGCCAGAAACTCTCTAGTGAATGTGCCTGTGGGCTGAGGGGTCACCATCCCATGGAAGCGGGGAGCAGCTGAGATGCCATGACCAGCCACCGACGCCCGCCAGCCACAAGCAGAGGAGGAACCCACTTCGGCCTGGGGACCCTGAGCTTGCGCTGATCTGACACGGTGCCCCCAGGGGCCAGGGGGGGAACCCCGTAGGAGGCTGCGGTGGTTTCTCACCCAGGGAAGAGGAATCCACTGCGCTGACCCAGTCTGGATTTTTGAACCCATTGTTTTGAACGCATGACTGAGAGATATAACCTTGTATTGGTCAACCCAACCTGAGGACAAAAAGATCTGCTTCCCAACATTAGTAACAATTTATCTCAGAGCACTTAACCAGGAAGCAATAGGTCTTCAGAATAAAAAGAGAACCGTGGAGCCCTAGGACCGGGTTCTAGTCAGATACACGCAGGAGAGTGGGTGAGGTCCAGGCAGGCAGACAGCCCAGAGGAACCCTCACACGGGCTGCCACCAGCAGAGTAAGGCCCAGACCACGGCCGCACACGCTCCTATGCACACGGCCCTCTGCAGTGGGCCCTTCTATCTTCAGAAGCTGAGACCCCAGAGGTGACATTGCTGGCCCCATCAGCTTGAAAAGTGCAGGTCACTGGGCTGCACTGCCACGTCCACACCGCGAAGGGGTCCTCCCCGTCCCCTGGGTGACGCTGCTCTTTCCCGACAGGCCGGCATGGTGGCTTTATGCTCTCCGTTCCCCCAGGGGTCTTCTTCAACCCCAGAGCAGACGCAGGGCTTCCAGGAGAGTAAGGTCACTGGTGACCACACAGGTCTGAAAGAGCTTCAGGGGAAATGACTCATGGAACCTCCCTGAGCCCCACAGGAAGAAGCCCTGGCTCAGCAGCCAGCACAGCCCAGTGCTCAGGACCCCCAGTGAGGCCCCCTGGAGAGGGGCCACGAGGGAGCCCAGGTACCAGAGCCTCTCCCAGCCATGGACCAAGCTTCCAAGGCTACCTTTAAACATGTAGCAATATTGATTTTCAAGTTGATTTCATAGATTCACTAGCAAAATGATCTTTTTCCTTGTAATATACATTGTGAAAATTATTCAATTTCCCGAGTTGTTCAAGTCTGCGTTCTCACATTGATTTTTCTGCTGCCTGGGAGGGCAGGAGGAAGGCATGCAGTGGGGCTGCGATCTGGAAAGGTCGGTTCTGCGTGAGTGCGCCGGGAAGCCGCTGGCCTGCCTCACCCGGGAAGGTGGAGAGTACACGGGTGGGCGCTGAGTGTCACACAGAACCCCACACCACGCAGCGTTTAAAAGTGTGTTCAGATCAACAGTCTGGTGAGGCTCTGGGCCCGCACAGCCAGGCTCGCAGGAATCTGCACGAACCCAGCAGGTCTAGGTCCCTTTCCTTTAAGCGGAGCGGGTTGCTCCCCACGCAGCTCACAGGCCCCTCAGCCTCTGAGGGGCCACAGCGGATCCCACATCCTCTCTGAGACCCCATGGCCCCAGCATCACAGCAGGAAGAGCAAGGCCATCAGTCACGCCAGGTGCCTGAGGCAGAAGCACAAGGCCTCTGTGCTGGCCACACAGCCACATGCACGCCACGTGAGGGCCACAGAGTTCCCACGGAAGGAAGAGAATGGCACCATCATTCAGCAGGGTGGTGGGGGCGGAGGTCTCTAGCTATCTGGTCCCAAGGGAGGGTCACACGCACGGGAGCCCCGTGGGTGCAGGGGACGATGCTGGGGGTGGGAGTGGGGCACTTGGTGACCCACAGAGAAGGGTCTGGCTCAGAAGGGGGCTGGGGAGACCGCGTACTGGCCTTGAGCTAGCGCTGCAGCCCACCAGCCCATGCCAGGCTCTTGTGGAGCTGTGGCACACGTGCTTGTGGCCCACAAGTGGGCAAGCCAACGAGCAGACAGCTCGGCGAGAAGGCCCAGGCACCCAGGTGCAGAGGCGGCTCGGCAGAAGTACCGTGGCACAGGGACTCCGGTGCCACCCAGCAAGCCCGGCCACCCAGACCGCCTCAGGTGTACGCGGGCTCGAGAGCTGTTCTAGACGGAACTGGGACACTCCTGGAGCAGAGATGGGAGCACACAGGGTGAGTCCTGGGTCACGTGTTTGCGGACTTTTGAGATGTCCAAAAGATGAACTCGGGGGGCCTCAGAGGCCGGCTCCAAGCTGCCTGGAGCCCTCGCCACCCCACTGTGAGTGCAGCCAGGAGGGCCGCCCACTCCCCAGTGCCCTCCAAATCTGACTTCTGGTTGGCAGTATTTGGTTCCTGCTTTGCCTGAATGGGCGTGGCGGTGCTCCGGACTGTGGCTGCCACTGATCTCAGGGGCGTTTACAGTGCACCAGTGACTGTGCCCCGTGCCGCGTGGGGCCCTTCGCTATCCTTTCCTCATGGACTCTAACAGGCTTGGAGAAATGCAGTCCACTCATTTTATAGACAGGAACAGTAAGACCAGAGGGGCTAATCCCAGCCCCTGGCCCATCTGCTCCTGGTGCACAGGCCCAGCCCCGCTGCCCCTGAGGAGTCAGTGCTGTGGGGTTTCTGCTATGGGAGAGGAGGCCCCTCCTCTCTGAAGGGGTTCATCTGAGGCTGAGGATGGGATTCATACCCCAGAGAGACCAGAGATGAGGGCTAGGCCAAAAGGCCCAAGGCATCCCATTAAGGTGGAGGTGACAATCACCCCAGTCCACAACGAGTAAGACACATCATCAGGAAACCTTCCCAAGAGGACATCACATCCTCCAAAGAACAAGCCTCTAAAAACCCAAGAGCCTCAGCCATCTCGGCCCCAGTGCCAGCCCCTTCTTCCAGAACCTTCCTCCCTGACTCGCCACTGCGGGTACCTCCCTGCAGCCCTGCCGGCTCTGCCATCCTTCCGGCCTCTGTGAGCTCCCGGGGCAGGGCTGGTGGCCTTGGTCGTGTCCCTTCCCCACTAGTCCTCACAAAGCTGCCCACCTGGGCGGGGGAGTGGTCCCATCACAACTCTGTCCCGCCCACCTCCTCCAGCCTTCTCGGCAGCCAGCCTGGCCTGTGGCCGTGGGGGTGGCACGCTGTATACACGGGAGAGCTTTTTCTTTGGAAGAACTAACAATGCAGCCAAGTGCAGGGATAAATACTGTGTGGCATTTTGCTAAACGTCTCATTAAGCTCCTATTTTTAGAAGGTTTTGAAAGCCATTTGAGGGAAATAAATGGAGGCCGCACAGGATGCCACGGAGCAGATGTGAGCGTCCGTGATTCCTGCCGCCGCCGGGCCGTGAGCTCACCTCCACAGGCCAGCAGAGCCTGTCCCCCAACCACGACATGTCACGGACACATCTGCGGTCCAGCCCTGACTGCAGCTCTGGAAGGGCCCCCGAGCCATGTGACCCCAGCCCCAGGGGACTGGACCAACAACGGGCACCAATCACTCGGCGGCCAGTGACAAATGCCAGCTTCCTTCCTCCACTCCCACACTTACTCTCTCCCTTATCTCTGCCTACTCGTCCACTCACACCCATAACCTGCATGAAGGGACACATGGGAAGCCGTGGCCCCCTAGAACCGGCATGAAGGGACACATGGGAAGCCGTGGCCCCCTAGAACCTGCATGAAGGGACACATGGGAAGCTGTGGCTAGGCGGGAGCACAGCCAGGAGGTGGCAAGGCTGGGTCAGGTACTGGGTCCCTGAAGCACAGGCAGGCACTGCAAGAGAAATCCCCAAGTGAAAGACCCCAGGAGAGGAACCCAGGGGAGAGAGGGACCCCAGGAGAAGAACCCAGAGGAGGGAGGGACCCCAGGAGAGGACCCAGGGGAGGGAGGGACCCCAGGAGAGGAACTCAGGGGAGGGAGGGACCCCAGGAGAGGAACGGACCCCAGGAGAGGAACCCAGGGGAGGGAGGGACCCCAGGAGAGGAATCCTGGGAGAAGGGCCCCAGGAGAGGAGCCCAAGAGAGAGGGACCCCAGGAAAGGAACCCCGGGGGAGGGACTCCAGGGAGGGGACTCTGTTCAGGCCCTTGAGACGCACCCAACTCCAGGGTCTCAAGCGATTCCGAGTGGGCATTTGTTCTCTCAACCAAGATCACCAAACTCTCTTAGGCACATCCTCCTTTTTAGGATTTCTATTTTTAAAATCCAACTGTTCTTTTCTCGTGCCATATAGTCTCTCTTCTCTGCTTCTGTTTTTTTTTTTTTTTACATCTTTTGGGTTTCTCTGGAATTCCTCGTCCAGCGGCTGCAGAGGTCCCTGTGTTGGGAGGTGCCTCTCTCTGTGACAGGTTTTCCCCAGACGTTGTCACTATGGCAGGAGCACACCTGCCGGGGGCACTTTATCCACGGGAATCCCACCTGTCCGATGGGGTGGTGGCCTCTCGGGGCTGGTTTTTTAAAATTTATTTTGCCTCTGTTGAGATGCTTCATTTTTCATCAGTTCAGACCAGCTTTGTTTTGTGCTTTGACTCTGGTCTCCATCCCACCCTGAGGCACCTCTGGGATCAAGGGCCTGTGAGAGTCTCTTCCCTGGCACTGTCCTAGGAGGAAGGAGGAGCCTGGTGGGGAGCTTCCCCAGCCCTCCCAGGAGCAGCACAGCCTCACAGACTAGAGGGTCCCAGCTTCATGCCAAGCCCTCAGTGGCCTCCACTTCCCATCCTTCCCCAGGCTGGGCCTCCGGCCTCTGCCCAGGACCGACAGCCTAGCTCCCCGCTGGCTCTGAGTCCCATCCTCCCTCCTGGCCACTGGGCACAGCTCCCCGCAGACAGTGCAGCCAGGCCACCTGTGCTCACTGCTGGACCCGCTCCTACCCTTAAGGACAGACCAGGAGCCCTGCGGCGGGGCTCACTCCCAGCCCGGCCCTGTCCCACCACATCAGAACTGCCAGAAACGCAAATGCTCTGTGTGCGACCAACGTATGGATGGAAGAAGGCCAAATGCAGCCCGGATGGAAACAGCAGGGCGCACCTATGCCCCAAGGCCTCTCTGAGGGCACTATGTGTGACCCCTGGGTCCTCACGATGTCCCAGGAGGTGGGTGCAGAACGTGTGTGTGTTGGAGGACCGCAGCCCCCTGGGGAGCCCTCCGACAGACCACCACATGCTATATACCAGGCCGGCAGCAGGATCCACTCAAGGTCAAGTCAGCAAAACACACCCACTTGAGCCTTACACATCTGTTATTAAAAGGTAACAGGAGTCACAGAAATGGTTTTTACGAGAACAAAACACCTTTTACGGGGAGGAATATTTAATCTCTGGCATTGCCTGTGCTTGGCAACTGATTATAGCAAAAGCAGACCGACTCCGAGTTGGTTTAGTATTGCTCCTTAGCCCTCTGCAGGTGGCGGAGCCCTCCCTTGTCTCCTTGTTGGCCCCGTGATGGACAGTGCCCGCCACCCGCCGAGGCCTGACCTGGCTGGAGCCGCTGCTCCTCCCTCGCCCTTCTGGACTCAGGCTGGGCGGCTGGCTGCCTTCCTTCTGCGCAGCGGCCCTTCCCTCTCACCTGACGCTGTGTCTTCCCACTCTCCCCAACCATGTCAGTGCAATCTCCATGTAACTGCCACTCTCATGGGCCAGCCGGTGGGCTGTGGTATTTTTCAAATGAACGGGTGAATTAATGAATGAATGTGTGTCATCCAAAAGGGTGGAGGTTTCCGGGTGGGCAGACAGCCCTCTCCTAGCCTCTTGACCTGTGTCAGAGCCGCCTCTGCAGCTAGACGACAGAGGAGGGAACAAGGTCTGTGGGAAGATCCCCCAGCCCTGGCGTCCCATCCTCCAGATGAGGAGACCTCCTGTGTCCCGGCAGGCAAAGCCTTCCCACCGCCCCATCAAGAAAGGGCCACCGAGTCATGGACCACATATCAGGAAGAACCATCTCGCTGCCTGTCCTGTAACACAGTCTAAATCAATTCCTGCAGCCCACTCTGAAAGCTAATCCAATTTGATTATCTCTGGATGATTACAGAGCGGCATCGGTGCCGGCTGCCTGGGGTGGAGATTGAGTTGTGCCATGGGTGGTGAGGACATTAGAGATAACAGTTGCCAATGCTTTCTTGGCCTGGCCCAAAGGAGCCACGGGTCTGGGCTTTCTCTCTTCGGGAATAAAGCTTATAGATTTTTTTCTAACGTCTCTTCTGCTGTCTCTTCATCAATTCTATCTAGCAACTGTAATCAAAGGCTTCAACCTGATGGCAGGACTCTGAGCTGGGGAGAGAGAGAGTTCATCAACCCTTTTAACAATTCCACCCAAGGACTAGCGTGAACGGGTTTGGAGGTTATCAGGCAAGCCAGCAGCACGAGAACACAGCGAGGAGCCCTGGGTGAAAGGGACGGCAGGGAACAGGCCAGCAATCCAGTGCGTCCCCGCGCCGCGGCCCCCAGTCAACCCCTGTTTTAAGGGACAGCACAAACAGACCAGCAATCCAGCACATCCCCGCGCCGCGGCCCCCAGTCAACCCCTGCTTTAAGGAACAGCACGGGACAGGCCAGCAATCCAGTGCATCTCTGCGCCATGGCCTCCTGGTCAACCCCTGCTTTAAGGGACAGCACGGAACAGGCCAGCAATCCAGTGCATCCCCGTGCCGCAGCCCCCAGTCAACCCCTGCTTTAAGGAACAGCATGGGACAGGCCAGCAATCCAGTGCGTCCCCACACCGTGGCCTCCTAGTCAACCCCTACTTTTCAGATAATCCACTCCGCTGACTCTCAAATGGGCTGAGGCCGACCCAGGCTGTGTAAGCCCTGAAGGTTACACAATGTGGAAACCTTCTCTTAGAAAGAAAAAGAACGTAAGACCTGAGTTCAAAACTGGGAGTGCAGGTAGGTGCTTACTTAGAAAAAAATCAGAACAAACTATGAAATTTAAAAGCTGGCAAATACCATAAACATAAAAAACTCTAAAACAAGAATACCTCTCCTAACGAACTGCCTAGCATGCCTCCAGGACAGCCCTTTCCCTGCCTTCTGGCTGCGTATTATTTGATCACCACTTCATATGACGATGCTTTTGTAATATCATGTCTTAAAGGCAATTCAATCTTTCAGGCTAGTGACCCTCAGTCAATGATTCTCAGTTGGGGCATTTCTGGTTGTCACCACACCTGTGATGACAGTCCTAAGAGGTCAAAGGTGCTGGCTAAGAAGGACTCTGGGCCGAGGACCTCTCCACTCAGGGTCCTCCTTCCACAGAGCAGCGGCCCTCTCGACTCCCTCCAACACCAGCCAGACGGGTCACTACCTGAGAAAATGGCCCTGGCAGTCACCTGGGCACGTAAAGGATGACGCCGAGCCTCTCCACAGAGGAACCAGCACCTTCCCAATCCACCTGGGCCAACCTTTGGCAGAAGACGCAGGTGGGGATCCAGGGCTAGGTCTAGGTCATCCACCTCCTGGCACCTCACCTGCCCCAGATGTAAACAGGTGTGAACAGCCCTGCCCTTGCCAGGCTGCTGTGAGAATAAGGGGAGATGCACAGAAAAACGCTGCAGCCGGCACGTGGTGCGCGCTTATTAACGTCTGCCACCATTACCAAGGTAGTTCCGATTACAGTCAACATCTACATGGCTCTGGTCCAGCGGCACCAAACGGCTCAGCCGCCTCCAGACCCCAAGACCCAGGATCTCAGCCAGCAGGCACCTTCACGGGCTGCACCCAGTCCCAGGATCTCAGCCAGCAGGCACCTTCACGGGCTGCACCCAGTCCCAGGATCTCAGCCAGCAGGCACCTTCACGGGCTGCACCCAGTCCCAGGATCTCAGCCAGCAGGCACCTTCACGGGCTGCACCCAGTCCCAGGATCTCAGCCAGCAGGCACCTTCACGGGCTGCACCCAGTCCCAGGATCTCAGCCAGCAGGCACCTTCACGGGCTGCACCCGTGAAGTCCCGCCAGTGCTGACTGGAGACAGTAACACCGACGCGCCTCCAGGTGGTGGGCACTGACTCTGGAGAGCCCCTGAGTGTGCCCTAAGTGCATGCGCGTATGTGCTTGTATACTGTGTGCACGCCAGGCAGACAGGGGCTCAGTAAGCACAGGGGCCAAGGAGGGACGCTGGTGCAGTCACACAGACCGCCTTGCGTGGCGACCCAAGGCCTCAGGGCCCCCCAAAGTGGGGCTGGTGGGTTCTGGAGTATGGTAGAAGTGGTCTCACTTCTTCATCTTTATGCTGTAGCCTGTGCCAGAAAAGGGCCCTTTCCAAACACAAAGGACCTTTCCGGTTGGACGCCGTCCTCTGGGAGAGAGGAGCTCTGGAAAGGGAAACGGGCGGCTGCGGCCACTAGAAACCCGCTGGTCCTCACAGGTCTTGGCAGCCCAAGTGCACGGCTCTGACAGCGATGAGAAGTGAGCACGGTGGCTCAGGTGGGGTGTGTGCAGGGGTTCCTTTCTCTAGAGAGACAGTGATATTTTGGGACACCCTTTCCCTGGTGTTTGGGAATGGTTTGTCTCCCATGTCTTCAGGTACAGGATCCCCTGACACCGTCTAGGGACATCGGGCTGAACCAGGGGTGCAGAGTGCTGGAGGAGGGGCCTTTGGACATCACCAACTAAAGGCTTGATTCGGAGTGTGGCCAGGCACCACGGCCAGCCCAGCAGGACACAGGATGCTGGAGCAGAAGAAGGCAGCGGGCCTGCCGTAAGTGCACACCTCTCCACGTGTTTCCGGTGTTTCTATCTCTGCAGGAGAAGCGGAGGGCTGTAGTTGTCAACCTTCACCTCCGGGCCCAGCCCTCCTCATGCACCTCTGGCAACTCCAGGGACCAATGCTCAAACAGCTGCCTCTGACAGGACCTTGGAGCATCAACAGCTCAGCTGGGTACACGCGATGCATGCAGAGCTACTAGGCACCCGTCAGAGAGCTTAGGGTCAGCTGGGTGTCCATCAGAGAGCTCAGGGGACCCTGCAGGCAGGGCTGCCCACTGGAAAGAACTCTGCATTTCCCAGGACCCAGTTTCTGTTGTTCAGTCACAGGCTTTCTGCACGTGAGGCAGTGCCTAAGTATCATTCCAGGTGGAGCACCATTCCCCGGAAGGTGTAGGGCCACTGCACTGATGGTGATATTCTAAACTCACACTTATTCCTGGAAGCGGTTCAAAACTCATTAGCTAGCCAGCGCGGCAGGGCTTCTACTTCCTAATTCCAGTAAAATCCTGGCTGCAAATCCTCTGCTATTGGGACACCTTTTCTTTGTTTTCAGGAATGTTAAAGGGTCACTGCCAAGTACTCAGGCCAGAGATTTATGGACTTACAGGCACAAAAGTTGCTGTCAGGTCTCCGTCGATTTGTAGACCTCAGAGTCTGCTCCACTGAGTCTGGCTCAAACTCTTAAGGGCAGAGGTGGGGACAGGGGTGGCTCCAGGGTACCGATCCACCTGGATGATTCCCCTTCTGGGAGAGAGAGAGACGGGGGCTTCCAGGAGAAAAGGTCCTTTTGAGGCCAAGGCTTAGGTGGGGCACTCTCTTCCCAGTACCTTCCTCTGGGGAGTTGGGTGGTTCTTAATGTCTCCACCAGGCAGTCACCTTCAAGGCCTGTGCATGATTCCAGCAGGCCCTCACAGGACCAGAGTCTGCCTCCTCTGAGGGCAAAGGCTCAGAACTCCACAGTGCTTGACTGAGAGCAACAGAGTATGTGTCCAAATAAATGCTGAATGGTGGGTGGTCGGGTGGGTGGGTGGATGGGTGGATGGATGGATGGGTGGATGAATGGATGGGTGGATGGGAGGGTAGGAGGATGGATGGATGAGTGGGTGGGTGGGTGGATAGAAGGATGAATGGGGGGTGGGTGGTATACATATGTGTGGATAAATGGATGGGGTGGGTGGGTGGATACATGAATGGGGGATGGGTAGATGGATGGGGGTGGGTGGGTAGATAGGTGGGTGAGTAGATGGATGGATGGATGGATGGATGGTGGGCAGGTGAATGGATGGATGTGCAGATGGATGGATGATGGGTGGATGGATGGGTGGGTGAATGGGTAGGTGGATAGATGGGTGGGTGGGTGGATGGATGGGTAGGTGGATGGATGGGTAGGTGGATGGATGCATAGTGGGTGAAGGGATGGGTGGGTGGGCGGGTGAATGGATGGGTGGGTGGGTGGGTGAATGGATGGGTGGGTGGGTGGGTGAATGGATGGGTGGGTGGCAGGATGGATGGAAGAATGGGTGGGCGGATGGATGGAAGAATGGGTGGGTGGGTGGATGGATGGGTGGGTGGCTGAATGAATGGATGGGTGGGTGGATGGATGGATGGAAGAATGGGTGGGTGGATGGGGTGGATGAGTGGGTGGGTGGGTGGGTGAATGGATGGATGGGTTGGTGGGTGAATGGGTGGGTGGGTGAATGGATGGGTGTGTGGGTGGATGGATGGGAAAGTAAACAGCTTCTGGGGTAGGCTTGAAAGTAGGCTCCACAGGTCCCATCTTCCTACTGGGAACCTGGAGGGAGCTAGTCCTATGAGGAGCTGACCTTGGCAAAGAGCCACAGGGGCCAGAGCTGTGGCAGATGTGGGAAGAATTCTCAGTGCCTACTAGTGGGCCCAGCACACAGGAGGCTGATGTTGCTTATGTCCAACTAGCACTGTTACTGATAAAATTGATCCATAAAAATCCAAATACGTTTCATGCCAGACAACCATTTGGTAGAACAGAAATTCCAGCCACAACTCAGAATATTATCCAGCTAAGTTCTATTTTGGAACTAGTGGAATTTGATATTAAAAAACTGTAGTGTTTAAGATATTATCCACGTCATTTCCTTCTTTGTTCTCTCCCTCCTTCTCTCCTTCCCTTCTTCCTTCTTCCCACCTTTCTGGGAAAACACTACAAGCAACGTAGGAAAGAGCAGGTGTGTGGCACAAACAGGCGTGTGGCTCAAATCTCATTTCCTTACAGAATCATGGTGCCCTGCTTCAGAGTGAGGCAGTTGGGAGGGCCTTCCGGAAGACATGGAGGAAAGTCAGGGCAGCCGACGAAGCTGGAAGCCCAGACGTGGAGTCGGCTGCCCTGGGTTCCACTCACAGTGCCACATACCAGCTGTGTGGCTCCAAGCAAGTTCAGCTCTGATCTGGGGACAACTGCCCTCTGTGGGAGAGCTGGTCCGAGGATTATAAATGCGTGCGTAAGGGGAAGGCAAAAAGCAAGGTGGCAACTCTCAGGACTACCGATGGGAACCTGTCTGCTTCTGGGACTGGGCGAGGAAGGACAGAGTGACCTGATCAAGGTTGCAGGCTAATATGGTTTGGCTGTGTCCCCACCCAAATCTCATCTTGAATTGTAGCTCCCACAATCCCCACATGTCATGGGAGGGGCCCGGCAGGAGGTCACTGAATCATGGAGGTGGGTCTTTCCCAGGCTGTCCCCGTGACAGTAAGTCTCACGAGATCTGATGGTTTTATAAAGGGCAGTAACCCTGCACATGCTCGCTTGCCTGCTACCATGTAACATGTGACTTTGCTCCTCCTTCGCCGTCCTCCATGTTTATGAGGCCTCCCCAGCCATGTGGAACTGTGAGTTCATTAAACCTCTTTTTCTTTATAAATTACCCAGTCTCGGGTATTTCTTTAAAGCAGTATGAAAATGGACTAACATACATGCTAACAAGCCAGAGCGGTCCTAGAGTCAGGGCTCCGGAGTCTGTATGCCAGACCCTTCCAACTCCAGCACCTGCCCAAGGCTGTGTGCTGCCGATTGTGGGAGGCAGGTTTTTTTGGGGTAGGGGCAAGTTGCACTTTGTGATAAGCCGCCCCAGCATGGGGAATGCTCACAGGCTGCAGAAGCCAGGGCAGCAACTGAGCCCCAGGGACAACCCCCAGGCCCAAGCCGCCAGGGCCAGGCTTTCAGGGCCTGCAGAAGGAGCAAAGGCAGGGGCAGGCATCCCCTGCAGGCCTGGCTGGCTGCCAAGCAAGGCCAGCTTCCGGATAAACGAGCCTTGTCTCCTGAAATGGGTGCCACACAGTAGCATTTTCTTTCTTTCTTTCTTTCTTTTTTTTTTTTTTTTGAGACAGAGTCTCACTCTGTCACCCAGGCTGGAGTGCAGTGGCACGATCTCAATGCAAGTTCTGCCTCCTGGGTTCACACCATTCTCCTGCCTCAGCCTCCCCAGTAGCTGGGACTACAGGTGCCCGCCACCACACCCGGCTAATTTTTTGTATTTTTAGTAGAGACGGGGTTTCACTGTGGTCTCGATCTCCTGACCTCGTGATCCGCCCACCTCAGCCTCCCAAAGTGCTGGGATTACAGGCGTGAGCCACCACGCCCGGCCCACAGTAGCATTTTCACAACCGATGAGCTCTATCTTAAAATAAGCGGAGCAGCCTGGGCCACCGAGAAGAATAGGCAGACTCAGCACGCGCATTCAGAGCCTGAGCAATGTGATGTTTTCAATTGATTTCTAAATACACACAGCTCAGTTTTTGCTCAACATTAGGTCTGTGGCTCCCAATGAGGAGAAATCACTTCAAAAATTGCTGGGCTTCACTGTGGGTGTCACCAGTGCTCCTAGCTACACATCTCCAAAGTGACAGAGGTGTCATCTGATAATGATTATAAAAAGATATGAATGAATCAGGGAGCGCAGACAAGACCACAGCTTGACATTTCAGAGTGGGATCTTAATCAAGACTGACAGTGTAATAGGAGCAGTCACATGATGTGGACTTCGCAACAGGTCCACAGGCTGGTTCTCACGGACTGGCAGGAATTAAGTTTATTACAACGGGATTATCTGGAGACATAAGCAGGGCGGTGAGGCAGTGAGAGCGGGGCTTCTCCTGCCGCCACTCCTGAACTTGGGTCTTAGCGAGCGCAGCTCAGCCCAGGCGCCCTGGGCAGACACTCACAACCTCCCCGGCCAGGACACCGCGCCTCCTCCTAAGTGGCTGGAAGCAGGGGGCTTGGAAGGTGAGTGTCCTAGACTCACCCAGGAATGGCGGTCCCTCTCCTGTCCCAGTGGGCCACGCTCCAGCAGCCTCTCATGAGAACACAGGAGGGGGAGCCGACCCAAAGCCCCCTGGAGGTGCTCTGCTCAATGTACAGGAGGGAACGCAGGAGCTGGGTGGAGACCAGAGCCCCTTTGAGGCCGCCCCGACCAGCCCCTGACAATGCAGACCCCGGGCCTACCCAGCAGGGAGCCCTCCACGGCTCATGTTTGGGTGAACACCTGTCTCGAGGTGCACACCTGCTAAGGAGCCCTGGGAGGTGCGGCCACGTCAGCACCTGTGGCTTGTGTCAGCGGTGTCCTCTGAGGTACTTCCTCAGCAACTGGGCCCCAGACACACAGTTCCGTGCGGGCAACTGGAACCAAGGGCCAGTCTTTGGCGGCCTCAGTGTTCTGTGCCTGACTGGTCGCTGCAGGAGCGGAACGGTGACTGAAGCACATAAACAAAGCAATAAAGCACATGACGTCACCCTCCCGCAAAGGCTCAGGGTGGGACTCAGAAGGGCTTTGGCCAAGCCAAAAGGCCTGAATCCAGGCTGGGCCCTCAGGGGAGACGGCTGCAGAGCGAGGGCTGGCCTCCTGGTATTCTGGGTTTCGGCCAAATAACGTGCTACGGCTGGAACGTTTGTGTTTCCCCCAATCCATCGGTTAAAATCCTCACGCCAAGGTGGTAGTATTAGGAAGCGGGGTCTTTGGGAAGTGATTGGCCATGAGCGGGAGCCCTCGGGGAAGGGATTGGTTCCTCTATGAAGGAGACGCCGAGAGGCCCCTCCCTGTTCCACCGTGTGAGGACATGGCAGAGGGTGCTGTCTATGAACCAGGAGCG
Source organism: Homo sapiens (assembly GCF_000001405.40). Classification (NCBI taxonomy): domain Eukaryota; kingdom Metazoa; phylum Chordata; class Mammalia; order Primates; family Hominidae; genus Homo; species Homo sapiens. The sequence goes on along the minus strand of NC_000022.11, from coordinate 47,138,788 downwards.
GGCCCTCACCAGATGCCGGGTCTGCCGGTGCCTTGATTATGGCCTCCCCGCCCCTAGATCTGAGAAATAAATGACTGCTGTTTCTAAGCCCACCATCTATGCTATTTTGTTATACCAGCCCGGAGAGACTAAGATGCTTGTCAATTGCAAAGCACGCAGATTTGGCAAACACCCTAAGACCCACCAAGGGGGCTCTCCAAGGACGGCCTTTGCCAAAACCTGCCTCCTACAGCTCAGGGGAGGGAAGAGGCAAGGTTCACTAGGGAGGCTGGCTGGGAAGCTGTGCCGGGACACACAGCTTCACTTCTCCAGAAGGACATACTGCTCGCTTCTCCCCAGCCTGCAGGTCATCACTGTCCACGGCCCTCCCTGTCCCCCAGAGGCCAAGAGCACCTTGGGGTGGGGTCTGTGTGTCCTACTGCTCGCTCCTCCCCAGCCTGCAGGTCCATCACTGTCCACGGTCCTCCCTGTCCCCCAGAGGCCGAAAGTGCCTTGGGGTGGGGTCTGTGCATCCTTAGCTGGGGGCACAGAGCACACTGCAAAGAGGCTGGGGCACAGATGCTGTCGCTTTTATAAACAGTAGCTCTGGCCACTTCTTCCTCGACAAAGTGATGGGCCGTGAGACAGCTGTGAGGTGCCGCTACCTGGACGATCCCACGAGGACTGCGGCTCACAAGGTATCTCCATGAGTGCCGGAGCCTCTGGACGCCAGGGGGACTAGGAATCCTATTAGGTGACAGTGGCACTGACGATGACACTCCACAGAGCACCTGTGTTTCTCCGGCATTTGCAACAACTCTGAGAGGGGGTGCCAGTAACATCACACGGATGGAGATGCTGAGCCCTGAAGAGGGAGGCGAAGGCAGGGCCAGCCCCTTTCAGAGATGCAAACTTCCTGTCTGAGACAGTTTCCTTCCCACTCCCCACTCCCGGCTCCCCGCTCCCCACTCCCCACTCCCTACTCTCCACTCCCGACTCCCCACTGGCAGGGACCCCACACTCCTCACTCCAACCTCGTGGGAGGCCCATTTTCATGACGATTTTCCCACTTGCGCCCACCCTTCTTCCCCAGTGGTAAGCAGCCATGAAGATACCGCCTGCTTCAGGGGCCAGGCTTGGGTGTAGCCCAGTGTGGCCGGTGAAGCTGGCTAGGCAGGCCTGCAGGGACAGTGGTGGAGAGGCTGCTAGGGGCAGGGGCAGCTTCAGGGCTCCAAGGGGCACAGAATGTGGGGCTTTGGGCAGAGGTATCCAGCACCCCTGCAGTCAGGGAGACCTAGGAAAGCTGCCCCAAGGGAGAAGGAAAGCAGGGGTGCAGGGAGGTGCAGGATGTCCTCGGCTCCTCGCTAAGGGGCAGTACATGTCCCCTCTTTGGGCAGTGAGGGGGCAGTGATGACAGGGCCGGGACGCCACCATGCTCCAGTGTCCACTCTGACTGGACCCCACCACCCCCTCCAGCCTCAGTGAGAATCAGACACACTAAATCAGAGAAGAGCAAATATTTTTTCTTTGCATGAGGAATTAAAAGATCAATGCAACTTCTTCTGTGTGCTTTATCTCAAAAAACAAACACCCCAAAGTTGAACTGAGAAATCCTACCATGTTTGCCCTGAAAATCCTCAAACTAATTAGGGTAACGAAATGAACACACCGTACAGATCCAGGGCTTCCTGGACTGGAAGTGGATCACGAGACGGCACGAAGACCTCCTCAAGAGCTTCCACTTTCTTCTTTTTATCTTATTTTACTTTCTTCTTTGCCCGCGCCGAGTGAAGACGTAGCCAGGGCCCGGGACCAGGTTTGCTCACACTCGCCACCTGCACAGCATGGGCTGGCGACACCCACAGCCCCGGGGCGACTGGGAGGAGACCTACCGTGAGATGGGACACCGGGACAGGTCTGGGGGCTCTGGAGAGGGGGCGAGTACACATCTGCCACCACCCTACCGATGCAACAGGGTGCAAGAGGGGTCCTGATGAGGCAGCTCCCGCTCTGAGGGCCACAGGTGTCCTGGGGGCACAGGCAGTGACGTCCACTGTCCTTGCTCACCTCAGCAGTCCTGGTCCCACGGGGCATGCACAAGCTCAGGGTGGGTGAGTGCTGAAAGGCCACTCAGAATCCCTAGGGACGAGGGGGCTCAAGCCCAGGACCCCTGATTGCCCGGGCTCTTGGTGCCACATGGCCCAGGGTTGGCTCCAAGGAACTGGGTCCACAGCCTCACCTCCTGGTCCCCCGTCCCCGGGTCTGGCCATCACTGAAACAAGCCTCCCTCAGGAAGGCTGGATGCCAGGGCATTTTACACCCCACATTTACACTGTTATTTCACACACAAACTGAGGACAACCAACCTACTCCTCCCAACGTCCTACAGCTTTGGTCGAAGCGTGGAGCTGGGTGCTGTAGGAGAGACCACCCAGGTCAGTGGTAGCCAGCCCCAGGATCTTGAGGTTGGGGGGAGACCGGCTGAATCCTGGGGCCAACGCCAAGTAGCCAAGTCCACCAAAGGGGCTGTGGGGACCTGGGGCGGGGGCCAGGACCCTCACTGCTCCTAGGAGGCTGAAGAAGGCAGATGGGCAGACAGTGGGCAAGGGCCCCCACCGCAGCTGGCACTGGGAGGCCTCAGGGGACGTGGTGGAGGGAGCCTGGGCCTTGGCCCCCGAGTATCCAAGGCCTTCCACACCATCGTGCCTCACTTCCCTCCGTACGTGAGGTTCTAGGAACCTCAGCCACTCATTCCTTTCCTTTTCCACTGCCCTCTCCCTGGAATCTGCAAACTCCTACCCGAGCAACTAGCACTGCCTCCTCAACCGGTGTCCCTGGCCCATCTACTCGGCCACAGTGACCTCACCACGTGTGTCCGGGTGGTCCTGGCACATGGCACGTGCTCAGTGAACAAGCGCTGGGCGAATGAACACAGCACTCCACAGTGACCTCACCACGTGTGTCCGGGTGGTCCTGGCACGTGGCGCGTGCTCAGTGAACAAGCGCTGGGCGAATGAACACAGCACTCTCCGCACACGCCCTGCCTAGAGCTTTTTGGTCACTTCCCCTCGACTTTCATTCCTTCAACAAGTACTAATCTAGGCACCAGGATCTCTGGGCGATTTAGAAGCCGAAGTATTGCAGAATCACCTTCAACTCCTCCCCACCATGGCTACCAGCCCTGTGGGACCCGGCCTCGAGGCCCCTCATCCTTGCCTTGGGCCATGCCCCACTACTGCCATCAATCCAGGGCCTGGCTCTGGCACCTGCGCCCCCCGAGTGGAACTCTCTGCAGTGCCCAAGGCACCAAGTGTTGACCACCCCACTTCTCCCCCTACCCCGACTGCTGCCTTCTCGCATGAACCCCAGGCTGTGCTTGTGCTTATTTTCTGGTTCACTCTCACTCCATCCTCCCTGCCAGGCCACAATGCCTGGGACCTCCATGCCCAGAGTGTCACCTGGTCCAGGACCCGTGCTTGATACATGGCTGCTAAATGAAGGAATCAGCGAAGAAGGAAATGGACCCACCGCAGACCCTCATCGAAGGACCGTGGGATTAACTGGGATGACGGGAAGCAGCGCCGAGCCCTGCGCCGGCCTGCCAGGGGGTTCTGGGAAGGCCGGCTGCCCACAGGTGGGCTCTGCACCACTCTTGTCAGGGAAGAGGCCCCATCCTGCTTATCCCTGAGGAAGACACTCGGCAGCAGAGCCACAGCCAGTGTCCCCTTCCCAGCTGGGGACTGGGGCGGGGGTCTGAGTCTGGCCACAGGTGCAAGAGGGGTCCCGATGAGGCTGGCTGAGGCCTGAGGGAGCGGGTAAGTGGCCAGCCCTTCAGGCATGGAGGTGGTGGGCAAAGGCACAGCCCAGGCTGGAATCAGCCAAGGCTCCGGGAGAGCTGGGCAGGGAAACTCTGTATCAGCCTCCCCTGTGGTGCAACATGCCCTGCCAGGCAGAGGACCCTGGAGGCTGTCTCCCTGCTGAACCCCCCATCTCAATTTGGGGGTGCTCGGTTGTCACATCAGAAACCCAGGACATGAGCAGAAAGGATGCCAGCCACACAGCACGAGGAATTCTTTCTGCAAACAAAGTCCAGGGGTTTGGTAGTGAAGCTGGCTGACCCCAGATTTGACAAGAGGACGCAGCCTCGTGGGTGGGTGGGGCAGGGAGGGTCCCACAGGACACTCCCAGGCTGCCAGTTGCTTTTTGATTCCTTTTACACCCAAGGTTTACATAAAAAGCTCAGGCACTCTCAGCCCTAGCTGCACACAAAAGTGACTCTGTCTCTCCAAGTTTCGCTGCCTGTCAACACTGGCTGATCCAGCCCTGAGTGAGGCCTGTCCTGGCCAGGAGCTGGCGAGGGGCGGTGGGCTACCAACCAGTGCTGCTCCAGCAGAACCCGCCTTCCTTCCACCCTGGCCCACCCTCAGGCCGGCGTCATTTGTTTCCATACAAGATTCTTTCGCGTGTCCTGAAAAGGCTGCAAAGTGGGAAAATGTGACAGCTGAGAGGGAGATGTTTTAATAAGACCCAGGATGTAATCACATTTCTTCAGGGACTGAGCGGATGAGCTTCTCCGAGTTTATCTGCCTTAGATATCAAACACCACCAATGGGATAATAAGGGCTTTTCAATTAATGATTTGAATGGGGGTGTAACTTTTTTCTTTAATGGCAAGACTAATTCACAGGCAGAAACGTGCAAGGGAAGAGACGCCAGCAAAGTCCCCTGCCCTCTGCCCCACAGGCAGGCAGCTTTCTTATGAGGGAGGCATGGGCAGGGCACCTTCTGGAATAACTGGAGTGGACACAGGGGACCTGCTCCAGGCCCACGAGAAAGGGTATTAAGTCCTGAGGTTGAAATGCCAACCTTCACCCAGTCAAGAGAATTTCTACTCTGGAAGGAATGGAGAGAGAGAGAGAGAGACAGCCCACGGAAGGATGTTTGGAGCTCGCGAGGATGCCCGGGGCCGTGTTGATCGTGCTGCCAGCCTGAAGCCGCTGCTGGATCAATGAAGTATTGGCATGACGTATGGCAAAGCTGCCTCGCGCAGGCACAGGGCCACACCACAAGTGTCACCGCCAAAGCTCCATGGCCCTCCTGTTTCCTGACAGCCAACAAGGGAGAGCTCCAGGCAAGGGTTCCAGGAGCCGCCGGTAAGTCCCAGGCAGAAGGGACCTGCCAAGTTCCCACAGGGGACAGACGACAGTCCTAAAAACGAATGTCGAAAAGCCACAGTCCCATCTTAAGCAGTATGTCAACTCTGCTGCACAGCTGGAATCACCCAGAATTTCACAACGGCATTGGGAGTGAAAATCAAAACCAGCACCCCCCACAGGCGGCCCTTTCACCTGGGGCTGGCAAATCCTTGGAATCAGCCTCCCGCTCTGGTACTGGGGCTGCCTCCGCAGGGTGGCTCACGTTCCTCTCAGTCCTTGTCCCCAGTACTTCAGAGGCCCCACCCCAAGCATATTAAAATGCAGCCAGACTCCACACTACGTCTATTTTTCCTTATAAAAACATGGAAAGAGCTGTATAGTTTTGCTTTGGAATTATCAGCTGCAATTCATTTAACTGAAAACTGGCTATGGTTTCTAAGATGTCCCTGTGCACACTTGGGAACCGCTGAGAAAACAAATTCTAATCCACAATTTATGCTCAAATGCCAAAGTTTATATGAATACAAAGTTGAACACTGAATGAAGTGGATAGGCTGTTACATTTTACAGGCGTCGCCTAAACATTTGCCTACTTCAATTTTTGGAGTTCCTTTTTTTCCATATCTCAATGAGCACACTTGGCTCCCTGAGACGGTGGTGGCTGTTCTGTCATGAGCTCACATCCAAGTGAGCCCTTCGGCGAGGCTGAAATCTCCAAATGAACTCCATGTCCACCCCAGGGAGTTCAAGGCCCTGGTTCGAACTGAAATCCAATGGCTCAGTTTATGTTTCAAGGTGCCATTTAGATCACATGGCGTTTCCGCGGACACTCGGGAGTTTCCTGCATCCCCAGCAAACAGCCCGCCTTCAAGCCAACGTGATGTGGGAGCAGGAACCTGCACCTCCCAACCTGCTGTACAAGGTGGGGCCATCACAGCCTCCCCCGGGACAAGGCACAGCAACCGTGGCAGACAATGAGAGGTCAGGAGCCAGGACAGGACTCCCAACACGGCCAGGGAAGAGGAAGAAAGGCCACTCGCACTGGGGAGAAGCAGGACCCAGGCAAGGAGGCAGCTCATGTCCTGTGGGGTCGGAGGCAGGAGTCAGTTTGGGTTGCAGGCCAGAGACAGCAGGGCGGGGCGGTGCAGGGACTAAGGCCGGGCAGGTAAGCAGCCAGGTAGCAGCGGGCATGTGCCCATGGTCCCACGGCAGAGCTGGCTGCTGAAGGGCTACAGGCAGAAGCATGAAGGGATCAAGCGCACATTCTAGAAAGCTCTCTCTGGCTGCATTCTGGAAGGTGGATCGGAAGGAAGCAGGAGTAGGGGCAGGCAGAGCCAGCTCCTGTGACAGTCCCAGAAGAACGGGGTGGCACGGGGCCAGAAGAGGGCTCAGGAACATGGGGTGCAACCGCCAGGCCTGACGACCAAGACTCGGGGGGAATCCAGGCAGACCCCATCTCTTCCAGCACCAAATGGGGGCTCCTAAAGGTGGGGTCCTAAAGGTAGGCTCCTAAAGCTGGGGTCCGGGGCTCTGGCGTCTCACAGCTTGTTTGATCATGGCCCTCAAGGATGTATGTGCAGAAACCGAGGGAGGTGCTAAGAAACTGGCCGCACACTGCACCCTTGCCATGCCACCATTACCGTACTTGACCAAAGTTTATCAGTCTGAAATGAACTGGGAGAAAATCTAAACTGGCCTTCAGCACAGAGAGTTTGGGAGGTGCTGCCACGAACTCGAGTGGCTCCACAGACAGGCTGGGATAAGCCCCAAGCACAGCTGGGCTTGGACGGGGCGGGCGCCCCGGGACTGTGCACTCACTTCTGGCTCCCATGTGGGATCGCTCTCAAGGAGGCTGCAGACCCCAGGGGCCTCTGCGAGAGAGCCAGGGTCACTGTGCACTGATGGGCAGATGCTCCCTTCTGCTGAGAAGGGGCCTGTCACTGCAGAGTGAGGCAAGATGACCAACGCCAGGCTCTGACCCCCACTGTCAGCAGGAATGGCCTTGACATGCCCTTGCTTCCCCAGGTGGCCAGGGTCCCATCGCATGGGCAGAGGCCATCTACTCTTCTTGCTCCAGCAGCAGGGGTAGAAGCTGGCTTGTTGCCCCCACATGGAGTCACAGATCACATGGAGCCCACAGGGGGCAGGGGGAACACTCCTGTGGCTGGAGCAGCCGCAGAGCTCATATTTCCTTCTGCTGCCCACAGAAGCGTCAGCTCAACCAGGTGGTGCAACGTTCACTACTGGCCGATTAACGAGCTTGGTTTCTGCAGCAGAGCAGGCAGGTTCACCATTTCTGCATTTCTGGAAGAACCCGGACTCCACCTGGCTGAGGACACTGCCCTCCAGGGATGCACGAGGTTACAGCAAGGTCTTACATGTGGCACTTGCTGAGTACAAGGACAGTGATACAGTTTGAATGTCCATGCCCTCTCAATCTCATGGTGGAATGTGACAGCTGGTGTTGGCAGTGGGGCCTGGTGGGAGGCATCTGGGTCATGGAGGTGGTTCCCTCACGAATGGCTTGGTCCCTTCCCTGTGGTAGTGAGTGAGCTCTTGCTCTGTTAGTTCAGGACAGAGCTGGTGGTGTAAAGAGCGTGGCACCCCTCCCCTCTTGCTCCCTCTCTCGCCACGTGACACGCCGGCTCCCCGTGCCTCTCACCATAAGGAAAAGCTTCCTGAAGCCTCCCCAGAAGCTGAGCAGATGCTGCAGCCATGCTCGTACAGCCTGCTAAACCCTGAGCCAAATACACCTCTTTCCTTTATAAATTACCCAGGCCAGGGTGTTCCTTTATAGCAATGCAAAGATAAGGTCGGAAATAAGGGGCTATCCAGGAAGCCCACCTTCTAGTAGGTACTCCGGAAACAAATATGGCAGGGAATTTAATTCTCAGGACATTTCCCACAGAAAAATCTTAGAGATGAAAACCTTGAGTTTTGCAGACCGCAGGGTCCCACAGACTGCTCCAGCAAGATGAGGAAAAGACATGTCACCACCACACTCAGGGCAGAGGTGTTGGGGAAGGAACGAAAAGGTGCAAACACAGGCCTAGAGTCACATGGCAGCGAATCTCTCAGAAGCAATGCTGGACACTGTAAGAGAGGAGAGCAAATTCCCGCGAAGCCTGCGAGGAAGTGGCTTCCACCTCCACCCTCCACCCTCCATCCAGAGAGAGGCCAGAAGGCAGCGGTATCCAGACATGTAGATCTCAAGGTAGGTCCCTGCCAGGCTCATTCACACAGAGAAGTGCTGAGGGGTGTGCTCTACCGGACAAGGAAGACAGTGAGGCAAACGTGGGTTTGGGAAGGGGGCTGCGCTTGGGGGGAGCCCGGCAGGAGGGGGTGTCCTGAGGAGGGGCCTAGAAGGGATGGGTCCCAGAGGACACGAGGTGTACAGCACCTGCTCTGCCTGCTCCTCCAGACACGCCCGCTCCGGTAACCTGTCTGGTGGGGAGGGAGGGAGTGGGTGGTTCACAGACTCCTAAGGGAGATGATTGGTGACACCAAGGAAAGTGACATGCTGTCCCAGAAAGGGATGACAGGCACAGTGCACGTGGTGACTCAGCGGCAGTGACGCTGACACAGCCCCACCCAGGTGACAAGTCCAGGCACACCACCCCAGGAGCCTCAGAAGGAAGGGCCGGGCACGAGGGCATGGCCGTGTGCTGGGACCACAGGGTAAGGAAGCCTAATTCTCAGCTTCCCTCTTCCGCTGTACAAATGCATTTCTAAACCTCAGAAATTAAGAACAGCATTGAGAGAGACAGAGAGAGAGGAAAAAACAAGAAAACAGTAGACACAGCAACCTGAAAGGCTGAGCGGCGCCTCTGGCGGTGTGAGGAGGCTGGGATGGAGGGCTGCTCTTTTTTGGTCAAAGTCTCTCAAAATTTCCTCTAATATATAACACATAGCTTTGATTAAATAAAAATTTTTGTTTTTTAAAAAGGTGTAGGCTTGGGGCATTAATACTTGGGAACAGCCCCAGGCCTGCCCCTCTCATCTTTCAGTTTCAAACACCCTCTGCTGAGCCTTCCTCTAGGAATGTAAGGTGACAGGAAAATGGCTAGATTTGTATGCCATAACCCTCAGGATCCTAGGGTCACCACCCACTTCGTGAGTGCCACGAAACTCAAAAGTTAACAGCCTCTTACGGTTTTTTGTTTTTTTGTTTGTTTACTGAGACGGAGTCTCACTCTGTCACCAGGCTGCAGTGCAGTGGCACAATCTCGGCTCACTGCAACCTCCGCCTCCCAGGTTCAAGTGATTCTCCTGCCTCAGCCTCCCAAGTAGCTGGGATTACAGGCACGTGCTACCACGCCCAGCTAATTTTTGTATTTTTAGTAGAGACAGGGTTTCACCATGTTGGCTGGGATGGTCTTGATCTCTCGACCTCGTGATCTGCCGGCCTTGGCCTCCCAAAGTGCTGGGATTACAGGTGTGAGCCACCATGCCCGGGCCAACAGCCTCTTAACTTTTATTACTATTCACACTGAATCATTAGTGGAACATGTGTTCCTAGGAGATCTGCTGAAGCTCATCAGTGACAGGACCTAGTAACTCCAGAAGGGCCAAGAGTCTTCACCAAGAGGTGACGGCACTCACCATGATAAACGGCAAAAAACGAGAGGCCTACGTATCCTGGTGAGCTGGCATCGTAGACATGCACCCGGCTACCCATGGACAGCAAGGCCCACACGCACACACTGTAAATAAAGTAACGCTTCTCTTCACTCTGCTGACGGTCCTGTTTCTTTGCCTGCCTCATGCATATTGCCAAGTGTGACTTCATGAAGAGCCGGGGATCTTGATGGGACTCTGGGGCCCATCTGCCTCGGACGCAGTACACAGCCAGTTACACCGTCGCCAGGTGCTTGCCCGGAGTCCACGTGACTGTCCGTGGCTTAGCCACGGTCATGGCCACTGGGTCAAGCAGGGCCACCGGGCTTGGGTTCCAGCTGCTCTTTCCCCAGAGAAAGTGGTATCCATCACAGAGAGGGATGATTTAATAAACACACGGATAGCTGTGAGCAGAGTCATGGAACGAAAATCGATTTTCTGCAGCCTCGTGCAGGACTCCATTTCTCTTCTTTGCAAAGTGCCTTCATGAGTTAAGTTCTTAAAGGAAAAATGATCACAGCACACCTGGGATCAGCAAGCTGCCCAGACCTCTCCCTGGAAGATGCCACTCAGGGAGCCTGCTGGGGGCACCGGAAGCCAGGGACGGAACACAGAAGGACCAGCTCCTCCTCCCTCCCCTAGCCACTCCTGATTCTCCACCATGGGGCTCCCTGCTGAAATAGGTGAGGAGCTGGGGAAAATGTGGAGCAGATGGGTGGGTGGAGGGGGGTGATGGGTGGGGTGGAGGGGGGTGATGGGTTGGGTGGAGGGGGGATGGGTGGGGCGGGGGGGATGGGTGGGGCGGAGGGGATGGTTGGGGGGGGATGGGTGGGGCGGAGGGAGGATGGGGGATGGGTGGGGTGGAGGGAGGATGGGGGATGGGTGGGGTGGAGGGAGGATGGGGGATGGGTGGGGTGGAGGGAGGATGGGGGATGTGTGGGGTGGAGGGAGGATGAGGGATGGGTGAGGGGAGGGGGGATGGGTTGGGCGGAGGAGAGGATGGGTGGGGTGGAGGGAGGATGGGGGGATGGGTGGGGTGGAGGGAGGATGGGGGGATGGGTGGGGTGGAGGGAAGGACGGGTGGGGTGGAGGAGAGGATGGGTGGGTGGGAGAGGCCGGAAACCCTCACCTCAGGGGGCTCCTCAAGGCTGGGCCAGGATGGCTCAGGTGAGAAGGCGAAGACCACTTGCCCTGAAGAGAACCAACATAAGGCACTTGCCACAAAAGCAGGCGCCAAGAGCAGCACATCTGTGAGCCCTGATGCGTGGAAGCCCACTCCCTGTGGCCCCAGCTCCTCCTGCTACCTGGGAAAAGTGCTCAGTGCCTGCCACTCACATTCTCTCAGTGAACAATGACGAGGCGGATGTTCTCTCTCCACACAGGAACGGGGCCGCCTTCCCCGACGGCAGTGGAAGAGCAAGCTGGCCACAGGTGCAGGCAAGAGCCCCTCAAATGAAGACTCTCGCTGCAATAATGAAAGCCTAGGAGGCCCACGTCAAAAGAAATCCAGGCTGGGCGTGGTGGTGGCTCACACCTGTCATCCCGGCACTTGGGGAAGCCGGGGTGGGTGGATCACCTGAGGTCAGGGGTTCGAGACCAGCCTGGCCGTCTCTACTAAAAATACAAAAAAAAAAAAAAAAAATCAGCTGGGCGTGGTAGCACACACCTGTAATCCCAGCTACTCGTGGGGCTGAGGCAGGAGAATAGCTTGAACCCGGGAGGCGGAGGTTGCAGTGAGCCAAGATCGCGTCACTGCACTTCAGCCTGGGTGACAGAGCAAGACTCTGTCTCAAAAAAAAAAAAAAAAGAGAAAAAGAAAAAAAAAGATAAAGACAAAAAAATCCATGCCAATTCCACATGGGGCAAGGAGTAGTTTTCTTTATCACTAACCAAGAATTTTCCATTTGCAAAGAGAGAAAGAGTGTTTTCCAGGGATCAAAAAAGACCAGAATTAATTTTTCCCCTGCCTGGTTTCCTGAGACCCCGAGGGTGGGTGGGTGTGCACGCACACGTGTGTATGTGGATATTGCGTGTATTGTGTGCACCCGTGCCTATGCGTGTGAAAAATCGGTAGCTCTGAGCCTCTCCTCCGTCCATCATCTCACCTGACCCTCCAGCAGCCCTAGAAGTACAGTGAGCCAGACGCTGCCATCTCCCCTTTCTGGACGAGAAGTTCAGAGATGTTCCAGAACTCCTCCCACTCACAGTCCCGCCCACCCTTCTGGGTCAGTGGAGGGATTTCCCTGGGTGCCCCCAGTAGAGGCAGGGCAAAAGGGCCACCCTCTGCCCTTGACATGGCTTCCTGGAACCACAGGGTCCCTGGGCTTCCCATCCCAGCAGGTGACACCCTGCCAGTCCTTGAGGCCTCCAGCCTACCGCTTCCTAATGCTCACTCCTGTTTCCAGAGAAGACAGCGCCAGGGGTCACTCCCTCCGCCCTCATTGGAAGGCCTGAGCTCACTGGCGGTGTAGTGCTGGAGCTGCTAGAGTGAGATGCGCTCAGGGAGCAGATGACATGTGGATGGGGAGAGCAGCCCACCCACCAGGCTGCAGAGACAGGATCCTGTGGGCCCCGGCGGGGCCTACGTACTGCTGGCCGCATGCTGGCCTCCACCCAGTTACAAGAGGGAAGCGTGGGCCACCTCCAATGCTGTTTACAGGAAAGGGCTCAGGAACCACAGGGGAAGGGGATCATGGCGTCCCTGTCTTCTGGTGGCCTGAAAAGGCTCCCTCTTTCTTAAAAAACATCTTCATCTGGCCGGGCACGGTGGCTCATGCCTGTAATCCCAGCACTTTGGGAGGCCAAGGCAGGCGGATTACCTGAGGTCAGGAGTTCAAGACTAGCCTGGCCAACATGGTGAAACCCCGTCTCTACTAAAAATTCAAAAATTAGACGGGCGTGGTAGCGTGTGCCTGTAGTCCCAGCTACTCGGGAGGCTGAGACGGAAGACTCACTTGAACCTGGGAGGCGGAGGCTGCAGTGAGCCAAGATCGTGCCACTGCACTCCAACCTGGCCGACAGAGCGAGACTCTGTCTCAAAAAAAAACAAAAAACAAAAAAAGGAAACATCATCACCTTCCTTTGTGTTCCCACGTGCTCTGAGTGGGCACTGCCCTCTGGCAACTGACTATCTGGACACCAGGAGAGTCACCTGTACTTGACCATCCTGGGACACCCGATGTTGGCTGCTCCAGGAGCCCCAGCTGGGCTCAGGCTGGGGTTGGCCTGCCGCATGCGGGTCCCTCTCCACAGCAGCCGGTAGGGGGCCCTTGGCAAGGGACATCAAAGAGATGCTGGGAAGTTCTTGCAGAGTGGCCCAAATTTCTCTTGCCTTAGTTGAGCCACAGAAAGAAAGATCTCATTACTTGTTTTAGACTTAAAGATCCCTGCAAGTCACCCCAGAGTCTCTCCCAACAATCCTGTTCCTTCATCTTAACTCACACTTCATCTTCCCAACCTTTCATCATTTCCTCCAGGAAGAAAGCTATTAAACTCTGCAGCCCAAACCCCACTTTCCCCAGAAATGATTTGAACCTTCCAATTCTACTGCATTATCATAATGAGGGGTATAATTTAATAGGGAGCTTTTCGAAGTATAAAGAAGTTACCTGCTGGTGTCACCGTGTGAGGACTAGGAACAGAAGATGCTCTGGGTGTGTCAGGCCTCCCTGCTCCCCCAGGTCTCCAGGGCACGCCTCTTAGCTGTGCCGGCTTCTGAGAAAGCCCCGCCCCGGGGAACAAAAGAATGTGTTCTGGAAGACACTGGGAATCCCATGGGCTCTCCGGGGACGGTCGCCCTCCCTGAAGTGTGAGGAGGAACCCAGGGGGGTGCATTTGGCCATGCTGGCGGCAGATCTTGCCGGAGCCTGGGGACTCGGGGACTCAATGGGGCAGAGATGTCGCCCCTTGCCTGGGTCTCTGGAGGGCGCTGCCCCATGGGCCTGGGGCAGGAGTGTGGTCACTGTGCTGGCCACACCTGGTCCCTGTGCTCACCCTCAGCATGAAGGCTGCCTCCCCGCCACCCTCTGCAAGCCCCTGCCCCTCCCTCCTTTACAGGGCTTGTCCCACCCACGCTCCTTCAGCCTCTATGTCTCCACTCCCGCCTGGCCCAATCTCTGCAGGCACCATCTTTGTCCTCTGTCCCCTCCAGGCCTCTGCCCGCCTGTCCTCCCAGTGGCCCTGCGGCACTGCTGCCTCAGTGTCCTCACACCAGCTGTGCTCAGACTGGCGGACCTCGGTGGAGCCCAAACTCATCACCTGCTTCCCCCGCGGGCCCCTCACTGCTCCTGAAGGCCCAACGCTCCTCCAGGATAGAAGCCCCCCGTCTGTCCCCCTCGCCCTGCGGCCCACTCCCCAAGCCCTGCCTCTGGGACCAGCTTGCCTCCTCCATGCCCCTCGGTGCCACCTGTGGCTGAGAGGGCAGCACCCCGTGCCCAGCTGATTTGCCAACTCCACACCAGGCATGTGTTAGCTCCGAAAATGACGTGCACAGAGGCACAGGCAGGTCCCCTCCCCATAGAGCTTCCACCTGCATGCCCATGCCAGGCCCAGGTCAAGAAGAGGCAAGGTCCCAATGCGTCCCAGGACATGCGCCCCTAGGCTGGCTCGAGGGCCTGGCGTGGGCAGCCTGTCCTCCAGGCGGCTCTCAGCCCTGCTTCACTCAGGGGTTTGCTGTCCTCTTACCCAGCTCTCCCACAAGGAAAGCTCTGCTCCCTCCTCACAGCTGAGCCCAGGTCCCAGCTCCCACGGCGCCCTTCCCTCTGAACCCTGCACATCACCACCCCATCCCCAACCTTCCTGCATTTACCCTGCAGTTCTTGCTAAAACACAAGGGCAGCGCCCACCCCCACCGCAGCAGCAGGGATTCAAATGCTCAGCTCAGGCGTGCCCTCCCCCGCTGACCCAAGAGTCCCCTTCTCTCTCTGCCGCTCCCACACAAGGACCCCTCTTCGGGGAGGCCTAATCCGGCAGTAAGCGCACCCACCATGGACCTGCCATGTGCCCAGCCGTTGTCAATGGTGTCCTCTTTCCTGTTTCACGGTGTTGCATCAGAACATGGGAGGCAGGCATGTGGGCCCCCAAGAGCTTCTGCTCAAGAATGGTCCAAAGAGCTAATACCACATGGCCACACAAACCCCACACAGCAACACAAACCCCACACAGCAACACAAACCTGATCTCACAGCACGCATGACCCTGCAAACCCCACACTTTCACACATGCAGCAACCCGCACACAAAGGCACAATTCACTTCAGAGATTACTTTTCAATTGACCCAATTTTGTCTTTAAAATGTCTTGAAACAATAAAGACGGAGACAACGATCTCTACTTTGGCATTTCATGACATTTGCTGCTTCCAGTGAACACAGGATGAAAGAGAAACCTGCATGAAGCCATTAGCCTGTCGAAGGCTAATGCAGCATTGCAAGATCAGTCCCATTTGACAGAGACATGGCCCACTGCCACGGGCCATTCTGTGAGCCAATGGGCAGGTTGAGGCCTGACGGACTCACTAAATGGGTCCTGGGTGTGAGTTCACTAGTGACTCAAGACAGCAATGGACTGGCCCAAAAGGATGCTGGAACTCCAAATGAAAGCATGCAGAAAAGCATGTCTATCAGGACTGGGTGCACAAACATCCTGCCAGCCGGGAAACAGCCCTTCCATTCCGACCACGCGCCAGGTGCTCGGCTGGGTGCAAAACCACGGCCTGAAACCCCCAGTAAGCACAGCAAGGGGGCTTCACAGGTGAGGGGCCTCCAGCAGGAGTCTACACCCTCCTGGAGAGAATGGAGGAAGCGTCACCCGGGAAGCAGCTGGTGCTCTCTGTTTTCAGGCCAAAGGGAAGGGCTGGGTGGCCAGGAGTAAAGCAAAGCGATTCCACCCACCTGCCCCAAAGTCTTGGCAGACGGAACCTCACGGGAACACCCCTCAGCCTCCTGGAGGGGCTGAGACCTCATCGTCATTAATAATGTGGTTCTTTCAGGTAAGAAAAAACTAGAAATGATAAATCTCCATGTGCAAACCCCATCTTCTCTCCGCCTCCTTCCAGGTATAATTCTAAAGCTGCCATTGATCTTTAAAGCAACCTTTAATTACCCTGAGACCCCAAAGTCCAAATAGGCCAAGGCTCGAGCTAAGGAGTATTTGCTTTGAGGCCTCTCATGAAGCAAATGAAAGGGACTCCAGGGGTCTACAGCCAGAGAGGCTGGGCACACCCTGGCACCAGCTTCCGAGGCCAGGGGACGGGTGAGGAGGGATGCCTCGCCGCTGCTTCTGCGCAGTGAAGCCTGCCTGGGTCTCTGCAGAGCACAGGGCTTTTGCTGCTGTTGTCTTTCCTACTCTGTAAATCACAGATGCCCAAGAGAACCTGTGATGTCTTTATTGCTTATCTCCTTATCAAAGATCCCTGAAGTCTGAGGCTAGTAGCATTTAGGGCGGCCTCCTAAGGGGCAGTGGGTGACTTCCAGACTCATCAGGTGGCCATACATGGGCTGAGACCACCTCCAAGTAGGGGCTGGGCCCAGGGGACCAGGTGGCCAGCTTGGAGGGGCTCAAAGGTCACGGACTGGAATTTGGTCCACTGTGCACACAGATCCTCACAGGTTACTCAGAAATGACCACACTCACCCCCTCCTCTGTGATGGGACACTGAGGACCCTGGAAAGAAGCCCAGGCCCATGAATGAAATGTGGCCCTTATGTCATCTACAGGCAGTACAGGGCAGTTCGGGAAACCTCGTCATGGTGGCTCAGCCAAAGGGAATGCACAGCCAGCCTCAATGGCACTTTGTGCAGCCTAGGAGCTGGGGTGACCTGCAGAGTCCACCCACCTCTCTCTTCCCACAGCCCCTCTGACCCTCTCACACTCTCATCCCCAGCTCCTCATCCCCAGTGCCCCTCATGTGTTACCAGGGAAGCATCTGCTAACTAAGTCTCCACCAGACGAGCAGGGCACGCCTCTTGCCTTGAGGGCCATGGGCCTGTGTGCTCTGTGTTGAGTGATGTGTTTGCACATGTGCATGTCAGCGAGCTGAGGGGACATCTGAGGGATGGACATGGCAGGACACCTCAAGGCTGGATGCGGTGGGGACACCTGAGGGGCAGGCACGGCAGGACACCCGAGGGGCGGGCGCAGTGCGACATCCTAGAAGAAGGGCAGAGAACCCAGAGCCCAGCATTCTGAGCTCCAGCTCCAAGCCACGAACCTCACAAAGCAGCCGAATCCCCACAACCATCCTTAACGTGGGAATTAACCCTAGTGAGAAAACCATGTTTACACATATTGAAAAGAACATGCAAAATACAAAAAAAAAAAAATTTTTTTTCAAACAAGAAAATAAAATATCCATAACTCTACTAATGAAAACTAAGTCAGGCTAGCACCGTGGTTTGTTTCTGTTCGGTCTTTCTGTCCACGCGTGGAATAGAAGCAAATCTGGGATCATTTTTATCTGTATTACATATGTCGATATATACAATTTCAGGTCATGCTTTTCCTCCACATAGAAACGCAATGAAAACATTTGCTCGTTTCAGTAAATATTACTTGAAGATGTAATTTTTGGTAGTTATGAAACATTATAACCAGCCATGTACCATAACTTAGGTAACTGTACCCCGAGAGCTGGATATGCAGGCTGCTGCCAATTTGTTTTTCCATAATTATAAACAAGGAGAATTACTGGATCGAGGAAAGGCTCTTGATATAAATTATTAATAGCTCTGCAGAAACGCTGTGTATCACACCCCTCATCAGAATGAAACAGCATGCCTGCTTTACGCCAACTTCATCCACTTCCAGGAGGCCCCTCGCTAAAAGCGGTGCTTATTTGAGAGAGCATTTGCTTCCATTTTCGATTCTTTACTAATGATTGGAAGAAACACTTACATTTTCTGGATAGCTACATAAATTCTCATGTGGGTTTCTGACTGTTCCGATTGTCCTCATCCATTTTCTATGAGGACATTTTCTTTTTATTAGTTATTTGTGTGAGTTCTCTGCATATTAAGGATATAAGCTACGTTGTGAATGAAGAACTTTGTCAACTGCCTTTGAATTTTGTTTATGATGTTTCTGGTAGACGGATATTTCCAACTTCTATGTTGTGCTTAAAACGTGCCACTCTAGAGTGAACTGGCATTTTCTTGGGCTAGGCACCTGGGGCTCTCTGGCCATATTAAGTTAACTTGTTAGCATAGGGTTTTTCAGACATAAAAGTAAAGTAACTTCTAGACCTAAATGAGTGAAAGGGTGAGCTGGGGTCAGGAATTTTCAGAGGAGACCTGCTTTTATTCCTCTTCCCTTCAGAGCTAAGCCTCAGGCAAGCATGAACCTACAAGGGCCATTTTGTCTGTCTGTCCTGGTTCACTTGCTTGGGTTCAGGGGTCCTGACGTAGGCAAAGGGTCTCTGACTCACATCCACCTGCTCCAGCCCCAGGCCTTCTACCCTGCCCTCTGCCAGGCTGCTTACACTGGGGACCTGGTCCCAGAGCAGGAAGCAGCAGACACCTTCAGGGCAAACACTAGTTCTAGGGCTGGCTTACTCTTCTCAAGAGCCCATGAACTTAAAAAGCATTTTGTTAATATCCATGTTGTGTGTGCGTGTGTGTGTGCATGCAGACTGTATGGGGAGAGGACAAGGAGCCTTCGCTGAACATTTGTTCATCATGTTACAAAAACAGAAGAAATCGTCCTGATCTCAGTGGGGCTGTCTCTAGCATTTCCCTAGGTACTGGTGGTTGTTGATTTAAAATGTTCTTAGCATGTTAATAAAGTATTAATTTTAGTTCTACTTAAGGGCAGAAGTTTTTTTCTTTTCATTAAACTCAGGAAAAGCTACTGAATCTCTTAAGGTATCATGGGATTGAGGGCCTCTGGTTTATTGATAGGATATTTTTATTAATAGTGCAAGCCGGACAGAGTTACAGGTGTGCTGGCCTGATCTCTGAGGCTAACTCTAGGCTGGCATCCAGGAGCATGGCTACATTCCAGTGGTATTTTTATGGGATATTTTTTATTTTATAATATTGATGAAGGCAGGCCTCATGAATGGGATGGGTGCCGTGAAGGAGGCTGATGGGAGCGCCCAGCCCTCTTGCCCTCCTACCTTCCACCACATAAGGATGCAGTAACGAGGCGCCCTGGACAGACACCAGAGGCCGACGCCTTGATCTTGAACTTCCAGTCTCCAGAACAGTGAGAAATACATTTCCATTGTTTATAAATTACCCAGTCTAGGCCTGGCACGATGGCTCATGCCTGTAATCCCAGCATTTTGGGAGGCTGAGGCGGGCGGATTACGAGGTCAGGAGTTCGAGACCAGCCTGGCCAACATAGTGAAACCCTGTCTCTACTAAAAATACAAAAATTAGCCGGGCGTGCTGCCACGTGCCTGTAGTCCCAGCTACTCAGGAGGCTGAGGCAGGAGAATCACTTGAACCCAGGAGGTGGAGGCTGCAGCGAGCCGAGATCGCCCCACTGTACACCAGCCCGGGTGACAGTGTGAGACTTCGTCTCAAAAAAAAAAAAAAAATTACCCAGTCTAAGGTAGTTTGTTATAACAGCAGGAATGGACTAAGACACTCCATATATGTGGAGAGAGAAACTGGCAGATGTGGGATCCTGCACAGAAGTCACTGATGATTCAGCTGAGACAGGGTGCTGGGAGCCATGTGTCCGGGTGGCCAGCTCTGTGAGACGGAGTGCCAAGCCTGCTGCTTCTTTCCAGCGGGGCAGGTCACACAGCATAAGGATTTTTGAAACTGAACAAATTTACTAGGAAGACATTTTCTGGCCTTAGAATCATATTTAAAACCAAGACTTTTGGCAATGTTTGGATTTACTCCCAAATTATAAGTCTATTCAAGTTTTATTTTATTTTATTTTGAGATGGAGTCTTGCTGTCGCAAGGCTGGACTGCAGTGGTGTGGTCTCGGCTCACTGCAACCTCTGCCTCCCTGGTTCAAACGATTCTCCTGCCTCAGCCTCCCAAGTAGCTGGGATTACAGGCATGCGCCACCACACCTGGCTAATTTTTGTATTTTTAGTAGAGATGGGGTTCCACCACGTTGGCCAGGATGGTCTCAGTCTCCTGACCTCATGATCACGCGCCTCGGCCTTCCAAAGTGCTGGGATTACAGGCGTGAGCCACCGCACCTGGCCAGGTTGGGCTTTTTTTAAAGCTTATCTTGAGGCAAGTTTAGCATTTTTTAAATGTATGTGTGTGTGTGTGTGTGTGTGTAAATTCCTCTTTCCTAACACAGAGGAGGACTATGTTTTCAGCCATCTATCTCGGTCCTCCTTGCTGGAGGTCTGCCTATTTCACTAACATTTCCAACTGCCCCTCTAAGATGTACTTAGGAATTCTACATAAAAACCCTGTCTTCTAATCTATTCATTTGCTTTTACTCATTCATTCTTTTATTGTCTTTATCATAAGTTGTCTTTATTTTTCTATTTTTAACTTCTTGGTTAAAGGCTTAGTTTACTTGTTTTAATATTTTTAATTAATAAAAGCATTGCATCTTTGAATCTGTTTGCAAGCCCAGCACTGGCACATTCCTTGTGCTTTTGAACATCCTTCTGTAATTACAGGGTCATTTCCACTGTGACCCACATTATTTTGAAGGGGGTTCTTTAACATCCAAATGCTTGGTTTTTCATTTTAACTTTATTATGATCTAATTTTAAAGTATTATGCTCAGTGAACAAAGTTTATGTCATTGCTGTTTTTTTATTTTGGAAATGTTTATGGCCTAGGTTGGGTGATTACTTTTTGTAAGTATTCCATAAATACTTAGAAAGAAGATGCATTCTTTGTTGGTACAAATTCCACCCAGAACTCCCAAACCACTCCTTTTTTATGCCATTCAGATTCACAATCCACCTTATTTTTTATGTATTTTTTTTGAGACGGAGTCTCACTCTGTCGCCCCGGCTGGAGTGCAGTGGTGTCATCTCGGCTCACTGCAACCTCAGCCTCCCAGGTTCAAGTGATTCTCTTACCTCAGCTTCCCCAGTAGCTGGGATTATAGGCGCCCACCAGCATGCCCAGCTAATTTTTGTATTTTTGGTAGAGACAAGGTTTCACTATGTTGGTCAGGCTGGTCTCGAACTCCTAACCTCAGGTGATCCGCCCGCCTCTGCCTCCCAAAGTGCTGGGATTACAGGCAAGAGCCATCGTGCTCAGCCCCCGCCTTATTTTTAATCCAACTAAATATGCTTAAACTTTCCTCCTATGGTTGCTTCACTGAATATCTTTGTATGTTTTATACAGTTTTAAATTCAAGTTTAATACAAAGACAGGAAAGTGCACAGATCACAGCCTCTACAAGGAGGTTTCCGACGAAGCTGGCGCTGGGCTCCTGTGCTCCCGGGAGCGTCCTGCTTTCCTCGCTCCTGCGGCCGCTGCCAGACCCTTGTTGGGAGAAGGCCAAGGTGTGGGGTGACTCTCCCTGCTCGATGCCACGGTGTGGGGTGACTCTCCCTGCTCGATGCCACGGTGTGGGGTGACTCTCCCTGCTCGATGCCACGGTGTGGGGTGACTCTCCCTGCTCGATGCCACGGTGTGGGGTGACTCTCCCTGCTCGATGCCACGGTGTGGGGTGACTCTCCCTGCTCGATGCCACGGTGTGGGGTGACTCTCCCTGCTCGATGCCACGGTGTGGGGTGACTCTCCCTGCTCGATGCCACGGTGTGGGGTGACTCTCCCTGCTCGATGCCACGGTGTGGAGTGACTCCCTGCTCTACCCAGTGTTTTCTTCTTGAAATCCGAGGACACAATTTTTCCTGCTTCCTCCATGCGCCATCCTGCCCCGTCCCTGCTCGTCTTTTCATATTGCTCATGGCTGCTTATATTCTAGCTGCCAATCCACCCGCGGCGCCAAGTTCACCAAATCACTTCACATTGCAGAGCAGGCTGTTACAAATCCACTGTTACGGGAAGGCCACCCCATCCTCTCTTTGCCTCGCTCCCCAACTGGCTCCCCTCTCCCCCATCTATCACTTCTATTCCCTGGTCCCTGCCCACCTGCCGACCCCCGCAGAGCAGTCCCTTCATGCACCTGCCCCTCCCGACTCGCCCTGCCCCTTGAGAGCAGAACCTGACAGCACAGGGCCTGGCTCAGGGCGAGGGTTCCAGGGGCATTCAATGAAGGAATGAACAGACCAGCTGAGGCTGTGAAGCCCACGGTCACAAAGCCAGACTGAGCCCCTCAACCTAGGCACTGCACACACCTGTGTGTGTTTGGCTTCCCCACTGAGCAGCTGGCAGATTCACACAACTCAGTCCCAGAGCCAAAGGGGACAAAGGTGAAGGCTCCCAGGCTGGGCAGCTCGGGCTGGCACCTGCTGGTCCTTCCCATGCAGCCCATCCAGCAGCTGGGGCTCCCACAGAGATGCAGGGCCCAGGGCCAGGCGGCCACAGACTGCCCGGAGCATGCTTCCAGAGCAAGGGCCCCAGCCTTCCACGATGCCGCTCTGGTGCCTCCTCGCCGCCTGCACCAGCCTCCCAAGGCAGGCAGCCACCATGCTGGAGGAAGCTGCTTCTCCCAACGAGGCTGTCCACGCATCAACATCAGGCAGTGGCGCACTCACTGATCAGACATTTACAGACCTCTCAGCTGCCGAGGCCTCCTCAGAGGAGGTTCCTGACTTCATGGAGGTGCCACACTCTGTTCACCATAAAATTAACTGCTTTTTCTACTTAGAAAAACAACTCTGCCAACTGCCGTCCCCACTGTGTCTAAGCAGCTTGCTTACTTTAAAATTAAAAACAACGGTCCCAGCTCCTGGCAGGTGGTGGAGCTTCCAGCCTCACAAGGCATTCCCACTTCTGGTGGGCACTCCTGGAAGCTGGCAGAGCACAATCGATCCCGCGTGGGCGGCCCCCTCTCAGCCAAGCCCAGGGTGAGGGCAGTGGGGCTCCAAGGAGGGGAAGCTGGCGAGGATGGGGGCCGGCGGGGAGAGGGCGGCCTGCAGGGCGTTTAGCAGTTGGACCCCCAGTCCCCTGGGAAGCCAAACTGAGAGGTTTAGACTTGGGGGGTAAAATGGATAAATGAAGATGTTCCGGGATAGCTTATTTTCTAATTTTACAATGCCGTGCTTATTAATCAGGAAAAGATCCCAGTAATGCCGACATCAGGCACTTAAACTACACCCCCAGCCGGTCAGAATGGGCACAGGACATGGCTCAGTTCTGGTTTTGCGCTCGTGTCCCAGCAGTGGGGGCCACAGAAGGTTTCCGCGTGGGTCATGACATGCTGGAGCTGGCCTTTCTAGCACTCACCGTGCCACGTGTGCCTGAGGAGGGTCTGCAGGCCCAATCAGCAGGGGCGGGTGGCAGGTTCCTAACAGAGGGGACAGCGGATCCCAAGGGAAAGCAGGGTCCCTGCTCGCCTCACCCCTGCTGGGCCCCAGTGTCCTCTTACTGTGAAATGACCCACAGAGGGCAAGGACGGGGTAGAGGGCACCAAGCGGGCACCGCGGGACACACAACTTTCCACACAAGCATGCTCCTTTCACCCCCAAGACCCTACGAAAGTCTGGTGGGAGAGTGGCAGATGGAAGGCACAGTCCATGCTGTGAGGGCTGAGGCTTGAATCTCAGTGGCTAAAGGGGCGGGGCAGGGCTCAGCGGAGAGGCCCCACTGGACATCAACATGTGGAGCCGGGGGTGGGGTGGTGGGGGGCATTAGGAAACGCCCAGGGCAGGGCTGTGGAGCCACATACATATAGCCTGCGGATTAGCAATGCAGATGGCATGGGGCATGTGCCTGAGGGCAACCACCCTTCCTGAGGACCAGCAAGCTCTGGCAGGGGAGGTGGCAAAGTGGCAATCCTCCAGAGAAGCACACACCTCCTGGGGCCCAGCGCTCAGGACAGGGCCAACGTTCACTCCAGAAGGTGCCGCCATCCAGGGGCCAGGAGGCCCAGAGTGCAGCACCAATCCCAGCTGTGCCCCTCTCCGCCCCACCTCACCTCACCCCGCCCCGCCCCGCCCCACCACTCCCTGCTCCCCGAGCCCTGCCCAGCAGGCCCTGGAGGTGGCTCACAGATGGCAAGGAAGCAAACCATGCCCGCATGAGGCTCAAAGGCCAAGGGGACCTAGGACACAGGCAGCGCCCTCACCTTCCCCGCCTGCCCAAGTTTTCGGGAATTAAGGGGCAGCGTGACCCATCGCCCCCTCCCTGGCCCCTGAACTGCTTGGCTCTGCTGTTTAACAACAGGAGGGTCTCTGCCTTTCTTCTGGGAATCAGAAAAGGATTCTGTTCCTGTGGAAAAATGACTTAAAGCCACACATCATTTCCCAAGGGACAAATCACAAGGCTGCAACAAATGAGGGCTTTTAAAGCCGCTTTCCACCAACGTTCCACTGTTGGGGAATCATGTTCTGGGCCCTACTCGCTCAGGTGGCCTCCCATGGATGCGGAAGCGTCTTCCTAAAATGTCACAACTGCACACACACATTCCCCGTGCTCACCAGGACTCCTCAGGTTTGTAACTTCTGTTTCTCACCTCCTTTCCCATTGGGTTCAGTGCCCACAACACATTGTGGCACTCACAGCATTCTCTCCATCCAACCCCTCACTCACAGCATTCTCTCCATCCAACCCCTATGGCATCAAAGAACCAACTTCCTCTTCCTCTAAAGGAAGAAAATCAATCTCATGGCTCCTCTGCCAGCGCCTCCTCCCGGTTCCCCACTCAAGTCACAGGGGCCCCACAGGCTCTCAGAGTGTGCACTCCACCCCACACCCTGCACCCCACACCCCACACCCCACACCCCACACCCTGGCCGTGTGGCTTTGCCTGACTCCTGTCCTCCCTTCATCTCAAGTTAAGTAGGCCGGGCTCAGAGAAGGCTGGCCAAACATTTTAATCAGCTGCCCACGCTGCACCCTCTAATAGCAGCAGAGCAATGTCTCCGGCCCAACAGCAAACACAATGTATCCCTCACAGAAAAGCCCAATGAGCTGCGGCAGGGTGAGGAATGAGGGCACCTTGTCACTTGCATCTGTCAAGGCTGCCATCAATTCCGTTTCTTGGTCCAAGTCTGCCCCTGCCAGTGGCCCCTGGATGGGACCACCACATGACAGGGTGGTAGGAGGCCCACTGCCCACCCAACACCACCCTCTCATGACCCACCTCCCCCAGACCTAGCTCAGGTACCCTGGCATCCACAGCTGTCCCTATCTCCTGTCCTTCACCCTGAGGGGCTCATGGCCTGCTTCAGCCTCCAGGGCCGGAGTGACACTTCTGCACGTATTCACAACAGGAAGAAACCCCGCCCACAAGCTCCCACGGCCAGTGTGTGTCTGGTCTGCCTCGAGCCACCTTGTGACACTGTCCCTATTTGGGAGCAGACAGAAGAAATGGAGTCGTCAATGGAGGCACAGCCTTTTGCTGAAGGTCAATCATTTCTTTACTGTTCTCTCTCCCCAACCAGAATGTGCTCAGGGTCCATTCCTCGCATATGTGTGGCTTAGAGTCTGCCCAGAGTGGGGCCCAGGGTGATTTCTGGAGACGATGAGACATGGTCTGTTGTTAGCATGGGCCTGAGCACAGTGCCCTGCAGCTTCAGGCACACCCCGAGTCCTCTCCCACCCCACCTCCCACCACCAGGCATGGCTGACCCAGGAGGGCAGCAATGTCTGCCCAGGGCCTCCAGGGAACAGAGCTCCCCAGCCAGCCAGTCACAGACACCACCGAGGCAGGAACATCCAAGCTCCATGGCCAGCCCAGTGACTGACTCTCGGCAGCCAGCCGCCTTCATTTGGAGAGCAAGTCCCCTGGGAGGCTCTCCGGGAGGCAGCATACAGTTGTGTGTGCTGGCCGGTGGGAACCAAGCACTCTGGGCACCGTCCTACCAGGAGTGGCCGCTGTGCACCAGAGAGGCTGGGCCCTTCTCCCTACAGGTAAGTGGCCAGGCCAGTGGGTGCCTGCTGCCTGCCCAGCCAGCACTGCTCTCTGCACAGATGGAGAGCCTACTGTGGAGGACAGCAGGAGGCTGGCCAGGAGACCGCAGTCTAGGCCCCATTCATTCCATCTTACTTGGTGACACAGCAAGTCATGGCCCCTCTTATCGCCTCCACATTCCCCTGTGCAAAGTGACGAGTGGGCCAGATGGGCCAGGAGGCCCCAGCCCCAGCAGCCTTGCATCAGCCGGGCGGAGGGGCAGGCCAGGTGCACCCTACTCACTTACAGACCATGGCTGGGAGAGGCAAGGCAGGCGTGTGTCTGAGATTGAGATGCCAATCACCGCCTCAATGCTCCCCGCAGGGCACAACCGAGCCCCACACTGACAAAAAGGCAGGAGCTAAGTTAGCAGAAGGAGCGTCTTGTCCCATCCACCTGCGAACACCCGGGCTGGGTTCCATCTGCTGGGCCAGGATCTGTTGGCAGCTCTTGGCCTCGGTATGGCCCTCACCTGTCTGGTCTCTCCTGGGGCCGAGATGAAGCGGGGCGGCAGGAGGTCCCTGGCTCCTCCCAAGGCCCTCGGAAGGAATAGGGATGCTTGGAGCCTCTGCCAAGCACAGAGCTGGGGAACAACAGGCTGCCAGCTGCGCAGAGCACTGCCCTGGGGACCTAGGTCCGTCCCTTTATCTGAGAGACGAGAGCCTCGAGAAGGGAGAGCGGTGAAGTGTGGCTGACCCCAGCCAGCTGGTGCAGAGCCTGGTCTGCTTCCCACTGCTGGGGTCTTCCTTGCTGCACCCAGAGCCCTCTGCTGGGTGAACACTGGGCAGAAGGACTTCCCAGCCCGCACCTTGGGGAACAGTGGGTATCACCCCATGAAGGGGCCAACAGTCCACAGTGTGCCCGGGACGCCTCACAGAGGAACACGTGGGGTGGGTCAGGGGCTGGACACTAGTCCACAGGGAGTCCCACAGGTCAAGCACGGAGCCTAGCAGGGCGTGCCTCTGACGCGTGGCATGCGAGGAGGGCTCTCCTGCTAAGTCGCCAGGGACTAGCTTAGTGAGGCTGAACAATGTGCCCCCAGTCACAGAGCTTCCAGTGGCCTGGCTGGAAGGCACCCCAGGCTGTGTGATTTCTTGCCCAGCCCTGTCCCTAAAGCATCACAGTCCACGTGCTGTAAAGAGGGTTCCAGGGACCAGAGGTCACAAGCCGCACACTGCAGGGGTCGTGCTGCTGAGGGGCACGCTGCCCCAGGGAAGGTTCTGCAGGGAGCTTGTCACACAGCCACATCTAATAACTCATAACGTGGGCAGCGTTTCCACTGCTGTGACCACGTGACCACTGCCAGGCTCATCTCCTCAGCTGGACGAGCTTTCAACCAGCAGGAGGTCAGCGGCGAAATGCAGGCAGCGCTTCTCAAAACTCTTCCACAAATAACCCTGTGAACTAAAATGTAATAAACCTCTCTCCTAGTAGAAAATCAAACTTGGGTTCTTTTGAAAAGACATTTACTTACTTGAAAATCTTTTTCTTCTAGTATTTCCTTCCTCCATCTCACGAGAAAAGCAGCGCACACGTACAAGTGGAAATGAGAAAAGCCGTCCGGTTCAGACTAAAAGAGAAAAAATAACCAAGAGAGAAATTGTAACGCGTGACCCATTAACATCACTGCGAGGTTATCTGCGACAGTCAGGGTTTATCTAGTCAGGGTTCAGAGGAAACCAAAGCTTGTGTTGACTCACTTTTACTTAATGCCTTAATTTCAAAATCCTCATTCCATTAAAACAAACACCATTTTCTCTTTAAGTTCCAGCAGCCTGATAAACAGCATGTGAACAGCAGACCAAGCTTCAGACAGCCTCAGAAGCGGTTGTTCATTCTTCTCTCTTGCGCAGACAATAGCCAAAAAGGATAAGAGACAAATTCAACGTGTGCTGGTGCCATGCCAGACACAGAGTCTACTCCTCACAAAGGGCGCGTGAGGGAGGCCTCCTCCCACTCCACAGATGAGGAAACAAGGCTGAGCCCAGTCAAGCCGGAGATCAGGCACTGGGCCTGGGACCACAACCCGGTCCGGGTCTCCCTGGGAAATGAACAGGGAAATGATGCTACTCGGAAGCCACGGACGCGGAAGGACACGGCTCACGCCCCTCAAATCACCACCCATGTCTCTCCTCACTGTCATCAAACAAGGCTTCCCTGCTCCCCCTTCTTGAGATATCTACCCCTTACTCATCCCGGAAACCCAGGACCACTGTCAGCTCCCAGAGGCCCTCCCACACCGAGGCTCGGGGCTTGCACACCTTGGGGCTATGGTGTTAGTTCAAGCACGCACGGCCAACTGCAAAGACTGAGGGTTCCCCAAACTCCAGTTCTTGGGGTGCTACCTTCTCTGCCTTGCCCATGCAACATCTATAGGACTACTGTCAGTGGTTCATTAAGTAAACAAATCCAATGCACAGTGCATTAGATGGTGATGTGCTATGGAGAAAACAAGGCAAAGACTGGGACGAGGAACAGCAAGGGGGTTTGTGTGTGAAGAGAGGGATGCCACTTCAGTACAACGGTCAATCGCCTAAGGTGACAAATGAGCAAACATCCAAAGAGAAAAAAGGCGTTTATTATTATTATTTTCTTTATTGAGATGGAATTTCGCTCTGTTGCCCAGGCTGGAGGGTAGTAGTGTGATCTTGGCTCACTGCAACCTCCACCTCCTGGTTTCAAGCAATGTTCCTGTCTCAGTCTCCCGAGTAGCTGGGATTACAGACGTGCGCCACCACACCTGGCTAATTTTGTATTTTTAGTAGAGACGGGGTTTCACCATGTTGGCCAGGCTGGTCTCGAACTCCTGACCTCCGGTGATCCACTCGCCTCAGCCTCCCGAAGTGCTGGGATTACAAGTGTGAGCCACCGTGCCTGGCCAGAAAAGGCATTTAGACACATGGCAGAGAAATATTCCAGGTAAAAGCAGCAGGAAACACAGAGACCCTGTGGTTAGAAGCTGCTTGGAATGTTCCAAAAGCGAGGAGACCAGCACAGCTACCGCAGAACGAGGCGAGCAGAGGCAAGCAATGGCAGGAACATCTGGGGTACAGATCCTCGGGGCTCTGAGCAGGGAAAAATGCAGGCTTCAAAAGCATCCCTCCGACTGTCACTCTGAGAATGGATGGCACATGGCAGGGTGGGGAGAGGTGGAACCAGGAGAACCAGGAGGCAGGTTAGGGGACCACGGTCATCAGAAATTCAAGAGGGGCTAGTGACTTGGGCCAAGACGGAGCAGGCAAGCTTGTGGGAAGACACATTCGAGATGTATTTTGAAGGTTGTGCAGAAAAAACACACCAACGCGTATGACAGATCTGGGGTAGGAGAGAAAGGAACCAAGAGCCACTCTGACACTATGGGCCTCAACAACTGGAAGGGCGAAGTTGCCAGTTCCTAAGATGGGGAAAGGTTTATGGAAAAGGCTGTAGGAGACTGTTTTGGTGGGAAGGCCATGAGTTATTCTTTGGAACTGCCAAGTTTAAGACACTTGGGGATCCTGGTGGAGATGTCAGGGAGGCACCTGGACAAGCCCAGAGAGTGGCTAGTGATTCGGGCCAGAAATAAACACCAAGGACTGAACGACCCACAGGAATGACCAGCGAGCTGGGGCCAGACCACAGAACATGAAGAGGGTGCATATTCTAAGAGTTCCTGGATACAGTGCCCTGCATACATCCACTAAATAAAGTTCATCAACAGCGTTGTTCGAGTTTCCTATAAATCCTGACTGGTTTTTTTTGTCTGCTTATAATCTATCAATAACTGACAGGTATGCTTCAAAACTCCCATTATGACAGTGAGTGTATGTCTTTCTCCTTATGGTTCTGCCAATCTTTGTTTTCTGTGTTTGGAAGCTATGTTATCAGGAGCATACAAATTCAAAATTGTTTTCTCTTCCTGGTGTACTAAACAGTACAAATACTTATGACCTCTAACCTCACGCAGGGCTTTTGCTCTGAAGTCTCTAGTCAGGAGGAAGGAGTCTAATATGACTAAAACTACCTATCAGTTTTTGTTCGGTAATGTATCTTAAACAGCTCTCCTGAGGTATAACTCTCATACGATAAACTTTATATATTTCAGGCCGGGTGCAGTGGCTCACGCCTGTAATTCCAGCACTTTGAAAGGCCGAAGCGGGCGGATCACAAGGTCAGGAGATCAAGACCATCCTGGCTAACACGGTGAAACCCCGACTCTACTAAAAATACAAAAAATTAGCTGGGCATGGTGGCGGGTGCCTGTAGTCCCAGCTACTCGGCAGGCTGAGGCAGGAGAATGGCATGAACCTGGGAGGCGGAGCTTGCAGTGAGCCGAGATCGAGCCACTGCACTCCAGCTTGGGTGACAGAGCAAGACTCCGTCTCAAAAAACAAAAAACAAAACAAAACATGTTTACATATTTCAAGTTTATAATTTGATAAGTTTTGATATACGCATATAGCTGTGAAAACACCATCACAACCGAGGTAGTGGACATATCTATGGCTCCAAAGGTTTCTTTGTGCCCATTTGTAAATCCTCCCTTTGAGCCCTCCCAGTCCCAGAATATCACTGACTTACTTGTGTCACTATACATTAGCTTACATTTCCAATATTTTCAAATAAAGGGAATCATATAATACACATTTGGTTTTGGTCTGGCTTTTCCACACAGGGTGATTACCTTAGATTCATCCATGACACTGCACGGACGAATAGATCATTTCTATACATGCTGAGCAGCACCCACTGCTTGGATATACCACAGTTTGTTTATCCATTCATCTGTTGATGGACTGAATTGTTTCTAGCTTGGGGCTACTATGCAGAGAGATGCCATGAACATTTGTGTACTCATCTTTGAATGGACATAGGCTTTCATTTTGCTTGGATAAATACTTAGGAATAGAACAGCTGGATCATATGGTAGGAGTATATTTACCTTTTGAAAAAACTGCCACTAGTTTTGATATAAACCTTTTATCAAATACATGCTTTGCAAATGTTTTCTCCCCATGCCTCCTCTTTTCGTCCTCTTAATAGTGACTTTTGAAGATCGTGGGTTTTAAATTTTGGTGAGGGTCAACCTAGTACTTTGTTCTTTTACAGATCATGCTGTTGGTGTCTTATCTAAAAAATCATTGCCTAACTCAAGGGCATAAAGGTTTTCTTCTAGAAGGTTTATAAAGTTTTACTTTAGATCTATAATCCATTTTGAGTTAATTTTTGTATATGGTAAAAAGTATGGAAGTTCATTTGTATGCACATGGATATCCAATTGTTCCAGCAATTTGCTGAAAGACTAAACTTCAGCTAGTGCTAGTCCTCACTTGTGTCTTCTTCTTTTTCAAGGCTGCTCTGGCTATTCCATATCTTCTGCATTTCTGTGTAAGTTTTAGAACCTGTTTTGTCAATTTTTACAGAAAAGCTTGCTGGGATTTCTGACTCATGACCATAGCATAGCTCTTAATCAGTCTTCTGACTCATGACCATGATATAGCTCTTCGTTTAATCAGATCTTCTTTCTCTTCACCAGTGTTTTATAGTTTTCTCACTACAGGTCTATTATATCTGTTTTTAGATTTTCCCTAACAGGTTCATATTTTTGATGATATTGAAAATAGGGTCCTAAAAACCTCGATTTCTGCTTGTTGGTAGTTGTTGGGTTCCCCTCTATTCTTTATTTCCTTATATTTCTCTCATAACTAGCACAGCACTGGGTTTTTAAACTCCAGCCATGCTTTCTAACCAAAGATCTTGGTCCCTGCTGGCTGTGACTCCTGATACATTCAGGTTAATTCACATGCTCTCATTTCGAGGTTTCCAACTGTTCTACTTTTTCTAGCATTTGTCTTTCTGGCCTACATGTGGACTAATCTACTTCCCTCTACATTCTAATGCCCTAACCCCAATGAATCTGGAAGTTAATGAATTGTTTCTATTATTTTAATAGCCCCTCTACAAATTTTAACATGTATATTTAACTTAATGATCTAAAATGAATTGTTATCTTTATCCTCCTCCCAAACAGTACAAAAAATTAAGAATATTTTAATTCTAGTCATACCAGCACCACACACTGACCTAATCTTCCCTAGCTATGTACTCATGGTTTCCAGAATTTCAGTTCCATTGTGACTTTTGTTTTTTGTTTTGTTGTGTTTTTTGAGATGGAGTCTCGCTCTGTCGCCAGACTGGAGTGCAGGGGCATGATCTCGGCTCACTGAAACCTCCTCCCAGGTTGTAGAGACGAGGTTTCAACATGTTGGCCAGGATGGTCTCGATCTCTTAACCCTGTGATCCACCCACCTCAGCCTCCGAAAGTTATAAATGGAGATCTTCTTCTTGTTCTTTCATATATGTTTGTTTAGAGTTATTCATGACTTTACCCTTTTTTTTTCCTCATTATTTCTTCTTGCACCTAGACCTTTCTTTGGAAATTATTATCCTTCTTTAAATTCAACCTTTAGAAGCTCCTTTAATGAGAGGGTTTTAGGGTCTTTTGGTTGTAAACCCTCTCAGAGTTCATTTGTCTAAAAATGTCTTTATTCTCATTCTTGAAAGATAGTTTGCTGGATATATTGTTCTAAGTTGGTTATTATTTTAAAAGATGATACTCTATCATCTTCTAGCCTCCGCTATTGAATGCTATCAATCTATTTGTCATTCCTTCATAAGCAATCTAACTTTCCTCTCTGGCTGCTTGTGAATAACTTCTTTGTCTTGGATGTTTTGCGGTTTCCTTGTGATATTTATTCTGCTAGAGATATTGGTCTTTCTGAATCTGGGGAATAAGTAGTTTTCATCAGTTTTGGAAATGGTCATCCATTATCTCCTATCAAACATCCATTTGCACCCATTCTCTTTATTTTCTCACAACTCAGATCATATAGAGTTGGGGTCTTTTCATTCTATCCTCCATTTCCTTTAGCCTCTCTTTTTATATCTTCCATCTCTTTGTCTTTCTGGGACAAGTACTTTCCTCAAATATCTCTTCTAGTTCATTAATAATCTCTTCAACTTTGTCACAATTTGTTTCACTTATCTATTACATTTGAACCTTGGTTATTTCTTCAATTCTGCCTTGTAAATTGATAGTTACTCCTCCTTCTTCCATTCAATACCTTTCTTTGTATTATTTAAAATGTATAAGCTTATTTTTATAGCATGTCGCAGATAATTCTAAAATCTCTGTAGATCTCTTTCTGCAGTCTGTTTTCACTGCTGATTCTTGCCCCCAGTGGCTTGCTTCCTTGTACTTCAGTGACTTCTCCTGTCATTATGCTCCTTAGAATGTATATCTATTGGAATTCTTTGAGGCTTTTCTTTGGGGAGTGGGGGGGTGGGAAACCTATATTTGCTTCTCTAGAGCCTGAGGGCCTTGTTATCCCAGACTACATTAAACCAAATTTTTAGCTTGCAATTTTTTTAGGTCAAATAAGTAACATGAACGGGGGCTCCCCCAATCCATGTGAATGTAGGATTGTAGTTGGAAATTCTGAGGAAGGGGAGGGTTCTTTCTTTCTCCTTTAACCTGGCCAAGGCTAAGAAAGACAAACACAAACAACTGTTCAGTCCCTGAACAAAACAGTCCCCAGGTTTTGACTCCTGCCAGTGGCTCATTAAAATCAACTGGCAGATACCCCTGGGTAAAGACCAGCTTTGATGTTGCTCCCCTAACTCTCTAGATTTGTATTTTCTCGAGATTTCTGGTCTCTGATAGTCTCACCTTTGTGGTTATGTTTCTTAAAAGCACACCAGCATTATTTGGTGTATTCATACCAAAAACAGGAGGGTCTTTCGGACACCACATTCACCACACCACCGGAAAGAGGAGGCTCTGCCCTATTATTTTTTTTTTAAATCCACTCATTTCAAGAATCTTAAATATGTTGCTACTGTGGCTTTGTAGTATAGGTTTGATGAGCTAGGTTTTTTTTTTATGATATTATTGACGAAAAGAATCAAACTCTGTAAAATATTTAAAGAGATTTATTCTGAGCCAAATATGAGTGACCATGGCCGATGATACAGCCCTCAGGAGGTCCTGAGAGCATGTGCCCAAGGGGGTCAGGGTGCAGCTTGATTTTGTACATTTTAGGGAGTCATGAGACATCAATCAAATACATTTAAGAAATACACTGGTTTGGTCCAGAAAGGGGGGACAAGTGAAAGGTGGCAGCAGCAACGGTCGGGGGGTTGTTCCCAGGCGATAGGTGAATTTATACATGTTCTAGTTGACAACTGGTTGAGTTTGTCTAAAGATCTGGGATAATAGAAAGGAAATGTCCAGGTTAAGATAAAAGACTGTGGAGACCAAGGTTCTTTTGAAGTCTTATAGTGGCTGCTCTTAGAGACAATAGAGAGAAATGTTTCCTATTGAATCTTTTTTTTTTTTTTTTTTGAGACAGAGTCTTTCTCTGTCGCCCAGGCTGGAGTGCAATGGTGTGATCTCAGTTCACTGCAACCTCTGCCTCCTGGGTTCAAGCGATTCTCCTGCCTCAGCCTCTGGGGTAGCTGGGATTACAGGCATGTGCCATCATGCCCAGCTAATTTTTGTATTTTCAGTAGAGATGGGGTTTCGCCATGTTGGTCAGGCTGGTCTTAAACTCCTGACCTCAGGTGATCCACTTGCCTTGCCCTCCCAAAGTGCTGGGATTACAAGTGTGGGCCACCATGCCTGGCCATCTATTGAATCTTTAAAAGGTGCTGGACTCTTAATCTCTTTAGGATTGGGAGGGCCTGGAAGAAAAAAATCTAGCTATGTTAATAGAGATTCTTTTTTGTTTTTGAGACAGAGTCTCACTCTGTCACCCAGGCTGGAGTGCAGTTGCATGATCTCGGCTGACTGCAACCTCCCTGCCTCCTGCATTCAAGCAATTCTCCTGCCTCAGCCTCCCAAGTAGCTGGGACTACAGGCACACACCACCACACCTAGCTAATTTTTTATATTTTTAGCAGAGACAGGGTTGCACCATATTGGCCAGGCTGGTCTCAAACTCCTGACCTCATGATCCGCCTGCCTCTGCCTCCCAAAGTGCTGAGATTACAGGCGTGAGCCACCGTGCCCAGCCAAGATTCTTTACAGACGCAAATTTTCCCCCACAAAGGACAGCTTTGCCATTTCCAAATATGGCAAAAAAAACACGTTTTGGGGTAAAATATTTTGAATTTCTTCTTTGTCATATAATGTTATCCCAAAGTCAGGCTGGAAAGTAAGTCATGATATATACGGTTAATTAAAACCCATCTGATGAGAATTTATGTATGGTTTGTAGGGCCTGACTCTCCAGACCCGTTAAACAGGAATTTGGGCAAGATAAAAAAAAATCAGAGCTTAGTCCTCAATACCCATTAAAACATATACAGCCATTAAAATGTTACATGTTTGTGTTGGAATTAAAATTGACCAAATATTTCAACTGAGTTTAAATGCCACTGCGACTCCTATATCCCATTCTCTGGGCACGTCAGCCCTCTCTGCACTGTAACTAGGATGCCCTTTCTAATTCAGCGGGCTCCTATCATGTCACCATTTTATTTTTAAATACCCACTGCCTTCAGGATCAAGTAGAAATGAGGCAGAGCAGACCGGACATCCGGTCCCTACCCACCCTGCATCTGGTATTCCAACCCTTTGCAGCCTTGGCTGTCTTAGGCATTCTGCTGCCCCACGAGGGAATGCTCCTGGGTTTGTTCCCCTAGATAAACCCATTCATTCTTCAGGATCTTCCCCCTTTCTCCCAGGCAGTGGGCTGTCTCCACCCCTTCTTCCCAGGAGCCCTGGCCATGTCTCCGCGGCACATGCCACACTGTCATGGTCCAGTGTGTCCCCTGTGTCAGCTTTCCCTCTGTGACCCCTTCTTCATTCTAATCCCAGCCCCAAGACTAAGAGTAGGAATGGAAACCGAACGAAATTACACACACACCCCCAAATCCACCACCTTGGGTTACCAGGAGCCTGGGGAAAGGGACAGGCTGGGTGCATGGAAGCTCGGCACTGAGAATGTACCTAGAGCAACGTACCTCTTTCTGGGGTGAGGGTGAGGGTTTGGGAGAGGGGGGAAGAAATGTGTGTCTTTCCTTTTAAATACCTTAGGTGACCTGAACAAACAAAAACCTTCAGGTATGTGAGGCCCTGAGGGAACCAGCCCTGAGTAGCACGTGATTGGTAATTAGCATTGCAAATACTGAGAAGGAAAGGTCTCCAGGAGTACTCTGGGAAGTTCCAGAATGATGGGTTCTCCAAGGAATCCTGTTTACACTCTGAATTTGCTTAACAG
The DNA here is from genome assembly GCF_000001405.40 of Homo sapiens. Taxonomy (NCBI): domain Eukaryota; kingdom Metazoa; phylum Chordata; class Mammalia; order Primates; family Hominidae; genus Homo; species Homo sapiens. Next base: position 47,102,815 of record NC_000022.11, on the reverse strand, counting down.
CCTTTTATTTAACCAGGGAGTGCAAAGGTCAGCCCCCAGCCAGCCCTCCTACCCAATCCTACTCTGAATTAGTAAGGCTGGACTGTAAATTCTGCCGCTCACAAGATGTCTCCAACCAGGGAGCAGAACTTAGGAGAGGGCATGCTTTCCCAGAAACACAGCACTGGGGGAAAACAGAGCTTTACGGCATCACTTAAGTGGATTATTTGTCTTGGATGACTTGGTAAATTATCTTAAAACTAATTTAATAAATAAAAAACTCATATCATCTATGGAAAATGGGCTTCTGCTTTAATGAGGCATAATCCAGACAATAAATATCACCCAGCACTCAGTGGGAAAACAGGGAGGCGTGAGCAGTGGCCACAGGCCAGCCCTGGGCACCTGGCCTTGGCCAGAGCCCACTCAGGACCGGGGGCTCCATCCCCTTCAGTGAGAGGCACACGCCTGGGGTGGGTCAAGCAGGAGGAGGCTGTGGCGTGGAGAAGCCCCCGGGGCTGTGGGATGAGCACTGGCTGACTCACAGGGAGGTGCGTAGCGCAAGGCCACTTCTGGCATCCCCCACCTCCATGCCACCAGGCCTGTCCTGAAAATCAAGATCTCCCCGTTCTCCAGGCTCCGGGCTACTTTGGGGAGGTAAAGGAAGGCGCCAGAGACTGAGAAAGGATCCTCAGCGATGAACCTTCAGCAGATACTCAGGACTGTTCTGCAGCAACGGCAAGTGGGGGTTGGGGGACGGAAACGGTTTCCTCCCCCTACCCTGAAACAAAGGTCTTGAGCTGGTCACCTGCGAAACCGTAAGCTCTCCCTTCTTCTCCCAGCAGAAAGCCAAAAAGACTAGATGAGGAAATACCATCATTGTGTGGAATATTCTGGATTGGGAGTGGAGTGCTCAGCTACCCTGCACCAGGTAAATTCTGGACGTCACTGGAGCAAGGGCAGCTGTCTGCCATGTGCCATGTGCAATGGGTACGATGTAGTGGGCGGATCCTAACAGTCAGAGGCTCCCCATCTCCCGTCAAGGAAGATGAAGCCCCCAGTTCCCCTCAAGGCATATGAGGCCCCATCCACCTAACTCGGTGCCCCCACTGTCCTGTGACCCCTTCACATTGGCCTCCAGTGCTGGGCCTGTTCCTGCTGGCGCCGGTCTGTTACAGCCCTAGCACTTGAGAAAAACCCCAACACACAATCAAACCCTGGAACCCACTGGCCTTGGAAACCAAGCATGTCCCGTCTGAGTACCGAGGATGCTGGGGAAACTGCTCCTTTCCTCCTGGGGCCTTGGCCGCCTCGCCCCACAGGCATGGCTGAGGCAGCTGGTCGCTGCATTGGGAAACTCCCACAGGTCTCGGACCCGGCCAAGGTCTAGAGAGACGGAGAAGCTGGAAGGACATACCTAGCCCGACCAGGGCAGTGACAGGCTCTAGAGGCCGGCCCAGCATCCAGCACTCCTGGTGAAACAATGCCCCAAGCCTGTCCCTGCTTCTTCTCTGGTTTGGGGGGCAGGGGGACACTTCCAGTCTTCCTCACACTGCCAGTCTGCAGAGGAAACACTCAGGTGTCATTTAACGAGCGAGTCAGGAATATTTTAGGATTCCCTCGAATGATGAATATGGTTCTGATTAATACAACAAAAGAACACTTTGACAATTTTTATTTCAGATCACTTCAATATTCCCCTCTCTTAATCGCTAATGAAAGAAACAGCAGCTTTGACTGATGACTCAACAATAAGTCTGCTGGGGCCACACTGAAGCACAATACCCAAGGGCTCCCGGGAGTGCCATGCAAATCGGGCACGTTTCCACACTTTGCAATGGAAGAGAAATATGGTTCTTTTAAGCAGATCCTGGCAAGCTCACAGAAGCCCAAAGCTCATTCAGCCGAGGCTCTAACTGCCTAACCAGAGACCAAGCGATCCCTCTGAGGCGAGCTGTTGGTAGACAGGACTCTGCTTTGAAGACGGCAGCCTACTGCGGGAAGGGGAGGAGGGGCCCACCTCACCCCTTGTATGAGTCCGTTTTCACGTGGCTGATAAAGACATACCTGAGACTGGGCAATTTACAAAAGAAAGAGGTTTAATCGGATTTACAGTTCCACATGGCTGGGGAGCCCTTACAATCATGGCGGAAGGAAAAGAGGAGCAAGTCACGTCTTACGTGGATGGTGGCAGGCCAAAAAAGGAGAGAGCGTGTGCAGAGGAGCACCTCTTTTTAAAACCATCGGATCTCAGGAGACTTATTCACCATCATGAGAACAGCATGGGAAAGACCTGCCCCCATGATTCTATTACCTCCCACAACATGTGGGAGTTCAAGATGAGATTTGGGTGGGGACACAGCCAAACCATATCACCCGTCCCCCGAGGCCTCACCCCTGTGCCCCAGGGCTTCATCCCTGCTCTCCAGGCCTTGCCCCTGCACCCCACAGCCTTACTCCTGTGCTCTCAGGCCTTACCCCTACTCTCCAGGCTTACCCCTGTGCCCAAAGGCCTCATTCCTATTCCCCATGCCTCACCCCTGCACTCCACAGCCTCACTCTTGTGCCCTGAGGCCTCACCCTTGCACTCCACAGCCTCATTCCTGTGCCCTGACACCTCACCCCTGTGCCCTGACGCCTCACCCCTGCATGGCACTGTGTGAAGTACTAAGAACAAGCCAGGACCGGCCTGCAGCTGCAGGGATGGGCCAGGCAGCACCCTGGAAGCCACCCAGCTGGGTTTCAGCCCCCTAGAGTTTTCATTGCAAACACTGCCTTTGACCTGCAATCTTGGCTCTGTCTGTCAGCATCTACCCACTCTCAGGCCTGCAGCCCAGTCCACACAGCCCCAGGCCGCCCCACCTCGTTTCTCTGGTGCTCGAGGCCCTCACTGTTTGGGGCCCGTGTCAAACACCAGGGCTGGAAGGGCTCTGAAGGTCAGCACGTTGCACCTCTCTCTATAGACGAGAAAACAGTGGAGAGCTGGAGTGGCTGTGTGAGGCACCCTGGAGGGTGGTGTGGAACACAGAATGGGCCATGTGAGACCTGGCAGAGCCACCCTGATGTCTTCTAACTTTAGAAAGCAGGGACGAGGCCAGGTGCGGTAGCTCACGCCTGTAATCTCAGCACTTTGGGAGGCTGAGGCAGGTGGACCACCTGAGGTCAGGAGTTCAAGACCAGCCTGGCCAACACAGAGAAACCCCATCTCTACTAAAAATACAAAATTAGCTGGGTGTGGTGGCACATGCCTGTAGTCCCAGCTACTCGGGAGGCTGAGGCAGGAGAATTGCTTGAACCCGGGAGGCAGAGGCTGCAGTGAGCTGAGATCGCGCCATTGCACTCCAGCCTGGGCAACAAGAGCGAAACTCCGTTTCAAAAAAAAAAAACAACAAAAGAAAAAAGAAAGAAAGCAGGGACGAGGCTGCTCACTGTCTTTGCCCCTGCTCATGCCTTCCGGTAGGCCAAACCATTCTTGACCGCCCCTAAACCCAACTCTCCCTGGCTCCTCCAACCCCAGCCTCTCATGCCTTCCTGAAAACCCTCCAAGCTCCCTCCCAGGCTTCTTATCTGGTAATGTGAATAGACAGCGCCTCAGCCAGGCCCTTCCCTCTGTGTATGCCCTTTTCCTCCCAGCTGCCATCTAAGGCTCTGAAGAGCAGGGTCTGCACTTCCACACGGTGACACCCAGCACAGCACAGGGTAAGCGCTCAGGACTCCTGGCTTTCTGAGGGTGGAACTTTCACCTCTGCAGCAGCCTTGGCATTGGGACCCCTGTGTCAGGGTCTGAGTAAAGAGGGGTTTTCCCTGGATTAGCCCCACTGGCTAGGATGGGAAATTCATCTTCAGGAGCCCCCGCAGTCAGGGTTTGGGGCTACTGTGTGCAAGCTCGCTGAGTCAACAACAGCACCTGACTGCCCCCTACGCCTGCAGGCTCTCCAGAGACCCTGGCTCCTGTCCTCACAGGAGGTCCCAGTCGGAGCTCAGAGCACAGCTGTTTGCCAGAGACACTGTGCGACTAATGGCTGCATGACTCCCTGGTGTCCCCGTCTCAGCCCAGCGAGGGCAGGACTGTCAGCAAAGTTAACGGGCAACAGGGAGGAACCTCCAGACCCCAAGCCACCCATGATGCGAGTCATCTGACCTGTCCCCAGGGCAGCCTAACACATGGAGTCGGGGGGATGCCTCACCTGGCCCTTCCCCAGGGCAGCCTGGTGCATGGAGTCGGGGAGATGCCTCACCTGGCCCTTCCCCAGGGCAACCTGGTACATGGAGTCGGGGGGATGCCTTGCCTGGCCCTTCCCCAGGGCAGCCTGGTGCATGGGGTTGGGGAGCATGGCTTCTGCTGTGCAGTACACAGGGAAGAGTGTCCAGTTCCTGTGGTGCGGCCCCACAATGCACAGGCCACCTGGGGGTGGCAGCATCAGGGTGTCAGAACAGCCATAAGTGAGGTCAGGGCTGTGTTTGGACACGCCCCATGCTGCCCCATCACCCCTGTGAAAAACAAGTCCATGAGAAGAATCTCCTCTTAAAACGCTCACCCTGGGAAAAGGGTAGGACTCTGGGGACAGGGGGTTCTGGAGGTCAAGGAGAAATACTCTTCTTAGAGCCAACACCATCTTTAAAAATAACACATCTCTCTAGTTAAGGGAAAAACATTTCACGGAAGAGCCCACGTGCCTTGGAAATGACCATTAACAAGTCCTGATCCTATTGCAATTGGATTAGACAGCTGAAATCTCCCAATCCTGATTTTTTTTCTTTTTCTTTTTTTTTTCTTTACTACGTCCAGTAAATTGTATCTAATAAAGCAGCCAGCATGCCATGAGAGCTGCTCCAAAGGACAGCTGCACAGTAGCAGGGGCCCCCACCACTCCCAGGGGATACCTAGCACTCAGAGCCCCTCCTACTTCCAGGTAAACAGATGAAAGGGTATTCTGACCAGTCAAAGGCAAAGGCAGGTAGGCAACCTCTGGGCACAGGGAGCCCACCCCTGCAGAATTTTTGCTGAGTGAGAGGGACAGAAGAACACAGGAATATATTACACAAATATATGCAAGACACTTTTGGAAATGATGTAAAAGTTACCTGAAAGACATAAAAGAAAACCTAACAGAGAGATATACCAGGTTCACACACAAAAAGATTCAAAATGGAAAAGATGTCAATTATCTTCCTTTTAATTGATATGTTCAATGCATTTCTTTTCTTTTTCTTTCTTTTTTTTTTGAGATGGACTCTTGCTCTCTCGCCCAGGCTGGAGTGCAGTGGTGCAATCTCAGCTCACTGCAAGCTCCGCCTCCCAAGTTCAAGCAATTCTGTCTCAGCCTCCCAAGTAGCTGGGATAACAGGTGCCCACCACCACGCCCGGCTAATTTTTGTATTTTTAGTAGAGATGGGGTTTCACCATGTTGGCCAGGCTGGTCTCGATCTCCTGACCTCGTGATCCACCTGCCTCGGCCTCCCAAAATGCTGGGATTACAGGCATGAGTCACCGTGCCCAACCCAATTCAATGCACTTCTAATAAAAACTCCCTATCATTTATCCAGGATTTTTGTAGAATTAAAGCATATTCCAAAGTTGATATTGAAGAGCAAAGGGCCAAAACTAGCATGACAACTGCAAAGACAAAACGACAAGGTGAAGACTGTATCAGACAGCAAGACATTTTGTGGGACTAATGGAGGCCACGTGGCCTAGGCCCCGGACAGAAAGAGCAGTGGAACAGAGGACACGGGGCCACGCCCATACTCATGTGGAGGCCACGTGGCCATGCCCATACTGATGTGGACACACAATCATCCATGACAGGCACAGCAGTGCCAGCCAGAAGGCAAAGGATGGAACGTTCCATCAATGGTACAGAGAAAACAACTGGCTATCCACGTGGAAGAATGAAACTGGACTCTGTTGCACACCACACGCGAACTGAGGGTGGGGGAGAAAGTGGCGCCTAAAAACAACACTTCAGGACACAAAGGATATACTTTATTTATTTATTTATTTTTATTTTTTTTGAGACAGAGTCTCGCTCTGCCACCCAGGCTGGAGTGCTGTGGCACAATCTCGGCTCACTGCAACCTCCACCTCCCAGGTTCAAGCAATTCTCCTGCCTCAGCCTCCCAAGTAGCTGGGCTTACAGGCATGCGCCACTACACCCGGCTAATTTTTGTATTTTTAGTAGAGATGGGGTTTTGCCATGTTGGCCAGGCTGGTCTCAAACTCCTGGCCTCAAGTGATCTGCCTCCCTCGGCCCCCCAAAGTGCTGGGATTACAGGCATGAGCCACCGTGCCCGGCCAACAAAGGATAAATTTTAAAAACTGATGAAGTTAACTACCCCCAAATTTTAAACTTCTGTATGACAAAAGACACTATAATTAAGATTTCTCAATCACAAACTGGAAAAAGGTATTTGTAGTGGGTATGTGACTGACAAAGGATTCGTATCCAGAATGTATTCTACTTCAAAATCCTCCAAAGAATCCACAAGAGAAAAAATCTGGGGCATTCAGCGCAGTGGATCAGGTGAGAGGCCAGTTCCTAGTTTCCAGATGGGCAAGAACTAAAAAGATGATGAATACAAAGTTTAGGCGAAACCACAGACTGCCAAGGAGAGGAAAGGAAGAGAAGAGGCTTCCGTAGTACATGTGAAATGTGTTTCTAAACAAGAAATAGACAACAGATCTGAAGCTTTTTAAAAATGAAACAAATCTTTTTGACTTGCTAAAGCTGGGTAATAAGTTCAAAGGCATTCATTAGACTATTATCTACATGTTTCTGTATATTTAACATTTTTTATAATTAAAAAAAGCAAAAAGACCAAGGACTAATCTGAAGTGGTCTTTTCTAGTTACCAACAGACTCATCTATGTAGCAGCACCTCTCATCCATATGACTCAGCCTTGGGGTCAGCCAGGAGTGGACAGGGCCAGCCTCCAGCCCAGCCCTGGGAAAGGGTTCTGGTTCTGCCCCCTCTGCTGTCACTCAGACTCAACCCGCTCAGCATCCCCTCACTGGGAAAGGTGCATAGGCCTGGGGCAGCTCCTGACAGCCCTGTAACCTTCCTCTCAAGGGTCTCCCTGCAGGATTGTTCCCTTAAGAACTGCCATGAGTTTCCTCAGGGGCCAGGGCCCTGGAGTTTGAGAGAAGCTCAAAGGGATGGACAGCAGGACAGAGCCGAGCTGCTCCTCTCCTTCAGTTCCCAGTTGGGAGACGGGGAAATCCTGATGCCTTACCACATGAGTTCTCTTAACACTGCACTACACGTTCTGTGGCGGATTTAGTTTTGCTTATAAAATGACAAAATGAAAGTTCAAAATGACTAAGATTAAATGCAAATTACTTATATATGATATAAACTTTTTAAAATGTAGGAACTAAGGCAAAGAAACAATTTTCCTTCTATTTTTTATAATGGAGAAACTGTGATAAAAGGAACAATATTTCACCTTTAATTGCATTGTTCGATTTTCCTTATAATTTTTGGCACGAAATAAAAACAAATGGCCTTCTGGCCTCACGAGATTTCCCCGCATATGCGTATTTACATAGATGTGGTTTTGAGGCCATTCAAATGACAGAAATTGTTTCCCATTCTTTGCTAAGATTCAAGTGCACCAACTTCAGCTGCACAAGCAAAATCTTTGCTATGATTTCCTTTGAAATATTCATCACCAGACCACTGTGTTTCACAATTACCAGCCCATAATGCAGAGCACAGCCATTTTAAAATTCACGCCAACATCCCCACGTTTACGGCATGGGCTGTAGTAAGAGCTGTACATCACATTTCATGGCACAGCCAAATCCTAAAGCCTAAATGAGCCTGTTGCTACCCAGCCGGCCTCAGTGACTCATCCATTAGCTCTATGCCACCCATGTTCTCTTTTGCCAGATTCTTATCGGCATGTGTCTGTCCAGGTCTTGAGAACATTCCAACTGGTTAAAGACAAAGGTCACAGCCAATCAAATCTAGTGAGTCACAGGACGGGTTCTCCTCTCTACAGCCTCGGGGGCTGATCAGGGGAAGGGAATGATCTACAGGGTCTGTCCCTTGGTCCTGGGATTCTGGTCCAATGTATGAACACTCTCTAACTGAAATAAGCCTTTTAAAGCCATATAGTATAAGAGAAAGACATAAACTATACTGAACTTTTAAAATTCCCAATGGATATTTATTCTTTGGTTGATGTATCAGTCATGGTTCTCCAGAGAAACAGAACCGACAGGACGTATGTACATATACATGTATATAAATAGACAGAGGGCATTTATCTTAGGGACTTGGCTCATGCCATTGTAGAGGCTTGATGAGAACAAAATCTGGTGGGGTAGGAGGCAGGCTAGAGACTCAGGGAAGAGCTGCAGTTTAAGTCCACCCAAAAGCAGGCAGCATTCCTTCTTGCTTGGGAGAGGCCAGTCTCTGTCTATGAAGGCCTTCAACGGATGGGATGAGACCCACGCACATTATGGAGGGTCACCCTTCGCTTTATGCAAAGTCCCCTGACTTAAATGTTAGCCTTGAAACCCACCCAATCGTCCCACAGACCATTTTTTTGACAAACTTAGAAACTGACCCTTCTGATCTTAAAGCTTAAAACTTAACATTTGTTTTATCTGAGTTCCTTCCTCAGGAAAGGACTTGCCAGCTTCTCAAAAAGTATCAAAGGACTGAAACTCACCAGATCCGGACAATGAGATACCAGCCTCTCAAAAAGTATCAAAGAACTGAAACTACCAGCTTATAGCATCCAGACAGCTAGATGCCAAGCCCCTCATTCATCTTGACTGCTTCCTTACCCCTCCCTGTTTTCCCATACATCATTACTTTTCGTCCCTGCTATGTTTTAGTCAGTCAGGGAGATGCATTTAAGACTGAGTTCCCACCTCCTGGGCTGCAGCACCCAATTAAAGCCTTCTTCCTTGGGAATAATTGTTGTCTTGGGGATTGGCTTTCTGTGCAGTGAGCAGCAGGACCCAGACAGAACCCCTGGTGTTTCTGTAACAACCTCAACCAAAAAACACCTTCGGAGAGACATCCAGAATAATGTTTGACCAAATATCTGGCAATGGTGATTCCGCCAAGTTGACGTATAAATTAACCATTACAGTGATGACTGCATCTGTCATCAATGATGTGCTCAGTGATGACAGATCGTTTTCATGTTCAAATTTGAAAGGCGTTTCCCAGGGCTGTGTTCCTAGGTCCTTTTATATACCAATTGACTGGTTTAAATATTCAATTTATTAATGAAAAATCAACATGCACTGGGAAGCCGGGAACTCCTAGGGCTCACAGATGAGGAATGGTCTAGCCAGCCTTTCCGATGGGCAGCTGAGAGTTGGGAGAGTGAACAAGGCAGCCCCCTCCCCCAACCTGCTCTCTCTCATCCTTTGCTGCTGCTGGCCCTGCAGGGAGGCAAGGATCCTTAAACCAGAAAAATGCACACCAGCAAAAACTAGCTAAGAATCAAACTCAAAAAAAATGACCTTGATTTACATATTTTAGCAAGGGCCTGAGGAGAGATCCAAGGTCACCAGCAGGTGCTTAGAGGAGACCACAGGAGACTCGGCGCAGGATCACAGGGCCTGCTGGCCGCCAAGACACATCAGGGAGGCGGCTCACTTCACAAGCTCCCGTCACAAGTACCGCACCGCCTGCACACGCCTATCTCCTTTATGGATGAAATCAAAGACATCCTTTCAATGCTGCTCTGTCAAAACTTCATGAATTATACAAGCTCAAGTAGACTGTGGGGGCCAGAGCTGCCACTAAGTTGCAAGAAGGATTAACTTTCTGCTGCTAACCTCAGCCACCCTCGATGCTCCTCCTCCCATTTCCCAAATCTCAACATTCCATGTCTGATGACTCAGCATTTCTAGAAAATGCTGTAACACCATGTGGTCTGTGAGCACCACTCTAAAGGTACTTTTGCTATCCTGTCCAAACTGATGAACTTCGCTGTTTTCTTAATTTTTGTCAAGGATGTTCTTGGCAAATTCAAAGGGAAGAGAACCACTGTGAGCCCTGATTATTTTTTCTTTGAAGCAAGAAATGACATCACACCAGTTAATACGTCAAAGCCTCAACTCTCTCTGTAGACTGAACTTAGCTAAAAGAGCATAGGGGTCAGAGAAGGAGTAAGTGTGGGGCAGCTCTCAGTGAGCGACCCACGTTCTGTCCCCAGCCCTGCAATGACTTGTGAGGCCCGCCGGTGGGCATGTCCACAGGCTGAGGCTCACAGGTCTGCATCAGCCACACAGACATACACACGGGCTCACCCCTGTGCACACCAGTGTGCAGCCTGCAGTCTGCTCCCAGGGCATGCATGCAAGGTGCCCACCAAGCCCCTCCACTCCAGTTTCCACTCCTGGGCATCCTCGTTCACTCTCTCCTGGGACTCATTCCTGCTCTCCCAGCCTGGGAAGTGCCTTCTTCCGCCACCACCAACCCAAGGCCCCATCCCTTATGGTGAGTCCTGTCCCTCTTCACTGAGACACTCTGGGCTGCTGCGGGCTCCCTCCATACCTCTCTGTCCTGTGCTCTGGGGCTGTATTCCCCCTGCAATCTATCAGGACACCCACGCACAGTGCATCCCTCTAGGTACTCGCTTCCCCACAGGGACTCCTGAGGCCAGGGTAAGGCGCCCTGCTCCGACATCCCTCCAGTGCACAGCTGAGACACAGGTACACAGCGTGCCCTCTTCTGTTCTTGTGGAAAGAGCAGGGGCACTGAACTCAGGCCTGGCCCACAACTCCCACCCCATATGGTCCCTGTATGGTGCAGGACAAACTGAAGTCCCTGCCTCAGCTTCCAACAGCTCATCTGTAAGACGGCAATCATGATGTCCAGTACACGAGTACACGCTTTCCAGTACAAATGATGGTAAGAATTAGAGATGACACTGAGTGCATATCACCATATCACAGAGCTCTGTACCCAAAACAGGTGATTAAGAGAATGGTGAAGCCTACGGTGTGTTAATACCTGTCTCACTGTGAACACTAAACTGAAAATTCCTCAAAACAGACAGGCAGCTTAGGTGCAAATGAAGCTCAGTTTCCTCAGCTGGAAAAAGGAAGAGTCCAGCTGGATAAACTCTAAAGGTCTCAGGACCTCTGAGACCCAGACCTGTGAGGTCCTCAGTTCAAGAGCACTGCTTTGTGAAGGCTGAAGCAGCCTGCCAGGTGCACAGGACCTGAGAAGAAGCTCAGCGAGGCCACTCCCCGAAAGACGACTTATCGTGCCTGTCTCTATCAACACGCAGCCACCCCCTCCGCAAGGCCACACCCCCCCAAAGACGACTTCTCCTGCCTGTCTCTATCAACAAGCAGCCACCCCCTCCACGAGGCCACTCCCCAGCAAAGACGACTTCTCGTGCCTGTCTCTATCAACACGCAGCCACCCCCTCCGCGAGGCCACTCCCCACCAAAGACGACTTCTCGTGCCTGTCTCTATCAACAACCCCTCTGCGAGGCCACTCCCCCCAAAGACGACTTCTAGTGCCTGTCTCTATCAACACGCAGCCACCCAAAGACGACTTCTCGTGCCTGTCTCTATCAACAAGCAGCCACAACCTCTGCGAGGCCACTCCCCACCAAAGATGACTTCTCCTGCCTGTCTCTATCAACACGCAGCCACCCCCTCCGCGAGGCCACTCCCCACCAACTTCTCGTGCCCGTCTCTATCAACAAGCAGTCACCCCCTCCCCGAGGCCACTCCCCACCAAAGATGACTTCTCGTGCCTGTCTCTATCAACAAGCAGCCACCCCCTCTGCGAGGCCACTCCCCCCAAAGACGACTTCTCATGCCTGTCTCTATCAACAAGCAGCCACCCCCTCTGCGAGGCCACTCCCCACCAAAGACAACTTCTCGTGCCTGTCTCTATCAACACGCAGCCACCCCCTCCGTGAGGCCACACCCCCCCAAAGACGACTTCTCCTGCCTGTCTCTATCAACAACCCCTCTGCGAGGCCACTCCCCCCAAAGACGACTTCTCGTGCCCGTCTCTATCAACAAGCAGCCACCCCCTCCGCGAGGCCACTCCCCACCAAAGACGATTTCTCGTGCCCGTCTCTATCAACAAGCAGCCACCCCCTCTGCGAGGCCACTCCCCCAAAGATGACTTCTAGTGCCTGTCTCTATCAACACGCAGCCACCCCCTCCCCGCTACTGTCAACTGCAACCGACCCAGACCTGGAGCAAGCAAACGAAGGGGACGCTGAGGAAGCAGAGGCTGTGGCTACCAGGACCCACCACCGGACACCCCCAGGAGAGCTTCTGCAGGCCCAGCATCCACCTGGAGGGGACACAGGTGCTCATTTTCTAAACAGGACAGTAAAGGGCATGCATGTTGCGTTTCTGACAGCACTGACTGGGATTTCCCGAAGTTACTCGGCTGCTGGAACACGGGGCAGAGTGGCAGTAGGGGACGAGCACATCCACCCTGGAGTGGCATCCAGGCAGAAATGTCTATGCACCTCCAAGACGCCCCGTCTGTCTGAGCGCTCCCTGGGCTGGGACTGGGTCTCCTGTGCCTATATCCTTGTCATTCCTGCCCAGCTCAGTGTGTGCCGGGTGGAGACATGAGCTGGCGGATGCTGGCCTTTCCTAGCATGAATGGGTGGCAAGCCCCGGAATCTTCATCTTTCACAGGCTCCCAAGATGATTCCCAGGTGAGGTGGAGCTGGAGAACCACTTTGCTGGGGTATAAGCTTCTAGAGATGAGGACCGCCCCCCCACCCCTCTGGGACCCCACAGACCTAGCACGGGACCGCTGCGCACGGCGGGGCCCGGGGAAATGATACAGACATCCAGAGGGTGAGCGAATGCCACGCCAAAGTTCCGGACTGTTCACATCCCCGGAGGCTTCACACTGGGCTGTTCTGACCTCTGCTTATCACTGATGACTGAGCATTTACAAGGACCTCCCACCACCAACCTTGAGCAAACACTTCAACCTGTCCCCTTGTAAGTTGGGCTGTGAATAAGACTTGTGAATAAAAGTCTTATTGAACCAATTTGAACAAAAAGAATCCACATTCACCCAATAACCATTAACCAGGGAATTCTTAGATTTTACAGAAAATGGAACAGTGAGAAGAATTTCTTACGATCTAAAACAAGGAAAATTATACAGGTTCTGCACAACAATAAGAAACAAGACAGGATCTTTAAGACAGTCAAACTGTCCCCTTGTCACCTCCAGCTTCCCACTCTGGTGACTAGAGTGACACCTCCCACCCTGCCGGCCTCACTCCTCCCACACGAGCTCACCCAGGCCAGGCTTTCCGCCTTTGTGCGCACATGTCTGTGTGCATGGACTGTGTGTACGTCTACGTGTGGTGTGATGTGTAAAACCATTTTCAAATAAGACTTTTCAAGAATTCCCCAAAGTAAAAAGCATAGTAGAAAGACAGCCCTGCATCCATCACTCAAGATCCACAATGATCAATATTTGGCCAATGCCATTTCATTTATTACCGACCCCCGCTCTGCCTGCATGCTGCTAGGTTATTCTAAAGCAAATCCCAGACATCACATTTCACAGCTTCTCTCAGAGACAACAACTTAGACACATAATCACAAGCCTATTATTACATCAAAACAATTAACCATGATTCCTTAATGTGATCCTGCATGCCTCCCAATCATGTGTCTTTCTGCTGTCACTTTGTTCTCATCAGTCTCCAAATGACACATACACAATGCATCTGAGAGCCAACTCTCTTACTCATTTAAAATCTCGAATTCCCTCCTCTTTCTTGCTTCTCTGTCCTGCTTTTGTGGAAGCAATCTGGTCATGGCCATGTGGGATGTTTCACACTCTAGTTCTGGCTAGTTTATTCCCCTGCTGAGTTCCATCCGTTTCCCCCTTCCCTGGTACTCCCTGCAAGCAGGACTGCGGTCTAAAGGCTGGATCCTATGCAGATGGGATCTGTGTGTGTGCGAGAACGCTTCGCTGTTGGAGCTGTGGCCTTCACATTTCACCGCATCAGAAGGTGTGAAATGTCTGGGGTCTCCTTCCTGGTGATGCTGCAATTGATCGGCAGGTCCAGGTGTTACCAGGCAGAACCATCCATCACCAAGTCCCCTGCAAGCTCCCTCTCGTGGTTCTGAATGCTACTGGTGAGCACTGGCTTGACTCATTTCATTAGGGTGACACTGCAATTCTTTCACTGCCTCTCCATTTACAGCCACAGTTCTTCCATAAGGAATAACTTGCCGTCAAAAAAAAAAATTTGATTAGCAGGAAAATAGAATACTTTCTTGACTCTTTCCTTTTATATACCAGTTGGTGCCCTAGCAACCTTCACGGGTGAACTAGTAAGGGCTTTACTTAGAAGTTATTATGAATTCATAGACTTTAACATTCTTGGTATGTTCTAATAAACTGCCATCATAATTCTTTCTGATGCTTTGTTTTCCTATTTTTGGCTAGAGAGGGTCCCTTTAAATTGGGCTCTTGGCATGACCCAAGAGTCTATGAGAAGTTCCTTGCTTTCTGTACGACTAGATGTTCCAGATTCATCTTAAACATTTTCTGGCATCAAACATTTCTCTAAGGAGCCTTGGTTTCTTTTCATGGGAAACGGCTTAAGGACTCCGCAGGGTGCTCATTTCCACTGGGGTTGATAACTGGGTCCAATAATTTTCAGTGGTCACAGCCAGAAGATAAGAGGTTATTTTTTCAAAGGGCAGAATCCACCAACAGTTCATATTGAATCTTTTTTAAATTTATTATTATTATTATTATTTTTTATTTGAGATGGAGTCTTGCTCTGTTGCCCAGGCTGGAGTGCAGTGGCGCAATCTTGGCTCACTGCAACCTCTGCCTCCCGGGTTCTCGCCATTCTCCTGCCTCAGCCTCCCAAGTAGCTGGAACTACAGGCGCCCGCCACCACGCCTGGCTAATTTTGTATTTTTAGTAGAGATGGGGTTTCACTGTGTTAACCAGGATGGTCTTGATCTTCTGACCTCGTGATCCGCCCGCCTCAGCCTTCTAAAGTGCTGGGATTACAGGCATGAGCCACCACGCCTGGCTATATTGAACCTTAATTCATATTTAAGCTTATGGGTGTTTTACTTCTTTAATTTTATGCTTGATTCTCTTTTATGTTAGAATTTGTTAGAATTTGTGGTTCCTCTAACATTATCATAATTACTTATCTGCTTTGTCTTAATAGATATATGTGCAAATATGTATTTCAGTAAGTAGGTATATAAGTCATAGTTTCAAACAGCACTAATAATATTACCAACAATCTGAAGTTTGAGAACTTTTGCAATTCTTTTTTGCTTAAGATATATCCTACTGGGGCTGTACATTCAAATTGCTTCAAAGTCTGTTTGAAGTCATTTTTCTCTGTGTGATTAAAGTACCGACTTGACACATAGTTTAGGTTCTCTTTTCATTTGATTTTGTTCTTGCTTTTTAAGAATAGCTTTCTGATTTGGGCTTAGTTTGGCTTTATAATTATGTAAAGCAATACATGATTCAAAGTAAAAAACTATAAAACAAGGTACATTCAGAGAAGAGAAGTCAGGCTTCAGATCTGACCCTTTGTATCTCATCTTCCCCATATAGACTATAACCCTTTTTCATTGGTTTCTGGTTTATTCTTTAATTTTGTTTGGTTTGTAATATAAGCAAATAGGAAAGTTTGTGTGCATGCGCGTATGCGTGTACGCTCATACTCTGCCAACCAATCAACAGGTAAGTGATGGGATATGACACACACAGTTCTGCACCTTGCACCTCCAGTAAACAGTGAGGCAACCAAGAGCTCACTAGCTGCAGACGGAGCACCCACATTCCTTTCAGCCCCGTGCAGAACTCCAGTTGCGGGGTGGCAGGTGTAGAACAGCTTATTCAGCCAGTTTCACATTGATGGATATCTATCTTTTGCTACTGCAAACAGTGCTACGATGAACAGGCCTGTAGATACAGCATTTTTTCTTTTCTCCAACTAATCTTTTGGATGGCTCCTGGGCCAACAGTTGTCCAGGCATATGCTACTTGCTAGAGTGTGTGAACCACCCGTCTGTGCTCATTCTTGCTGGGTCCCTGTGTCCGCCCTGCTGCCGCACTGTGCTCCCCTCCCGGCTGTCTGCCCTCCTTTCCTCTCACCGTACGAGGAAAGTCCCCATAGGCTGACGGCTCTCTGCTGTTGGGCATTAGATAATATTACCTATGATAAAATACTATCGCGTATACACTGTTAGTATATAGGGGGAGGAGAACACTTTATTAAACTTTTATCCCGAAATAATTGTAGCTTCATATGTAGTTGTAAGAAACAACACAAAGCAATGCCCCTGGACCCTTTACCCAGATTAAGGCTACGGTTTGTTTTTAGTTTGTTTGTTTGTTTGTTTGTTTGAGATGGGGTTTCACTCTTGTCGCCCAGGCTGGAGTGCAATGGCGCGATCTCAGCTCACCGCAACCTCCGCCTCCCAGGTTCAAGCGATTCTCCTGCCTCAGCCTCCTGACTAGCTGGGATTACAGGCGCCTGCCACCACGCCCGGCTAATTTTGTGTTTTTAGTAGAGACGGGGTTTCTCCAGGCTGATCTCAAACTCCCGACCTCAGATGATCCGCCCACCTCAGCCTCCCAAAGTGCTGGGATTACAGGCATGAGCCACCGCGCTCGGCCAGCCATGGCTACAGTTTTAATTTACGGTAGAAAATGGTACACATGGGAGCCACAGCGCTCCCAGAAGAGCGCTGGGCTACAGTGCCCAATGGACACGTCCTGACACCACAGTCAACTGACATTTCACACATTCTACTAAATTCTTGATTCTAGTGGGCACTGGCATGCTTCAAATGCTTAATCTAAGCACATGGTTTTAACTTAACTGTTTACATCACAATTTAATCTGGTCTGCACATTCATCAGTGCACATGTACGTATGGGTGGACAGCAAGTGCATCTGTGTGCATGAATGTAGATGGTAGTGTGATTTCTTCTAAAAAGTCTAGCTATTCTCCCATCTCTGGATTCCCGGTGAACAAATATTAATTTGACCATAAAACTATATTATTTGAATCCTTGGCCCTTTTTTTTCTACTTGATAACTCACACACTGATAAGAAAGAATTAAAGTTCTCTATTGCAACTGTAATCTTTCGATCAGATTTTGGCTTTCTGTTTTCTTATCTTGACGACTTCTGACATATATATTTAATATTGTTTTACCACAATAAAATGGCTCTATGTAATTAACTTAATGCAATTTTCCTTAGTCATTTTTTAATCTGAATACTATCACTCCTATTTTGCCTATAGCTCAAGTTTGATTGGGAGAGCTCTGCCCAGCATTTTACTTCTAATCCTTCCATGCCTAATAATAAATGCTAAGATGGAAAATTCAAGCAAAAATTGGCAACTGTAAGACTGCATGGATAAAATATTTATCTAATCCATAGATAAAGGAATATTTTTGGTGCTCTATGTTACTTTCTGGAAAAAATTCATGATCAACCAAAAACTGATATTTTTATAGTTTTAAATGGTTTAAATATTGAGTTAATATCAATATATGTATATATTTATAAGACAGAGTCTTGCTCTATCACCCAGGCTAAAGTGCAGTGGCATGATCTCAGCTCACTGCAACCTCCGCCTCCTGGGTTCAAGCAATTCTCATGCCTCAGCCTCTGTGTTGCTGGAATTACAGGCACACGCCACCATATCCGGCTAATTTTTGTATTTTCAGTAGAGACGGAGTTTCATCATGTTGGCCAGGCTGGTCTCAAACTCCTGACCTTCAGGCGATCCGCCTGCCTTAGCCTCCCAAAGTGCTGGGATTACAGGTGTGAGCCACCATGCCTGGCCTCAAAATATTTTTTTAATATGAAAGTAAAAGAATGCCAATAGTCCAAGAACGCTTAGAGTTACCATCTATTGTTTAAGGAGAAAATGAACCTCTGGATTGGTAACTTCCCCTGAAGCCAGCCATTTCCATGAGATTCTAATCCTTTCAAGGTAAACACTGTCCTTAATTGTGCATTTATCATTTCCTCACTTTTCTCTATCTTTGTACCATACTTGTTTTCTTCTGGTTTTGAATTTTAGATAAAGATAAGCATAAACTATGTATTCATCAGGGACTTTTCATACATTCACATTACTTCGTGTAGCTGCAGACTATTATTAATTTTCATTTCCCCAACAATACTCCACAGTTTATCCATTCTGTTGCTGAATACTTAGGTTCTGCTCCTTTCTTGCTATTAAAAATCAGGACTGCAGGAATCCGCGTGCACATTTTCAAGAGTCCCCCTAGAGCAGTGGCTCTCAACTGCTGCGTGCTCCAGAACCACCTGGAGGGCTCGTTAAGCACAGCCTGCTGGGCCCCGCCTCCTGCATCTCTGACCCCGCAGATCACTCAGGAATGAGACTCATGAATCTGCATTTCTAACAGAAATGCAGCAACCTGTTGATGCACCCAGCAACATCCTGCTGATGCGGAAGCTGCCGGTCCAGTCGTCACCCCTGGAGAATCAGTGCTCTCAAGTGGCACCTCGGGAAGAATTCTGCAATGATGGGAATGTCTACATCTGTGCTGCCCAATACTGTAGCCGCCGGCCACAGATGGGTCTGCAGTACCTCAACTGTGACGAGTGTGACTGAGAAATGTCATGTTTCAATCTATTCATTTAAACAACTGCATGTGGCTAATGGCCACCATACTAGACAGGGCAGCCTGACTGCGTATGACTTAAGTGTGGAATACCTGGATCGTAGAGAATGCACCTCATCAACTCTCCCCGGTGAAGCCAAATTCTTTTTTGCAGTTGATTTTCACAGTGTACACTGGTAAATCCAAATACTATCACTCCTATTTTGCCTCTTACAAAATTCACAAAATTTTGTAAATTTTATTAACTTGAATCCTTTGCATTTCCGCATGCCTGGGGCTTCTGGCTGCGCTACACATTTGCTAGCATTTAGAGTTGTCAATCCTTTCGTTGTCAGCCATTCTGGTGGGCGTGCAGTAGTATCTCACTGTGGTTTTAATATACCCTTGATGAGTAATGTTGAGTACTTCTTCAAGTGTTTGATGGCCATTTGAATATCTTCCCACCAGTGTGTGGGATGGTTCTTACTACCCTACCTCCCTAAGATGACAATTTATCTTTCACCCTTAAGCAAACGGTCTGCCAAAGCCTCACTCACAGACAGATTCACAGAGCTCAGCACAAGGGTAAGGAGCCTCCCCTGGGGCTGGGCAGGAGTTGCTCCCAACGCAGCCTCACTGAGGACGGCGCCCTCTGAGCTGACGGCTTTATTTAGAGGGTTCTCCCCTCAGCCTCACTACCTGGGGAGAACCGTGACCATTTCCTTTTGTCCCAAGTACTTGAGATGGTCTCGCCCACGGAAGCTCAGGTTAACCAGATTTGGAAAACAGGACGAGGATGCCACTTACTTTGGGTTCATGTTTTGACTCGTGTGTGTGTGTGTGTGTGTGTGTGTGTGTGTGTCTTCTAAGTATTTCTAGATTTCAACATTTTACATGATTTTAATAGTTTTTTTCGGATGTATAATTTAAAACACAGAGATCTAAGCAAACTATTTGCTGAGTCTTGCAATTGAATATACCAGTGGAATCCACATCCCTATCAAGATATATAAATGTCCTTCTGCCAGCAATCCCGCACTACCCAGGGCTAACCAGAGGAAACCACCATTTTGATTTCTATTACTCTTGATTAGTTTTCGTCAGTTCTAGAACTTAGCGTAAGTGAAATCAGGCGGTATGTTTTCTCTTGCAGTTTTCTCTTGCTGGTTAAAATGTTTCTGAGATTCATCCACGTTGTCATTGAAGAGCACTGCTCGGTATGAATTTGTTAATCCATTCCCTTGCTGACATATATTTGCATTGTTTCCAGGTTTTGGCTGGTATGAATAAAGCTGCTATGAACATTCTGGTACAAGTACTTTTTTGTGGACATAAATGTTCAGTTCTCATGCACATACCTAGGAATGGAGTTTGTTTAGTTTTATAAGAAAGTGCCAGTTTTCCAAAGTGGTGGTACCACTTAACATTCCCATCAGCTGTGCCTGGGGCTTCTGGCTGAGCCACATACTTGTCAGCACTTAGTGTTGTCAGTTCTTTCATTTTTAGCCATTAAGGAGGGCGTGTAGTAGTACCTTGTTTGTGGTTTTAATTTGAATTTCCTTGATGACTAATAAGGTTGAGTACTTTTTCAAGTGTTTGTTGGCCATCAGAATATCTTCTGCTGTGCAGTGTCTATCTGAACCTTCTGTCCACTTTTAAAGTGGGCTATTTGTAATGTTAGCTATAGGAGTTTTTATATATCCTGGATATGGGTACTTTGTCAGATGTATGTATTATAAATATACCCTCCCTGTCTGTCCTTTGACTATTCAGATCTCTACTCGATTCTATTATTCTATTATCTATCCTTATGTCAATGCCACGCTGTCCTGATAACTGCCGCTCTGTAGGAAGTCCTAAAATCAAGAAGTTCTCAAACTTAGTTGTTCTTTTAAAAAACTCTGTAAATTTTATTAACTTGAATCCTTTGCATTTCCACATAAATTTTAGAATAAATTGATTTGTGTCTATAATAAAGGTTAGTAGGAATCTGATTAGGATTTCACTGACTTTAAAAATCAGTTTGCGGACAGTTAATTTTTTTTTTATTTTTGAGATGGAGCCTTGCTCTGTCGCCCAGGCTGGAGTGCAGTGGCGTGATCTTGGCTCACTGCAACCTCCACCTCCTGGGTTCAAGCGATTCTTCTGCCTCAGCCTCCCAAGCAGCTGGGACTACAGGCATGCGTCACCACGCCTGGCTAATTTTTGTATTTTTAGTAGAGACGGGGTTTCACCACCTTGGCCAGGCTGGTCTTGAACTCCTGACCTCAGGTGATCCACCCGCCTCGGCCTCCCAAAGTGCTGGGATTACAAGCATGAGCGACCATGCCTGGCCGTCAATTAATATTTTAACAGTGTTAAGTCTTTGTACTCATAAAACATGGTATATCTCACCATATGTTTAGATCTTTTTCTATTTCTCTCAGCACTGTCTTGCAGTTTTTAGTGTAAAGATCTTGAGTAGTTTTAAATTTATCCCTAAGTATTTTTAGGATTTTTAATGTTGTTATAAAATGATATCAACTTCTAAATTTTATTTTCTAATTGTTTATTGCTAATATACAGAAATACATTTGATTTTTCTGTATTAACCTTGTATCCTGCATCCACTTTTTCTGGTAGATTCTTAAATTTTTTCTATCTATATAATCCAAAGGACAATTGAGCTTTTTCCTTGTCAATCCTCATGTCTTTTATTTCACTTTCGTGACTGGAGGCCCCGGCTAAACTCCCCAGAGCAATACTGAATAGAAGTAGTGAGAGCAGAATTCTTGCCTGGTTCTCACCTTAGGGGGAAAAGCATTTGATAACTTCACCACTAATTATGAGGTAAGATGTGAGACTCTATGAGTGTCTTTCAACACGGAAGTGCCCTTCTACTCCTAGTTTATGGAGCGTTTCTACCACGGCGGGTGCTGAATTTTGTCAAATGCTATTTCTGCATCTATTGACATGGTCATATGGTTTTCCCCTTTATTCTGTTAACGTGGTCAGTCACATGGGTAGATTTTGGAAGGGTAAAGCAACCTTGCAAGCCTAGAACAAATGCTACTCAGTGTGTACTGTCATTTTTTTTTTTTTTTTTTTTTTGAGACGGAGTTTCGCTCTTGTTGCCCAGGCTGGAGTGCAATGGCACAATTTCGGCTCACCGCAACCTTCGCCTCCCAGGTTCAAGCAATTCTCCTGCCTCAGCCTCCCTAGTAGCTGGGATTACAGGCATGCGCCATCACGCCCAGCTAATATTGTATTTTTAGTAGAGACAGGGTTTCTCCATGTTGGTCAGGCTGGTCTCGATCTCCTGACCTCGTGATCCACCCACCTCGGCCTCCCAAAGTGCTGGGATTACAGGCGTGAGCCACCATGCCCGGCCAAGATGTTTCAATGTTACTGATTTTTTGATTTTGTTGATCTCCTCCATTGCTTGCCCATTTTCTATTTCACTGATTTCTGTTCTTTTCATTTTCATTTCCTTCCCTCTACTTCCTTTGGGTTTAATTTCCTCTTCTTTTACTGGCTTCTGAAGGTAAAAACTAAAATTCCTGATTTTAAGTCCTTCTTCTTTTCATTCATATATATATATATATATTTTTACAGGTATATGGTTAGCTCCCCAAGCACTGCTTTAGCTATAACCCACAAATTCAAAGGTTACATTTTTATAATCCATTCGGTTAAAAAAAAATCTCTTTTCCCTTTGACTTCTTTGAATCGCGGATTATTTAAAAGCATGCTGCTTAAGTTTCAAAATTTTTGAGATTTTTATCTTTCTGATTAATTTCTAACTTAATTCTATTAGAGTTAGATAACATACTCCATATAACTTTGATCCTTGTCTTACGGCCCAGGAAATCATGGTGATTCGTTACTGAGTACTTGCAAAGAATGTTGTTGGGTATCTGCCATTGTTGAATGTAGTATTCTATAAATGTCAATGAGATCAAGCAAGCTACTTCATAATTTTATTTAAATCAAATATACTTTTACTGATTTTTGGTCTCTTCATGCCATCAATGACTGAGAAACAAAAGTAAAAATCTCTGGTTATAACTAGTTTATCTACTCCCTTCAAGTCTGTCCATTTGTGCTTCATGTAATTAGAAGTCCTGTTAACACATTTAGGGTAGTTTATACGTTTTTGGTTAACAGATCTTTTATCATTAAAAAAGAAAAAAGTCCTTCTTTAGCTGTGGTAGTATGCCAAAGTATGTCTTGCAGTCTCCCTAATTTGATATTAATGTAGCCAGCCTTCTACTGACTAGTATTTGCATTGATACACCTTTTTTAAATCATTTTTTCTATCCATGTTATTACACGTAAAGTGCTTCATCTGCAAACAGCACATAGTTGGATCTTGCTTGTCTATTCACTCTTACAATCTATCTTTTAATTGAAGTATTTAATCCATTTATATCTAACATAACTGTTAATATGATTAAGTGTAAGTCTACTATATTGCTGTTGCTTTTGATGTTCTCTTCTGTACTCCTCTTTTTTCCTACATGTCCAGACTCTTTCGGATCAATCAAATATCTTGCAGTACTCCATTTTATCTTCTCTACTAGGATTTTATACCTATGTTTTATTTTGCTAGTGGTCGCTCTAGGGTTTATAGAATACATCCTTACCTCATCTGAATTTATCTTCAGTTACTTTGCACCACTTAAATATAAGAACCTTACAAGAGTTTACTTCCATTTACCCCTTCCCTGTGCTATTATAAATGCTATTTTCTAGCAGTTTTATTTCTTTTCCATGGGAAGGTAGCTATTTCACCAACCTACTAGAAATGAAACTTCAATTTTTCTTTATCAAGATGTCTGTCCCGGCTGGGCACGGTGGCTCAAGTCTGTAATCCCAGTACTTTGGGAGGCCAAGGCAAGTGGATCACCTGAGGTCAGGAGTTCAACACCAGCCTGGCCAATATGGTGAAACCCCATCTCTACTAAAAATACAAAAGTTAGCTGGGCATGCTGGCAGGTGACTGTAATCCCAGTAACTAGGAAGGCTGAGACAGGAGAATTGCTTGAACCTGGGAGGTGGAAGTTGCAGTGAGCCAAGATCGTGCCACTGCACACCAGCCTGGGTGACAGAGTAAGACCTTGTCTCAAAAAAAAAAAAAAAAAAAAGTCTGCTCTACATTCTCACTTACCCACTCAATGACAACAAGCCCCAAGCCACGTAAAGTAGCGCTCTCTTGTTCGTATATATACAGGGTGTTTAGAGAGGGCAAAGAGAGAAGCTCTGCACAGTTGAGGACACTGTAGCTGAGAGCTCTGTAAACTGATGGAATCGGTCCACGTCCTTCTGTGAGCCTTTCCACCCCAATACTCTCTATCATACTACAGCAGCTCCTGAGGAGAAAACCAGTCTCCGTGGGAGCATTCCTACCATGTGATAGACCTTAGATGAATGTAAGGAAAGCCTTCTTAACTAGAACCAATTAATAATGGAAGAGGCTGCCTTGTGAGTAATGGGTTCACTGTCACCACAGGTAGTGCAGCAGACACTGGATGATCAGCAAAAAAGGGTGCAACAAAAGGATTGTATATGGGGTGGTAGGTTCCCTAAACCTCGATGGTAAGAATCACACTGATAGCAACTACACGCCACAGCTCTGGCCTGTGACACGGCACTGCGTGCCACAACTGTGCTAAGCGCGTTACATTCACTATTCCATTTGGTTTACTCCTCACAATGGTCTCATGAAGTGGATCCTACCACCAGCAGTGTCTTACAGGTAAGGGAGCGGGGGGCATGGAGCTGTTCCATGCCAGCCATTCTCACCTGTCTTAGCTCTCCGGGGAGGGGAGGGGGCACACTTGCATACACGATTGCAATTCTCACCCTTTTTCTACATTTATTTTGAAAGCAAAAATCTTACAGTATAGATTGAAACATACTCACGTCCATCCAGGGAGAGAGGTGACACAAAGACCAAGGGCAGAGGGAAGAGAAGTGAGCTCAGAGCCAGGAGAGCAGGCTTCTCCCTGTTTCTCTCCACGGCACTGCCACATACTTTTACCAAGTGATAGCCTGCTCATCCACAAAACCTGAAATCACACTTTCTACCCCCTCAAGGGTGTCTAGGGGGACCAAACACAGCAACTCCGTGGATGGGCCTGGCATGGAGATCCAGAACACTGCTGTAACAGATGGGCATGTATGACCAAGTTCTGTAAATTTCAAGTGCTAAATACAAGATGCTGCTGGGCAAGGCAAGGCAACACTGAGACAACCATTCCAGGAAGGAGCGCAAATTAGGAGAGCAGAAAAAGAAAACCGTGAGGTACTGAGTACAGACTGTGGGCCAAGTTCTGTGCAAATCCTTTTAACCTTTTCAAATCATGGCGCACAGGCATTCCTATCCCATTTTAAAAATGAAGACACAGGTTCAGGAAAATAAGCCACAAAATGAGCTTTATCCCAGAAAGCCTTCTCTGACCCCTCAGACTAAGCCCAATGGCCCTGCTCACTGATCCCATGGTCCCCGTGCTTCTGCCACCGCAGCCTTCGGTGCTCTGCAGTGCGACTGCCTCTTCACTTGTCTCACTCCCCACCAGAGTGTGAGCACCTCATTGCTGGGCTCCTTACAACAGCTCCAGGCACATAGAAAGAGCACCATAAATACTCAATGTGCAACTAAAGGTCACCGGGCATAGAGCCGGAACTTGAACACAGACCTTTCAGACCCCCCAGCAGAACCGAAGCAATAAGAAACCACTTCCAATAGGGCGGGAGGGCTTGCTACCAGGCCTTGGGGAAAGATAAGTACTGCAGACAACTCTGGAGCCACAGCAACCTGGGATCACAGGTTAAAGGGACAAACTGCCCTTAGCCACAAGTAAGTCACATCCCAAGCCAGAACTCACATACTGGTGAAGACTGAGTCATCAGAAAGAGTCCACACTCACCAGGGAAAGAGGAAAAGATGTCTAGGCAGAGGAGATAGTATGTACAAGAGTAGTGAATGCACACAGAGAGTTGGGGAATGGCCAGTGGAATGATGTGGCCAAGTCTGCCAGCTTCCGACCAAATACTCTTTCTCCCCTTCTTCTTCAATAAGAGAATCCACAATTTTTAGCTGAGCCATTGGCACCAGGAACAAGTGGTCATGTGCCCAGTCTCCTTTTCAGCTAAGAACAGCCATGTGATTACATTTTGCCAATAATACGCAGGCAGAAGTACAGGCAATACTCAGGATGCATCCTTCAGTGAAGAAGGCATGATGCCCTTCTTTACCACTTCCTCTTTCCTGCTAGCTGGGATACTGACATGACGGCTGGAACTCAAGCTGCCCTTATGGACTATGAGGTAGCACATTAAGAGGATCAGAGCATCAAGATGTGTGCCACCAATGATCTCACAGTCCCACAGATGTCTACCTCTACACTCTTGTCACAGGGAGATGATATTCTTTTTTAACTGTTTTTTGTTGCTGTTGCTGTTGCTGTTGTTGTTTGTTTTCCCCCACCTGTTACATGCAGTCAAAGCAAACGAACTATCACAAATGCGGAGACCAATAATGGAGGTCAGGGAGGAGAACAAACAAGAAAAATGGGAGGGAGAACAAGTGGAAGGAAATGCAGGAGATAAACCAGTCCTCACATAGTTTCCCTGGCCTGCAGAACTCCAATCTGCCAGATTTATTTAATAAATACCTAATCACCTACCAAAACACTGTTCAATTATTTAAAAAGTGCATTTTAAAATGTCCAAATGCAGGGGATTTGGTATTGTTGTTCTCTTTGTATTACTGGTTTCTATTTTAAATGCACCATGGGAAAACATATATATATATATATGTGTGTGTGTGTGTGTGTGTGTGTGTGTATATATATATATATATATACACACACATATATATATATACACACACACACACATATACATATATATACATCAGTCCCAATTTGCTGGAATTTGTTGAGAATTGCTATGGCCTTCCATGTGCTCAATTTTTACAAATGCTTCACGTTATTCTCTGTTTTCCGGTGCAGACTTCTATATACAACCGTTCAATTAAGCTTGTTTTTGTACTGTTGTAATCTTCTATGCCTTCTCACTTTTTGTTTGTTGGCTTATCAACTAATGAGAAAGGTAAGATAAAATCTACCACAATGATTACAGATTTGTCAATCTGTCCTTGTAATTCTGGCAACATTTACCTAATATACCGTAAGGCCAAGCTTCTTAGGTGCATATACGTTCAGAACTGCCATATATCCCTAGTGACTTATTTATTTTATCATCCTGTAGAGATCTCCTAACACTAATACATTTTGGCTTAAAATCAATTTTGTCTGATATCAGTGTAGCTATTGCAACTTTCTTTAGTCATGATTTTCCTATTGTATTTCTTTCCATTTATAAAATTCAAAACTTTCTGTGTCCATATGTGTGTGTGTGTGTGTGTCAATCATGAATACCACATAGTTGGATTTTAGTTTTCAAAAATCACTGTCTTTTAACTGGCAAATTTAGGCCATTTACATTTATTTAAATAACTATCTCAATATTTATTTAAAATATCTTATTCATGATTTTTACTTTTACTGCTTTTTAAAAATATTTCTTCTCCTTTTATGCCTTCTATTGTATTGATCAAGGTTTTCTTCCTCTCTCTTTTTCCCTCTACTAATTTAGAAGTTGTATATTATATTTCTACTCATTTATAGTGGTCACCCTTTAACACTGAGGGATGGGATTTTGCTATATGCCCAGGACGGTCTTGAACTCCTGGCCTCAAGCAATCCTACCACTTCAGCCTCCCAAGATGCTGGGATTACAGGCATGGGCCCCCTCACCTGGCTGAAAGTCTGTTTTTGATGCTCTATCAGCATCTCTGGGAGTTCTCAGGATCATGTGATATATGATATTGAAAGCTCAGCACCCTACAAAGCCTCCCCCAACACACACAAGAAGCAAAGCAGGGATCTATGTCCCCACAAACTCCCAGTTTAGTACTTTGGTTCTCTTTTTTTTTTTTTTGAGACGGAATCTCGCTCTGTCGCCCAGGCTGGACTGCAGTGGTGTGATCTCGTCTCACTGCAAGCTCCGCCTCCCTGGTTCACGCCATTCTCCTGCCTCAGCCTACCGAGCAGCTGGGACTACAGGCGCCCGCCAACATGCGTGGCTAATTTTTTGTATTTTTAGTAGAGACAGGGTTTCACTGTGCTAGCCAGGATGGTCTCAATCTCCTGACCTCGTGATCTGCCTGCCTTGGCCTCCCAAAGTGGTGGGATTACAGGCGTGAGCCACCGCACCTGGCCCTTTGGTTCTCTATTACACCCCTTTGTTCAATCTGATTAACCCAGGAGGTCTGGGCCTAACCCAGAGTAGATGCTCACAAGAACACTGATGAATGAGGCTGGATGAAAAGGACCCTCGCAGCCAGGCTGCGGTGTGCAGACTTGATCTGTTGGCCAATGGAGGTGCCAGTGAAGAGGACTGGGCAGGAAGGCGGTAGGATGGCTCTCAGGATGACATGGAGCATCTGTCCCTCACAGAACCGACAGAACAGAATTCAGACAGTGCCACTTCCAGGTCCCCGAGGGGGTGGCTATCAAAAAGCACTCCAAAAGATTTCACATGAAAATGTACAAAGAAGGGATATTAGATTGTATGCATCTAATTTTCTAAACCTGCCAAAGAAGTAAATTATTCACTTCAGTGGATGTAGCTGAGGATCAATGAGAGACGCCTTTCCTAAATAAGCCTATTTCTCTCCAGAGAAAAAGTTTTGAAGTTGCCTGGGATGGGTTAAGACAGAATTAACAAAGTGCCTGCTTCCAGCACCTCCTCAGTTGTCATGGTGACATTTCCAAGTGGAAATCATTGATACCGAGCAGTCCTTTCCCCTTAATAGATGTGTTGACACACATTAGGGAAAACAAGGGAGTCTGCAGAGGCCAATGTGGGCGATCTCAGCTAGCAGCTCCATCGGTCTCCATTTAAGCCATAACCTGGCTTGGATTCCTAGCCTGGGAGGCGCTCCGGATTAGGACACGCATCGTCCACATCATTGCTTCATTGCCTTGGAGTAAAAACAAGAGTCAGGATGTTAAGTCTGAATTATATACTTTGTGGGGTGTTTTGTTTTGCTTTTGAGACTGGGTCTCACTGTCACCCAGGCTAGAGTACAGTGGTGCGATCATAGCTCACTGCAGCCTCAACCTCCGGGGCCCGACTGATCCTCCCGAGTAGCTGAGACCAGAGGTGTATGCCACCATACTCAGCTAATTTTTGTAGAGAGATCAGGTCTTGCTATGTTGCCCAGGCTGGTCTCAAACTCCTAGACTCAAGTGATCTGCCCTCCTCGACCTTCCAAAGTGCTGAGATTACAGGTGTGTGCTAATGTGCCCAGCCTGAATCATAGTCTTTTAATACTATCTTTTTTAGAAAGCTCCCATGGGGTGGTGTCTTTAAGGCCTACTAAGGAACAAAGGGCTGTTTGCCCATGTATTAACGACACGCAGACTTCTGTAGAAAATGAGTGTCTGGTGCGATTTTTAAATCTGTTTTCCTCCCTGCTGCCTGCCCTGGGGTCTGGCTGTCAGGCCTTGTTTCTGCTACCATCACTGTCGGAGTGGGGAAGTCCTAGACCCAGCAATCAGAGCCCTTGTGGTTTTATGTGTTTTTTTAAATTTTTATTTCTAATGATTATGGGTACACACAATCATTGTATATATTTATGAGGCTTCATGGTTTTTCCCCGCAGCCTCAGCATGCTGGCAGAGCTCTGTGGAAGGCACCCTGAAGAGGCATCCACACGGGGCCTTCTGATATCAATTGTGGGGTTCAGTCTCCCTCTGCAGTGTTCCAAACAGGGAAGGCTGCTCACCCAATTCTAGAAAGGCAGAGTGTTACTATGTTAATGAAACCGCCAGCGGCACAAAATAGACTCTGTGCTTCAGTATCTGGAATAACAATAGTTGCTTTCTACAGCCTGGAACAACATTACGTGGATATGGTTTCCACAAAGTACACGATTTCCTCTTTCCTCGTGAGTTTTCTGGGTCATGTCTATTTCTTCGCCAAGTCTGTACTTCTGCTTCAACAGTTAGAAGAGTCTTTCAGTACCATTTTTCCTGGAATAATTTGTTATCCATCATTTTTATGGCAGTATTAAATTTTAAGAGGGAATTGAGAGGGATAGAAAATCTATTGCATATTCCAGCCCCAAAAGAAAGCCTTTAATAAATTTAGGACTTTTCAGTTTTACATTCAAATCTGACCCCAGAACCAAAAAGCTGCCCAGAGCTATCCATCCTTCATATAGGAGTGTGGGGCCGGTCACCCTCCCTTGTCTGCAGCTGGGCAAGAGGCTCCATGCGGGCCCTCCCAGCAGACAGGCAGGGCAGGTCTGATGAACAAGACCATGACATGTATGGCCAAGAGGCACAGCCTCGATGGCCAGAGGGCAGGTTCTGTCTCCACCCACACACAGGCCTGGCGGGTATTCACAAGTGTGCCCGACAGGACACCAAGTAAATCGGATCGGGGTGCCATGTGCTCACCACATACCTATCCAGCTCTTAGCAGGCTGCCAGCATGCTAGGCCCCCTGCACAGGGTGTGGGATGTAGAGCCAGGTCAGGCACCTTCCTGGGTGCCTGCAACAGTGGCCCTGGGAAATGGCAGGGGTGCTAACAGGGGTGTGGCCAAGTGCATAAGGCATGGAGAGACAGAAGCCCCTGCATCTGAAACATACCAGGCAAGCTCTCAGGGGAAGGCCACTCCACGGATGGGACTGGGAACTCCACTTCTGCCAAATGCAGGCCCAGGCACTGCACTGCTGCAAAGCCAAGGAGGCTGCGACCAGAAGCACGACAGGCACATTGTAAGAATCACACAATTGCTTGGTGCTGGAGAGATGGTGAATGAGGCAGAGTGGCCCCAAAGGAGAAGCTGTGGCCTGGACGAGTGGGGACTGAGCTTCAGTCCCAATTCTGCCACCTGCCAGCTGGGCAGCTCCACATCCTCCACCGGCCTGCACCCCAGGAGGGCAGCCTCTCCAGGCTCTGCCCCACTCCTCTTTTTCCTCCTAATTCCCAAAGAAGCCCACCAGCGTCCTGGCCATGCCTCTGCCTCGGGGGCCTCACCTTTCCGAGCACACTCGGAGGGCTGCTAGAGAAAACCGCATCTGAGTATTCATGACAAATGAAACCACCTTAGAAACATGAAGTTTTCTAGAATAACACTCGTAAAGACCAAGGGAACACAGGCCTGTTTCCAGCATTAAGCCATGTGTGTTATCTGCAATATAAAAAGGCAGGGGGTCTCAGGAGAGGCCATGACTGAGCCCAGCCAAACACACCACACGTTTTATCATCACAACCCAGGGAGAGGCACAATCAGAAACTGTCTCTCCACTCCGAGAATAACAAGATTGATGTCTGCATCATATTGACTCTCAGGACTCAGAAATTCAAATGAGGAAATAACTTTCATTTATTAGGACTGGCTCATTTCTTTTCCTCTTTCCCAGAACCGCAACAAACCACAGCCATAAAGCATTAGCAAGGGTTTCTGGATTGACAGATCAAACCAGAGGATGATTAATGGACAGAGTCTTGTTTAAAAGGAAAGAATGGAAGTAGCAGGGCTGGATCCTTTCCCGCCGGCCCCGAGTGAAGGGCTTCCCGTTGTAACTTTGATTGTGAAAGCAAAGAGCCTAAAAGCGGGAGCCCACCCCAGAGTGGGGCCGACTCAGGAAGACTGAAAGGGCTTGTGCTGCTGCAGAAGCTCAGTGGCTCAGGTGGCTGGGAGGGCAGAGTGGGGAGAGAGGGGCCTGCACTTCCACCAAAAAGCAACTGAGGACGGGCAGGGAGCAGCCAAGAGTCACTCCCACTGGAAGGTCTGACTGCCCCAGGCACAAAACCTCTTTTCCTTGGCCACAGCAGCACAGGCTGTAAGGCGGGTATCTGGCCATACTCTGTGCAAGCTCCTGGGAGGCTTAAACAAGCTAACAGGTGCAGACTGTGGATGACAGTGATAGGCGCATGTGGGCTCTTAATACGTGGAAATTACTGTGGTTTTATTTGTTCTCCAAAGGTATGGGAGGTTGGTTACTAAAATTACTTTTCAGTTGCTCATTAAAAAGAAATAAGCACAGGTATGGGGTAAAATATTTCCAGCCAGGCCTATCACTTTAAGTTCAATAATCTTATGAAATGTTTATACTCTTAGGTTCACAGAAATGGAATTATTGGGCCATTTAAGTATATTCAAAATAACAGGGAAACAGAAACAACTTACACGAACAGCGCCGGGACCGTCAGGTCAGCTCCGCTCCAACCAAACAACAGGGAACAGCCTGGAACCGTCAGGTCAGCCCCGCTCCAGCCAAACAACAGGGAACAGCCTGGAACCGTCAGGTCAGCCCCGCTCCAGCCAAACAACAGGGAACAGCCTGGAACCGTCAGGTCAGCCCCGCTCCAGCCAAACAACAGGGAACAGCCTGGAACCGTCAGGTCAGCCCCGCTCCAGCCAAACAACAGGGAACAGCCTGGAACCGTCAGGTCAGCCCCGCTCCAGCCAAACAACAGGGAACAGCCTGGAACCGTCAGGTCAGCCCCGCTCCAGCCAAACAACAGGGGACAGCCTGGAACCGTCAGGTCAGCTCCGCTCCAACCAAACAACAGGGGACAGCGTCCAACCAAACAACAGGGAACAGCCTGGAACAGTCAGGTCAGCTCCGCTCCAACCAAACAACAGGGAACAGCCTGGAACCGTCAGGTCAGCTCCGCTCCAACCAAACAACAGGGGACAGCGTCCAACCAAACAACAGGGAACAACCTGGAACCGTCAGGTCAGCTCCGCTCCAACCAAACAACAGGGAACAGCCAGGACCGTCAGGTCAGCCCCGCTCCAACCAAACAACAGGGAACAGCCTGGAACCATCAAGTCAGCTCCGCTCCAACCAAACAACAGGGGACAGCGTCCAACCAAACAACAGGGAACAGCCTGGAACCGTCAGGTCAGCTCCGCTCCAACCAAACAACAGGGGACAGCGTCCAACCAAACAACAGGGAACAGCCAGGACCGTCAGGTCAGCCCTGCTCCAACCAAACAACAGGGAACAGTCTCGAACCATCAAGTCAGCTCCGCTCCAACCAAACAACAGGGGACAGCGTCCAACCAAACAACAGGGAACAGCCTGGAACCATCAGGTCAGCTCCGCTCCAACCAAACAACAGGGGACAGCGCTGGGACCGTCAGGTCAGCTCCGCTCCAACCAAACAGGGGACAGCGCTGGGACCGTCAGGTCAGCTCTGCTCCAACCAAACAACAGGGGACAGCGCTGGAACCGTCAAGTCAGCTCCGCTCCAACCAAACAACAGGGAACAGCCTGGAACCGTCAGGTCAGCCCCGCTCCAACCAAACAACAGGGAACAGCCGGGAACCGTCAAGTCAGCTCTGCTCCAACCAAACAATAGGGAACAGCCAGGACCGTCAGGTCAGCTCCGCTCCAACCAAACAACCGGGAACAGCCAGGACCGTCAGGTCAGCCCCGCTCCAACCAAACAACAGGGAACAGCCGGGAACCGTCAAGTCAGCTCCACTCCATCCAAACAGGGAACAGCGTCCAACCAAACAACAGGGAACAGCCTGGAACCGTCAGGTCAGCTCCGCTCCATCCAAACAACAGGGTTTTGCTCCAGCAAGGACAGAGACATGCAATTCAGATGCACTTGCACCATGCCAAGACTCACGTTCGTCCATCCTGACATATGCAACACTGAGGCTAGGGCCGAGGCCTCACCGAGAGGACACAGCAGTGGAAGCACGTTCCGTTAAGATTCCGCCACTCCCAAGAGCCATGGAGCCAGCACTCAGTCTGAACTCTGGGAGGTACGACGTTCCATCTGCACCACTCACACTAAAACGAAGTTGGGTTTTGAGATTGTTTGGATCATGTTTGCAACAAAAATATATGTGAACCTGCAGATTCTTTGCTATACATTTTTCAGTTTGGTCTACGTGTGCCAGATCTCACTTGGAAATTGAGTCAAATGAATTCCTCTAAAAACTTGCTTTTGCAAACTTTTGTGGTATTATTAGATTTTGCAATAGAAGTTATTTTAACAATGTACAATATAATTAGCCACTTAATGTTATTAAGAAAATTTATGAGCCATTGTGGGTTGAAAAACAGCCCCAAGTGATATTTATTAACTATCCAGGACTAAAAATAGGACCCTACTGCCTCAGTGAGCCACATTTAAAAAAACGTAGAGTCACAAATAATATGTCTAATTACGTATTAAACTAATTCTCGCCTTCACCTTTTGAATTTCTAAACTCCTTACCTCATGTATCATTTTAATTATTTTTCCAGTTCATTCCCAGGGAAACTGGCTGATGGGGAATTAATTAATGGGTCCAATAAAGAGGCTGCCAGCATTGTTCTACCACAATCTGCACCCTGGCCTCATTTGCATGTCTCCTTTTATTCTAAACAATAGCACTGCTGAGATTTCGGCGTGAAATTGTTAGCTCATTTAAAAGGACACAATCATATCCATTTCCACAGATATTCATCAATTATCACATTTTACTGCAACATGAATCCATGAATAGAGCAACCACTAGAGTTTCTGGCCCCAGGGTTTTAGAGAAATTACAGGTATTTAAATATCATATGGCATATTCCACTTGATGAGATGATTTTGGATTATTTCAGGTCCACAGAAAGAACTTATATGAAAAGCAGGTGCTCTGTGGTGCTGCAAGTCGTAACATCAAAGTCCCCACCAGAAGAGCTATCTTCATCTTCTGACGTCTCACATCCTGTGGGACTGACACACGGACTTCAGAGAAAGAAACATGACTTCCTTTGGTGACACCGGCTCTCCTGATGGCCTTTGGTAACACTGGCTCTCCTGATGGCTAGCAGTGTCAAGGATGCCTGCTTTCTACCCAATGATGCCGGCAGAGAGGGAGGGAAGAGCCCTGGGGGCAACGGCTCCTCTCCCCTCGACAGTGGTGCCATGGATGGGTGGCTACCCCAGTCAAGGGTCCGGCCAGAGTGGAGACTTCTGCCCACAAGGTCTCTGCTGCTGGTTTGCCAAAGAAGAAAACAAGCCAGGTGACTAGACACTGCCCGTGGCCAGACAGGGGAGCCCCTCTCCCCAGCTCTCCCTGCCGAGCGCTTTCGCGGACTCTGGTGGAGGTATGTCTACTCCCTGACCCCTCTCAATGGAAGGCTCCTCCAGAGCAGGGGATGGTGCTTGTCAGTCTGTTATGTCCAGCATGCAGAACTAGAACACATGGAGTCCGAATGTTCAGAGGCACTCAAAGCATCGTGCATGAACAGGTGGTCGACAGACAGACAAGTGTGTGTTCCAGAGGCCTTCAGGCACCTGAAGAGGGCCATTCAGCTGGGAAAGTGCTGAGCAAAGCACAGTTCTGTGAGTGCACGTATGCAAGCGCAAGTGTGTGTGTGTGCACGCACACTCGTGGTCTTAATCTGTTTCAAGTTATTAAATACATGACGATGGTCCCTTCCTGAGGCTGTGGCATCCATCCCCAGGCATCTCTGCCTGTTCTGATCCCTGACACCACCTCCCACCATGATGAACCCGAAACAACAGGACAGCCTGGGGCAGACACGCCCAGCCACTCTGAGCAGGCATCTTTGGAGCCGGCGCCTTTACTCACTGTGCACTGATCAGAAGGGAATTCTCTGTGGATGTACAAGGAGCATCGTTGCAAAGGGTGGAAGGCCCACCTCTGTCCTTTTATATGCTAATGCCCATCTCTTTGTGCACCCTGGCTTTTCTCCTGAGCAGTCGCCCCTTCATTACCGGGATGAATAGAGGTGGCAGGATTTATTAAACTATAAACAATGCCTGAAAGAGCTTGTGCTGGAATTTACAATGGTTCTCTTCTGCCTCTAAAGGCCTGGAAGAAGAGACAGAGTGGTTAAAATGGGGGCTTTTCTTGAGACAGAGTCTCACTCTGTTGCCCAGGCTGGAGTGCAGTGGCACCATCTCGGCTCACTGCAACCTCCACCTCCCGGGTTCAAGTGATTCTCGTGCCTCAGCCTCCTGAGTAGCTGGGTTTATAGGCACGTGCCACCACACTCTGCTAATTTTTGTATTTTTAGTAGAGATAGGGTTTTACCATGTTGGCCAGGGTGGTCTCAAACTCCTGACCTCAAATGATCCGCCCGTCTCAGCCTCCCAAAGTGCTGGGATTACAGGCGTGAGCCACCGCGCCTGGCCAAAATGAGTTTTTTTAAAAGGACTGGTATCGGGCAAACCAAGCCAGGTACAGGCAACAGAGTCTGTGGGGAGTCAAACCCTTTTAATAGGCACGGCCCATTCGAGACAGGATTTGCAGTGACCTATCCAGACACCAGTGTTAGAGCTGCATTAAAATACAGATGTGGAATGGGCCAAGGGAGGAGAGCAGAGGTACAGGTATGCCAGGGGGTCGAGCAAAGTTCATGGGGGACCTAGGGTTTCCCCGATGCCCAAGGTAGATGAGTTTCAAAGAGGCTGGCTGCCTGGGCAAGTGCTGCCTCCCGAGCTGCTGCGTGCCAAGGTACAGGGAACTGTGGGACAGAGCTGGCCAGCACTCTGTTAACGCTGTGCTTTGCCTTCCACGGGAATACCTTATAGTGGACACACAGCCAGGCTGTGCTTCCCAGCCTCCCTCCGCACACGCTTGGTCCCTCACCAAGGGATGCAAACAGAGGGACAGGTGCCCTCAAGAGGAGCGTCTCTTCGCGGGGCTGAGCCATGATATACTGTGCACCCTTGGGCAGCCAAAGCTTGGCCCTCCCTCCCTCCCGACCTCCCCTGACTCGAGCATCCCCTCATGTGCCCTCTAGTCCCGCACGTACGTCCCGGCACACGCCACCAGCATTCCGAGGAACCCCCCTCGTGGGTGCCACCCACTTCAGGATTCAGGCAGCACCACATCCTCCTGCGTGAGCACCAGGTGGCTTTGCCATTGTTTGTGTGAATTTTAAGATGCATTTCCTTTTCAACAAAACCAGCTTTTTAAGAAACGCCTGTGAGCTGTACCCATATGCCTTGGTTTATCTAGTCCCCAGCAGCTTAGTTCCCAAAATGCTGTTGGCATGTTGCAATGCAAAGTGTTTTGATGACATCAATCACCTTCCCTAACGATCCTCGATAAATGTGTTTCTTTCCACCAGCTTGTTTAATACAAGTCTTTATCTCCCATGACGCACAGGGTGGCGTGACTCAGAGGAGGGCTCTTTTCCTGGATCTACATGTCCAGTTGTCTGCTAGGCATGGGTCCAGTGTGCCCAAGGTCCACTCACTCAGTGTATTCCCAGGGGGACACTGCATTTCTCCCGATCCTCCTTCCTTCCCACCCCACGCACAGCTGGACACAGGGGGAACTGAGGAACTCAGAGCAGGATTCACGACGTGGCCAAGGAACCCGCATCTCCTCACCTGAAGTCACTCACTTGAAACAAAACACAACACTAAAAACCAGCTGCTTCTAGACCTTAGAACTTTGCAGCTTCCTCAAGTCAGATGGGGAAACTGAGGATGTGACTCACGCAGGTCTCCCTCAATCCAACCCAGTCCCAACTCCGAGGCCTGCTAAGTCCTCGTGGAGACCCACAGCAAAAACACAATGAAATCTTCACTAATACTTGTTTCTTAACTCTCCCCCAAGGGCAGGCAGGGGAGGGGCAGGGAGCCAGGCCTGCCCCCCAACAGAAGCAGGTCCAGGAGTGTCCAGCCACAGGGGAGGCTGGCAGGAGGGTCGTGAGCCCTGCCCCGTGGAGAAAGGCTACCACCTGCACAGAGCCCACCTGTGAGACTGAACTCTCGGAACTTCGCTTTTCACTAATGTTAGTGAGGAACCAAAAAGAACTAAAAAATAACCTTAATTTATAATTGAGATTCCTCTTGCTTAAAAAAGCCTTAGGCCGGGCATGGTGGCTCACGCTTGCATCCCAGCACTTTGGGAGGCCAACGTGGGCGGATCATGAGGTCAGAAGATTGAGACCATCCTGGCTAACACGGTGAAACCCTGTCTCTAATAAAAATACAAAAAAATTAGCCGGGCGTGTTGGCACGCACCTGTAATCCCAGCTACTTGGGAGGCTGAGAATCGCTCGGAAGGTTGAGAATCGCTTGAACCCGGGAGGCGGAGGTTACAGTGGGCCGAGATCGTGCCACTGCACTCCAGCCTGGGTGACAGAGTGAGACTCCGTCTCAAAAAATAAATAAATAAAATAAAATAAATAATAAACAAATTTTTAAAAACCTTGATACATCCCTTAGAAACTGCCTCTTTATAATGACAATGATTAAAGTGTACAATCCATTTCTCAAAAGGACTGTCAACTACAGAGAAGAAACTAAAGACACTTGGAGAGTTAACATTTATTCTTCGTGAAATTTAATTAAAAGCAGCACATTCCTGACACCGTAATGGGCCAGCGATCCTGAGTAAGATGGTAGACAGGAGACACTTAGAGGGACAATCTCAGCGTTTATGAATACCCAGATGCCCCTAGGATTCCTTCCAAATCATCTGGTCCTGCGTTACGGTGATGGCGACAGTCACCACAGAGCCCTGCCAGGCCCTGAGGAGGACGAGGGGGCAGTGCTGAGCACGGCTGGGCAGGGCCAGGCCCAGCTTGGCCTTAAAGCCACGTTTAATGACAGTGCATTCGCAGCAGTAAGAAAAGGAATAATGTTTTCTGAAAATGTACTACCACCTCTGTACTTAAAATAAAATACCATCAGGTAAATGGATCAGACTGAACCAGTTAATCCTCCCTGACATTAACCATACTGAGCTGAACAGCTCCATCTGCAGAGACGTGCAACAGGGATTCTGGTTTTCTAATTCTGTGTTTGCTGAACCACAAGTGGCCTCCTGTGGACAAACCTGCCTGGCTTAGAGCGGCATGACCGCCCGGCACCGCTGCCCGGGAACTGAGCAGCTTGCACTGGCCTGTTAAACTGCTGAGCGGGAGAGGAGGGCCAGTTCACCACAGAGAGAGCACGGGTGCCGGCAGCGGCTCCCCGGCAACGGCAACGCATCAGCCCTGCTCCACGAGGGCCTGTCCACAGCGAGTGGATCCGTGTCCCTCAAGCCCCGGTCCTGGTGGTTCCTGTGAACGTGGCCTCCCTGGAAAACGGCATCTGGAGATGCAGTTCAGAGGAGGCCACACTGGAGTAGGGGGGGCCCTGATCCAATGACGGGTGTCCTCACAGAAGAGGAAAACAGGGCACCTGAAGATGCAGTTCAGAGGAGGCCACACTGGAGTAGGGGGGCCCTGATCCAACGATGGGTGTCCTCACAGAAGAGGAAAACGTGGACACAGCCACACAATGGGAGAAGGCTACGTAGCGACAGAGGCAAAGACTGGAGTGAGGCTGCCATGAGTCAGGAATGCCGAGGATGACTGGTAACACATGGAGGCGGGAAGGGGAAGCATGGGGCAGATTCTCCCTCGAAGCTTCCAGAGCGAACCAGCCCTGCCCACACCCCAATTCCAGAACTCTCAGGCCTATAAGCCCTCAGTGTGTGACACATGGCAGCTCTAGGACATGGATACTCCACGCGAGTGACAGCCCAGTCCTGACATTCTTCACCTCCTCAGGTGTGACTGGAGGGGCACCCAGGCTCACCCTCAACACAGTGCTCCCCAAACATTCCCGGACCCCCAGCAGGCACGAGGCTGGTAGTACCCAGGCCTTGTACCACAATGGCCAGGCTCAGTATGCCCTGGTGCACACCCCCGCCGGTCTCTCTGCAGGCTGTCCTCTCCATCACCCAGACGAGGCCTCCCTTCCACCCACGGGGCTCCAGGACGAGGCCGGGCCTAACTTCCATCTCCCCAAATCCTAAGGGAACCTCTTCACCTACCCTCAGACCGCTCCTGCTGGGTGGCCCTTAGTGACAGCCACTAGCCCTGGCCCCAGAGTCACGCACAGCCTTGGCTGCGCATCAGAGCCATCCGGGGTGGTTTGACTACCAGTGTCCCATGAGATTGGGAACCCTGGAGGCGGGATCCGAGCATCTGTGGCTCCTGAGCCCCAGCGATTCTTCAGCCAGGGGTGAGGCCCTTGGCCTAGACTCCTCCTTCTGTCCATCCTCCACCGAGTCCTGCTGCTCCTGCACCCAGAACTGCCCATCCTGTTTCTCCACCGTGCCTGCCTTCAGATGGCCTCCTTCCTCTGGGGTCACCACAGTGGCACCTTCTCCCTGTTTCCATGTTCCTGCGCTCGCTGCTGTTTCTCACCTTCAGGCTTTTTCCCAGATGCAGTACCAACTAACTCGTTGCACATGGTGGCCTGGGGGGCTGTGGAGTGCGGTCCTATGAGCCAGTCTTCTTCCTCTGCTTGGAATGGCTGCTCTTTGCCACCACCCACCACTCATAGATAACCTGGGCAGCCTGCAGGTTCATCTGGATTAAACAAGTCACCCCAAACTTAATGACTTAAAATAACAATGGTTTGGCTCACAGATACGCAGTTTGTGCAGAGTTCTGTGGGCCCCCAGGCTTCTCCCCTCACCCACTTCCTAAGGTCGACCAGGGATTTGCCTCGTGTTCCTAGTCTTTTCCACACGAAGCTGCACCTATGGCTGCATTTTATGTCGTGACAGGAATAGAAGTCACTACGGCACTCACGCTAGAGGAAGCACCATGCACTGTAGAAATCACTACGGCACTCACGCTAGAGGAACCACCATGCACCGTATTCTGGAATAAAACAGAAAGGAACACACGGACATTGGTTCAGGACAAAGGAAGCAACACCAAAGGCTTTGTCCAGACAGCCACGTGCTGCTTCCG
The DNA here is from genome assembly GCF_000001405.40 of Homo sapiens. Classification (NCBI taxonomy): domain Eukaryota; kingdom Metazoa; phylum Chordata; class Mammalia; order Primates; family Hominidae; genus Homo; species Homo sapiens. The sequence goes on along the minus strand of NC_000022.11, from coordinate 47,062,406 downwards.
AGCTGACTGTAAAGCCAGCAGGCCCAGCCCTCATCCTCCCTCACCCCACAGAGAATGGACCTCAGACCTCAGACACAAGCAGGTGTCCAAATTCCCAGGAGCACACAGACTGCCGGGACACCCAGAGCTTCCGATTCAGGAGGCCTGGGTAGGGCCTGAGAATGTGCTTTTCTAGCAAGTTTCCAGGTGATGCTGAGGCTGCTGGTCCAGGGTCCACACTGCCGGAACCCTGGGAAAACAATCCGCGTTCTGACTGACAGCAACAAAGGGGGCGGAGGACTGACATTGTCACATTGTCTTTTTTTTTTTTTTTTTTTTTGAGATGGAGTCTTGCTCTGTCGCCCAGGCTGGAGTGCAGCAGAGCGATCTGGGCTCACTGCAACCTCTGCCTCCCAGGTTCAAGCAATCCTCCTGCCTCAGCCTCCGGAGTAGCTGGGATCACTGGCATGCACCACCACGCCTGGCTAACGTTTGTATTTTTAGTAGAAACGGGGTTTTGCCATGTTGGCCAGGCTGGTCTCGAACTCTGGACCTCAAGTGATCCGCTGGCCTCAGCCTCCCAAAGTGCCGGGATTACAGGCATGAGCCACCACACCCTTGTCACACTTTCTAACCTCAAGACTGGGAGGAAATAGATGAACACTTTTAAGGAAAGAATCCTTTACGATGACAAACCACTCCACTACACAAAGACACAAACCACCGACAATGCAAAATCCTGGCTAAATCTCTAGATGACTATGGAGAGTGGAAGGAGTCAGGTGAAAAGGGGCATATGCTGGAGCCCAGCTTGTCTAAGGCTACAGAAGAGACAAAACAAAACGCTGCAAATATGTTTAGGACTGTGTGGGGAAGCTGCGGTGAGGGATCGGAAGCCACCCTTGGATCTGCGCTCGAAGCTTCTGTGAGAGCTGCTCGTGTAGCAAGGGCTCTGCCAAGTGCTGGTGGCTGAGGACGAGCAGGAAAGGACATCCCCTCTCGAGGGACTACCAGAACCAGGGAACCAAGCAGGGACCACGACCAAGGCAGAGGAGAGAGTGAGGGGAGGAGGAAGAGGCCCTGCACACCTGGGCATCTCTGGGAGAGCAAGCCAGGCCCCGTATCTGCCCCAAGGAAAGCATCTGAGCACCTTTACAGAGAACGGTGGTGAGGGCACCGAGGAAGACAGCGTGGCTTAACGTTTCCAGGACCGTGGTGAGGGCACCGAGGAAGACAGCGTGGCTCAACCTTTCCAGGACCGTGGTGAGGGCACCGAGGAAGACAGCGTGGCTCAACCTTTCCAGGACGGTGGTGAGGGCACCGAGGAAGACAGCGTGGCTCAACCTTTCCAGGACCGTGGTGAGGGCACCGAGGAAGACAGCGTGGCTCAACCTTTCCAGGAGGTCGCATGCGAGCGGTTCCGGTGGTTACCTTGAATGATCCCAAGTGTCATTCCAGGGGCTGCAAATATATCTTCAGTAGGCAAAGACAAGGCCCCTGACAATAAAATATAAATGACCACCTGTCTTCTGCAACCGCCCCGATGATGGGAGTCGAGCGGCATGGCGCTAATGGAAGGGAAGCAACCTCAGACACATGGGACACCAGGGGAGCCTCCAAAGGCACCTGCTGCTGGACTGACTCCGCTAAATTGTGTGCCCTTTCTGGCAGCATTTTCCTCCTATGTAATTTGGCAATTATTTGTCTGCTGAACCATCACCAACTTCTCCCAAAAAGAAAGTCAGAGGCAGTCGGATCACCTGAGGTCAGGAGTTCAAGACCAGCCTGACCAACACAGCAAAACCCCGTCTCTATTAAAAACACAAAAAATTAGGTGGGCGTGGTGGCAGGCATCTGTAATCCCAGCTACTCGGGAGGCTGAGGTAGGAGAATCGTTTGAACCCGGGAAGCGGAGGTTGCAGTGAGCCGAGATTGTGCCACTGCACTCTAGCCTGGGCTACAGAGCGAGACTCCATCTCAGAAAAAACCAAAACAACAACAACAACAAAAAACAACGAATTAGCTGGGCATGGTGGTGGGCGCCTGTAATCCCAACTACTTGGGAGGCTGAGGCAGAAGAATCGCTTGAACCCAGGAGGCAGAGGTTGCAGTGAGCCGAGATCATGCCATTGCACTCCAGCCTGGGCAACAGAGCAAGACTCCATCTCAAAAAAAAAAAAAAAAAAAAAGTCAGAAACCCTTAGCAGGGGCCGCAGAGGCTGAAGGGAGGCCTGATCTGCCTGCTGGAAGTACGCAGAGCACTGGCTTCTGGCATCCTGGTTTTAATGATAAACGGAGCCAACACGTGCATAAAACATGCACCAACAATCAGGACATAAACTGCCACAGTCCTGTCCAAATGAGGCCTTTTCTCCAGGATCTCGAGCCCCCAGAGTCCTCTTCTGACAGGAGGACGGCCATGTCATGGGCAGTTCCCTGCAGATCGGGCGGCTGTGCGACGCTCCTGCAGCCTCCTGTACCCTGGAACAGAGAAGCTTGGCCTGGAGCTCATCTTCTGTGAAACACACAAACACCACAGCACTCGTTTGCATAACTGAAACTGTGCACTTTTATAGTCACAGATGGTCCTCTTCCAAAACCATCTTTAGTAATAATCATAAGATCCCTGCTGTTACCGTAAAGTCTAAATGCCAGAAACATGTGCTGGCTCAGACCTGAAAGCGCAGGGATGCTGCTGGAGCTCAGGCAGAAACGGCACCTGCATTTCATTCCAATTAGCTCATGACAGAGAGAGGGACCTTTGAGGCTTACACACTTGGAGGTGGGAGCTTAAAAAACTGCCTTTCAGGAGATCGGTAATTCTTCATTCCTTAAAATAATTTAAGGAATCCTTCAATTAAACAAGTATCTTTGGGTGACAGACACAGACTTGCTCACATTGGGGGTGGAAACACACATACACGCTCCCAATTTAGTGCTCAGGAGAAAACTTTAAAACTTTTACATGCAGCTCAAATGACTCCCGTGGAAAGAAGGCGCAAAGCTATGGCTTCTGAAAAGTGAAGTGAGAGTGGGCGCTGGTGTGAGAGGCCGGGGGGACGCTGCCAGTGCAACGCCCTCCTGTCTGCACCTTCTAGTTCTCACTGCTCTCTTACAGCGTCAAGAAAGGGCTCCCACACCAGACGCGTGCGCACCCACACCAGTGTGTTCAAGATGCCCAGTAGGACCCTGGCAGAAAATCCAGGTGCCAGACAGTGGAGGCGCCCACACGGCATGGCCTGTCCCCCAGCGCTTTGCTACTTACCAGCTGGATGGCTTTGGACAAGAGCACCTACCCTGGCCGAGCCTTGATGTTCTCATCTGTAAGGTGGCCATCACAACGCTTACTGAACGCAGCAGCTCTCAGGATGACAGGGGTGTGTGGAGTGCCCAGGATGACAGGGGACGTGTAGAGTGTCCAGCGCAGGACCTGGACACTCCGCAGTTCTTGTGTGATGATGACTGGTCCTTCTTCACCCTCAACTGAGGGAGGGGTATGGGGAGAGGTTCCCCAGGGCCCCACCACTGCTCAAGATCTGTCTCCTTCACCTGGGTCCAGCGGGCCCCATTCATGCTCCTTAGTCATTCCATTTCACTTATGCCACCTTATTCAACCAACAGTCACAGAGCAACACGGCTGGGTCAGAAGCTGTTCTGAGCGCTGGGACCTACGGACCAACCCCACCAAGGCCTGGGCCTCAGCGAGCCTGGTGGGGCAGAGCCACTGTGGCTCTCCAGGGACCCAGCCTGTCCACCTGGACATCTCTCTGAGCCCTGCCTCCTTGCTAACAGGGAATCACAGGTACATGATAATGTGTAACTCGGAACCAGGGGACAGTGGCCTGGAGCAAGCAGAAGAGAGGGCAGAGGGATCAGAGAAGAGTAGACAAGGGAGGGGAGGCAAGAGCTAAGGTGAGGGGAAGGAGGGCTCTAATGCTGGACTAGACTGGGTGGTCATAACCACCACAAGGAGCCGGGAAGAGGAAGGACGGTGGGGCTGAGGGCTGAACTCGTTCTCGCAGGGCTGGCCTGGCTGCAGAGCACTGGCCCTGTGATGGCTTCTGTCGGGCGGGTGGAATCATAAGCTGGGGGGCAGGGAGAGGGACAGGATCATAGGAGTCCGAGAAGAAAGTCAAGTCAGTAACAAGCAGCTCCAGGCCTGCACGGCATGGGGAGGAGGCCAGCCCCTCAGAGCCACCTTTGAGACACAAAGACCCACTAAGGGCAGGGAGCTCCAGCTGTCTGGGCCAGACACAGGAGTCCGCACGCAGGGTGTGGCGTGAAGCTAGCCTGTTGCTTGCTGAGACAACAGTGGCCACCGGAGCTCAGATCTGCTGGGCAGTCCTTGCTGTGCCAGTCCCTTGGCCTGCAATCCTTGCTGCACCTAGGGCAGCCCAAGGGGGGTCGAGGCCCTGCGCTGGTGCCACACAGTAGCAATGACGCAGCTGAGATCCTCGTGGGGCCTGCCTGACCACAAGCCCAGGATCTTCACCCATCAACTGCCCAGCAGGTCCCTTTACAAGTGTAGTTGCATTTCACCTTATAAACCCCCATGGGGCAGGGGTAACCATTTTGATGTGGTCTGACTGTGTCCCAACCCAAATTTCATCTTGAATTGTAGCTCCCATAATCCCCACGTGTTATGGGAGGGACCCAGTGGGAGGTCACTGAATCACGGGAATGGTTTTCCTGTGCTATTCTCGCGATAGTGAGTAAGTCTCATGAGATCTGACGGTTTTATAAAGGGCGGCTCCCTGCACACGCCCTCTTGCCTGCCGCTATGTAAGACGCGCTTTTGCTCCTCCTTCGTCTTCCATGATGATTGTGAGGCCTCCCCAGCCATGTGGAACTGTGACTTCATTAAACCTCTTTTTCTGTATCAATTACCCAGTCTCAGGTATGTCTTTATTAGCAGTGTCAGAACAAACTAATACACATTTCCACTTGGCTTAGTGAAGTGAGGGATGTGCCCACGGCTCCCGGAAAGAAAGTGTAGCACTGTCCATCTGGGTTCGAGCCACCCTGGTTCCCTGCACCTGGAAGGAAACTTGTAAAATCCTGCTGCAAAGTGCAGGGGAAGGCGGGACGGTGGCCTAAGGGACCATGGGGTGGGAGGCAAGAACTTCTGCTCCCGTGGAAGGAGGAGCTTGGGACTGACTGGGAGGGGAACAAGGAGAGAACCCCAGCCAGCTGCCCAGCGCTCATTTGCGGCAGCCTCAACCTGACTGAGGAAGGGGCGATTCTGGCTGAAACCCACCTACCGACTTCCTAAAATGACCAAACTTGACATCAAAACAGCCTCGGAATCCAACAACACTGCATTCAGCCTGACTCCCAGGCCAGAATGCCACAGACCCGGGGCTAAGGCAGGGTCAGGCACCTGCCAGGTGGGCTGACCTCACGGGTTCTCTCCTGAGTGGCTGGGCCTAGGCAGCAAGGCAGGGAAAGGCAGTGTAGGAGGCGGCTGCTGGACCCCTCCCTGTGACTGCAGCCCGCCAGCACCTCCCATGTCAGACACCCCTGCATCTCCTCTGCTCCAGGCCCCTTCCATTCTGTGTCTGTCCCTGCAGCTTCCCCGGGTAAAATGCCGTGACCCCACTCTGAAGACCACCACCCTAGGAAACCTGAGGTGGAGCGAGCTGTATCCACCCCAGATGCTGCTCAGACAGTTCCTGCTGGTCTGCTAAGGTCCCCTGTCATAGGACCATGTTCTAGGACAGAAGGCCTGGGTCCTCTGAATCCCTGGGGTTGACATGAGTGTGGCCACATCTGTGTCCTTAAGACCCAGCCAGCTGCACGGCTCAGGCAGCGGTGAGAAGACCAACAAGGAGACAGGATGGTGGCTGTGCACAGACGGGGTGGAGAGGGATCTGAGACAGAGATCTGAGGGAGGAGTTGGTGACGGATGGCACGGGGCACAAGACAAACGGCAGCTTCTCTCTGGCTTCTGCATCAGGAAGGGGGGTGGCCTCATCTGCTGAAAATGCGCAGGCTCATTCTGAAGGATATCGCTCAGGGCTCCATGGTGAAGTCAAATCAACCGTCAGCTCACAGGCAGCCCTGTGCCTTCAAAACCAACTCAAACTCAAACGCTGTCAATCACTAACAAGCACCCGGCCGGAGGAGATTCCTTTAAACAGCAAGCAGAACTTTACATACAGAGCCCCAAGGGCACCCAGGTCATGCGGAGGAAGGCGAGCAGTCTACACCACGGCTGGGGAGCAGCAGTGTGGAGCGTTACCCAGCCCGGCCCGGCCCACCACCCACACACACTCTTCCTGAGAGACTTTTTTGGGCCACCGTTACCCGACCCAGACTGCTCAAACAGACCCAAGACAAGGGCAGTCGCTGATGTGTGCACGGGACACCTAACTCAAGCAAGTAATGAAGCCTGATGACGGGAGCCCTGCTCAGTCCAACAGTCCCAATGATGGGGAGTCCTGCTCCCTGGACGGCACCTTCCTTCCCATGGAGCCAAATGGCAAGGACCCTCAATGGCGTATCTCACCAACCCTCAGTGGCGTATCTCACCGACCCTCAGTGGCGTATCTCATCAACCCTCCGTGGCGTATCTCACTGCCCAGGAACTCAGACCCAATTATGGCTGAATGTAGGCAGGGATCACATCTATGCCCTACTCATCCCAGCTCCCAGCAGCAGACAGAGGCTTTTAAATGGCCTTTTCCTCCTGGCCCCAAGGGGCCAGAACAGCTCCTCCCCAGCCTCCTAGGTGCGCCTGCCCACTCCCTCCCTCTCCATGCTGGCTGCTCTGCCTGGCTGCACCTCTCTGCCTCCCCACACCTACCTAGTGCTGAGATTCCCTGAGGGCAGGGGCTGCACCTTACCCCTCCATGACCCCAGCTAACAGCATAGGGTCGGGCTCCAAATTCTTGCCTTATCGATCTTTGCTGTATATCACAAATGTACATACCCCTAATCAAAATTCTCAATATGATCTCTGATTTGGGTGTGTATTAACACAGTAAACTACTGGGGCTAGTTTTCTTCCAGCCATCCACCCATCCATCCATCTCTTCCCCTGTCCAGCTGACCACTCCGGCATCAGTTTGCCAGAGACGCGCTGGTGCAATTAACCACCCACCTGCTCCAACCCGAGCATCAGCTCTGGGCTTGGCAGCAAAACACTCACCTGACTCCATCGTTCTCCTATATCTCACACAGGGATAAAGAGAATGGCAACAAAAGAGAAAGACTTGTGGGAGCAGTAGGGGCAGAGCCCCAAGCAGGGCACAAGGGCCAGCCTGGCAGGTGTGGGCTTTGGGGTAGACCCCAACATCCCAGGAGGGAGCAAGTACCCATGCAGTGTCACAACCTGCTCCTGCCAGTGCCCTCGAGACCCCCTCACCTCCTCCACCTCGGAGGCAAGAAAGAAGCGGCTAAGAGGCCAGGTCCCCGCCCACTGCCACCCAGCTGCGCAGGGGTGGTCAGGACTCTGACCCAGGGCCATGCTGGACCTGGGCTGTGAGTCCCAGCCCGTGCTTTAAGGGTGAGAGTGCCAACTGCACCCACACCCCACGGTCTGTGCCCTACACACCACGACATTTCTGCTGTTTACAAGTTAACAACGGGAAGTAGGGAGACTTGAGGGAACTGGATGAGCCCCTCGCCCTTGCCCCACAACTTCTACGTGTACACAATCATCAGCCCGACCTGCCCAGGAACAGCCCTCACTGGCCACCTCCCAGGCGCCCACCACCGGCCCTGCTACTTGACTTCAATCAGCAGCAAAGCATCTTTCTTCTCTTAATGCATCAGCAAGGGGGAAATGAGTGCCCAGGATTCGAAGGGCCTGAGAAGGAAGAGGAGCCGCGTGGCTGGAATAGCAATGAGCTGCCGCTGGGAAGGCTCTTGGCCGCACCAGCAGATGGACATGGCGAGGCCACAGAAAGGCGCCCAAGCAGATGCTGGAGCCAGCTCTGTGGAGAGTAAGTCATGCAGGCAGGAAGCAGGGCAGAGTGGGAAGTGGGCCGGGAGTGGACACAGACGATGGGGAGGAACGGCCAGGCAAAACCAGGACCCCTCACCTCGAGTGGTGCCTCGAGGCAGAAGAAAATGAAGCCCAAGGATGGCTGCTCATCGTCTCCACCAGCTCTTCCAACACAAGCAGTGGCAAGTCCACTCGTTTCTAACTTGGCCAAGAGAGACTTCAGGATCCACCACGTGCTCTCACCAACATCTTGCTTTTTTCCTGAAACAGCATCCCTCTTTCACTGCATTGTGGGTCCCTGCACGTCCTTCCTCCTCTCCTAGCAGCCATGGGTGCTGGGGGGCTCTTGAGTCAGGGATGCATGCCCAGAGCTCGGGCACTGGCTGCTACCCAGAGACTCTGAGCAGCGCTGGCCATTGCTCAGGGAGGGAACTGCAGCTCTCACACTGAGTCTGTCCCTTCGAAGCCGGATGACTGATGAGTCAGGGCCTCTCTCAGCCTGTTTCCTCCTCTGTACAACAGAGAAGTGATAGCCCCACAGTAACAGCTACCACTTCTGGAGCATTCCCGTGTCCTTGGTTCAACTCCATTTCTTAACGATGGCTTGGGGTGAGGCTCACAGAACCTCCTCTTGTTGTTCCTGGAAGATTAAATGCGCTGGTATATGTCTGAGTCCACAAGGCAGCACGCGGGAATCCAAACCAGCGCCTGGAGCGCAGAAGGGCTCAGCCAACGCCAGTGAATGTGATGTTGTCAGCTGACTCAGCAAAATTACTAATGATGTTTCTCAGCCAAAGATGAGCCCGACAATATGTCACAAGTTTACCTCAAACCAACCTCTCAACCTCCTGCTGTGCACAGAGGCCTCCCTCCTCGCTGGCGTCTCTGAGGGCTTGGCCTTTCTGCTCTCCTGATCCTCACAGGCCTGGCAAACTGCTGCCCCGACTGGGAGAGAAGCGCCCTCCATCTCCTTCAAGGGCACTGGGGAGCAGCACTCCTGAGGCCTCTGAGTGCGCCTGACGAGGCGGCCCTGGGACAGGCCACCCTGCTTGCTGGTCCTGCAGGTAACTGTGGCCTCCAGAGGAGGGGGTGCCCTACCAAGGGGGACTGGGATAGCAAAGCCCCCAGGCTCTGCCTCTCAGGAGGGGCCCTGGCAACCCCTCACCTTCTCCACTGCGGACGTGAGAAACAAAGACACGTCCACCCCACCTGCAGGCAGGCAAGGAAGAGAGCAGAACAGGAGGAGGCAGAAAGTGGCAGAGGAGCCCTCCAGGCCGGAGGGGACACGCAGGAAGCAGTGAGGCCCTGGGCTGGTGGTGGGCAGGAAGCAGTGAGGCCCTGGGCTGGTGGTGGGCAGGAAGCAGTGAGGCCCTGGGCTGGTGGTGGGCACGATGCTTGGGGCAGCACTCACACACAGTGAAGGTGCCCAAGTCAAATGACAGAGACATGACAATGACCACACAGGTAAAGAAGAGGGAGGCCAGTGTGCAGGTGTGAGGAGGCCCAGCCAGCAGCCCAGCATGTCACAGCTGCGTGGCATCCAGGTTTACACCAAGACCCCAAGACCATCAACACGGGGATACCGGGTACCACAGAGGGCCAGCCATGTGGCAGTGATGTGCCAACACAGACGGGCACCACCGTGTGGTGGGCTTGGTGTCACTGATTGGGGAGCAGTGGCCTGGAAGGACAGGAAGATGCCCGGGGGTACTGTGGGAGGCCGTCCTCCTGCTATCCTGGCTGCCCCAGCAGAGCCTGAGCAGTGCTGTGTGTGGCCGACAGGAGTCCTGCTCAGGACAGGCAGAGCCTCCAGCCGCTGCCCCTCAGAGCAGGAGGGCTGTGATGTGGCTGCCGCAAGCACAGGGCCATCCCCGGAGAAGCTTGGTGCAACACTGGCAGGCAATGGCCTGGGCACACCGTGCTGTGTGACCTCAGGCGAGTCCCCTCCCCACTGTGGGAGGGTCTCAGGGTCCTCTCTCTGTACACAATGCTCCCCAGGGGGCCCATCCATCAGGCTGTCTCCTTCTAAATGGATCAAGCCCATCTTTCTTCCCAGCCTCCCACCTCCTCACCTTGAGGGTCCCTCCCAGGCATCCCCAGGCTCGCCCGCTGTGCCTGCCCCTCCCAGGGGCCTCCCTGGCTGGTACCAGGAGGCCACACAGGCCGCATGGCCGATGGGCACCCTCATCAGGAGGGCGCTGGCCCGGCCTCTGGACTATGGAATGATTCAATATTTCCTGATGGACTCAAGTATTCAAAATGAAAGCAAATTGCTCTAAATACGTGTTCAGAAAAACATCCCACTCTAACTCCAGAACTGGCTTCCCTGTGCTGTCTGCTGCTCTCCAAATGAACCCATGTTCAGAGTGACAGAGGACCTGCGGACACCTTGCTGGGGGCAGGAGGCCCAGTGAGAGCCTGCCCCACCCTGCCTTACCGCTGAAGAGGAGGCATCCCGCCCGCTCTGTGCTTTCTGTCCACACTCACAGATTCCCCAGAGGCCGAGAAAGCAAACACTGTGAGATGTGCTAGTGGCAATGCACTCTGCTTCTGTTCACCTCCGCACAGTGACCGCCTTTCAGGGTAAGATTCTGGAACAGCAGGTGGCCAGGAGAGCACCGCTGAAACAAACTGAATCCCTGAATACAAAGCAGAGAAGGAGTCTTCTCCACTCATGACAGAACACAGCGGGAGCAGAGGAGCGCGAGAGGAAGGAAAGGAGGAGGGAGGGGAGCTGGAGAGGAGCAGTCCTGGGGCTGCAGGGAGGTGCCGGCTGCCCCCACCCCAGGCAAGCGGCCAGGGCTCACTGCTCCTGCCACAGAGGGTCTCCTCCAACAGAGCTCCACAGCCTGGCAGGGGCCCGGCCCCTTGAGGGGACCTGAAAAGCATGGCTGGCCCAGCCCTCCAGGAGAATCACCAGGGCCTCCACCGGAAGGGCGTTTTGAGATCAAAGAATGTTCTAGCTCCCGGCTCCCGAAGCCACCCCTGCCGCACCCAGGGTCCGCATTGAAGCAAGTCCAGGAGGATCCAGAGAGCACGGCTGAGGACCGTAATTCCGGAACTAGACTGTTCTTTAAGGACGGAAAGACAGTATTTTCCAAATGTGTGCATTTGAGAGTATAAAAAAATCTTACAAATATTTAAAATTTAAATTGTAGTTAATTATCTATAACCAGGTACCTTCTCTGATAAATACAATTCTAGGGAAATTTGCTCTATGTCTGGAACCTGGAGGGTTTACGTATTTAGAGACAACAACATTACTGGAATGTTCTGCTGAAGCTGAGGTGGGAACTCCTCCCTGCTCCCACTCCCTCAGCTCCTTTGCTACAATCTACAGCCCCGAGGGAGGAGAGGTCCCCCTGCAATGACCCAGCCTCCCACATGACCTGCCAGGCCACAGGGCAGAACCCACGGAAGCCCCCTGGGGAAGCCCCAGAGCCGCCGCCCAGACAGGGTCTCCTTAGCAAAGGGAGCGCTGCTATTCCCAGGCGGCTGCAAAGGTCCCCGCGACTGCCCCCGCCACCCCCTGCTCCCTCCACCGCATTGGTGTGGCCGCCCTCCTCATCCAGAGACACTGTGAGCAGAAGCTGCCACCCAGGGTCAGAGGGGAACCCAGTCCACCTGTCCAGGGCATGGCAGACAGACCACAGGCTCCTCCCAGGCTGTCCTCACCATCCCCCCACCTCCACCGATGCGCACTTCACCCTCATCCCACCCACCCCAAGGTTCTGCCCTCACAAGACCCTTCCCGAGCCCCCGCCATGGCCTGCAATCTGACTCCGGGCCCCACCCATCCCTGGCTGCTCTTAGTAGCTGTCTCCTGTGGCCACCCTGTACTTTGTGCAGAAGGCAAGCTCCTAGAGTCAGGGCCCAAGCGGCGCCTGGAGAGGCCTCACACGCGGTCCCAAGCAAATGCTGGCTGCAGTGAACACTCTGAACGGATGCTCTCAAGCTTAAAATGTCCCAGAAAGACACCATGGGTGAACTAAAAGGTTACCTAAAAAACAGAGCACAGCCAGCTGCTAAAAACACGGGAAACTTTTGGAATTAAATAGCAGCCATGGAAATAAAAATAGAATCAGGGTGTTTCTGTCTACTGCTTAACCAGATGAGGAAGAACGAGGTTAATGAAAATGCCCAGTGATGGTGACGGTAAAGAAATGCCCCCTCTCGGCCAGGCGCGGTGGCTCATGTCTGTAATCCCAGCACCCTGGGGGGCCGAGGCGGGCGGATCACTTGAGGTCAGGAGTTTGAGACCAGCCTGGCCAACAGGGTGAAACCCCGTCTCTACTAAAAAATACAAAAATTAGCCAGGCGTGGTGGCAGGCGCCTTAATCCTAGCTACTTGGGAGGCAGAGGCAGGAGAATCGTTTGAACCCAGGAGGCAGAGGTTGCAGTGGGCTGAGATCGAGCCACTGCACTCAAGCCTGGGGGACAAGGGCGAGACTTCTCTGAAAAAAGGAAATGCCCCCTCTCACAAAACTGCTGGCTGCAGGGCAAACCAACTCAGTGGGCCCCAGGGTCACTTGGCTGTGGCCACCAAGTTCCCCAAACACAGGGGGACCCGTTCACCCTGCAGCCCCTTTCCTGAACACCTCTTTTACGGGACTATTTCTAAATACAGAAAAAGCTTTAAGCACAAATATATCATCTCTCAGTCACAAATACACTGAAAAATCACGCACCACATTTAAGTAGACTATGATCTATCCACAGGCCAGAATATTAAGCAAACATTAGCTACAAAAACTCCAAACTAACACAGAAAGCATTATGACTGGGCAGTGTGACAGAGCCAAAGAGAAATTTATGTACTATTTGATTTGTGTTATGTTTTACAAAAAAACTCGTAGAAAAGGATGGAAAAGAGACACTAACACCTGCTCCACTGGGGGCCATTTATGTTGGGTTGGATATATTCAAAGGGGAGGTTTTCCTTCTTTCATCTCTGTAAAGTTTCAGCAATATGCATGTACTCTCATGATGAAACTTTAAAAATTAACACTTTAGAAAACAGGAAGTGAAGGAGGCCCGCTGAGAAGTGCATTCACCTGCAGGTTTACTCAGAGCAGCGCCATCTGTGCAAAGGTCCCGCTGCCCAGGGGGACCCTGATGTGGACGTGAACCCAGCGCCCATGCCCGCTTCTTCTTTCCCACACTTCCGCATGCTCAACCATTAAGTACCAAGAGGTTCGCCCAGGAGCTGGGAGGTTAATATCGGAAAATGTCAATACTGGAACAGTGGCGCAAAGCCGAAGGTTGGCCCAGGAAACCGTCTGAATATCACAAGCCTGGTCATGTAGGGCCTGGAAAGGAAGAGCACAACGTGTACCCGGCAGAGCTGTGAGTGCCACACTGGGGACCCAGGTGGAGCGCCGGCCTCCTCTTCCCGGCCATTAACGAAAGGTCACAGAAAATTGGACTGGAAACCTGGAGAATACTCTCCATGCTGGGGACACAGGAGGCCAAGCTCCTGAAAGCAATTCTCAGGTTAACGTTTCCTTTTTGGATTTCTTCCAGAACACATAAAAATGAAGGTCATTACCACGCTACACCAGACCTTAAAAGAGGAACCTATAAATCCAGGGTGCATGCGGGCAGTCAGGTGTGCCCCAGCATGGGGGCTGCGATGTCCAAAGGGTCCCGTGCAGGGCCCCTCACCCCTACATTGCTCCTGATTACGGTGCGGCAGGTGCCCCACCTCCCCCCAGAGCTGGGCAACAGTAAGTCAGCCTGTCCCCATCCCACCCTGCACAGGAACACAGCAAGCTCCGTTCACTAGGAGAAGCAATGCAGGAGGGGCCTGCACAGGGGACGGCAGAGGAAAGGAGAGAGGGACAGGAGCTGGCGGGAGAGGCCTGGCCTCAGGGAACTGTAAGTGCTTCCCATGGCTCTGTCTGCCCCATGCTCCTCTGGCCCAGTGGCAGCCACTGTGAACATCTGGAAGGCAAGGCTGCTGTGCCCTTCACCCTTTACTCCTTGTCCTCTGCCTGCCAAGGAGGCCTCTGTAACCAGGAACTCTGACCAGAGACTCCTGAGCACCGTCTCGGCAAGTGACGTAGTAACTGGATGTGCTGGGGCCTGACCACCCTGTCCTGGAAGGTGACGCGTCCTCCACCTCCCGACCTCAGGCTGGATGCCACCCTTTCCCTACCTGACAGCAACCATGGGTGACCCTGGGCTTGGGCTGACCCGGTAAGTGCTAAGGGGGTGCTCTGAGGGGAGCCTTACCGCACTGTGAAACCCCAAAACCACACCTCACACATAAGACGGGTCCACACACACCTCTCAGCAGCAGGGCCCAGCCTGGGGCTCCTCTCTCAACTACACCCAGAGAGCTGAGTCCCAGGAACCGCAAATGCAGCAACAGCAGTGGAGCTGGGGCAGCCCGGGGCAGACTGGAAGGCACCTCAGCCTCCATTGGGACCCTGTTCTGGCTTTTTTCTTGTTCCTTTCATTTAAGGAACACCAACTTGCAAAGATGACATCCAGCCACATGGTCTGGGGAAAGACTGAGGGGCTGCCCTTGGCTTCCGGGCTGTCAACTCTAAACTTTGGAGAAGTCCTGTGGGCAGCTCCACAAAGAGATGGGAGCAGAGTCTGCAGCAGAAAACAGGGCACAGCTCGAGCAAAGGCAAGGAGTAGAGGCAGACGGCAGGAGCCTGGAGAATGCACAGCCTCGAGGCCTTGCCAGGGCACCCGACAGGCTCTGAAAGACCCCAGCTCTGAACCCTCCACACAGGATGGGGCAAGCTTCTTCCACCATCAAGGATGAGGTCAACTGAGTGTTCATTCTCAAAGTCCCATCAAACTGCAGGCCTGACCTCTTGGTCACCATCACTGGTGGGGCCAACCTGGGGCAGTAGGCCTCAGCCACTTGCCCAGGGTTGGGGCAGCCGGTGCTTCCCGACAGCCCCAGGACTACTCCTCTCTGGGTCCTCTCCTTTGCTGCTCCGCTCGGGGCTGTCTCCATCTATTTCCAGCAACCAGCTGTGCTGAAGGTTTGGTGCCTTGAAGGCAAGAACTTCTCCTCTGTGCCCCTCTCCTTCAGCGCCCAGCACGCTGCCCTGCACAGGTGATCTACTCAACTCTTTAGGACTATGATTTCAATCACCGGCCACAAAGATACAATTCAATAATTTTCCTAAAAATGTATGATTCGTATTTAATATGCAGCCTTCATTAATAGGCTATGTGTATTCCTTTCTTTCTAATCTTGTCAGAAATCTTCCCAGGCCATGCATTTCTAGCAAGAGGGTAGGGCTGGCCTTGGTATATCACAGAATTGCTACATGCAAGCAGGGAAGGTCCCCGAGCCCTCCTCCGCCACACCCTCGCACTAAGAACAAGCTAAGATCAGGAGAAACACAAATCCTCACAGCAAACGAAACCAAGCCCTCCTCTGGGGCTTCGTCCCACAACAGGCCTAAAGCAGTTAGACAAGTTGCTTAAGGTCACACTGCAGATAAAATATTAATGAATACATCATCTGAAAGCTTACCAAAAATGCCCCAAAGAAAGTACACTCTTTGTGGCCTGGAGTGGGGCAGACCCGCCAGCCTTTCTTACACTCCTGGGGAACAAGCTCCCAGGCTGCCTGCACAGGCCCTGCACCTGGCATACTGCTGTTCCCGCAGCCTTGGTCTGGCATCTGGGGGGATCCAGGGCTCTGGGATAGAGGGGTCCCTGGAGATGATCAACTCAGATGTCAACGGCTCTCTGGCTCCTCTTCAGTTAAAACCTGGACAAGTGCGGGGAGGAGGCTTCAGGGGGCCCAGGCGCCATCACAGCAGCAGCTCTGGCAGAAAGGTATGTTTCGTGTTCAGCCCTATTCTTTCTACCCACAGATCCCAGTCCCACAAAGACCAAGTCCAATGCCCATGCCAGGGCCCAGCTCTCAAATGTGAGTGGCACTGTGTCCCTGGCTTCTCTCCCGTGGCCACACCTTCACAGGGCCAGGTGTGAGCAACCCTCCCCAGCTGGCCTCTACCACACCCTCACTCAAAGGGTGTCCCTGGGCGCTCCCCCAGCACAAATCCCAACCAGTCGCTAAGGGAGGTTCAGGGACTCTGGGGCCCAAAGCATTCCTAGACTGCCAGGGACCCACAGGCCCGTGGCTCTCCTCTAGGGAAGCGACAGGACCTACAGATGCCCCCACGAGGGCAAAGCAGCACATCTCAGAGGGAAGCCTGCACAGTGGGGTGCAGGGACCACTCCACTACCGAGCCGTGACCTGTCAGAAACAGTCCACCGTCCCACTCGGGGGCCCTCCCGGCATCCTGTAAGGTACTTGGACTTGGACACCCTCCTTGTGGGGCAAGGCCTTTGTACCCACACACACAGACACCCACAGGTAGACCACACCTCACATCACCCAGAGGCCCAGGGAGCATCAGCGAGTCCATATGAGGGACCCTGGACCTGTCTCCCCATCACCAGGGCCCACAGCCGGGAACCTCCTTGGCCTAGGTCTTCTCACCTCCACCCAGGGCCATCCCCACTAAGACCTGCTGCTTTCTTCACTAGCCTCCAAAAATCGGATGCTGGGGGTGCTGTGGGGGTGCAGTGCCAGGTGTGGGGAGGACGTGGAGACAAGGCTGCAGCCACCTGAAGGAGCATGGACTCTGGGACCAAAACCAAGCCCCACACCAATCCGTACAGCAGCAGCTTCCTGGGTGAACAGCAGTAACTGGTCCACTCACAGGTTGCTGTGGTTGGAGATCACAGCAGGTACCCCACAGGGTGGGCGGTTTCTTTTTTATTGACTGTTCTGGTTCAAGGCCTAGCACACAGTAGGGCCTCAGTAAGGGACTAGTGAGCAAGAAATGAACACAATGGGAGAAAAGAGTCATCAAAACGCTAACCCGCTAACAACACTGCCCGTTCTGCTGCATGTTTTTACTATTAAAAAAGAACTCTTTAATCTCTCCTTAAGAAATGTCATTACCATTCAATTCAAACTCTGGAGGTGGCTAAGGACTCTTGTCTACTTTGGAGCAAGTACAAGGAAATTTATTCAGACTGGTCACCCACTATCGATTACAACAGTGCCGCCTGACACCTCTGCATGACCGCTTCCGGGAGGGAGCTGGACGTCTGCAGAGTGAGGAGGCCCAGGTTGACTTCTCAGAGAGAAGTCGCATTAATGGGACTTCCAAACCGCGGAGGAGCGCAGCCGTGACCGTGGCTCTGCATCACGTTTTCCCGCAGAGTCCGAGGGACAGTGAACACACAGCCGCGTGTGCAGCCAGGTGCCACGCAGCCACAGTTCACAATCCTCACCACGTAACTTTTCAGAAAGAACAAAGGTCTTATCTATCATAAATGTACGAGTCAGCGCCCAAAACATTATACAAATCACTTTTCTTGCTCCAAGCACAACTCTGCATTTTGTCCACAAAGAGGAGAGACCGCCCCATGTGAAGGGCCATGGAGGCTGACAGGGGTCCCGAGCGCCCACTTGGAGAGTCATTCTTTCCTGGAGGCGCCCAGACCAGACCTCAGGGCCTTCACACGCCTGCCCAAAGGTGCTGGAGCACGCCAGGCCTGCAGGGGGAAGAAACCATCTCCTGTAGAGTTCTCGAGCCCCAATAAAAAGCAACATGATTGATACATGAAGAAAGCAAGCTTAAAGTCGCTAAGGACTTTCCAGACATGTCTTTAAATACAGCATTAAATCCCCAGGACACTGACTTCACTGTCACTCCGAAGGAATAGATACACCCCTCTTCCAGCTCCTCCCTGCAAAGTAGCAGCAGTGAGCCACGTCCTGCTGAATAGTCTCATTTTGAAATCCCTCCCCAGCTGACAGTGATCTATGCCTACTTCCTGTGGGCGGGCAGGCATGGAAAGCTTACGACCTCAAATCTTAATGGGCTCATGAGAAAGTACAATGTACGGAGACCAGCTTCTTCAGCTTCATTAGGTTAACCCGATCATCAGTTTCACTGCACCTGACCCACAGAATCCATGCTGTGGCACCTGGGACATTCAGGAGAGCCCCAAGGGCTGTCGCCTGGCACACGAGGCAGAGCACCCAGCAGGTGCGGTACTTGGAGCACGCTGTCCACCCTCACCCAGGCTTGGCAAGGGCAAGTGGAGACCCGAGGCAGCCTTTCAAAGGAGCTGGGACAGCAGGTCCAAAGGACTCCTGGGGAAAGGCAGGGCTGAGGACACCCAGATGGTGGAGGAAGTGAGTGGCCAGCCAGTAATCGTTTACATCCAGCATAAATCTCTAGCAAAAGGGGCCAGAGGGAGGCTCTCAGGATAGCACGGCACCGGACAGAGGCACAGAGCAGAAGGGTGCAGGGAAGGGCAGGGCCTGAGACAGACACAGCAATCGGCCCCCTACTCTGCCCTGATGGAATGTGGGTGGGCCAAATGCCAGGCAGCACGGCCTCAGCGATGCCCTTCCACCCCAGTGCCCAGCTGCCTGGGCTGCTATGAGGACCCATGGTAAAAGGCGGAGCCCTGCCCTGCTCAGACAGGCTCCTCCCCAGCACCTGCCCCGCTCAGACAGGCTCCTCCCCAGCACCTGCCCCAGATAAAATGCAATGTCTGAGCAAGGCACACAGAGCCTCCCACATGGCCCCACCTGAGTCTGGCAGCCTCGGACCTGCCCTGGCATCCAAATACTCTGGTGCAGCCACACTCAACTGCACCTCACATAGAGCACACTGCGCCCCCCTGCCCTCAGAGCCTTGGAATGCTCTTCCTTGGTGCAACCCACCTCTCACTCATTTCCTGGACACCTGCTCTATGCCCTATGGGAGGACCCTCTTTGCACCCTTCCACCCTCCTGTTCAGCTGCAACTCAGCCCCCAGACCCTGCTCACATGTCTCCCCAGGAAGCCTCCTCCTCCCCTGGAAAGATGAACACACCCCATCTTCCCTACGTCCTCAGCACACCTGGGCACCTGTATCGCACTCTTGCTGACTGCTGGCCACCAGCTGGGCTGCGAAATTGCAGGTGGCAGGGGCTGCTGCCTTAGATAGGGCCCTCACTCGCTCAGTCCCCACAACAGCTTTTCCTGACCATGCTATGTCTCTCACCTGGAGCACTGCAGGTGTGCTGAGCCTCTCCAGCAAGCCCGGGGACAGCCGCATCCTGGCCCTGACCTCGTGCCCGTCGCCCCGGCCCACCTGCTGCTCCCCACACCCTTCGCCTGCTCTGTCCTGGCCCAGGCACTCCAAGCCAGAATCCTCCTACTAGAACCTGGGGCCCCATCATGCAGCACAGATCTCAATTCAGGACCCCCTGCCATGGACACCCTGCCTGAGGGCCGGCTCTTGTGGCCTCCCACCACATGGCCTCATCACCTGAAAGGTGCCTGAGAGATGCTGCTGGTTTGCTGTCAGGATCCCTCTCTGAGAAAAGAGCCCTCGACAGCAGGCCCACCTTTCCCGTTGCTATGCCTGAGGGCTGAGAACAGGGCCCAACCCGGAGCAGGCGCTGATAACTGCACGTGGGCTGAGTGATTCGGGGCCCAAGGTGCCCAGGATCAAGCTCTGTCCTGAGAGATATCAGGGACATCTGCAAAGTGCAGGCCCCACCTCCAGCGACCTTCTGACGCACCCTCCCCAGGGATGGCGAGGCTTGCACTGGCCATGCTGAAGAAAATAAAATGAAGACATTTCACCTAAGATACTGAACAAGGATCAGGTGCCATGATGATGCACCAGCGGCAGCAGAACAGGCTGCTTCTTGATCAAAGCTACCTCTGGGAGATGTGCCTCAAGGCCCGCAGGGGTCTGTGTGGCCCCTCTCAGCAGTGGACAGATGGGGGTCCCATCAGGCAGTTGGCATTCAACATGCTTGGAGGCTCTGGCCCTGACCTCTGCCCCATGCCCCTGGCTGGCACGACTGGTGTCCTGGAATGTGGGGCTGTATCTCAGAAATGGCACTGCCAGACTGCCAGACCCACAGGGTGCAGGAGGAACACAATCAGATAGCTCCTCCCGCATGGAAATCAGAAGGCTGTGATGCTGAGTCCCAATGTCCCCGCATCATCTTCATTCTCATTCATTCATATTCTCTCTCTCTCTCCTCTCTCTTCCTCTCTCTCTCTCTCTCTCATACAGGCTGGCAAGGTAGCAATTCCACAGACCGGGAGCCATGGCGCCCCCACTGCCACAGCGCACTGATGGGGGCTCTGGCCAGGACAGAGATGTGGACTGGCAGTGGCAGCCCTGGCTCCCGGTCTCTGCTCCAGCCATGCACAGCCTGGTAACTGAGAGACTGGAACCCCATTCGCACGGTGCCTCAACAGGGCCCTGGAGCCCAAAGTGCCTCATGGGGGGGGCAGAAATAGAAGCCACTGTGACACAGTATGAAAGGGAAGTGGCCCTGGGCAAGGTGCTTATGCTCCTAGACTCCCAGTTCCATCTTCTATAAAAACTCTCAGAGAACAATGACTGCCTGGCAACAAAGCCCAGAATGTGAACAGCACACAGTGGACAAAACACCGGTGATAAGGGCTGGGGAGACAATCTTGCCTGATGCCTGCTCTGTGCTTGGTGCAGGGCCAGGCACTTGCTATAGGTTAGGGCGGGCAAGCAAACCACAGCTCGCTGGTGCCTCGGTAGGCAAGTCTCACAGGGACACGGCCACGCCCGCTGTCCACGTCTGTGGCTGCTTCTGTGCTTCAACAGCAGAGAAGTTGTGAAAAAGTCCATATGGCCCACAAGCCTGAAAATATTTACTATCTAGCCCTTTACAGAAAACGTCTGCCAATCCTCACTCGAAAAACCTTCCTCAGTCCTAGCAGCAGCCTCTCGAGGCAAGGATCGGAAACTCGGCTCGCCCAGGGATGCACAGCTAAGCACAGAACTAGGGCAGAAACGCCCTCCATCCGAGCCCAGGACGCCGCAGAGAACATGGACCCACCAGGGCTTCCGTGAAATACTCAAATAAACCTTTTCCTTAAAGGACCCAGATCTGTTTGGTGACCAGTAGGCAATCTAGAGCCTCCATGTATAGAAGTGTCCTGGCCACAGATTCTCACACTCCAGTCCCTCCGCAGCACCTGCCCTTGGGTGTGAAGTGGGAGGACGCGCCCTCAGCAGGAGTCCACCCTGAGTGCGGTGTGAGGCGGCTCTGACCCTCGGGAGAGGAAGCAAATGGTAGAGGAATGACCAGATCCGAAGCCCAGGGAGACAAGCACCATCTTTCATCCCCTGCAATTTACAGCCAGCCCTGCGTGAGGAGCGCGGGCAGTGATGATTAAAGATACACTTTGGGATATGGGTGGTAGAAGTGCAATGATTAACATTCAAGTGGCCTCTTGGATATCACTAGAAAGGAATTTAATAAAGGCCTTAAGCCAAATGAAGTCATCTTGCAATACTCACCTGCCAAAAATAAATGTTCCCTTTCCTTAGAAAAAAAGCATCAAGTCACTAGGGGATAGGAAACGTAAAGTGTGGAGATGTTCGCCCGTTTACCAGCGAGTCCCCCGCCACCTGCACAGGATGTGTGTGAGGAGCCATTCTAAAGCAGCGTAAGTAACCGTTTCAGGTGTACCCGCAGCCCTGAAGGCAGCCGAGGATCTCAAACGAGAGGTGGCCTTCACCAAACTGGAAATGGAACCTCCCAGGCCCAGGAGGCCGGCTTGGCTGCTGCTCACTCACCATACTCAGAGCCCTGAATGTTCCCCAAGAGGAAGAAGTCACCGGGATTTAGAGAAAAGAACCTGGCTTTGAATGTCCTGTCAGAACCTGTTGTTCTTTTTCATTCCACGGCCTACCCCAGCTGCTCCTCTGCTGCTGAGTCACGTCCCGCACGGGGTAACCTCCCACAGGGCCCCCCATCAAGTCAGCCGCCGCCCTGCATCCTCACCTCCCCAGCAGCCTCATGCACCCAGGGATCGCCCACTGTGGGATCACCCTCCCCAGGTTCCACCCACCCCCCATCCGAGCTTCCCTCTCCCCATCAGAGCCACACTTCTCAGACTTACCGATGCCCTCTGACCCCACTTGCTCGACGACCCCCTCATCCTGGCTGAATTCACCCCCATGCACCTGCTCTCAGCCATTGATGACCACTGCTGACGCAGGGTTTGGATCTGTGTCCCCACCAAATCTCATGTCTAATTGTAATCCCCAATGTTGGAGGTGGTGATGAGATCAGGAGGTCAGACTCTCCCGAGTGGTTTACCACCACCCTTCTCCACGCCGTTCTCATGCTAGTGAGTGAGCTCTCCTGAGATCGGGTTGTTTAAAAGTCTGGGCACCGGCCAGGCGTGGTGGCTCACACCTGTAATCCCAGCACTTTGGGAGGCCGAGGCAGGTGGATCACAAGGTCAGGAGATCGAGACCATCCTGGCTAACACGGTGAAACCTCATCTCTACTAAAAATACAAAAAAATTAGCCGGGCGTGGTGGCGGGCACCTGTAGTCCCAGCTACTCAAGAGGCTGAGGCAGGAGAATGGCATGAACCTGGGAGGCGGAGCTTGCAGTGGGCCGAGATCGCACCACTGCACTCCAGCCTGGACAACAGAGTGAGACTCTGTCTCAAAAAAAAAAAAAAAAAAAAAAAAAAAGGCTGTGGCACCTCCCCGACGCCTTGCTCCTGCTCCAGCCATGGAAGACACGCCTGCTTCCTCTTCACCTTCTGCCATGATTGCAAGTTTCCTGAGGCCTCCTCAGAAGCCGAGCAGATGCCAGCACTATACCTTCCGTACAGCCTCTTTGGAACCATGTGCCAATTAAACCTCTTTTCTTTACAAATGACCCAGGCCCAGGTATTTCTTTTTTTTTTTTTTTTTTTTTTTCCTGAAATGCACGCATCCATGAGGGAGCACGCGACCCCTGGGGGAGCAGGGCCATTCTCTTCCATCTGGGCTATCTCTGCATCATTGGCTCCTCTTCCAAGCCTTTTGTCACCCTCATGACAATGCCCCTCATTCATTTTTATATACTATCTAGTTCAGGGCCTGGGAAGGTGTAGGTGCTTATAAACAACCTTTTATTGACACGTGTCCCAAGAGGACTTTAAGCTACCTTGTAAGGGGTTAAAGAGTAACTAAAACCTGTAATGGCTCAGCTAATAAACCCCCCAGTTTAGGGGAGAGTAATCACCCGATTGCTTTCCTATGATTACTATGTATTTTCATTGCCAAAAGATGCAATACAATTTCATGGTTACTTGGCCCTGTAAAATAGAAATACCCCCGATTCTTAAGATATGAAGAGGTTTATAACCAGGGTACTATCAGTTCAAGAATGAGTCCCTGGTACAAATGAGTCAATTCATGACAAAATTTAATTTCAAGAAAATTAACTCAATAAAGATGCCACAATTGTGCTTAAAGTTTTAATACCTATTAGGAGTTTTAAGTAGGTGGTGCAGAACCATGGGCAAGCCGATCCATTTTCTGGCTCCTCAAAAATGCGATTGACTTAATACCTAATTTATTCGTAATGGGGACAGTATTACAAGGAACTGTGTTTAATGAGGGAGGTCTGGGTCTCAAACAGCCTAACCAATCACAAAAACGGACAGCATTCGCAATTTACAGGATATTAAGTTTTGTTTCCTGTCATGTTACAGAGAGCCGATCAATAGCACTAGACTGACAGCTACTTTAACAAAACAGCCCAAGGTAAGGCTTTATGTCCCAGCAAATGCTGCTGGCCAGAAATTCTGTAGCTGCCAAACACTTGGAAGAACAAAACCCAAGTCGCGGACACGAATGACAGTCTGCTGACTGGTGATAATTTCCGTAGTGAGATCATTAGACCAGACAAGCGGCGCAAAGGAAAAGCAAAGTCAGAATACAGGACTTCAGAGCCACAAAACACTCACACCCACCAAGGGGCACACTGACCAGCAACCGGTGTCAGGAACAAAGCTTTGGGGCACTGTTCTAGATGACTCACACAAAAACAGGCTCAGAATGAGAGACTGGAGAGCACGGAGGCCCAGCAGGCACCCTGTCCTGTGGGAAGAACGCACGCAGCCTGAGGCCCTGTGGGAGCAGCTGGTCAGAATGACCCCCAGGCCCTCCCTAGCTGCTCTGTGATGCCCAGCCTTCCCCACCTCCATGGGCAAGGCACCAATGTTGGGACCCAACGCAGTGCCTGGGACCTATGCCGCCTTAGAAAAAGCCTCCCGCCAAGAGCTCCCCTTTCCAGAAACGTCCGTCCCCCAGCATCAACCTCCAAGGGCAGCTGCCCCCCTGCAAATCCTGAACGTGCAGCCGATGAAGGGCTGTGCTCACTGTGGTAGAAAGCCTGGCTCTTGAGGTGCCGGGATGAAAACCAGCCATACGCTTCTTTCTTTAGCACTCTGTAGAGATTTGATTCCTAATCCCACATAATGGTGCCTGCTATTTGTAACTGATGATGAAAGGCTGGCGCGTAAACCCCCCACAGCACCGCCTCCGCTTCAGCAAACATCTCGAACAAAATGAAAAGGTGCTAGAATAAGTGATGGGACACTCAAGGGAAGAGAGGTGGCTTGTTCCAGAAAACTCAACCTCCTGAAGAATTGAATTTCATCAGAATTGGTGAAGAGTAGAAAATTTCATACACACTGAATCTGTGATTTTTTAAAAAATCTTTATTATATGTAACTCAAAATATAGACAAGGTGTGAGTCCTGAGCGTGAGTTTTTTGGCAGAAGCAGCTCAAACTCACAGCAGAGTCACCAGCATCCCTCGCATCCTCCTAGCACACTGCTCAGGATGTGAATTCCCAGAGAGCTCAAGGCTGCTGTCACCACGCAGGCAGAATGAAACTCAGCCACAAAGAGAACGGCCTGAAGTTCTTTTCCCTGTTTTACATCTTCTCAGATAAAAAGCATGCCAGGAGTATACTCTTTTATTTTTATTTATTTATTTTTTGAGATGGAGTCTCGCTCTGCCACCCAGGCTGGAGTGCAGTGGCGCAAGCTTGGCTCCCTGCAACCTCCGCCTCCCGGGTTCAAGCAATTCTCATGCCTCAGCCTCTGAGTAGCTAAGAATACAGGTGTGGGCCACCACACTTGGCTAATTTTTTCTGTTTTTAGTAGAGACGGGGTTTTGCCATGTTGCCCATGATTGGTCTCGAACTCCTGAGCTCAGGCAATCCACCCACCTTGGCCTCCCAAAGTGCTAGGATTACAGGCATGAGCCACCGCGCCCGGCCAGGAGTATACTTTTTAAAGACCGCATTTCAATGGAGAGAGCGCTTGGAAGAAAAAATCGAATGCAGCACACAGGCCCAGGGCAGAAGGCGACAGGAAACGGCCCGGGCTCCTGGCACCCCCATGGCGGAGGGTGCGAAGGAGAGCTCACCTGGTAGGTGTCCCACAGGCGGATGGTACAACGCAGGGGCACCTCCCTCATCAGCAGGTTGTTCATCCAGCGGAAGGCAAACTGCAGGTATCTCACTTCGTGTTGGTCCAGGTGCCGGTGCACTTGCTCTGCACAAAACAAACACAGGCCCCAAGGCTGTCAGGGGAGCCCTATGGAGGCACTGGCAGCCAGGTCACTTGTCCCCCAAGGGCCTGCGCCCGCCTCAGAACCCCACTCCAACAGGGAATCCCAAGCAACAACCCCCAAGGAGCAAAGAACTGATTCTATTAATGAGAGACTACAGCTCTCCCTTCCTACAGGAAAGCGAAAGATGGTGGTGCTGCTGAAGTGATGATTATAATCATGGACATGTTCGGGTGCTTCACGCCCTAACACCCAGGAAGATGGGGGGGCTTGAGTCGACACCCACACCGTGGGGCTCCACAGATAGGCGCTCTTTCCCCGCTCCACAGAAGCTCCACAGACCCAGGCTGGTGTCCCAGGAGGGGCTTAGAGAGAGGAGATGAGCTTGCCAGCTCCTCAGGAGGGGCCCAATCTTGTCCAGGGAAATGCTCCACCTATGCCTGGACCCAACCGTTGAGTGCGCAAGTGGGACACAAGGCCTGCAGGCCAGGTGAAGGACACCCCTCGACTGCAGGATGGGGACACCCCTGACACAGCTGGGCCTCTGGAAAGAGCCAGGCTTTACCAAGCATCACTCCCAGAAGCACACGCTCACACCAGCCACATGCGCTCCCCTCTCATCAAGCTGTGGTGGGCGGCAGCTTTGCAGCCTCAGCTCAGACCCCGTGCTCCCTGCCTCACCCCCTGCTGAGTCCTGGCGGTGTCACTCCTGGAGGCAAAATCCCAGTGATCATGGTGCCTATGCTCCTCTTTCCAACATTCTGCCCATGAGGTCCTACTCTAAAGGGCCTAGAAGAATGGGTGCTGCTTTATAAAAACAAATAATCATTACTAATTATTGCCCAATTGAGCCGGATAGTGGATCCTTGGTTTTTAAAACGCAGGTGCACCTGAGGGCTGCTGAGAGCCTTCTTTCTGCAGCTCACTTCCTTACCCTGCTTCCAAGTTACACCTCCCTTCTCTCCACGCTTACCTAATCCTGGCTTGCCCTGAGAAGTGACCCCGAAACACTTCACAGGGATCGCCATTCCCTCAAAGAAAGTTCTAGAAATGGCAAATAAACAAATACCAGAGAAAAGCTAGTGTTCTGTTTACTGGTTTGTTTTACTCAAGTCCCTGGTAACTTGCAATATTTCAGCAACAAGCGAGAAGCAGGGGGAAGAGGAACAGGAGGGTCCATCCTGCAATGCCGTCCACCTGACGGACCAGGAGCTCTACTAAGACATGCGGGTGCCGGCCTGGACTTCAGGGCCGTGGGACCGGGAGCTGCCCTCACCTAAGGACAGGGGCTGGTTTCCAAGCAGGCTCCACTAAGCTGGCCCTGGAAAAGCATGGGCAGCTCTGGTCCCATGATGGGACCCTGCTGTGGCGGGAGCTGGTCCCTTCACTGTCTCTGCCCTCACTGTCACCCTCCTCCCCTAAACCACTGCTGTCCTCAGCTGACCAGGGCAAACGTGCTGGGGCGGGGCTCCTGTAGGGCTGGGTGTCAGGGGATGCCTGCAGGATGAGGCCTGCTTCACACTGTGGGGTAGATGCAGCAATACACGCTCCATTCCAACACGACAGTGAATAATTAATTGTGGAAACTGCAGAACTGGGTGGAGCAGAACAGCAAAGGCTGTTCTGAGCCCCAGGGGCCAGCCTGGGAGGAAGTCACCAGGGAGGCTGGACAGCCTTGCCCACGACCCACAGGACTGCCCTCCAGGAGGCTGCCTGGACCCAGAGGCACCCACACCCCCACCACTGTGCGCTGCCTCTGCGGTAACAAACTTGAGCACTAAGGGCTCCAGGCCTGCAGAGAGAGCAGGTACAAGCAGGCCAGGCAGGCCCCGGAGGCAGGCGGGGGTGGGGGTCCCTGGCAGCAGAGCAGCCTGCAGGGCAGCTCCTCCAGATGGCATCTGCTCACCTCAGATACTCAGTTGCTACAGCAGGGGGTTGGTTGGCTTTTTGCTTTATGAAGAGGTCTGGCGCAGACTACACACACGGCCACAGATGCCCACACTTCTTCATTAGCAAGCCCACCTGTCTCCCCTGCCCCCAGGAGAGCTTCAGAGGTGGAACATTTGGGTGGACGAGTGGCTGGGAACGCTGGTGCCTCAGGACTCAGGGAGCCTGACGCATCAGTGCCAGAGTCGGCTGCAAGCAAAGAGCGTCACACGCGAGCAGCAAGGACAGTTTATTCTGAGCGACTGAAAATGTTATTTGTGTATTAAAACCAAAACCAATGCATAATATGCCATAAAGTCAATTATCGTCATCAGTTGTTAGGATAAAACTGCGATTTCAATGCAATTTCATCTTTGCACTGGGCCTGTTCGAGCTCCGTCGTCCAAAGTCCCCGGCACATAGGCCAGGGATTGCCTCCCCTGCCTTGGAGCACTTCTGAAAGGTGTTGGGCTAGAAACGTTTGAGGAGCCAGGCCCAGAGACAGCCGGGGCACAGGGAACGCAGGGGCCCGCTTGCAGGGCAAGGAAGGCCTGATGCCAGGGTGCAGTGGGCTTGGCAGTGACCTCAGGGATTCCCAAACAGGGCTGGACATCATCGTGTCTTCATCTTCCTCCTCCCCCTCCTCTTCATCATCACCACGGGAGCACAGGAGCTGTTAAATACAGATTCTCATCTCGACTCTCAGTCAGACTCTTCCAGGTGGGATGTCAGAGACTCTAGAGAAGATGCTGACGTGCCAGTGACATCTCTGCACTGGGAACGCCTCAGAGGGCAGGTCACACAAGGACGCGGCACCACACAGGCTCACAGAGACAGGAAGGACAGGTCCCAGTGGCTCACGCAGGACACCCACTCCAAGAGCTCCACACTGAGGGAGGGGAGGGCTGCAGTGCAGGTCCAGAGGCAGCGCCAGCGTGTTGCTCACTTAACAGCTTCCTTCTAATCCACTGCCGCTTTATTAAAGACATTTATTTTTAAAATAAAACTAATTTCACTACCAAAAAATGGTTCCCATAGTCTCTAATAAGTAAAGGGCAGCGCGGCAAGTGGAGAGAACAAAACGGTGCTGCCGAGGGGCCCCTGAGGCTGAAGCCCCCGCAGAATTTAATCCCACGGCTGCTCATCCCTCGGGGGACAGAGAGACCAAAGGGGGTGCCAGGAGGTGTCTCAGGATCCCCACAGATGAAGAGACACTGGCCCCCAGAATGAAGTCAGAGTGCCTAAGAAAGGCACCAGACCCCCACTCCCTCCTCGGCCTTCACCGCTGCCTTCCCCTGCAATGCCATGCCTCCTGCGGTGGCACCAGGTGACCAACAACACCCATGCTACCACGCAGGCTTCCCCGCGCCCCGGGCTCACCCTCATGGCAGCCTTCCACCAGGGCACCTGTCTCTGCTCAGTGCGAGGCTACCCAGACGTCAAAACTCCTGGATGCTTCCAGAAACACCCCAAGCTGTGAGCCTCCCCCTCTTCTTCGTTCTATACACACCTCTATGGAAGCATTTATCACGAAAGGGGCATAAGTGCTCAGGGTGCCTGCCCACCCTGGGGTGTGAGCTGGTCAGGTGTGGGTCCAGGTCTGTGTCGCCTTTGTTTCCCCGGCCCCCAGTACACACAACTGAGCATCCATGAGTGTCTGTCAGGTGACTGTGATGAACGAATGAGTACAGAGAGCAAACAGGTAACCGGAAGATGGACACATTCCCAGCCTGGCCGTCCTCCTCTACTTCTATTTCTCAACACAGCAATAGCGAGGAGTTTTCCAGCCACACCCTAGAACATGACGTTCTTTTCAAAGAACTTACAGAATCATTTCTAACCTGAAGTTAATCTGCAGCTACAAAACTAAACTGATAGAAAGTTCTACGAAGCCCTGAGGGGGCTCCACCATCCAGGCCTGACCTCTGCCCATGCCCCTCGGAGGGTGGAAGTCCACCCAAGCTGCTACCAGACTCTGCTGCCCCCAGCGCACTGACACGTGGAATTCAAGTCTGAACACTTAAAACCAGCTGTTTAGAAAATGACTCCATTTACTCAACAAGGCTCTTTTGCACAGAAAAAAGAATGAGCTTCCATGAAGGAGCAGTTGGCTACTTGGGGAAGAGCAGCCAGGACGACAGCGACAGCCCCAGAGGAAAATCACTGCTTGAAACAAAGCGCCTGAGGAAGGAGGGGCCACACAGGGCAGCCTGGGACGGCAGTGTGAAAGGAACGTTCCAGGGCAGGTGCCTGGCCTGGCAGGTGGCACCTGGTTTCACTGGCCACTCCCAGCCCACAGCTCTGCGTGGACGTCTGGGCTGCAGCAAGTGGGTGCCGCCTTGCACTGGCGTGAATGAAGCTCTGCCGTGGAGATAAGCTGAAGTCAGCAGCCTGGGGCCTCCTGGGACACACGGCCACACTGCACATCCCTGTCTGGCCGCTGCTCTGAAGGTTCTCCAATGCTGCCAGGGCAGGGCCCCAGTGTACCAAGGCAGCAGTGGGACAGTCACAGGCTAATCACCAGGACACGAGTGCTGTGCCCACATTTTACACAGGAGGCTTCAGGCGAGCTTTAGACAGGGCTACAGAGCCTGGGTGTTCTTCCCTTTGGGTGTGTGTTCGCGGCCACTCCCTCTCTCCTCTCACTCCAGGCACAAATCCAGTGTATGATGAGGCCTCTCAACCAAGCACTCACAGGGCCAGGCCCTGGACCCAGTCTGGGGGACCTGGTGTGGGTGGGACTTGCCAGAGGGTCTTATCCTCTAGACTGTGACTTCCTCGAGGGCAGGGACTTTGTCCGGAAACAGAGACCAGCACCAAGGCAGGCCATGGCCCACCACACATGTGATGTGTGCGGGGCACACATTTGTTAACCAGGCAGCCTGGCACCCAGGGCAGCCGCTGCCATGGATGAGGATGAGGTGACTGCTGGGGAAGGTGCACACCACAGAGTCACACGCAGAAGAGGAGCCGTGGCTCACCGGCCAGTCTGTCACCTGCCTAGAGCAGCAGCAGCCCACCTGTGCCGGGGCTCGGCATGTCCCCACCTGGGAAAACAGACAACTCTACCACGGGCCTGGGAAGCAGGTGACATCTTTCCAACACAAACTGGCAAGAAACAGACTTGAAAATTTAAACACATATTTCTGGAACACCTGTCATTGTGGTAACTAAACAGAGTACAAATTAACCCTTCCTGCCCCACTTGCAGGGACTCAGGGGTGGAAAGCACAGAGGCCACCAAGCCCTCAGCCCCTCCCTGAGGGACGCTGACTTGAGGAGAAGGAGCCCGTTCCAGCCAGAGTGCAATGGCCGGCTAACCTGCACCGAACTCCCACTGCACAGCTCCTGAAGGGGGGCACACACCTCACACCCTGGGGACCCCGGCCCCTCACCTGTGAGGTGAGGCAGGTGAGGGGACCTGTCCAAAGGTGCACACAAGGAGGCAGGCGAGCCAAGATGGGCCTGAGGATTGCCACCACTCTGTCCCCTTGAAACGACCCCACACCACCAGAGCTGAGCATGGACCCACCCTTGCATCTCTGGGCACCTGCGCCCTGGGCAGAGCCACCCACCCTCCTCAGGGCAAAGCCCAGTACATCTGCAAGAGCACCCGGTCACAAGGAACTAACCAGAAAACCGGACACAGCGTTAACCTCACAGGCACAGGCAAGGCCGTTCCAGGGCAAGAGGCTCCTCTTTCATTGGTTCCTTAAGGAAAGATTGACCAGGGCCTCCACTTCCCAGGGTTGCCTCTGAAAGCAAAGCTACAAGGAAGACAAGGCCTGTTTCTGCCCGCCGGGGGCTCAGCAGCCTGTAGGAAACAGACAAGGCAATCCAGCCTTCGGGCTCCAAGCTGTGCACTGCACCCGAATTACAAGCTCTCTGTGTCCTGAGTGCCTGGCCTTCTGCCTGACACAGGACCTTGAACTCCTGAAAGGAGTGAAAAGGCAAAACCCACGCCCACCCAGAGGTGATGGCAGGCACAGCACGAGACCATGGTGGCCACAGCAAGGGACTCCATGGCAAGCGCTCCGCTGAGTCACCCAACACAGCCTGGCTAAGCTGGCTTGATTCTGGAGCCCATGGGACATCCATCCAGAAGGCACCGGGGAGTGTCCTTCTTCACACGGAAGTGGTCACTTAGCACGACTCCGTGGCTTCTCTGGCAGCACGTCATGAAGGGTGCGGGCGTGGCCAGCCAGGGCCTCACCCCGCCGGGACGTGCATCCCCAGCGGGAAAGCCTCCTCCCGTCTGGGCACGGTGAAGGATGGGCTGCTAAACTCCAGGCATTACTTCCCATTTATACACATCAAAGCTGCAAATGTACATGCCGAAAGGATTCATTTTTCTTATTTTATAAGTAATTGCGAGCAGATGCTCTTTCACTGATAAAGGTAATTTGGTTGGCAATAATTCTGAATTTGAAATTTCCATTTCACTGGAAATAAGAGTATACATACAATGAATGAGCAGGCAGGTGTAATTATTGTCATATTTCAGGCTGAAAAGGTTTTTTCATAAAGCCCTTATGTGGCAGGGCAAGGCAACGTTATTGTTGTAAAGTCACCAGGAAGAGATGTGTCATATTGGCAAGCTGGAGAAACAACCACAATATTTGTTGAACACTTTTCCCAGCACTTTAAACAGCAGATCCACAGACCGAAAATTCTGCTGAAACATCTTGTCTTCTTGATTAAAAATAAAAATAAATTATGCAAGCACATTGTGTCCCAGGATTTAGGCTAAAATGGAAAAAACACGTATCCCATTGACTTGGCATAAAACACACACTGTTTATGCAGGACCAGACACTCAGATTTATCACCCGAAGAGCAGCATAATGGCTCACACTTAGACACCTGACAAAGAAAACCTTTCAACCCCCCGCACAAAGCCGAGAACAGACACAAATACATCACGCTTTGGCTGGGACAGCCATGAATAGGCTTTGATTCTGGGGGAAGATTTCAATTCTCTAATCAGTTAAAAAGATAAAAAGAACAAAAGCAAGAGCCACTGACAGTGAGCAGGGCCCCTCCGCACCAAGAGGCCCCCCACTCTGAGCCCACCTCCTTTCTCATTTGCATGGTTTGGTTTATGTCGCTGACAGCTAGAAAAGCCAGGTCCCCAACAAGCAGGGTCCAGTCACGCTCACCAGCCAGAACACCAAGAACCGCTCACTGCCAATGGTGGGCAGAGGGTGGGAAGGGTTGAGACCCAGGACGAGCAGCAGCCCCGGCCCAGGCCACTCTGGGGGAAGCAGTCTGGGGCTGACAGCTCAAGACAGAGCACTGTGGCCGCTCACCAAGGCCTCCGATGGGACAGCGCGCCTGAGCTGGAAGGGAACAGGAGAGAGAGATGGGGCTCAAGGAAGAGCAGCAGAATCATGGACCCACAGCTCCACTTTCCCGGCACAGGACACTCGCTGGCAAATCCCTGCAGGCAAACAGGCAGGGCTCCTGCCATCCCCGCCCCAGAAGCGGCAGCCAGGAGCCTTGGCCAAGATCGAGGCTGCCGGCAGGTCTTCTCCTTCGGGCAGCAGCCGAGTCTGGGCTGGACACCAGAGAGCACATTAAGGCCTCAGGTTGTAGAGTCAGGTGAGCCTGGGTGAAGGGAAGGGAGGGAAGAGGAGGGAGGTTGGGCACTGAGCTCCATCAGGCGGCCCCCGTTCAGTCATCTGGCCTATGCAATGAACCTCAATAGAAACCCCGGTCACCAAGCTCTGAGGGGCTTTCTTGTTGGCGAACACATGGCTATGGCAGGAGAGTTAGCACCCTGGCCCCATTGGGAGGGGTATGGAAGCGCTGTGTTCCCGGGCCCCACGGGAAGGGGTATGGAAGCGCTGTGTCCCTGGGCCCCATGGGAAGGGGTATGGAAGCGCTGTGTCCCTGGGCCCATGGGAAGGGGTATGGAAGCGCTGTGTCCCCGGGCCCCATGGGGAGGGGTATGGAAGCTTTGCATCCCCGGGACTCTTGCAGATTTCGTCCCATGATTCTCCACATTTGGCTGGTCCCCCTAACCTGTACATAAAACTGGAATCATAATCACTGGCTTTCTTGAGTCCCATGAGCCATTCTAATGAATAATCAAACCTGAAGTCATGGACACCACTGAATTTACAGCCAGCTGGGCAGAGGTGCAGGTGGCCTGGGGACCACTGAGGTGCAGCTGGAGTCTGAAGTGAGGGTGCTCTTGTTAAGGACTGAGCCCTTAGCTCATAGAGTCTGACACCAACTCTGGGATGTTAGTGTCAGGATCGTGCGGTGGTGTCCCACATTTGGGGACAAACAGAATGCTCCCACCACCATTAAATGGTCCTGAGGGCTGAGATCCAACCAGACTGCAAGGCAGAGGCCAAACTGCAAACACATTCCCTCAAGATAACTTCTCCACCGTTCATTTAATGTCAACGTCGTGTCACACAACTGCTGTCTTCTCACATGCTCAACACAAGGATGGGGCTGAAGACAGGTCAGACCCAAGACACAGCTAAGTATGCACAGGCAGGCGAGACAGAAGAGGTCATACCAGATTCATTCCTGGGCCGTGGGGGACAGGGACCGAGGGACAGGAACGCGACCACTCACTCTCAGAACCTGGGCCGTGGGGGACAGGGACCGAGGGACAGGAATGCGACCACTCGCTCTCAGAACCTGGGCCGTGGGGGACAGGGACCGAGGGACAGGAATGCGACCACTCGCTCTCAGAACCTGGGCCGTGGGGGACAGGGACCGAGGGACAGGAATGCGACCACTCACTCTCAGAACCTGGGCCGTGGGGGACAGGGACCGAGGGACAGGAACGCGACCACTCACTCTCAGAATCTCAGTAAACATGAGTGCAGAATGAAATAAATCCTCCTGGCAGGTTGTAAAGAAATGGTGTTTATCTGACGCCACAGCACGCAATCTTTTCATCTCTAGAGAGGTATTGAGGTCTATTTTTTTGACAGTAACATAATCTAAAATACAACTTCTTCTAGAGCTACATGGCACTGAAGCAACAAGGTATTAAATCATTTTCACCTCACAGACGTGCACACGAGCTACTCAGCACACCCCTCCAAAACAGGGTCATTTCCATATGAGAAGGCAACAACAAATCTGATTTACTTCCTTTAAAAATGCAGATGACGGAGCCGCTTCCCTGGGTGCCTGAAGCTCCAGGGGCCCTGACTGTGCTCCACGGCCAGGGAACCCGCAGTTCAAAGCTGCCCAGGGGGGAGGAGTGGGCTGGACAAGACAGGGAGAGTCCAGAAGGCAGGCCTGGCCCTAGGCTCTGTCGCAGCCCGCACTTCTGGAAGGCTCGCCCAGTCTTTAGCTTGTCTTTTTATTATATTAATAGTATCATCTGAAAAACAGATTCTAATTTTGGTAAGGTCCGATTTATTTGTCCAAATTTTCTTTAATGTGTGAGGGTTTGGCCATTATTCCAAGAAATCTTGCTTGCCTAGCTTAAGGTCACACAAAGACGCTCTGTGTTTCCTTGCAGAAGTTTTATAATTTTAGGTTTCAAACATAGGTCTCTGAGTTAACTTCACTTAGAAGACTAGTCTCCCACCCCAACCAGGCTAAGCCATGAGGATTCAAAGGCATAAGAATGACACAGTGGACTTTGGGGACTCAGGGGAAAAGGGTGGGAAGGGGGTGAAGGATAAAGGACCCCGAAATGGGTTCAGTATATACTGCTCGGGAGATGGGTACACCAAAATCTCACCAATCACCACTAAAGAACTTACTCATGTCACCAAATACCACCTGTTCCCCAAAAACCTATAGAAATAAAAAGTTAAATAAATAAAAATAAATTTAAAAAACAAAACATAGGTCTCTGATTCATTTTGAGGTAACTTTTTAACATGGCACAAAATATGAATTCAAACTCCTTCCTCTGATGTGAATTTTCAATTGGAACTTCTTCATTTGCTCAACATATGTAACGATTATACGCATAACAAATATATGCTTTGCCACTGAATTTCTTTTGTACCTTTTTGGAAATCATTGCACATATGCACGGTTCCATTTCTCAGCACTCTCTTCTATTCCACTGATCTCTTTTCTTATCTCAATGGCAACAACATGCTGTCTTGATTACTGAAGCTTTATAATTCTTGAAATCAGCTAATGTGAACACACAAAAAAAGAAAAAAGTGAACAAAGTCCTTCAACTTTGTTCATCTTTTTCTGTGTTGTTTTAGCCATTCTAGGGAGTTTGTATTTCCATATGAATTTAAAAATCAGCTTGTCAATTTCTATAGAAAAGCATGTGGGATCTTGATTGCAATTGAGTAGAATGTATGATCAGTTTGGTGAGAGCTGACATTTAATACTCTTGAGTCTTCTGATCTCTGAACATGATTAGGTCATCTTTCATTTCTCTCAGCATTGTTTTGTAGTTTTCAGTGTACAGGCCTATTACATATTTTATCATAGTGTTTTCCCTAAATATTTCACATTTTCATGCTATTATAAATTGTATTGCTCATTCAATTTCAATTTCTCATTTCTCACTGTTAATATACAAAAATAAAGTTTATTTTTGTATGTAGATCCTGTATCCTGAACCCTTGCTAAACTCTTGTTCTTTCTAGTAGCTTTTTTGTAAATGCCATCAGACTTTCAAAAAAGATGATCATGTTGTCTGCAAAAGCAGAGAGTTTTACTTCTTCCTTTTTGGTCTAGATGCCACTTACATTTCTATGTATGTACGAATAAATGAATGTACGTTTTTGTCTTTCTGCCACCAGAATCTCCCGTATACACACCGGACAGAAGTGAAAAGAAGGAACACTGTCCCAGGTTTCCGATTTGGGGGGAAAGCTTTCCATTGACACCCTCCCTTTCCTATTATGTCAGCTATGGGTTTAAACATCGAACATGCTCTTTATCCAGCTTCAAAAGTTCCTTTCTGTTCTTGTTTACTGAGAGTTTCCATTGAGAGTGGATATTGGATTGTGTCAAATGATTTTTCTGCATATATAGATGTGATTTTTATGGGTTTGTTCTTCTTTTTAAATATGTTAATAATAAGAATTACATTGACTGAAAATCAACCTCACATTCTAGGATAAACCCTACATCATCGGGATGTGTACTGTTGGATTTGATTTACTAAAATCTGTTCAGGATCCTTACATTTATGCTCATGATGGATACCAGTCTGCACTTCTCTACAACACTATACGTTTCCCTCTAAGCACTGCCATCTTCTCACACACTCAGCACTATACGTTTCCCTCTAAGCACAGCCTCTTCTCACACACTCGGTACTATCCAATTCCCTCTTAGCACAGCCTCGTCTGACACACTCAGTACTATATGATTCCCTCTAAGCATGGCCATATTGCCACGCACTCTATACTATACGTTTCCCTCTAAGCACAGCCTCTTCGCACACACTCAGTACTATATGTTTCCCTGTAAATACAGCCTCTTCTCACACACTCAGTACTATACGTTGACCTCTAAGTACTGCTTAGTGCTATAGGTTTCCCTCTAAGGGAAGTACTATACGTTTCTAAGTACTGCTCTTTTGCATCCCACAAATTTTGAAGTGTTGGATTTTATTGTCATTCACTTCAAAATACCTTCTCATTTCCCTTTTGTTTCTTCTATGATACATGGGTTACTTAAAAGTGGGTTAATTCATTTAGAAATATTTGAGGATTTCCCAGGTATCTTGCTAAAGATTGCTAATTTAATTCCATTGTGCTAAGAGAAAACAAAAAATACTTCATATTTCTTGAATCCCTTAAGATTTATTGAAACTTTTTTAATGGCCCAAAATATGGTCTATCTTGGTAAATGTTCCATGTGCAAAATTAAAAAGAATGTGCACTCTTGGAATTTTCTATAAAAATCAATTAAGTCAAGTTTGTTGACAGTGTTTTCAAGCTTCTTATAACCTGATTTTCTACTTGTTCTAACACTTCCTGAAGAGAGGAGCTCAAAATCTCCTTCAGTGACTGTGTCTCTGTCCATTTCTTGTTGCATTTTTATCTGATTTTGCTGTGTATTTTGATACAGTCTTATTGGACGCATAAACACTTAAAATTATGTCCAATTGATTAACTGACCCACTCTATCATATGAAATGATCCTCTTGATACTTGATAATATTCTCTATTCTGAAATCTACTGTTTGCCATTAATATAGACATTACCGTTTTCTTTAGATTGGTGTTAGCATGAAATATCTTTTCCCACCATTTTATTTTTAAACTATTTGCTTCTTCATATTTGTGGGCTTTTCTCTTTTTTTTCTTTTGAGACAGGGGACAGGGTGTTGCTCTGTCACCCAGGCTGCAGCGTGATCATGGCTCACTGCAGCCTTGACTTCCTGGGCCCAAGCAATCCTCCCAACTCAGCCTCCCGCGTGGCTAGGCCCACAGGCACACGTCTGCCACTACACTATGCCCAGCTAATTTTTTTTTAAGAGACGGGGTCTCACCATGTTGCCCAGGCTGGTTCCAAACTCCCAGGCCCAAGTAATCCTCCTGTGTCAGTCTCCCAAAGTGCTGGGACTATGGGTTTGAGCAACCATGCCCTAAAGTATGGAAACTATATTCAGCCTAGTACCTGAAAGGAACCCCTGCAGAGCTTTGGTTCTCTCGGAGTTGCTTTCTCCTCTCCCACCCTCAGCCCAAAGAACCCTCGAGTGAAGGACACAGTTGGGTGTTGATTTTAATCCAATCTAACACGATCTGCCTTTTAATTAAAGTGTCTAGATCATTTGCATTGAACACACCTACTGATATGGCTGAGTTAGAACCTGCCATACTACTATTAGTGTGGCCCAACTGTCCCATCTGTTCTTTGTTCCACTTTTCCTTTTTTTGGCCTTCTTTTATATTAATTGAGTATTTTATATAATCTACTTTATCTCCTCTGTTAGCTTATTAGCCATAGCTCTGTCTGGTTATGTTAGCGGTGACTGTAAGGGTGATGGTATGTGTCCCTGCCTTACCACAGTTTCCCTCCAGATACGATTACCCGGCTTCACAGGCAGCACAGCGTGAGGGCCTTACCACGATGTACTTCCATCTCTCCCTGCCGACGCCTACGCTCCTGTCATCTTCATCGCACCGCGGCATGTGTTAGAAAACCCACAGTACACTGTTATTGTTTCTGCTTTAACCATTTGGTTGTTTTTGAAGATATTTCAATAACAAGAAAACGTGTTTCAATGCATTCCTAGACTTGCCACTTTGGGCACTCCTCAATCTTTGTGCAGGTCCACACGGTCATCTAGGACCATATTCCTTCCACCTGCAAGTTTACCTATTGCTTGTCATGCAGGTATCCCGGTCTCCTGGTGTCGAATTCCTTTAGCTTTTATATGTCTGAAACAGCACGTATTTCACCTCCATCTCTGAAAGATACTTTTGCTGGTTAACAGGTTTCTCTGGTTTGCTGTTCTTTGAATAGTCCAAACAGGCTGCTCCCTTGTCTCCAGGCTTGATGCTTCCAATGAGACTGCTGTTGTCATGCTTACCTTTGTAATGCAGGGTGTCTCTTCTCCTCTGGATGCTTCTGATGTTTTCTTTATATTAGTAGTTTTGGGCAATTGGATTATGACATGCCTTGTTCTGGTTTTCTTCATGTTTTCTGCTCGGTTGGCATTCATTCACATTCTCAATTCTACAGGTTTATAGGTTCCATATGATTTTTTTTAACTGAGTATTATTTCTTCCAATATTTTTTCTGTTTCCTCCCTTTAGGGGACCACAGATTACAGGTATATAAAGCTACTTAAATTGTCCCACAGTTCACTGACTCTGTTCATTTTTTTCTCTTTCATTTTGAATAGTTTCTATTGCTGTGTTGGCAGGTTCATGAATCTTTTCTTGTACAAAGTCTAATCTGCTGATAATCCCACACAGTATGCTTTTCATTTAAGACATGGTCTTTCCTCTCTGTAAGTTCAATGTGGATCATTTTTATAACTTCCATGTCTCTACTTCCATGTCTTTATCTATTTCTCCAGATTTTTAACATATGAAATACAGTTATAATACCTGCTTTAATGACTCTGCCTAACTAACGAGTCTAACATCTGTACCATTTCTGGGTCAGTTATGATTGACTTTTGTTCTCATTATCTGCGATCTTTTCCATTTCTGTGCATGGCTGACAATGCCTTTGAAAGCTAGATATTGTCACTTTTATCTTGTTGGAAACCTGATATTTTTTTATTCCTATAAATATCTTTGAATTTTTGCTGGGATGCAATTAAGTCATTTGGGAACAGATTAATTGTGTGGGATCCTGTTTTTAAGCTTTGGGGCCAGAGTAGTATTTCGTTCAGGTTTCTATACTACCACTACTGAAGGAAAACCCTTCTAAGTCCCCTACCTGATGCCGGGGACTTCTAAAGTTTTCCGTTCTTGCTTTGGAGAACAGACACAGTTTCCACCCTGTAAGGGCTCTGAGGCTTGTTCTCTGTCATCATTTCAAGCGGTTCTTCCCCAACCTCACATCCGTGCATTGATCAGTATTCAGCTTAATACCTGAAAGGAACCCGTGCAGAGCTTTGGTGTTTTTGTTTGTTTGTTTTGGTGTTTTTTTTTTTGAGACAGAGTCTCGCTCTGTCACCAGAACTTTGGTTCTGAGTTGCTTTCTCCTCTCCCAGCCTCAGCCCTAAGAACCCCCAGATGCCGTGGCTTCCCCAGACTCCCTGTTCTGTCTAAACTCAGGGAGACCTGCAGGTGCCTCCTGACACCATGCTCCAGAGACTCTCTCCAGGCAATGCTTTCATGCAATCATGGAGCTCACCCTGTACTTTTCCTCCCTCCCAGGGATGGCCCGGCTGCCTTATGTCCTGTATCTTAAAAACCATTGTTTCACATATTTTTTTCCAGCTTTCAGTTGATTCAAGCAGCAGAGTGAGTCAGCTCCCTGAAAACATGAACTAGAGCACTGGGTGTACAGGCTGTCACCAAACCTGAAAGCATCTTTGTTTGGAGATCATTAACATCAATGTTGACCGGAAACAGGAAAAATGTCCAACATTTGGTGCTCATTTCCCTGATCAAGTGTAAATGAACTGTGGGGCTGTGATTTTTTATTAATCCTGATTGTATTCTTTTCTCTATTTGAGGGAAAATGCCCAGCCTGTGGAGTGGAAGGGGTGGTGGGACCCTTCTGAGACCCTCACTGTAAGCCACTCAGCCCTGTCTACACTGCCACAGCCAGCAGTGCCTGCCAACAGTGGGCGGGGTGGCAAGCGGGTGGCAGTTCCTGACCCAGGAACGTCAGAGCTGCATTGAAGTGAGAGGAGCAGGCCCTGAACCCCAGCACTGGGGCGGGAGGGAGACAGGGACTCTGTGGGATTATTTGTCCTTTGTTCATTTTATTAGTTTTCTGTTGCTCTGTAACCAATTACCATAAACTTAGCAGCTTAAAACAACATATATTTATGAGTCTGTATGGGTCACAGTCTCTATGGGCCCAGGCTACAGGTGGGGTTCTGCTAGAGTCCCTGCTCAGAGCTCCAGGCGACAGGTGAGGTTCTGCTAGGTTCCCTGCTCAGGGCTCCAGGCTCGAGGTGAGGTTCTGCCTGGTTCCCTGCTCAGGACTCCAGGTGACAGGTGGGGTTCTGCTAGGTTCCCTGCTCAGGTGACAGGTGACAGGTGAGGTTCTGCTAGGTTCCCTGCTCAGGGCTCCAGGCGACAGGTGAGGTTCTGCTAGGTTCCCTGCTCAGGGCTCCAGGCTACAGGTGGAGTTCTGCTAGGTTCCCTGCTCAGGGCTCCAGGATACAGGTGGAGTTCTGCTAGGTTCCCTGCTCAGGGCTCCAGGCTACAGGTGGGGTTCTGCTAGGTTCCCTGCTCAGGGCTCCAGGCTACAGGTGGGGTTCTGCTAGGTTCCCTGCTCAGGGCTCCAGGCTACAGGTAGGGTTCTGCTAGGTTCCCTGCTCAGGGCTCCAGGCTACAGGTGGAGTTCTGCTAGGTTCCCTGCTCAGGGCTCCAGGCTACAGGTGGAGTTCTGCTAGGTTCCCTGCTCAGGGCTTCACAAAGCTGCCATCAGGCCTGCATCCTCATCAGGAGGCCTGACTGGGGAAGAACCTGTGTCCTGGTTCATTCAGGTTGCAGGCAGGATTCACTCCTTGGCAGCTACAGGACTGAGCCAGCTGTGGGCTGGAGGCTGCCTATAAGCCCCTGCCATGTGGGCTTCTCTGGCCAGCCCCTTACTTCAGAAGCAAAGGGAAATCTCTAGCTCCTGCTTGCTAAGGGGGAGTCTTATATAATAATTACAGGATTATTATATAATCCTGTAATTATATAATTACAGGATTGATATCCTACAATCCCATGTTCCATCGATTAGAATTAAGTTCAGACTCTAACTGAACTCCAGGAGAGGGGATGACACCAAGGCAGGTGATGACCCATGGCAGTCACCTAGGGCCTGTCCACCACATTCATTCACTGCATTTGTCTTGGCAGAAGGAAAGCCACCGACTGCACTGCACTCTCCTTTGCAGCAAGGCAAGGAGGAGATGGCTCAGGATTCCCCCAAACTCCAGCTTGGAAACCCAGGCATGGCAGAGAATCAGGAGAGGAACAAGAAAGCTCTGGTTGACAGACAGTGCCACACCAACAGGCAGGACCCTTGTTTTAAATGGAGAAGGAAACAGAGAAATAAGAAACTCCCAGTGAAAACAGCACAAATTACTCAGATAAACGAGTCATCCCATCTGCAGTAAGAAATTGCTGATGCAACCCAAGTCTACAGCGAGGTTGAAGACGCAGAGCTTCCCCGGATAGAGTCCCTCTCTCCCGACGCACTGTATGGCTGAGAATCCTGCCACTGAGAGTCTGAGCTGTGACCCTGATCCCAGAGCCTCCCACCACCGGCTGCTGGTCAGCTGACTGGGTGACCTGTAGGTTGTGTGAGGCAGGGGCAGCACATTAGTGGCCTTGGTGGTTTGCAAGGCTGTTCCTCCCATAAGAATGCAAGCTCATGACGACATGAAATCTTTCCATTCCTTTCCATCCCTAGGCCCAAAGAGCAAGACCCAGTAAAAGTTTTCCATGAATGGATGGATGGATCGATGGATGGACTGATGGCTGAGACATGGGTGGGGGGATGGATCAAGGCAGCGGGGAAGGATGGAGGGTTAAGGGAGAGGGGAGGATGGAGGGCTAAGGGAGAGGGGAGGATGGAGGGTTAAGGGAGAGGGCATGATGGAGGGTTAAGGGAGAGGGGAGGATGGAGAGTTAAGGGAGAGGAGAGGATGGAGGGTTAAGGGAGAGGGGAAGGATGAAGAGTTAAGAGAGAGGAGAGGATGGAGGGTTAAGGGAGAAGCGAAGGATGGAGGGTTAAGGCAGAGGGGAAGGATGGAGGGTTAAATGGGTCAGCCAGTGAGGGATGGATGGGTAGGATGGATCATCCTAGCATACCTTCCGGGAAAAGCACTTTCCAAAC
Organism: Homo sapiens; assembly: GCF_000001405.40. Lineage (NCBI taxonomy): Eukaryota > Metazoa > Chordata > Mammalia > Primates > Hominidae > Homo > Homo sapiens. The sequence goes on along the minus strand of NC_000022.11, from coordinate 47,019,696 downwards.
CACGTCCTTCCCTGCACACCCCCGACTGCTCACACCACTGCCCACAACGTCTCTATCCCACATGCCCCATATCACTACCCCTGCCTGCCCACAGCCCCCACTGCTGATTCTGCTGCCCCATCCTCCCTCCCTGCACACCCACACTGCTTCCTCTGCCCCCAAACACCTATACGAGACTCAGCACCGATGTCCCAACCTCTGCACAGCTTTCTCTGGACACTTCTTCAACTCAGTCCTTCACGCTCGCTGTCACAGAAACTACAGCCAGTGACGGCTCCCGTCTGTCCTCCCAATCTGCCATCTCATCAGAGAAGAGTTCCCTAAGAAGGACCTTGTCTAGCTCATCACTGTCCACTCAGGTCCCAGCACACAGTGGACGTTTCACAGATGCTTGCTGAAGTGTGAGGGTGTTCATGTCCTGATCCGGAAGCCACCAGGCTGGGAGGGAGTAGGAGGCACGAGCAGGTGCTGGGACCGCTGGACAGTGGAGGGGTGCTGCCCGCTCCACCCAGCGCACTGGGAGGCCACTCGGAAAGTGAACAAACGCAGGCTCCGTGCTCCCTCCCTGTGCTGGATGTGGGCGCCAGGCCAGCTGGGAGGCGCGGGAGTGAAGAGGGGCTGTGGCTGGCCTTGCTCACTGTCTCCTGCACCAGAGCCTCCAACACTACAGGGGCTGGATAAGACTTGCTGAGTAACTGACTCCAAGGAGCACGGGGGCTGTCAGGACCCCACAGTGAGTGCTATGCTGACAGGAACGTCTGGCTAAGACAGGAGGAGGATGAGGGGAAGGAAAGGAGAACTGCTTAAGTATGCCACATACTGAATTCCTCCAGAAAAATGTGAGTGACAGGCGAGGGCCCTGAGGATCCCGTGTTTCCACTCGTCCCACCCAGGATCCCAGTCGCCTCCATTTTCAGCAGCCTTGGCCCCGCCCACCACCAGGACCCACTCCTCATGGCGATGACGACCGGTGAGCAGGAGACACGGTGGTGGGGGAGTGCTACCAAGCCAGTGTCCCAGCTCACGCATCTTTAGAGCCTAAGCCTGATGTTCTTAATGCCTCATGGTGCTCAGCGACGTGGCCCAAGTGGCCATTCACTAAACAGCCACCAACAGTGACTGACTCACATGAATGTGTGTCGTCAGCCCAAGCAGGGGAGAGAGTGGGACGGACAGACGGACTGGTTCCAAGAGGCAGGACAGCCGAGCCGAACGGCAGGCAGAGAAGAGGAGGCTTAAATTAAAAGCAGTCTAGCCAATGTCTGTCTCCTCAGATTGCATTAAAATGGGGGCACCTGTACTCTTCATGCAGTGACTGATGTCACTGAAACAACAAATCAAGGACAAAAACTAGAATGAGACGTGATGGGCTTGCATGTGCGCCCAGAACAGACCAACGGCACAGATCCACACGCATCCAGCAGAACACGCAGAAACTCCGCTGCAGACGAAACACAGGGAAAACTCCGCCCCTCCATGGGCGCCCCTTCCATGGATAGGAAGAACAGAAGTGCCAGCAGCCACACTGACGCAGGGGAAGCAGGAACGGCCAGAGTCAGGTCGCTCTGGGCCCCCACGCCTGGCACAGGCCTCAGTGCCCAGAACGAGGTGCCTGAGCAATCTCTGGGGCACCTGTCCACACCAGAGCTTCCTGGGAATGTGACTGCCCATTACAAACTACTTCTGCTCCACCTCCATATCCATAAGCAGCCCCACCACTGCAGAGGTGTCCACAGGCAGCATGCAGGAATGGAACGTATTAAAGGGACGTTCGCGGCTACCAAGAGAGCAGGACAAAGTTACTTGGGCACTGAGCTCCAAACCTTTTAAATAATAGATGGAAGGTGTTTAAAAATGAGATTCCTTTATCAAAGGATAAATTTCAAGGGAAGTTTTATTCATCACCATTACATACAAAGAACTAAGAGGCCCCTTACCCCATTCTGACAGAAATGAGTTCTTTTCACTTTTCTAGCACTGAAATGTAACCACAGATCCCTGAAAAATTCTCACTTCTCGTAACGCCTTAGACTGGGAGCAAATCACAATTTCCTCCGTTTTCTGATGGGTCACACAAAGCCTGAGTGTCCCCACCTCACTCCCTCCCCACCTGGCATTCCCATGGCACACAGGATCCGAGGGAGGGCAGAGCGCATGTGTGTCTCAGAAGCCGCTGGGTGTGCCCAGAGCCCACCTCCTCGCCAGCATTCTGCCGCCAACCCCATCATGGCGCCTGCCCAACGCCCAGCTCCAGGTTCCCCCAACACTCAGGGAGGGCAGCTCCCACATCTCCCAACCCCATCTCAGAGAAGAAGGCGACCCCTCACCTGAGCCCGGAGACCGCAGCCTTGGGCTTACTACCTGGTCATGTGTGGCCCTCCTGTCTTCTCCTATCTCCCTGCATGGACCGTCTCCTTAGCCCTCCCATGCGCCCATGTGACTTTCATACAAAATGCAATTTTCCACTCTAGAGCAACTCTATTACTGCCTTCTTCCCATGGAAAAAATCCTTAAAAGGTCTCCCGCACCAAGCTTGGGAAATGTAGAGCATCAACACCATTAATGACAGGAAAGACTTGTAACTGGTAATAAAGTGAGAATCCCCAAGTCCCAATAAACAGGAGAAGAAAAGCTTTTCCTCACGGCCAGAAAACCAACTAACAAATGGAGGAAAACTAGAGTTAGAAAAAGCCGCCATCGGCGACCATCGCAGGCCTGAGCGCGTCAGACAAAACCATCAGCGGACACTGGGACAGGTGCGTCAAACCTGAGAGCAGTGGGAGGCTCGCCGGGCCCCAGAGGGCAAGAACCTGGCCCAGGACTCTGAGGAGCACAACAGCCACGCAGCAGCTCTGCAGGAGGCAGGCCGGTAGCCCCCTCCGCATGCCACCCAGGCAGGCAGAGACACGATGACATCCGCGGCAGCAGCTTCTGAAACGAATACGGCTGTGACTGGAAGCGCAGCAATGTGAGACCGGCTCCACCTGAGAGGACAGCAGGGCAGACACAGGAAGGACTCGTGCAGCGGACAAAGGACAGGAGCTTGGTGGGCTCCTGGATCCTAAGTGGAAGAGCTTCGGGACGGCAGAGTTCTGGAACCTCCCACTGACACTATCGGGCAAAGAGCTCGGTGTCCTACAAGCACATACTGCCCTTCCCAGCCCAGTCCTCAGGATGAGCCAATGGAGGGGCTCGTTCTCCAGGGACACCTGAGCAAGCTGACTGGGGCAAGGACTGTATTCAAAACACTTAACAGTGAGTATCATGAAGGCAGCTTCCCTGGGCCACATGAGGGTTCCTTGGGGGAGGGCCAGCCAGCTGTAGGTAACCACTCATGTAGCGGGGAGGTGGGGGATGAAGACCAAGCACGTGCCCGCCAGGATGATGGCACCCACAGCAGGGTCTGGGCTACCCTGCCAGGCTGCCTGACAGGTCACCAAGTGTGACAGGGGCTTCCTGGGAACTTTTGCCCACCAAAGTTCCCAGGGCTGAAACAAAGGGGGTGCACTCAGGAGTTCAGGGCGCCAGTGCCCACTGTAAAAGCTTCTACAATCTTAACAACCAGGCACCCTGGCATGACTGGAGGGCTGGACTCACAGGAAGCGTGCCGGGACAGAACCAGGGAAGTGCATGCTGCTGACTCTTCAGGAACCCCTACTTCCATCCTTAGTGGCTCTGCCATCCCAGGGGGGCACGTGGAGTGTGGAGGGCCAGTGGACGCCAAGGAGACCAGGTAGGGGGCTGCAGGGGCCTGAGTGGCAGATAAGCAGAGGCTGCATTCCCCAGGGATTAAAGAGGAAGAGACAGATGGACATGAGGAGAAGCCCAGGCTCCTCGGCTGGCCTGGCTCCAGGCTACATAGGGCAGCGTAAGGCCAAGACCCCGAAATGCTCCAGACGCCAGGCTGCTTCGAGGATGGAGGCTCCCTTCTCCTCCTGGCTGAGACCACCACGAGGCGGCTGGTGGCCAGGGATGTTGGATCTCTCATCCTGCAGGTCTGCCTCTTGGATGCTGGGCCCTGGCTTCCTGGCTGCTGCTGTCCGGGAGCAGCCCGCATGGACACCGCACAGTAAAACGTGTTCAACCAGAACAATTATATGTGTGTGGTCGCAAGACAAGAAACAATTCCTTCTGGAGCTCTCTGTGCTCACAGAGCTATGATGGGAGAACAGCTAGAGCAAGATCAAGTAGAAAATTACAGATTCCAGCTGAATTGCAGGTTTCCTCGAAATTAGAAGGGAGGCGCCAAGTGTAAAACGGGGTGGGCGTGGCCCCCTCACACCTCTATAATTCAGTCATTTAAACAGAGGGCCGAAGGCATTCATTGTTCCTGAAATGCTTTGAGCGTGTGAATTAAATAAAGCGAGCCGCCCTCCCCAGGCAGCTTAGGCAGAGGGACCCTCGGGAGTCTCGCACTCCTCTAGGCGCCCCCAGGCACCTGCGCCAGGAACCGCATCCTGGCTCTCAAAATCACCAAGCCCATGGCTGACATAGGCCACCTTCAGCACCATGTCCGGTCACACACTATCACTTGCTGGGTGTGTGCGATGTGTGACTCCGACGGTGGCTCTGTGCCCCCAAAACACCCTGCTGCGTCCAGTTTGTCCCGCAGGTGGGGCATCAGGAACACCTGGGCCATGTACACGAGTTACAAGAGGTGAACCTATGGGTCCAAATTCCTTCTGCTCTGTGCAGGTGTGTGCACAGGTGCCAGGGAGGACAGGGCCAGTGAACATAAGCCCCTTGGGGCCCTCAGTCACCCAGGCAGCTCAGAAGGGAGAGGGAGGCTCTGTTGGTAGCTGGGCGTGTCCCAAGGACATCAAGAGGCTCCCTGGCAGAATATGGCTGGGGGAGGCCCCCACATGGCAACAGCTAGAGACTGGAGCAGTCCCCCCCACCACACCCACCCCACACACAGGCCGCGCTGGAGCCCTGGCTGAGGGGCAGCAGGCAACAGGTCCAGAGACGACAGACCCAAGCTCCAATCCTGACTCCAAGTTTCACCTGCGTGACTCGGACAAGAGTCCCCTCTCAGCCTCAGCATCCCTGTTGGTCAGGCGGAGATACTGTTAGTTCGGACCTAACAAGCTGCCGTGAGAAGTAAGTGAGGTGAAGGATGGGGCTGCTTGGTGGGGCATAGGGACAGTAGGCTTAACGAGCAGTGAGCGCTGAGCACTGGAGGGAGCTGCCCCTACCCCCGGGCCCTGACATGGCTGCGAGCGGGAGCCACCTCAATACAAAAGCACACTCACGGCATGTCCAGCGGGGACTGATGGGGCCCTGGGTCTAGTCTGGGGCAGCGCAGACTGAGGCCTGCGGCTATGGGAGTCATCAGAGGGCTCTGGACACCTGTATTCACCTCTCCCCGTCCCAGCACCTCACAAAAACCACAGAAGAGTCAACACTCAATGCACACAAGGAGGGGAGAAAGCCAGATGGGAGGACCTGGGAAGCAGATGGAGGAGTGGTCCTCACAGGGGCCTGAGAAAGCAAAAGCCCGGGCCACCGCTGCAGAAAGCCAGGGGTAGCCCGGATGCACCTGATGAGCCCCCATCAGAGACTGGCAGCACTGTGCATCCCCAAAGAGGGGCATGGCGGGGACACAGGAGTGTGGTCTGTAATCAGCAGCTAGACCCCACAGCCATCCCTGCACATCCCCACACGCCCCACTGCCTGGGTCCAGCGCCCACCCCCAGATCACCAGAGCTTCCGCTCGGCAGAGGGTCAAACCGAGGGTCTCTGGATGGGGAGATCCAGGCACAGCAGAGTGGGAGGACTGGCCGTGTGCAGCGACACAGACCTCTGACTGCAGAGGGAGGCCTAGGTGACTGTGGGTCTGAGAAGAGTGGGAATGTCCCTTACCCTGAAGGGTTGACCCAGAAGGTACTCACAGTCCAGGGTCTAGAGAGACGAGGGGGTAGAGAGGAGTAGAAAGACGGGATGTGCCCTCCAATGCTGGGACCAATGCCTTTTATTTCAGGACCAATGGCTTATGGTGTGGAAAGGAAAATGACCCCATCAAAATAAACTGTCCTCATCCCCAGCAAGCCCTGGCCCGGAAAGGCAATGCGTTTCCACCTGCAATGCGGCCTCCTAGCCTGATTTTAAGAGGGACACTGGTTCCTTAAAATGAAGAAGAGAAAAGACACAGTCTCTCTAGCTACTTGTAACCATGATCAGCAACGACTTTGGGAATCACTTCAAAACCAGTCTGACGGCCTATATTCGAAACCACGACAGCTCTTTCTTGCTAAGGTCAAGGAGAATCACTTTATTTGTATGTCTCTACTTACAATTTAATTAACTATTCTCAGTTTAGCAATAAACCCCAAACATCAGTCTCGGTGTGGAGAGTCACAAAGATATCATCACAAGGAGAAAAGTGGCTGGATCATGAGCCAGGGAGGCCTCACGTGTTTGCATTTCATTACACACAGCATGGTCACCACCACTTCCTGGTGGTAAACACACTCCACACTTGAGCAGCTAAAAAGAAAAATGCTAACCGCAATTTGGCTGTTCCCACTCCCAGCACCTCAAAGATCCTGGGAAGGAAGCGACTGGGACAGATGCAGTGGAAGAGGCAGTGCCCAGCAGCTCCACAGCAAGTGCTATGTCCAGCTCCACTCGCGCACGGGGCGGGAGGCTGGAGGGCCAGATGCAGGGAGCCCTCTCCCGGTCCACCCCAGCTCGGCTGTAACTGGAGCACGATGGCTTTCCAAAAGCCATACGACAGACTGGGTGGGGGTGGCCAGAGGATCTCAGAGGACCCTCTGCTCCGAACAGCAAGTTTTTTATGATTCTGTGCTAAGTACAGGCCTGGAAGGATGAGCTCTCGGAACAACTGTTAATGTCCCGTCTTCTAACGTAGGGCAGAATGTCCTCCGCGGTCATGAGCCAACTACACATCAGCACGAGCTCTGAAAGAATAAGCTACTCCTTTTGTCCTGCAGGGGGCTGAAGTGTGGTCCTACCTGAAGGCCACAGTCCAAAAGTGGGATGAAAGCTGTCCCTCAGTTTTAAGAAAATGAATCTCTCTCTACTTGTTCAGGAGGAATACCTTAAAATGAGCTGAAATTGGAAGGAATGCAGGAAGAGCCGGGAAGGCAGCAGGGCTTAGAAAGAAACAGAGTAGAGAAACAGGTGAGGGCCATGAAGGACCCCAGTGACAAGGCCATACCCCTCTTCCAAAGCACCACTCTGGGCACAGAGGCATGATTCCGAGGGCCCAGGACGACAGTGAGGGGCCTGACAATAATCCCCTGGTGCCTGGGGACCTCAGGGAAAGCCTGGCAGGTTCAGGACGGGGACAGAGAAGAACGCACCAGTGCTGGGCTAGTCTGGGTTTTAATGGCTCAGGGGCAGGAGGGCTGGGGGGATGTGAGCCCCAGGACCCTCTGACTCATGGAATCTTCTGTTCAGACTTTTGCCAGCTTTTCACAGCGGAACCAAACATTTCAAAGCACCCTGGCAGGCATCACCTCCTTTGACCACCTTAACAACTTTGGGGTGGTGGAAAATAAATGTGAAGATTGTCGCTCCAGATCAAGGCTCTTCCAAAGAGGAAACACAGCCTCTCCTCCCAGCACGATGGTCGATTGCTGGGAGAGGCCAGTCAACCCGAGGGGCCCACAGGTGAGTGTACAGGGAAGGGTGTGCAGAATCAGCTGGGGGCGGGGTGGGGACAAGGCCACCAAGGCAGAGCGGGGTGGGAAAGGATTTACTTTGAGGCAAGACAAATCTCAGATGTAAGCAAGGGAGTCAGCAAGCATCCTCATCATTTATACTAGATACGTAACATTGTATTCTGTCACTTTTACAGGGGATGTAGCAGCAGCATAGGCTGCACTGGTAAAATTACAGAGCTTTTCCACACATGCAGATTTTCTATTCTATGAATTAAAGGGCAGTAGGATGAGGATTTGAGATCCTCAGGGAAAACAAAAGCTAAGAAGAAAACCCAAAGAAAATCATAAACATCTGGAGACAAAAGTAACAACAGAGAAACTGCTTTAAATCCCCACTCCAAACATCCTCTTTAAGCAGGGGAGTGTCACCCATGAGCTATGTTGAAGCAATGTGAAGCCACACAGGCTGCTGGAGCCCTAACGTGCAGGCTGCTCCATTAAACACTTTATCCCTTAGTTCCCCAACATTTGCTGAGGCCGCTCTAGAAACTGGGCATTGGTTATGGGGAACATCGGGATGAAAATGTAGGCATGTGGTCGAAGCCAAAAAAGAAGCAACGACCACTCCTCACTTCAAAAGGGCACATTCGACCTTCTAATCTCCCAGTTCTCAGGGTCATGAGGTGGGCGGGGCACCATAAGGCACAAGATGCTGGTCAGGAGTCCCAGGAGGAAGCGCGGGGAGTGGAGGTAGAGGGCCCGACCACAGGCACAGCTGCAGGCTGCGGCTCCCAAGGAAACCCTGGAGCAGAGACAGGCAAGTCCCCTGAGCCCACAGGACACCCCAAGGCTGCCCAAGTAGGTAGGGAGGAACTGGGAGGGCTCTCTCCTGTGCACCAACCCAGGATGGGCAGCGCTGGAAGCAACCTGGAGATCATCCAGCCTGCGGGGAAGCTGAGATCAGTGATAGGCAGGACTCTGAGTACGGGGATGGGGCCCATTTATGCAGTTGATGGGGCTGTTATGAAAAGTCAGCACAATGATACAGATAAAGAGCTGAGAACAGTGCCCAGTACACTGCAGGCACTGAATCAATGCTAGCTGCTATTATCATCATTCCCCGCAGCAGCCCAAGGCCAGAGTCAGGGACCGAGGCTGAACTAGAACCCAGGTGTATATTCCTAATATATTATTTTTGGGTTTACATGAAACTTCTATTTCTTTGATTTGTTGTTGTTGTTGTTGTTCTATATGCATCCCTCTTCCCAAAAATGCAACAAAATATCCATTTAGAGTTTCAATGGAAAGCACATTAAATCAGCTTGACTTAAGAAACTCAGGACATCCATCCAACAAGAGAGCAAATTCCTGCCTGGGGTAGCCTGGAACCCAGGCTGCAGACAGGTTCACCAAAATGATTCCAACAGACAATGATAAGCAGAGTCACCTGGGTCACAGAATAAACAGCCATGTTCAACTGTGAAGACCTGCTAAGCAGAAGGGGACCAAGACTCTGCCTGAACCAGGAAACCAGGAGCACAGGAATGCAGCCCTTGCCAGCACACACAGCACGCCTCCCAGAAAGTCCACACACACCTTAGGTCGCACATAACAGCAATTACGCATGTGCCTTGCCAATTGTCATGTCCTTACGTCTCAGATGAAATATCACTATCATTTCAAACGCTCAGCTCTGCCCTTCTGGAGCCTAATGAGGACGAGAGCCAGGGGGAGGGAGCCACGCTGCCTGTTCCCCGGCCTGGCTGCGCTGCTGATTTATCCTCTGCTTCTCGGCTGCTTACTTTGTAGGGGTAATAAAAATATTTCCACCAGGGTGGTAATAAAGCTGAATCTAGTTTCCTAGCTGTAACTGAATTCTATCTTAAAAGAATAAGTCAATTTTAACCTTACGAGGTAGTCAAGACAACTTTCAGAGAAATTTGATTAAAATCACATTTAACCTGAATTAAAAACACAGGAAAGGGAAAATGTTCAGGTACATAAAGCCGTTTCCCACACAGGTGGAACCATTCTCCAGTACCGCGTTTTGTTGGCATTTTCTTCCTTATAGGTGAAAGTGTAAGATATGACTAATAACAATGGCCACTGTCACCTCGGTGCCCCTGACTCAGACTCAGCCAGTGTCTTCCACTCCAACCAACCTCCCTGGGGGCTGGACAGAAGAGGCTGCCTCAGGAGCAGGCATGGACAGGGCCCTTGGCAGCTCAACAAGGTCCAACGTGGGAGAAGCAGAGGCCTTCAGACTAAACTTCCAACACTCAGCCCCACCATGGACCCATCCTGCTGTACAGTTTGTTGATGGTGATGATGGTGAGGAAATGATGGTGATAGTGATGATGATGGTGGTGGTGATGGTGATGAAATGATGCTGGTGATAGTGATGATGATGGTGATGATGGTAATGATGACGGTGATGAAATGATGGTGATAGTAATGATGATGGTGATGACAGAATGATGGTGATGGTGATGATGATGCTGGTGATGACGTAATGATGGTGATGATGGCAATGATGATGATGGTGATGGTGAAGATGATGGTGGTGATGATGGTGATGAAATGATGGTGATAGTGATGACGATGGTGATGACAGAAATGATGGTGATGGTGATGATGATGGTGGTGATGACACAATGATGGTGATGATGGAAATGATGGTGATGGTGATGAAATGATGATGGTGATGGTGATGATGATGGTGGTGATGACATAATGATGGTGATGATGACATGATGGTGGTGATGATGGTGTTTATGATGCTGGTGATGACAATCATGATGATGGTGATGATGATGCTGATGGTGATGATAATGACAATAATGGGTACTAACACTGCATGAGACTTAAGTGTGCCAGGCACTCCTGTAAGTACTTTACTCCCATGACCCGTCATGCATGGGGAAACAAGGGCTAGAGTGGGGACATTCCTCACAAAGCCAATCCTCCAGTATACAACACAGCCAGAAAGTCAACCCAATTCTGCCAGCTTCCAAACTCCAAGCTGTTACTCCACAGAGCTGAAGAGTAGATTAGAATAAGCCAGAAATGTTCGAGAATTATTTCTAATAAGTCCTTTCCTCCTCTAACCCACAAACTAGTCCCCAAACCAAAATCTCCCATTGTTGCTCCTGGCCTGGCATTTTCGCTGTCACTCAGCCACCAAAACATAGGGAACTAATTTCCTTCTAACTTCCCGGTGGGAGGTCAGCCTGTTCCTGAGGTTTCTACCAGTTTACAGGCACCAGCTTGTTTGCTCTACCTGGAAGAAGGGACAGAAGGCTCTCCTGCCTCTCTCAATGCCTGTACCCAGGCCTCACTCCAAGGGGCCAGCACTGGCCGCCCTGAGATCATCAGGAAGCACCCTGGGCAGGGACAGGCTGCCTTCCAGATGCAGCCTTGCCCCTTGCTGCAGCCCATCGTTGTCCTATCCTTCCTGCAGATACGGACCAGGTCAGGGTTAGGATGCTCTGCACAGCAGGTGGGCAGATACACTGGACACAGAGGCTGCCTTACAAATCAGCCTCCACAAAGACTGGTCCTGAAATGTGGATCCAAGGGAGGTGTGAGAAGGCCCTGTCCTGGTTCAGGTCCCAGGCAGGGTCTCCAGGCCAACTCTATGAGGGAACTCTACACCTGGGGAGAGTTGGCAAGTGCCAGTTATCAAGGCCACACCCACAGCTATCTGCATCTGCTCCCTCCAGGCTAGAAAATGAATGGAGAGGGCTGAGAAAAGGGCACCTGACCCCAAGATGCTCACATCCTCAACCCACAGCACACTGAGAGCTCCACACAGAACAAACATAACAAACATTGGAAGGATCTCATTTCGTCAATAGCCATCTATCATGAACCAGCATTCTGGAGTAAGTCCTTAACGGCCATTTCAATGGACAAAATCCAAATTTGCTGGTGTTTTTTGGTGCCCTTGATTATAAAGCTTCAAAGACTCGATTTCAAAGAGAAATGAAGAGTCCCCTCTTCCTTCCCTCATGGCATTATTTTGATTTGGAAAATGTGAAATATTTGAAACTTGATTCTTCTGCTCCACCTGCCCAAGACAAGAGTCATGCTTCCTGCTAATGAATGATAATGATGATCATTTCTTCCATGAACTGTATCTTGGTCTAAACCCCACACTTCCAAGCTGAATGTTAGTGTTTCCCCAAAATTGCTATGTTGAAGCCCTAACACACAGTGTGGCTGTATCTGGAGATGGGGCTTCTAAGGAAGTGATTAAGATTAAATGCGATTGTGAGGGTGGGACCCTGATCCCACAGGATTAGTGTCCCTATAAGAGATGGCAGAGAGCTCCTGCTTGCTCTCTCTCCCACTGCCACCCCTCCCCACCACCGCTACCCCCACAGGCACCCACCCAGGAAGGGCTATATCTACATGTGAGCAAGAAGGCAGCCTTTTGCAACCCAACCCTAGGGGACAGCCCTCACCAGAAACCAAAGCAGCTAGAACCATCATCTTGGACTTGTGGCATCCAAAACCATGATAAAGTAAACTGTGCTTTAAGCCACCAGCCTGTGGTATGTTATTATGGGTCCAAGCAAACACAAGCCATTTTATCTCTGGGGCAGGAAAGCCTTCCCAAGGGCTCCTCTGCCTCTCCCATGTGCTCTTACAATGCACCTGTAGCTCTGTGACACTTATCAGTCACTGTCGGAAGCAGCTGCCTTTTCATCTGCGTGGTTCCCAGGCCACCCTGCTGGAGACGCTCTGCAGAGGTGCAGGACACATGTTCTGTGCCTGCCCAGTGCCCTAGGCACAGCGAGCCAGCTGTGGCACACTACCAACCCAATTCAGAAGTACTCATGATGGCCCCAAACCAGGAGGAACATCACAGAAGAAAACTCTTCAGGGACCCAGGAGCTTTGGGACCCCTGGGTCGAGGTCAATGTGACAGTGACATTTTTCTGGGATTCTGATAGCGCCTTTTTGTCTCTGGCCTGAAGAAGGGGCCACCTGCAGACCCCTCCCAGCAGGTGTACCGCACCATCGAGCACATGGCACAGAGTCCTTCTTGGGCTGGCATCTGGCTGTTTCCTGCTTATGCGTTATTGTCCCCAGCTCCAAGCTCTCTGAAGCCCAAGCTCCTGTGTGACACTTGTTTCATGCTACTCACCCTTGGCTCAACCCAGCAATACTTCCTCCTACCTCTGAGCAGCACCAAGAACTGGTGTGGTTGGGCACAAATGAAAAGCAGCCTGTCAGGGAAGGCGGCAGAAGGGCAAGAAAGGGTTTTAGACAAAGGAACAGTCAGGAACAAAGGAAGCGCCAAGGCAGAGGCCTGAGAGTCCTGGCTGTGGTGTCACATGGCCTAGGGCTGGAGAACGAGGACTGGAGGGTCTGGGGTGCAACCGCCACTAGAGCGGGGGGAGAAAACGCAAAGCTGATTAAGGAGCTGAAAGGCAGAAGTCAGCAGCTCCTACAGGGTCAGATCAACGGGGCCACCATCCTGGGTGGCCGCCATCCGGCCTGGGTGGCCTGAGACGGCCACAGAAGATGTGCTGTGGACGCAGGCTCACAGCCTAAGGTCTCACCACCCGGGGTCACCGCCAAGATCCAGCCAACTACAGGGCGGTCAACCTCCACCCGATTGTGAATACATTCACCAGATCAGTCAAGAAGTCCTAAGCCAGCCTTTCAGAGAATAATAAGATGGCAGAAATGGGCCAGAAATTGACCAAAACTAATGAAGGGCAGCTTCACTTCAAAGCAATCACTGGGTAAGCAGCCTCACTGCGATGCCTGCACTGTGAAAAGTCAAATGAGAAAAGTTTATTTATAGCTCAATCGAAGTCCTTGGCCACCAACAATAACCTCTCCTGGAGGAGACAGGGTGACCCTCCTCTGACACATCAAGCGACGGAAATGTGCGACCAGCAACAACACATTCCCCAAGAATATGGAAACATAAATAGCCTCAAACACAGTGACCATGCCAATGAGATTAAACATATCTAAAGTGGGTGTGTCTAAATACATGTGTGTGTGTGTAAAGGCATGTGTATAGGGGTGTGTTTGTGCATGTATAGGCACCTGTGTATACGGGACTGTGTGTAGGTGTGTGTATAGGCATGTGTAGGGGTGTGTATATATAAGGGTGTGTGTGTGTGCATATGGGTGTGTGTCTGTGTATAGATGTGTGTAGGAGGTGTGTGTGTATATGGGGGTGTCTGTATAGGCATCTGTGTGTAGCTGTGTATGTGTATGGGGGGTGTGTATATGGAGAGTGTGTATATAAGGCTGTGTGTGTATATTGGATATGTGTGTAGGTGTGTGTGTGTATACGGGAGTGTACATGTATATGAGGATGTGTGTATATAGGCATGTAGGTGTATCTGTGTAGGTGTGTATGTGTATATGTATATGGGTGTGTGTGTGGGTGTGTGTGTGTGTGTACAGGCATGTTTGTAGGGGGTATGTGAGTATACAGAGGTGTGTGTGTGTATAGGTTTGCGTGTATGTTTATATGCATATGTGTGTAGGAGGGTATGTGTGAATATGGGAAGGTGTGTGTTACAGGCAGGCAGGTAGGTATGTCTAGGTGTGTGTAGGTATGCGTGTGTATATGGTGGGTGTATAGGCATGTGTGTATAAGGGTGTGTGTTATAGGGGTATGTGTATATATGTGTATTGGTGCGTGCATAGGGGTATGTGTGTACAGACATGTGTGGAGGTGTGTGTATATATGAGGGGTGTAGGTGTATAGGCATGTGTGTAGGGGGTACCTGTATACAGGAGTGAGTGTATATGTGTATAGGCATGTGTGTAGGGGGTGTGTGTATAGTGGTGTTTCTGTGTATAGGCATGTGTGTATATATGAGGGGTGTGGATATATAGCAGGTGTGTATAGGCACGTGTGTATAGTGGTATGTGTATATACAGGCATGTGTTTGTGTATAGACACGTGTGTAAGAGTGTGTGAATACAAAGGTGTGTATGTATACAGGCATGCATGTATATGTATGTGGCAGGTGTGTGTATATGGTGGGTGTGTATAGGCCTGTCTATATGTATAGGGATGTGTGTGTATAAAGGCATGTATGTGTATGCATATATGACAGGTGTGTACAGATGTAAGGGTATGTGTATATAGGGATATGTATGTAGGTGTATGTGTATATGGCAGGTATGTATATATAGGGGTGTGTGTATATAGGCACTTATACAGGGGTGTGTGTATGTACAGTAGTGTGGGTGTATCTATACATGGCAGGTGTGTGTACAGGCATTTGTGTAGGAGTGTGTGTGTATATAGGCATCTGAGTGTGTATATAGAGATGTGTATGTAGGTGTGTGTATGTGTATATGGCAGGTGTGTGTATGTATGAGGGGTATGTGTGTATATAGGCATGTGTGTAGGTGTGTGTGTATATAGGCATCTGAGTGTGTATACAGAGGTGTGTATGTGTATATGGCAGGTGTGTATGCATGAGGGGTATCTGTGTATACAGGCACATGTGCAGGGGTGTGTGTACAGGAGCCTGCCTGTGTATATGGCAGGTGTGTGTATAGGCATATGTGAAGTAGTGTGTGTGTATAGGCATGTGTGCAGGGTGTGTATGTGTATATGGCAGGAGTGTGTATATAGGGGTATGTGTAGGGCTGGGTGTGTATACAGGCATGTGTGTATGTATAAGGGTTGTGTGCAGGGGTGTGTGTATATAGGAGTGTATGTATATGTGTATGTGGCAGACGCATGTATATAGGGGTGTGTGTATGAGGGGTTGTGTATGTATGAGGATTGTGTGCAGGGGTGTGTGTATAGGAGTGTGTGTATATGTGTATATGGCAGATGCGTGTATATAGGGGTGTGTGTAGGGGTGTGTGTATGTATGAGGAGTATATATATAGGCATGTGTGCAGGGGTGTGTGTATAGGAGTGTGTATGTGTATATAGCAGATGTGTGTATAGGCATCTGTGAAGGGGTGTGTGTATATGAGGGTGTGTGTGTATACAGGCATGTGTGTAGGGGTGTGTGTATATAGGGGTGCATCTGTAGGTGTGTGTATACAGGCATGCGTGCGTAGGGTGTGTGTATACAGGCATGTGTGCGTAGGGTGTGTATACAGGCATGCGTGCGTAGGGTGTGTGTATACAGGCATGCGTGCGTAGGGTGTGTGTATACAGGCATGCGTGTGTAGGGTGTGTGTATATGTATCTGGTGGGTGTGTGTATACAGGCATGTGTGCGTAGGGTGTGTGCGTACAGGCATGTGTGCGTAGGGTGTGTACAGGCATGTGTGTGTAGGGTGTGTGTGTATAGGCATGTGTGTGTACGGTGTGTGTGTACAGGCATGTGTGTGTAGAGTGTGTGTATACAGGCATGTGTGTAGGGTGTGTGTATACAGGCATGTGTGTAGGGGTGTGTGTGTATACAGGGGTGCATCTGTAGGTGTGTGTATATGTATCTGGTGGGTGTGTGTATAGAGGCATGTGTGCGTAGGGTGTGTGTATACAGGCATGTGTGCGTAGGGTGTGTGTATACAGGCATGTGTGTGTAGGGTGTGTGTATATGTATCTGGCGGGTGTGTGTGTACAGGCATGTGTGCGTAGGGTGCGTGTGTACAGGCATGTGTGCGTAGGGTGCGTGTGTACAGGCATGTGTGCGTAGGGTATGTGTGTACAGGCATGTGTGTGTAGGGTGTGTGTGCGTATACTTTAATTTCAAATAACACATTACATTTAAGGCCACATTCTTGTCATCTGTAACCTCGGGGAGCAAAGGGTAACCTAGAGCTCAAGCCTGGGTCTGAATTCCACTTCACCCCACTCAGAACTCACCCCTGGAGGATTACCAGATAAATACAGAAGAATCAGTGAACTCTGAATTTCAGTGTGTGCCAAACACTGCTCAGGGCATACTTATATTAAAAAATTGTTCACTGTTTATATGAAATTGAAGTTTAACTAGACGTTCTCTATTTTTATTTGCTCAGTTTGGCGCCCCTAGCCCTTGGAGGTTCCGTGGGGTTAGAAGGTAGAGAGATGCAGTTGTTTCCATTTTTTACTAAAGAGAGGCAAAGGCACAGTTTGCAGGAGAAAACTCAGAAGGCACATGGCTGTGGCCCATCCTACATCCCCTAGGCGGCCCTGGCGACAGCTTCGATGCTGTTGCTGGGAAGGCCTCTGGGCTGCTGCTCCTTGCAAGCTAAGTTCAGATCAGCTTAGCAACTATCAGGTTTTGCCAGCAGCTCCTCCTGACCCATGAGGGCCTCCCAGCCTTAAGTCCCCTCAGAACAACGTGAGGGTGGAGCCCACCAGAACCGGGGCCCCAGGGAACAGCTCTTCCCACTCCCCTCATCCAACGGTGCCCTGGCACCACCACTGTGGCACCAGAAACAATCCAAGAGCCTCCCTTTTAGTGCCAGTGTCACCCCCAATGGGACAATTCTCTGATCTGAAATGCAGTTGTTTATGATCTACTCTTAAATCTGAAAAAATCAAGAATGGACATAATCAAATGGACACATCTGCTGAGGTTTCAAATATTCTTTTAAAATACTGAAAAAAGTTCTCTATGGTTTTTTTAATCAAAAAATGTAGCAAATATCTCATTTATACAGACGTCATCTATGTCACAAAAGATGCATGACACTGAGTACCAGGTGGGGCTGGCCCCAGAATTCACACAGAGGGGCTCTGACTCCAGCCTTTGGAAAGGCTAGGGCTGAAGCCCACTCCTCTGGCCATTCTATCTTGGGGACAAACAGGGATCATGTGATTTCAGAGGTTAACATCAGACGTGACAGATGTAAAAACAAAATGTACAGGGGACGTCATTAGGATTCACTGCAAAAATGTGGAATTTCAAGTAGGTGTAAGCGTTCTCGATGTAATACGGAGTGGAAATCTCATCGTGTGCTTTATACGCTGAAATTCTATCAGTTGGAGAGTAAAGGTACATTTATTATTACAGCAGTAAATTACTAAATAATTGGTGCGAACTGTTGATTTTATATACAAAATCCTTTGCTAAGTAGGGAACAGATTGACAATTAATAGAAATATTGAGAACACATTAGCTAGATAATTTTAGAAAGAACAGCATACCCTCTTTGAGCCTACAAATGCTTATTAAATTTTAAGTAACACAAGGCAGGATAATACAGATTAGGCGACATCCTAATTCTATTTTTTGTGGAGTTGCTGGACACATGCCCTATTCTAACATAAAACAAAATAAACTTTAAGACTTATATTTAACTTTTAGTTATTTAATTCCACTTAGCCATGAGCCTTGTTTCGAGAATTTTTCAGAAAAATTATTCTTCCTGAAGAAAAATGCCAAGCCCTTAAAATATTCCAAAAGATTATATAAAAGAATTAAATTTGGGTTAAAACTCCAGATTTATGCTCTTATCTCTGAAGTCCTTTCTAGGCTGGTGCCTGTGGAGCTCGGCAGCACTAGCCACCAAATACCCACTTACAATCATCCACAGGTTCTCAGAAGCTGACCTGAAGCAAAACGACATATAATGAAACCAATTTTACCACAGGGTGATTGACAGAAACAAGAGGTAAGTTTCAATGGCATATTTCTGGTCACAAAAACATCACCCAACTTTTTTTTTTTTTTTTTTTCTTTTTTGAGATAGAGTTTCACTCTTGTTGCCCGGGCGGGAGTACAATGGCGCGATCTCGGCTCACTGCAACCTCCGCCTCCCGGGTTCATGTGTGTGGGTCACTTTATTTGAAAAAGGTGTTTGGAGTTATTAAAAAAAAAAAAAAAAAAAGAAAGAAAGAAAAAAATACAATTTCAGTTGTAACTTCCTCCAGACAAGATTTTGTTTTGCTTCTCACTAGCATTCTGGGGAACTCCAGTATAGAATCATCATAACTGAGGTTCAAACAACCCTGATCCTCTCAGGTTGGAACCTAGATTTTATGAGGGAGTATCACGTCCACTTTGCCCTCACGTGTCACTATTCTGGGTCTCACAAACTGTATGGGCATTTCTCAGATCCCTATCCTGACTAATCGGGTTGGATGCAGGCACTACATGAGGCGCCCAAACCACAACCAGCTTTGGGATGATTTTTCTTCTGCATCAGGAAACACACACCCAGAACACTGGTGGCTTTAGAGCTGGGCATACCTAGCCAGGTCCTAGCTTCACTCTGGCCCAGGAAGTCCTTATTTTGTAGATAGCAATTCAATGCTTTTAAGACATTTATTTTTCTTTCCTTTTTTTTTTTTCTTTTTGCTTTGTTGGCTTAATTTAAAAAAACAAAAAGGTCTTATCCAGTGGGAAATGTGGTTGAAATTATCTAGCCTGCCACGACTGAAAACGCACGTTCCTCCTACTCTCACCTTTTTCTTTCACTCCAAATTCAGTGGCTCCAGTCACCCTCTCTGATTCTGTGGGAACTCATACAATGTCTGTCCCGAAGGATACAGGGGGCTTCCCAGGGAGTTCCCCATCTGCGGGCTTGCCTGTCGCTTTACTCCCTGCCCAGCACACACCCTCGAAGGCTGCCGCCCATCCTCCTTTCCACGCGGCTTCCATTACAGACACAGCCCTCTCTCTTCATTCTCAGCACCTTCGTGTCTCCACGGCAGACTTTTACTAAAGGTTTAGGGATGACAAAGAAGGGTCACAGTACTACTCAAGATAGGAAGAAACTACTCAGAAGTGCTTTTGAGAGATTCTTTCACAACTCCTTACCACAAGAAAACAAGAGTGATGCAGCCCCTCTTCCGATCTGCCCTCTCACCCCTCACCAGGCTTCCCTCCATCCCCAAGACCTCCCCCTCCTCCAGCTCTCTGCTCGCTCCTGATGAGCCCTTATCCTCGCGCCACCACTGCTGAAACTTCCGCTTGACTTTGCAGAGCAATTCGGCTCTTTTCTGAACTATTCCCATCTGGGCAATGCCCTCAAAACCTCTCCATTCTTAATCAACGAGTCCATGAAGATGTTTTCCTTCACTGAATTATCAAAATTTTCTGAAATAAATGCTGTCCTTCTCCTAAAACGCAGAAAAGAGGGAGAGGCTTGGTTTTTGTTTTTGAGATGGAGTCTCGCTCTGTCACCCAGGCTGGAGTGCAGTGGCACGATCTCGGCTCACTGCGAGCTCCGCCTCCCGGGTTCACGCCAGTCTTCTGACTCAGCCTCCCAAGCAGCTGGGACTCCAGGCGCCTGCCACCACGCCCGGCTAATATTTTGTATTTTTAGTAGAGACAGGGTTTCACCATGTTAACCAGGATGGTCTCGATCTCCTGACCTCGTGATCCGCCTGCCTCGGCCTCCCAAGGTGCTGGGATTACAGGCGTGAGCCACCGCGCCCGGCCTGAGAAGCTTTTTTTTTCTTTAAGCAATTTTTTCTTCCTAGAATATCCTCTGCCCTTAATAAAATCTTTACAATCCCTGCAAAAAGTTCCAACCCACAAATCCTTTCTCTAGGAGGCAAGTGATGAAACAGGTGAGGGGGAGCTTCACGTGGCCGAGACCTGCAGATGCTTCTCCCAAGTTTGCTCAGGGATGATGGCGCCCACCAGTCTGAGAGCTCAAACGCGAGAAATTCTGTCTATTTACTGCTTTAGCAGCCTGGGTATTCTTATTATGAGGCCATGATAGAAATTCCTTAAGGTTTCATTAGAAGAACAGGAACAAGTTAGACAGTTTAACCTCTCAACGGCAACACACATCTTTCTCTGTTGTGAAGCACTGATCCTTTAAACAAAAAATTGCCATATGAAAATGGCCTACTCAGAGACTGCGCTGAAAATAAAAATATGATTTACTAAAAAGTACAGATTTCGTTGGGGTTCCTTTGGTTATCGCTGCTGCTCTCTTAAACAATCATCCAGCGAATCCGCAATGTGCTTCTTTCTGAACCACAGCACCAGAGAAAATCAATTCAAGTATTTCCCAAACTGCAGCACCGGAACAAACGAGCACTAACCACAACTTTCTAACCTCCACGAAAACACGAAATACGCCTTCCAAGGGACACAAGCGGAAAAGGAGGAACCTGCTCAGAACGTGTAATTCACATCTACTGCAAATCATACTTCAGAGGAACGTGTAATTCACATCTACTGCAAATCATACTTCAGAGAACTCAGTGAGGCTGGGGAATGCTTGTGAAAGTGCTGGCAGGGAAAAGAACCCAGCCGCACCCAAACAAGACCGCGCGGTGGAGCGTGCGGTGAGCGCACATGAACGCACTGACGGAGGCAAAAACGGTATTTTTAACAGATGATGGGTTGAAAAGCAGCTAAACGTAACACTGAAAGTATTATCAGAAGAACTGCAGACAACTTCATAATATGGAAATTAGGTAATCACCATGAGACACAGAGTTAAAAATCAGATTCAATCAAGGAACAAAATGGAGTTTGTAATTTGTAGGAGTCCATTTTAGAATATCACTCAGCAGTTTCCCAAACCGAGCGCCCTTCCCGTGAAGACTGCTGTTACGGCCTTCTGTGCTAAAGGCGCAGGGAGGGGAAAAGGCACAGTGACCGGCAACGCTCAGCGGGCAGGGCCCTGCAAGGCACGTGGCCAGGGCTAAGTTTCCAACAAAGTGCAATTTGTCTCCACATTCTGTGAAATAATTTGCCAAGCGCGCATGGGACTCTTTGTGAAAGAGCATGTCTCTTTTCCACACCTCATCACTGACCAGCTGGTATCACAAATACATGCCCGGTTCTGCTTGGCATCACTTAGTTAATGCTCTGTTCATTAATTTAACAAACTATCAGGAGAATATGCCTGGAACGGGCAAGCATTATCTCTCAGCTTCCATTTAATTAAACTCTGCTATTGTAATATGACAGTCAGCACATCGCAGGGGGGATTATTTTAAAGATGAAGGCAAAAAGTATTTCAAAGCCCCCACTTAAACATGAAAGCACAATCTAAAATTGCCTGAGCACATACTATAATTTTTCTATAATATTAAAGATGTTATTTCCAGACTCAGTAATTAGTTAGATTCCATGGAGAAATTATTCTAGCATCCTTGATAGAAAAATGATGCACAGAGGCAGGGAACAGAGTACCGAAGGACCACCATAAACAACCATCCGTCACCTAGATTATGACAATCACCAGGCTTAATAAGGAGTGAGCACTGCCTGCTTTGGGTGCACACTCACTACTGTCCTGCAAAGTGAATGTACTGAATTCTGATGATATCCCCTTAATAAGAAGAAATAAGAGCAGCTCACGCACCAGCAGCTGTCTCAGAAGGATGCCCATGAGGGATCCTGAGCAGGCCAGGATGCTGCCGGCGGATGAGGACAGCTCCCTGTCCCACCGAGGGCTGAGGGCCACCTCCCCCCGCCCACAGAGAGGGGCTGCGCGGGAAGCTGGCTTACCATCAATCCGGCTCACGAGTTCTTCTAACATTTTCACTTTCATTTGAATCCCAGGTTGGGCAAAGGTGTAGTTGTCCTAAGGAAAAAAGAATAATGTGAATCATATGCATATAAAATAAAACAAACTTTCCAAAAGGGAAAAAGGCAGCTGGGATAAAGTGAACAGCTTTATAATAGGACGAATTCACAAACAGAGATTTTATCTCGAGAAACACACAAGTGGATGCACCCTGCACAGCACAGCGCCGCTGACTGCTATTTTGAGAAGGGAAAGGCCAGTATTTCCCGATGTCAGGTGATAAGCACGTGCATCTCAGGGAACACTGAATGGTACATTTCTATTTGTAAATGTAAGACACTTACATCTAAATTGAAAAACAGGCATCCATGGGCATAGCTCATTGACCAGAACCGTCTGTGGGAACTGACCACCTCGCTGGCCACCTGGACCCTAAGCACTCAGCCCTGCCGGGAACCAACGGCAAAGGTGCCCGGTGCTGACAGCACCATCATCGTGGCCACAGTCCAAATGCTAATGACACAGTCACTGCATGGGTGAAAACAGTGGACATGTGACTTTACTCTCAGAGATATAGTTGGGTGAACTCAGGTGAAGTTCAGACACTAACATAGGAAGGTCTGCATAGCATCAAAGGGAAGGGGGCCTGGGCAGTTTCAAGTCAAACAGCCCAGGAATGGGGCCCCAGCTCTAGGACTCAGGAGCTGTGTGACCTTGGCAAGTAACATAACCTCTCTGGGCTTCCGTTTCATTACCAATAACATGAGAGTAATAACACTGCCTTCTAGGACTCAGGGAAACAAACAAGTGGAATGTGGAAGAGATTTCAAGACACAGCAGGTACCGGGGCAGTGACAGGTCCATTACTCCTGCTGTCACCACCTAAGGGAGCACACACATGACACTAGGGGGTGCTGCCTCATCCCACAGCAGGAACATGAAGAGGCAGCTCCCATCAACAAGGGAAGGGCATTCCCTATGGAGGCTGCCCTTTGGGCCTCAGCCGGTGGTCGGGGGCATTTTCAGAAGGAGGGTTTCAACCAGACTCGTGGTTAACAGACTTAAATCTATACCCAACAGCAGTGAATGTGGAAGGCAGAATAATAACCAGCCCCAAAGATGCCAAGGTTCCACTCCCTGTAACCTGTGGATGTGTGGCCTTACATGGCAAGGGGAACCAGGGTTGCAGGTGGAACTAAGGTTGCTAATCCATGAACCACCCGTGGAGAAAGGAGAATCGGGAGGCAGCGAAACAACGGGCACTGTGCCTGGGGCTCCTGTGGGTTCTGGCCTACGCTTCCAACTCTTTAGTGAGCACACAGGGCCTCTGGCCCGGCCAGCACTGGGAGATGACTGCCTGTGGCAGCTCTGCCCTCAGGGAGTGACACTGGGGATGGCCCCATGAGTCTCAGCTAGGGGAAGCCAGGCAGGCCACTGGCCTCAGTAAGGGCACAGGTAATGCAGTCTTGGTCCAAACAGGAGGTGCTGGGCACAGGCAACTGCAGCTCACCAAGTGGGCTCGGGCCACCAGGCAGGTGCTGGCTCGTAGCAGGCAGCATCAGGGCAGCCTTTCCGACAGTGGGGGATGATCTGCTGCCTGTGCGCCTGAGGGGGCAGGGGTCTGCAGGCACCACCTGGCAGGAGGGAGGTGCTGCTTTGCGTGGCAGCGGGGCAGGTCTACACGGGCAGCTGTCCACGTGGCACCCGGCATTCAGAGCCCAGGAGGGAAGTCGAAAGACTGATCTGGGCTTGATACTGATACTCCTTTTCCATAGGCTCAGGACTGGAAAACGGTTCAAGCACAGAATTAAGGGTGAGAAGTAAACCAGAGAGTGGTGTGGCAGCCTCCAGTACAGAGAGGTTCCTCGAGGTGGTCAACCAGGCAGGCCTCCCTGTGCTGTGAGGGGACGCGGCCACAGAGTTCACAGAATCCGCAGGTGGAGGAAGGGTGACAGGGCACACAGCAAGGGTGTCAGCCCTCGGGAGGCCCCAGTGACGTGGAAACAGCACTCACAGAACCCCCAGCTCCAGAACCCAGGAGGTGACCCCAGGTAAGACAAACGTGGAGCTGAGCGACTGCCTTCGGGCCAGCAGCATTCCCAAGTCTGGAAAGTCAAATGTGAACACACGCAGCCAGCACTCTCTACGTTTCTCTCTCACACACACACACACACACAAAGTGCGTGCACACACGCAGAGCACACATGACATCTCCTAACAAGAGCAGGCATGGCAGCCACTGTGGCACAGAACACAAAAAATGCCTACGAGGCCCTAAGGATTTTTCTTTCCCTAGAAATGGAAAATGAGCCGAGTCAGACCTGCCGGCTTGCTGAGGGATTTCTCCCAGGTGGATTTCAAGTGACAGGCTCTGGATTCCAAACTGTCACATCTCTGAGGGCAGAACCACGAAAACTCCGTTTGCCACCTTCACTTAGAATGACGCCAAGGCCCTCCGGTGACCTTGTGTAGCAGGAGGGATGGGCTCCGGGGAGAGGATCTCTGGAGTGACTGCTCCCGGGCCTGGGGATGATATGTTTCCTAGATGTCGTGGGCTGATTCAGGGAGAAGCTTGGAGGCCTCCTGAATTTGGCTGTCCAAAATACGGTGTTTAATGGGCAGGACTTTTAGGCCCTGAAGGAGCTGCGATGGTGTCAGTGAGACCCAGGCACCTGTCCGGCTGAGAGGGAGCCGCAGCAACAGCTAAGGACAAATTGTGAGCTTTCGTATATTTGAAATTTAACAGGAGTAAGAAATTTTGGCTCCAGACTTGAATTCCTTTGACTGTCATCATCTTTGGTCCTGAACTTGCAATGGTTAGCCTTTAAGACTTAATTTCTCCCCAGAGATTGGATAACAGGAGCACACTGATGTTAAAATTTAGGGCACACTGTGTGTTGCAAGTTTACATCAT
The DNA here is from genome assembly GCF_000001405.40 of Homo sapiens. Lineage (NCBI taxonomy): Eukaryota > Metazoa > Chordata > Mammalia > Primates > Hominidae > Homo > Homo sapiens. The sequence continues at coordinate 46,994,776 of NC_000022.11, read as the reverse complement.
GTAATTTAACCTCGTGGAGGAATTCTGATGAGCCCGGTTGAACAATATAGCTGCACAGAATTAAGGGTGAGAAGTAAACCTGAGAGTGGTGTGGCAGCCTCCAGTACACAGAGGTCCTAAGATTATTTAATGAATGTCCTATTCCGACAAATTCCGGAGCCATGGGGAGCACATTCTAACCACCCCATTGGTCTGTCCTGAGGGACTGCGATCTCTTCCACTCCAAGAGAGGCCACGTCCCTGGCTGTCCAGGTCCCTGATGGTTATGTGAATAACAGACAGACCTGGAGTCAGCTTGGAGCGCAGCTGCTGCCTCTCCTGGACTTGCTCTAGCCGCAGAAATGCTCGCCCCATGGAGGCCAAAACGGGGAGAGGCGAAGGTGGGTTCAGCCCCTTGCACTTCTCAAGAGGCTCCACAGCAGGTGGGCAGGGCCCGGCCCTCAACACTGGCTCTGATGGGGTGGGTGAGCCTGATGGGTCCTGGGATCAGTCAGCCATTCGGTGGCTCTCCCACTAAGACAGGATTTTAGGCTCTCAGTTAGCAGAAATAAAAGTTATTCTTTGCCTCCATCTGGCACAGTTTTGTTTTATTTCTCAATTTGTTCAAAACCCAGGTAGGGAAGACGGATTCTCAGAAATCCAAACAATTAAAAAAAAAGAATGACACCTGAGAGCCAATAACGAAAAGGTCTGCATTTTGAAAGAGAAAATGTTTGCATTTTGAAAGACCTGCAAAGACTGACAGCTATGGCCTCGGCATTCTGGCTTCAGGCTAGGGGCGGAGAAGGCCAGCCTTCAGAAGGCTGTAGCAGGGACGCCCGGCCCCACCCCCCGAGGGCGAGGCGCCAAGGCTAAGACACAGGGGGGTCGGTCTGGGCCCTCCTGGCTCCTGGCTCGGGAGGTGAGCCCAGCCTGCAGAAGGCCCCGCTCTGGGGCCAGGAAGCCTTCAAGGGCACTCTAAGGAGGCAGACACCGTGGCCAAGGAATCCAGAGCCAGGTGGCTGAGGAAAGGAGGGAGAAAAGAATGTCCCATGGCCCTCGCAGCAGCCTGTCCCAGGGAGGCACTGACCGCCCAGGCCCTCCCAGCAGCTGCCCGCAGGCTGCACCAAGGCCCCTGGGTAGATCACAGGCTCTGTCTGCTTAAGGCCCAGAAACCAGATTTGCCCTCGGGACACCCCAGCCCAGCACCCCGCCTCCCACACCTGGCACCCAGATCACCTGTGCTGGTGAACACGTACCTGGGCAGCAAAACAGGAACTAAGCAAGAATCCTCTACACTTATAAAAATGTCATTAGTAATAATATTAACATTATTCCCTTCATAAAAAGTAAGTATGCATGTCCTTTCCAATTGAGATCTGGTATCTTTAAAAAAGGATATAATTTATAAAACATATGCATCAGAGGGAAGAGAGGAAGGGCTGAAGACAACGATCTGTTGTGAAATGTTTCACAGAAGGTGAAGTCTGTGAATATAAATTTTTAAAAATACGCTCAGCTTGCCTTACACCTGTTGCCATTACAACATCACACTCTTCCCGATAACAAATAACACTTTCTGCACTTTTTGGAAGAAAAGTAGAATAAAATTTTCTTAGGGAGCATTTTAGAGAAGAGTCGAAATATAAATTCCTATCAGCTCACCTGGAAGTACCCAGAGTCAAACCTGCCAGCTCACGGAGAAGTTAGACTCCCTCCTGCCTCTCTGACAAAGTGCTCTTCCACCTGGACCAGGGATCCACCTCCCCACAAAGTCCAGCCTCTTCTTTCCAGGCTAATTTCACCGTAACATAGTGTCTTCCCCACATTGAAACCAAATGTGCCTTCCACGCCCAGGCCTTGACCTGCCTCTGAAACACCTCGGGAAGTCTTTTCTGCAAGCAATGGCCTGAGAGACTTCCATTTCCTTCAACTCTTAAGACTCCCTTCCACATCCTCTCGGGGGCCCCTGGCCACCAGCCCTGAACACAGAAGCTGGGCTCTGACCACGCAAGGACAGAGCTAGGAAGCCTCCTGTCACAGCTGCACTCCACTGTCAGCCATTAATACATTAAAGCCATTAACGCATCAGTCCAGCGGAAGGCAGAACCACATCAGATACTAGTTCTTTCATCTGTTCAACTCTGAAAGCCTCCTACGTGCCAGAAAATCAAGTCCTGAGTATCGATGTGTGCGAAGGAGTCAAACACGCAGGCCTGGGAATGCTATCCCCGGAGAGTCCTGCTTGCAAGGCCGGTCCCCGGCCGGTGCCTAGAATGTGGGTTTCAGGAGAGTTCCCACGATTCCCTGACTGATCTGGATGACTCGGCGGGCCTACACTGTGCAGGGTGGTTCACCCTGGGCACCTGCTCTCCTCCTGGGAGGCTGCATTTGGGCACATGCCAAGCAGAGAGTGTCCGCATGCCCAGTCCCCAGTAACATCCTCGGTGCTGAGTCTCTAATGTGCTTCCCCAGCAGGCAACGTTTCGGACGGGTCGTCCCAGCCCCGCACTGGAGGGATCCAGCGTGTCCTGTGTGACTCCGCCAGGAGGGGGCTTGGAAGCTTATACCGCTTCCTCTGGACTTTACCCCTTGATGGAGTCTCCTCTGCATCCTTGCACTGTGAAGAATCACAGCCACGAGTGTGGCTCTGTGGGGTCGTCTTGGGATCCCCTGACACAGACAGGGAGAAAAGTGGACAGGCAGACAGGACCCTTCTGTTCACAGGGATGACAGTCTGACAGCTGAGCCAATGTTCATCACTCGCCAGGCAAGTGCACATTGACTGCTAACGAGGACCTGGGTGGCCACACCATCATAGCACAGAACCAGGGCTGGTCCTGGAAGACCACTTGGAGGGTGTGAGGTCTGAGCAGAGATGAGAGAGAGGGTTCAGGCACCATGCAGCAGAGCCCCGGCGGCCCGAGGGAGCATGTCACATCCCAGAAATGAAATGGAGGCCAGGGCAGCTGGAGGGCAGCGAGCAAGCTGCGGCTGAGGCAAGAGGAGACCGTTCCGAGGCTGGAAGGCCACGTCGGAGTCAGCGGTGAGACCCAGGCAATGCTCTCAAACGCAGGTAATGAAATGCAAATGGAGGCCACTGCAGGTAAGAGATTTGCACCACGGAAAGATGATGTAGAAACAATGGAATGAGCCAAATGAGGATGGAGGGGTATCATTCACGAGGCAACTGCCGTAATCCAGGCAAAGTGACTACACGCGCTTCCCACGGAAGACAAAGTGAACCCCAACTGTCCACACTGCCTTCTGCTGAGCTGACTGCTCGGCTCATGCACCTGAACGTAGGACTTGCCATTTGTTCCTATTAGCTCATTCATTTGATTGGTTCCCGGCTGGCACTGCAGGCAGCTGAACCCATTCTGAATCTTGATTGTGCCATCTATCACATTCGCTATCCCTCCCAGCTGAGAGGCACTGGTTAAACGGATCCCCTTGACGTCTTCACTACAGTCTCTGCCAAGAGGAGGGAAGGGCAGGGCCAAGGACGGGGCTCGGCAGCATGTTCTCAGAAAGCACCCTCAGAGCACAAACGTGTCAGATTCTATGCAGCCTTGTTTAACCAAACCCCCTGCTTTCCTACCTGCCAGGTTCATTTCTCTGATCTTCTGTGTTCCCATCTGTGAAATGGAGAGAGGAAGGGCTCCATCACAAGGGCACAGGCGGTACTGAGTTACTGTGTCTAAAAGAACCTAAGACAATGCCCATATAGAGTGCAAACCCAACCTCCCCCTAATTCCGCACCTTCCATGATGTGTCAGCCATCAAACAGTGGTTTAAGGCTGAAGGCTCCCAACCCAGCCAGGCCAGAGGAACCAGTGCCTCTGTAAACCACTGGAAACGTGACTGTCCCTTGTCTTCAGACACGGGCCAACCAGCAGAGTAAAGCGGCACACCAGCAGGAGGAGGCCATCCATGGTCACTTCCAGACGCACACGGCGAGGAGCAGAGCCGTCACGAACGCCGGCGCGGGAGGGAGACAGCCAGCAAGCCAACGGGGAGAGAAGCCACCGCAGCAGGAGCAGTGGGATGAAAAGGTTCCAACTGCAGGATTTCAACTAAGTCACATTCTGGCAAAGGTGAAACTATGGAGACAGTAAAAAGCCCAGGGGTTGGGTGGAAGGGGATGAACAGGCGGGGCACGAGGGTGTTCAGGGCAGGGGACGACACTGTGCGACACTTTCTTGGTGGACTCATGTCACTGCACACCTTTCAAAACCCACGGCCTACAACTGGTGTAAACTGTGGACTTTAGTTGACAATAATGTATCGATATTGGCTCCTCAATTGTAACACATATGCCACACTGAAGTCAGTGATGTGAGATACTAATCACAGGGAGGCTGGGGCTGAAGGAGGACGCTGAGGAGCACATGGGGCCTCTCTAACCTCCTGCTCAATTTTTCTGGAAAGCTAAAACTGCTCTAAAAAAACCAAACTCCATTAATTGAAAAAAATAATCAATTCATCCAAAGAAGGTAGGGAAAAAAGAACAAATAAGAAAAGATGAAAGTAAATAGGAAAATGGCAACCTAAACCCCAACCGTATAAATAATTAGGTTGGACAGATTAGATGAATATATATGTGGTCTAAACATACACTAAAAAGTTAAGAAAGCAAGTTGCAAGAATAAACTATCTATAAGAGTTCATTTTAAATAAAACTTACATTTTGCGGCCGGGCGCGGTGGCGCACATCTGTAATCCCAGCACTTTGGGAGGCCAACATGGGCAGCTCGCTTGAGCCCAGGAGTTCAAGACCAGTCTGGAAAACATGGCAAAACCCCATCTCTACCCAAAAATATAAAAATTATCCAGGTGTGGTGGCAAGCACCTACAGTTCCAGCTTCTCAGGAGACTGCGGTGGGAGAATCACTTAAGCCTGGGAGACAGAGGTTGCAGTGAGCTGAGATCGCATCACTGCACTCCAGCCCGGGCAACACAGTGAGACTCTGTCAAAAAATAAAAAATAATATATATATATTTATTTATTGTGTGTGTGTGTGTGTGTGTGTGTGTGACTCTGTCACATTTTGGCAATTCTCTTAATATTTCAAACTTTTTCATTATGATCTTTTATGGGGATCTGTGATGAGTGATCTTTGATGTTACTATCATAATTGTTTTAGGGTACCACAAACCATGCCATTTAAGACAGCAAACTTAATAAATGTTTTGTGTGTGTTCCAACTGCCCCGCTGACCGGCAGTTCCCCATCTCTCTCCCTCTCCTCGGGCCTTCCTATTTTCTGAGACACAACAAGATTGATATTAGGCCAAGTAAGAACCCTACAATGGGTTAAGTCAAGTGTTCAAATAAAGAAAGAGTCGCACATTCTCTCACTTTAAATCAAAAGCCAGAAAGATTACGCTTGGTGAGGAAGGCATGCAAAAAGCTGAGACAAGCCAAAAGTAGGCCTTTTTTTTTTGCCAAACAGCCAGGTTGTGAATGCAAAGGAAAAGTTCTTGAAGGAAATTAAAAGTGTTACTCCAGTGAACACACGAATGTTAAGAAGGCAAAACAGGCTTCTTGCTGATGTGGACAAAGTTTCAGCGGTCTGGATAGAAGATCCAAACAGCTACACATTCTCCTAAGCCAAAGCCTAATCCAGAGCAAGACCCTAATTCTCTTTAATTCTATGAAGGCTGAGAGAAGTGAGGAAGTTACAGAAGAAAGGGTGGAAGCTAGCAGAGGTCAGTTCATCAGGTTTAAGGAAAGAAGCCGTCTCCATAGCATAAAAGTACAAGGTGAGGCAGCAAGTGCTGATGGAGAAGCTGTAGCAAGTTCTCCAGAAGATCTAGCCAAGATAACTGACGAAGGTGGCTACTCTAAACAACAGATTTTCCATGTAGATGAAACAGCCTTCTACTGGAAGAAGACACCATCTACAACTTTCATGGCTAGAGAGGAGGAGTCAATGCCTCACTTCAAAGCTTCGAAGGACCAGCTGACTCTCTTGTTAGAGGCTAAAGCAGCTGGTGACTTTAAGTTAAAGCCAAGGCTCATTTACCATTCTGAAAATCCTAGGACCCTTAAGAAGCATGCTCAGTACTCTGCCTGTGCTCTATAAATGGAACAACAAAACCTGGATGACAGCACATTTGTTTACAGCAGGGTTTACCAAGTATTTGAAGCCCACTGTTGAGACCTACTGCTCAGAAAGAAAGATTTTGTTCAAAATATTCCTGCTCATGGACAATGCACCTGGTCCCCCAAGAGCTCTGATGGAGACATGCAGGAAGATGAAAGTTGTGTTCATGCCTGCTGATGCCATATTCGTTCTGCAGACCATGGATCAAGGAGTTATTTCAACTTTCAAGTCATTATTTGAGAAATATACTTGATAAGGCTATAGCTGCCATAGAAGTGATTTCTCTGATGAACTGGGCAAAGCCCACTGAAAACCCTGTGGAAAGGACCTGCTTTTCTAGATGCCATTAAGAACATTTGTGATTCATGGGAAGAGGTCAAAAAACCAACATTAACTGCAAGTTAGAAGTTGATTCTAACATTCGTGAATGACTTTGAGGGGTTCAATACTTCAGTGGAGGAAGTAACTACAGATATGGTGGAAATAGACAACAGAATTAGAAACAGTCTGAAAATGTGCTTGAATTACTGCAATCTCACAGGAAAATTTAAATGGATGAGAAGGTGCTTCTCACAAATGAGGAAAAAAAAGTGGTTTCTTTTTTTTTTTCTTTTCTTTTCCCAGAATGACTGGACTCCAAGAAAGTGGTTTCTTGAGACAGAAGCTATTCCTGATGAAGATGCTGTGAACATTGTTGAAATGACAACAAAGGATTCAGAACACTCCATAAGCCTAGTTGATAAAGCAGTGGCAGGGCTTGGGAGAACTGACCGGGGTTTTGAAAGAAGTCCTACTGTGGATAAAATGCCATCGAGTAGCTCTGCAAGCTACAGGGAACTCTTTCAGGAAAAGAAGACTCCACTGACATGGCAAACTTCAAATTGCTGTCTTAATTTAACAAATTGCCACAGCCACCCCAACTTCGGCAACCACCACCCTGATCAGTCTGCAGCTGTCAAGACGAGAAAACACCCTCCGCTGGGAAAAAGATTACAACTTGCTGAAGGCTCAGATGATCATTCGCATTTTCTAGCAATAAAGTAGTTTTGAATTCCGGTATGTACACTTTTTAGATACAATGCTATTGTATGTTAATAAATTAAAGTATAATATAACTTTTATATGCATTGAGAAAGCAAAAAACTTGTGTGGCTAGTTTTATTAGGATAGTTGCTTTATTGTGGTGGTTTGGAATCAAACATGCAATATCTCCAAGGTATACCTATAAAAACCATTTGTCTTGCAAAGAAAGAAGAGTCTCTTTATTTGCTGATAACATCATCGTGTACAGAAAATCCTAAGGCATCTACTAACAAGCTCCTAGCAATAATAAGTGACTCTAGCAAGATTACTAGATACAAGTAGGGTATTTTCCAAAAGTGGCCACATTCTCTCCTGTCCCACATGCTCTTTCAGGAGGTGACCAATGCCACTCCGGCATCGAGAGATGGAGACTAATTTCTCCCTCTTTGAATTAGAATAGACTTGTGACTGCTTCCACCAAAAGCGTACAGGGGGCATGACTTCTGAGTACAGTGTGTGACTTCTGAGGCTCAGTCATGAAAAATGCAGCTTCCACCTTGTTTGAGGACAGAGTCTCACTGGGAGCCTTGTACCATCCAGCAAGAGGTCTGACTATCCCAAGGCCACCATGCCACGAGGACAATCAGCGCGTGGAGAGGCCAGGAGTGGGCGATCCAACCCAAAGTCCTACTCTTAGAGTCACGTAGGCCCAGGGCGCCAGGCTCTTAAATGAACGGGAGTCTAGATGCTTCCAGCCACCACCTGAGATTCCAGACATCATGGTGCGCAAATCAGCCGTCCACACCATGCCCTGACAGAGATCCTGACCCACAGAGCCCGAGAGCACAAAGGCATGGCTGCCTCCAGTCAGAGGGTTTGGGAGTCATTTGTTATGCTACAGCAGTCCCTGGAAAGCTGTCCGCTTGCAAAAATCAACTGTATTTGTATATACCCCTAGCATATCAATCCAAAATTGATTTACTACAAATCAGTAGCAAAAAATACCAACAAAGCTATGCCATTTGAAGGAACGTCAGAAAAAAACAAAATATTCAGAAACAAATTTGACAAAGTATGAGCAAAACCCTATACCAAAAACTGCAAAATGTTTGTGAGGATAAATTAAAGAATATCTAAATAAATTAAGAAATACACTACGCTCACGGGTAAGAAGACTCAATATTGCTAATATTGTCAGTATGAGGGAAACTGACATACAATTCCACATATTCTCATTCAAAATCTCAACAGGCTTTTTTTTTTTTTGTAGGAAGTGGCAAAAGCAAACTTTATATAAAAATGCAAAGGACCAAAAATACTTAATTTTTTAAAAGAACAAAGAGGACTGGCCTTACCCAACCCATGAAAATCTGCAGTAATGAAGACAGTGTGAACTGGATTAAGATCCATTTGTACGTCAATGGGACAAAACAGTGTGTCCCGAAACAGACACACACCTATACAATCATCTAATTTTCAGCAAAAGTGAAATAGGACAAAACTGTTTTCAACAAATGGCATTATGTTCACCAGGATATCTGTAGAGGAAAAAATGAAGCCTGACATCTTCCTTACACCATATACAGAAATTAAGTCAAGCTAGGTTGTAGACCTAAAACCAAAAAACTAAAATTATCAATCATAACATGGGTATATGTTGGCATTGTGGAGGTAGGCAGGACACAGAAAACTATTACCACAAAAGAAAAAAAATGATAAATTCGATTTTATCAAAGTTGAAACTGTTGGCTCATAGAAGACATTGTTAATGAAATGAAGTGACAAGCCACAGAAGCAAACATTCTCAAAATATCTGTCTTGACAAAGGATTGCTATCAGAATCGGAATAAATGAAGACCCTGTGGGGAACGCAGTGTTGGAGAAATCGCATTCTGACGTGGAACAGCCAGAACTTAACAGGCCACTAGAAGAAGATGTGGACATGAGTGTTCACAGAAATGTTATTCACAACAGCCCAAGACCAGAAACAGCCTCGGCTGCCACCAACAGGAGGATGGATAAACTGTGATAGATTCACACGGTGGAGTATTACTTAGTAATTAAAAGGAATCAACTATTCATTCAGGCAACGACACGGATTCTTAGGGTTTTCAAAGCTACTGTAAATTGAATTTTTTAATTTTCATTTTTAAATTGCTTGCTGCTCAATGATTCATTCTTAATGAACCTTCTGTCAGAGCCCAGTGACTAACACATTCTTTTCTGTTTAATAAACCTTTCTAAAATCTTGGCAGGAGTCCTCAATTTTATTGACTGGGGCTCTGAAATCATGTATCTGAGATTCTTCCCCACAGGGGCACAGTTGAGCCGGCATCTGGGGCAGGTGTGGATTTGACACATCTAAACGGACTCGGCGCTCCAGGCATTCATTCCCCCACCCCAGGCCTCCACCAAGCGCTCCACTGCCCCGTCCAGGTGAAGACTCTGCTTCTTGACGTATACAACAAATGCCAAATCAGAGCTCAGCTGGAGTGCGCTTTCTCTCTGCCAACTTCCTGGGCATCAGACCAGTCCTTCCTTTGTTATTCTCTTTCAGATAACAACATCCCCGGGGCTTAGTCCATTCTAAGTTCCAGCTGCCTGAGCTCATGGCAGAGGCTCCTGAACTCATGGCGGAGGCTCCCCCCTCAACTGCCTTTGGCTGGCCCCCTCTGGGAGCAAGCACTGTAAGAAGCCACACATCTCCCCAGCTTAGTGTGCAGGACAGGGCTTCCCCCAACTACCCTGTCGCCTCCCTGGTATTAACATCAATGGTCAACTCACGCCAGCCCCACCTGAAGGGCAATACCTGCTCACAGGCAGAGTCCACTCCACCCCGAGTCATGGGCCTGGCCGTTTCCTGACCTTTCTCTAAAGGAGTCATGACGCCACTGCGTTTCTGGCCTTTTCTCTGACAAGTTCTGAGATAATTTAGTCACTTTCCCCAATATTCCTATTACCTCCATGCCACCAAACAGTTCTTGGAATTCAATAATTCTTCCCCAAGGAAAGGAAATGTAAATGACTAATTATAAAAGGCAATGGTTCTTTTCTACTCAAAGAAATTGTCCTGTTCAGTAGTGAACCTAAGAGTAGCAGTATGACTTCAGGGTAGGCAAATATGGAAGCTGTAATTCAAGAAGTAATAGCGAACCGACAACCTTGGCATGAGTGCTGTTAGTGAAATGAAAAGACTGGCAAAAGTGCAAGAATAATCCCCTAAAAGCCTGAGAGGGCCTCATCCAGCCTGGAACTTCTCTTTTTTTTTTTTTTTTTTTTTTTTTTTTTTTTTTTTTTTTGAGATGGAGTCTGGTTCTGTCGCCCCGGCTGGAGGGCAGTGGCTCGATCTCGGCTCACTGCAACCTCTGTCTCCCAGGTTCAAGCAATTCTCCTGCCTCAGCCTCCCAAGTAGATGGGATTACAGGCGCGCGCCACCATGCCCGGCTAATTTTTGTATTTTTAATAGAGACAGGGTTTTACCATGTTGGCCAGGCTGGTCTTGAACTCCTGACCTCAGGTGATCCACCCACTTCGGCCTCCCAAAGTGCTGGGATTACAGGCATGAGCCACCGTGCCCAGCCCAGCCTGGAACTTCTCACTGGATACCAAGTTTAAACCCCCAGAGAGAGGGAGGGGCTGAAATAGCACTAGGTCAGCAGCTTCCACTGCCCAGAAAGCACACACTCAAAGCCAGTTATCTTCAGGCCCCGAAGCCAACATGCTGTGTTAAAGCAATCCTTCTTAAAGAAGTGTTCCCTCAGCTGGAATCGGCCCAGGTGTGTTTCTGTGATCTACACTAAAAATCATCCCCGAAACATAGCTACTAATACCAAATAGCATTAAAAGGACACATCCATGAAACCACTGAAAGAAACAGCCCACCAAATTATTTTTTTTTTAATTAAGTATCTGGCTGGAACCTTCATAGTGCACTTGGTAGAAAAAAAATAAAATATAAAAAAAAAAAAAACCTGGTCTTCTCATTCTGGCACCAGCTACTCTGCCAGCTGGTTGGGGGAGCCACAAAGGACCCTCCCTCCAACCTCACATCCCAGGTTACTCCAGAAAGCCAGAACCCCGGAAACCCACACACGGTCAACCTGTGCACACCCACCCAACTCACATCACCCAGAGAACAAGACACACACAGAGTGAAACTCAGGCAAATGGGCAGAAAGCCCAATCAGGAAAGAAAGTGAAAAATAAAGACAAGAAAGAAATTATTTCTCCAAATTAAACTTATCTGAATTTTTAAAAGTACTTACAATCAAAGCTACCACACAACTCAGGAAGAAAACACAGAAATTCTGTCCTCAACATTGAGGATTAGTCCCCATGACGCTTAAATGGGAGGCTCAAGGTCATCACTCCTGCACTTAGTGGTGTCCCACCTTGAGGGAAACCCACCCCTGCCCCACCTCACAGCTGTCTGCCCACAAGCCAGCCTGGGCACCCTCCTGCACTGTGGAAACCTCTGACCAGATGGTCTGCCGTGCCAGATCCAAGCCACCCATTGCACCACAAAATACAGGACTTGTCTCACAACCTCATTCACTCTCAAGATGAACCCATCCAACTGGAGTCACTAACACGGTCACGCAGGTGGAAAATGTTGAGCCCAGACCCGATGACTACAAGTGCAGCATTCCTACATAATGCTTCTTACTGCGGTGCCACAAAGGTTCTTCCCAGGCGGAGCTGTCCACGCAGCGGCATCTCCCAGTGACAGCAACCACTGAAAAGCACCCCAGACATTTCTAAGCAGCCCTAATGAGGCAGGAGGGCGCCCCACCGCTGCCACCGCTCCACACTGGGCACTTGCTCTGCATGGCCAACAAGGTCTACAGCTGCCCTCAGTGCTCTTGCACCTGCCCGCCAATGCCTGTCCCGCCACCACCTAGTTTAGGCTCCTGAATCCCCTCCTTCATCCAAATACATCCCACATCCCTCCACAAGCTTAGACGTCCCTCAGGGCAGTGCCAATGACATCGATTCGTTGTTCACACGACCGGTAGGCCAGCAGTGGCTTTCCAGGCATTACTCGCTGGACAGACCATCTCCCCTAAGACCAGCACATCTGGAAATGTAGCTGTTTTGCCTTTTCCCCCAACACCAAATGCCCCTGACTAAAAAGACTGTCTCTTGGCCGGGCGCAGTGGCTCACGCCTGTAATCCCAGCACTTTGGGAGGCCGAGGCGGGTGGATCATGAGGCCAGGAGATCAACACCATCCTGGCCAACATGGTGAAACCCCGTCTCTACTAAAAATATAAAAATTAGCCGGGCGTGGAGGCGGGTGCCTGTAGTCCCAGCTACTCGGGAAGCTGAGGCAGGAGAATTGCTTGAACCCGGGAGGCAGAGGTTGCAGTGTGCCAAGATCATGCCACTGCACTCCAGCCTGGTGACAGAGTAAGACTCCATCTCAAAAAAAAAAAAAAAAGACTGTCTCTTAAACACTTAGCAGGAAGGGCATCAATCCACCAGAGATGAGTGATCAGGCCCAAGTACCTGGTGCAGGCCACAAGGACAGACTTTCCAGAGCTGTCAAACATCAACCCAGCTTCCCAGCCTCAAGCTCCAGCCCACACTCCTGCTCCCTAAGCACTCTGAGTGATCCCACACCATGGAGTCCCAGCTTAGTCTAGAATGCTCTTCTCAATCTGCTAATCCCCCACCCAGACCTTGGTCTATCTGGCTCCCTAGTAACTGCTGGTATTGCCATTCTTACAGATCTTCTGTGCACACTGGAAAAGAATGAATATTCTCTGTGTGCTGGATATGGGGGTCTAGGTATGTCCATTTGCCCAAACTGTGCAGTACACGTCCTCCCAGATCTTCCTAATTCTTATCTGCTCGATCTACTGTATTAGTCCACTTTCATACTGCTATAAAGAACTGCCCGAGACTGGGCAACTCATAAAGACAAGAGGTTTAACTGACTCACAGTTCAGCATGGCTGGGGAGGCCTCAGGAAACTCAGAATCATGGTGGAAGACAAAGAGGAAGAGGCACGTTCTTTGCAGGGCAGCAGGGAGGAGAAGTACTGAGCAAAGTGGGGGAAGAGCCCCTTATAAAACAGTCAGATCTCAAGAGAACTCACTCACTATCAAGAGAACAGAATGGGGGAGACCGCCCCCATGATCCAATCAGCTCCACCTGGTCTCTGCCTTGACATGTGGGGGATTATGGAGATTACAATTCAAGGTGAGATTTGGGTGGGGACACAAAGCCTAACCGTATCACCTACTAATCACTGAGAGGCAGGAAAGCTGGTACTGGACTGTGTGGGTCTAAACCCCAATGCTGCAACTAACTAGCCACAAAATTGGAAGTGCCTTATGGTTGCTGTGAGGGAAAATGAACTAATATTACAACGAAGCACTCAGGACCATGTCAGGCATTGACAACCACCACCCCTCTCCCATCATACTTATGTACATGTGCAGAAATACAGGGTCAAGGTCATGCATTCAAGATTAACTCTTCCCTGGTAAATGTATCCACTGGCAGTGATACTCTTTGTCTCTAGGAATGCTTTCTGCCTTAAAAATCTATCTCATTTAATAGCTCCACGGCTATTACACAGCTACATATGGGCTACAGAGCTACCTAACTATTACTTTGGTTAATATTCTTCTGTTGCATTTCCTTTCTACCTGTCTCCTTGTGGTTTCGGTGTCTTGTAAGTAGCATATAGCTGGATTCTGTTTTTAAATCTAATCTCATTGGAGAGCTATTTTTCTTCAGAACATGAGACACATTATTCTACTTTTTTCTGGCCTTTCTTCTTTCCTATGAGACTTTCTCTTCTCTTTCTTATTCAGTGGCTTCACTCTCATGTCTCCATAGGTAATTAGTTTCAACTCATCTTTCTGGAGATTTATTAGATATTAGTAACAACATCTCATCAATGCTGAAAAATTCCCAGCCACAGCTTTACAAATATTGGCTTTCCTCTAGTACATTTCTCTTTCTAGTTCTATTTTTTAAATTCTATCTTTCCATGTCTTAATCTGCCCATATTTTCAGTATCTCTCTGTGTTGCCCAGTTGGTAATTTTCTCAGCACTACATTCAATTCTAACTAACTCTCTCTTCTCTTTTGTCTAATGAGTTTTAAATTTCAGTGACTCTAATTTCGATGCTAGAAGTTCTGTTTGGTTCCATTTAAAATCTGTGATTTCTAGCCGGGCACAGTGGCTCACACCTGGGTAATCCCAGCACTTTGGGAGGCCAAGGCAGGGGGATCACAAGGTCAAGAGATCGAGACCATCCTGGCCAACATGGTGAAACCCCGTCTCTACTAAAAATACAAAAATTAGCTGGGTGTGGTGGTGGGCACCTGTAGTCCTAGCCACTCAGGAGGCTGAGACAGGAGAATCACTTGAACCCGGGAGATGGAGGTTGCAGTGAGCCAGTATCACACCACTGTACTCCGACCTGTGCAACAGAGCGAGACTCCATCTCAAATAAATAAATATAAATAAATCTGTGAGTTCTTTCTTCAGAGTCTTTATTTTAAACTGTTTCATTCTCCTTAATATTTTAAAGTTACACATTGTCTGGTTCCTTTCAAATCGCTGTTCTAGTGTCTCAGGTCTCTGGGTACAAATCCTCCTAACGAGAGCAATCGCTAACATTTATTCCCGGCGCACTCCTTCTCTGCTTGGTTTGTACTTCGTCTGCTGTGAGGTCATCTGCAGATGCCTCTTCCCATGGGAATGCCACAGGCCTGTGGCAGGAGATCATCCCTCCTGGGCAGAAGTTCTCAGACGGTAGCCAGCCAACTCCTGGGGGTCCCTAGACCTTTCAAGGGGTCTGTTATATTGAAACTGCTGTCATAGTAACATGAAGGCATGATTCACCTTCCTCACGGTGCTGACATTTGTGCTGGCAGTACACAGGCAGTGGTGGGTAAAATTGCGGGCATGCTGGCAGCAGGCAGGGCAGTGCCCTCACCACACTCAACCGTCACTGTGTTCCCAATACCACACGCTCATGGTGTGAAAGCAAAAGGCTGTTTCACTTCAGGACGCCCTGGATACGGCAGGAAAGGTCACTCATCTTACTATTAACACTGCGCTCAGGCTCAGCCCTGACCAACACGTGGAAGAACACGGAAAGCCTGAGGGGCAAATCCAGAAACAGAAGCGTCGTCAAGGAGAGCACTTGGTGCGCTGGCTTCAGCTGTGAGCTGAACCGAACACTTTCTTCAAGAAACATCACGTTTACATGAAAGAAGGACTAGCAGACAAATCAGTTATTCAAACGCGGGTCTCTGGAAGATATTTTCTCAAAAATGAATGAAGTTGGCCTGTCACTTCAAAAGAAACAAGGAACTGTGTTTGTTGCCAATGATAATATCTGAGCTTTTAAATTAAAAATCTGAATTTTGGAAGACTTTTATCTGCCACCCTGGGCCTGACAGCTGCTTCTTATGAGACGGTGGTAATATACTAACAAATTTGATCATACGATGAAACTTATCAACATTTAAAAGATCTGCACACCTCAGTCAGCCAATATTTTCCAAATCGCCAATGAATGATGTTACAGAGCCAATATATGGGTAAAAGATCCTATCAAAGTGCAAGATAGGCCACCAACTTTAATGTAACTGAGTGTAAAACATTCACTGATGAGGTTTCAGATTTCATATCACAACTACCCTTTAAGAAACTACCATTTGTTGAGTAATAGTATAGTATGAATGAAAAAAGAATCCAAAATTACCTGAAAAGGCTATTAAAACACTTCCTGGCCGGGCGCGGTGGCTCATACCTGTAATCGCAGCACTTTGGGAGGCTGAGGCGGGCAGATCACTTGAGGTCAGGAGTTTGAGACCAGCCTGGCCAACACAGTGAAACCCTGTCTCTAACAAAAATACAAAAATTACCCGGGCATGGTGGCGTGTGCCTGTAATTCCAGCTACTCGGGAGGCTGAGGCGGAGAATCGCTTGAACCTGGGAGGCGGAGGTTGCAGTGAACTGAGATCGCACCACTGCCCTCCAGCCTGGAGGAGACTTCATCTCCAAAAAACAAACAAACAAACAAACAAAAAACACGCTTCCTTTTCCAACTATGTATCTATGTAATGCTGGATTTTCTTCACATTCTTCAGCTAAAACAAAAAATACCACAACAAATTGAATGTAGAAGTAGATACAAGAATTCTTCTATTAAGTTAGACATTAAGGAGATTTACAAAAATGTAAAACAATGCCTTTCTTCTCACTAAACATTTTTGTTTCGAAAAATAGTAATCTATCATAAAAATGTTACTTATAATAATATGTAATGGGATTTTCATTGTTGTTGTTAAATAAATTACTAAATATTTTTAATTTTCTCTATTTGAATTTCCAACATGGCAGTTATCAAGAGAATTAACCCACACAAACAAAAGCTCTTCAAGCTCTTCAATAATGTTTGTAGTGCAGAGTCCCAAGGCACACAGGCCTGGGCATGTCAATGGCAGAGCCCGTGTCCCTGCTCTGGGCAGCACCTGATCTCCCTGAGCAGGACTGGCTTCTGTGATCACACCTCGCCAGGGCAGGAGAGCCTGCACTCCTAGCCATGAGCTGGCCTGACAATTCCCTCCAGCCAGTGGAGTCAGCGCTGTTCGCTCCTGGAGGACCTCTCTTTGCTGTTAAGGAGTCCCACAATGCGTGTTAAACAATCTTTGGTCAATACCGCTAATACGGTTTGGATCTGTGTCCCCACCCAAATCTCATGTTGAATTGTAATCCCCTGTGCTGGAGGCGTGGCCTGGCTGGAGGTGACCGGATCCTGGGGGCGGTTTCTAATGGGTTAGCACCATCCCTGCTAGCGCTGCGTCGCTGGGTCATGAGATCTGGTTGTTTAAAAGTGTGTGGCACCTCCCCCAACCCCTCCCTCCACCTCCAGCCCTGTACGACACACCAGCTTCCACTTCACTTTCTGCCATAATTGAAAGTTTCCTGAAGCCTCCTCAGCTATGATTCCTGTACAGCTTGTGGAACTGTGAGCTAATTAAACCTCTTTCTCTATAAATTACCCAGTCTCAGGCACTTCTTTAAGCAGTGCGAGAACAGACCAATCACCTAACGTTTCCAGGGATTTGTCGGGAGAAAAGTGGTTTGTTCTTTTTCCTAGTTTGCCATCTTACTGGGGGCTAAGAGCCTCCTCTCCCAGCATTCTGTCCTCGCCTCCATCAGCTGTCCACTCCCCCTGCTCCATCCCACCAGGCTCTGAGCTTCTTGGGGACAGAGGGGTGATGCTGACTCACCCCAAAGTCTTCCGCCTCTCTGAGCACCTGCAGAGAGAAGGCAGGTGCTTCATACATCTCGGCCAAAATGACAAAGTTAACTAATTACTGAAAACAAGTAGAATACGGAATCTCAAATTGAGGCTCCAAAGTGAGCCAAAAACATAGTTATGACCATCCAGGACATCCAAAGGTAAAAAAAATAGATGTGGTTTCTGCCCTCTAGAACTTCCCTGCAAATGGGACTCACTTCTATGTATTTCAGCTAGGAAAGATCCCAGAGCCGTCAACGTGGGTTTTAATACAAGCCACGTCACCTGGGCAATGGGCTTCATCTCTCTTAGTCTCAGCCTTGTGTGCTGGGTGTAACCGAGCTCCAACCTGTCCCGGGAATGCCCACGCCAAGAAGCACCGTCACGGCGAAGACAATGTTAGTTCCTCACATTCATTCCCATGGGGACTGCCTACCAATCACAGAAACTGTGGGGCTAGGAGGCCCTTGAAGACCCTCTTCCTGGTGAGGAAGAGCCCCCAGCACACAGTTCTGGCTCAGCGGCTCCAATAAAGCCTCTGCAGCAACGGCGTGGACGGCTGCCACAGAGCCGATGAACAAACACGCCCTTGAAAGAACGCTGGGAACAACTGGTGGAGGCCGGGCTGAGAGCCTGCACTTCAGAAAACCAAGAGAGAGCTTCCCCAAGGGTTTCAATCAGGGCGATGATGTGGTGAAGAGGGTGCTTAAGGAAGATGGTTCGAGCAGTTCCAAAAGAATGAAATGGAGACAGTAAGACCAAGAGTAGGAAAAGGAGCTAAGAGGCAGAAGCGGCCAGGTCGTCCGGGAGCTGACACGCCGGTCTGCGTGTTGCCGTGGTTTTAAGTGAGTACATAGCCTCATACTTCTCTGAACTTAAAACAGCGGCAGTGCTTGTAAACACTAGTCGCTAGAGGAGCTCTGCTCGGACGGCCTTATCTACAGGAATCACAGCTGAGCTGCCAAGTCCCCTGGATGGTGGGAACTGACATCCCTCAACTCTTGCTCCTGGGAGGATCATGTGGAATCCATCGTGGCACGTGAGAGAAGATCAACGGCTGCCACGGGACGGTGATGTGCTATAAACACACGCGCCAGGAAAGCATGATCCCTCACACTCATCGGCCCTGCCAATAAACCATTGCATCAGACCACAAATCTCAGGTGAAAAATGAAAAAGCCAGCATCGATTTCATTGTACAGCAGATTTTATTTACAAATAGAGGGCAGATAATCTTGTATTTAAATGGCACAAGTCCCATCACTCACCATCAGAGAAGCGACATTTGAAATTTATAAAGTTTTACATTATGATTCAATCCTTTTTCTAAGGGGGCAAAAAGCCGAAAGATCTAGCAGAAAGAATAAAATGTATGAAAATATTAGTAAAGGAGGGGAAATGACAAATTGGTGCTTGGGCCAAAATATATCTCTAGTGGGCACATTTTTCTTTGCAAGGAACAAAGTAAGTCACGAGGAGTCTGGACCAGCCAATAGATACGAGGTTTCCATTCTCCAACCGCACAACAGGCTTCTACTTTCTCCTTTTTCATTCCTACATCATGAAAAGTAACAGCAAAAACCACACGTCTTTCCTCAACGGAACCTTTTAGCTAATATATTCAAATTAAACTTGGAGTCTAAACCTTAGACCACAGGCTATAAAAGCCATATTCTGATGATTCTGAATCAAGTAGATGAGCTGAGACCTCTTCACTTAGTGGTATCAGGAACAACCTTTACCGCAATGGCTCAGGAAAAGCCAAGCCCTGCTAGGCAATGCAGATGTCAAGTGACAACCCCATCTCTGTGTCTCTCAGATGAGGGCCCCCCTTTGAGCTGGGATAACAGGGATGCTGGCAGAACATGCAGACCCTCCCGGGAGGCCCCAGCTCTCAGCAGAGAGCCATCTACATGCGAACACCCGTGATGATCTTGGTGTTTGGTCCCTCAGAAAACGATTACCGACCCAAACCGCGCTCTGGGCTTTGACCCTCCTCTATCTGACAAGTCCTGCTCTGTCAGCAAAATTCACTGTCCCCTGTAATCTACTTCTTCCCACCTTTGGGTCTTTGGGGTCGAGTGCCTTCTGTCCCCTCATGCCATACTCACCCGTCTACCCTCCACCCCGAGTGAGCTTCCGGAGCAGGCCTCACCCTTACTCGCCACTATGCCCGGGTGTGGAGCACAGCACCTCACAGGAAGCGAGTGTCTAGAAAGGATGTACTGGCCTCAAATAAACTAAGACGCCCACACCCACTCCAGGGCCCATCCATCCCCCTCAGCTGTTCCTCTGTAGTATCAGCTGGCTCCAGTCCTCATTCCTGACTCACCTACCAACAAGGTCCTTCCCAGGTACTGTGTGGGAATCTGCCCCTACACCATGCCATAGGATTGGCCGTCACTGGGAGACCTGTGGCTTTTCTACAGAAATCTCAGCCACTAACCCTAGCTGATGCAGAGACCCGCAGGGTCCCCACTGTGGTGCAGGGGACTCCCACCAGCTCGTGTTGCTCTCTGGGAGCAGGCACAGCTGCAGCGCCCCACGCACCTGGAGCCCTGGCCACCAATACTGCAGGCGAGGGCTCACAGCCTGGTGTCAGAGGCCAGGAGCTGTGGCCCCCGATCTGAGGCCCTTTAAGGAGGATCCCTCTTAGCACAGCTAGCCACACACACATAGCTACCGTGAGCCTGTGCCCTATTTGGTGGTGGTGGCTACAGTCTGCAGGCAGCAGGGGATCAGACTCTGCACCTCGCCTTCCCACTGGGCCCTCAGCAGGACACGTGACCGTGCCCAGAACGAGGGGCACATACACTGTGTCTCACCCCTCGTCAACCCGGAGGGGTCTGTGCTATTCCAGATGTAGAAAAGTGAGGCTTCAGGAGGGACTGCATGGCCACACTGAGACTCAGGAGCAGCCTAAGGCCTCAGGCTCTCTTCACCGCAGGGGCTGTGGGCGTGGGCTGTGTCCCGTGGGCGCGGGCGCTCACCTGAATGCCATCCAGCAGCTTGCTCATGCACCAGTAGGTGTCGGCCTCGATGTTGCACAGCACCTCTGCGGGCACGCCGGAGACGTCCACCGTGTCCACCTCCTCTGCCTCTGGGCGGCGCCGAGCATGCAAAAGACAAGGAGACTTAGCCACACGGGACCTCGACCCACGAGGGGGCCCACGGAGGAACAGAGCTGAGCCTGCATCCAGCTCCCTCCACCCACTCTCATCAGTCTAGCTAAATGACTCATGCAGCCTTCCACCTCATCACTTAATGCTTCTCAATCTTAACACCTAATTAGTTGCAGATAATTAATATTCTGAATCTTCTCCAATTAATTAACATAATTAATACATTATAAACTATTGCTTCTCAGGCATTTCACATTCTAATAAGAGAGAAAATAGAATATATTACTTAATCCTAACAGATCTGAAAGTTTTTTCCTAAGATTTTGAAAACTCTGCTTCTGATATATTTACATATTCATTTGGCAATAATTCCTCTAAAAACCTCTTTCCAAAGTTAGAGTTTCCAAAACTGCACTGGGTAAATACTTCCATGCTATGATCAAAACCCCAGAAAGCCGTACCACAGATGTGCGTCAAAGATAGAACAGACAATGGCGCTCTAAATAATTTCCTTCTTAAAGTACAAAAAACCGAATGAGAAAACACAATCTAAAAGTTTTTAAAATGCAAAACAGATGCCTAATTGAAATGGCTTATCAGATATTTGAACAAACTAATTTTAGATCCTTACAAAACTGTTGTCATCCAGCAAAATACTCATAAATGTTTTAAAAATTATCTTCCCTATTTTTAATTTTTTTTTACTTTAGTTTTATTTGCATGGCATCTTCGCAAGGAAAACGTTCTTTAAGAAAAGAAACATTTCAACCCAGAATATATGTAGAAAGGTTGAAGCAGATAAACATCACAATCCTGATACGGATGATGCTGCCGCTGGTGTTGACCGGGGTCTGCTGACGCGCCAGGCCCTCTCCTGCGCACTGTGAATGTGCGTGCTCATTTCAGCTGTCACCACTCTGCTGTCACCACCCTTGAGCCCCGGACAACAGCGGGGTAAAGAGGGGCAGGGCCGTGGCTATGCCGAGCAGCCTGGTACACATGGGGAGGGGGGTGCCAGATGCAGCCCCACCTACTGGTCCCAGAACCCAGGTCCCTAAGTGCTCCCTGAGGACCCAGAGGCCCACCTCACATTCGTGTCGTGTACAGTCCTATCCCATCGCGCTGCTTCCCCAGTCGCAGCCCTGCACAATTGCTAACTCACACTGAAGTGTGTGACTGGAAGAGACGAGGTGACACGCCACCTCCCACGGTTCTTGGTTCACCCCAGAACCAGCAGGATAAAAGGGCAAGAGCGCCTCCGTGTCTGACCCTCCAGCAGGAGTGAGCAGCTGGGCGCTCGAGGGCCTGGACAGGGAGGCAACAGCCCTGGACACATCCAACATGGCGGGACCTGCGGGAACGTGGGAGGGTGGGCGGATTCCAGCCAGTTCGCACATCACTCCTCTCTCTGGGGTGCTGGGGGTGGACCCTCAGTCACTCCATGGGTATTGCTTTGATTTGGTTCTGGGTTTTGTAAACGGAGAGATAATTCATCCGCCATAAAATCCACTCTTTAGCGTGTGCGACAGAGTGGTCTTGAGTAGGGTCACAAGCGTCACCGCTAGTTCCAGAGCCTTTGCATCACCACGGAAAGAAACCCTGGACCCTTCAGCAGCCGCTCCCCACTCCCCACCCCACGCCTGGCAACCACGAACCTGCCTCTGTCTCTATGGAGTTGCCTATTCTGGACATTTCACACTGCTGGAATCAGGCTCTGCGGCCCTCTGTGACTGGCTCCTTCTCACTGAGCACAATGTTCTCCAGAGTCATCCATGCGGCAGCCCGTGTCAATGCCTCACTCCTCTTCACGACTGAGCCGCACCCCTACGGCCAGGCCACGCCGCGTCTCTGCATGCCTCGGCTGGTAGACCCTGGGCTGTCTCCACCAAGGGGTAATGTGGACACAGAGAGCCGGTCCCGTGGGCGGGATCTGTCCCTATACACCAGGCACCAGGCACAGACATGAGTGAGAGACCTGACGCCCTCAAGATGCTCATGAATTAAAGGGGAAAACAAGCGACTTTAAAGATTGGAAACATCAATGTTAGGTGTCGGAGTCACCCAGTGGCATGGGGAAATGGATGGGTTCCTCCTGGGACCCGGGCTTGTGAAGGACACCATTGTCCACAGCATACCGGGTGCAACCAGGCCCTCACTCTCTTGGCCCATGTTTTCACCCTAAAAGGCAGGTCCCAGTTCCCCATTCCTCGAATGCGGGGCTAGGATGACAAGTGCTGCTGGCTGGCCATGGCTCTGTCCCCTGACCCTCCTCCCAGCCGGGTGTGCCCATGACACCAGCACTCTCCTGGTGGTTCTGTCCACCCACCGGCTCCCTGCCGGGCTGCAGGCTCTCCCTCCAGCAAGTGGCAAGGTGTCTGGTCTCAAAACTCTGCTGGCGCAGGAGCCCGGGTTGACCTGAGCACACCCTCTGATGAAGCCCCCACAGGGACTCCCAGGGAAAGGCCCTGTCTCCCAATTTCCCACGGCAGCCCAAGGTGGGAGGTGTTATTTCTGCCGGTTCACAGATGCAGAAACTAAGCCTCCACGCGCTGATCAGTGTGCTTTGTGAGGCAATGGTGGGAGTGAGCAGGACAGGCCTGCCTCGACTCCAAGTCCAGCCCCCTCGTAACGCCTTTCCTACTGGAAGGACCGGCAGCAAAAGCCAAGCAAATA
This sequence comes from Homo sapiens, assembly GCF_000001405.40. NCBI lineage: Eukaryota > Metazoa > Chordata > Mammalia > Primates > Hominidae > Homo > Homo sapiens. The sequence continues at coordinate 46,971,594 of NC_000022.11, read as the reverse complement.
GACAGGAGGGTAAGTGGCCTCCCCCTGGCATCACTTCCTCCCTGGGAAAACAGTTTGGGCAGAATCAACTCAACGTTCTGCTGGCCTAGAGTGGGTCTGATTTTATTTCCTCTTCTCAGGGAACTGAATCAGCAGCAATCATCAGCAGGCTTCCTCTGAGAAGTTTCCCATCGACGTATCCTCTTTCAAGGGCCTTCCAAGCATGGAGACATTTCCTCAGAGATAATAAGAGTAAACAGGGAACTAAGGCCTCCCAGACCTTGACAGCCTCTGCCTGAGTGCACAGATGCAGCTGGGCTGTGGCAGCTCCGACTCGCAGAGCCAGGCGCCGCGTGAGCCAGGCAGGAGCCTCGCTCTCTTGGTCTGTTTAGCTGGCTTGTTATTTTATCTGAGGAAATGTCAGTGGCCTATTCTAGGTGTCATTTCTCACAATGGGCCATTTGTTACTCTTCAAGGTAATGAAGTAATGGCATTTAACTCAGAGAGCCCCCGTGGTGATTTGTCTTCTAAACGCCAGGAGAATTGGAATTACCCTTATTGTTAGAATGAGATAAATATCCCCCGCCAGAGAAAGCATCCCCCACTTTGGCAAAGGCACACAGAGTGGCACAGGGCACTCTGGACTCCAGGCTGTGACAGCGGGGTGAGGGCCAGGACAAGCTGCAGAAAATACCCACGGGCTGGTGTGTCTGGCCCCTGGGGAGATAGCCTGGGAAGGTCCAAGGCCACCCAGAGGAGCCCTGTCCCTGGGTGTATGGCCCAGGCGGAACTGCAGGCAAGATCAGCAGGTTTTCCCTGGCTTCTATCTGTTAGATGCTGATATACAAAACCAGAGTCCACTGTGGGGAGAGAATGGTCTCTGAATCAAGACTCGGAGATGGCCAACACCCATGACAGATTTTAACCCAAGACCTTCCCACTCAACGGTACACACTGTCCGCCAGGCATGCTGCCACCCATGAGGCAAGGAGGGAGAACGAGAAGGGAGCAAACTGGAACGAGGCACGACCTGGGAAGCCCCATGGCTGGGGCCTGCATTGACCAGCATTGGGATGCTCACAGCCGGGCAAGCCACAACAAGGAGGACAGGTTTATCTCCCAAAACATGTGTCACTCCATAGGACAGCAGAGATGACAGCACTGACACCAATCGAAAAAAAGATTTTTCAGGTAAGATCACAAATGAGAAAGGAAAACACAGACATGGTAATTCCAAGCAATCCCAGGGTTCAAAGGAAGAAACGCGATTGAAAGGAAAAAATGATCAATACACAGGTGAAAGCAGAGACAGGAAGCAGAACCAGATGCCAATCAACGGAGGGTGGGGCCTAATGAAATGACAGCCATGGCTGTGGCCCTGGGGGTGGGGGTCAGGCAGGGGGCGGCTCTCAGGCCCCGGGGCCTTGGGAGATCTGGGCTTAGAGATTTCTTCCTGGGTCATGAAGACATGCCCAAGCTGCCTCAAAGCAGCTGGATTCCAGGAGGTGGGTAATTCACAGGCATCCCTGGGCTGTGGGGAGGGCGAGGGGAGATGTATACAACCTCAGCTTCCTCCCAGCCAGGAAGGACCTTGACAGCCTGGGAGCCATGACAGAGATGGGCCACTGTGGGGACTTTCTACAGTGACATTTTTGCAAACACATAATTAAAAATAATGAAACTTAAACCAGCGCGTTTCCATCTGAAATATGATTGTATCTTTTACTTTTCTCATTTAATTATAAACATTAACACCAGCATGTATCACAGTGTTCTGGGACTGCATTTGGCCCTTTCTTCCCCTACATCAGTCACCACACCTCCCTACAAGGGGCAGCCCCGTCCCCTATACTCTGGGGACACCAAGTTGAGAAATGTGTCAGTCCTGACCCCAAAGAGCCCGCAAGGTGGTGGGATGGCGAGTGCACAGGCTAACCCCAAGGGAACCTGGAGGAGGCAGAAGAGGCTCCCACAGCCCAGGGCAGAAGATCAGCAGGCCCAAGTGGACCACAACAAAATGTGAAGTCATGGCACATAAAAACAGACACTGAGTTAAAAACCATCTCGCTTGCCTTCTTAGACCACAGAAAGGCTTTGGGGGATGATTTAACTAACCTTCTTTGAAAATGCTGCCCTGCTATAGTATTAAGGAAAACAACCAATTTGTAAAATAAGCCCCCCTTTATCAACAGCTCCATTTACATGGAAAAGTCTAGCACTGCATCTACAGAAATCTACACAGAGGGGCATCATCCAGGGATGCCACACACAGGAATGTCTGAACACTCCTGCAAGGTGGGGGGAGTGGGGCGGGAAATTTGCACTATTTTCTGCAGAAGGGCAGAGAGTAAAAGGGAATGTCAATTTTCACAATGAGCAGTTATTTCTGCAACAGAAAAAAACAATGTTTAAGCCACTTAGAACAGTTTAAATAAGGCCTGTCTCTTCCTCAGATAAATACCCCTAGAGCAGAAGATCCCACGGGTGGTGGTACTCCCCTTGTGAATGTTTTGAGAAACTTTCAGGGCATTTGGGGGTCAGAATGATTAGGGTGGGGGGTGCTGCTGGCATCCAGTGGGCAGGGCCGGTGCTACAAGGTGGGGATAGCACTGCACAGTCACCACGTCCAGCCTGAGACTCCACCAGTCCACGTGGATGGAGAGATGGACGAGTGGACAGATGGATATGGGTAGACGGGTGGATGAATGGTGGGTAGGTAAACAAAGCTAAGTTTTTGAAATGGAGGATATTTAGCTTGGTCAGGAGAAAACCACATGGAGACATAATTGCTACTCTGCAATATGCGAAAAGCTGTTTTAGGGAAACAAAGAGCAGAAATTCTTGGCCCCTCTTTCCACATCCAGAAAACAAAAAGGGTCAGAAGATTAAAGAAACAGTGGGATGGATGGGCTAAAAATCCAGATGGTCCTGGTGATGAAGGCTGCCCACTCAGGACCGCCGGCTACGCAGTGAGGACGCCTGCCCACTCAGGACCGCCGGCCACGCAGTGAGGACGCCCGCCCACTCAGGACCGCCGGCCACGCAGTGAGGACGCCCTCCCACTCAGGACCGCCGGCCACGCAGTGAGGACGCCTGCCCACTCAGGACCGCCGGCCACGCAGTGAGGACGCCTGCCCACCAACTGACAAAGCACTAGTGTGTTTCCACAGCAGGACTTTCTGCGTGGGGGCGCACACGTCCACGCATGATCCCACTCCATCCAAAAGCCCCCTGTGGGGTCCATGCCACGCTGCGCAGGTAAGGAGGCTGCAGGTAACACACCCAGGTCCTGCGCTAGGAAGTGGCAGAGCCTGGCCATGAACCAGGGCTCTGCCTGATTAGTCTACATGCTTTTCATCGGGTTCACAGCAGGACCCCGCACAGCATGGAGGCCTCTGACTCAGTAAGGAGCATCCATGCCGGAGCCTCCCTTGTGCAGCTCCAACTCCAGGCAGGTCTAACTCCAGAAATACAACAACCCCGCAGCCATGCCACGCAGTGCGTGGGTGCCTCTCCTGTCATTCAGCAAAAGAGCCCGTCACCACAAGGCCACCCAAGCTCTGGGTCTCCTAAGGGGCTCATTTCCCTCACGGCCCCCCACCCCACCTCTGTGAGACGACATCAGCCTCTGGAACTGGAGTAGAGGACTGGAATCGTAGCTTGTAATTACCAGGGGGTGCTCTGGAATCATAGTTTGTAATTACCAGGGGGTGCACTGGAATCGTAGCTTGTAATTACCAGGGGGTGCAATGGAATCATAGCTTGTAATTACCAGGGGGTGCACTGGAATCATAGCTTGTAATTACCAGGGGGTGCAATGGAATCGTAGCTTGTAATTACCAGGGGGTTCTCGAAAACAAAAAGGCTTGATGCGGGTTAAGTTCTCTCTCATATTAAACTACATGGAAGAGCTTGGTACTGGGGAAAGGGGAAAATCCCTCCAATGTAAACAGCTCCTTTCATTTCAAAGAATTCCAGGACACTGGTAGCAAGGTATGGAGAGCAGTCACCTATAGCACAAACGCTGTCGGTAAGAGCCAGCCCCGACGGGGAGTGCCAAGGAGGGAGCTATTGCCGTTACCACCACATTCATCACCCACACTGCACAAACCCTGCAATAAGCCTCTTCACTTAATTAGGAGCTTAACTGGTAATCAAAAATGTTCTGTTTTATAAGCAAGATGGAATTGCTCTATGGATCTAATCTTTTGCATTTCCCAACTTGGGAGTTTTAAATTGGAAACTCCAGTACTTTGGTGAGAGAGATTTGAACACTTCATTAAGTACATTTGGGTTCCAGGATGGAGAAAAAAGTCCTGCCTTGGTGAGAGTGGCATAACAACTCAAGACTATAAATTCGCCAAACTCTTTGGTTCAGCAAAAACAACTAACGTTATGATCAAATGGCTCTAGTGCGGGAATGTTTAATTCTTATATGGATAACGTTCAACTCAATCAAGGTTACACAGACTGAACCACAGTCACAGTTCCCGACTCTGCTCCACGGCTGTAAGCTTGGGCCATCCGCCTGCAGCCCACAAGTGCGGGCATACGGTGGGAGGGCGAGACGTTGGCAGACAATTATCACAGGACAAGGACAACGCCCTCAGCATGGCTAGACGAGGTGGCAGCATCAGACCAGCTCCAGCGATCAACTGCCAGCCCCAAGAGTGATCCCAAATGATGAGAACCGACACACTCTTCTCACCAACAGCATAGCTGTTTCCCATCCCACCACCCGCAAGCAGACCCGCAGTCAGGAGTCTCCAACCCCAAAACCCAAAGCAGGAGGCCTCGGGGCCTGGGAACAGGACAGTGTCTGTGAAGCAGCTGGCCTACTTTTTGTACAAAGAACTTGGTACCAAATTCCATGTGGAAAAAGTCTGCAGGCAACACTTGGGAAAATATCAACTGTGGGATAGATACTGCGGTAAAAAGTGAAAGAAACCTTCTGTATCTTTTGCCGTCCTCGTTTTGATGAGGTCACTTTTGCAAAAAGCAAAAATTCCAATCTCATAGTATTCTTGTGGCTTGAGTGGATCTTTAATGTTTCAATAATGCTGTGAGTAGGAGTTGTGGTTCATAGAAAAGCTGTTTGTTGAAACAGTGATTTCTTCTATTAACAAATATCAAACACTTCTATGTGTGAGAAACTGTGGGACGGGGAGAAAAGCGAGGACGAAACAAAGAACATGTTAGTGCCTGGAAGAGAGGCCGTGCCCATGTGCTCCTCTGACTCACAGACTCATGGGCTCTCCCGATGCTTTCGACCGTCTGTTACAGAGGGACGCAGCTCACACAGCCGTGCTGTGTGAGCTGGAACCTGCCAGGTGGAGAATGAACAGGGTGATGGGGCAGAAGGCACGGAGCCCGACCGGGCTGGAAAGCATGAGCACAGGGCCACTGGCATTCCAACCAAGCCTGGAGGGCGGCAGGATCGGATAGAGCGCAGGTGATGGGAAGGAAGGCAGAAAGTTCACAGACGGAAAGAGGAGGAAGAGCTTGTGGGGAGCGTGATGCGGAGGCCCCAGAGACTTCCCTGTAGAGGGACGGGAAGCGCTAGAAGACAGCTGTTTGTTAGAGTGGTACCCTCAGCACAGGGCCCCAGGAGAGTGCCATGGCTGCGGGAGGTGTGAGGAGCCAGCCCACCGCACCTGGGCAGGTGTCAGGGAGGGACGTGATGAAGCCAGCGCTGTGGAAACGAGGTGGGCACAGGCGGGTGGAGATGCTGCCACCTGGGGCCTGCTGGCCCAGCACTGCTGAGGCACAGGAGGAAGATGTGGGCCCACCACAGCTGCCCCTCCAGGTAGCAAACACACTGCCGGAGAACCAATGACTGCACCATCACGAAACCCCACACCAGGCCACCGGCCACAGGGACGGGATGAGGCAGACGTCGTGCCTGCTGCCGAGATGTCACCCCTGCTCAAGGCTCTGCCTGTGTGTATTAGTTACTAAATAAATTCAGTAAGATTCACCAAGCTCACCAATAAAACTGGCCAAGATTCCCCCACTGACACAAGTAACAAGAAACAGACCCTCTGAAGCACAAGGACCACTCAAAACACAGTTCTCCATTTGCTGCTCCGGAGATGACGAATGCATTCTGCAAAACAATCTGACAAAGCACGCCGAAGGCTTTAAAACCCACAGAGCTCTGCCGAGCCCAGACAGTGCAGCCGGTACCGAGACGGGGGCCGTCGGAATCCAGGAGAAAAACAGTCCCAGGCCCTGCACATCCATGGCTCACCGTCTGGCAGGGGAGTCGGCAACAAGACAAGGCCCCGTAACAAATGAGAATGGGCGGGGCACCCCGCCCCCACAGGTCAGATGGCAAAATGGCACGCTGGTGTGGAGAAGGTGTCCTTGCACTTTACTGTTAATAACACAACGAAAAATCAAGAAATACACCCACTGAAAAACACAATGCAGGTTCCTCTGCTGTTCAGATGAGGCAGCTAGCATCCCAAAGTGCTAACTGGAAGAGCTTGCTGCTCTGACAATCCAGCGTTCACTGACCGCTCCAGCAAGGTGACTTTGGTTGGAGCCACTTACAGAAGCCTAAGTCCCTTTCCTCATCAATCCTTGGTCTTCGATAAATCACTCTGACGCTCGGCCCCAAAGTTCTGCTCCTGTGTGGGTGCTGCTTACATCCCAGCTGGGAACCCCACCGCTCAGAGCAAGAACGGGCGTGCAGCTCACCAGTGCCCAGCGTGGCTGTGGCCCCTGTCGCAATTCTAACGAGCCCACGTGAAAGGCTGGCTGTGGTCACTCAACAGGCATGGCCTTGCCAGGAATCGGGTTGGCAACTCGACCCCTCAGCCCTCAGTGCCCCTGCTGGCCCATCCATCCAGAACCGATACATTTCAAAACACTCCTCCCTCTCTATTACATCCAGAAAATGGACCACACAAATCAGGTAAAAAACTGCTTACATTGTAACTATCCAAACTGGATGGATATAATCACAGAAGGATATGAGGCTACTGTATCAAAACCAAAATTGGACAGACGGTCCATGTATATTATAGCACAAAGCCAAGGCAAACTAAGACTGCTTCCTTTCGGGATGTTTTTCAGTATACTTCTGCTTGAAAAAATTTAATCAATTGTATGGCACTTCAATTTCTCAACAAAAAGAAACATGATCCACTGAAAAGAATATACGGGCCTCCCTTTAACAAAGAGGGTCCTTCCCTTCCAGCTTCTCAGGCCTTCCTGGCTGGCAGAGGCCGCATGCTCTGCAGGTCATCTGTAGGTGGGGGAGCGCCAGAGGGGCCTCCACATGCCCAGAAGGTACTCAAAAGGCATGACTGCAGAACAGCCCCACAAATAAACTTCTTCCTAAGTGACAGATACCTATATCATTTGCAAACAGCCCTGCTTGTTCTCCATGCCTACCCTAAAGTAGGCTTCACACAAAGAATGTGTTTCGGATGGCCCAGCCTTCCTACACAGAGCAGCATGAAACCAAGGCTCCAACAAGTGCACAGCCAATTACTGTGCACCTGCCAGAAAATCAAACAGACGCCGCTGGCAGCCAAGGAGGGGCAGGAGCCCGGCCCTCACACTAACAGGCAGCTGTGTTGCCCACACTCAAGTCCTGGTGCTCTGTTATCACAAGTGAACATCTCAGCACCCCATGAAAACGTGCATCGCTCCTGCTGGACCCAAGATCAGAGCACATAGAAGGAACAGTGGCCAGCCAGCTCCCGAGAGCCTTCAGATAACAGGTGTCCCTGTGGGCCCATGCCCTGCTCCTGCGCCTGCCTCCCCACTGCTGAGGCAAAGGCTGGAGAAGCTTGCCCACGGCACCAGCCACACTGTGTCCTCCCCAATATACAGCTTGGAGGCCGGGAGGGGAGGTGCACGGCCCCAGAATGCAGAAGAGCCTGCTCAGCCCAAAGACCCCATGTCCTGCCCGGAGTGGCACCTGGGCCCGGAGAAGGATCCCACCTTATGCCTGCAAATTGCCCTGTGCACCATTGATTCAAGGATGAAAAGAAAGGAAGAGCCTTCTCAGGCTTCCAAGATGGCCTGTCTCTTGGGTTTTATACTTGCCAAGGTTTCTACTTTCCTGAACAATATGTGTAGTGCTCGCTGGGAGCTGGGGAAGGCACAGGAACAAGGGCCTGCTCCATTCAGAGCCAATACACTTGGCCGGGAGAAAGCAGAACACCACACAATCGTGGAGGCCTGAGAGCTCTCTGAAGGCTCCCTGGGCCTTTCCAGCCTTGGGCACTGCGGGACCCAGGGCAGGCAGTGTGATGAGCACTGCGGGACCCAGGGCAGGCAGTGTGATGAGCACTGCGTGGCCCAGGCAGGGTCTATAGGGCATGTCCAAGACACCATGGGGTAAGGTGATCAGGCACTGATTTTTTTTTTTTTTTTTTGAGACGGAGTCTTGCTCTGTCACCCGGGCTATAGTGCGGTGGCGCTCCTTCTTGGCTCACTGCAAGCTCCACCTCCCAAGTTCATGCCATTCTCCTGCCTCAGCCTCCCAAGCAGCTGGGACTACAGGCGCCCACCACCACGCCCAGCTAATTTTTTTTTTTTTGTATTTTTAGTAGAGACGGGGTTACACCATGTTAGCCAGGAATGGTCTCGATCTCCTGACCTTGTGATCCACCAACCTCAGCCTCCCAAAGTGCTGGGATTACAGGCATGAGCCACTGCACCCGGCCCAGGCACTGATTCTTTTAAAGTCATCGTCACAAAAAAAATTTTAGGAACTCACAATACTAAATAAAGAGGGAAATTAGCCACAGATACGTTATGTAAAACACAGCCAGGATATCTCTTGGTCTAATTTTATCCCAATTTGTTTCTACATAGGTTTTGTTCAGCTGTTACATGACTACAGTTGCATTTCTGCCCTGTAGAATCTGACGTTTGTAACAGGGATCTCCCATTTTATAACATGCTCTTTGAAGCCATCCCTCAGGATGCTGCATAATTATCTACAGAACTGCAATCCCCTCGTCTACACAGCCGCACCCCTACTGTGGGACGCTGGCATCGTTTCAAACATCTTACTGTTACAAAGAATGCCCCAGTAAGCCTCTTCTCTCTATAAGGTATGTGATCCACACAGAGAGATTTCCTTAAGACAAACATCTCAAGTGAAATTGGCAGGTGAAAGAGCAGAACATTTTATTGAGAGATATTGGTAAAATATGTGAAAGACATGTTGGAAGTTTATTCTACAGCCAGCAGGGCCTAAGATCATCCACCTCACCAATCCCTTATCAGCACCTTGACCTTCTTTTCAGCTCTGCTCACTGGCAAGGTAAAAACTTCTCATTACAGTGAGATCTAATTCACATTCTTTATTGTCTGGTAAAGTTTAGCTGTTTTCCACACAGTTGTGACTGTTTCTTAAATCCGTCTTTGATTCATGTGGTTCTCAGTTAAAGCCACGCAGAGCAGGAGGGGCAGTGAGGTGGCGAGCACCGATCCTGGGCAGAAGCCAGCTGTCCTCCGCTGGGATCCTAGAGACACCCGCATCTCCTCCCAGACAGCACACTCCCCCCAGGACCAGAGGGCCGGCCACAGTCAGCCCTGCTGACTTGCAAGAGGCCTGTGAAGTGTACGTTCAACCACCTGCCACTGACGAAATCTGCAGGAACCTGCAGTGACTTTTTGAAAACATGCAGGAAACCAAACAATCCAACTCACACAATCTGGATAAATCTGTCAAAATACACACTCAGACACACTCACACTCAAACCCACACAATACTCTCTGCTAGCAAATTCCCCAGGGCTCTCACATGCCTCTCTGACGCTGGTGACGCCATCAATTGTGCCGCACTCAGACCACTGACCGAGTTCCTCTGTGCTGCTCTTGGGGTCCCTTTCAAACCCTGACAGAGCCATCCGTGCCCCCGTCCTGGAGTGAAGAAAACGGCTACTGAATGGAAAGTCTGGGTTCAAATCCTGGTCTCCATCAAACAAATTACCTGAAGAAATGACTTTAAGCTTCTTCGCCATGTTCACATGGGAATTACAAAATGCAAAACCAAGGCCGCAAGCATGAAATGTTGCAAGCCATACGGAAATCTGGAAACTTCACTAAAACCACATGAACATTTGCTGAAGTTTCTGTATTTGTTTCATGTGGATACAAGCTCTAAGGATGGTCTCAGAAATGTCTGGAGTCGCTTGAAAAGCTAAATGTAACGTGAATACAAAATTACACGGAAATGCACTATGAGCTAAGGTGCTGGTGTCTTTGAGCTGGCTGCGGCAGAACTTAGGTGTGAATCTACAGCAATTACTCAAATTGAATCTGAGGACAAATACATAAGGAAGGTGGATGATTCTTGACATCATTTGCCATATTTTCCAAAGTTCTTGACTGATTTTTTACAAAACAAGATTGTCTTAATATTATGGTACAATGAATATCTCTGTTTACTCAAAAGCAGTCTAGAAATTAGAGTTCAATATGAAAGCTGCCTAGGATAAAAAGTAAATTGACTGACACTAATTACCAAGAAAATGAAGAGTTTAAGCCTCAAAATGAGGCTTCAAAGATCTGTGTTTGTATCTTCCATGAAGGAGTCCTGGGCACGGGTTTTGTTTTTTTTTTTTCTTGTCTCTGAGATGTGTCCTCTTAGCTACGGACTGGGTATCTTTTTTTTTTTTTTTTTTTTTTTGAGATGGTGTCTCGCTCTGTCTCCCAGGCTGGAGTGTAGTGGCACAGTCTCGGCTCACTGGCTCACTGCAAGCTCCGCCTCCTGGGTTCACGCCATTCTCCTGCCTCAGCCTCCCAAGTAGCTGGGACTACAGGCACCCGCCACCACGCCTGGCTAATTTTTTGTATTTTTTAGTCGAGACAGCGTTTCACCGTGTTAGCCAGGATGGTCTCAATCTCCTGACCTCGTGATCCACCCGCCTCGGCCTCCAAAAATGCTGGGATTACAGGCATGAGCCACCACGCCGCGCCTGGCCTGGACTGGGTATCTTTTGTCCTCAGCTATGCCTGTGTGGTAGTGGCAGAGCAGACTGCCTGGTTGGGGACACTGCCAAAGGGCCAAAAGACGCCAAGAGGCCAGGCGTGATGCCTCACACCTGTAATCCCAGCACTTTGGGGGACTGAGGCCGGCAGATCATTTGAGGTCAGGAGTTCAAGACCAGCCTGGCCAACATGGCGAAAACCCGTCTCTAATAAAAACACAAAAATTAGCTGGGCGTGGTGGTGGGTGCCTGTAATCCCAGCTACTCAGGAGGCTGATGCAGAAGAATCGCTTGAACCCAGGAGTCGGAGGTTGCAGTGAGCCCATATCGTGCCGCTGCAGTCCAGCCTGGGCAACAGAGCAAAAACTCCGTCTCAAAAAAAAAAAAGATGAGTCCAACACTGTACCTCCTACATAATGTCTGATATGGCACTATATAACAGGCCAGTACCAAAGACCGTGAAAAACGCACTAATAACAACATTCCTGTTGGAGGCAGGTAAGAAGCACTTAGTTAAATTGGAGGTAACAGAAGAGACTCAGGCCCTTTTGCCTGCTCCATCACTAGCAGTCAGTCCCACTGTGTGATTCCCCTGCTAACTAACGAGATGTTAGTCTTTGACACCATCCTCTGCTACAAGGAACCAGGGCTCTTAGCTGATGCAGGTTTGGGCCAGAAGAATTCAAAAGGAGCCTGTGGACAAAGCTAAAGGAGACTTTCAGAGGTGTCTGAAGGCAGTGCTAAAAAGGCTAAGTGAACCCAGTCAGTTTCGAGGGCCAAGAAGCCAAGTAAATGTCAAAAAAGCAAATGCCGATGGCAGGTCATTAGAAAACGTGGAGTCTGGAAAAGCCAAGTCCAGGCTGACAGTAAGTCATAGGAAAACCTCCCGACAAGAGTGAACTGACGGGTGCCAGGCTGCCCAGAAAGCCAGGAGGCGCGGCTGGGCTTGGCCGGCTCTGACCAAGCGGAATCAGAGTGAATCAGAGGTCCATGGCAATCCTGGGCACCAGAACCGAGCCGAAGGACAGGGGAGGGGACAGAGAGGCCACCGGCACAAGGGACCAGGAAATGGACCTTTCCCTCCTGGGGTCTGTCTGTCTCCAGTGTGGCAGCAAGGAAACAGCCTGACTCCCAGCAGGCCTCTCAAACCAGGGACCACAAAAGTCACAGCACAGAGGCAGAGGGCCAAGGCTCATAGGGAGGCGGCAATGCTGCCCGCTGCGGCAGCCACACCCACACCCTGTGTCCTGACACCACCTGCACCTGGCCCCGCCAACCAACCTGCGGGTCGGTGTCAGGACCCACTGTTCACAACACTGCATGTCTAGCTCCATGGCTGAGTCCAGGCAAGACCCAAAGTGTGTGTGTCCTTCTCTTGTGCCACCCTCACACCAGCCCCATACCACAGACTCCTCACAAACTCATCATCCATCAGTCACGTAGTTTAGGGGTTGCTTTGGTTTTAGTTTTTTGTTGGGTAGAACGGAAAACACAGGGCAAGATCCTAAAGCCCCACAGTTCCTCATCCAGGAAAGCGAAAACCAACAAGAAACGCTCTGTCTGGCTGAGCTGTCAGGAGAGACGGCCGGGAGCACACATTCTCATAACTGAAGCCACCTCAGTGAGCGACAGCCAATGCCCGTTTCATTTTATACTGAATTAGAAGGAGAGCTTCCCGCTTCACAAGCAGCGGGAAGAATGAGCATGGTGTATTGTGTCGTGAAAACATCTTGTGTCTCCATGCATTTCATGAAGGTACTCAGACAATGAGAAGGCTGCTGCTCTGTTTCAGGAACCGCAGGCCTAGGCAGGAGCACATTCAAAGTAAACAGAGTGATTCTCCTTTCTAGAAAGAAATGCTAATTCCCTCCAATCCAGTAAGTCTACGGGTAAGGCAAAGGTCGAACAGCAACTTTTTAAAAGAAGCAAAGCCTGCTGTCTCCTTTGGAACACAGAAAACTGTTCCAGCAGCTGGGGGAAAAGTCCCGACGCTGGGCACAGGGCTAGAGACGCCCTGCTACAAAACGCTTATGCATGAAGAGCTAATCCTTGTGCCAAGTAGACACGGAGGCTGGCTGAGTGAAGATGGGCTGGAGAATTAACTCTGCATCACACATTGAACAGGTGGAACTGGCCAGGACTCCCAGCTCTCCAACGGTGAGACGGACACCCAGGTGGACAAGGTGGCGGCCTCTCCACATGCATATGCCGAGCCCCCTGTCCCATCCCAATGTAACGACTGATGGTTGAGCAGCCACGGTGCAGAGAGGATACAGGCTGCCCTGGGACCCCAGCCACAGGGAGACGTGAAGGGGCTGGGGGTCACAAGGTTTGCACAGCCACTCAGAACAGGCAGCCAGCTTGTACCTCCAGCCCCAAAGGGAACCAAATAGAGGACTGAATGGACCTGATCAATAAACCTCCCTGGTTCTACGAAACTCCCAGGAGGTCACAACCGCCAGAGCAGGGTGCCATGTAGAAATATAAAAGAAACGGTCAATCCTTGGGCCAAGCCCTCAGGGCTCCCTGATGAGAGCCACACTCAACACTGTAACTGCTCCCCGACCTGCAGAAACCCCATCCAGGCAGCACCCTCCTCCAGGAGCCCCCAGGCCTACCCCATCACTCCCCCAACCCCCGAGAAATGCAGGAGATGCAGGGTGCTCTGTGGGGGTTCTGCCATCACCAGTTCAGGGGGCTATCCTATGCCTCCTGCCTCTGATGCCCCAGCTCCAGTCCACCCTCCATCATCTGCAAATGGATCTGTCCACTATTGTTAGAAACGTGTTCCATGCACACTGTTTGATGGCCGTCCCTCCCCTCGAGGAGGCAAACTGGGTGCTGGGTGGCTGCAAGAGGTGTGATCCGCTTCCTCACATAAGCAGCCCAGGCACAGCCTCACCTCTCGCCTGCCCAGCATGGCGTCTCTGGCGCTGGAAGGCCCCACTCAGCTTAGCTGGCCCACGCTGTCCTCATTCTGGGATCCCGAGCCAGTTCCAACCCATCTGCTGACTGGTAGTCAAGGCACTTGATACGGTTTGGTTCTGTGCCCCCACCCAAGTCTCATCTCCAATTGTAATCCCCACGTGTTCAGGGAGGGAGGTGATTGAATCGGGGGGCAGTCTCCCCCATGCTGTTCTTGTGACAGTGAGTTCTCACGAGATGTGCTGGTCTTATAAGCATCCGACATTTCCCCTGCTGGCACTCACTCTCTCCTGCTGCCTTGTGAAGAAGATGCCTGCTTTCCCTTCGCCTTCCACCATGATTGTAAGTTTCCTAAGGCCTTCCAGCCATGCTTCCTGTTAAGCCTGCAGAACTGTGAGTCAGTTAAACCTCTTTCCTTTATAATGACCTAGTCTCAGGTAGTATTCTTTACAGAGTGTGGGAACAGACTAATACAGCACTACTCAAACCTCCCTCTGCAGACTTTTGTTTTATTTCCAAACAGCTGTATGCCCAGGTGAAGAGGGGTGCTTTCATGGGGTCCCCTGGCCCATCACACCTGGTGCCTGCAATGGGTACATCAGCTGGCTGGAAGGTGGAGACCGCGTCCCTCTCTAACAGAAAGGTCTCGAGGCTCCCCACTGTCTTCAGAGCAAGGCCTCCACAGGCGAGCCTTCAGGGACCTGCCATGGCCTCTGCCCAGCGCTGCCAGGGCTGGCTGCACCCCAGCCTTTCCCTGGGTTCCTTGTTTCTTACCTGCCCGACTCCCACACACCCTTCTGGAACTTAGTTCAGGCCGGATCTGGCCCCAGCCTAACCAGCAACACAAAAAACATGTAAATCCCGGAAAGTCTGTGCTCAACAGTCTGTGCTGGTTTAGAATCTAAGCCTCCATCTGAAAGACAGAGGAAGTGCCTCACCTAAAGCCCCTAGTGTCTCCTCACTCACACCCCTCGGCCATCTCACAGTGGCCTGTGTGTACCACCACTGCCACGCTGAGGGGAACGCGCCCCACAGACGGCGGACCACAGGCCCACAGGCTTCTGCACACACCACACGAGACGCACTCAACTTTCGGGCTTGACAGGGCACTACACATCCCAGCACAACGCCTTCAACTCAGAGCTGACCAGGTTGACCCCTGAAAAGGAAGTGGCTTCTCTCTGCTTCTTCTAAGTCTCTCTATACGGACAAAGAAGGAAACCTCCCAATAATGCTTTATTACATGATACTTGTAAGTAATTTGGAGAATACAGAAAAGCTTAAAAAAGAAAATTAAATCATCCATTAGTGGAGACAGGGTTTCACCGTGTTAGCCAGGACGGTCTCGATCTCCTGACCTAGTGATGTGCCCACCTCAGCCTCCCAAAGAGCTGGGATTACAGGCGTGAGCCACTGTGCCTGGCCCCACATCTCTTCTTCTTATTAGGACATCAGTTCCATGGGGTTAGGGCACACCCTAATGGCCTCACTTTATCTTTATTACCTCTTTAAAGACCCTATCTCCAAACATCTTCTGTGGTATTAGGGGTTAGGACTTCAACAGATGAATTCTGGGGAAGCAATTCAGCCCCCTAACATTCACACACACACACACATTTTCAATAAACCAGAATTGAGACTAAATATGAAGTTTTATGTCCTATTGTTTTTATTTATACCCTGATCATTTTCACATACTGAAAAAGGTTTTTATGAAATCATGTTTAGGGCGACACAGAAATCAATGTACCCAATGGCTTTAAACTTCCTCTATCGGTGGGCATCTGGGCTGGTTCAAGCCTCAACTCATGCAAACATTTGCCTCCACAGGGAGCCCCGTGCTCAGCCTTCACACACATCACCTTCTATGTCCTCGGGACAGGGAGGCACTGGGCTGTTCAGTGGCCAGCAAACTGCTTTCCAGAATGGTTGTTTCACAGCAAAAGACTGGAAGAGTGTCAACTTCACCTCACCTGAAGAGCACTGAGTATTATCTTTTTTAATTTGTGATGATTTGATAGACAAAAATAGAACTGCATTATTGGTTCAATTTGCATTTTCATTACCTGTGAAGTTAGACGGTTTTTTCAGCTTATTAGTCATTTGTGTTTCCTACTTTGTAACATGTCTGCTTATTTCTAAAAGAAAGAATTTTAATTTATTAATCTTCCCGAACATAAGAAATGGCTCATAAAGACAAATACTACCACACACACACAAACGAAAACGTGTCAAGGTGAGTAGCATAGGTTGTTTTCAAAATGCAAATACGGCCTCTGCTGATACATATGCCTAAGAAGCTGCCAATCACAGCAAATCCTTCCAGTGTGAAGCTGCCTTTTTACATAAACATGAAAGACTGCTAAAATTCTGAAACTATTCAGGGTGAGTGGAAAATAATTTATTTTGTTTGGCCTTTCTTATTCATCGTTAGCGTACTTTTAATCAAATATATCAATATGTAGTAATTAACCCTGCTTTGGGTAAATCAAAATTAACAAACCACTTCAATAACAAATCAAACAAACATAATTGGTATTTTAATTTTTAATTTTTTATAAGTAACATACCACGTAACACTACGCTGAACATTACCACCACATAATGACCCCACAGCATAGCAATGGCCTGTCCTTAACACTGTTACTAGACTCACGAAATACGCTTCCAGAATGAGAAAAAACAGCTCTCAAAAGCCGCGTCTTATTATTCAACTATTAAACTTCCTTAATCATCAATCAGTTTAATTGCTCCTGACATGGGTTATAAATAACATTTTGTGGTTCAATAAAATATCACAAGGATAACCCCTTCGCTTCCTAAGCTGATCAGAAATTCCTCCTTGAAATATTCCAATACAATCCATTTATCCTTTCCTGGGATTCAATTATTTCCACTTCACTTGCCTGTAACATTTTGAAGCATTTTGCTAATTTGGGCTAAAAAAATGTTAAGAAATCACTGTATTAAATTGCACAGTATTATTTCCAATTAGATCCCTAATGGGTAGATGACCCATTTCACTCCAGCCCAAACGAATCAGCTGAACACACGCTGGTACTCAGCCACGTTCGGTGGCTGTTTTGTCCCATCCTCCACATCACTCAGCTCGGCGTCCTCAGCTCCTGCTCTCCACCCAGAGCATGGAGCCACAGACATAGTGACGTCATGAGGGCTGTGCTTTGGAAAGATGAGCCCAGGAGAGGGGGCCAATGAGAGGGGTTGAAATGTGAGGCAAGATGCTCGAGTGTGTGCTATGCCCACAACTCTCCGCCTTGAACAAGGAAATCAACGTATCTGACCTGCACAAAATCCAATTCGTTCATTCAACAGATAGGAATGAGCACACCCCAACCAAGAAACACTTCCCAGTGTTGACCGCAGTACTCACATACACGCATCACGTTTCTTAATCCTGATCTAAAGCAAACAGCAGCTCTCACCTATTTAAGAGGTAAAACACAAACTGAGCAAGGCAAAGGACATGTTCAAAGTCACGCAGCCTGCAAGAAGCAGAGCGGGACTGGGGCTGGGGCCTGTCTGACTCTAGTGCCTATGGGCCCTGTGGACTTGCTACTGTGGACCTGTCTGACTCTAGTGCCTATGGGCCCTGTGGACTTGCTACTGTGGTAACAGCATTTTAACTACACTAGTGTGACCGTGACCTGATCCTCGACCTTCTGAAGAGGATGAATTCAATAAAGTGGTTAAGATGCAGACTGTCTCTGGCATCAGACCATCACAGCTCTGCTACCTCCTAGTTAAGTGGCCTTCAACAAATCAGTTAACCTGATCAACTCTCAGCTTCCTTACCTATACATGGAAAAATGCCACCTCCCTCCCTGCCTCCCTCTTAAGGGTGTTGGGAGAATCACACACATGCACAGCTAAGCTGAACAAAGCACCTGATAGAGGTAAATACTCAGTCAATGTTAATATTAGATTTGGCTAACTTTGACAGAATTCTATCAAATCCTAAGCCATGGACCAAAGATAATAATGACAAAAGACTTCCAATCCGAAATTATGCAGGACAAAAAGACAATAGAATGACAGTGTTAAAGGACTGGGAATAAAACTGGTAACCCAGGATTCTGTACCCAGTAAAAATATGTTTCAAAAACAAAGTGAAATGTTTTTTCAGACAAACTAAAGCTACAAAAAGTGTTAAAGTTCTTCAGGCAAAAGAAATCATGTTTAAGGCCAAGTAGATACAGACCTACAAAAATAAATGAAAAAAAACAGGAAATTATAAAAATGAAGGTAAATATGAAAGGCATTTTTTAAATAATTTCTTTAAAAGATAATTGACAAGGAACATACCAGGCATACAGATCTTGGTTTTAATACAATCCACCAATAAAAGGAACTAGGGCTCCTTGGAGAAATGGCCACACACACACACAGATGAGAGTGTGTCATGGAACCCAGGGGCCAACAGAAAGACCATCCAATGGCAAAGGTGAATCAATCTGAGCAATAAAACATATAATGTAATATTGACTGCAACTCGAAATATGAAGTATTTTAAAATTCATATTGATATAAATAATTGGATAAATTAAATGTGGAAAACAGAAAAGTCTCTCATGCAAAAAAATTCCAAATAATTTCTGAACATGCTCTCCCCTCAAGGAAGTGAAGTATGACCCCCACCCGTTCAGTGTGGGCTGCACACAGTGACTTCCTTC
This sequence comes from Homo sapiens, assembly GCF_000001405.40. NCBI lineage: Eukaryota > Metazoa > Chordata > Mammalia > Primates > Hominidae > Homo > Homo sapiens. The sequence continues at coordinate 46,953,037 of NC_000022.11, read as the reverse complement.
CAGAGAGTGCAGTATGGGAAGCAAGGAAAAAAGAGTGACTTTACAGCAAACACTTCACCAGGTGGTCAAGGTCACAGACCTCGGCTGCTAAGACAAAGACGAGACCACCCTCGGATCAGACCTGGTGAAAGGCCATCCAAGCAATGTGGCAAGAGGGTGGCCAGAGGCAGGAGACAACGGGGTGGTCCTGACGTGGAGGACAGGAGAGGGTGACCAGGGACAGAGTCAGCTCTGGTACCAACAATGCTGAGGGGTTGAGAGAGAGAATCCAGGGGCCCTCAGGTTTCAGCAGACTGGGCAGATGTACTGACCAAAGAATATGGCCAAGGCAGCAGGTGTGGGACAGCATGCTGCCTCTGCCTCCAGCACTGGACTCTGTGGTACCAGCATCTTCAAGGAGCTGGCAAGGAGGCAGGTGGATACAAGGGAGTGGAGCTCAGGACACAGATCTGGGCTAGAAAGCTGACATTTCAGAGCACGACATCTTAACCTTGCAGGCCAACACCCACACCCAAAACTGATAAAAACGATGCTTCCTTTATCCAGAAAAACGTACAGAGATATAACATTTGGTATCATGTCAGGAGGCTCCTAAACCTGCTAAAAGCCACTTGTGGACCTTTAAGTACACAGTTCAATGAAGACACTAGCATGCAAGAGTGGAGAACGCAGGATGAAAGGGGAGAAGGTCAAGAAGAAAGCTCGAGAGAACCAACAGCCCAGGCAGAGGAGGACAAGCGGCACACACAGAAGCCGAAAATGATGGTGAGGAGGGACAGGGTCCACAGGAATGCCAAGGCCAGGAAGGCTTGCTGTCCCGGAGCCTGGGAGGAAAATGCTTTCAAAGATGTGGACATGCTGTGAGGGATATGATGGCTGCAAAGTGTCAACCACCCACAGGGCAGGCCAGTCACTTCTGACCTCAGTAAGAACTTGCTTGCCAAGGGTGCCTGGCCACAATCTGTCCCCCTGTGGACATCCACGTGCCCTGTGCTGTGGGGCTCAGCAGGATACATCTTATTTACAAAACTCGTAACAAACAGCCTGCTCTGTGACTTCTGCTCTTAATGTGATCATTGGTCCAACTCCAATAAGCTAAATGGGATTTCCTGCAAGATGAAAGGAGACCAGGTACACCTGCTTCCTCGTCTCCCCTCATGCAGAGCCTCTGGTGTCATCACCTGGATGTGCTCAGGGATGAAAGCATCAGGACACCTTAAAGAAAGACATTTCCTACAAAACAAAGCTCCGCATTTGAGCCTTCTGCTTCCGGCAGCACAAATTCCACTGGTTATAAATCAGGTTTATGAATTTTGCATGGATCTGAAAGAAAAAACCCATCAGTCATCACTGAGACACTCGTCCACTTTACACCTCGCTGTAACTGGACAGCTGACACAAGGTGCTCAGCTCTGATGACGCATTATCACCAAGTCAAGCTCCGAGGGCTCCAAGATGGCGCCGGCTGCAGTGACAGCCCCTAACTGGCGTGAAATACAGCCATGTCCGTGCAGATGTCCCATCACTCTCTTAGCACAACTGGCCCAACTGTACATTTTCAGTACTCACTGCCCCGGGCAATCCTGCATGCTCTTGATTATTCTTTGAAAATGCATAACACATGAATCGCGAAACTGACTGTGAAGGCCCAAAATTAGACACTGCTGCCCGGCCTCAGAAAATGCTACCATTTTAGAACGTTCTTCTGAAGTGGTTTGTGTTTTATTGGCAAACCAGTGTATTATTATTGTAATAATAATGATTTAAATATAAATACCATTAGAGCTACAAAAATAATACACATGTACTTTGTGATTTTACTTCAAAGGCTTCCCAGCACTATACATACACTCAATCATTAACCTCCCAGAGAGAAGAAAAGCTGCAAGGATTGTCTCTATTTTGCAGATGGAGAGTCTACGGCAAAGAAGCAAAGGTTAGGTAGGCCCAATGCCACGTACAGGGACAGCTGAAAGCTCCGGAAGTGCTGGGCTGTTTCTGTCCACAAACATGCGCCTATGCATACACACTTCTACGGATGGATGCAGACTCACACACGTATTTCAGGACAAACACATATCCCGAACACTTACAAGGAATGTGAGAGGGAGATTATTTATAAGGAACTTCTCTAGAGAAAAGGAACAGAATTAAAACTACACTGGTAAACTGGAGAAAAATAACAGAACTGCAGAGGTGTGGGGTGTGTTTGGTTTTGTATTGTCCCCGGTTATCCATGCACACATCCATCCCGGAGACGCAAGGGTTCGTAAAAGGCGCTCTCTCTACCTCTTCAGATTCTCCTCCACACTCACCCGTCATTCGCGCACATCTACCGTGAATACCTCAATCTAGGAAAGCTACCACCACCATCCTCCTGTTGTTCCTTGCAACTTCCTGATGAGACATCGCCATGTCCACACTGGAAAGGAAGAACATGAAGCTCCGAGATGACAGCTGGCTCTGACCTCAGGCAGGAAAGTGGGAACCAGTGGGCCCTAAAGCCTCCATCCAGCCATCGGCCCTAAAGGACAGTCCAGCATTCCACAGTGGACACAAGGACCTCAAAACGGGGGCAGAAATCAACGACTGCCTGGGAGGACAACGTAAAGACCCGTGGGGTTTTGACTAAGAGTGTTGAATGATTAGGATGTGCAACAGGCCACACAAACGGCACCCATCCAAGACTAAGCTCCTGCCATCCTTCCAAACTCAGAACCTCTCCTACCAGCCACTCAGGAATGGCAACTCTACCCTCCCTGCCAGTGAGGCATAAACCTTGGAGCCATCTTCAACTACCCTCTCACTCGTTCCTCTGATTCATAAGCAAACCCTTTCATCAGCTCAACTTTCAAACCAGAGTCAAATCCAGCCACTATTACCACCCTCTTGCTCCAAGCCACCACCGATCACTCCAACTTGGCTTAGCACAATGACCTAACTGGTCTCCTGGAGTCCACCCAGCTTCTCCCTACAACCTAGTCTCAGTACGTTCCCAAGGCGACCCTTTTCAAAAAAGGCCATGTTAACCCACGTTAACCAATGTCCCTCCACTGGCCTCCAGGCCCCATGGGGGTCATTGCTGCTCAGATGACACTGAGCACAGCCCTCCCCTGCTCAGGCTGCTCCAGCCCCAGCAGCCTCGGCTCAGGCCTCAGGGCCCCCTGGAAGTCTCCGCACTCACTTGCCTGCCCTTGCGCATGGTGCTCACCACTCCCGTCACTGCTGACCGGCTCAGTGAGGCCTTGCTGAGCCAGCATTAAAGACTGCAACACTTTCTTTTCCTTTCTCAGTTCTTTCTTCTTAGTGCTTCTTAGTGCTTGCCAATATCCAACTTAGTATTTCTCTCTCCCCACCAAAAGAATAAAAGTTCCCTGCGTGCAGAGATACCTGGTCGGCAGATGGATGAAATGATATAAATTTGCTAACAAGAGATCCATTCAGACGCTTCCATCTGAAGCCTCCATTTGCTCTATCACCAAACGAGTAGGAATAACTGCCAGACATACCCCAGATCTACATGGGAACATTTAAAGCAGGCCATGCCCTCTTCAAGGCCCCACACAAACATTGTGGCAGGAGGCAGGGCTGGAGGGGAGCATCAGAGCAGACATGGGGGACGGGGTCAGGCTCAGCTCCATCACAGATGGGGCCCTCGGAAAACCAACTTCTTTCTCTGGCATAGGTTTCCCTGAGAATGGGGAGGATGACTCAGATGATCCCGAGGTTCCCTCTGGCACTCACAGCCTCTGACTCCCTGAACCACACGAGTGTGACCGGCTGTTGTCATGCTCATGGTGGTTCCAGGTATTCGGGTGGACCTTGATGTTGCGTCTTCTTTGAGGGTCAGGTGTGAAGACAGGACTCAAAAATGGAAGAGAAGCAAAATGCGACACAATCAGTCTCTTGAACAAAGACTCTTTTAGGAGCCCAAATTTGTGCTCCCTCATTGGGTCAGACTGTCATTTCTTCCCAACATCAGATGAAATGAGTGACCCTCACTCAGAAGTGGCGCTCCACTCCTGCTTCCCACAGGGCTTCTGCTCCTCAGCGAAAGGCAGACAGAACTCCCGTGCCTGGAAGCAGGCTGATCTACCTGTGTGGCTCTCACCCCCGGCACATAGTGTTCAGTCTGCATAAGGTAAATGTGTGTGACGGGCCTCTCCGGTGATTTTCTGATTTTCTGATTTTCTGACTTCGGTAGCATGTTTCTGTTTGGCCGTGCTTACAAGATGAAATTGATTCTGTGGAGAAAGGCACGGTCTTTACCTGTCTCACGGGGCCTCTTAACAATAGGAGCAGGCTCCGTTTCAGCAACTATCATTTCTTTCTTCTTGAGAAATTGCAGCTTCTGCCCCACGGGGACAAAGACCAAAGAGGGAAGACAGCTTCTGTGCTGCATCAAAGATTTCCCAAACCAAGCTGAGCACAAACCATTGCCACGGAACACAGAGAGACCAACTCCAGAGACTCAAAGGGTTATCGACCAATACACACCCGGAGTGAGAAACCCACCGTGGGGGGATGAGCAAAGCTCATGACTGCAACCAAGGTTTTGGTGGAGGAGACTCTACCCCCATGGGCACCCAGCATGTGGGAAAATCTCAAAGGGCATTACCAAGAATGTAGGCTCTTGACTACAAAGGCATGACCCTGTATAAAAATGACTCTTAAATGGTGAGCAGTCAAGAGTTGGTGGGAAACTCTAATACTGTTTCTTTAACAAAGTCTTGCTCTGGCGTAGAACAAAGGGGAAAAAGGTCTGCATGCCATCTTACTTGTCAATTTAAGACTGAAAATGAAAATGAAAATCTTTCCTGCTTAAGGGGCTTTGATTTCTTGTTTTCTCTCTTTCAGCTAAAATGTTTTATTTGAAGATATGCAGGTTTGTTTTTATTTGCTTTGTTTTGCAAATCTCTCCTGTTCGCCTCTAATACCCCAGCCCTCCGTCCTTGCCGCCCTCCAAAGGCATGTTTCCTAGACAACCCAACGTAGCTCAGAGCACCTCATTTATGCAAGTGTACAAAGAGCGTCCTTCTCTCATTCACAGCTGGCATTAAAAGGCGAGTTTATCAGGTGAGGGCAGGATTCTAAAAGCCCTGGCAATTTTTCTGAATCTCTCTTGATGAGAAAGAGCTAAACAAACAGGTCCCCAAAGTTAGCAACAGAATGGAAAGGTGGCCACAGAATCCTCAGAAAGAACAGGCAGACTACTGAACAGGTTGATATGGAGAGCCAGGCAGTCCTCATGATATCTCTGGCCAGGTTCCTTGGGCAGGCGTCTCTGCCACCTCCCACTCCTGGCAACAGCGTGAGGGAGGAAGAGGGAGGGAGAAAGGGAGGGAGACAGGAGGGAGAGATCACACTTGCAAGGGCCAGAGGGAATGTATGAAAGAAACTAGGACGTGCAACACAGACGAACACAACACAGACAAGCGGGAGCAGCAGCCCATGGCTTCCACGAGGCCTTGAAATAGCGCAACGAAGATGGTGGTGGCCTGGAGGGGGCAGCTATAGACCTGCCTCTGTCCCACCAGCAGGTTCAGCAGGTTCTAGGCCCTTATTGCCCCACCTGTTAGATGACGGTGGAGGACTGAAGGGTCTCAAACGTCCAACCGTCCACCTTTAATGCGCAGCGCTAAGTCACTGAGCCCCATGTGGCCTGGGCCTTTTTAACTAAGAACAAATGGCTCTACTCGGATGACCCTGACTTCAACCACCCTTAGCCATTCGACTTCACACATCTGGGTCCAGACAGAGCGACTGAGAAGAACCCAAGAACCATGTCCAAACAACAAAACCCACAGAAAGTGGGTGATTTAGGGTCCATCAGCTGATACAGCAAATGTTTTCCCCATTCAAACTGGGGACCTATTAGCATTTCTTTCTACCGATTCACAGCACTCTTCAGAGAGGCAGCACACAGCTCTATCACCTCATCCACATAACGGTGTGGCCTGGGGAGGCTGGGCCTGGCAGTCTCTAAAGACCCCTCGGCCTCAAATCCTATGATGAAGACTTGCTCCTCCTGGAGAAGGCCACGGCTCAATATTCAGGCCACTGAAATTATACAACTGGACTGTACTACAAACATCCCAGAAAGACGGAGCAGCTTAAATCTCTCCCTAAAACCTACTGGAGACATAAAATGCCAACATACAAGTAGGAGGAGGTGTTATCAGGTTGCAAAGAAACCTCTAGAGGTTTGCTCAGAATGCACTTCCTAATGCAGTCAAGCACGCTGGTCTGAATACCAACCTAGAGGAAGGGGCCCCAGGCTCATTCCAGGTAGCACAGACTTGCTGCAACAGCAGCTGAGGATGCTGTGACTGAATGAATGAAACAGACTCACCTCAAAATGAAAACTGCCTGGGAAACTCAGTCATCAACAGGAGCCCAGTGCCCGCACAGCCGTGGGACTCACGCAAGCACAGTCCCAGAGGCCCTCCTTGTGCACCTACTCAGTGCTTCTGTGGATGAGGCAGTGAGGCGGCCACCTGTGCCCTTGGATCTTACAGCTCTATCTACTCTCCATCTGGCTGGCCGGCCTCAGGCTTCTACTTGCTTGTGAGCCCAGTGCCACCCTTTAGACAAGAAGGAGAGTCACTGAGGCTCACCAGCCTCCTGAAGGAACAAGGGGGAGCAGGGAGCACCAAGGCCTCTGCTCGTCAGGGGCACCTTTCTCCTGCAACCTCTTACAGCCTGGTGGGAGAAGCCTGTGTGTGCTGGCCAGCTCTATTCCACACAGCATCCTCTGTGCAGCCAAGGATGGGAACGTGGTTCAGTTCAGCCACACAGGCCCAAGCGGGTACTGTCACACCGGCTGGATGAGGCCAGCAGCTCCTACGGTGCACAAGCTTATGCTGGCCCGTCCGGAAGAGAAAACGAACCTACACGGAGGAAGCTGGTAGCAACACTCCATTCCCTCCCTTTGGAAAGCTGTGTACACACACCTTTAAGGGAGAAACGATAAGAGCCAATACTGTGCAGAATCACAAGGCTCCTAAAACCTCTTCTTCCAACCAGAGTGAGAATTACACAGAATGTCACTGTTGTTTCAGCCGCTGATAAAAATTATTCTAAAGTACTTGGGGTCCCAGTTCTGCAGCATTGAGTAGAAAAGTAAGTTCTAAAGAAAAGGGTACAAAATACTAGTCAGCAGGATGAAGCTCACTGCCATTTATTTTGAGCTGTGGGCCGTGGATGAGTTATTTCCTTCTTTGTGCCTCGACCCGCCTCTACAGAAGGATCATACTACCAAACCCAAGGAAGGCACGAGGCAGGTAATATTGCATCAGCAAAGTGTGTGCCCTGACAGAGGGTAACCAGGGGGGAACCCTGCTCCTGTACAGGCCCACAGAGGAAAGGGCAGAAGGACTCGGAGGCTGGGAGACAAATGCAGACCCCAGGACACAGCCTTAACCCCCTGGGGCTTCTGATGTCAGCTAGTTGGTCACACCTTTCCCCATAACGAGAAATGCCGTCAGCACAGCTGCAGCCTGGGTTAGGATCCTGGCTCAGACCCTCAGTAGCTCTGAGACCTTGATCAAGTTATTCAATCTCTTGTAAAACAGGGGTGATAACAGCATCATCTTCATGAATTAGTAAGACATAATAACAAGGAAAGTTCTTTAAAAGCTTCAGAAACAACGTGCTAAATAAACGTCAGCTGCCGCCTCCACCACAACGGTCAAACAGGCCTTCTAATTTTCATCACCTCTGTTTCTACAGCCCCCAGCAATAAGCGCTGAATGAATGAGTGAATGAATACAATAAATTGCCATGTATCCCTCCCGAAATTTAAACTGCCTAAGAGCAAAGATCATGGCACACAATCTGGCATTTCAAAAACCCACCAGTAGTTTTTCAAAAGTTTGTGGTACTGAACTGAAAATCCAAGGAGACCAGAAGATGAGGATTCCACTCTGACTTTTAAGAACTAAGGTCATGACCAAACTACAGATTTGGAAGTGGCTCAGTTGCTAAATGCATGAAGTTGCAAAGTTTGAAGTGGTTGCCTCTTATTTCCAGATTTTCCTTCAATCTCTCAGGCACAAGATGACAGAAATTGAGATAATCTATACATATTTAATTATCTATCTTAAAAGAAAAATCATCTACATGTTCAACTTTCAGCTTTTGTGAATTAAAAAATAAATCAAATTTTCACACTCATCTTTAAGGATTCTTTTTTCCTCTAACCAACAAAAAAGGCAAAAGAGTAATCACGATAAAATAAAAGTATCTTCATTGTATAAAATGTGAGACCAATTCCACTCAAGTTATAATAGATCAAAGAGCATGGAATGAAAAGTTTTATTTTTTAAAAAATGGAGTACAGGCTGGGCACGGTGGCTCACGCCTATAATCCCAGCACTTTGGGAGGCCAAGGTGGGCAGATTACAAGGTCATGAGATCAAGACCATCCTGGCTAACACGGTGAAACCCCATCTCTACTAAAAATACAAGAAATTAGCCGGGCATGGTGGCGGGCGCCTGTAGTCCCAGCTACTTGGGAGGCTGAGGCAGGAGAATGGCGTGAACCTGGGAGGCGGAGATTGCAGTGAGCCAAGATTGCGCCACTGCACTCCAGCCTGGGAGACGGAGCAAGACTCCGTCTCAAAAAAAAGAGGAATGCATAGAATTTAATGCAAGTAAAATAGATTTAAAGTTTAAAAATTTTTAAGTGAATCCAATCAGTATCAAATGTAATTGCCGATGAAGAAAAAACAAAACAAAAATAAACACATTAGTAATCATCCAGGAAATACAAACAGAAACACAACAAGCTACCACTTTATACCCAGTAGGATGGCTAAAATAAAAACACAAACAATAGTAAGTGCTGACAGGGATGTGGAGAAACACAACCCTCCTCCTTTGCTGATGGGATGGTAAATGGAGCAGGCACTTTGGAAAACAGTTCTTCAAAGGTAAAAGGTAAAATTCCCATATGAACCAGCAATTCCACTCCTAGGTATATCTCAAGAGAAATAAAATCATGCCCACATAGAAACTATACTAAATGCTTACAGCAGCACTGTTCATAATAGCCAGAAGTGCAAACAACCCAAATGTCCATCCATTGATGAATGGATAAACAAGACGTGGTCTATATGGAATATTATTCAGCCATAAAAAGGACCGGAGTACTGACGCGTGCTACAATACCGGCGAACCTCAAAAACATTACGGTCAATGAAAGAAGCCAATCAAAAAAGGCCACATGCCGTAGGATGCTGTGAACATATAACATGAAATGTCAGAAAGGGCAAATCCATGCAGACGAAAAGCAGATCAGTGGTCACCAGGGGCTGAGGAAAGGTCATGTGGCTGCTGGAGGGACCAGGGTTTCATCTTGAGATGAAATGTCTTGGAACAAGAGTGTGGCAATTGTTGCACAATTCTGTGAAGACACTAAAAACCACTGAATTATACGCATTAAATGGGAGACAGACAGATGGACCAGGCGGAATACACAAGTAGGAGAGAGGAGGGGTTTATTCCCCTTTCCAGGCACAGTCCCCGATGCTCCAGTCCTGGCGGACCAGCAGCCCATGCCGCTACTCTGTGCTTACAGCCTTCAAGGTTGAACGTTTAAAGCCTCACCAGCTAAAACACAAATTCTTTGTCTGCCTTGGGTTTTAAATTCTGTTCTTACAAAAGCAGACATATTGCAAAGGTCTATCATGTGCGGAAAAAACACAAGGTTGCTTTCTGCCCCCGGCTAGGACAGCTGGGCAGCCTCCAGTCCAACTCCACCACCTCCTGGCTTCTGAGTGGGAGAGGAGGCTCATTAATTACACCGAGATGGATGCCGCGGGGAGGCTGGGAGGAGAGCATAAGCCAAAAGTGAGGCGGGCAGCTCCCTTCGGAGGACATTTCTCTCTTCATAATTACATTAATTGCAATTAGCTCTCTCCTCCTTCATAATTCTTTTGCACTGACACCTGCGGAAGTCCTCTGGCTCCTGTTCAACGCCATTTTCCTGCTGCCACGGGTCCTCCAGCTCATTTCCCGTTTGGTCCCAGAAGCACAAAGCTGCTCCACCCTGCGGTCCTGGGTGACGCACCTCCGTGTGCAAGCATGTTCTGCTTTCACCAACCGGCCCACACCTCATCTTCATACTGAAATTAATTTCTCTCCTAGTCAAGCCCTGAAATACAGATACTTCATCTTTTCCTCCTAATTCATTCACCCTTAAGGAAAAGTTTCATAAGTAATTAAATTGATTTTTCCTTTCTATTTGGGACACAGGTCTATTTAGAACAGCAAAGTAATAGAAAGCCTGATTTCTCAGCAAGGATCCCTCGGGGAGGCCTGGCGACGTGACTGCTACAGGAAGAGGCACTTCCTGAAGCCGGCTTGGAGGGGCCTCCGTGGACTGGTGGCCGAGCGCACATCAGCCCTCTTCCTAATTGACATGTGCTGTATAAATTACACTCAGAAGGGATTCGCAGGCACTTTCTGGATCCGAAAAGCTCTTTAATATTAACGCGGTTTGAATCCTTCTTGAATACTATACAATTCTTATTACTGAAGTAAAAACTTCGACACGTGACGTTAGCGGCATAGCTAAGCAGCTGAAACGCTGTGACCAGAGTAGCCATGTCTAATTACCCACGGAAGTCACTGAAACTTCCCCAAAGAAACCAACAGGAGTGGTGAAGCTTGGGGCCTTGTGAAGTCATTAAGATAGCTTTATAAAGCTAAGCTTTTCACCCAAATACAGAACAGGATTTTTTCCTATTTACTGCTCAGAATGAAAAAGCACCTCAATACAAAGTTAAAACAAAAAAAACCAAAGCTGGCTCCATCACTGATACCTAATACGAACCACATGCCGGGCAGCCTGCCTAGTCCTGTAAGACTGTGGACTGTGTGTATATATATGTATGCTGGTGCCCCCAGCCCCCATGCTATTCAAGGGTGGACTGTGTATTTATATACGTATGCTAGTGCCCCAGGCTCCGTGCTGTTCAAGGGTGGACTGTGTGTATATATATATATAATATATATATATATATATGTATGCTGGTGCCCCAGGCCCCATGCTGTTCAAGGGTGGACTGTGTGTGTGTGTGTGTGTGTGTGTGTGTGTGTATACATACATACATATACATATACATATATTCTATATACATATATTCTATACATATTCTATACACATATATTCTATACATATTCTATACATATATTCTATTATTCTATATATTCTATATATATTCTATATATATTCTATATATTCTATATATATTCCGTATACATATTCCGTATATATATATTCCGCATATATATATTCCGTATATACATTCCGCGTATATATATTCCGCATATATAATCCGCGTATATATATTCCGTATATATATTCCGCGTATATATATTCCGTATATATATTCCGCGTATATATATTCCGTATATATATTCCGCGTATATATATTCCGTATATATATTCCCTGTATATATATTCCGTATATATATTCCCTGTATATATATTCCGTATATATATTCCGTGTATATATATTCCGTATATATATTCCGTGTATATATATTCCGTATATATATTCCGTGTATATATATTCCGTATATATATTCCGTGTATATATATTCCGTGTATATTCCGTATATATATTCTGTGTATATATATTCCGTATATATATTCTGTATATATATTCTGTATATATATTCTATATATATATATATTGTAGTGCCCCAGTCCCCATGCTGTTCAAGGGTAGACTGTGTATATACATATATATGTGTGCTAGTGCCCCAGCTTCCATGCTGTTCAAGGGTGGACTGTGTGTGTGTGTGTGTGTGTGTGTGTGTATACATATATACATATATATATATTCTAGTGTCCCAGTCCCCATGCTGTTCAAGGGTGGACTGTGTGTGTGTGTGTGTGTGTGTGTGTGTGTGTGTGTGTATGCTAGTGCCCCAGTCCCCATGCTGTTCAAGGGTGGACTATGTATATACATATATATGTGTGCTAGTGCCCCAGCCTCCATGCTGTTCAAGGGTGGACTGTGTATGTGTGTATATATACATACATACATATATATATATATTCTAGTGCCTCAGTCCCCATGCTGTTCAAGGGTGGACTGTGTATATACATATACATGTGTGCTAGTGCCCCAGCCTCCATGCTGTTCAAGGGTGGACTGTGTGTGTGGTATATATACATACATACATATATATATATATATATTCTAGTGCCCCGGTCCCCATGCTGTTCAAGGGTGGACTGTATATGTACATATATATGTGTGCTAGTGCCCCAGCCTCCATGCTGTTCAAGGGTGGACTGTGTGTGTGTGTATATACATACACACATATATATATATATTCTAGTGCCCCGGTCCCCATGCTGTTCAAGGGTGGACTGTGTATATACATATATATGTGTGCTAGTGCCCTAGCCTCCATGCTGTTCAAGGGTGGACTGTGTGTGTGCATGTGTGTGTGTGTGTATACATACACATACATATATATATATTCTAGTGCCCCAGTCCCCATGCTGTTCAAGGGTAGACTGTGTGTGTGTATATATATACATACATACATATATATATATATATTCTAGTGCCCCAGTCCCCATGCTGTTCAAGGGTGGACTGTGTATATACATATATATGTGTGCTGGTGCCCCAACCTCCATGCTGTTCAAGGGTGGACTGTGTGTATATATATATACTCATGCACGTTGTTGTATTGTGCTTTGCTCTATTGTGCTTCACAGATCCTGCATTTTTTACAAACTGAAGGTCTGTAGTGACCCTCCGTCGAGCAAGTCCATCAGTGCCATTTTCCCAACAGCATGTACATGCTTTGTGTCTTTGTGTCAGCATTTTTTAGCAAGGAAGCATTTTAAATTATGGTATGTATGCTGCTGTTTGAAACATATATTGCACACTTAATAGATGACAGTATAGTACAAAACATAACTTTTATATGGACTGGGAAACCAAAAAATTTGTGTGACTTTCTCGCAGTACTCCCTTTCTTGCAGTTGTCTGGAACCAAATCTGGAATATTTCCAAAGTATGCCTGTATAGTGGATCTAAAATGGGCAATATCCCTTGAATGCAAACGACTGCTCATCAACTGTCATGACTGAGCCTGGGTCACATCTGTAAGCAGTGATGCCAGCTTTCCAATTCCTCTCTCATAGGTCCCCTCTTGTCACTGCTTTGGGTTCTTCTTGCACTGATGTTGTTGAAACGCAACGGTGATTCTAAATGTCAAATGCATCTCTAATCGGTTTTAGCTCCTCGTTACTTCTAGTCATTTCTCCCATATTTTCATTGTCAAAACATAGTCTCTTTGATAATTTTGATGGCTTACAATTTTGTCGAAGACAGTCATCTTCTATGCTCCAAAATGGGAGAAGATTTTCCTTTTTAGATTTATGAACATCAATTACAATGACCAAGCCAATGGGTATTTTCATCTCTGCCTCTATTTCCTTCCAATTATCTCTTGATTGCTTTTAGCAATTATCCATTTACTAAGTGTACCAAATTTGGTCCATAAACGTCTTAAAAGATGAAAGAATACTGTCACTTATCTGTTTAACAAAAGGGGATGGTCCACATTCTTGTCATAAAATATTGTGTGATAAAGCCCATCCTTTTGAATGACTAATTGGATGAGAAACCATATTCCCTTCATATCCTTAGAATACTATTCACTCGTTGATGCTTGATTTTAAGAAAATTCATCTAAGCTATCTTCCACTGAAGGTGCACAGTCTGCGAATTCGCTGATATGATCAATTTCACCATCATCATTAGCATCTAGAGAGCTGCTCTCAATCTGTCTGCATTCATCTTCTGATTCATTTAATAATGGTGAAATGTCTTCCTCTGCCAATTTTCCTGTCATTGCTATTACAAGTGAAAAATAAAAAATTCTAAATTCTCTGTGCTTAATGAAAGCTAAAAGAAAAACAGACTTCAAAAATGGTGTCTCCAGATTGTTTTCACACCTTTTTGGAAGATAATGCAATCATATGGGTAACATAGTAAGAAAATTCAAGGATCATATAAAAGATATGGTTTATTCCACTATCACATGATTCTTGATGCCATCTCTTATTCTCCCATTCTATTATTTTAGTCCATTTCTACCATAGTGAGAAATAACTGGCCAGCTGTGGTGGCTCACGCCTGTAATCCCAGCATTTTGGGAGGCTGAGGCAGGGGGATCACCTCAGGTCGGGAGTTCGAGACCAGCCTGGCCAACATGGTGAAACCCCATCTCTACTAAAAATACAAAAATTAGCCAGGCATGGTGGCAGGTGCCTGTAATCCCAGCTACCCTGCAGGCTGAGGCAGGAGAATTGCTTGAACCCGGGAGGTGGAGGATGCAGTAAGCTGAGATTGTGCCACTGCACTCCAGCCTGGGCAACAGAGCAAGACTCCACCTCAAAAAAAAAAAAAAGAGAGAAATAACTGATTAATAATGATAAAATAATATCAAGAAAGAGAAAACAGCAAAATGTTTCCAGATAAAGATAAAAAAAAATACCATTAAGATGTGATCATGCAGCCATGCACTGCTTAACAGGGACACATTCTGAGAAATGCATCACTCGTCTATTTCATCGTTAACATCACAGAGTGCACTTACACACACCTAGAGCGAAGCCTACTGCACACCTAGGCTATATGGTATAGCCTGTTGCTCCTGGGCCACAAACCTGTGCAGCGTGTTACTGTAGTGAATACTGCGGGCAAATGAACACAAAGGTCAGTTTTTGTGTATCGAAACATATCTAAACACAGAAAAGGTACACTACAGATAAAGTAGTGAAGACAAAAAACTGTACACCTGTCTAAGGCATTTACCATGAGTGGGGCGTGCAGGACTGGAAGTTGCTCTGGGTGAGTCAGTGAGTGAGTGCTGAGTGGCTGCGAGGCCTGGGACATTACAGTGCACAGCTGGAGACTTCACGAGCACTGTGCACTTAGGCCACACGACATTTATTATTATTAATTTCCTTCATCAGTAATAAATGAACTTTAGTTAATGTACCTTTTTTACTTTATTAACTTTTTAACTTGACTTTTTTATAATAATACTTAGTTTAAAACTCAGATACATTGTACAGCTGTACCAAAATTATTTTTTCTTCATTTTCTTATTCTATAAGCTTTTTTCTGTCTTTA
Organism: Homo sapiens; assembly: GCF_000001405.40. Taxonomy (NCBI): domain Eukaryota; kingdom Metazoa; phylum Chordata; class Mammalia; order Primates; family Hominidae; genus Homo; species Homo sapiens. Next base: position 46,937,861 of record NC_000022.11, on the reverse strand, counting down.
ATTTTTTTTTTTACTTTTTCAACTTTTTTGTTAAATGCTAAGATACAAACACACACATTAGCCTAGGCCTACACAGGGTCAGGATCATTCATATCACAGGATCATCAATATCACATTAATTCCACCTCCACACCTTGTCCCACTGGAAGGTCTTCAGGGACAACAGCACACAGGGAGCTATCGTCTCCTCTGATAACTATGCCTTCTTCTGGATACCTCCTGAAAGACCAGCCTGAGGCTGTTTTACAGTTAACTTTTTTTTTAAATAACTTTTTTTTTAGAAGTATTACATTCTAAAATAACGATTATAGTATACTAAGCACTTAAACCAGTAACACAGTCATTTACTATCATGATCAAGTATTATGAACTGCATTTCTTACAGACCGGCAGTGCAGTAGGTTTGTTGACACCAGCATCAGCACAAACACGTGGTTAATGCATGCTGCTAAGACATTACAATGGCCATGATGTCACCAGGTGAGAGGAATTCTCCAGCTCGCACACAGTTCTGTGGTATACGCCATCCAGTGTTGACAGAAACGTCATTATGTGGCGCAGAACTGTATATCCTGGATTCCCCACAGATGCGGTGGGTCCATGTGGTAACTGCAGGCTAGAATGCATTTTCTTCTATTTTTTAAAAATAAGATTTTCTCCTTGTTCTTTGAAGAACAGGATAAAAATCACAAAACATCAATCCTTATAAAATAGTTTGAAATGTTCAAACATCCTAAAATGGACACGAGATTATGCCTTTCTTCAAAACAAAAGCAAAGCGCAGAGCATACCTGTGCCGGAATGCAAATCCCTGCGGCCCTCCTCAGGAGACCACAGAAGAACCCTATCTGTCACTGCCCCCCACAAAAAAGCCAAGCATGATGACTGTCAGCTGAAAACATTAATCTCAAGAACAGCTGTACACTTAGAGATTTTGAAACAATTTTCAGTCCCCAAGACTAGTCTCATTCGTTTATTTTTGTGAGTTTGCTTTTTGGTGAGTAGTTTTGTTTTTACTTTGAGTTAAAAACTTTAAAACTGCTGCAGACTAGGTCAGTGTGGCTTACGAAGAGCAGGGTAAATACTGCTCCTTGCCAGCCTGGTAAATACTCAAGAATAACTTTCTGCCCTACTGGGCTGTGTGTCCTCGCAGAGTGAGGCTCCCGTTCACACCTGATTCTTTTGTTCAGGGCTCCATTGCAGAGCCTGAGCGGTTAACTGACAGCCCTTGTCCAGAATCCGACAGAAAGATCCATAATTACCATGAGTCTGTCTCACGCTCCGCTTGTCAGGCTGTCCGCCAAAATTGTTTGGTAATGGAGATCATCAAAGGAGGATGGGAATGCCGGCCCTGGCCCCAGGCCCCAGCGGGCACAGTTCATTAAAGAGATGTGCTATGTACTGTTTGGGGCACTGCCTGTATATTCTGAGTTGCTTCTGGAGGAATCCTGAAAGCTCCCCAGCAGGGAGGCTGTGCGGGGAGCCACGAGGGCATGCAGAACCACGAGGAGCCTGGCCCCAGGACGAGGGCGTGCAGAACTGCGAGGAGCCTGGCCCCAGGAAGAGGGCGTGCAGAACCGCGAGGAGCCTGGCCCCAGGAGGACCCACCACACTGAGGCTCCCAGGCCTCACCCAATCACAGCGCAAAGGCAACAAGTCCCTACAGCCATCACAGGTGAGGGGACAACTCAAGGAAAGAACCATGAGTGTCAAGGTGACCAGCACATGCCCGGCACCCTCTGGCACCTAATAAATTCTCCACTAAGGTGGAACAGTGCTGAGGATGAGGCACTCAGAGCCTGGCATTAACTCAAAAGCTGATGAGGACAGAATAATCCAATGCTGACAGTGATCAAGTGACAGCAAACAGTTGCATAAGCACAGCGCTTCAGAGTTCAGAGGAGGGGCCAGGAGACAGCACAACAGCAAAGGCTACAGAGTCATGGGTTCAGAGTTCAGAGGAGGGGCCAGGAGACAGCGCGACAGCAAAGGCTACAGAGACACGGGGTCAGAGTTCAGAGGAGGGGCCAGGAGACAGCACAACAGCAAAGGCTACAGAGACATGGGTTCAGAGTTCAGAGGAGGGCCCAGGAGACAGCGCGACAGCAAAGGCTACAGAGACACGGGCATCTTTGAGGAAGAGAATGGGATAGAAGGACAGGGAGGAAGTCTAACTGGTTCCAGCCCACAGACGGCCCATAGCACAGCAGCAGAGCCGCCTGGGGAAGTGACCGCTGCAAGACTCCTAGACTCGGAAAGGAGGGGGGCGAGACGGAATCACAGGGAGAAATGTCACCCAAACTTCGAGCTTTGAATCCATTTAATGACTGGTCATTTTCCAAGAACTTTCTGAAGCTTCATGGTTTCTAACTGTATTTTCAAACTGCCCATACGGCCCTTGTGACAGGGGCTGCGGGGGAGTGGGGGTGCATCTGAATTCACTGTGCGAACTCAGTAACCCAGAGGCAACTTCAGGATTATAATTTTTTTGACTCACTTTTTAACAAGAATTCCCATTTTTTCTCATGTACTCCAGGATATCACTTAGAGTCCTGAATGTTCAACCAAAGTTTCTAATTTGCTGAAATACAGGGGCTTCGTCCCAGCCCTCTGAATGTGAGCTACAGGAGAGAAGGTGCTAATGTTGGACTCTACTCTGCTTGGCTGACATCAGAGGTAATATTACTTGTACCTTCTTAAGGCCACTTTCGAAACCTACTGATGCCTTCATTGCTTGGGGAGTCATATCAGTGACCAGCTGTGCCTGACACACAGATGACTCACCCTGAAAACCTGCATGATGAGACACTCAGAGGAAGCCCAGCACACCCAGGCCCCTATTGAACAGAAAATCAAGTTAACTGAAACCACCAAACCTCTAACCATGATATCAAACAGCTTTCTAAAGGAGACTCACCTCCCCTCCCCACCCTCTCCCTTCACCAGGCAAGCTGGCCTTGTGAAAACGCTGTGGCCACCACACGCTGATGGCCCCTGAGCCCAGGGAGGGCCCCTGGACAGGCGAAGGGTGGGCAGACCATATTTCACATGAGCTGCTCCCTCTCCAGCAGCGTAACACCAACACTCGAGGCAACGCTGAGCGGGGGCGGCACGCATTGCCCTGCACTGAACCAGAGAGGAGACAGACTTAGAGCAGACCCTTCCTGGAAGTGGGTGACGTGTCCCCGGGCTAGAGCATGGACGCGCCTCACCCTCAGGACTCCATCACTACTGCCAAGGGACTGCAATGGCAGAGTCCTTGCCGTCTTATGAAGTGAGTCCTAAAAAAGAAGAGTCTTCCCCAAGAGTAGTATAGACGATTTGGGGGATGGTGAGAGACTCCTGCTCTCTCTGGCAAGTGAAAGGAGCTGCAATTTGCTGACAGCCAACTGCACACTGGAGTCTTTAACTTTCCTAACAACCCTCCAAGATACTCACTACTCCCACTGGCCCGAGTTTACGGCACTGAGAAAGGGTGCGTGCCCACGCGTACCACACACCCCAGAGCACGAAGGCTGAGAATGTAACCGAGGTTTCCAGGACTCCAAAGCCCAGTGCCTTCTGCTACGCACTTGAGTGTCTCCACTTTTGATAAACACATAACTCTCATGTCCTTTTTCCCTGGTACTTAAAATTTCAAGGTAAAGTAGATTCCTTAGTTATCTGCAAAGAGAAAATTTAATTTTGATCATGAAAACTACAAATCCTTACTTGGATCATGAGAAATAAAAAGTCTGCAAACTCACCCATTCACTGGGTCAAAAAGCCTTGCCTGTGCCATTTTGTTTTTCCTTTCGAGAAGATAAAGATGGCAAGAAAAGCAAATAGAAAAAAGAAAATATTAAAAGGCACATATCAAATATAAACTCCCACACCCCACAAAGTGGGAGTCCAGCTTTCTCAAGTGTGAAAAGGCTAAACGCTGGAGACCACCTGGCCACACAGCCTCAACTCAGCCTGGCTCATCCCCACACCCCTGTCCCCACCTCTGCTTCCTCTCACACTAAAGCTGTGTTTCCCAAGACCAGAACCAAGCCACGTGTGGCTACTTAATTTGAAATAAATGAAAATGAAACAGAACTGAACCTTCAGTGGTGCTGGTCACATTTCCCGTGCTCAGGGGCCACGTGGCTGCAGTCAACACCCGCCCCGGGCAGTGCAGAGAGAGAACACACGCATCTGAGTGCAGAGGCTGCCGGCCAGTGCCACCCTGGCACAGGGGGCCAACCCCCCCCCAGTGGTCTCTCCCTGTCTCTGTCCTCAGAATTAAATAGCATCCCTGTGTGGAAGAGGCCAGAGAGGGCAGAGACTCAGGAGAGGAAGAAGAACTTCCTCTCACCCCATCAGAGACTGCCTCGTTTCCCTCCCACTGGGTTGGCCAAGAGAAAGCCCTGTCCAAGAGCAGAACTTTCACACACCTCAATTCATCTCCATGGCTTCGACTAATTCCAAGCCATGCTGAAAATCCTGGACCTGGAGAAACCTCTCCTTCTACTGAGGATCGGAAGACACTGCTTACCTAATGGGAAGGCCCACCTGAGGCCCAGGACCTGCACCTCACCTTGACTGTCCTCTGCCCTCTGCTCAGAGCACACGCTGTGGTTGTGATCATGATTAACTTTTGTTTATTTGGAGAAAGTGGTCCTGAGAAGAATGCCACCTGCTAGAACTGCTGATGGATCCTAACAGCTCAAAGATAGGAATGGAAGGCAGATGGGTGCTAGGCAGAAAATGTAAAATTTCCAGAGGGAGGAAATGCAAGTAGCAGAAGACAATGGCAGCCAGCAAGCTACCTGCTCCCAGCACTTCCTCCCAAATGATGCCAAAAAGCAAGGAGGAGGCCGGGCACAGTGGCTCACGCCTGTCATCCCAGCACTTTGGGAGGCCAAGGCAGGCGGATCACAAGGTCAGGAGTTCAAGACTAGCCTAACCAACATGGTGAAACCTCATCTCTACTAAAAATAAAAAAATTAGCCAGGCGTGGTGGCAGGTGCCTGTAATCCCAGCTAATCAGGAGGCTGAGGCAGGAGAATTGCTTGAACCTGGGAGGCAGAGGTTGCAGTGAGCCAAGATCACACCACTTCACTTCAGCCTGGGCAACAGGGCGAGACTCCATCTCAAAAAAAAAAAAAAAAAAAAAAGCAAGAAGGACAACGCACACTGCACTAAACCCTATCCTCAGAGAATGCCACACTGCCAGTGAGAAGGAGTCATCTCCACCGCGATCGCCCCTTGCCACCCACCCAAGGCTCCGTGATGGGTGGAAAACCATGGGGAGGAGAAGACACGGGGAGGGGGCCATGGGAAATGAAGTAAACTTCCTACTTCCTTTTATGAGGCAAGCATAACATTTATTCCTAAACCTGAGGAAAACGGTACTCCACCAAAAAACCCTACACACCACTGTCACTCGTGGATACAAATGCAAAAGCTGAAGGACAAATATTGCAAATATATGACCAAGAAAAAATCAACACCACATCTGAATTCTCAACAGGTCTTTCTCTGGCCTTTACTCTTTGAGGTGACAAGCTGGTGGAGAAACCATGAGTTCTGGGGCCGGGAGAACGGTCACAGCACGGCCTTGACGGGCAACCTGGGGGAGTCACAACAGTCATGTATGGTGGTGTCGCCAGAGGGCATTTAAGAATTCCAGGTGATCATGTAATGACCTGCTTAGCGCAGTGTCTGACACGGTGAACCCGCCACTAGTCACCATCGTCTTCACTGACAGAGTCTTGCTCTGACTAGCACAGGACTTACACTTTCTATAAACGCACAAATGGGGGCATGCATGAGCCAGGAAAGAAACCGCGTAACATCAGAATAAGGCATTCCTCGACAATGAATCAATCTGTGAGCAGAAATTTATTTTTCCCAGGTTGTGACACTGAATTGGAAATACAAAGAAAACAACAGATCACAGAATATACCACAAGGATCTCCTAACTAAATGCCATTAAGCTTTTAAAGTCCATTAACATTTCTAGGAACAAAATAAAAATTATGCATAACATGCAACAGCAGCCAGGAATGGAGAAAACTACACGAAAAATGAAGGTCCGTCAGATCAGTCTTGACCATGCTCCTCAGTATGGCTTTAAAGGGATTAAGAATCAGACCCAGGAAAGAGAGTCCATGAAATTTCTGAAACTTTAAGTGAGGTGTGGGGCCAGGCGTCTGTCTGGGGAGAAGAGGATCCACAGTCTTCAGGACATTCCCAAAGGTGCCGCCTCCCAACCACAAGAACTCCTAACACAAAGCAGGCACCCTCTGCTGGCTGTGGCCGACTTGGGTGAGTTTAGTCTTAAGAGTTTTCAAAGGTGCTGGTTTGAATTACTCAAGTTCCTGGATATTAAATTATGTGGCATTTATATTAGGAGGGCTAAAAGTGGGAGGATACCTCTTATGTATTTGTTGGTTTATTTCCTCTTAGAGCCAGAACCACTTCAACAATGACTGTAATTTTAAAACTGGAAATGAAGAGAAACTCATTTTTTAAAAAAGAAAATGAATTGGGAAAAACATGAAACTGCATTTGAGTGGAACAGAAATAGAACTTGTTCTCTGAAGGAAAAGGTCCAAATTAACAAGGATAAAAATCCCAACATCTCAGCCTTGAGGACCAGATTCAAATGAATAAGAACTCTGGCTATGTATCATTAAGAAAAGCCAGATAATGGAGAAAGGAATCCTTTGATTTCACTATCAGCTGCAAGCATAAAAACCACATGACCAAGTAATTCCATGGCGGGCTCTGAGACAGCGACTTCCAAAGCTGCCTGCGGTCCAGAGGTAGAACAGGAGGGACTAGAACTCTGGAACTGAAACGGTGGGGCCTTACAAGCCACTTAACCTCTCTATATCCCTTCTTCTAAACTAAGAGCAGCAGTGTCTACCTTACAAGGCTGCTGTGAGAATTAGGGAGATATACGGTAAAGTTAATCAAACTGTAAATTTAGCTTAGGTGAATTTGTGTAAGGTAGAAAGGCAGGAAGGAAGGAGAGCCCCTTATTCATCCCCATAATCCCACATCATTTAAACTACATACTGGCTTTGGCTCCAAATAAATGGAAGCCAGGATTTAAAATCAAGGAAAGGCTGGGCGCGGTGGCTCACACCTGTAATCCCAGCACTTTGGGAGGCCGAGGCAGGTGGATCACGAGGTCAGGAGATCGAGACCATCCTGGCTAACATGGTGAAACCCCATCTCTACTAAAAATACAAAAAAAAAAAAAATTAGCCAGGCGTGGTGGTGGGCGCCCGTAGTCCCAGCTACTCAGGAGGCTGAGGCAGAAGAACGGCATGAACCTGGGAGGTGGAGCTTGCAGTGAGCCAAGATCGCGCCATTGCACTCCAGCCTGGGTGACAGAGCGAGACTCCGTCTAAATAAGTAAATAAATAAATGCAAGGAAAAAAAACAGGTTAATTCTTGGATGTTGAGTATCAGAGTTCCCAAGTCCTACTGACTTCAGGGACTATGAGGGTAATTTTGACTCCCCACAATTTCACTTTAAAACCTAACCCAACCTATCCACCACCACACACATATAACACTTGGCCTGGAGTGAAAACTCAATAAATGTCAGATACTATAATACAATATACAAAATGCTTCACCAAAACCAGTGTATTGGTAACACAGGAGCAGACTGCAGGCCGGCGTGGTCTGATGGGGGAGACAGTGAGAAGGAGCCAGGAATCAAGAAAACGGACAGCAAGGTCCCAAAGACAGGCTCAAGGCCAAAGAAAGGGCTGACCTTCTGCTTGGGGAGCTTATGACAATATACAGGTTCCACATCATTGTTTACAAGGAATGCTAACATCGTCCTCTGCATAAAGTACATCAGGGACTTGCAAGATGCTGACTCAGGCACTGCATTTCCATAAAATGGCCCAAACTGAGCTCTCTACTGCTGCCTCCCAAAGGGGTCCACACACACATAGGGGCTGAGGAGCAGAGTTCTGTGTGGAAAGTTCCCAGCACACCAGGTCCAGGGGACCGTTGGGCACATGCTTGCTTCTCCCACACTAGCACACTCTAAGCACGAGGCCTGCAGTCCACGGATTCCAATCCAATTGTTCAATTGTTGTTTTACCACACATGTGCATGCATGCACATACATGCATGCACACACGCACACGCACACACACACACACACCCTTGTCTTTGCTGACTTTCTAATCAGGCCAGTTGAATAAGGTACCTTGAGGTTGAAAACTCACATGTCAGTACTGGAGAGTGTATTAATTGCTCCTGGCTCCTCAATTCACTGAGTCACTTAGCATCTTTGAGCTCGTGCCCATGTGGAAGCAGCCTTGCGTGTGAATACTAAAGCATCTATCCATGAATGAAGTACATCTGTAAGCACACAGACACAGATGTTTGTCCTGTCAAGCCAATCAAAGACCTATTAATAATTAAGGGAAAGAAAATACCAAAGATAGAGTAAGACGGCACTCTCTCACATGGTGGTGAGAATATACGTATTCATTTCTTTCTGGAAAACAACCTAGCAAATGTTATCCAGACCTAAAAACACTCACAGCCATTGATTCAGTGACGCCTCTTCTAAGAATGCATCACAAGACTAACCTAAAACACAATCAAGGATTTGTTTATGGAGCCACCACATGCATTATCAACAGTGAAAAAGCAGAAACCACACAATGTTTGTCGATAGGAAGCTGCCAATTACATCTCCTTACAACGGGATAATGAGCTTCCACTTTCTTTTTCAACCTGTTTAACTGAGATATAATTCACATACCACATAATTAAATTATTTGCAGTGGTTTTTCATATATTCACTAAGTTGGGTAACCACCACTACAATCTAATTTTACAACATTTTGCCTCCCCCCAGAAGAAACTCTGTACCCATTAACAGTCAATCCCCCGGCCCCCACATTCTAATTTCTCCACATCCTTGCCAGCATTTGTAACTGTTAAGTTGTTATTGTTCATCTTTTTGATAGTAGCCATCCTTGTGGATGTGAAGCGGTACCACACTGTGGCTTCTGATTTGTATTCCCTAATGATTAATGATGTGGGCCATCTTTTATTTATTGCTCATTTGTATATTTTCTCTGGAGAAATATCTATTCAAACACTTTGCCCATTTTAAAATTAGGTTTGTCTTAATACTGAGTTGTACGAGTTCTTTGTATATACTAGATATGAGTCTCTTTTCAGATATATGATTTGCAAACATCTTCTCCCATTCTGGGGAATGTTTTTTCATGTTCTTGAGAGTATTATTTGTAACACCAAAGTTTTCATTTTGATGAAATCCAATTTATCTATCCTTTGTCCCTTTTGCTTTTGGTGTCATATCTCAGAAACCATGGCCTAACCCAAGGTCATGAAGATTTCCTCATGTTTTCCTTTAAGAGTTTTATGATTTCAGCTCTTACATTTAGGTCATGATTCACTTTTTTGTGTGTGTCTACAGAGAGGCAGGAGTGGAACTTCATCTTTTTGCATTTCAATGTCTAATAACCGTCCCAGGACTACTGGTTGGAAAACATAAATTTCCTCATTGAATTCTCTTGGCATTTTTGTCAGAAATCAATTGACCATAAATATGAAGGTTTATCTTTGGCCTCTCAATTCTACTCCACTGATCTACATGTCTATCCACATGGCAGCATCACAGTCTTGATTAATGTAGCTTTGTAATAAATTCTGATACCAGAATGCGTGAGTCCTAATCTTTGTTTTTTTTTTTTTTTCAAGACTGTTACGGCTATTCCGGGTTCTTTTAATTCCCAAATGAATTTTAAGATAAGCTCGACAATTTCTGCTAAGAAGCCATTTAGGCTTTTGATAGGGACTGCACTGAATCTTTACATCAATTTGAGAAAGAATGCCACCTTAACAATATTAAGGTTTCCAATCCATAAACATGGGATGCCTTTCCATTTATTTAGATCCTCTTTAATTTATTTCAACAATATTTTGTAGTTTTCAGAGTGCGAATGTTGCACCTCTCTTGCTAAATTTATGTCTAAGTATCTTATTCATTCTGATGTAAGTGGATTTTCCTAGTTCCATTTTTAAATATTTCATTGCAAGTGCATGAAAATGTAACCGATTTTTTAATCTTGATCTTGCATCCTACAAACCTGAATTGGTTTATAAGCTTTCATAGTTTTCTAGTGGATTCCTTGGGGATTTTCTACATACAAGATCCTGTCATCTACAAATAGAGGTAGTTTTATTTTTTTCCATTCTGGATGACTTTTGTTTCATTTTTGGGCTTAACTGCCTTAGCTAGAACCAGTACTAAAATAGAAGTGGAGAAAGTAGATATCCATATCTTACTCCTGATCTTAGGGGAAAAACTTTGTCTTTTCAACTAAGCATGATGTTAGTCACAGAATTTTCATGGAAGCCTTTATTAGAGAGGAAGTTCTCTTCTATTCCTAGTTTGTTGAATGTTTTTCTCATAAAAGGGTGTTGGATTTTGTCAAATGCTTTCTCCATATCAGCTGAGATGATCATGTAGTTTTTGTCCTTTATTCTGTTAATACAGTGTATTACACGGATTGACTTTCAAATGTTGAACCATCCCAGCATTCCTCAAATAAATTCCACTTGTAATAATGCCTAATCCTTTCAATACGTTGCTAGATTTAGTTTGTTAGGACTTTGCTGAGGATTTTTAAGTCCATTGTGATAAGGAATATTGTTCTGTAATTTTCTTTCCTTGTTATGTCTTCATCTCACTTTGGTCTCAGAGTAATATCGGCCACATAGAATGAGGTGAAAAGTGCTCCCTCCTCTTCTATTTTTTGAAAGAGTCTATGAAGAAAGAGTGTTAATTCTTTGTTAAACCTTTGATAAAATTCACAAGTGAAGTCATCTAGTCCTACGATTTTCTTTGTGGGGATTTTTGAAATTATTGTTTCAATAATTAATACTAATTAATAACAAGTTAACATTATTTAAATTATTGATGAAAATTAGTTCATTGTTAATTTTAAATTGTTAATAATTAATTCAGTCTCAAAGAGAGACTTATTTTATGGAATTGGCTCACACAATTGTAGGGACTGGCAAGTCTGAAATATGTAGGGTAGGCTAGCAGGCTAGGAACTCGGTCAGGATTTCCCGTGAGGCAGTCTTGAGAAGAATTCCTACTTCTTCAAGAAACTTCACTCTTCAAGCTCATGGCCTTCACCTGATTAGATTAGGAGGCCCACCTACATTGTGGAGGGTAACCTGCTTTACTCAAAGTCCACCGATTTAAATGTTAATCACATCTAAAATACATCTACACTGCAGCTACAAATAGACTGGAGTTGGACCAAACAACAGGGCACCACAGCCCAGCCAAGTCAGCACAAAATTAACCATCATAGTCAATTTTGGCAATTTGTGTGTTTCTAGGAGTTTCTCTGTTTCATATACACTGCCTGGTTTGTAGAGTCGTTCATAGTATTACTTTAATGCTGTGTATTTCTAAAATTTCTCATGAATTTAGTAACTTGAGTTTTCTCTCTCTCTCTGGTCAGTCTAGCTACAAGTCTGTTTCACTTATTTCTGTTCTAGTCTTCATTATTTTCTCCCTTCTGTTTGTTTTGGCTTTATTTTACCCTTCTTTTTCTAAGTTTCGGAAAGTGGAAAGTTAATGATTTGAGGTCTTTTTTAATATAGTCCGTTACAACTATAAATTTCTCTTGGATCACTGCTTTAACTGCATCCTGTAAGTGCTGATATATTGTGTTTTCATTTTCTTCATCTCACAGCAATTTCTAATTTCCCTTACGATTTCTTCTTTGACCCACTGGTTATTTAGGGTGTGTTCTAAAATGTCTACATATTTGTCATTTTCTTCAAATTTCCTTCTGTTACTGGCTTCTAACTTAATGCCACTGTGGTCAAAGAACACACTTTGTATAAACTCCATCTTCTCAAAAGTATTACGGCTTGTTTTATGGCCTAGCATATGGTCTATTGTAGAGAATGCTCCACAAGCACTTGAGAGGAACATGTATCCTGCTGCTGTTGGGTGCAGTGTTCTGTGGATATCTACTAGATCTAGTTGGTTTTCTGTGTTGTTTATTCTTCTAGTTTCTTGCTGATTTGTCTCATTTTTCTAGCCATTATTGAAAGTAGTATGTTGCTACTTTTAAAACACGTATTTTTTAAAACTGTTGAATGACACTGGAAAATGGTTAGATACTAAGCAAAAAGCAATATTGAAATGTGCATGCATAATATAATAGCTACTATGGAAAAGAATCTACAGAGTAAAAGGCCAGAAAAAAATTAGCCAAACATTCAAGTGACAGCTTCTGGGATGGCAAAGCCATACTGTTATTAAACTTTCCAATCTTTTAAACAGTAAGTCCATTACACTAATTATTTCCGAAATGTTTTTAACTAGAAAAAATGAATATATATGAGTCGTGGGCAATGCAAAGATGTGGCACCTGCACAGTCAGTTCAGGGGCTGCAAAGCCAGCCACCTCCACTTCGCTATTCCACACACGAGCAACCCCAGGGAACTCTCTGCTTGTCTCACGTGGGTCTAGAACTGCTACAGAAAATGTGCTACGCTCAGATGCTTTGGTTTTTACCTTTCAATGTTTCCGAGATTAACTGTGGAGCACAAAAGCACCTAAGCTATGAGGAACATTCAAGGAAGTCAGGCAAAGGATGTATTTGGCAGTAGCCTTGGTTTAGACAACACAAAAAAAACAAGGTGGAGGGAAGTAAAATTTAAATGCTAACAATGGAAAGCTAAAACAAATCATTCTAAAGCTACAACTTATCAATGAGAAACTAGCACCAGCTCTTCTTTCCCTCACTGTCACTCAAAGCTCTATCAATACTCCGATAATGGAAATAAGCAAAAGAATGACTATGCTGCTAAAATCCAGCTGTGAGCATGTTCTCTGCGTTCATCCTCTCATGTGTCCCACCGGCTGTGGGGATTTTACCTGCCATCCCCACCACACACTCATCACAACCCTAGCAGTCCTCCAGCTCCAGGAGCCATATGCTAGAGTGTCCTCTCTGGGTAACCACATGCTTAAGAACAATCTATACTTTAAGAATCTGACTTACAAACAGGAATATAATGTTTTTGTTTTTGTTTTTTTTTTGAGATAGAGTTTCACTCTTGTTGCTCAGGCTGGAGTGCAATGGCACAATCTTGGCTCACTGCAACCTCCACCTCCCGGGTTCAAGCAATTCTCCTGCCTCAGCCTCCCAAGTAGCTGGGATTACAGGCATGCGCCACCATGCCCAGCTAATGTTTGTATTTTTAGTAGAGAAGGGGTTTCACCACGTTGGTCGGGCTGGTCTCGAACTCCTGATGCCCACCTCGGCCTCCCAAAGTGCTGGGATTATAAGCGTGAGCCACCGCACCCGGCAAAATAAATATTCTTAATGTTCTTAAGTAAATGCACTATTTATTCTAATCCCATTGCACATTTGCTTTCAAGAGTAATTTAAGAGAAAATGACATAGAAAATCAAGTCAATTAGATATTAAACATACTGATGGTGAGAATCCATTGTAAAACACTCTTCACCTTTTCCAAAATGTGGTCCTATTGCTCGCCTGCAGCACAACCAACATCCAGTCACTCCGAGTTATCCGTCCAAAGTACTCAGTCAAGACATCCAGCCACTCCGAGCTATCAGTCCAAAGGACTCAGTCAAGACTGTTTCTACATTTAAATAGCACGGAGGCATCAAAGATGGGGAGGGGGGCAAATACTTCTTTGTTTCTTGCTCTGCTAAAAATGTTTAAGCTAAAATACAATTGTCTGCTTAAACTGTGGAATTCAAGGTGATGGAACAATGCTCCTTAATTCAAAATCTTCAAATTTAACATACTTAAAAGTAATATGACAGTCGCTGTTTGAAAAGTACAGGCTTTTCTTAAAAATTACACCATGCCTAAAGGAAAGAAAAACTAAAAGAAAAGATTCACCAACACTGGATGGTTTCAGAAATTATGCTACATGATCTCAATAGAGCATTATGTACAGAAGGTAGAAATGATTTTTATAAAGATTTCTTAATACAAGGAAAAGCCTACATTGTAAGGTTAAATGTGGGAAAAAAACATGAAACAAAATGTTATAGATAATATGCACTCGACTATGTAAATACAATGCATAGAAAACAAGACTTAGAGGAAATACAGAAAACAGCTGCTTATGCACAGTGGTACGGCGGCTGCCTGGTGGCCATACACAGGACAGTAACCCCTGAGTGAGCGCTGAGCGGGCAAGTGCCCCGCACCCTGGCTCAAAGGACGGGCTGGAACCACAGCTCAGGCTCCAAGCTGGATGAGTCCTTCTTCCTCCCAGCCCAGACCTAGACACTGCGACCCTAGCAACCTAGAGAAGAGACCCAGGCTACCTTCGAGGCCCAGCCCTGGGCGGGGCAAGAGATGGGGAAGGGCCCAGATTCACACTGCTTGCCACACAGAGGTGATACCATGGTGCCACCCCCAAGGAACTGAAGTAGAGCCCAGGACTCTCCCCATGCAGATAGCCACTGGTCTCTTGGGAGCAGAGAAAGTAGAGAGATCCTTCTCCAGCCCTCCCAGTGTGGCTGTGTGGGAAGAAAGGATCTTAATCAAAGGGGAGGCTGCACAGTGAGGAGATAGGCTTCAATAAGTCTTCTCAACAGTGGGATGGCCAAGTATTTTAATTGCTTCCTTCATAACTTATCTATATTTACCAGTATCTCTATACTGTTTCTAAAGCTATGTTTTTACATTACTCTGTAACGCTGAAGGAACATACTTCAAAATAATAAGAGCCAATTATGACAAACCCACAATCAACAGCACACTGAATGGACAAAAGCTGGAAGCACTCCCCTTGAAAACCAGAACAAGACAAGGATGCCCACTCTCAAAACTCCTATTCAATAGAGTACTGGAAGTCCTTGCCAAAGCAATCAGGCAACAGAAAGAAATAAAAGGCATTCAATAGGAAGAGAGGAAATAAAAGTGTTTGCAATCAATACGATTCTATACCTAGAAAACCCCATAGTCTCTGCCCAAAAGCTCCTAGATCTGATAGCTTCAGTAAAATTTTAGAATACAAAAATCAATGTACAAAAAGCAGTAGTATTTCTGTACACTAACAATGTCCAAGCTGAGAGCCAAATCAAGAATGCAATCCCATTTACAACAGCCACAAAAAGAATAAAATACCTAGAAATACAGCTAACCAGGTAACATATAAGATCTCTACAATGAGAATTACAAAACACTGCTCAAAAAAATCAGAGATGAATATACAAATGGAAAACCATTCTATGCTCATGGATAGGAAGAATCACTATTGTTAAAATGGCCACACTGCCCAAAGCAATTTACAAACTCAGTGCTATTCCTATTAAACTACCAATAAATGACATTTTTTGCAGAATTAGGAAAAAAAACTATTTTAAAATTCACAAGGAATCAAAAAAGAACCTGAATAGCCAAAGCAATCCAAAGCAAAAAAGAACAAAGCTGGAGGCATTACAATATTCATGCTTATGAATATACTTGTGAGTACACTTGAAACTATACTTCAAGGCTACACTAACAAAAACAGCATGGCACTGGTAACATGGCACAATAACAAAAACAGACACACAGACCAATGGAACAGAAGAGAGAGCCCAGAAATAAAGCCACACATTTACAGCCATCTGATCTTTGACAAAGTGGACAAAAACAAGCAATGGAGAAAGGACTCCCTATTCAATAAATGGTGCTGGGATAACTGGTTAGCCATACACAGAAGATTGAAACTAGACCCCTTTGTTATACCAAAATCAACTCAAGATAGATTAAAGACTTACATGTAAAACCTAAAACTGTAAACATCCTGTAAGATAATGTAAGGAAATACCACTCCAGACACAGACCCTGGCAAAGATTTCATGACCAAGATGTCAAAAGCAATTGCAACAAAAACAAAAATTAACAAATGGGACTTCATTACACTAAAGAGCTTCTGCACAGCAAAAGAAACTATCAACAGAGTAAACATACAACCTACAGGAGAAAATATTTGCAAACCATATTTGCATACCATCACATACCAGTCAGAAAGACTATTATTAAAAAGTCAAAAAAAAAAACAGATGCTGTGGAGGTTGTAGACAAAAGAAAATGCTTTTACACTGCTAGTGAGAATGTAAATAGTTCAGCCACTATGGAAAGCAGTTCGGTGATTTCTCTAATAACTTAAAGCAGAACTACTGTTCAACCCAGCAATCCCATTATTGGGTATACACCCAAAGGAATATCAATCACTGTACCATAAAGACACATACACGTGTATGTTCATCATAGCACTATTTACAATAGCAAAAAATATGGAAACAACCTAAATGTCCATCAATGGTGGACTGGATAAAGAAAATGTGGTACATATACACCATGGAATACTATTCAGCTATAAAAAAGAACAAGATCACATCCTTTGTAGCAACATGGACGGAGATGGAGGTCATTATCCTAAAAGAACCAATACAGGCACAGAAAACCAAATACTGCATGTTCTCACTTATAAGTGGGAGCTAAATATTGAGTACACATGGACCCAAAGAAGCAAACAATAGACACCAGGGCCTGCCTGAGGGTGGAGAGCGGGAGGAGGGTCAGAATCGAGAAACTACCTCTCGGGTACTACGCTTATTACCTGGGTAACTAAATAATCTGTACACCAAACCCCTGTGACTCACAATTTACCTATATAAAAAACCTGTACATGTACCCTTGAACCTAAAATAAAAGTTAAAAAATAATAACAACATAGTAGCCGGGCACAGTGGCTCATGCCTGTAATCCCAGCACTTTGGGAGGCCGAGGTGGGTGGATCACTTGAGGTCAGGAGTTCGAGACCAGCCTGGCCAACATGGTAAAACCCTGTCTCTACTAAAAATACAAAAATTAGCCGGGCATGGTGGCACACACCTGTAATCCCAGCTACTCAGGAGGCTAAGACAGGAGAATCGCTTGAACCCAGGAGGCAGAGGTTGCAGTGAGCCGATATCGCACGACTGCACTCCAGCCTGAGCAACAGAGACACCATCTCAAAAAAAAAAAATGAATAAATAACATAATGTTAACTTCAAAAAATAAATAAAAATTATATATTGTTTCAGTGTTTAAACAAATACTAATAAAGTGCTCTATAAACACAAAAACTTTCTGTAGGGATCCAATTCAACAGAGTTTCTCTAATCCACGAAGCTTCTCTGTGCAAAGCATGACACACGCATGCGACACAGTCCCCAGATTCGAGGAGCAGCGAATCTACCTGGGAGAGGCACAACAGGAAAAAAGAAAACAGAGCACACATCAGGAATGAAACAGAATCACAGCCTCCATGAGTTTTAGGGAATATATGGAAATTTTACCTTTCCATATATCCCTTCTAAAAAGTTAAGGTATAATTGTCATAGGACATGACTAAATGATTATTAGAATGGGAGAATACCCAGCTTTGAGCTAGGCACAGTGGCTCGTGCCTGTAATCCCAGCACTTTGAGAGGCCAAGGAAGAAGAATTCCTTGAGTCCAGGAGTTTGAGACCAACCAGGGCAATATAGCAAGACTCTGCCTCTACAAAAAATAAAAAATTAGTCAGGCGTGGTGGTGCATGCCTGTAGTCCCAGCTACTTGGGAGGCTGAGGTAGGAGCATCACTTAAGCCTGGGAGGTTGCAGCTGCCATGAACTATGATAACGTTAGTGCACTTAGCCTAGGCAATAGAGCAACACTCTGTCTCTCTCCTTCATTCATACATACATACATACATACATACATACAAACAAACACATATATACCTAACACTCAGCTTTAAGCCTAGAAGAAAACATCAGCATGTGCATCCATTTTAAGGGGGTTAAACAGTTGCCATAAAGGTTCCCTCTTATGACAGGGAATTTGGCACTGGGCACAAAGGCTGTCAACACTGAAGTTGCTGGGCTATGGGGAAAACAGCAGCACCGGGGAATTTATTCCTCTTTACAAATGATTTCTACAGTCAACATCCCTTCTTATCTGAGTTTTTATCACAGTTTGAGAGTAAGAGGCAGAACTCAATCTCTTTAAATTAATATAAGATTCAGTAAAGTCTACAAAAAAAAAAAAAAGAGTGAAAGATGATGACAAGTGTTGACCAGGATGTGGACACACTCCTGCAGGAAGAGGAAACATACGCTCCTCCCACAATGCTATGGGCAGGGAAAATGGTGCCGCCACGTGGGAAAGCAGTCCGGCAGGTCCTCAAAAGGTTAAACAGAGTAACCATGTGACCCAGTAATTCTCCCAGTTATATACCAACAGAAATGGAAACACATATCTACACGAAGACTTGTACATGAATACTCATAGCAACGTTATTCCTGTTAGTCAAAATATTAGTCAAAAATGGAAACAATATTAGTCGAAAAATGAAAACAATCCAAATGTTCACCAACAGATGAGTGGAGAAACACAACGTGCTGCGTCCGTACCCGGAGACGTTACCTGGCTACGGAATGAAGGAAGTACTGATTCACGCTGCGTGGATGAACCTTGGAAGCATGATGCCAAGTGGAAGAAGCCAGACACAAAGGGCCACGCACCATGTAATTCCACTCACGTGAAATGTCCAGAAGAAGCAAATCCACAGACACAGAAAGCAAATGAGAGGCTGCCTGGGGCTAGTGGACAAGAGAAAAGGGAAGGATGGGGAGTGACTGCCAATGAGTATAGGATTTCTTTTGGGGATGATGAAAATATTCTAAAAACAAAGGTGCTGATGGTTACACTACTCTAAATATTCTAAAAATCTTTCAACTTTACACTCTAAGTGGGTAAACGTTATGGTTTCTAAACTGAATCTCAATAAAGCTGTTTTTAAACAGCAGTAGTAAGTAAAGTTGCATGGAGGTTGGGAGTGGGTGGGGGACAGAAGGAAGGAGAACGGTGACTGCTGGAGTCAGATGACGGGCACGCGGGTTCTTCGGACAATTTTGTTGACTTTGTGTTTGAAACTTTCCATCATAAAAAATTATTTAAAATAAAGTTGCAAGAGGCTGTGGTCCACTGAGTGCAATCTTCCCCAAGCACAGAAACATTCAGGCCCCCATTTCTGAGGGAGGGCAGGGAGCTGATGTGACAGTTTGCTTGCCACTATTCTTCAGCCAGATTTGGCAGGTCGCTAGCAAGATCCCCACTATCAAATGCTTTGACCAATTTTCAGTCTCCATCCCTATGAGCTCTGCTGACCACTCCCTCCTTCCTGAAGTTGTCCCCTCCCTTGATTTCTGTGATACCTCAGGCCTGGCCTTTGTCTTACCTCTGAAACCACTTCTTCTCCATTTCCTTACCACACCACCATACCTCTCCCCGGGGCACACACTGGTCTGGCAGCCTGCATGCACACACACACAGACCCTCTTCCTTGCCTCCTGTCTCCACCCACATCTTCTCCAGGTCCCCTGTGGCTGGTGGGTGGCAAGGGTGTGGCTGATGGAGGACATCGCTGTGTGGGTTCCAGGAAAGCTTCCGAAAACACATAGGCTCAGCTGAGGCGTGCTTTGGCCTCGGCCCTGCACCCTGCACCATCTCCCTCTCTCCAAACCTAGGACAGGGACAGAGCAGAGATGCGGCCACCATTTTAAGCAGAGGAAAGCCACAGGCAGCAACAAAGAAAGTGACAGTAACGATGATCACAAGAGCAACGCATACTGGACACTTACTGCGTTCCATACCTGGTTCTAAGCTGTTTTTGCCTCGCTCAGTGTTCACACCAACCAAGGGACTGGTGCCATTACGATCTCCATTTCGTGTCCACTGCAGAGATCACTGAGGCACCAAGGCCGCCTGCAGCTCTTCAGGGGCAGCGTCTGGATCTGGACCCCAGCGGTCAGGCCCCAGAGCTGCATTGCATCCTTCACAGATCCCAAAGGCGGCCCTCAGCAGCAGGAGCCACCTGGACTCTCAACGCCCAGACTCCGGCATGGGAGAGCGCCATAAACCTCCCTGTGGGACAGCCCCATTGCCAGCTCCTCGAGTCACAGACAGTCACAGCTCGGAGACCCCTGACACATCAGAGAGCCACTGGATCCTGTGACCCGCTGCACTCCACTCTCCCCAGACACACACATCCACAGCCGCGACTGTCAGCAGCCATTTCCAGGCCGACAATTTCCAGACTAACCTCCACTGCAGATCTCCTGCCAAGGCCCGGATCCCAACAGACTCTTCTACTCAATCACTGCCGACAGAGCACACTCAGCACATCCTAAATCAGAACCCCATCCCGCCTCCTCAACCCGCTCTTTCTACTCCACGTCTCATCCTGGTAAACGGCACCACACCCCTCACAGGGCCAGGAATCTAGGAGGTGACTGGATTTTTCCTTCTCGTTCACGCTCCCCTCTACTCACACCAAGCCACCTTGGTGCCCTCACAGCAGCCTATTTGACATCCAGGACCAGGCCCTCCTCTCAGGCCCAGTCCTCCGTCAGCGAGTCTCCTGCCTCCACCGGCCTCTGGTCTGGGCCTGCTCCTGTACCCCTCAGTGTCTCTAGACCAGGTGTCACTCCTCTGCTGTTACAAACTCTAAGATGCCCTGGACCCTATGTTATTCTCATCCTAGACCTGCCTTCTTCCATGGCCTGAACTAAGTCCAAAGTAGCACGTGCCTTGCTGTTTCCTCTCAATTCTAAAAGATTAGACTAAAAAGTGTGTCTTCCGCCTGTTCCTAGCTGAGTGTCGTCTCCAATGGCTGTGCTAACTGGAGTCTCCTCCACACTCTGCCCGCCCCATGGGTCAAGGACGCAATCTGCAAGAACAAGCACGCACGCTTGGCTCTGATCTGGAATGGGCACATTCAAGCTTCAGCAAATGTATCACTATGTGCCTCTAGTTTCTTCCCCACTCCCTAAGGCTTCAACCTCTGAAATTTATGAGCTGCGAAACCTTCCTGGCATAGAGAACTTCTCCATGATCGATCTCTCCCATCACATTATACCCTCTCACTTCGTTTTCACTTGTAGAGTTTTCTCCCCAAGCTTCGGTGATGTCGAACTGGCTGTATTTACTGGACTTCACTGTCTTCACATGCTTTGCACACGGCTGCCCCTGCCTCTGAGGTCACGCAAGATCGCTTGACCTCTTTCTCCAATGACAGGCACCTCCAGGGCCTGAGCGAAACTGGTGGGTGCCACTCAAACAAAGGTTGATTACAGATTTGTTCCCCATTTGCTTGGAGAGGTTGAGGCTAGCACTAGTGAGGAGTGTGCAAGTGGGTTTGTGTCTCTGTATGGTTATGTATGTCCGCGTGCACGTGCCTGCACGCCTGTGTGCACAGCATGTGTGTGTGCAAGAGCATGCCCTAAACATGCATTTACAGACTCTGCATCCATCAACAGCAGGACCAAACTGCCCTTCTCAAATAGTGGTGAGCTCCACGAGGACTGCTGGGATGCATACCATGTATTCCTGACTCAGGCCGGCAGTGTCCTGGCACCCATGGAGACCCATCGAACCCTAACCCACCTCTGAGCACACCTCCACACAGCTTGAGCATTGCTCCCCCACTACAAACTGTTTCTCTGACTCTGACATCCTGGCCAGCCTCCTGCTGAAGATGAACATTCTCCTCTGTGCTGGGAAGCAGTTCACCTAGTCGACTGGTCTGCCTTCAGACCAGGTCCTGTGTGTCAACCTCAACCACAGCAGCTCTCATTAGTTGCTTAGCAATGAGACAACCTCCTATGAAATCATAACTGGAAACAAAGTGTCAGAGGGGTTGCAATACAATTCACTACATGCATATGTCCTCATCCTCGGGGGATGATCTGTCCTCGGGTAAAGCTCATCTCTCCAGATTACAGCAAGGATGGGAATCTGAAGCCCACCACATCCTTCTTTCCAAGTCAAAGAACGTAACACTGAGAGGGCTCTGAGTGCCAGCATGTGCAGAGTTGGAACCTCCCACTGACAGCCAGAACGATGAGCCACTCCCGAAGAGCTGCTCCTACTCAGGACCAATGCCACACTCCAGGATTCCCCACCTCCCGTGAAACCAGTGGGAGCATATGGCAGGCCAGGATCTGTGGATCTTTACAGGCTCTGGACACATGGCGAACACACATCCCCAGAAAGAGCCCAGCTCCCACTCAGGCATCACAGATCTGTCTGCTGTTGCCTGAAAGCCCCTGGAGAAATCCCACACCCCGGGGATTTCTTAAACCTTTGATTAACTGGGATGCTATCCTGTACTTCAAAGAAAAGAGGAATATCCAAGTAACAACACAAGCTCATCCCCAGAACCAGGCCAGCTGCAGCTCTCAGGAGGTAGCCACACCCGGGCTAGTGCCACTGGCAGCTGCACCAAAGGTGTATGAGCGGTCACATGATAACCTGAACGCTGAGGCCCAAGGACTGGCAGGTGCTCAGGTGTCGAAACCACAGAATCCCATTACCAGGCTCTGTTCTCTGAAGGAACAGTCAATCTTGAAGATCTTCACTAAGCAGAGCATCTGAGGTTTACCGGCTTGAAGACCCAGCAAACTAAGAGTTCAGCAAACCAGAATAGCCTCTCTGGAGGGCACCCGTGCCTCTGCCGGTGCTGGACCCTGCGGGTCCCTGGTCTATGAGCTTCCCCAGAAACCCTCCAATCTCATCCACGCAGCTGCCAGAATGAATGTTCAAAGATAAGAACCTGAGCACAGTGGCTGGGGGTTTCGCACACCCCTGGGACTCGACCCCAAGCTTCTCCTTCTCAGCACTGCAGCCCAAGCCGCCCTGCCCTTCCTCCCAATGCCACTACTTGTCACTGCACCTTGGATTCCAGGCCGGCCCTTCTGCTGCCCTCTCTGAATGCCCGGCCTCAATCTAGCCTCCTCCTCATCCCGCGAGACATGGCTAAAACATCACCTCACCCTGGAGGCCTCCCCTGACCCCTATAAGGGGACAGGTCCCTACAGCAGCCCAGGCTTCCTCTTGATAATGTGAATGTTAATTACTTTAATTAAGACTTTAAATTACTCCTCTAAAATCTGTCTTCCGTGCTACAACCACAAACTCCAAGAGGACAGGGATCAGGCTTTCCTTGTTCTCCTGCCCCACTCCCACAGCACAGGGCCAGGAGATGCTCTGTCAACACTGGCTGCGTTGAACCGAAGTCATCTCCCCACCGCAGCGCTCTGCACCACACCCAGCACCAGGGCAGGTGCTCCATGAAGGGCCGCGTGAATGACTCAACTTCAGCCCCATAAGGAATCTGGACAGCACACCACGCAAGTTAAACGCTTCTTTACAACATAATGAAAGGCGGACTTGGACTGTACTAATGAACATTCCCCAAACCTAGGAAGCTAGATCTAAAAAGGACTACAAATGCAATAATCACATGTGAAATCCAGGACCGAACTTCTTTTTTTTTTTTTTTTTTGAGATGGAGTCTCATTCTGTCACCCAGGCTGGAGTGCAGTGGCGCGATCTCGGCTCACTGCAACCTCCGCCTCCCAGTCTCAAGCGATTCTCCTGCCTCAGCCTCCCGAGTAGCTGGAACTACAGGTGCATGCCAGCACGCCCAGCTAATTTTTTGTATTTTTAGTAGAGACGGGGTTTCACCATGTTAGCCAGGATGGTCTCAAACTCCTGACCTCGTGATTCATCTGCATCAACCTCCTTAAGTGCTCGGATTACAGGCGTGAGCCACAGCGCCTGGCCCAAACATTTTTATATGTCCACTTAATAGTTGACTGACAGAAATAAATGGTATGTTTTACACAGATGTTCAAAAGTGACACCGTATACCCAATGTGTAGTTGTGTTCTGATGTGTGCATGTGTGTGTGCATGTGCCTGCGTGTGTGACGGCGATGCAGGAAGGATGGGGACGCAGGAAGGCAAGGAGAGTGTCTCTGAGCTCATCTGAAGACACCACTTATAGGACACAAATTCCATTTTCTCCAGGCTTTCTTTCTTCTGGACAATTAAGATCGTGGTCATGCCCCTTCATCCTGTCTTGCAGATAATCAGGCAAATGCATTAAGAATCGCTTAGGTCTTACAACAGAAGTTGGCGGTAAAGTAGTTAAAACAAACTTATTTACCACATTAATTAAATGGTCTATTTAACATGGAATATCAATTCTCTAATCACATCTCAGTTGAACTTCTCCTTTCAATTAACAACTCTGAAGTCTACTGACAGAGGTCCTACTGTTCTAGGATCATTAAGAGCATTTTCATTATCTGTCAAATGAGGGGTAAGAGGCAGAAAAGCAAGCACCCTCAGGAGTAGCCTCTCCCCTACTTAAGAGATGATTAGGGAGTGAGCCGAGGCAGCTCTCATTAGTTGCTTAGCAATGAGACAACCTCCTATGAAATCACAAATGGAAACAAAGTGTCAGAGGGCTGCAGTAAAATTCACTACTTGGATATGTCCTCATCTTCTGAGGATAATCTGTTCATCTGTCCTCGGGTAAGGCTCATCTCTCCAGATCACAGCAAGGATGGGAATCTGAGGCCGACCACAACCTGGAAAGGCTAAAAACACCATGTAATAACAACAGGCGAGCACCAAGTCCAGAAGGCTTGCAGGAAGACAAAACCAGGTTTAAATTAAAATGCTGTGACTAAACAGTAAAGTCCCCTCTTTCCTATTTATGTTTTATCCATAGACGCATTAAAAAGCAGATCCTCACTTTTATTATCAGAGGTTTTAACTTAAAAACATATTCAAAACAGATTAAGTTACATTACAGTTGACTGTGATAAAGGAAAAATATGCAGTACTTAAAAAGAAACAGCATAAAAACACAGCCCAACCTAAAACACTGTTCAACCAGTTATTTCACAAGTAATTAATACTCTCATGAAACCAAATGTTACTAGTATAGCAAAAGTAGAAAAGTGATGAAAGGCCACAGAAACGCAATTAAAGAAGATTTGATTTTCAGCTTGTAAGCAAAATATGTGACTGACACTCTATCACCTTAATCTTATCCATTTAAATTCAAGCCACTGACTGGGCGTGGTAGCTCACGTCTATAATCCCAGCACTTTGGGAGGCGAAGGCGGGCAGATCACGAGGTCAGGAGTTCGAGACCACCCTGGCCAACATGGTGAAAGCCCGTCTCTACTAAAAATACAAAAATTAGCTGGGCATGGTGGCGCATGCCCGTAGTCCCAAGTACTCAGGAGGCTGAGGCAGGAGAATCACTTGAACCCGGGAGGCAGAGGTTGCAGTTAGCCGATATCGTGCCACTATACTCCAGCCTGGGCAGCAGAGCAACACTCCGTCTCAAAATAAACAGATAGATAAACAGATAGACAGACAGACAGACTGATTGACTGAATGACTGATCGATTGAATGACTGAAACCATTAAAGCCATTACTGTGATGGCCTTTAGAATAAACTACACTCCCCAAATATATTATCTATCTTCAAATATTGTTAAAAAGAAGATATTCATCATTATAACTGCAATTTAATGTCTTCAGTAGTTGAGCATGTAGATTAAAGACATTTTGGAAAGCTGTTGTTGATGAGAAAACTATTATTCTCTAATATTACCTATCATTAATAACATTACACTTAGTAGCAATTTTCAATATTGTTATAATTATACATAGTAACACACAGCAAGTCCACTAAAGTTCACGTTTAATGTTTGCAAGAAATCTTACCTATGTATTCACAAATGAAGACCACAAAGAAAGGAGTGACGAGATCATTTATACCCTGAACGTATCCACTGGCTGGGTGGCGGATCGCCCATATGAACAAGATCCTTTCAAAAATCTGAAAGAAAATGGAACAGGTGGTAAAGCAAAAAGTAAACATGGCAGAAACTTTAAAATGAAAGCATTCTATTACTTAAAATGTACACTGTATTTTCTCATTGCTCCTAATATTAAGATACAAATATAAACAAATATCAATTTTTTTTTTTTTTTGAGACAGGGTCTTACTCTGTTGCCCAGGCTAGAGTGCAGTGGTGCCATCTCAGCTCACTGCAGCCTCTGCCTTCCAGGTTCAAGCAATCCTCCCACCTCAGCCTTCCAAGTAGCTGGGACTACAGGCATGCGCTACCATGCCTGGCTAATTTTTGTATTTTTTGGTACACACAGGGTTTCGCCACGTTGGCCAGGCTGCTTGTGAACTCCTGACCTCAAGTGATCCACCCACCTCAGCCTCCCAAAGTGCTGGGATTACAGGAATGAGCCACCACGCACGGCCCTTAAGACAATTGAAACTTGATTTTAAAAAAAATTATTTATTGTCCCACAAGCAATGTGCAGCACTTCAGCAGCCCCTGGCTCAGTCCGTCCCTGAGCTGGCTCTCCCAGCAGAAGCGCTCTGCTCCTCCACACCCCGCGGGCCACCGTGCAGCAGCACCTGACCTATCAGTGGAGACTTCCTCAGGGAGGGAGGCATGGATGAGTGAGCAGGCGAGCAGATGAGTGGATGGACAGGTGGGTGGGTGGATGCTCTAAATTTCCCTCATAAAGTAAACAGATTTCTTTAAACCTCTGAAAAGGTATCACCATTCAAGAAGACAAACTTAAACATCTTCCATCACTTACGAAATCTCAGCAGGCATTCAGGCACGCAGGCCAGGCATGCAGGAGTCATTCCGGCCTCCTCCCTCCAATACTCTCAATATATTCAGTGGACCCTCTCTCCACCACCTCTTATTCCCACCTACTCGCTCCCATCTTCACTCATAAGGAGGGTTTCATTATACCAAGGTGCAACACAATCCTATCACCCACACCATACACGTGCACATGTGCACACCTGGCTGAAGACCTCTGCATGCTCCTCACCTCCCACGGACAGAGCCCCCACCACCCCCAGTGCAGTACCCCTGGCCCCTCAGTCTGGTCCCTGCCCCAGGGTCTCCCCAGCCAGCACCCACATTGTGGCTGCACTGAGCTACAGCATTCTTCCCCAACTGAGCCTGCCAGTCATCAGCCCGTACTCCTACCGCTGCCTGGAAAGCCTGCCACGCCCGCACCCTGGGTCTCGATCCCCCTGAGTGATCAGCCCGTACTCCTACCTCTGCCTGGAAAGCCTGCCACTCCCGCACCCTGGGTCTCGACTCCCCTGGCTTTCAGGATTCACTTCAAGCACCACTCCCTCCGTGAAGACTCTGCTGCCACCTGTTCCCTCCCCACTCTCTTTTTGGAAGAGCCAACCACTCCCTACTGTGTGGCCCTCTAGTTCCCACTCCTCTCCACTGGGTCACTGGCTGATGGCTCCAGCCTGACCTTCGGGCTGCCTGCCAGCTAAGGCCAGGCCCAACTGCTCTGTCCAGGCCTGTCCATACAAACAAGGCACAGGAGGTAGACTTCAGGAACACACGCTCCGACAGATGGATGAATTACATCGCTGCCATACAAACTCAGCCCCGCAGAGCCAACTACACTTGCACCCTGGGGAGTCGATCCCTTCCTACCCTGCCTACAATCCTAAATCTTACTGGGCTTGGTAGGCTCCATCCCCAAAATCACCATCAACCCGGGACCTACAAAGGAGGGACCTGGGACCGACAGGTGAAGTCTCTCAACCCAAGGAGACTACCCAGAGTGGCATGACCAGCCCTAAAGTCCAGGCCCCCCGCCACCCCACGCTAGCATGCAGTGCACACGGCTGTTCAGGTGAGTAACAGAGCCACCACCTAACACAGCAGGCACCTGAGAGACGCGGGTGGAATGAGGAATATGTTCGCGCACATATATTCATACACGCTTTCCATTTTCAGTTGACAACTTTCTAGAGAGAACTGAATATTTAACATCAAAGACCAAACCCACTCAACAACACAGTGCCATTTAAGAATTTCTCATGTACCAAAGCTTAGCAAATGATGCGAATGCTATTTAGCCGAGCTGCAAGTAGCGGCCAGAGGAGCCGTGTGGGGCCAGAGGGAGATGAAGAAGCAGGGCGGCAACCCCTCAGCCAACAGTGCTGCACCACGAGTCACCAACGCGCAGCCCCAGCCCTGCCGAGCCCCTAGGGCGTGAAGCAAGCCCAGGGGACGGCGTGTGACTAGAAGACAGGCAGGCTGGGTCCCTGAAGGCAGGCACGGGGCACGGGTCCAGCTCAACAGCCCTTAGGTCCACTCACCAGCAAGCCTCTGAGGGGCCTCTGAGCCCCCAAAAGGGTCAGGAGCAGGGGGCAGAGGGGACAGGGGCCACACAAGAACAGGAGCAGCAGCAACAGAAGGAAGAAGGAATGACACAGAGGCGGTGACTCCACGGAAGCTGGCCACACAGAGTTAGGAAGAAATGGGGAAACTCTGCCCAGCACCTCCTAACCAAGAAGGCCCGGGGTGCCTGAGGCCACTGACATCCCTCCACGTGTGTCCAGAGGACCGCGGCAGCCAGCAGCCACTGGACCCAGCTCTGTCGCCACACGGCATCCTCTACAGCCCAGGGAACAAGCAGTGCAGCGCCCCAGGAGCACGCACCCTGGACAGAGGGAGTCAAGGCAGGCACCGCCCAGAGCAGGGGGCAGTCGCACTGCAGTGCTGGGTGTGAGTGAGTGAGTGTGTGAGTGTGTGTGTGTGTGTGTATGTGTATAGGAAGAATTTAGGCAGTGGAGCACCCCCACCATTTAACAAGGCCCCTCACTTTCAGAGGGCCTGTCTCACACATGCACGCACACACACACACAAACACACACTTTCTCAAGGCTATATCTACTCATAAGCATGAATGCAGTACTTTCCTCAGCAGCCTAAGTGCTGGATAAAACCAATTTGGCAAATAGGACATACCCAACTTCACCCAGGGAGGATGCCGAGGGGAGCCCAAGTCCTCTCGGCACAACAAGCTCCCGGGCTCTGTGGACCATGAAACAGGCTGCTGCAGGGGAGAGATCTGCGCAGGCCGGGGCCTCGACTCGGTTCCACAGCAGGAGCCTCCATGAGGCCCGCATCTCTGAACTGTACCTGAGATAGACCGAGTTCTGCCTGAGCACAGCCTCGGGAGAGACATGGAATGCACTATGCACTACGGGGCAAATCAGGACCACCAAACAGGCACGGCAGGAGGTGGCTAAGCCTTCAGTTAGCAAACAAACAGTGCTGAAGCACCTGCCAAGTGAGTGCCCTTTCACAGGCAACCCAAAGACCCAGCAATTACCTTCTTCCCCTCATCCAAGTCAGGACAGAGGGCCTCTGCCCACCCAGACTCCGGGACGCTCCGCACCAGCCTGGGTAGTAATGTACTTTAAAAGAGCACGCTTGTATTACTTTGAGGAAAAATGGAGAATTCCAATTTCTTACTGACTGAAGAAAGCTATCAGTCAGTCCAAATTCTTCAGATTTAACTCGGCTTGATGTCCGCTGTCATCCAACTGACATGTAAATAAAGGACAGCCAGCTCAAGCATTGAACAAAAATGACCTTTAACGTGGCAAGCAGGCTGCAACGGTGAAAAGTGGGTGTCCCGTGGAGGCGTGTGACACTGCACACAAAGCCTGGCTCTGCCGCTAAAGGCACAGGCTTTTAGGGCACTGCTCCTGAGGTCCGCCCCTCAGAGAATCCCAGGGAGACCTGCGGACCCCACACGCCATCACCACTATAGCACACCCCAGATGCGTGTGGCATCCAGCCCCTTCCCCCGACTCCACTGCCACAAGCCTGACCACCATCACCTTGTGCCTGGTCCGCAGTGACAGTCTCCTGGCTGGTCTTCCTGCTAACACCCCCATGCTCCACATCCCGCTGAGCAGCAGAGGTTGCTGCTAAAAATGTCAGGTCACACCATCCGGCCCCCGTGGCTTTCCAAGACCCTGACGAGACAATGCACTCCTGAGCATGGCTTCAGGTGTGTGCCTGGCCGCTCCCTGCTCTCTGGCCTCCTCGCCGGCAATGGGTGCTCTCTCACCAGGCCCAGCCACTCTGCGGCTGTCTCAGGGCCTTTGCACTGCTGCTCTTTCCACCTGGAATCCCCGTCTCCCAAACTTCCCACGGCTCCCACGATGTTCCACCCAAGTCTTAGTTCACATGCATCTCCTCAGAGACAAGCTCCTCTGCCACCTCCCTACCCAAAGCAGCAGCTCCTCCACCGCACTGCCCCGGCTCTGGCCTGTGGCTCTCACCCAGTTCAAGGTGGGTCCCTGGGAAGGGTTTCCTCCACCCACTTTACAGCAGTGCCCTCAGTCCTGCACGGCCGGCACAGAGGAGGACTGGGAAGCTCTTTGTGGCTAAATGGAGGTGTGGATGGTGGAGGCGCAGATGGTGGAGGCGAGGATGGTGGAGGCGAGGACGGTGGAGGCGAGGATGGCGCAGCTGCTCCCTGATGCCCTGCATGTGAGCCCTCCCCTTCCTCCCTTCTCCAGGTTTTGTGCCATTGGCAGGACCTGGGCTCATTCTGGGGGTCTGTGTGGACAGATAATGAATGCCATGGGTGCCTGCCTGGGTTTGTGATCAGCCTCTCCCATCTGTTTCCTCTACCAGGCAATGCTGCAGCCTGGCACTTCAAACGTCAACCAGTCAGGACCTCAGGGCCCCCACCTGTCTGAGTGGAAAAATGCACAGAGAGGAAGGGGCAGAAGTAACTCCATTGAAAGGGACAGGGAAGATAGAAGCACTTGGTGAAGGGAGACTGCAGAGAGGTGACGGGAAGAGAGGGTAGTGAAAGCTGAGGAGGGAGGAGGAGAGGAGCCTTCTATGCAGAGAAAAGAGCATGTGTGCACACACGGAGAAGAACACACGCACACACACACAAAGAAGAGCACACGCACGGAGAAGAGCGCACACACGTGAAGAGCACACACACACAGAAGAGCACACATGTGGAGAAGAGCACATGCACACAGAAGAGTACACACATACGAAGCGTGCACACAGAGAAAAGCCCGTGTACACAGAGAAGAGTGTAAGTGCACCAATCTACACACACAGAGAAAAGCTCATGTGCACAGAGAGCACACGCGCACACATGAAAAGCACATGCGCACATATACACACGCAGGAAAGAGCCCATGTACACACACAGAGGCACAAGTGCACATACACAAAAAAGAACACACACACATGCACCTAGAGCACACACACACATACACACACACACACACACACAGTTCAGGGTCCATCTGGGACACACACACAGCCACGGGCCAGTGAAACAGCTCAGGGTCTATCTGGGAAGTACATGTGGCTGAGAAACGGAGCGAGCAGCCTTTCCTTAGTGACTTGCTCGTAGGTGGAGAGCTGTTTCTTTTCTCCCTGAAAAGCCTTCCTATTTCCAAGCCTTCCTATTCCAAGGATCTGGGATGGAGAGGCCCTGCCAGATGAAACCCATGGTGAGTGCTCCCGCGCCTGCCATCAGCGCAGAGTCTCTGCTACTAAGAGGAGGCCTGAGCGTCTTTCCTGCTGAGGGATGTGCTGCCTGCAAGCTGTGTTCAGGCCCACCATTCCCACTGTAGACAGCGGCGCCCAGGCAGCTAACCTATCCTAAATGCACACCAGCCTCGCCAATTAAATCACTGCCACAAACCACACAGAGCTGTGCAGCCCCTCCCCAACATTTATTCTGGGCAGGCTCTCCTTGCTCTCCATGTAATTATGGATCTAAACTCACCTTCTGGCTGCTTATCTCCCTCCAACGATAGCTATTAATTTAGAAAGTAAGAAAACATATACGATTTACATTTTTTTGGGTAGCAGTAGGGAAGAAAAGGTAAATAACTGCTTGAATTTCCTGCAGCTGCCCTTTCTCCCATCACTGCTGTGCTGAGGGCAAGCCAAGAACCAAGATGGCTCCACCCTGGACTAAGCCAAACGCAGGTCGCAGGTCCCAGGCGCCCCGCACGTGGCTGAGAGGCTAATGTGAGCCCCACCTGCCAGGACCTCCCACCACCCACCAGGAAACTGCAAAAGGGGCAGCCATCCCACCAACACAGCAGACAGAAACCTATCCTCAAAATGCTACCACAGATCAGCCTTGTCTAGACTCAGGAGGAAAATCCCCAACACCTACAATAATGGAAACAAGGTTCCATAAACAGAGAACGTCTGGGACACGGGAAGGTCATGCCCCCAGAAGGATGGAGAAGGACCACTGATTCCTGCCCGCCCACAGGTTGAGGAACAGCCTGTGGGAAACCAGCAAGGCAGGGGGAAGCTTGGCCCCTAGGTTCAGGACATCCCTGGCCATGCCCCAGAGGCTCCCTTGGCCCCAACTTCTGGGACCGCTGGCCCTCGCGTGTCCGCCTTGAGAGACCCACTCAGCTCAGTCCCCAGAGGCCCCGCCTGTCCCCCACCCGCCAACCGACCGCAGGCTTCTCTTCCAGCGGCCACCCCGTGCCCTCCTCCCCGGGGCCGGCTGCAGGGCTGGAAGCTAAGGATGCTAGCCCAGGGGATGGCTACTCAGGACACCCTGCACGGACCCAAATCAATCTGCTGCTTTACCAACTTGCTCATGAAAGGCTCTGAGCAGAGGCGACAGGCACAGACCCTGAGCTCCTCTTCATGCTGGCAAGCTATGAAGCCAACTCACAGGATGACTGTCTCCATCAGAAAGGACAGAGGCCTCCTCCAGGCCCAGGCTTCCCTTTCCTTGCTGCTTGCTGTTGTTTTCACTGCCTCATTCCTTTTTATCTTTTGTCTTGAATCACTTCATATGAGTTATGCTGGTGTTTTGAAATGGCAAAAACTAGTTCTAATCCCAAAGCAATTTAGTATCATTTTAAAAACTCCTTCCGAAATCACCTGATTTGTACTGTGGTGCCTAAGAGTCCCCACCGTCCCCCTCTGAAAGCCACAGAGGCTTTAAAACATTTTCTCAGCCGGGCGCGGTGGCTCACGCCTGTAATCCCAGCACTTCGGGAGGCCGAGGCAGGTGGATCACGAGGTCAGGAGATCGAGACCATCCCGGCTAACACGGTGAAACCCCGTCTCTACTAAAAATACAAAAAATTAGCCGGGCATGGTGGCAGGCGCCTGTAGTCCCAGCTACACAGGAGGCTGAGGCAGAAGAATGGCGCGAACCCGGGAGGTGGAGCTGGCAGTGAGCTGAGATTGCGCCACCGCACTCCAGCCTGGGTGACAGACTAAGACTCTGTCTCAGAAAAAAAAAAAAAAAATTTTCTCGGCCGGGTGCAGTGGCTCACGCCTGTAATCCCAGCACTTTGGGAGGCCGAGGCAGGCAGATCACCTGAGGTCAGGAGTTCAAGACCAGCCTGACCAACATGGAGAAACCCCATCTCTACTAAAAATACAAAATTAGCCGGGCGTGGTGGCGGGCGCCTGTAATCCCAGCTACTCGGGAGCCTGAGGCAGGAGAATGGCTTGAACCCGGGAGGCAGAGGTTGCTGAGAGCCAAGATCACACCACTGCACTCCAGCCTGGACAACAAAGCAAGACTCCGTCTCAAAAAAAAAAAATTCGTTTTTCATCCTGGTCACCAGCAGGCAAGCCAGGAAAGCACTCGCGGCTGAGAGCACACTCGGATGGTATTGCCGAGGGTTACCCTGAAATTATCTTGCCGCGTGATTTTCACCACAATGAGCTCGCCACATAGACATCACTGAAAGCCTGTTATAAGAAAAAGAGGTCCCATCCCCAACACCAAAGGACACATGCTGTGGGACTCTGAAGCCCTGCATCAAATAATCGTACCTTTTTTTTTATTCTTTTTTCAAAAAACCGCATTGAGCCAGTTCTAAGCTTTTGCTCTCAGACTGGTAGGTAGGTAGGTAGGTAGGTAGGTAGGTAGATAGATAGATAGATAGATAGATAGATAGATAGATAGATAGATAGATTTTATTTAGATATGTATATATGTATACATACACATATATATATACATATATATGACAGATTTCATATCATTTTTTTCCAAATAAGCATTTTCAAAGTCTACAGGGTGACACTTAAAGGGGTCTGGGTAAAAATTAAGCATGCCACCTCCCTTGAAGGTGCGTCCACGGGCAGCGGGGCACTCGGCAGCAGCCCAGCAAGCTCTGAGCAACTGATGCTTTTCCCGGTTTGCTGGGAGTTCCTACCACCCCTCAGTCCCAACCACTACCCAGTGCCTCCACTGCTGCCTTAGACAGTCTCAGCCAGAAAAGAAGTCAGGTAAGAATCTCTTCAAGGAGATTCCTTTCCACCCCCGTCCACTGGGGCTGTCTCACAGCAGCGGCCCAGCCGAGAGGAAATACACTCCTGTGTGCTGCTTCTTACCCTGCTGGGGCAGGCAGGGGGAAGACCTGGCTGCTGCAAAACATTGAGGGGGCCTCTCAGACTCCCCATGCCCCTGGACAGGGCCCGATTCCTCGCAACTCCCTCAGGACCTTGCTGGTCCCTCTAGACTCACGCTCAGAGCAGCAACCAGAGGCGAGAGCTAGGGTGGAAGTCCACTGAAGCGAAACAGGAAGAGCCGACAGGTCCCCAAATTCAAGCGGCAAAAGCCAGAGGTACTAAGCCAAGAATCTCAGAGAAGAGGCCTAGCCAGCCGGAGCAGCCATCAGGGCGGGGAGGGCAAACAGGCTGGCTCCATGCCTGGTCCACAGCTTCCCCGAGTACAGACGCCCCCGCAGGCTGAACTTCGCTCTGCTACCATCCTGTGGGTTCTCGAAGGGGAGCCCCTTCGCCTGCAGCCTGGGATGGCTGTGCCACTGCACTTCACCTCAACCCTCGGCCCTCAGCCCTCGGTCCCGAACGCCCACCAGGCTGAGGTCTGTGACCCCCTGCAGGGCGTGAGGCTGGGTTGCAGAGTCCCCTGAGGAAAGAGATCCACAGAGACTCCAGGTGCACCAGGGAGAGATCCACGGCCCAACCGGGCCAGGAAATAGAAGAAATCACAGAGCAGAGACGTGAGGCGGCCCCAGCAATTGGGCATGACCCTCCAGAGTGGACTGCCCCATACGCTGCCCCTCCTCGGGCTGTCTTCTCCAATTCTTTCAGCCACCCTGGAATGCAGTCGGCAGGATACAAACTGTGGTTTCATTGACAACTGTATATGATCTCTCTGGGTTTCACGCACATCTGTCTTCATCCCTCACTTCAACTGTGCGCTGCTGAGGACAGAGACATCTGAGTCTTCGTGTCCCCACGTGCCCACCGGGTGTCTGTCTGCTGGTGTTCTTCGGGAATCACAACCATTACAACTTTGTGTGTCAAAAATGCAGGTGTGTTGCTTGCAGTTATCGCAGGAAAGGTGAAAACAACGTGCCCACTTGAACGGGACTCTGAGTGGAGGCGAAGAGTCAGCTCAGTGGAAGGGCTGGTTTAGCGGACACAGCGGGGCTCTGTCCCAGGACAGCAACTCGCATTCCAGCAAGTGAGCTGTCGCTTAAGTGGTGATATTATCTAGCAAAGGGCAATAAAGGAAGGACGCCCTAAGGATGCGGCTGTGTTTAAGGACAACACAGAATAATCT
Organism: Homo sapiens; assembly: GCF_000001405.40. NCBI lineage: Eukaryota > Metazoa > Chordata > Mammalia > Primates > Hominidae > Homo > Homo sapiens. The sequence goes on along the minus strand of NC_000022.11, from coordinate 46,902,477 downwards.
GAAATGGTTCAAACAAGAAGTACTCACTGGATATCATTAGCTACTAAAGTTCTAGTAACATTCTTGATGTTCACGTCTTTGTTAGAGAGTGGGAATTCATTAAAAGTAGTACAAACTTTAAACTCTTCCCAAAGTATCTTTTCTGCAAATCAGTTAATACTCAACAATAATAAAAATGGTTGCTACTACTGGGTACCACCAGGGCTGAAGAAATTTAAAAACCAGAGGTATTCCCAGCTTGCTTGCCAAACTTCAGAAATCTGAACGCCAGAACATGCATGCTAATTCGGAAGGAAAAGGTTCTTCCTAAAAACCTCAACAGCACTCTCCCACAGAAGGCTCCCAGGAGGGGCTTGAGGTCCCCTACTAAGGACCCCGGTCTTCACCGTGTCCACCTAACAAACACCCCGCATGCCTCCAAGGCAGGCCCAGAACACCAGCAGTTCAGTGCACACGAGGGAGCTCAGAGATTTTGCATAACTAAAAAGGAACTATATTGAAATTGAAAATGTTGCTGTACTCACGTTTATAAACAATCTGATTTGAGAAATTTTAAAACATCATAATTCTATATGCATCAGCAATGTGACATCACGGTATACAAAGCGCCATGGAGATAATTTCTGGGAGAGGAGCAAAATAGAGAATTCTACTGAGAAGACCTGTGGGATGTACAGCCCTCAAAATCCAGAAGCATCGTAGCGTCAGAAAGAAGAAATTATTTACAACTCAAGTTTCTGCAACATGATTCAAGGAACATCCCCCCCCCATGTGAGTTATAACACTTGATGAATGAAACCAAAATCGAACTGTAGAAATCTAGAATTGGGTTAAAAGGCAACCATATATCACATAAAATCCACACTGAGTATACCAAAACTACTGACTATATGTTTACAACCTAATTAATGGGTAGAACTCTCTCGCGATGAGCAGAAATGCCACATTTGGTGTGTGAATTACTCAACATTCACCTCATTCAAATACGTTAATTTACAGCCCACGTTTTGTGCCCACGTCAGGTGTCTTAACAGGTTAGCAAAACACAGAGGTTTCCTTATGTCCAAAGAACTAAGTACTGAAAATAAACAATACTTTCACACCAAGGATCACATCACTATTACCAGAGAAAACAACGCAGCTGAGAGGATTCCACATCCGGGCATAACTGAAGAATCAGTACAATGGTCAGAAAGCACTTTCCAAATTAAAGAGAAACCTGGCTTCCACGTCTGGCAGCGTGGCACATCACATGTTAGCAAACTTAATCCTGCAGTGTGGCCTGGCACGTTAGATGCCAACAAACTTCTGAAATACACTTTTAAAAATCCATCATGACCAATCTGGATTTATTTCAGGAATATACAGTTGGCTCAATACTAGAAAATCTAATAAAATTCACTACATTAACAGATCAAAGAAGCAAAAACATATCTCAGATGGGAGGAAAAAGGATTTGATAAACCTCCACAACCATTTATGATTTTAAAACTAAGAGCAAGGCACCTTCCTTAACATAGTAAAGATTAAAATCACAAGTCAATGGTGCAACGTTAAAAGACTTCCCTTTAAAATCAGCAGTGAGAACAGGATGTTTGCTTTCCCCAATAAGATTAGTACATGAAGGTTTAGAGAAAATTTATTTTGTAATGGGCAAAAATTAGAAAGAACTCCAGTGTCCGTCAACGGGTGCACAGACAGACACACTGTGGTACGGCCATACGGGAACACTACTCAGCAGGAAAAGGCAATGAACTCCTGATCCTTGCAACAGCATGCACAAACCTCAAAACCACTACACTAAGTAAAAGAAGACACAGACTAAAGTCTACAGTTTCTAGGACTCCATTTATATGAAATTCTACAAAAGGGCAGAACTCTAGAGACAGAAAGAAGATCAGCAGTTGTCAAGTGCAAGGGTGGGGAGAGGAGACTGACACAAAGGGACATGGGGAACCTCGCAGAGTGACGGAAATGTTCTGTATCACATATTAGGGAGCTGGTACACACCTATAAACACAGCTGTCAAGCCGGGCACAGTTACTCACGCCTGTAATCCCAGCACCTTGGGAGGCCAAGGAGGGTGGATCTCCAGGTCAGGAGTTCAAGACCAGTCTGACCAAGATGGTGAAACCCCATCTCTATTAAAAATATAAAAATTAGCTGGACATGGTGGTGGGTGCCTGTAATCCCAGCTACTCGGGAGTCTGAGGCAAGAGAATCGCTTGAACCCAGGAGGCGGAGGTTGCAGTGAGCCGAGATCGCACCACTGCACTCCAGCAGCCTAGGCAACAGAGCGAGGCTCCATCTCAAAAAAAAAAAAAAAAACCACAGCTGTCAAAACATCCAATTATAAACCTAAAATACGTGAATTTTATTAGACCTCGATAAAGCTGACCAGAGGGAGAGAAAGAGAAAGGGAAGGAGAAAAGGAGGAAGAAGGAAAGTAGAAACTGATCACAGTGGACCCAGCCATCACCTGTGGAATGGATAAGCAAATGTTTCGATAGATGCAGGGGGTTGGAGGGATGCTTACGGCAGAAATCCTTCTTCCTATTAGCAGCCCAAACTTTAGGGGAGCACACAACTAAAAAAATCAAAGTTACATTTTCCCTGATCCATACAGCTAAGTATACAACCATGTCACTTTGGATGACAGGCTAAGTTACAGCCAGTAGGAAACAAGCAGAAGTGCTATGAGCAGCTGCTGGGACACATCTTTAAAGTGGGGGTATGGCATTCTCTACCCACGTCTTATTATCCCTGCTAGTGGAATGCAAATGTGATAAAGAGTGCTAGGCCAGCCACCTTGGACCATGAGGTCAAAGCCAAGCATATAGAGGAACAAACAATGTGCTGACAATGACCTCGTACTGGAGATAGTAATCGAGTTCTGGCCTGTGAAGGCACATTCGGGATTTGCCATCACTTGCAGATGTATTGAAATCTAACCTCTGCACCTCTACAATGCCAGAAACCATAACTCAATTTTTTCTACTGGCCAACACAAGACAAATTTTTTTTTTTTTTTGAGACGAAGTATTGCTCTGTCACCCAGGCTGGAGTGCAGTGGCGCCACCTCGGCTCACTGCAGCCTCCACCTCCCGAGTTCAAGCAATTCTCCTGTCTCAGCCTCCCAAGTAGCTGGGACTACAGGTACGCCCCACCACGCCTGGCTAATATTTTTATTTTTCATAGAGACAAGGTTTCACCATGTTGGCCAGGCTGGTCTTGAACTCCTGACCTCAGCTGATCTGCTTGCTTTGGCCTCCTGAAGTGCTGGGATTACAGGTGTGAGCCACCACGCCCGGCCAAGACAAACATTTCAATACTTTCCTAAAGCCCCTTGCTCATCATTCAGTTTCCCCACACACACAAGGCTGTGCTCAGGTTACCCACTCTTCACACTCTGCCAGCCTGCAGGAGCCTGGCTCTCCCAGAAGCTCATCTACCCTCCAAGTTGATCCACTCTGCCAAGCCTTGCTGAACTGGGACCTGGAGAGGATCAGCACCCCCAGGGGGAGCACATAGGACCTGAGCAAGACCCACTGCAGAGGGAGTGAAAGGAAATTGAATTTCAAAATCCCAAACTCATTGAGCCAAAGGGAAAAGTCAAGCTGGGACCTGGGCCATGCAAACTTGCCTTCCCCTTTTGGTTCCAAAATAAGATGGCTACACGATGAAGCTACATGCCTCCCCCATATTTTGCCCACAAGGAAATTCCTAGTGAGCTGCAAGATCTTTTAAGGTGTTTCTGTAAAAATTTCACCATGGCAGTGTAAATGGACAACTTATGTTCACAGGTGCACCCCAGCCCACCAGACACAAATGCATATCTGATTGTTCCCTGCCCCATTGTGTCTAGGTTATCTTATGTAACATGCAGACTCCCTGCATTTTCCCTCTGCTCCATTTGTCTATGTCGTTTTAGGTTAAAAAAAAAATGCAGATTCACTGAGCCAGACAAAGGCATGAATGTTTTTCTCTGTCTCCCTCATATATGAAAACTGTGCACTTCTCAATATCCAGCCCTGTCCCCTTTAAATTTGGAGCCCTGAAAATCATCCCGGGAGAAAGACATAGACCTGTCTCCCAGGCGTGTGTCCTTAACTTTGGCAAATAAACCTCCTAAAAATGATTGAGCGTTGTCTCATCATTTTTCTCAATTGACAGGGGAGGCTTTCCAAACCAACAGCTCAAGGCCCATGGTGGTCAGAGACAAGAGGACCAATTGCCAATTGCTACCACTAGCCGTGACTCAGGGTCCACACTCTGAGACCAAGAGGCCTGAGAGGTCAGCTGTACAAAGAATGCAGCAAGTGGTAGGAAAAAATAAATAAGAATAAACCAAAGGTCCTGTGGCAGGCTCTATTTCCCATTTTTAAAATCGTAAGTAAAAAGGAGGTTATAACAAATTATCTCATTTTCCAGGTATGATAGGCACAACTACTAAAAAGGACAATCAAAGAGAAGTGTCTCAAAATGACTACTTCTGTTGGATACTAATTTTCTCTTTTTGTATTCTACAATCTGTAAATACTTTTGCTTTAACAATCCTAAAGTTTTTTTTTAACAGATTTACTGCACAGACAAGAAATGTCAAAGTTTAAACGTGCCTTTACTGAAGCAATCAACATGCAAAACAAAATATCTCAAATAATAAAAATTTCAGCTTTAAAGAGATAACATTTACTATAACAAGAAAAACATGTGATAACTAAGAATAAATCTAATAAAACACGTCAGGCAGGAGAATAGGGTCTGGAGGCAGGTAACCTAAGGCCAATTCACACTAGCTTCCTAGAACTAAAAAAAAAAAAAAAAACACAAAAAAAAACAAAACGAAACAAAACAAAAAAAAACAACTTTCCATGCCCAGGTAACAAAAGGACCAGAGGCTACTGCCTTCACAATCCACCCCTCTTCTGCGTGGCAGATGAAAAACTGAAAGTACCTCTGATTGGTCCCCTCCAGCAACCTAGCAGCCTGGTCCCAGGCCAAGTCTTCATCTGCATAGGAATATAATTTTGTGACTTCAGCCTCTGATTGGTCACTTTCTGCAACCAATCAGACATTTGCATAGGGTGCTTCACTTCAGCCTCTCATTGGTCGCTTTCTGCAACCAATCAGACTGATAGCGGGCCACTACTTCATTTACATAGGGTGTACACTAAGTAACCGATGGGAAACCTCTAGAGGGTATTTAAACCCCAGAAAATCCAGTTACCAGGCCCTTGAGCTGCTTGCTCAGGTCCACTCCCGACCTGTGGAGTGTGCTTTCATTTTCAATAAATGTCTGCTTTTGCTGCTTCATTCTTTCCTAGCTTTGTTTGTGCATTTTGTCCAATTCTTTGTTCAAAGCACCAAGAACCTGGACACCCTCCACCGGTAACACATGTACGAGACGCTTCATAGGGGAAATTCAAAACCTTCACTGAAAAGCATTAAAAATGACTTTTAAAAGAGGAACTAGCACATTCACAAAAATGAATATTTAATTTCATAAAGCTATCCATTCTCCCAAACTAAAAACTGTCTTTTCTGACCCCTAACTTTCCATGGAATAGAAAGATTCCATGCAATTCCAGTCATAAACCAAACAGACCCAAAAAACAAAAAACAAGTGAAAGACCTTGGCAAACTGACTCTGAGACGTACGTGGAAGAGCAAGGGGTGGGACTGGCCAGTCCACGGTGAAGAGGAAACCAGTGGGCGGTGTGCACCCCCACCAGGTAGGAGGACGTCATGAAGCTAAATTACTTGCGGGGTGCGATATGAAGGGAACACTACGTAAATACTGCGACAAAAAAACAACACAACACAACACAGATCTATATGAATGTGGCAGTGACAGAAAACAGGAGTGACATAACAAATATGGGAGATGAGCTGGACCCAGAAACAGTATGGGGACTGCCACTGTCCCAGGAGGAAATTAAACAGACTCCTGCCTCCCATCACACATGGCCATCAACTGCAGATGAACTGAACACAGAGGCGTGAAAAGCAAAACTTCTGGATGAAAATCTGGGTGAACACCTTCATGTGTAGAAAAAAGTTCTTTAGATAACATGCATCAGTGCTCACCTTAAAAGACTGTTAAGTTCAACCACACTAGAGCTAACAACTTCTGATCATCAAGATCCACCAAGAAAAAAGGAAGAGAAAAGCTGCAGAGGGCAGAAGATCTTTACAACATACAAACTGACAAAGAATCAGAATTCTTACCATGTAAAGATCAACAACTAATAAAGGAGCGAATCGACAAACCAAAAGAAAAATGGGCAAAAGGCAGGAGGAACATTTCGCAGAAGGGGGAAAGACAGAAGACATCCGTAAATATACAAAGAGATGCTTAACTCCGTGAGTAACCAGAGAAACAAACGTGAGGACTGCAACAGGAATATCCACCAGAGCAACAAAAACAGGAAGTCCCACAGCATGAAGAACTGGCAAGGATGTGCGGCGTGCGGAGGGAACACTCACACGCTGCAGAGGACAGTTTATTTGGTAGCGGCCGTCTGGGAAGCTTGTGGACATTATCTTGAAGGTACAACAGGCACACACCACACCCAATGATGCAATAATTGTACTCCTTTGTAAAAGCCTTAGAGAAATCTTGCCTGTGAGCACCTGCATAAATGTACGTGAAGGCTCCAGATAACACCCTTCCTAACAGCAAAACATCAGAAACAACCCAAATGTCCAACAGGAAGAAGACGAAGGAGAGTGAGGAATATTTAAATAACAAACTATTATGTAACTAGATACAACAGATTAGCTGAATCTTAGAAAACAATGAGAGACGCCGGGCGCCGTGGCTCACACCTGTAATCCCAGCATTTTGGGAGGCCAAGGCGGGCAGATCACTTGAGGTCAGGAGTTCAAGACCAGCCTGGCCAACAAGGCAAATCCCTATCTCTACAGAAAATACAAAAATTAGCCGGGCGTGGTGGTGGGTGCCTGTAATCCCAGCCCAGGGAGGCTGAGGCAAAAGAATCACCCGAACCCAGGAGGTGGAGGTGGCAGTGAGCCGAGATCATACCACTGTACTCCAGCCTGGGCGACAGAGCAAGACTCTTGTCTCTAAATAAATAAAGGAAAAAAAAACAAGAGGCAGAGACCAGACTACACAAAGAGTTATGCAGCTCCAAAAGACCCAAATTAAATGAATACATTGTGTCCCTACTGTCCCATGAATGAAAGTCACAAAGAATCGTAAACATAAAAGGCAAGAAAGCGTCATCCAGGAAGGGGGTTGCACAGGGGTGGGGGATACACAAGCGGCCTTGGTGCTCTGGGTCAGGCCTGAGGTCAAGGCCATGTTTGTAGCTGGGCAGCACTGGGGGGTTCTGTTTCCTCAATCTGGTGGTGGAACATGAGTGCATACATCCACACATATGTATTACATACATTCTTCGCTGTGTGTCAATATTATACAGTAAAAATATTTAAAGAACAAATAGAAGTCCTGTCAGCAACTGTGTCCACAAGGGCTAGATGCACCGGCAGCTCACCACAGCAACCTTGCTTCTGGGTGAAGCACCTCCGGCTGCGCCCACTGTCTGGTTAGCACAGTGGGCATCAGCCACTCCCAACGAGGGGAACTCCCCACGGCAAGAGCTTCTTACCTCCGTCACCTTGGGCTGCAGGATCAACGCTTCAGGGCTCATGCGAGGGATGTCTATGTGGATCTGGAGAAGCAGGAGAAACGGACATTTATGTTACGTCACAACAAACATCATTACGAGCGATATGATTAAAACAGCAATACTGAGGTAAGTCCTTCCCCGGCCTCTACCCCGCTCTCTCCTTGAGGATTCTCGTTCTCCATGTTACCACCTTCTCCCCTGAAGGAGGTATCCAAAGCCTGTTCTCTCTGAACAGCTCGCCCAGGCCTAGGCGACAGGCTTGCTTGACACTGTCCCTATCCAGCAGCCGTTGCTGCATGATTAGAAACAGAGCAGGCCTCGGCTGCTTAGTAACATCAGCCATAGCAATTAGTAAACATCGATTTTCAGCCTCTGACACAGACAGCAATTCAAGTACATCAATAGTTTACAAGTTTTCAGCTGTGACAGCTTCTTCCTGGACAGAGGCCACATTTTTCTCCACTTTATGAAGTCCTGGGGGAATCTAGAACATTTCTCAAAGGAAGCCTTTGAAAGCCTCTGTTAGTGTCAGCTGGTTCCTGCTTGGCCACCGTCTGACATCAGAGTCATAATAAAGTCCCCAACACTGCAGAGGAGGACACTTGTGGTTCAAGAAGCAACCAAACAAGAGTGTTGTGGGCTTGGCCTGGCATCACAGGCAGGCTCCCGACATCCCACGTGAACATCTCACACTAGCCCACGCTCCCGTTTATCCAGGACAACGGCACCAATGGACTGAGGGAAGACAGGCACATTTTAATGCCAAGGGAGATGCTGCAATTGCATTTCATTTCGCCCCATCCTTGCACATCTCCACAGAGGACTCTAACACCCAGGAGGCTGGGACATCATCACTCTGCCACTTATCACACTGTGGCCAGGCCTCAGTTTCCTTGTCTACAAAATGCCTGCTCCAAGTATCTCAAAACGTTACTGGTGAACATCAAGATTGTGAGTCAACAGCCAAATGGAGTAAGCTGAGGCACACACACACATCTGTGATGCGTGCCAAAGGAGGCCCGCCAGCAGCAGTGCTGCCGAGGAGGAGGAGGAAGAGGAGGAGGCAGAAGCAGCACTACTCTATCCAGACAGGCAGGGCCAAAGGACTGAAGCTGGCCCCATGCAGGAGCCCAGGTGCCAGCAGGGACAAGGGCCCAGGTCTCTCATCAGGGTGTCCTGGCGGCCTAATTGCTCTCCCATACAGTTACACTCGTGTGGACACACATCTGTCCCCAGCATGAGCAGCATAAGCTCCTGCAGGGCAGGAACCAGGTCTGAGCCACCTCTGCATGACCAGGGCCAGCAAAGCCCGCTTACATAGGAGCTCCTGTCACACATTTATTGAGCAGACGAGGCAGCATCCACCAGACCCAACCCCTGCCATCATCCCCATTGTCAGGAGAGGCTCCAACATTAGAGAGGCGGTCCTCCACAAGGCTGGGCAGGTGGGGCTCTGTGCACCCCTCCATCCATCCCGCCTGCCTCCCATCATACACAGAACTGGGCAAATCAGAAAAAGGCCACAAGAGAGCTGACTGAGGGAGGAAAAGACAGACCAGATGAACGTTTAACTCTGACTCCATGTGGCTCTCCATGTGGCTTTGACACAGCATCTTCAGCAGAAGAGTGAGCACATAAAAATCAAATGAAGAAAGGATGGAAAGCAAGCGGGAAACCTGCCGAGGCCACCCCACTCCTGCTGCCTCCACCAGTGTGCAGGGGTGGCATTGCCCACTGCGGGTCAGACGGCTGGTCGGGCTCAGTCCACAGGTCAAACGCCCAAGTGGATGTAAAGGAGAAACCAAGGTCTCCAAACCCCCACCGGGCCCAGCTCTGCCTGAAATGGCGATGGCGAGAACGCAGAAGGCGCAGTTCTAAGAGGCCTCAAAGCATCAGGCAGACAGGAAAAACTACCGCGTTGCCACAGGCGTGTCTCATCTATATTAATGTAGAAATAGTCTGGGAATTCACAATAATCTGGAACCTTTTTATTACCTATCACAGTAACTAAATAAAGATGTATGCAACCTGTTCGTAATTAACTTTCTCTTCCAACACTCATAACAGAATTCCACTTGGTAAAACTCGCAGATAGATGCTAGTGTCATCCTTTGGAAATCTTTTCTGAAATTAAAATGCATTAAAAAATAGGTTCAAAACAACGCCAAATTTATCAATTTCCTAAAACCAGTGGAGTGGCAAAAGAGGCCAGGTAAGCTAATATTTCCTTAAGCAAATCCAAAGTAATCTGTGTATCAAATCAGTTTCCCAGAGTAACTGGGTGGCGGTCCAGTGCGGTCCAGGGGCCCTGATGAGAGACAGAAGGCAACACGGGCCAGGGGCAGCTCCGGCCTGGAAGGAAATGGAGATGGCTGCTTTGCCCCAGCCTCACTCCTAAGCAAGTCACCTTTCCTCCTGCAGCCCTGTGTCCCATCCGTCTTTGAAGCTGCTGTCCAGGAAGGCATTTAACTTAAAGAATCTTTGTTATGTAACAGAGGTAAGGCATATATTTGGACTTTTTTTTTTTTTTACAGATAAAACCAACTAACAAAGAGATGTGGCTATCCCACAACTGAAAGAGAAAATGTGGCAAAGCTCCATCACCTAGAAGCAGGGTTTGCAGAGGGAAACATTCCTGCCGTGCCTCAGGAAACCCAGAAGCTGGTTTCAGATAGCTAAGACAATAATACCAATTAAGAACCACCATTTTGACCTTTCACATATTACAAAGACAGTGAGAATTATAAAGTCCTCAAAGAGCTATTCTAACAGCAAATTCTGGATGTACTGTGAATCATAAATCAATTTTAAGTATTTTCCCATTATGTACATCATCTGTCAACTGACTATTTAAGAAACCATAATTAGACACACTTTATATTAAACTAAATCACAAAATGGTAACTTGGCTACACCTTCTGCTATGATCTGAAGTGTGTCCCCTGCAAAACCAAACTGATGAACACACCTTTCCTGGGTCGGTATCACATCCCTACCTAGACCGAAGAGCCCAGCGCCAGAGAACCCCAGGCAACCTCTCTGTCCTGATGCCATCAGCTAAGTGGTTGGGCCTGGGCCTTTAGGAATGGCCTTTTATTACCAGACAGCAGCTCACTGTGATACAAACTCCCACCATCACCCCAAGGCCGGTCTCAGGAATCCAAGGCATTTATTTTGTAACCTCAATTTAAAATACTCTTTTTACTTTTGTAGAGGGAACTGAAGACAAGCAAGATAGTACTAGCAGAGGAAATTTGCCATTATTTGTTTTAAAATTTATTTATTAGAAAATAAAAATCTGTGAGCTAATCAGGGACCTGCATCTTTAACTCTGACCAACTCCACATGGTTTTGATAAAACATTTCCTCCTATAAATCACAGCAAAGCAAAGTACATCAGGCAACATACGAAAAAAAGAAAGGATTCCCACCTGCCTGTATGTGTCCTGGTGAACTTCGTCGTTCCTAGAATCGTAATAGTGCTCAATAAATGCAAAATATTCTTTTTGTTTTCTCTGGAGAGTGGCTGGTCTCCGGTCTACATTGGCGGGAAGGTAACCCTGGGTGAGAAATAAACAAAAAATATACATGGTTATAGCTAATTCATGGAGTCCCTATTATTAAGCGTGAAATAAAAAGACTTGCATCATACCTAAGCTTGGCATTCTGAAATCTGACACAGAGAGGAGCACAAATTGTGGGAAAAAAGAAACACACACAGAGGAGGTCAGCCAGCTGAACACAATGCAAGCACCACTCCCGACAGCACTCAGGAAGGGGCCTGGGCTTGCGTCCGCAGCCTCCCGGTGCAGGCCCTCCCCACTCACCTGGACAACAGTCCCACAGGCCCTGCAGCAGGTGGGCCCAAGGCTCTTCTACAACAGGGCTGCGAGATGAAACAAGCGCTTCTCTAGAGGCCTCATATACCAGACAGGATTCCAAAGTCTGAACTGTCTTCTAACAGCAACCACGCACACACACCCCACGCACACACACACATATACACGCATGCATATACACACATACGTGTGTACGTACTCTCACTTATGCAAATGTGCTATCTTCAAAGACTCATGGGCCCATGGCAGCTGCAGTCTCAGTACATAAAGGGGACTTGAAGTCAGAAAGGGCCAGGCAGCACAAGGAGGTCACGAAGAGCCTGATTCCTGGGCCAGACTGCCCAGGATTTCATGGTTTCTGTTGCCTTGTTTCTACTTTTTAACTTGACATTATTGACAATATATAGTTGTCCCTAAGTATCTATGGGGGATACCAAAATTCTTAGCTACTCAAGACCCTTATATAAAATGCCATAGTGTTTGCATGTAACTTATGCACATCTGCTTGAATACTTTAAATAATCTCTAGATGACTTATGACACCTGATACAAGGTAAATGCTATGTAAGTAATTGTTATACTGTGTTGTTTTTTATTTATGTTATCTTTTGTTGCACTGTTACCATTTATTTATTTATTCATTTATTTTGAGACAGAGTCTCACTCTGTCGCCCAGGCTGGAGTGCAGTGGCATGATCTCGGGTCACTGCAAACTCCACCTCACGGGTTCAAGTGATCTCCTGCCTCAGCCTCCCGAGTAGCTGGGATTACAGGCACCCGCCACCACGCCCAGCTAAATTTTGTATTTTTAGTACGGGTTTCACTATGTTGGCCAGGATGGTCTCAATCTCTTGACCTCGTGATCCACCCGCCTCAGCCTCCCAAAGTGCTGGGATTACAGGCGTGGGCCACCGTGCCGGCCTTTTTTTCCCAAATATTTTCGAAGCACAGTTGGTTGAATCTGCAGATGCAAAACCCCCAGATATAAATGGCCAATTCTAATTTATAAAATAAGATGCACCCATTTTAAGCAATCAGTTTGGTGGCTTTTGACAAGGGCATCCAGCTATGTAACTCCTGCTCCAAGGAAGATACAGACACACTTCTATCCCCCCGCCCCTGTATACTTCCCAGTATCCTCTGCAGTCCATCCCAGCCCTGGCCGGGGAGGTGCTCACCTCCTCACTGTGCATGGCTGAGGCTGCCCTAGGACTCCCCAGAAATGGAGTCACTCAGGACCTACACATCGTGCAAGCTTTTCCTTCACTCAGCAGCACAGCACCTTCCCAGACGGATCCAAGTTACGTGAATCAGCTGTGATTTCCTTTTTCTAGCTGTGTCCGTTGAACGGATCCACCAGTTTGTTAAAGATTCGCCTGTCGATGAGCATTTCGGTTGTTTCCGGTTTGGGGTTTGTTATATTCCTGCACAGGATTTTCGTGGGCATACGCTTTGGGTTTTCATGGTTAAATACCTAGGAGTCGAGTTACTGGGCCATAACATTGGGATATGCTTAGTTTTCTAAGATGTCACCTCTTTTTCTAAAGAAATTACTCCACTTTACATTCCGACAAGCAATGTATGAGAATTCCAGATGCTACACAGCCTTTCCAACACTTAGTACTGTGAATCTAACTATCAGCCATGCAGTTGGGTGTGGTTTTAATTTCGTTTCCATAATGATTAATGATACCAAACATCTCTTCGTGGGGCCATCGCATCTCTTCTTTGGTGAAGTATCTGTTCAAATCTTTGGCCCAGCTTTTACTCAGGTTGTGTGTCGTCTTCTCACTGAGTTTGACGAGCTCTGTACACACTCTAGATACAAATCTCTTTTTCCTTTGTATTTACTGTCATTCCTCTCCCCAGTCTATGGCTTGCTTTTATGTCTCAAACAGATAAGGTCTTAAAGTTTCATGAAGTCCAGTTGATAGTTTTTCTTTTATAATTAGTGTTCCTGTATCTTATTTTAAAAAGATTTTTGGACAGACGCGGTAGCTCACACCTGTAATCCCAGCACTTTGGGAGGCCGAGGCAGGCAGATCACGACGTCAGGAGTTCAAGACCAGCCTGGCCAACATGGTGAAACCCCATCTCTACTAAAAATACAAAAATTAGCCAGATGTGGCGGCACATGCCTGTAATCCCAACTACTCAGGAGGCTGAGGCAGGAGAATCACTTGAACCCGGGAGGGAAGGTGCAGTGAGCCAAGATCATGCCACTGCACTCCAGCCTGGGCAACAGAGCAAGGCTCTGTCTCAAAAAAACAGAAAAGGCTTTTCTCCTTGTTTTTTTCCTAGCAGTCTTACTGCTGTGCCTGGCCATGTCTTTCTCATCCCTCAAGTGTCTCCAGTGGTCACTTCTCCCATGAAGTCTGACTGGGCTCCTGGTCAGTAGTCACTTCTCCCACGAGGTGGGGCTGGTCACCTGGCACTCCAGCAGCATCTAGCAGGAAGTTCACTCAGGACCAGGCCCTCATGGTACCAACCAGATGGCGGGCACAACAAGCTTTCACTGGGTGAATCACATATGAACGAGTGACTGAATGAACAAATACATCCCGGATGGCACTTTTAGCCTTTGAAAGTGTTTCCCCATCTGTAGTAGACATCACTGTGTTAGCCACCAAACATCTACTCATCCTTGCTCGAACAGAGCCCTGAAGCTGCTCTGGGAGCCACGTCACCCTCTGCCCAACCCTTGTGGTCCGGATGGGAAGCCTCTTCTTTCAGGACAGGTCTTAACTGGGCTAAGCTACACGGCTAAGCCATCTTCCAGCCACCATGACTGACAGTTTGGAGGTGGAGAGGTGGCCCAAGGCAGGAATAGGAGCCAAGCCAGGGCTTTTCTTGGCTGCTGCTGTGAATGAAAGTGAACGCGCACAGTGTGGAGTTGCGGCGGCCACCCTCTGATGGGAGGGGAGAATCACAAGCTACAGGTCCACTGAGAAAAGCTGACCTGAAAGAGAGCGGGACTCAGAGAGCCGCCAGGCCTCGAGCATGAAGCCAGACTCTAGCCCCATCTTTTCAGCTGTGTGAGCACTGGCATTCCTTCCATCCTCCTTAAGCTTCCACTGTCATCTATTCCATATTATAAATTACACTCAGGCACACTCATGTTAACACATTAGGATCACACCACTGAAACTTCTTTTTAATAAATGCTTATTGAAGTATAGCATACTTAGATAAAGGTGTACCCCAAAATCGTGTGCATTATCACAAACTGAACACATCCGTCAATACCACCCAGGTCAAAGCCAGACCATCACCGTCTTAGCAGGCCTCTCGGTCACCGCCCCTTACCTCCTCCCCTCCTAAGTGGCATTTTTTCTGTCTGGCTGCTTTCATTCAGTGTTACACTTGAAAATTAATTCATGTTATAACGCGTAACAGTAGTTCCTTCCTCCACTGTCGCATAACACTGCTGTGTATGAAATCCATTCTGCTAACAAACATTTGTGCTGTTTCCAGTTTTTGCTTTAAAGATTCTTGAAGCTCCCTTTTACAGTACATGAGATGCATTTCTGTTAAGTGTATACCTGGGAGTGGGCCTGCTAGGTTTGCATACCTCCGAAAGACTTTGCTAAAGAATTTTCAAAGTGACTCTACTCCTGTCAGAAGTGTATGCAAATTCCCAATGTCCTACATCCTTGCCAACACTTGATACTGTGGAACCTTTTCACATTAGCCATTCTGATGGCTTTGCAGTGGTATCTATTAAGCTACATTTCATTTTCATCTGAATTTCCCAGGAGACAAAGGGATGCCATTGCGTGTCTGCATCTGTGAAGTATGAGTACAGATGTTTGAGTCCCTTCCCATGAGGCCATCTGCCTCCTCCTTTCTGATTCACAGGTGTTCATATCCAGATAGTCCACACGTGAGCCCTGCTGCCAACAGCCTCCTTCTGTGACTTGCCTTTTCACTCTATTAATGACGTCTTTGATGAAGAGAAGTTCCTAACTTTAATGTAGCCCAGTTTATGATTGGTCCTTTCCCTTTAAAATCATGGCCATATTCCCACTGTTGTTAAGTCCTGTTCTACAACAGGAATCAGCAAACTACGGCCCACCACCTATTTGTGTAAATAAAATTTTGCTGGACAGGGCACGGCCCATCTGTTTATGTACTGTGTGTGGCTGCTTTTGCCCTATCGCAGCACAGTGGAGTGGCTACAGGAGACCACATGGCCTACAGGCTCAAATATTTACTATCTAGGCCTTTACAGAAAACATTTGCCAACCGTGCTCTAAAACATCCATTTTGAAGGTGACACTGGCTTCCATCATACGCATTTCTATGTCACCTTTCCCCAATTTGTGAGTATTTTGATTATTTCTAATTGCCCAGTATTCTCAAACACACATCAGCTAACAATGTCAATTACTTCCTGAAGTAAACTTCCTACAGTGAACTTTTAGCTCAAAGGAATACCGGATACCTTCAAGGTTCACGATGCGTGATTTCCAAGTAGCCCTGGCAGAAAGGGCATCGGGTCACAACCGCCTGGTTACACGCGTGTCAGACGCATCCCCAACCCAATGGGAGGAGGTGCCCCAGAGGAGAACACTCTCTCCAGAAAACAATCGCTCGGTGAATTACAGTATTCTGGAGAGGGGCACAGAACAGCCTAGCTGCCAAGATGCACTCGAGAGGGACACTCAGAGTCCTCGTGATGGAGGAAAGGTGTGGCCATTATTCCCACCTGGCCTCTGTTTTCCCATAAAATGAGGAAATAGCAGTATTCCAAAGAGCGTATTGATTCACATAATTCTAACAGTGACTGGCCGGGCGCGGCGGCTCACACCTGTAATCCCAGCACTTTGGGAGGCAGAGGCGGGCAGATCACGAGGTCAGGAGATTGAGACCATCCTGGCTAACACGGTGAAAATACTAAAAACACAAAAAATTAGCCAGGCGTGGTGGCAGGCGCCTGTAGTCCCAGCTACTCGGGAAGCTGTGGTAGGAGAATGGCGTGAACCTGGGAGGCGGAGCGTGCAGTGAGCCAAGATCGCACCACTGCACTCCAGCCTGGGCGACAGAGTGAGACTCCGCCTCAAAAAAAAAAAAAAAAATTCTAACAGTAACAAAAAGAATAACCAGCCCCGAGTGTGCACAGAAGTGCCAGGCGTGGTTCTGCGGTGCCTTCCGGGTGATTATTTAATGACCCACCTGAGCATCTCCAGAATCAGGCCTCTTTCACTGGGATGTGCTGGTGGATTGCCAGGCGCAGAGCTCCTTCTGTTGGGTACCTAGCCCTGCCCACAGTGATGGGAAGGCATAAAATTACAAGGGGGGGCAGTGACAGCCAGACCTGAGTGAAACAAGCTTCTACTTCAAGTTCAAGCCAGCTTCACAGATAACCGTCTCAGAGCCACAGGCTTCATCCAGACCCGTCTGCACCTTGTTGTTATTTCAAGCCTGTCCGTCTCTTGGCAATAACAATTACATAAGATTACTTCTTTTTCTTTGCCCCCGAATTGCCATACCCGCAGGTGAACTAAGGAAGGGCTGGGTCCTCACCACGCTCCGTGCTTCACACAGTGCTGCTTTAATCCCACTAATCACAGAAGGCCGTCACTGTCCCTATCTGCAGACGAGGAGACAGGCTCAGGAAACGTGGTTAATGTGCCCAGAGTCACATGGACACGAAGGCAAACTCAAGCCAAGCCCCAGCTCCTAACCTGAGGTCCCACACTGCTCAGGAGAGCCATGTGATCCCAAGTCACCGAAGACCTGGGGACAAATCCGCATGCTAAGAGCCACCCACAGATACACACAACAACAACATTCATTCACCCAGCCCCAGCCACTCTCCCACCCGCTGCTCAGCCCTGGATACAGAGACGCTGAAGACTGGCCGGGCTCACAGGTGACTGTCCATCAGTGGGTGGACAAAGACCCCACGGTCCTTTCTCCACACGCTGGCTCTAGAGACTCTGTGACAATCACATCATTTTAACACCACCAGCCCGAAAACACTTCCAATTGCTTCTAATCATGCCCAGCATAAAAGCCCAGGCCCTGCCTAGGCTGACGGCTCCTGCGGGCCTGGCCCTTCCTGCCTCTCTGACCAAGAGGCCGAGACTCGTCACTCACCATGGCCCCTCCCACTTTTACTTCGCTGCTTAAATGTTCCTTAAATGCCACACCTCTCCTGCCTCAGTGCCCCTCTCTGAACTTACTCTTCCTCTGCTAGGACCCATTTCATCTAGATCAGGGGTCAGCAAACTGACCATCAGCCAATCCTGCCCACCCATTTTTGTAAATAAAGTGTTATGGGAACACAACTATGTGTTTTCCTTTATACAGATTCCCTGTGGCTGCTCTGGGCCACAATGGCAGAGATTAGCTGCTACAGACCACAGGGGCCACCAAGCCCAGGGTGTTGACTGGCTGCCCTTTCGAGGACAGCCGCTGGCCGCTGCTCTCAGTCTGTGCAGGGCCAGCAGCCGCCTTTCCACAAGAGCACCCTCTCTCGGTCTCCACCTCCCCGGCTGTGGGAGGAGCCCACGGCACTGCTTCCTGTTACTTACTGTTCTCCCTCTTCATCACCTGTGTCTGGTGGGCACTATTCCCTGATGGGAAACACAGTGAGGGAACGGGTAAGCCCTCTCCACAGAATGAACCAGACAGGAATGCACCCCCAGGCACCTGCTTAGCTGCCTCCCTTGCTCCTCTAAGTCCCTGCTCAAAGTCACCTCCTCAGTGCGGCCCACCCTGACCGCTACCCACCTACTTCAACAGCCCCTTCCCCTCCTCGGCCCTCACCATCCCACCAAGCTGATCCCAGCCCTTTTCCTACAGCACTCCTCACATTCCACAGCACATCAAATCTACTTCTCGGTGTATTGTTTGTCTTCTCCCACCAAAATGTGAGGTCCACGAGGGCGGAATGTTCGTCCAAGGGCTTGGAACGCTGTTTGCCCCACAACGGAACCTCAGTCCTTCCTCGCTGAGTGCAAGAGTGATCACGACGTGCAGAGATCCTGTCAGACCCAAAGGTGGCCACAGCCCTGAGACTCAGGGAGAAAGATGCGTGTGCTCACTTGGGACAAGTAAGACCAAGCATACACTTCTGGGTTTGGTTTTGATAGTGGAGAAGACAGAGGTGGAGAGAAAGAGACGGAGCACAGAGGACACAGGGAAATGTGTCCGGGTTGGCTAGGGGCAAGGCCGGAAACAGAGCCTGGCCAATGATGGGTGTGAAGCTGTGTGCAGCAGCCAGGAGAGAAGGCCTGTGTGCCAGTGAAGGGGCCCAGCCTTCAACACAGGGCAGCGTGGGCCAGCAGGGGTGATCAGCTAGGCCGTGG
The DNA here is from genome assembly GCF_000001405.40 of Homo sapiens. Lineage (NCBI taxonomy): Eukaryota > Metazoa > Chordata > Mammalia > Primates > Hominidae > Homo > Homo sapiens. Next base: position 46,883,670 of record NC_000022.11, on the reverse strand, counting down.
TGTAGGCAGCCTGACATCAACTGCGTTCAGTGGCAACAAAAAATCCATAGTGAACTTGCAAGAGGGCTCTCAGAAATACTTCCCACTCCCCAAAATGTAAATTAACTTGAAACACAAATTCTAAAAGGCAAGCACGTCATCATCGGAATGCAGGCAATAAAAACCCTACACGTGCTCCTGACACTCCCATCCCTAAAGGAAAACACACATATGCAAGTTGAGGCCTTTCAATAATTAAGCAAGACTAGAAATTATGCAAATGAAATACATTCAAGTATGCAATGAATTTTAAATGACAGAACTACAGAAAACTTAATTGCTGTATTAGCATGCTATAAAAACACTCATCATAAATGTAAAACAATGCATGCATATACTTATATCTAAATTGTCCCGGTGACACAAAAATCAAATTGTTCCCTCCCACTGTGTTCCTATGCAAACCTACCTCAATAAACTGCAAAAACAAAGATAATACTGGAGCTTCACTCATCATTTTTAACCATTAGACTCACTAATGCAAATGTTCGATGTTTAAGTAGTTTTTGTGCCACGTTTCTGAAATACTTATTTAAAAAAGAGCCAGAAATATGATTCTGTATAGCAGTAATTTTTAAAAAGTTACTACCCTGCTTGCATAAAATGTAAACATTAAGTAGTATTACTAGTGGCTTAATGGTATGTTCTAGACTAGATGTTAGTTTTTCATAAATGCCAAGTCATGTTTCTCGTCCTTCTTCATTGAAGTGGCACTGCCCACTCATCAATTAAAAATAAGGCTACTAGAATCATGTTAATGACAAATCATAAACACAATGAAAAAGAGTCATGATGTTTGCCAGACCCTGAAATAGGTTCCCATTCAAGCACAGCTTTGGTTATCTGCCTCTTTGGTTATCTGCCTTTTTAAGCTGGACAAATGATAAATTCTCAATTCTGGGCGTAACTGTTAACCTCTGGATCCTGGAAGGACTCACAGACTGGGATAAATCCCTCCCATCTTACCCTGCTCACCCGAACCCTCCCAGACAACACGCTCATGGCTCTCAGCGAGTCTCACTCAGCCTCTCTCCTCCAACGCAGGCCCTCCAACGCCCCAGGCCAGCTCTCCTGCCCTGGTACCTCAGCCCAGGTGTGTGCTGCCTGCAGTGGCGGGCATAGCGCATAACTTTCAATGACCTGCTTCCCAGTTGGCTCATGTATGCCCCACCTTGCCCCACTGGAGCCTGAGTGTCTTAGAGCAGCCGTCTTCAGCCCTGGGCACACGTGAGAACCCCCAAGAACCGACGTAACAGTATTTCCTGAGCTCCAAAGGTGATAATGACATGTGACCAGAATGGAAACCCACAGGTGAAGAAGGCAGGCCTGAACCTCCCACACCCTCGCCTCCCATTCCCTGCCTAGCCGCAGGGTAGGCACTCTGTGGACTGCATGGTTCACAGCATGCTAGAGTCAGTCAACACCCTGATGCCTGAGTCCACCCTAGAGATTCCAATTTGCTTCGTGGGCCCGGACACCAGGATCGGGAAAAGCTCCCAGGAGAGTTGAATGGGAAGCCAGGTTTAAACCTTGGGATTCAGGGAATGATAAAGAGGCATCCTTGATTGGGGAGACCCCTTCCCTGCTGAGTTCCCAGTACCCACCATTGTCCCAGAGGTTCTTGTAACCCCAGCACCTGCAGAGGGCCTGGCTGAGGGCAGATGTGTGAGCAGCACATGCTGACTCAGGGATGGGTGACTCGCATTGTGCACTGTGCTCCCAGATCTCTCCTCTTACAGAAGGCCCAGAGCCATGGTGCAGCATGACTGCCTGGGGAGCTGGATGGCATCAGTGCTCACCAACACAGGGCATGGAGCATGGCAAATGCACAGTGAGCACTTGTTCCCGGAAAAAGAACCAACGCTTGCCCCCTACTCTAGCTGCCAGAGTCCTCTTACTCCACCCCTGTAGCCTTTGGCCCCTCAACTCCCTTACCTGTCCCTTCCCAGTTCTTCCTGTCCCAGCTCTAGTCCCCTCCCAAGAGCCTGCCAAGAGCAGCCTCCCCTTACAACCAGCACTGCTCCTACGAGCCAGACACTGGGCAAGAACAGCCTGTTCCCTGAGTTGCCTGCCACACGCCTGTCCACAAGAATCTCTGAATGCGTGGTCTGACGCACGGCAAGCACTCAGTAAGGGACAGACACAGGGCAGCAGTGCACTGGGAGCACAGGAATAAGATCCTGAGAGAATGGGATCCGTCTCCACGTAGCCTAGGTCTGTCGGGGTTGGAGGGGGCAAGAGAAAAAGGCAGGCCTTCTACTATCTGTTCTGCAGGCCCCAGGGGGACGACTTGGTCTTCTTCCCTGCCTGCTATTTCCCAGCACCCGACACAGTGCCTAAAACACAAAGTGCTCAATAAATGCCAATGGATGAATGAATGGATGAATGAATGAACCAACCAACGGCTCTTTCAAGGCTTTACTCTTCCAGAAACACAGGCTCACCACTCCCAGTTTCTCCTTCAGAATAAAACCCAAGCAATGGGGTGGGTAGGGATGGCAGTAGGGCGGCTGTCACCTGGTCTCCTCTTGGGCCCCTCTACCCCAGCCTGTGTTCCTGCTTGTCCCACCCCTACTGTGTGCCCCAGCTCTCATGGCCTCCCCACTTCCCACTAGCAGAGAGAACACTAACAACACTTTTGAGATGCCACGTAAGATGCCACCTTCCCCAAGAAGCCTTACTTGGCATCCTCATGAACCCTTTCTTAGCACCCAACATTTGCAACGACAAGCTTTGCTCCCTGATCTAACATTTATTTCCTACTCATCTGTCAATCCAAGCCCTGAGAGGGCCAAGAACCACCACGTTCATCCGTATCCCTTGTGACTGCAAGTCTCCACACCCTCCCCTCCTTCCCCACCTGCCATGGCCATGCAGATCCCAGGTGTGAAGTCCCCTCTTAGCAGAAGCTGACCCTCTGTACTAAACTGCCCCCACGCTGTGGTACTCCTCCACCCCCTGGTTCATACTCGTGTCCTGTCCATCCTATAGCATGCAGTCTGGCCTCCACCACCACTGTCCCACCACAAGTCTGCAGCACCCGACCTCCTCCTAATGGCAGGCTAGTGTCTAATTCATCTCCGTCTCCCAAGCAAAGGCCCCTGCAAGCTATGATGGTTAAAGGACTACATGTGCCTGTCCCTTCATAAGTCAACGCTCTGAGAATGCTCAGGCTTTCTCTTGTGAAGGAAAATGCTTGGGCCCCCAAGATCACTATAAAAAACTCAAGCTAGAAACTGCTTAGGGCAAACCTGCCTCCCATTTTATTCAAAGTCACTCCTCTGCTCACTGAGACAGATGCACACCTGATTTGCCTCCTTTGGAAAGGCTAATCAGAAACTCAAAAGAATGTAACCATTCGTGTATCACCTATCTGTGACCTGGAAGCTCCCTCGCCACTTCTTACATGTACTGATGGATGTCTCATGTCTCCCTAAGTGTATAAAACCAAGCTGTGCCCCGACCACCTTGGGCACATGTCGTCAGGATCTCCTAAGGCTGCGTCGCCAGTGCGCCCTCAACCTTGGCAAAATAAACTTTCTAAATCAACTGAGACCAGTCTCAGATCTCCTGGGTTCACACTCTCACTTGCCTCGCCGGGGTTCCTGGGTCAGACTCCACCTACACCCACCTGCCCTCCTGTCCACAACCAGCAGAGTGGGGCTGTCACCTCCCCTTGTGCTCCTCTGTCTACTGAAATCAGAGTGTCCATGTCCACATCAACCCCTGTGCTACACACATTAGGGAAGCGGAACCACAACCCGCAGAGGCTGAGAATTAGAGGAGAAAGCACAGTATAAAATAACTCACATGAGACTTTCCCCCTAGACACGGCACATCCTTAATAAATAGAAAACGGCAATTCGGTGTTTTCATCATAACTTCCTACAAACCAACCTGAGAAGTCTGCAACCTATCTTAGGGGACATTTAGAAAACTGGATATAAACTGGAAAACTAGGTTAAAATAAAAAAGCACAAAACAAAAACATAAGCAATGGCAGCAAGTCTAATTTTAATTGCAAAAGAATATTTAATCAATAAATATTCGCTGTTCAGAGCTGCGTCTGCATTTAGGATTACGAGGTACTAAGCTGCAAACTTATTAAGGCTCATTAGCCAGAAAGAGTCTTAAATACTAAAAGTCAGACCCAGTTTAGAGTAAACACTTAGAGCTCCCTATTGACTTAGCTCCAAAAATAATGAAAAAGGAAAAGAGAAGAAAACTGTCTATAAACAATTCTGAAATGGTGGGCAGGGCCAAACTCACTTCCAACGGCAAGCCTGAGCTAAGTGTACGAGGGCATTGCTGATGTCACCACCGCCTACCCCAACCTTTCCCCAAGGACTTCCAGACCGGCAGCTGAGCGCCAGAGCTGCGGCAGCCAGAACTCCACACTCCACCACAGAAACACAAACCACTTCTCTCACCCACAGAAACACAAACCACTTGTCTCATCCATTTCTTCTCTTTTCCTAACAGCGCTACTAATACTTACAAAAAAAAAAAAAAAAACTTGGTCAAACATATGTCCTTGTTTTCAGCATATTTGAAACAAATTTAAAACATATTTCCCTGTTTCAACTCCTCGGAGTTGAAACAACCATCTATGCTGAAACCTTTCTATATCACAGGCTGGAACATAGAAAGATTTTCTAATAAAATCTGAGGAAAAAATATAGTTGTCATAATTATTACCTATTCTTGTTTTCTGCCAGTCCTGTCAAACCAAGCTTAAAATTAAGCAAAGAATGGAAAATGTCAGCTTAGCCATAGCAAAGGCCTTTATCACTGCAACAAAGCCAAGGCAAACCCGTGGGCTGTGGCTGTCAGGCCCTACTCAGGCCAGACGCCTGCAGTCCCTGTGCACAGGAAGGAGGCGCTGATGGGCGGTGCGGTGGGACTTACTGAGAGGAGCTTCCACGTCATTGGACGCACTGGCTTAGGGATTCCGGACCAGCTCAACCTCCGTAATTCCTCTGTTGATGAAAAAAGAGACAAGGAAAAACAAGATTTGCAAAAGGTTAGCAAACCTCCCCAGTGCTTTAACACATTCCACCTGTTTAATTAGGAGGCAAGGAGCCCCATAAACAAATTAAACTAAATCATCAACATTTCAGATACGATTGATTTCAATATCTGAGAGAAGGTAAGTGACCATTCTATTCAAACCAAGCTACAGGTTACCTGTTTACAACAGAATCCTGGAGCTACCCTGGAACACGTGAGGCCCCATGATCCCTTCCTCCTTCAACCAGAGAAGTCCAGAGTACACTGGCCTCCTTCCCTCCCACCTCCTTCTCTCTCTCCCTCCCACCTCCTTCTCTCTCTTCCTTCCCCCCACTCTCTCCTGAAGGCTTTTTCCCCAACCTGATCATGTTAATTGGTTTTCCTTTCTTTCTTCCATCTCAACTTTCTATATGCTATTTAAGCATACATATATGATGTGGTTTTTCTCACTACTGGTTTTGAAAGAAATTGTTTCACGGAGATAAGCTTGTCTTTATACACCATTAATTAAGGATGTGGCCATATTCTACACAGACAACAAAGTCTTCAAGGTAGTCTAATACAAGTCAATGAGGCTTTATAAATACCTACAAGTAGAAAAAAATCACGAGTAGGGAGGCGCTGGCCAGAGGCAGAGGGGTCCTGGAGCAAGGTCCAGCACCTCCAAGGGCAGGGAAGGACAAGCATCAGGCAGAGGGGTAAGGCTGTGGGCCCTGCATTCCATCGACCTTCCGAGTCTCCTTGAGTGTCTCACTCCCATGCCCCAAATGGCAAGAGAATCCATTTCAATGTCTAGGTATAGCAACACTTGTCCAATCCCATGGAAACTCAAGTAATTATTTCTTTCCTTTAAGTTAGGAATCTACCATTAGGTTGTTTTCCTAACAGCTTGGAGCTAATGATTAATAACGGGAATAAAAGAAATGATTAAAGAGAAGACTTTGCTAATATAATCAACAAAATACAAAGTCCTGACATCTAATCTTTTTCCAATTACTAAAGTCTAAGTAAAATAAGTACAGAATAATTGGGCGATAGTCGCAGCAATAACTTGCATTTTACAGCAATCTCAGAAAATATCAAATCTTCCCCAGTACCCTAAGGATATTATGAAAAGCAGGAACCTCATATCTGAACACCAATAATGTAATGTTTACCGACCATGTTCCCAGTGTCTCTCCCTCGGCATAACTCTGGTTTTCTGATTATGGTTTACGAGAAAAAGCTGAGAGGAAACTCATTCGTTAATGTTCTCTGAACCTCTCTCCTCACTGGAAGAAATTCACAAAAATTCAAAAATCCTGAATATACATAATGAGACAAGCCTCAAACTCTGCTCAAGCTTTGGTGTTAAAAGAGAGCTTTCATACATATTATCTTATTTGATCCTCAAAACAAGCTTGTGTTACTTAGGGCTGTGATCACTATTGTATATGAAAGAGCCTCAGAGAGGTTAAGTGACTTGACCAAGGTCACACAGGAACTAAGCAACCTTCAATACCAGGGTCTGTCCACTACGTCCCTTCCATTCTTAAAAAGACTTTTGTAGCACAGACAAATCTCACTTCTGAATACAGACAAAAAGATCCAAAATAAAATCTTAGTAGATCAAAGCACAGCAGCAGGATATTCAAAGAATAATACAGGTAAAGAATGAAGGAGGGATGGTTCAACGTCGGGAAATCTTGTAGCTTTACCCACATGCTGAATGGGGTCGACAGGGAAGCCACATGACCATCCTCATAGGTGTTTGGTACATCTTTCTAGCAGAATCCCAGCTGTGCAAAGTAACCATGCTTCCCTGCAGCAGCCCTGGGGGTGGGGAGTCAGCCCAGAGGCAGCTGAACCCACAGGTGGGCCTAGTTGGAGCCCCGCAGAGCTAGCCCACACCTCACCAAAGGCTGAGTCAGCAATGGGCCTAGGCGCCTACTTAAGCCACTGAGCACAGACAGCTGAGGGCTTCTGAGAACACTCCACCCGGCTCTTGGGAAGTTCCTGGAGGCAACCCACTCCTCTTCCCCTGAAAGCTACCAGGGTCAGATGTGGGGGTCAGAACTGCTGCAACCATCTGCACCCAACCAGCCTGAGGAATGACGCCAACAGAGACAGAGGCAGACCCGAGAGAATGGCAGGAAACAGAGTTCTGAGATAAGCAAGATGGCCAAATACAGGAACATTCAAAAATGTTCTCTGTAATAGAACGATTTATATTATTTTGGGTATATACCCAGTAATGACATTGCTAGGTCTTTGTATGCACATGTGTCTTTGTAATAGAATACACTGTTGCCATAGAAAAGAATGTCTGTCTTTTTGTGCGGATATGAAGTAAGTTTATCTAAATTATGAAGTGAAAAGGGAACAATCTGTAGATACAATGATTATTTCTGTAGGCACATACGAGAATCTGAAAGCACAGGCAGAATCTGGGGAGGGGATCCCAGGATGGAGTCAAGGATGGTAGAAGACTTACGTTCCACTGTACGCCCTATGGTGTTCCCACAAAACTACAAAGTTTCTGTGACGTCGCCACTTTAATCTCCGATTTGTCAAATTCCATGCAGCTCTCAGGGCCCATCGCAAGACCTGCCACATCTAAGATGCCTTCCTGACAACTACAGTCCTCACTCACTTATCTCTTCTGTGAGCGCCAATGACAGGGGGGGTCATGAGCACCAGCCTTGTCTCCTAGAAGTAATGTATGTGCTCCTGAAGGTCAGACTCCACCACTTGGCTTTTTGTCTGTCTCCAGTTAAGTGCTGGACACAATACTCCATCCTTTCCTCCTCCCCTTTAGAGATTTGTTTGTTTGTTGGGGGGCGTGATATTTTGAAATCAAAGTATAATTTACATATAATAAGCATATTGCTAGGCCAGGTGCAGTGGCTCACACCTGTAATCCCAGCACTTTGGGAGGCCAAGGTGGGTAGATCACTGAGGTCAGGAGCTCAAGACTAGCCTGGCCAACATGGTGAAACCCCATCTCTACTAAAAATACAAAAATTAGCCAAGCATCATGGCTGGCGCCTGTAGTCCCAGCTACTGGGGAGGCTAAGACAGGAGAATCACTTGAACCTGGGAGGCGGAGGCTGCAGTGAGCCGAGATCACGCTACTGCACCGCAGTCTGGGTGGGAGTGAGACTCTGTCTCAAAAAAAAGAAAAAAAAAAAGTATTGCTGCCCTCAGACAAGACACAGAACATGTCTATTGCCCTTTTCTAGTCGTTCTTGGCCCCCACTCCCAGTTAACTGCCTTCTGGTATCTATCACCATAGACGGGACTTGCCTGTTCTTGCAATTCATATAAACAGTACAGACAGTATATATCCTTTGTGTCCTATTTATTTTGCTCAGAATGTGTTTGTAAGAGTCACACATGTTGCCAGTACCAGTAGTTCATTCTTTACAAGCAGTAAAAGTATTCTAAGAATATACCACAACTTGTTTACACATTCACCCATTCTTAGACTTCTGTGTCACTGATTTTTACCATAAATAGGCTGCGATGAACGCTCTTGTGGATATACATTTTGTGGGTGTATGTCTCCATTTCTCCTAGGCAGGTGTGAAGGAGTGGAACTGCTGGGTCATAGGGCAGATGTACATCTCCCTTTATTTAAAAACTGCCTTTGCAATCTATGCACCTGACAAAGGTCTGACATCCAGCATCTATAAGCAACTTAAATTTACAAGAAAAAAACAACCCCATTAAACAGGGGGCAAAGGACATGAACAGACACTTTTCAAAAGGCCAGGTGCAGTGGCTCACGCCTGTAATCCTAGCACTTTGGGAGGCCAAGGCGGGCAGATCATTTGAGGTGAGGAATTCGAGACCAGCCTGGGCAACATGGTGAAATCCCATCTCTACTAAAAATAGAAAAATTAGCCAGGCGTGGTGGCATGCACCTGTAATCCCAGCTACTTGGGAGGCTAAGGCAGGAGAATCACTTGAACCCAAGAGGTGGAGGCTGCAGTGAGCCAAGACTGCACCACTGCATTCCAGCCTGGGTGCAGAGTAAGACTTTGTCTCAAAAAAAAAAAAAAAAAAAAAAAAAAAAAAGACATACCTGTAGCCAAACAAACATATGAAAAAAAGCTCAACATCACTGATCGTTAGGGAAATGCAAATCAAAACCACAATGAGATACCATCTCATATCAGTCAGAATTGTGATTATTAATGGTGGTGAGGTTATGGAGAAAAAGGAACACCTTTACACTGTCTGTGGGAGTGTAAATTAGATCAAACATCATGGAAGACAGTGTAGCAATTCCTCAAAGACCTAGAGACAGAAATACCATTTGACCCAGCAATCTCATTACTGGGTATATACCCAAAATAATATAAATCGTTCTATTACAAAGACACATGCGCACCTATGTTCACTGCAGCACTATTCACTATAGCAAAGACATGGAATCAACCTAAATGCCCATCAATGAGAGACTCCATAAAGAAAATGTGATACATATACACCATGGAATACTATGCAGCCATAAAAAGAAACAAGATTGGCCAGGCGCGGTGGCTCACGCCTGTAATCCCAGCACTTTGGGAGGCCGAGGCAGGCCGATCACGAGGTCAGGAGATTGAGACCAACCTGGCTAACACAGTGAAACCCCGTCTCTACTAAAAATACAAAAACAAAACAAAACAAAATTAGCTGCACATGGTGGTGGGCACCTGTAATCCCAGCTACTCAGGAGGCTGAGGCAGAAGAATGGTGTGAACCCGGGAGGTGGAGCTTGTAGTGAGCTGAGATCGTGCCACTGCACCTCTCCAGCCTTGGTGACAGAGCGAGACTCTGTCTCAAAAGAAAAAAAAAAAAAAGGAACAAGATTATGTCCTTTGCAGTGACATGGATGGAGCTGGAGGTCATTATCCTTACCAAACTAACGCGGGAACAGGAAACCAAATACCACATGTTGTGAGGCCTACTGGAGGGCAGAGGATGGGATGAGGGAGAGGATCAGGAAAAGTAACTAATGGATCCTGGGCCTAATACCTGGATGATGAAAGAATCTGTACAACAAACCCCCATGACACATTTTACCTAGGTAACAAACCTGCACATCCTGCACATGTATCCCTGAATTTAAAAATAAATAAGTAAATTAATTAATTAAAATAAATCTGCCATAAGGGTCTTTAAAGTGATTGCACCATTTTACACTTCCCACCAGCAATGTATGAACATTTGAATTGTTCCACATCTTGGCCAAAATTTAGCGTTGTCAGTCTTTTTATTTTAGCCATTCTAGTACGTGTTAAAGGGTATCTGATTGTGATTTTACATAGCAATTTTATGATGATTAATGATGTTGAGCATTGAAGAGATTTTCATGTGTTTACTGGCCATCTCTCTACTTTTTGTGAGGTGTATGTTGAAATCCTTTACCCATATTTTATTGGGTTGTTCAAAATTTTATTATTCATTCATGAGTCTGTTTCTAATTGCTAATTTTTCTTCTGATTATGGGTCATATTTTTCTGTTCCATTGCATACCGGTTACTTTTTTATTGAATGCCAGATATCCCAAGTATCAATTTATTGCCACTGTGATACTGGAACTGGATCTTGTAAAAACTTCTCCTTTGTCAGCTGGCATGATCTCATCCTATTCAATAGAGAGGGCTGGAGGGACACGAATGGTTTCTTCCAGGTTCATATGGCTCATTCGCCAGGTTCCTGCAGGTGCTGTCTCTCCAACACTCGATTCCCACTGCATTTGGGATTATTCAACTCACTGCTTTTTGGTGACTTTCCCCAGCTCATAGAATCCCACCCTACTCCTGAGCAGATCAATACTCAGCTAAGGACTTGATGGGACTTTGCAGACATCTGGGGTTCTCTCCCTATACAATTCCCTCCTCTCCAACACTCTGCTCCATATATGATTCTGTTTTGGCCTCCTCAAAACTCTTTCCTAATTCCTACACTCAGCAAAGCTGCCTGTTTCATTAGGGTTCCCCCACTTATGCTGCTGCTTGGCAACTGCATTCAATTGCAAATTGAGTCCTTATAAAGTTCACCTTACTTATCTCCTATCTCACAGGGTCACAGCCCTGCACTGCCTGTTGTCCAACATCTGAAAACAGTTGTTTCACATATCTGGTCCAGTTTTCTAGCTGTTGATAACAGGACAGCAATTCCTTTGGCAGTTACTCCTTCATAGGTTAAGGCAAAAGTCAATTTGCTAATATATTTTTAAAGAATTTTTTGTCTATATTCATCATAAATATTGGTCTCAGGTTCTCTTTTCTTATAATGTCTTTGTAAGATTTTGGTATCGGGATTATGTTACCTTAAAAAAAATGAGAAGTGTTTACTACTCCTCTCTTTTCTGAAAGTGATCCTGGAAGATTGCTATTATTTCTTCTTTAAATGTTTGATAGACTTTAAATGTTTGATACAGTTCACCGACAAAGCCATCTGGTCCTGATGTTTTCCTTGAGTGAAGGCTCTTGTATAACAAATTTAATTTTTTTAATCAATATAAGGATATTAAAGGTCTCCATTTCTTCTTGTATTAGTTTAAGTCGTGTCTTTCTAGAAATATCCCCATTTCATGAATTTATTGGCATAAAATTGTAAATAACATTCCCTTATTACCTTTTTAATGTCTGTAGGATCTGTAGTGATGTCTCCTCTTTCATTTCTGATATTGGTAACTTGTTTTTTCTCTTTTTCTGTTCATTAGTCCAACTAGAGGTTTTTCAAGGGTCTCTTCAAAAAAACTTTATATTTTAGTGATTCTTTTCTTGTTTACCCATTTTTCAGTTTATTGATTTTTCACCCTTAAATTGTTTCTCTTCTTTTACTCGGTTTTTGTTCTTCTTCTAGTTTCTTAAAATGAGAGCGTTGAATATGGATTGGAAACCTTTATTCTTTTCTCATACAGGCATTTAAAAGTATAAAGTTTCCTCCAGGCACTGTTTTAGCTGCATCACACAAATTTTGACACCTGTTGTCATTATCATTCAGTTCAAACTTTCCTTGTGATTTATTTGATCCATAGGTTGTTTAGAAGTATGCAGGTAAATTTCCAAATATCTGAGGATTCTCTGTGTATCTTGTTGTTATGGATTTTTAATTTAAAGCATTTGGTCAGATGAATTTGGTGGTATTTCAACCCTCTGATATTTACTATAACTTTTTGGGGCCAACATACAGTCTACTTGGTGAATGTGCCATATGTCCTTGAAAAGGACGTGCATTATCAGTTAGTAGATGCGGTATTTTATAAATCAATTAGATCCCACTGGTTGATAATGTTATTCTAATCTTCTACACTTTACTAACATTTTAATTTACCTGTTGTATCAATTACTCACGGAGGGCTGTTAAATTTTCTGCCTAGGATTGTAAACTTGTTTATTTCTCTCTTTATTGCTGTCAATGTTTGCTTCATGCATTGTAAAGCTGGTACATACACATTTAGGACTCATCTCTCTACTTAAGGAATTGATCCTTTCATCATCATGAAATATTCCTCTTTGTCTCTAATACAACTCTTTGTCTTGAGGTCTACTTTTCCTGATGTAACTATAAGCAAATTCGTTTTCTTGTGATTAGAGCTTGCATGACATATATTTTTCTACCCTTTTATTTCAACTGCCTGTCTTTATGTTTAAAACATGTGTGTCTGGCTTTTGTTATGGTTTGAATGTTTTTGTCCCCTCCAAAAATTCATGTGTTGGAAAGTTAATCCCCAGTGCAACAGTGTTGGGAGGTGGCCTTGTGGGAAGGTGTTTAGGTCATGAGTAATCCACCCTCATGACTGGATTAAGGTCATTATAAAAGGGCTCCCAAAAGTAGATTTGCCCTCTTCTGCTCCTCTGTCATGTGAGCACACAGATTTTGTCCCGTTTTGCCCTTTGCCTTCGACCATGTGATGACACAGCAAGCAAGCCTTCACCAGATGCCGGCACCTTGATGCGAGACCTCCAAGCCTCCGAAACTGGGAGAGACGGAATTTCTGTTGCTTACAGATTATCCACTCTGTGGTATTCTGTTAGAACAACATGAAACAGACTAAGACAGCTTTCCTTTCAGCTTTCTGTCTCTATATTTTCACACAGTCAGGCAGTAAAATCCTAAGTGCTCTAAGAGAGAAAACTAAAATGTACAAAAAACTTACATAAGTAGAAAATGAATGAGATTAAGTGAATGAGAAATAAATAGCATTTCTTCTACAACAGTGGATTTCCTTTCTGAAAACTGAAACTTTGGAATATTTTCAGGAAAACACCACCAAAATCACAATTTCATGCTCATCTGCACTGTGAAAGCTTTACTTCTCAATAGGAAATTACCAAGCACTAACTCTAAAGAGAGCAGACAGAGAGCAGAGGGTAGAGGAACAAACACTGGTTGTGGGTTCAGTGCACCTGGGTTCAAGGACCAGCTTGGCCAAAGACTATCTGGAGGCTCTCCCTCTTCAGTTTCCTCCCCTAAAACACAGGACAAATAAAAATACTTGCCTTGCTTAAGTCACATAATTTTTACAAGGAACAAAGAGACAATACATGGGGAAACATTGGTGAACTGTGACATAATGTACAAATCCAAGAGCACGCTTCTGTTATGCTGACAGATGCAGTTATTCAGCACACTCTGTGAACCCAAACCATAAAGCAACTGGGACTCATTCATTCTAATTGGATGTAAAATATCACATTTGAGACTGAACCAGAAATCTGTCACAAAGTGGTGTATGCAAAGAACTCCTAATTATAAGAACCTTTTTTCTGAAAAGCCAAGAATAACAGAAAAATCAACCCATCATTTAAGCGTCTTTTTTTCTTAAGATTCATTTCTTATTAACTGCCTTTAATTATGATTTTTAAAACCTTTTGTAATAATAAAATCTGGAAGAAACACTGAACAATAGTAAGAAATGCATGTGCACTGCAATCACTTAGGCTTACATGTGGTTCTAGGCTAAACGCTGAGTGTCACCAGCATAAAGAGGTTCTACAAAAATACGCATATGTCCTGTTCCTAAAGCCACACACAGGGGAGCCTCACAGATCAACTCCATGTGGCCAGCACTTGCTGAGCATGCCCCCTGTGTAAGCTGCCTCTGGGCAAAGCCACTGAGACACTCCCCAGACCGAGTCCACCCACACATTAATCCATCCCATTGGCGGGTGCCAATCAACACTCACCACGGACCAGGCCCAGAACTAGCCTCCAAGGGAGTGATTAAACCCAGTTCCTTCCCTCAAGGGGCTCACTGTCAAATAACAAGAAGAAATCTAGCCAGTGAAATCACTGTTCACCAGGACTATGGGAGAAAGGAATGCAAGGTACAGTGAGTCACCAGAGGAGGGGTGGTCTCTTCTCTGAAGAAGGGGACATCAGGAAAGATTCTCCGTGAGCTGCTGCTGGAGAGCCATCTTGAAACTAAGCAAAGCACAGATTTATCTCTACTACTCCCTAACTCTCACCAACAGGGCAGTAAAGGAATAATGTCATAAACAAGGACAAGGGTGTAAAGGAGGCAGACAAGAAATGTCAGCAGAAATGTGAAGGATGGACAGCAGACACAGCAGTGGGAGGCAGCGGAGCGGCGCAGATAACAGCCTGACAAGGGGACGCCAACACGGAGCGGCCAACTGAGGGCAAAGAACCCCCAGAAAGGGCTGTGTTGGAGCAGAACACAGGGGCACCCCCCACCTACTCCTACCCACACAGTGAGCTCCCCCACCTCACCCCGCAAATGAACAACTCTAGGATAAAACAAGTTATACGTGACAGGTACTCAGTCATGAACCAGAGTTAGAGTTACAACATCACAAACAATGAATCCCAATGTCACCAAAAATTAAACTGAGAGGATGGGGAAGGAGAAGAGGAAGAAGCATGGTAAGAGAGTTAAACCCTCTGCTTCAGAGTAGAAAGTTAATAAATACGGCTAAACTGTAAAAATCTGCAAAATTAGCATAGTATTTAGAAATATCAAGACAAGTACCAGCAACAATAGCCAAGAGGTACAATGACAGCCTCACCTCAGAGACGGAAGGCAGGGATGAGGAAGGGTGGGGACGGAGGACTACTCTTTCCAGTACAAATCTTATACTGCCGGTTGAGTCTCCCTTATCCAAAAAGCTTGGGATCCCAAGTGTTCGAATTCTGGGTTTTTTTCCAGATTTTAGAATATTTGCATATATATAATGAGATATCTTGGGGATGAGACCTAAATCTAAACACAAAATTCATTTATGGTTCATATATACCTTACACATATAGCCTCAAGGTGATTTCATACCTTTTTAAAATAATTTTGCCCGTGAAACAAAATGTGTGTATACTGAACCACCCAAAAGCCAAGGTGTCACTATCTCAGCCACTCGTGAGGACAATCTGTGGTTGTCTGGCATCATCATCATTCCTGACTCTAAATTTACATGCTACCAATAAGCAATCATTTTCTTACACTTATTCCCACATACGTACTTAACAGTAAAAAATATGACCTACCATTAATACAGTGAAAAAACTGCGTTCAGAGTAGCTAAGCGGCACCGCAGCCTCCCCAGAACACCCGCACCCGCTGTAAAGCAACGGCAGCAACAAACAATGGCGGCTTCCAGTCTCCATCTACAGTGCTGGGTTTCCATTAAAAGGTTCCTGGACACTGTGGGTTTTTTGCTTTTTGGTTTTTGTTTTCTCAGTGAGAAGAAACATCAGAAGCAGCTGAGGGACCAGGAAGCGGGTGCTCTAGGGATGAGAAGGCATTCTGCCGGGTGGCTTTTTTAAATGTTTCCTCTGGAGTCATCTGCTTATTAGCAACAGTTTCTGTCTTTTAAGTGTCTCTTTGATTTTGTCAATTGACGTGATTTCTTGCCCTGCTGTGATCGCATGCTGCCCTAGTCCTTCAGTAAGCCTGTCGCACATTTTCGCCATGTCATCTATAGATGCTTTTTCTACAGTGTTAACGTCATCATCTTCATCATCACTATCATCACAGTTACCTGGACTCAAAACCATTTTGGCTATTTCCACATCTACTGATGGTTAACAACTGGTAATGCATTTATCGATGTGGAAGACTTCTTTGATATCCACTTCTTCCAATGGTTAACAACTGGTACCTCATTTATCGATGTGGAGGGCTTCTTTGATATCCACTTCTCCCAGTTTTCTGATGGACCTTGAAGGTATATTTTTTACATATGTAAGGAGGTCAGACATCGTTTTTGTCTCATTTGACACACAGAATCCTTCAAAGTCACCACTTGGTTCATCATCATCACTGAACACAGAGTCACAGCCCAGAGGTTGTGCCAGAGGTTGTGCCAGGCATGCACAGCTGTTTGTTTTGTCACTGTGTTCCAAGCACTGGCAGCAGCATATACAGCATCCTTCGTGCTAAACATCTTTTGCAACCTTCCAAACCCATGCCACCTCTGTTCACTGCTGCTAACGTGCTGCCCAAGAAAGTGTTTTGATATCTATTCTTCATTGATCTACAGATACTTGGTCACGTAGCTGAATTAATAAAGTCACATCTGGGGGGAAATGCATGGCATAAACATTATTATTGTTGAGAATTTCAGCTGGAGAATAAGCAGAACAGCTGTCATGAAATGACAAATCCTGTAGTCATCATCCAGTCCAGCCTCCCTGCAATGAGCCCAAGCCACGGATACAAAACGTTTGTGAAGGGAATCAGAAAAGATGTCCTTGGTGATCCATGCCGTTCTGTTAGCATAATAAAGGACTGGTAAGAAATCCACTCCTTGAAAACAGTAAGGATACAAGCTCTTGCGGATCACAGCAAGTTAACGCTTCCGCATGCCTGCTGCACTAGCACAGCCCAGCACAGTGATTCTGTCCTAGGATCCTGAATTCCTGAAGGGCTGTCTCATCAGCTGTCGTCAGTGTCTTTCTGGGGCAAGAACACCAAAACAATGATGGTTCATCAGCACTATAGACTTGTTCAGGCATCAGCTTCTCATTAGAGATGATCTTGGCAAACTAAGGAATTTCTCCACCGCTTCATGATCAGCACAAACCTTTAAAAATGTAATGCCATATCTATTCTTAAATTTCTGCAACCAGCCTGTTGAAGAGTAACAGTTCTTTTCAACTTTTAGTTCATGGAGAGACAGCTTTGCTTGCCGCTTGACAGGTGTATCATTAAGTGGATGTTCAGTGTGATGCTGATGGATTCACTCTCTCAATACCCAATCAAGATCTTCATTTTTGGGGTCGGGAGTGGTGGCTCACACCTGTAATCCCAGCACTTTGGGAGGCTGCGGTGGGCCGATCACTTGAGGTCAGGAGTTTGAGACCAGCCTGACCCAACATGGTGAAACTCCATCTCTACTAAAATACAAAAATTAGCTGAGCATGGTGGCACACGCCTGTAGTCCCAGCTACTTGGGAGGCTGAAGCAGGAGAATCGCTTGAACCCAGGAGGAGGAGGTTGCGGTGAGGCAAGATTACGCCACGGCACTGCAGCCTGGGTGACAGAGTGAGACTCCATCTCAAAAAATAGATAAAATAAAAATTTTTAAAAGATCTTTATTTTTTGGCTTTATGCACTGGTTTTTAATTTTTCATTAACTTCTATTCATCAATTTCGGCACAGAACTTCAACGGTTTCTCCTTCTGTTTCTTCAGGTCCCATATGGTGGTCATTCCAACACCACACTCTGCTGTAAGATGTTTCACTTACACCACAGTCCAGTTTCTCCAACAGCCTGACTTTTCTGTGCTACAGATAAACATAAATCCTCCTTGTTCTTATCATTGTTACTCAGAGGGGTATCTACAGGTCTTTTTTGGCATTTTCAATAGTATCTTTACGCCCCAGAACAAAGAGTAAGCAAAAAGCCACAGCAAGTAATGCACACAGGCCTCCCCCATGGGGGGGCATTGGGGGAACCGGCCCTTGGTGTGTCCAACGCACACGTGTGGTCTTATTACCCCCTGTGGACATGCCTGTGCAGGGGAATCTGGATGTGCGCAGACAAGACAAATCACAGCTGAAGGGGCTGGAAGGGTCTCATTTCCCTTGGGGATACTGATAAACTGTGTGTTGTGCACCTAGGAGTTCACATGTGATTTCACATAAGATCAGGTGTAGAATTTTCTACCTGTGGTGTCAAATCACTGCTCAAAAAGTTTCAGACTTTGGAGCATTTCAGATTTTAGATTTTTGGATTATGGATGCTCAACCTACGCTACTCCATTTTTAAAACCAGGGACATAGATGACTTTGTAAAATAAATATCTGACCTAAAACTAACCAAGTAAGGTATATGTCAAGGACACTGCAGCTAGAGAGGAAGCAGCACAAACAGAAGCACAGAGTGTAAAACAATAAAACATCTGCCCGTCACTGCAAGAGCTTAGTATGGTGCACCCATCCAGAGGGTGGAGATGCAGCGGGGGGTGGTGCCTGCAAGAAATAAGACTGGAGAGGAAGGCAGGGCCTGGATCCTGCAGAGATGCCAGGAACAGGTGCCAACCACCTGGATTTATACACACAGGTGCTGAGGAGCCAATGGAGGTTGGGAGATGGATGTTAGGCAAAGATTTCAGAGGTATGACCTGGTGTGGGTTCGGTGAGACCACCACCAGTATTTGGACAGATGCCACAGGTATTGCTGGGTGACTTGGGAGATGAAAGTCAAGCACAGTGATGGGAGGCTCATAGCAACCAGAAATGGCAGAGCCCAAATGGGAGCCAGCAAATCCCTAGGCCTGAGTTCCTCACTCACTCGGTCGATCACGCCACTGCACTCAACACACAGGATGAACTTGGTATGGGCCGGGCACTGTCCTGCAACAGAGGTGGGAATCAATCCAGCCAGGAGCTGCCCACGGTACTCCCTCGGGAACACCACTGGCACTCCATAAGGTCCCCAAAATAGTGCAGGTACACCTAGAAACATACTACACCCCCATCACCCTCAGGCTTTCAAAATGGAATAATTAACTTTCTGAAAAAGGCTGTGTTTCTTCTCAGGTGAAAATAGGGGGCAAGAGAAAACCACCAATCCAAAAGATGATTGTTATCGTTTATCTACTGAATTGTGTGCTCCTCACCAATCTGTTTGTGGAAAGCGGAATGTCAGAGGGCAAAGTACAGGAGGCCTGAGAAATAAGTTTGTTCTTTTCCTCTCCAGCCTTTGGCAGATTTCAACAAGGTTTCACTTCCACAGACAGCCAGGAGGGAAACTGGTTTCCCTGATCATGTGATAGAGTTAAATGAGCCTTTTGGAAGGTGTTCTTTCTGCAGGACCCTGGAGCCCAAACCGCAGCAAGGGATAGTGGCTGCTCTGTCTCTGCTTCCACTACAGGACCATGAGAGAGCCACAGATGCTTGTTGCCTGGCAGCTTTTCTCGAGTTATGGGAGTCTAGGCTTCGTGACCCTTAATTGCTATCATTAACATAACAGAGTTTTTCAAAATAACTTCTCTAGCTTTAACTTCTTCTTCTATTTGAAAGTTGGGGTGTGTGTATGTGTAATTTCAGGCAGCTTCTGGTTACAAATAGGAAGGAATATGCACGTGGAGGCATCAGGAATGTCAGGAAAGGTGCTGGACAAATGCTCCACTAGGCGATGTGCTGTGCTGAACCCCTAGGAGGCAAACAGCTACCTGAGTGAATAAACACAAGGAGTGGGCCCAGGGACAACTCGAGAGGCCTCTGTACAATGCTAGATGCTGAGCTAGAGAAGGCCTCGCAGAGAAGGCTCTATGTCCCTGGACATAAGAGATGTCCATGAGGCCGGCAGACAGGAGAATGGAGGGAGGCATTCTTCACGGAGGGGGAGCATCTGAGAAAGCTATGCAGGCCAGAAGCAGGTGCAACCCGGGCTGAGGGAAGGGGACATTTTAAGGGAAAAGCCGACAGAGACATGGGGACTGAATGAGGCTCCTGAATGACGGAAATGCTTTTGTTTTGTGTAAAATCATATCGCATGACCCCTTTGGTTTCCAATACACTTTTAAAACCCTATTATGGGGCTCTAATTAAATCCTAATTGGGATAAGCACGATGACCAAGAAAGTGCATCAAATGACAAGGTTAAATACTAGAGGTGACTAGTTGCTGAGATACCAGATAGACCAACTTATCCTGACCAGTCAGAACCCAGCCAGCCTGAAAGAAATGGCATCAAAGAGAGCAGGGCTCTGAGCTCACTGCTCTGGTGGCTTCTGTCCCTTGGTCAATTGGGAATTAGTATGCACCACCTATGTCACCAATACAGTACTTGATCAGAAGAGACATTCCGAATCTACTACTGGCATACCAGTATGTCTCCTGCCCCTCCCGCTTTCCTCCGAGGCAAGCCCTGCTCATCCTTGGAACATCATCTCCTCCATGAAGCCTCCAGCTCCTCCTCTCATTGTCTTGGAGAGTGACCACCTGGAGAGCCACCTCCTGGCTGCTTGTCATGGGTGCCCATCAGACTCAAGGCCCTGGGAGGACGGGGCGCATGTTGCCTTCACTCCATAAACCTGGTGTGAGTACCTAACCCATGACCAGTGCAACCACAGAAAGAGAAGTGAGAGTTGCTCTCTCCCCCAGGAGGGCAGCTCCTGCTGGGGCAGCCATGCCACGCTTACCCTGCGCAGACTATGGCAACTGCAGTGGTAGAAATCTGGACAAGATGCTTCGGAAGCCCACGGACCAGAGACACTCTACCTACAGGCAAAATTTCTAAAACAGAAATTTTAATTTAGAAATTTCTAAAATCGGGTCCACGGTGCCTCTTCAAGAGACTGTCCCCTTTCCTCCCATGCTCCCCAGTCCTGCACCCCAGAATCAGAAGCCCCCTCCATTCCAAAAAGCCCCAGCATCCGGCCTCTCAGCTGCACCTCCCAGGGTGGGGCCTCTGCCCTGCCACAGCCTCCTCTCTGCTTCTCTATGGCTACAGGGAGGCAATCCACCACCCTTCTGGGCTGCGGCCTTGGATGGGAAACCCCCTACACCCACCCCTGCAGACCCTCAGCTTGCAGCCCTCCTACCCTGTCTCCAAACAGCCAATTCCCGCAGCCCCGCTCTCGCTGGCTGGCTCCCGGGGCTGAACAGCAGTGAGTGGAAGCAAGTGCTTCACTGGGAGAATGGCCTCGGGAGCCATTTTCAACCAAGGTTGCAGGCTCTGGACAAGCCACAGAGTGCATACATGCCCTGAGAACAGAAGCAAGAGGGGGCTGAGGAAGGCTCACGGCAAGAGAAAATCTCCAAATCTCATCTCACTCCCAACTGCACCACCAGCACCTCCATCTGCAACCATTCAAGCCTCTCCTGCCCACAGCCTCCTTGGGCCACTGTTGACTTCACATACCCGAGATCTACAGAGGACCCACTTCGTGAGGGCCAGTCACCTGGGGGGTGCTAAGAGCGAGAAGACCTCATGGAGCTGGGGAACAAAAGCTGACATTCACTGAGCACCTACTGTGCGCCAGGTTCCATACCGCGTTCCACCCAATCTTCACACTCACTCATTAACACCTGAATGTCATCACTGAGGCCCAGGAGAGCTCAGTCACTTGTCTGAAGCCACAAGGCCAGGGAGGCCATACAGAGGCCCCACTACGCTGTCCTGACACCACATGTCCAGTCCCTCCTGAAGCCACAAGGCCAGGGAGGCCATACAGAGGCCCCAGTACACTGTCCTGACACCACATGCCCAGTCCCTCCTGGAAGCACAGGAAGGGAGAAACAGGGCCAGGGACTGTGCTCTGTGCCTTCTACAGACATGTTCTCATGGGATCCTTAGGACAAGGTGAAAAGTCAGAGTCAAACTGGGTCAACACCGATCATAGCCAGAGAGAAGCAGAGTGGGCTGAGGAAGCCCACCTCCTGCCCCACTGTCAGCCATGGCCAAGACGACTGCTCAGAGCCCCAGTGCGGCCGGGATACACAATTCTGAGTTTGCCCATGGGTTCTGAGCGGGGGGACATGAGTGAGGGCAACAGCCGCCCTCCTCCCCCTCCTGGGAGGTGCGCAATTCTGGCCAGTAGAACATGGGCACCGCTGGCCCAGGTGGCCACCCCAGTGAGAGACAGAATCTGAGGATGCAATGTCCTCAGAGACAAATTCAAGAACCACAAGAGAAGCCAGGCCATCTACTCCCACAATCCTGCAAGTTCTGAATAAAGGGGAGGGCCCCCTGGGGTCTCCGGCCACCTGAGCTGCTCACAGAGGACAGAAACCTGCAAGCCACTGGTAAAACACACAGAGAGGCCACCTGGGCTAGACGCTGGCCACATTGTTAGATTTTGAAAACCTGAAAAGATGAATGTTTTAAAAGGAATGAAAAATTAAAATAGAGACACATTTTATTCTAGAAACTGTCCTACAATTAACTGTTAAGTCATTTTACGTGAGATAAAACACAATTCTAAAAATTAAGTTTATAATCCCAGCACTTTGGGAAGCCGAGGCACGGTGGATCACTTGACCCCAGGAGTTTGAGACCAACCTGGGCAAGAGGGCGAAACTCCATCTCTACAAAAAAATAAAAAATTAACCCCAGGCATAGTGGTGCACACATAGTCCCAGCTACTCGGGAGGCTGAGATAGGAGAATGGCTTGAACCCGGGAGGCAGAGACAGTGAGCCAAGATTGACCAGGGCAACAGAGCTTAGACCCTGCCTTAAAAAAAAATTAATTTATTATCTGTTTTCAAATATGCCTTCGCCAAAAGAGCTTCTCAGAATGAGCAGAGCCTCCCCCAAAGGAAGTGGAAGCTGATGTGCACCTTCTCCCTCTGTCCCACACCCTGTAACCCCCACTCAACACCACAGGAAACACTCGTGTAATTTACACTCGAGCCCGAGAGGACCTGTCCTGCTCACTGCTCCAGGAGACCCGCCTGGCAGCAGGATCTCCTCAGTGGTCCCAGAGCCAGTCTCCAGGACGCCTGTCGCCAGAAGACGCTGGCCACGCCAGAGCCAGGAAGGGGCACAGCACTGCACAGACCTCTATCGAAAAGGATTCTGGTTCCGGGAAGGGGCACAGCACTGCGCGGACCTCTATCAAAAAAGGATTCTGGTCCCGGGAAGGGGCACAGCACTGCGCGGACCTCTATCAAAAAAGGATTCTGGTCCCAGGAAGGGGCACGGCACTGCGCGGACCTCTATGGAAAAGGATTCTGGTCCCGGGAAGGGGCACAGCACTGCGCGGACCTCTATGGAAAAGGATTCTGGCCCCGGGAAGGGGCACAGCACTGCGCGGACCTCTATGGAAAAGGATTCTGGTCCCGGGAAGGGGCACGGCACTGCGCGGACCTCTATCAAAAAAGGATTCTGGTCCCGGGAAGGGGCACAGCACTGCACGGACCTCTATGGAAAAGGATTCTGGTCCCGGGAAGGGGCACAGCACTGCGCGGACCTCTATCAAAAAAGGATTCTGGTCCCGGGAAGGGGCACAGCACTGCGCGGACCTCTATGGAAAAGGATTCTGGCCCCGGGAAGGGGCACAGCACTGCGCGGACCTCTATGGAAAAGGATTCTGGTCCCGGGAAGGGGCACGGCACTGCGCGGACCTCTATCAAAAAAGGATTCTGGTCCCGGGAAGGGGCACAGCACTGCGCGGACCTCTATGGAAAAGGATTCTGGTCCCAGGAAGGGGCACGGCACTGCGCGGACCTCTATGGAAAAGGATTCTGGTCCCGGGAAGGGGCACAGCACTGCGCGGACCTCTATGGAAAAGGATTCTGGTCCCGGGAAGGGGCACAGCACTGCGCGGACCTCTATCAAAAAAGGATTCTGGTCCCGGGAAGGGGCACAGCACTGCGCGGACTTTTATGGAAAAGGATTCTGGCCCCGGGAAGGGGCACAGCACTGCGCGGACCTCTATGGAAAAGGATTCTGGTCCCGGGAAGGGGCACGGCACTGCGCGGACCTCTATCAAAAAAGGATTCTGGTCCCGGGAAGGGGCACAGCACTGCGCGGACCTCTATGGAAAAGGATTCTGGCCCCGGGAAGGGGCACAGCACTGCGCGGACCTCTATGGAAAAGGATTCTGGTCCCGGGAAGGGGCACGGCACTGCGCGGACCTCTATCAAAAAAGGATTCTGGTCCCGGGAAGGGGCACAGCACTGCGCGGACCTCTATGGAAAAGGATTCTGGCCCCGGGAAGGGGCACAGCACTGCGCGGACCTCTATGGAAAAGGATTCTGGTCCCGGGAAGGGGCACGGCACTGCGCGGACCTCTATCAAAAAAGGATTCTGGTCCCGGGAAGGGGCACGGCACTGCGCGGACCTCTATGGAAAAGGATTCTGGTCCCGGGAAGGGGCACGGCACTGCGCGGACCTCTATGGAAAAGGATTCTGGTCCCGGGAAGGGGCACGGCACTGCGCGGACCTCTATCAAAAAAGGATTCTGGTCCCGGGAAGGGGCACGGCACTGCGCGGACCTCTATGGAAAAGGATTCTGGTCCCGGGAAGGGGCACGGCACTGCGCGGACCTCTATCAAAAAAGGATTCTGGTCCCGGGAAGGGGCACGGCACTGCGCGGACCTCTATGGAAAAGGATTCTGGTCCCGGGAAGGGGCACAGCACTGCGCGGACCTCTATCGAAAAGGATTCTGGTCCCGGGAAGGGGCACAGCACTGCGCGGACCTCTATCGAAAAGGATTCTGGTCCCGGGAAGGGGCACAGCACTACACAGACCTCTATCGAAAAGGATTCTGGTCTGCGCGTGGGCATGTGGGACTTTTTTTTCTCATCATTTTTGTTTTGTTTGAATTTGCTAGTTTTAACACTCATGTGCAACACACATAGAATTCTTTTATTTTTAGTAATTTGCCACAGTGAACGCACCCAATTCATAGAGGGAAAAACAAATCCTCTTAGGAAAATAACTCCTCTACCCTACTCAGCGGTGGGTGTCCTCCCTCTCCTTAGCCCTTCCATCTGGAATGGTTGAGGCCGCCTCTCCCAAGAAGCGCTCGAAGCACACCCGCCAGCGTATCGCTCAGCGCTCCCCCTCGGTCCACCTGCTCTTCTGCAGGAGAGATGTCTCCTCCCACAATCGGTGGGGAAGCATCAGAAATGCCTGCAGGCGCCTCTGCAGGAACACGGATGGCATGCGTTCCCGCGACTACTTCATCATAAACATGAAACGTAGCTCTAAGGCCCAGCTTGGTCATCCGTGAGATACACATGGATCAGAGCTGGGGGGGGTGTTTGCCACAAGAAACAAAGCCTGCCGGCACAGGGCGGCTTGCCTGCTGTCGGCTGCCTCCAGCCCGGTCCTCATGGCAGCCAACTTAAAAAGACAGTATTGAGTGTCAAGAGTCTTGGATATCAATAACAAAAAGATGAGTAACCCAATTAAAAATAGGCAAAGGATGTGAATAGGCATTTCTTCAAAGAAGATATACAGACAGCCAATAAGCATGGGAAACGATTCTCAAACTTAAGAGCCATCCGGGAGCTCAAAACCACAATGAGATACCCCTTCACATGAGGATGGCAACAACGTTTAAATGTGGGATCACAGAAGGATGGTGACAATGTTTAAATGTGGGAAGACCAGAGCCCTCATGCATTGCTGGTGGGAAGGTAAAATGCTGTGGCAGCTGCAGGAAAGTCTGGCAGCTCCTGGCGATGCTCAACATGGAGTTACCACGTGAGCCAGCAGCGCCACTCCTCAGTATATCCCCGAGAGAAAGGAAAACACGACTGCAAAAACGTGTGCATGAATGTCCATAGCAGCAGTCTGCATAACTGTCAAAAAGTGGAAACACCCCATATGTCCATTCACTAAGAGTGGATGAATAAAACACAGCACATCCATTCAATGGAATCTTATTTGGCCAAAAAAGAATGAAGCAGGCGTGCTCCAACCCGGATGAGCCTTGACAGCACCATGCGAGGGAACGGGAGCCAGTTTCAAAGGCCACAGATTGTGTGATTCCATTTATATGAATCCACAGAGACAGAAAGCAGATTCCTGGTTGCCTGGGGCAGGGGGAAGGATTGGGGGAGTGGGGAACGACTACTAATGGGTACAGGATTTCCTTGTGAGATGATGAAATTGTTCTGAAATTGACTGTGATGACAGTCAAGCAATTCTGCAAACACACTAAAAACCACTGAATTGTACACTTTAAATGGTGAACTGTATGGTATGTGAATTACATCTCAGTAAAGATGTCTAAAAAAAGTCTAGAATAAGGATGTTTTAAGGACATTTATAACCCCAACTACCTTCTCAGAAAGGCAGCTCTCAGAAACAGAGGCCCTCTGCTGCGGGACTACAGCGATGATGGGCTTTGACGTGCAGCTTTTGGGTCAGGGCTGAGGAGGGCTGACCAGCCCCACCCAGGGGCAGCAGAGATTTCAGTCTGGACAGTGCTTCTTGGATGGCAAGATGGCAGCAGAGCAAAGAGAGCTCTCCCAGAGACCCCAGGCCTGGTTACGCTAACAAGAAATCCACACAAAGGACTGATGTAAGTGGTTGTGTTGTTCTGTTTTTTGTTTTTAACTGTGAGGGCTTGAGGTTGGCATAGGGCAAACCAAACCTGCTTGGGAAGACACTGTGACCCAATGATGACCACGGCACCCCTTCCATGGGGGCACCCCACACATGGGAGACACAGGCATTCCAGGGAACACTCCAGTCTTCATCAAGCAAGAAATAGGGCTGGAGGCAATTGTACGACTAGACCTCATGGGGAGAGATGCCTCTAGCTCGCATCCCAACCTCATTTCAAATGCTTGCACCCTCTGAGCCAGTAATTTCATTTCTGGGAATCTGTCCCAAGGAAATTATCCAAAATGCAAACAAATATTTATGTCATCACAGCATTATTTATACATCAAAAAAAGATCTAAATGTCTAATAATACGGAAGTGATTAAATTAGAGCTATATCCATTTGTTGCTGACAGGAAATCAAGAAACAGACCCAAAATGTTTAAGGGAAAACTTTGGCCTTTCAAAGTCTATAGCAAGGAAAGGCAAACTGCAACTAATCTGCACGTCTGGTACCAGCCCCCACCCCCACTCTTGAAAGAGAGCCCTAATCATTTGTTAGTCACTTCACAAGGTCTAATTACACTGTTTTTTTCCTTCAATATCATTGATCCCGCAGCCAATGTTGCATGGCATTTAATTAAAGGAAAGGCTACTGCTATTTCATGTTAAAAATCTAAATCCTTTCAACAAATTAGAAGCTTGAAGTTCACATTTTTACTTTCCAGTTGGACTCAGTCAGCCTCTTATACTTTCAGCATTAAAACATATACAGCAGGACTCAGCTCAAACCCCTTCTGAGGTTAGCAGCCTTTGCTGGTAACAGTACCTGGCAGCAGGTTACTCCATTTCTTAACAGGTAGAGTCAATAACAAGATTGGCTTCAGCAAGCATAATCGTTCTGATGCTACGCTACGTAAATATTAATGGGGCAGCCACGCAGAGGCTCCTAAGACAGCTTTTCACCACATCCACACTTCGGGTAGGGCCCTGGCATCACAAGACCTCTCTGGCACGTGCTGTACCCCAGGCTCATCATTCCCACACCTGTCACCCTTTAGAAGCCCCCGGAACAAACCTCAGGGGACATGCAGAGGAAAGGGGCAGCCTCTCAGCACTGCCGAGGGACTCCCTCTGTCCACTTTCCTTCTGTGGCTCCGGAGGCCAGCGAGCACACGCCTAGATGTCACACATGACTGAGAAATCCACCAGACAGGAAGCTGGATACACAGAAAGGCTAGAGAGAGTCTTGTCCATGATAAGCTCAATTAATTTTAGATAAGTATGCAATGTAATTACGAAGGCAAAGCAACATAATCCCACAGTCCCCTACATATAATTTCAAATAAAACGCACAGAAGCATAGAAGAAAGGCTCGGATGGCAACGAAAGACCCTGTGACAGTCAAGAACTGACCATCAACCCCCCCGGCTGGCTCACAACCCACACGGCACGGTCAGGCCTGCTTTATCTTGCGGGAGCCTGGATCTGGTGCCCCAGAGCGCTTCTGTCTAGAACCCCATCAATCCTGGATTTCTACCCAGCAGCCCACTGCTACTCCGTGAAAGGGACGGCATGGATCCCACCTTGACTCCCAGGCTGCACAAGGTCACTTCCACCCCACAGTGGCACAATCACTCCCTTCCTGCATTCATGCCAGCAAGAGCTGTACCTCTTTCCAGGCCCCTCTGAACCCCAACCACAAGCTCATGGTCTGTACCTCCCACATCCCCGTGTTCCTAACTCCTGGTGGTATCACTGCACAGATGAGGTGCTGAGGAAGGTTTGTTAAACAGAACACAAAAAGTAACAATACAAAACCCTCCACCTGTCTAGTGAGATGGGCAAGAAAGAAGGGCTCTGGGTAAGCTAGATTTCAGTGGATTGCCATTCACACTCTGTATTATGTATAGGTAAGGGGACCATATGGTGTATCATCCAAAGCAGACACCTTGGGCACAAGTAATAATTATCCCAGGACAGCAGGGATAAACCAGCACTTCCCAGCAACCTCAGCCTCTGATCAACCTGTGTCCAGGGCTCTGCCGTAGGTGCTTTGGGTAGCACAGGTGGAGGAGGCTTCCTGGTAGCACTGGGCCCATAGAAAATGGGTGGAAAGACACAGTCCAGGCAAAGAAAAATATTAATGGCTGTTACTTATTATTAACTATTATAATGACTACTACACCCTGCCATCTATTGTGTCATTGGAGTATTCTATGTTTTATCATATATTTTAATAGTTACTGTTCACAAGTATTAGGCAGAGATTAACAATGAGCCGGGGGATCAGCAGGTTCCTATGTCTGGATGAAACAGAGGATGAACACGTAATTAGGAGTCCGATTAAGAAAGGCATTAAATATCAGGAGTGTGATCTTTGTCCTGCAAGCAACGGGGAGCTGTAAAAGCAGAGGTCAAAGCCACGTTTCAATGTGATTCACCTCCTGCCAGGACCTGGAATGCATCGCAGGGGGAAGAGGGAAGCAAGGAGACTTGCTGGGAAGCTACTTCAATGCCTGGGCAGACATCATAAAGGTCTGATCTAGGGCAGACCCATCAAAGGCAGAAAGGAAAGGCTGAAGGAATTAGCGCGAGAACATCCGGAAACAACAAGAACAGGTGGGGGTGGGCTTCAGCAATAACTAGATATGGGGAAAAAGAAAGGCCAAAATGACAATGACCAAACATTACCCTGGGTAGGAGAGATTGGCGCCATCTATGATGTAAACAGGAAGTGGAGAGGGGTGGCTTGTTCAGTGGAGGAGGAGCAGGGAACGGGAAGGGGAGGGAGAGAAGGGATGTCGACACTGTGGAGCAGTGTCTGCGCCGTGCACTGGTTTCCACGTGACAATTTGTCATCCTGGAGAGCAGTTCCCATCCCCATTTTACAAATGAGGAAAGGAAACTCAGGGGCCTGACTCTCAACCACGTCCATGATTTTCCTATCACACGTGACACATTTCTGACAGGGCAAAATCCCAAGACAGTGCAGTAGGCACCTCCGGAAGACACGGACACTGGGCAATGAGGCTCAGAGGTGCGGAAAGACAGGCAGAGTCCCAACCAAGGAAGAGCGTGTTTAAAACAAGAAGTCCAGAAACGCACATGGGTGTGAAGGAGAAAGAGTCCACTCACAGGGGACACTCGGAGACAGCGGGGGAAATCGGGGCAAAATGTCACAGAACCCTGGGAAAAAATTTTTCACGAAGTGTCCATTGGTGCAAAATGCCTCTGAGGTCATGCGGCATGGCTGAGAAAGTGATCCCTGAGGCAGAAAAGAGTCTCATGTGCTTTCCAAAACTGCCTGCGCCCAGCTCTGTGCCCATCACTCCGACCAGCCACGTGCTCACTGCTGAGTCTCCAGGGCCCAGAGGACGAGGCCCTGCCTCGAGTGAGTGCTCAGTAAGTATCTGTTGAACAATGAACCTCTTCAGGCTCCCCTTCTTCATCTATAAAACTGAATTAATTAATTTCTCCGTTCCTGTTCCGCTCTCAAGTACAATGAGGCAAATGTGGTGTCTTTGGTGACCAGTTTCAGCGAAGTAAGTAAAAACCAGATTTTAAGGGAAACAGCACTTTAAGAACACCCGTATCTCACGTCATCCCTCACAGCAGCTGACGTGAAGCCCTCACTCCCTCACGCTGATCCTCTATTGGAGGCTGGAGGAAGCCCCCGAAAGAGTCAAGGCCAGCCACGTGGGCACAGAGCCAGGCGTGGGGCCTACCCTCACGTAAAGGACATTTTTTTCAAATGTTCAAGATTTCCTGCGCCCATCCTTCCACGGTACGGTTGAGTAGAACATCCTGAAGGAGGCGGCTTCATGCCTCTCGCCTGCTTTCAACGTTCCCAAGGTTCTGCTCAGATCCTAGAGGTGCCTCTGTCACCCCTGCCCCACCACAGCAGGTGAGAAATATGACCAGGCTGGGGTGCTGATGGAGCATGAAAGGATGGACGAGGGGAGGCAGAGCCGAGGATGAAGGCAGAGAGGGGCAAATGCTTTGGAAACACACACGGATGCTCAGCAAAGGCCCCGTCATCCTCTCAGGCCCCCATCTCTCCATAGACAACTGCCTGCTAAGCTCCTGGTCTTAAAAGGCCTCCAAAGTGTCCCCTCAGCAGGAAGGGCTGCAAAGGAATCGTGCTCCCAACAGAAGCAGCATTGGAGGTCACAGTGTGCAGGCAATGGACTGTCGTCCAGTCCCACAAGAGCGCCAGGGGACCCAAACCAGGCTCTTCATGCAAGAAACGGAACGGACCTCAGTCGGCAGAGATGCAGAAAACGCCAGTGACATGGAACTCCAGGACGGGCAGGGTCTGCGCACAGGGAGATGAGCAAAGCGCAGCTCTCCCTAGAGGAGCTCGCGATGCAGCCAGGAAACAGCCAACTTTACACAAGGCGAGATGGACGGAGCTCAGACGGAGGCTCAAGCAGGAGCAGAGAGACAGGAGTCAATAGATTCAGCAGGAGTCTGATGTGAGGAAAAGGCTGGGCACTGATGGTCAAAGGGGTCAAGAAAGAAGTCAGGTGAGTGAAGTGGAGCAAAGGCAGAGGCCTCGTGGAGCTGGAACCAAGAACAAGCCTTCAACCCAGTATGATGTCTCCAGAGGCAGATTCGTCCACCCCTGAGAAAACAAGGACCTCACGCCACTGAGATTCGGACAAACGTTATCAGGATCCCAAATACAGAGGGAAGATTCCGTAAGTCTCATAAGCTTGTGCTCAGCCTCAAGGGAACGTGTACCAAGGGATCAGCATGTGAATGGTGTCGCTGAAGAAACAGGCCAGACCACAGACAGGGGGGCACACGCAGCAGCAGCCGCCACCCTGGGGTTCTGGAAGAGGGGAGGTGCTAAAGTTCTCTGCGGGCCGGGAAGCCGGGAGGCCCTGGGATGGGAGGGAGCCTCCAAAGAGCTTCAAGGCACCCTTTCTTCTGTATTTCCCTCATTCACTTTGAGAAGGACAGGCCAGCAAGGGCTTACACAGATACAAGGCCACTGTGATGCCCACGACATCCCCCCAAATAGCTGAGCAGCTGCAGCACGCCTGGGAAAGACGGCTGACTCCCAGAAACCACCAGAGCTGTACAGCTGCCTGCGGCGCCCCTGAGCCCCACCACAGTGCCCACGAAGCATCTTCTAGGCCCAGTTTGTCCAAGGAAAAGCCTCCTGTCTTCATCAAACCCAAATGCACAACAAAGCCAGGGGCTGTGAGGAGCCTGCCACTGGCTTGCTGCCACCAGCTCATGACCCCTGCCTCTTAATGTGCCCTACTTTGACCAACATGACATTCATGGCAGAAAGACAGAAAGAGCACACCCCTGTTAAGAGCCTAAAACCCAACTGCCACTGTATGCTGAGCCGTGTACCCCTTCCTAGCCCTGCCAACCACAGTCAACAAAGAGCTATGGAGGTCACTAAGTACCTCTGAAATTCCATTTCTGATTCTTCTCCCAGTGGCATCTCTCCCCATCTGAAGATAAGATGAGGAATTCTAATCACTGCATTGAATCCTGATGGCTCACACAGGCCACAGAGGAGAGCTCCCAGGACTCCTCGCACTCTGTCCTTAACCGGGCAGAACAGCCAGGACCAGGCAAGAGCGCCAAGGCAAACCGTTTCAAACAAACTGGGTCAGTGCCTTCTCAAACCATCGAGGGCCTCCTGCCTCAGGGCCTGGGCCAGGCCGGCACCAGCAGGCTCTCGGGCACAGGCACTCAGGCACCAAGCTCTGGGGAGCCTCTCCCGCTGGAAGGGGTCTCTAGAGATGAGTGCAGCAGCAGGAGGGGCTCTGTGACCTGAGAGCCATGCCTGCCCCAGCCCGGGTTTGAACCCTGGAGGTGATGTCAGGTAGGAATACGGTGAAAGTCGAACCTGTTCAGCTGTGTCTCGTGGTCTACTACTATTCCTCACCTCTCCAACAGACTGAAACCTCTTTGAGGGCAGAGCCTCTTCCAGATCACCTTAGGGACATCCCACGGCAAAGCCAACAGGTATGTTTTGAATTTTTTTATTGAGACATAATTCACATACCATCAAATTTAACATGTGGGACTCAGTGGTTTCCAGTATATGCAGACCTGTGCGACCCTTACCACCGACATTTCCATCACCCCATACAGGAACCACGTGCCTGTTCACTGTCACTCCTCAGCCCCACAACTACCATTCCACTTTCCGTCTCTATGGATTTGCCTATTTTGCACATTTCATATAAATAGGAGTCATACAATATGTGGGGTTCTGTGATTTATTTCACTTAACATAATGCATTCAAGGTTCATCCATTTATTCCTTTTTATGACCAAGTAATATTCCACTGTCTGGAGAGACTATTTTTCTTTATCCATTCACCTGTGAAAGATACTGAATTGTTTCCCCTTTTTTGGCTATTATGGAAAATGCTGCTATAAACATTCATGTACAAGTCTGTATGTGGACATGGGTTTTCATTTCTCTCGGGAATATACATACCTAGGAGTCCAACTGCTGGGTCACATGGCAGCTCTTCACATGGCAGCTCTATGTTGAACTGTTTGAGGAACCTTCAGGCTCTTTTCCACACCAGCTGCGTCACCGTACATTCTCACCAGCAGCGTATAAGAGTTCTGATTTCTCCACAGCCTTGCAAACATTTGTTAATCCCTGTCTTTTTTTTCTTTTTGGTCTTTTTTATTATAATCATCCTAGTGGGTACAACTGGAACATTTTTAGAATGGGATAATAGTTATTTCCCAAGATTTTGGATCTAGTTTTAAACCTTCCCAAAAGAGTTCTGCATACCACATTTGCAAGTGTGAATTTCTAATGCACACATGCGCACACGCACACACACACAGCCACCATGCTGGCATCAGGTGCATGACAATGCCAGGAAATGAGACATTTCACAGGGTACCTCAAAGGCACCCACAACCCCACGGCACACAGCAGCCTGTCTCCTGAGAGACAGGGCAGAGAAGAGGCCCTCCTGCGTGCCCCTCAGCACTCGTCTCCATCTCTGCTGACCTGTAAGCTCCAGGAACATGTGGCCCCTGCCTGCATCCACCATGCACTCCAGCACACAGCAGGCATGCAGTCGAGCTGCTGCACAGATGCACACCCAGGAAAGAAGGGCTATGTCTCCACAAATGCAGGAGCTGTTCCAGGGGCAGCTAACTTCCTCCAAATGTTCCCCAGGTAGCAACCATAACTAAACTAAAATATCATCACCAGCTGTCATTTACCCAAGTTCATCTAAACCAACCTGGCTAAATACATAACTAACAAGAACTAAAGTGAAGACAAAGAAGGCATGTTCGGCAATCCACCAGCCACACATCATAGAAAGAGCAATCATAACCGAATGAGAGAAACTACGGGACCAGGCGACAGTCACGGAGCACGGCAGAGCTGACACTTGTATCCGGCACCTCATTTTGTCGTTGCAACTTTTATATCTGAAGACTCCCCAAAAGCTGCACAACCAATCCAAGATCACTCCATCAGAGAAAAACAGAGACAATAAATGAACCGGGTTGTGTGACCCACATTTCCAGGTGTCCCTTTGCCTGCTGCCCACTGCCCAGCCTCTCCCAGCAATCCTTGCAGGCTGGGATGAGAGTAAAAAGACAGATGAATCTGAGTCACCTGTCCAGCCCAGGACAGGTGACTTGACTTAGCTGTTCTCTAATAAAGATGACAGAGACTGTGTCTTAGTCAACAGCAGGTTCAGTGAGGACCACAGTGCGTGGAAGCTGTCCTGGGAGGTAATGGGATCTGAGGCCTCCACTAATCAGTTCTAGAATTTCACAGAGAAACACTGAGAGACAAAAAGGTGTCCAGGAGGAATGCAGTTGGCAGAGGGCCTTGAGGGCAGGCTAGGGCTGCCTGAGTGATGGCAGGTCACCCACAGAGCAATCTGCCGTCTGGAGACCCACTTGGACGGAGGCATCCACTCCAGCAGCCAGGGCCAGGTCAACGGGGACAACCTGCAGGCAGACAGCATTGCCACAGAAGAAAGAATTGTCCAGCATCAGAATAATAATGGCCACAACCACGCCCTCTGCCTAGAGCGTCACACAAATTGTGAGATAGCCACTCCAGACAGATGGGGTTAAGTATTGTAACTAGCTACTAAGTGGTGAATCCAGGATCTGAGGGTGATCTGTGAACCATGTATCACAAAATGGCTCAAACAGAGACTGGGGACAGGGAGGAGAGGGTGCACTGGTTAAGGGTCCCCATGAGGTCCCTACCAGCAATGAAATGTCATAGGAGTTTAAAAAAAAAAAAAACTGCATGGTGAAGCAGTGAGGTGCTATTACGGTGGGCTGAAACACACTCAAAGAAACACCAAAGGAAAAATACAAATTGCTCAGCCCTGCAACCCAAAGTGTACGTGAGACTACTTAGAGCAACGTGTCATAATGCACTCAAAACTGTAACAATATTTATGACTATTTGCAACAGAAATAGTATGCCATAAAAAAGTAATATACAGTAACAGCATAAACATCATCATACAGACTCAGCAATGCCAACCAAAAAGCCCTTGTTACCAAGAAAAAGGCAATAACATTTGTACCAGAGAGAGCCTACCTGGATTCCTGTCTAAGGCACTGACAGAGGGGCTGCAAACGGTTGGTCGACTCCCTGTTGCGCCAGGTCTCTCCCTCGGCTTAGAGAACCATACAGGCTGCTCTGAAATCAGAGCCTCGATGAGGCATCACTTAAACTTCTTATACAACCTGCTTTAAAAACTCACTGCAGTTAGTCATAGACTAGTTCATGAGCCTAGAATCACCTCTAGCTGGCTCTCCACTGCCTTCCAACAGCAAGCACTCCTTCCCTGTTCTCTCGGGTCCCTGAAGGAAAGCTTCTAGCATGAGATTTATGCCCGCAAGGGTGGAGGACGACCTGAGTTCCACTAGAATACTTCTGGGGCTCTTCTGACACCGCCTCCGCGATACCATTTTTTTGGAGGGAGTGGGGAAAGTTACAGGCAGAAGTATATAAAAATTAAAAGCTTTAAAGCCGCTCTTAATGAGCAAAAACTTCCTATCACAAAGCCATCATCCAACTAACTTAGATCACTCTCCCAACTATTTAATAGTTTCCCAACCCCTCCCTTCTAAGAAGGAATGTCACCCAGAAAGAATATCTGCTGCTCAAGAAGTGTTTGCAGTCTTCCCTCCGGGTATTTACTGTGTAGAGCGCGTGCGCGCGCGCACACACACACACACACACACACACACACACACACACCCACTAGGGTACCTTGACTATTTCTCTAGGTGCCATCAGAACTGGTCCTCTACATGTTTTTAGATGTTTTACATAAAAGTGTCCATTTACAATGGAAACTTTTTCATTTCAAACCCCATTTTCCCTCCCTGGAATGAGTGGGGCACTCCTCTCCAAACACAGAGGACCAACAAGCCTGGGTGCCTCTACTACAGGGTTGTTTTGTACATAAAGCCCTTTGTAAGAAAGGACTCAAAAGTCCTAACCTGAGAAAAACACAGACCTCAGACATCATCAACAGACCTGGCAGGCATGACTTAGACCAACAGGAAAACCCAACACACCCCACATTTTCCTACAGACACGTCCACACAGTGGGGCAGGAGGAGCGTGTGAAGAGAAGGGATAGAAGAAAGGCAGAGAAGCAGCAGAATGCGTAACAATGATCATTCTCAACGTGCAGAAAATGTTCTTGACAAACAGAAGTGAGGAAAATGACACATAACATAAACCAGGCCAACCTTCATGCCTTAGGACCTACTGGGTACGTCTAGGGCAGATACTGGTAGATATGTAAACCAGCACTGGCTAGGTGACTTCTGCTCCTCCGAAAAGGTGTATTCTGGCCTTTACAACTCTCCAGGACACCTGAGGCCAGGCCTCCTGCCTCCCAGGTCTCCCATGGTGGCAATCTCTTCTACACTATTTCTCCTATGTGGGAATCTAAATGTCAAACTAATGGCACAAAACATACCAAATGCCTCCAGGTTAGGCCCACCTGGGGTCTCCAAAAATGAGGGAGAGGTCACCGCAGAACTGGTTTTCCACACTGCAGAGTCCTCAGTCCAGTCCCAATTGACCAAAGATCATTAGTTGCACAGCCGATAAGGAAGGCTGATGGCCTCCAAGGCCCGGCCCTGGACTGCTGAACCCCACGCGAGATTCCACAGAAGGGGACACCCGCCTAAACAGTCTCTCGACGGCACCAGCACCGGGTTCTGAAAACCGCAGGAGTTGTTTTGTTTTTTGTGGAATGTATACTGACGTACAGAAAGGGGAAATGACAGGATGTCTGGGGTTTGCTTTGAAATACTCCAGCAAAGGAGAAGGAAAAGAAAAAGAAAAAGAAAAGAATGGGACAGATGAGAGGCTGGTGGCATATCTTGATACCCGCCGAATCCGGGTGAAGATGAGAGGCTGGTGGCATATCTTGATACCCGCCGAATCCGGGTGAAGATGAGAGGCTGGTGGCGTATCTTGATACCCGCCGAATCTGGCTGATAGGTGTGTTGCTTCACTGCACTGTTCTCTCGATCTTTGTGCATGTTTGAAATTTTTTATAACACAGTTTTTTTTGTTTTTTAAGTGTGAGAGATGGTAAAGGTGGCCCAGGCCTGATGACAATGATTGATGATATTCCCATTGGGGAAAACTCCGTCCATTTCCCGAGGAGCAGAGCCTTTCCCTCTTCTGGAAAAGAAGTCACCCTTCCTCCCACACTTAAGCACCCCACAGCCCACAGTGAACTGTCTCCTCTGACCTCAACACTGCTTGCAGGGTAGCTCTTCAAAGACGGAAAGCATAGGTGAGTAAGCGATGTCGCCACGCCCACTGACAAACATACATACAAATGGATCAGTGCTGCTAGCAACAAATCCAACTCACTAAACCATTCTCATTGAAAGATCACAACAGCTATTGCCTGTTTGCCTCATTATTTAAAACCACATCATGGTATATGTGTGCTGTTGAGATAGATGAGTAACAGGAGAGGGGAGAAAAAGCACTCGGCACATTGCTGCCTTCCAGATGCATTGTGATAAACTCCATGGTTTCTGCCTGGCAACAATACTAATGGCAAGATACCCATTTCTTGTCCCAGACAGATGGATGTCTAAAAAGCATCTCATCTTTTAAACACAGAATTTTTTTACCCCTAAGCCAACATCCCAGCCCTCCCACAGAGCCCTGGCTGTTGCCAGCTCCCCGGCTGCTCCTGCGGGCCGACTGCAGCAAGGCGTATCCTCCTCCTGGAATCGGCTCGCCGCGGTTCCTTCCTGAGGGCTGGCGACCCAACGCAAAGCAGGAACGACAGACTCTGAAGTCCCCAGCTTGCAACTAGTACATGATCATCATTCTATCACTTTCAAATAAAAGAGCCTAATATTTTGAGCATAATGATTTTAAGGAGCTCAACAATTTCTTGGCATGCATTATTCATTTTGGGACACAACACTGTTATTTCACTGAGATTACTGTAAATCGCTACATGAAGAGCTGGCTTGCATGAACAATTAAATGATAGATATGATAAACTAGATTTATAAGCTTTATGTTCCCATAACATAAATTCCTTGAATGATTTAACTCAGCAGAGCTAGAAAATTCTTTCCAGACACCAGGTTCGTGGATCTCCAGCTCCCCCATCAGCATTTAATGAAAACTTACCTCAAAACCGAAAGGAAAAATATTTAATAAAAGGCTTAATATTACTACGGTAACCGCAGCAAGTTGTTTCAGAAATGAATAATAATAGCTCTGTTAGGTGCTTCATTAAAAATTTTCCAACCAAATACTGCCCTTAATCTTCTCCATGGAACAAAAGACTTATTCAGGATCCATGTAGAAGACTGAAAATAACGTCAGATACAACCTTGTGCCCAAGCACAGACGTCCTTACGTCTCAAGCACAGAGAAAGATGGAATCTAATCAGCTAAGAGGAGAGAAAGTTGGGTATTTATCCTAAAACAATTGATTAACAATCTCAATATCCCACTGTTACGTTCTTTCCTCCACGGATCAACAAAGACATTCCTCGTCTCACCAAAATGGCCTTCTCCTGGCACAGGCAACCGCCTGCAGATAATGCAGGAATCAAAGACTACAGTCACTGGACGCCAGGGTATGACCAAGAAACACCAGGGCCCACTGGACTCCAGGCACAGACAGGACTCCCTTCTCCAGAGAATTCCAGAGTTGGAGAAGTCCTAGAAACCAAATCTGACTATGGCACAGGACTTTTGAGACCACCCAGGCAATACTTGCTGGCATGAAGGAGGGCGCAGCATCTCCAACCCAACAGTCTCCTACCACTCTCCACTTAAGAGCCCAGTAGGACCCCTGGGCCTGGGATGACCCCGCTCAGACGTCCAGGCCAGCCTCACTGTGCTCAGACCGTCAACTGCTATGATGCCTGCAAGTGAGCAGGAGGGCTTCATTACAACTGGGTAAGTGACTGCTCCAGACCCCACGGGGGACCCAGATGGAAGCATCCAGCTCAGCCCAACCCTTCCCAGGAATCACTCGGCCCCACCTCTGCCTGGTTCACTCTGGCTGTGCTGTGCTCCTCTACCCACCCATAAGCTCTCCCCATCCTTATACCCAGTCTCCTGCAAACTCACTTCTGTCCCACCACGTCAAGCTGACGACTCAACCACACAGACATCTGGCACACACTCAGTCACTAGCTTTATGCTGGTGGCTACACTGCCTGGCACAGAGGAGGTGCTTAATGAATGCCCACAGGGGGTACAATCAGAGGGAGACAGGGCTGCCCAGATGCTTTATAACTAAATGCAACTAAGCTTATAAACTTCTCCAAAGAGGAGAGTAAGAAGAGAAGGAAGCAGCACGCAGTGGAATAGTTCACGGTCTACACAGCAGTTAACGGTGTACTCAGTGACTGCTGGACATGGGCACCGTGGCATGGCAAGACCACAGACGGGGATGCTTCTCAATGAGACTCCTACTTGGAATGCTTAGAACGGCTTGATAAGAATGTGCTTGGACCAGAGTGCCCACGCCCAGCATCTAGCATGCCTTACCCACATGTTTACACCCACAGGAAGGCTGGCTGGCCAGTCCAGCCCAAGCTTGTACTCCTTTGCAAATGACAGCCAAGAAGACAGAGACCGTGTGACCCTCAAGACCGAACAACCCCACAAACATCTATCTGCCTTGAGATGTCCTGACCCCATCCCAAATGCTTTCTGGCCCCAGCACAGCCAACGGCATCTGCCAGCATGATGAATGGAAGGCAGCTGTCCTTCCCGATGATGTGAGAACACAGGGTGCTGCCGGGTGCTACTCCCCAGGCTGTGTTTACGCTCACAGGTCAATCCGCTGTGAATGAGATGCAGTTTATTTT
The DNA here is from genome assembly GCF_000001405.40 of Homo sapiens. Taxonomy (NCBI): domain Eukaryota; kingdom Metazoa; phylum Chordata; class Mammalia; order Primates; family Hominidae; genus Homo; species Homo sapiens. The sequence goes on along the minus strand of NC_000022.11, from coordinate 46,843,791 downwards.
CATTAACAGAAAAGCTTGGCCTCCTTCACCCCAGGGAACTAGGATATCATACATCTCAGTTTACCCAGTTCACCGCTCACCTGCCCCTCTTAAACTGTTAAGAGTGCCCCGTTTACCCCCAAAACAGATGATAAACAATATGGCCCCTCTATTGAAAAACCCCAGAAGTCTACAGACGTCATCTACAGAACGCGTGATACCCACTCCCAGCCCCAACTTGCTGGATGGGTGTAAAGGCGTCACCCAAAATGTACTGGGGGCCACACTCTGTGCTCTTTTGGGCCCAGATAACAAAGGGGGCATGCTGAGGTGGCTTAATAACAGTGAATGATTCATATTTGGGACAGCTTCAGAATAAAGCCGAGTCTCAATCCCCTGGCATCCCAGGAGGAAGAGCTGCTGCAGCACCGGCCGGGCAGCCACTGTATACCCGTGGCTGTTTTATCTCTGCAGGGGAGTTATTATCATAAAAATCAATGACAACAACAACAGCTGACTTGACTGAGCGCTGCTCTGTGCAGGTGGTGGTTTGTATTACTGTATTAGTACACCGAATGCTCGTAACAACAGAAGCAAGTGATTCCCACTTGACAGATGAGGACCCTGAGCTAAAGGCGAGCAGCAGAACTGGCTCAGTGCCTCCCCTTGAACCACCACATTACAGTGGGTCATTTCACAAATGATGCCCTGAAATCCGGCCACCCAGCTGAACGCATGGAACTAAATCCATTTCCCACCAACTGCCTCAGGTACGCACAGTGTGCTCGAGGCACTGCAGACACTCAGAGACAGCCAAGTCCCAGGGTACATCAGGATCCCAGCCCTGCCATTCTGCACTCCTTCCATCTCCTCATGAACATGGGCCGCAGCACCTCCTTCAGCTCCCTTCTCATCGATGTCACCCAGACACTGCTCCATTCAACTGTGATGCTGTCAAGGCATGCCCTGGGCACGCAACAGCAGCTCTGGAACATCCCTACCTGTCAGGGCGCCAAAGCCCTCCCTCCCCAACTCATCTCCCGAAGCTGCCCGCTGGGCGTGGCTACACAGTGTGTGCACTGCCAAAGGGCCCTGGAGAACGTTCTGCAGTAAGGCTGATGTTCTACAGTTTGATCGGAGATCGCGCTGCACAGGTCATGCATTTGTTAAAACTCATCCCACTGATTTTTGTGCTGCAGGTTTGTACATTTCATGGTGTAAATATTACCTCCACGAAAACCCTAAATCAAGTTAATGACATGCATACTCAAGTGTTTACGGGGAGAACTGATATCTACAACTTACTTTGAGATGCATCCAAAAAGAAGAGACGGAATGATGGATGGACAGACAGAGACAGAAAGAGAGATGGAGGAGACCTAACATACTCTATATGGTGGCCTCAATGGATGGCCATGACAAGTCTTTCAGCTTTTCTCCATGTTTGAAAAGTTTCAAATAAAATGTTAAAAATAAATTCCAAGTCTTAGATCCCATAGAGACCCAAACCCATGACTGCTCAGCCTATATGGCTTTTGGCCGAATGAGATCCCACATCTTAGTTGTCCCTATCATTCAAATGGCCCCAAAGAAAGCAGCTTGTTATTTCAGCTCTGGGTTCTTCATGCCTTTACCAAAGAATGCAAAATTGATGGTGCCTGTTTTAAATTAAGGAAAAGTTTTTAAGTTGCAGCAAAAATACCTATACCTGTAACTTACAAACCCATCTATCCTTGTTTCATGTTGGATGGGCCAAATAATAATACAGAATGTTATTATTAGGGATACCAGGAATATCTGGATGCAATTTTTTTCCAGCTTAACAGATGTAACCAAAAAGTAAAAATGGTATGCAAATAAGATGTTCAACATGGGATTCAGATTTACGTAGACATTGTGAAATTACTACCAAAATCAAGTTAATTATATCCTTCACCTCACATGTTACAGTTACCTTGTGTGCGTGTGTGGTAAGAACACTTAAAACCTACTTTCTTAACAAATTCCAAGTATACCATACAGTACTGTTAACTATAGTCATCATGCTGTACATGAGATCCCTAGAACTGATTCATCGTATAAACGAAAGTTTATACTCTCTGGCTCACATCTCCCCACTTTGCAGCCCTCCAGTTCCTGATAACCACCATTCTACTCTCTACTTCCAGGAAGGCAATTTTTTTGGATTCCACATATAAGGAAGATGATGAATATCTTCTGGGTCTGGCTAATTCCATGTAGGATAATGTCACCCAGGCTCATCCATGTTGCTGTAAATGACAGGGTTACCTTCTTTTTTAAGGGTGAATAATATCACTGTCTCACTCCATTAGTACTGTTAAAACAAAATACCTGAGACTGGATAATTTATAAAGAACAGAAAATTTTTTCTCACGATTCTGGAGGGTGAAAGTCTAAGATCAAGGTGCTGGCAGGTTAGGTGTCTGACAACGGCCCTCTTGCTGTGTCCTCACATGGCGGAACGGCCAAAAGGGACAAATGTCATGTCCTCACATGGCCAAATAGCAGAAGAGAGTGAACCCACTTCCTCAGGCCTCTTTCTAAGGGCCCTAACCTCATCCATGAGGGCTCCACCTTCATGAATCACATCACCTCCTATAGGCCCCACCTTTGAATACTATCACATTGCTGATTACATTTCAACACATCCATTCTGGGGATCATTAAGGCCATGGCAATCCCATTTTCTCTCTCTCTCTTTCTCTCTCTCTCTCTCTCACACACACACACACACACACACACACCCATTTTCATTACTCATTCATTCATCGGTGAATACTTGGGTTGTTTCCATGTCTTGGCTATTGAGAATAATGCTGCAATGAACACGAAGGTACAAATATCCTCTACGAGGCACTGACTTCATTTCCTTTGGATATATACCCAGAAGTGGGATTGCTGGATCATCTGACAGTTCTGTGTTAAATTTTTTGAGGACCCTCCATACCGTTTTCCATAAAGGCTATATCAATTTACATTCCCACCAATGGTGTAAAAAGGTTCCCCTTTCTACAAATTCTCACGAATGCTTGTTATCATTTGTCTTTTTTTTTTTTTTGTAGACAGAGTCTCGCTCTGCCACCCAGGCTGGAGTACAGTGGCGCAATCTCGGCTCACTGCAACCTCCGCCTTCTGGGTTCAAGCCATTCTCCTGCCTCAGCCTCCCAAGTAGCTGGGACTACAGGCGCACACTACCATGCCCAGCTAATTTTTGTATTTTTAGTAGAGACAGGGTTTCACTATGTTGGCCAGGCTGGTCTCAAACTTCTGACCTCGTGATCCACCTGCCTCAGGCTCCCAAAGTGCTGGGATTACAGGCGTGAGCCACCACCCAGCCTCATTTGTTTTTTTGGTAAGAGCCATACTAGCAGGTGTGAAATGATAACTCGTTGTGATTTTTATTTGCATTTCTCTGATTAGTGATGTTGAGCCCCTTTTCATATACCTATTGATAATCTGTATGTCTTCTTTTGAGAAATGTCTATTCAGGTCCTTTGCCCACTTTTTCATCAGGTTATTTAGTTTGTTTGGTTTTCATTTTTGCTGTTGAGTTGTTTGAGCTCTTTATATATTTCAGACATTTACCCCATATCAGATGTATAGTTTGCAAATATTTTCTTATAATCCATAGGTTGTCTCTTCACTCTGATGATTATTTCCTTTGCTGTGCAGAAGCTTTTTAATTTGATGCAATCCCATTTGTCTATTTTTGCTTATGTTTTATGTTTTTGGTGTCATATCTAAAAAGGCACTGAGCAGAACAATGTCAAGAAGCTTTTTCCCTATGTTTTCTTCCAGTAGTTTTACAGTTTCAATTCTTACCTTTAAGTATTTAATCCATTTTAAGTTGACTTTTGTATATGCCGTGAGTTAAGGGTCGAATTTCATTCTCATGTATGGGAATATCTACTTTTCCCAACAAACTTATTGAAAAGACTACCCTTTTCCCTATTGTGCGTTCTTGGCACCTTTGTCAAAGATCAGTTGACCACAAATGCATGGATTTATTTCTGAGCTCTCTACTTTACATTCCATTGGTCTATATGTCAGTTTTTATGCCAATATCATACTGTTTTGATAATCTAGTTTTGTAACATATTTTGAAATCAATAAGTGGGGTGGCTCCGGCTTCATTCTTCTTGCTCAAGACTACTTTGGCTATTTGGGATATTTTGTGGGTCTATATGAATTTTAGGATTGTTTTTCTTCTTTTTGCAAAACATGTCATTGGAATTTTGATAGAGATTGTCCTATGTGTAGATCACTTTACATAGTGTGGACATTTTAACAATATTAATTTTTCCCATTCATACACATGGGATATATTTCCATTTATTTGTGTCTTCTTTATTTCCTTTTACCAACTGTTAAAGTATTCAGTGTAAGAATCCTTCACCTCCAGGTTGCAGTAAGCCGAGATCACGCCACTGCACTCCAGCCTGGGTGACAGAGCGAGACTCCGTCTCAAAAAAAAAAAAAAAAGAAGAAGAATCCTTCACCGCCTTGGTTACATTCACACCAAAGTATCATATTTCATTCTTTTTGATTCTATTGTAAATGGGGCTTTCTTAAGTTTCTTGGAGAGTTGTTGTTAGTGTATAGAAACACAACTGATCTTTGCATGTTGATTTTTGTATCCTGCCACTTCACTGAATTTGTATATTAGTTCCAACAGTTTTTTGGTGGAGTCCTTAGGGTTATCTACGTATAAGATCATGCGAACTGCACACAATTTTATTTTTCCTTTTTGATTTGAATGCCTTTTATTTCTTTTTACTGTCTAATTGCTCTGGCTGGGAAGGCATCCCTGTCCTCTTCCTGATCTTAGAGGAAAGGCATTTGTAAGATCTTAAGCTATGGGATTGTCATATACGGCCTTTTTATGTTGATGTACATTCCTTCTATACCTGATTTATTGAAAGTTTTATCAAGAAAAGATGTTGAATTTTGTCAAATGATTTTTCTGCATCTATTGAGATGATATAATTTTTCTCCTTCATTCTATTAATGTGATACATATTTATTGACTTGTGTGTGTAGAACCATCCTTGCATCCCAGCGATAAATCCCAATTAATCACAGTGTCTGAACCTTTCAGTGTGCTGTTGAATTCAGTTTGCTAGTATTTTGATGAGAGCTTTTGCATCTATGTTCATCAGGAATACTGGCCTGTAATTTTCTTTTCTTGTAATGTCCTTGTCTGGCTTTTAAATCAGGGTATAATATATCCTCATAATACAGCTGGGAAGTGTTCCCTCCACTTCAATTTTTGGAAAGACTTTGAGAAGAACTGACATTCATTCTTCTTTAAGTATTTGGTAGAATTCACCAGTGAAGCCATCTGGTCCTGAGCTTTTCCTCGTTGGGATGTATCCGATTACTGATTCAATCTCCTTTTCATTATTGGTTTGTTCAAATTTTCTATTTCTTCATAATTCACTTTTGGTATGCTATATGTTTCTAGGAATTTATCAATATTTCCTCATTTATGATTGCATTTGAGTCTTCTTTTTTCTTAGTCTAGCTAAAGGTTTGTCAATTTTATCTCCTTAAAAAACCAACTCTTAGGTTCTTTTTAATCTCGTCTGTTGTTTTTCTACTCTCTATTTCATTTACTTGTTCTAATCTTTACTGTTTTCTGTCTCCTGCTAACTTTGAACTTCGTTTGTTCTTCTTTTTCTAGTTCCTTCAAGTGTAGAAGTTGGGCTGTTTATTTGCAACTTTTTTTTCTTGAGACGGAGTCTCACTCTATCTCCCAGGCTAGAGTGCAGTGGCGCAATCTTGGCTCACTGCAACCTCCGCCTCCCAGGTTCAAGCAATTCTCTGCCTCAGCCTCCCGAGTAGGTGGGATTACAGGCACCCAACACCACACCTGGCTAATTTTTGTATTTTTAATAAAGATGGGGTTTCACCATCTTGGCCAGGCTGGTCTTGAACTCCTGACCTCGTGATCCACTGCCTCGACCTCCCAAAGTGCTGGGATTACAGGCGTGAGCCACTGAGCCCTGCCTGCAATCTTTTTTCTTAACAAGGCACTTATCACTATAAACTTTCCTCTTAAAACTACTTTTGCTGTATCTGAGAAGTGTTGGTATGCTGTATTTCCATTTTCATTTGCCTCAAGATTTCTTTTTATTTCCCTTTAATTTCCTCTTTGACCCACTGGTAGTTTAGGGGTGTCTTGTTCACGTATTTGTGAACTTTCTTCCTTTTATTTCTAGTATCACACCATTGTGTGATATCAAGATTCTTGATATTATTTCAATCCTCTTAAATTTGTTAAGACTTGTTTTGTGGTCCAATAAATGATCTAATCTGGAGAATGCTCCTTATGACTTGAGAAGAATGTGCATTCTACAGCTGTTGGATGGAATGGTCTGTCTATATCTTGTTAGGTCCATTTGGTCCATATTGTTATTCAAGTCTGCTGTTTCCTTACTGATTTTCTGTCTGGATGATTGATCCATTTTTGAAAGTGCAGTACTGAAATCCCTTATTATTATTGTATTGCTATTTCTTCCTTAAATTCTGTTAATATATGCTTTATATATTGAGGTTCTCCAATGTTGGATACACATATATTCACAATTGTTATATCTTCTTGATGAACTGACCCCTTCATCATTATACAATGCCCTTGTCTCTTGTGACACTTTTTTTGTTTCTTGAGACAGGGTCTTGCTCTGTCCCCCAGGGTGGAACCCAGGGGTGTGATCATAGTTCACGTTAACATCAAATATGCACCTAGGACTACAGGCACGTGCCACCATGCCCCGCTAATTTTTTTTTTTTTTTTTAGGAGACAAGATCTCCCTATGTTGCCCAGGCTGGTCTCAAACTCCTAGCCTCAAGCAATCCTCCCACCTCAGCCTCCCAAAGCACTGGAATTATAGGCATGAGCCACTGCACCCAACCTCTTGTGACAGTTTTTAACTTAATGTCTATTTTGCCTGATATAAAGATAGTCACCCCTGCTCTCTTTTGTTATCATTGGTGTGGGATATCTTTTTCTATCCCTTCACTTTCAGCCTATGTGTCACTAAAACTAAAGTGAGTCACTTATAGGCAGTATATTGTTGGATCTTGTTTTTTTAATCTATTCAGTCACTCTTTGTCTTCTGATTGGATAATTTAATCCATTTACACTTAAAGTAATTACCGATTGGTAAGGACTTAACTATGGCCAGGTTGTTGTTTTGCAATTGTTTTATAGCTCTTTTGTTTCTTTCCTCCTCTCTTGCCGTCTTCTGTTGTGATGATTTTTTTTTTGTAATAGCATGCTTTGATTCTTTTCTCTTTATATTTTCCATATCAACTGTATGTTTTTTCTTTGTGGTTACCATGAGGCTTAGAATAGTGTTACAAAATGCATAGTGCTAACCATCTATTTTAGGCTGATAACAACTTAACATCAATCGCACACAAAAACTTTATACTTTTAGTTCTCTCTCTTACAAATACACACATGCACATTTTGCTATTGATACCATAATTAATTTACATCTTTGTATATCCATTAACTAAATGTTGTAGCTACAGTTATTTTAATATTTTTGGTGTTTAACTTTTATACTGGCGTTAACTGTGATTTACACACCATCATTACAATATTGAGGTATTCTGAATTTGACTACATACTTACTTTTGCCAGTGAGTATTATACTTTCATAGGTTTTCATGTTACTAATTAACATCCTTTCATTTCAAATTTAACTCCCTTTCATAGTTCTTTTAAAGCAGGTCTAGCAGTAATGAATCTCCACCACTTTCGTCTGGGAAACTCTTGCCCTCATTAGGACAGCTTTGCTGGGTATTGTATTCTTAGTCGGCAGGTTTTTTTTTTCCTTGCATTACTTTGAATATATCAGCCCATTCACTCCTGACATACAAAGTTTATGTTGAGAAATCCATTGATAGTCTTAGGACATTCTCTTGTATATGACAAGTTGCTTTTCTGTTGCTGCTTTCCAAATTCTGTTTGTCTTTGACTTTTGACAGTTTAATTATATTGTGTTTCAGTATAGACTTTTTCACATTCAATCTGTTTGGGGTCCCATGGGCTTCTTGAGTCTGGCTATTTCTCTCCCCAGATTTAAGACATTTTTTGTTCTTATTTCTTTAAAGAAGCTTTCTGCCCCTTTCTCTCTTTTCTCCCTCTGAAATTCACATAATGCGTATATGGCTTTGCTTAATGTTGTTCCATAAATCCTACAGACTTTCTTCTCTCTTTCTCATGCTTTTTTATTTTCTAATTGGGTAATTTCAAATGACCTGTCTTTGAGCCTACTGATTCTTCGGCTTGTTAGAGTCTGTTGTTAAAGCTCTCAATTGCATTTCATAGTTCAGTCTTTGTATTCTTCAGCTCCAGAATTTGTTTGGTTCTTTTTTATGATTTCTCTCTTTGTTGAACTTCCCATTTTTGTTCATATATTATTTACCTGATTTTGTTGAGTTGTCTGTTTTCTCAATTGTCTTAAATTCTTTGTCAGGAAATTTGTAGATCTCCATCTGTTTGGGATCAGTTACTGAAAAGTTATAATGTTCTTTTCGTCAGGTCATGTTTCCCTGACTTTTCATGTTAAGTCTTGCATTGCTGTCTTTGCATTTGAAGTAACAGTCACTTTCCCCAGTCTTTACTGACTGGCTTCAGAAGAGAAAGATCTTCCAATCAGCCTGACTAGGAATTCTGGGAGCCTCTCAGACCTTTCCTATTAATGTACCCACTCCACTCCTCTTGTTCCCTATTTGGGGGTAAGTCTTAGGATTCTATACCTTATCTCAATCCCACAAAGCCAGGCCAGGTGTCACGAAGCTTCCATTTATTTTTCCTTAGGGCAGTGCTCAGAAGTGTCTAAGGTTAAGTTCTTTCTCTCAATATAGGAAAGTCAAGCCAGCTGTCTGTGTCTGCTTGTACACAATCTGCAGAGGCTCACGTGCTGTCTACAGGGGTGCAGTTGTGCCAGCTGCCAAGGAAGGGAGGCATACAGAATGCTGGAGGCATATGTGGGCTAGGTGGGGGTGTCTGCAGCAAACAGATCCTATGAAATTTGTGGACTAGCCTCTTAGTGAAGTCCACAAGGCAGTTAGTAGAAACTGTAGCCCTTTGTTGAGTTCCATGCCCTGACTACTGACAGTCCCAGCCCCTTTTCCTTGCTCTTAGTTGCTCCCAAACTATTCAGTCATGCTGATCCACTCAGTGTTCTGAAAGGGATGAGAAAGGAGTGGGCCTGCTGGAGAGCATCCCACATGGCTGGGGTCACTGGGTGTTCACTATGCTCTCACCTTCCCTTTTGAGAGAAATCAAGAACCAAGGGAGTTGGCACTGAGCTATGCTGCCTTCAGGGAGGGGTGTTATGGATAAGTGAAACTCTTCTTCTTACCCTCTTCAGTGTGTCTATTCTTGAGTGATTTTCTCCAACAAGACTGCTAAGACCTCTGCACTTGTACTCCTGTGCTCCACAGGGGTACTCTCACCTGTGGGCATTTGTCAAAATCAGTATTACTGCTGGGGGGGATGAGGGCTGAAAACTCCTATTTCACCATCTTTCTGACATCATTTGCCACAGTGTGCTTTTTTATTCTGGTATTTCCTTATACCCTTGAGTCTCTTCCCTATTTTAGTCAACCCAGCAGTCTGTATTCATTCCTCTTAATCAGGATTTGAGCTTTGCACCTGCTCCTTTTGGCTGGGGTTGAGTCTACTTCAGAGGCTAGGGATATAGAGGGTCCAAATACAATTTAAATAAGAAAATGCTACGAATAAAAGTGTTGAGAAGAATAAGAATTCTAGAAAAAAAGAAAAAGAAAATGGAAAGAAAAGACTTTTAAAATGTTAAGGCATCTGGCAGAGAGACCAAATGGGAACAAAAACCCAATTCCTCTCTCCTGACAAGTCCTTGCACCCTGGCCTATGGTTGCTTCAACCCACAAAAACGCCTTTGTTTATCAGCACTCAGGTATCAGTAGGCTGGCATGCAGTTGCAGTTTTACCCAAAGACAAGGCTCCAGGGAAACTAGACCTTTCACTGCTCTGGAACCACCTTCACAACTTTACTCCATTGCTTCTTCTGGAATATTATCCCATCTCTCCATTTCTTCAAGACCAAGCTCCTCTGCTCAGTTGTCACCTTCTCCTTTAAAAATGTTCCTGATCACTCCAGCCAGATGTGTTCCTCCCTTCCTTTGAATATTCGTCCTTTCTCAGTTGCTGGCTTGAGTCTTATCACCCCCACGAGTCATGAAGACCTTAAGGACAGGGACAGTAGCACAAAGCCCTTCAGGCAAGGCAGCTTGAGCCCAGTAGAAGAATGTGCCGTGGGACTCAGGAGAAGCCACTGTGCCTGCAATGCAAGGAGCCGGCCGGCCATGCTGGTTTCTAACTGCCGATCTTGAAAGGCCCTCAAGTGGTGACAGGTAGCTTAGCAGTTACCATGAGCTGGTCTAATTGAGCATCCCCCACCTACAATTCAAGTAGGTTTATAATAGGGCCTGAGCTATAACCTTCAGTCCAAACAACTTAAGCTTCCTATAAGTATGGTCCAATAAGTTAAAAGTCACATTAGTGCATTGACACACAGCAAACAAAGATTCTAAACACTGCCTAGTCATCACATATATAAAATTAAGACTTAAATAGAAAGAGATTAACTCATATGTATCTTCCCACTAACCTGAAAGTTTCAAATCACAGCTTTAATTGAGGCTGGGCCTCCTAGTCAGGAGAGATCTAACCTTGCCTCTTCCTGGAGCTGCCCAGGCGGACAGGGCCTCAGAATGCATACATGCTTTGTGCTCTACAGGCTTCTGCTGACACTCATGTTCAGTCTCCAAGAGGAATCCCCATGCAGCTTAGCTGGGGATGGACACCATCCGCCCTTCCCTGTCCCTGTTCTATCCCTTCTTCCTCACATTCCACAGAGCCAAGTGGAAGCCAGGTGACAGAAAGCGCATTCCAGTGCCTGCTGGCCAAAGTCTGACCAGTGAGAATGTCGCTGGCCAATGACTTCAGTGGCTTGTTAGCACCAGATATCCAAACATCAGCCAAATAATTATCATTTATTTCCACAGAATAAGAATAAATGTATTTTACATATTTTTATTAAAATATTTTATGTGGACAACATATTTTATTTATTTTTCTTTTTTGAGACAGAGTTTCGCTCTTGTTGCCCAGGCTGGAGTGCAGTGGCGCGATCTCGGCTCACTGCAACCTCTGCCTTTCTGTTTCAAGCGATTCTCCTGCCTCAGCCTCCTGAGTAGCTGGGATTACAGGTGCCCGCCACCACACCCAGCTTTTTATATTTTTAGTAGAGACAGGGTTTCACCATGTTGGCCAGGCTTGTCTCGAACTCCTGACCTCGTGATCCACTCACTTCAGCCTCTCAAAGTGCTGGGATTACAGGCGTGAGCCACTGCGCCCGGCCCCAGCCAACATATTTTAAAAGAAAACGTACTCTTTTCCATAAATCATAACTTTCTGGGACACAATTAAGAAGGGCATAACAAGATTTCTAAAGAGAGACAACGTGACTTCCCCACACACAGGCCCACAGCTCCCGCTCTGGATCTGCCCCATGGCCACCTGGTCTCCAGTTTGGCCCTTCCCTGCCATGATGCATGGACTGTCTCTCAGATACAAGGGCAAAATCAGGCCAGACATCCTGCCCAAACCCAGCCTCTTGCTGGGCCCCCACCATTTTCCAGAACATGAAGCCGAGAAGTTGACTCAAAAAACAAAAGGAATAAGAGAAATACTGACTTGCCTCCCTAAAATCCTGCACTTGCAACTGATGGCTTTTATCCCACTTGGAAAGATACAATAATAATGAGGGGGGAAAGGACCTTCCAACATTGATAACACCAAACAGCAATTCACTGGAATCAGCTAATTTTAATATTTGAAACATTCCAACATTGTATCCTGTCCTTCACTTTCCTGACTTCGCCACGATGATCTATCGCTCCTTCTCTTTCAAACGGATTGCCAAACAGCATTTTATTGGGGATTTCCTCTAAAAGGTAATTGGAGGTTCCTGCAACCCAATTTATAGGTGCATTGTTTCCATTTATTTTAATTTTATTTATAGCCTTCTGCCAGAGCCCGCTGGGCACAGGCAGCTATAAATCAAAGATCACAAACACAGTGCTGCTCTGTTCCTCTGTGGATGCTCACGTATCAGGGGATTGTTTGGTAAGCTCTAATAGGAATACTAATTACTTTTTCAATCAGACCATGGGTGTGAACTCACTTGAAAAACTGCATAAAACAAAATTTCATTATATACTAGATATGATCTTGAACCAAAGGACACCAGGAGTGGTCCTACTTGAGAAGGAACACACAAGCCACGTGCTTGTGCTCCGAGTCCGGGAGTTACTGCAGGTTCAGGCTCATCTGCTGGATGACCTTGGAGCAGGTATCTTGACCTCTGTGGGCCTCGGTTCCCACAACCGTTAAACGAAACAGTGGTAAAGAGAATCTACTCTGGAGAGTTGCTGGAAATCCAACAGGAGACTCTACAGAGACTCCTGCAACAATGTCAGACACACAGGAGGTCCTCCACGTCAGCATCCTCCCTCCTATGGAAATGTCAGGGGTGGGCTCTGTCCATGCTCTCTGCTCCTGCCTGACAAGAGCCCACTGGGTGATTTCGTCCACCAACACCTCCATTCTCATGGTGCCAGGACCCAGTGGCCAACATCAAATGCCTTCGGCCTGCCCAATCTGCTCTTCCTCTCGTGTCCTCTTAGATGAGGTCACTGTCATCCACCGTGACTCCAATGCCCAGCATGACTCACTGGGACCCTGAGGCTCCCTCACACCACCAGTCACTAGATTCTCTGACTCCATCTTCCTCGGAGATACCTCTTAAAGCTTTTCTTTCTTCAGCATCCCCACTCCAACAGCTTGACCCTCTGCCCAGAGCCCGCTCGGCACAGGCAGCTATAAATGTATTTCCCACCTACGCTGACCCTGAATCTATCTGCACTTTTCCAGGCCACTTGCACCAGAATGAACTTTCTAAAAATTATAAATAGGATCACATTACTTCCCAGATTCAAATCCTTCAAGTGCTCTGAGTAGCAGCCTGTATCACTGTTCTTGAAGATTCACTTCCCTGTAAAAGGATTATACATTCCTGCCCATTGATGTTGGGCTTGGCCTTGTGCCATCAGCTGGCCCACGGAAAGTGATGTGACACACACTGTCCTGGCAAAGCTCAAAGAGGCACTGGGACCTTCCACCAGCCCTTTGCTTCTGCTCTGTGCCATGGGAGCGGTCCCAGACAGACTGCACTTTCCAGCCAGGGCTGGAATGAGGACACACACAGAGCTGCTCACAGCTTGCAGCCTACATGCAACATGACGCCCTGCGATTTCTAGCCCTGGGAGATCTGAGGGCTGCTGGAAACACTGCAATCACTGATCTGTCATTTATTGAGAATAGGGCCCTACCCTCCAGGGGCTCGAAGGGTGATGGGAAGTAGTGTGAGTGGAGAGAAGTCACATACGATGAGCAGTCACTCTCAGGCCTGGCAACCACAAGCCTTCAGAAAGCAGACCATCCACCATGCCAGCCTGCCTCCAGTCACTCGCCTCAGCGTCCCCATGCATTCCCGCCTTGGGTGCGGCACGCCTGATGCCCACAATACCTATGCCCAGCTCCACACCCTTCCAGCCCTGCTGTACCATCAGCAACTGGGAAATGTCTCCACTTCAGATCCTTTCCCCACCCAGGGCTCTGCGCTCACAGCACCAGGCAGACATTCTGTCTCTCGCCGAGCACAGCGCCTTGGGAACAAAGCCAGTCTCATTTCCCTGTGTACCCCTGCTCCTTTCATGGTGCCTAGTACTGAGCTGGCACTGAATCTGGTGTCTTGGGATTTTTTTCTTTACGACCTCCATTGTTTAGAAATATCAACACACACAGTTCCTACAAAATTGTTTCACGCGGCACTGAACTCCAAACCTCCGGCCCCCAAACAGGAAAAGAGCCAATTTTGGAAACAAAGGCTAGAGATAACCTCAGAAATCCATGGAGGCAACTAAGAGCCAGAAGACCTTTTGGAGGCATAGAAACGCCGCTGGCCCCATCGGGATGAATAATAGCTGCATTAGCATTCCCTACCTTGGGCAAACAGGCCACTGTAAATGCTTATTTTATGACTCAGTCTTTCATAAATTATGCAGTAAGATTCTCTTAACTTGGTTTTTCTCTGGCCTTCCCAGATGCAGTATTAACTTGGCAGCAATGTGAAGCAGATGTATTCTCTCCGTGCTAGTAAGTCGGTTAGAAGAGTTCTGTCTCTAATCAGCAGCAAAAGCAGAGGTGACTTCAGGAGCATCAGGGAGCACAGGAAGAGAGAAGCAACAACAGGACCATCCCTCACAAACCCCTACTCACCAGGCCATGAAGGGGGTGAGTTCCACAACATACATTTTCAAGACATCCCAAACATTACCTAATTTCACCAGGTACCTACGTAATATGTGCCCTGAACCACGGAACCTGAAGATGAATAAGATGCACCCCTACCCTGAGGGCTCACAGCCCAGGCCACAAGTAACTATGAAACAATGCGTTTGATTACTGCACAATTAATTTTGTAAGGACAGAGAGAAGAGTCAAAGAAAAAAGAGCCACAAAGAGGAGGTGCTATTTGATCCGACACTTGGAGAATGCACAGAAGCGAAGCAGGGAAACCCCCACCCCTGACCACCAGCAGAAATGTGGAGGGGGTGGGGGACACATCTGGGCTCTCATCCCAGACCTGTGACATTGGAGAGTGTGTGACCTTAAGGACTTTGTTTACTGTATCAGTGCCTCTAGCTCATCTGAAACAGACAATATAGAACCTGCCATGTAGGTCGTTTCAAGTATGAAATAAGACCCATGAGGTACTAAGAACAGCACCAGGCACAAAGGAAATGAGCGCTCAACGTGAGGGCGTGTATCTGTGTGTGCACATGTGCACAGCTCACCTGAAGAGCAGAGATGAGCCCATGTGGCTAGAGTGACAGTGGGTGGCAGAGAACAGTCCAAACAGAGACAGGAGGGTGGGAGAAGGCCTAAGTGGGAGGTGGTGAGAGGTGTGGCCTCCTGTCCCAGGCTGAGGAGTCTGGACTCTGAGCTCCATGCAGGAGGCTAACCAAGGATCTGAAAGCAGAAGCTCAGGTAAGCAGACTGGCCTCTAACAAGATCTCCTGTGGGAGACGGGCAGGAAGAGGTAAGCTGGACGCCCTTGGGCCAGACGGGAGACTCCCAAAGCGGCCCAGGCCAGAGACAGGGAGAGTGTGAACTCCAGGACAGGCCGTGGGAGTGGGTAGAGAAATGCAACAGACAAACATCTCACAGTGACAAACATCTCGCAGTGGCCCAGGTAGTTCTTCAAGTGGACATGTTGTTAGAACCAGAATGTGAACAACTAAGAGGACAACAGGCTGCTTCAAAGGCTTCTTGCCTTTTCAATCTTTAATTCCTTTGTCTTTCTTCCTGCAGAATTATGAGGCCTCCATTTTTTAACTTTATCACACTTACATATATTTATTAATCCGTGGGTGAGAAATCATGCTGAGCAAATGTATCCCACCTCCATCCATTCTCTCAAATACAAAAGAAAAATCCCACTGGAGTCCTGACGCTGCACCAGAACCTCTGCTGTGTTGGAAGGCACGGGAGTGTGGAGCAGCCCCCTGGCCTCAAGATGCTTCTAATCTTAGTCAATGGCACACGGAAGTCCCTGGGGCGTGAAAGTCCTGGGAATAATCTGCAGTGACACCTTGTGGGGAAATTACACTGCACGACGCACAGGCCTAACAACACTTGAGATTGTGTTAGGGTGGGGAGCACAAAGGGGAGCACCCATGCCATATATCCGCACAAAGAGCTGCAGAGCGGCCTTAACGCTGCTCACGTGGTTGAGACAGACAGTCCCTGCGGATAAGACAAGCACCTCCAGATGAAGTCTTCACTGCCCGCCCCAGTAGAAAGTGGCCCATCATCCATCATCCTGGGACCCCAGTACGCTCCACCCAGGTACTCTCAGAGAAGAGAGGAGTCATAGGTCACCCTTCAGAAGCCCACCTAAGGCTGAGACCTCACTCACACCACCAGGCTGCACAAAGTGACCAAGCCCACACGCATCCTCAAGTGGAAATGACAGCAGCTCTCTCTGGGCAGGCCGATCACCTAGGCTGATCAGACGTTCTGCTGGCGGCCAGGACTCGTTTTGATACGAGAAGACTACGACTTATAAAATACCATTTGGTACACGCATGTTCAAAAGGTAAGTCCGTGAGAAAGGAAAGCAGATTCCGAAGGGGCTCTGGGTGGCTGAAATGCCTTAGGGATAGGCAATGTGGGTGAGGTAGTCATGTTTTAGAAACACAAGCTGCACCGATGGTGAAAATGCCAACGTCATTAAGAGGACATTGAACACAGTTTTCTCCCGAGGTGATGCATTCGCTGCATGGGAGCTCAGGAACGCCGACTCGGCCTGCATGACTTGCCCCACGTGAGGTCACAACACCATCGCGTGGTGACGGCGGGCAGAGCACTCTCCAAGGTAAGTTAGAAGCCTGACCTGAACAGGCAGGGGGCGCCATGGGACCCGGGAGACCCCACTCACCTGAGGACACAGATTATAACCAAAGAGTGCTGAGGAATCGTGGCACTTATAAATAGGTCGTGAAGATAATTTTAACATAATTTGCTTTCCAGGCACAAAGAACCCTGTCAATCAACTCTACAACAGGATAGAGGAAAGAGTCTCTGTTGATGGCTTCCTGGCAAAGGAAGAAAAACAGATTTTACAGTGAGCTAATCTGTCTTTCAAAAAAAAAAAAACGGAAACTAAAACCAGATTTACGTTTTCGTGTATTCATTCAACAGCTATCTGAGTGCTGACTGCAAGCCAGGAACCGTCCTGCACAGCGTCCACAAGTTTCACTCTGGATGGGGCAAGCGTCTGCCCAGGTTCAAATCCTGACTCTGCTGCGTGGGTGCTATGGGATTGTCCAGTCACCCCTCTGAAACTCATGTCCTCATCTCTAAAATGGGTACAACACTTCACTTTGTAGGACCATAGCACTCAAGCAAGCTCCGGGACAGTCTCCGGGACCTCGCTTCCACCCAGGCTGGCCCTGCTGAGCCTCACAGGAGCCCTGGGTGCCCAAGCTCCACCTGCATCCCATCCACCTTCCAGGACACCAGGACACGAAAAGCCCTCTCCCAAACACACTAGGACAAGACAAAACCATCAGCGAAAAATCCGCTCAGGAAATTGACAGCAGAAACACAGATGGCCCATAAGATGTGAAAAAAGAAAACTTGATCAAGTCTTAAAAATAGGCATATCTTTGGAAACAATAATTTTACATTGAGTAATTATCCCAAGAAAATAACCAGAGATGAGAGCTAAGATGTGAGTACTAAGATATCTGAGGCAGTGTTTAATGGGAAAAACTTGGAAGAAACAAATGGAGAACAGGGGCGGCCAGGAAAGTGTGGCCCAGCCAAACAATGGAACCCCACATTGGTACCGAATGTCGGCTTGCAGAAGAACATCCAGTCACACAAAGGGCCACAGTTTAGCGTTAAAAGAAGACCACCAGCTGGGTGTGGTGGCTCACGCCTATAATCCCAGCACTTTGGGAGGCCAAGGTGGGCGGATCACGAGGTCAGGAGATCGAGACCATCATGGCTAACACGGTGAAACCCCATCTCACTAAAAATACAAAAAATTAGCCAGGCGTGGTGGTGGGCACCTGCAGTCCCAGCTACTCGGGAGGCTGAGGCAGGAGAATGGCGTGAACCCGGGAGATGGAGCTTGCAGTAAGCCGAGATGGCGCCACTGTACTCCAGCCTGGGCGACAGAGCAAGACTCCGTTTCAAAAAAAAAAAAAAAGAAGACCACCACAGTGTCTCATCACCCAGGTGAACTTCTGTTTGAAAAACGTTTTTTCATATTACATATGCAATATGTGAGGGCAATTTTTATTTAAAACAATTCAGTTTAGGCTGGGTGTGGTGGTTCATACCTGTAATCCCAGCACTTTGGGGAGGCCAAAGCGGGTGGATCACTTAAGGCCAGAAATTCGAGACCAGCCTGGCCAACATGGCAAAACCCCGTCTCTACTAAAAAGACAAAAATTAGCCAGGCATGGTGGTGTATGCTTGTAATCCCAGCTACTTGGGAGGCTGAGGCACAAGAATCGCTTGAACCTGGGAGGCAGCGTTTGCAGTGAGCTGAGATCGTGCCACTGCACTCCAGCCCGGGTGATAGAGTGAGACTCTGTCTCAAAAGAAAAAAAACAATTCACTGTAATCTTTTTTGGCAAGTGGGTATTATATAATTCATATGAAGGGAGAGAACAAAGTTCTCTGCATCTCCTGGTAAAGGGAGACGGGCAGATTCCAAAGGCAGAGCCATTGCGGGTCCCCTGTGCTGGTGAGGGGAGCTGGGCCCCTGCAGAGAGGAAACACAGCACAGGCATGGGCACGGCGGGGTTCAGACCCCCAGGAAGAAAAAGGCACCTCTAAGAAATTCCTGGTGGCAAAAGGAATTTCTCTGGGGGGAACGTGGATGTTTAGTCATCGATTTTAAGTTATTACATAACTATTACATTATCCCTGACACTCCAAAACTCCACTGACGCCTGCTGCACACGCAAATGCCTTGCGTTAAGGGAAAACACAGGCACCACCCTTCTTTGCAGAATTAAAAATGTATTGACCCAAGCAGATCAGCACATGAAAAAGAATGCTGGGCAGGCCAGGTCTCAATGTAACTCCAGCATCCACACCCCACGTCCCCATCCTGGCATCTGCCTCGGCTACAGATCACTACAGACACACCTGTGTCCAGCTGCCCACTTGACACCCTGACTGATGGCTCAGGGCACCTCAGGCTTTACATGTCCCAAGCCAAATTCCGTCTCTTTTCTCCCCAAATCTGCTCCTCTCCAAGTTGCCCCATCCTCAACAGCCACTCCTGATGGCCCTCCTTCCCTCATCCTTCACACCCAGTCCCTCAACAAGCCTCCTCCCCACAGCTTTAAAATACACCCCCTCAAACCCCAGACTTCTCATCACCTCCTCCACCTCCACCGACTCCAGCCACCACCCTCCTAACTGGTCTTCCTACCTCCACAGAAAAGCCACAGGGATCTTTCTGAAAGCCTAAGTCGAATCGCGCCAGCCCCAGCTCAAACCTTCCACTGGCTTTCCACCACAACTAGCATGGAATGTGACCTCCTTCCACCGCCCTCAGGGGCCTGCAGGATGCAGCTCTGATTCCCCTCCCTCCTCGCTCGCCTCCAAGCTCCACCTTCACTTCACTGCAGCCACAGCGGCCTTCTTGGAGAAGGACCACATGCACACCAAGCTCATCCCCACACACCCCTCCTTAGAGGGTTATGTGCCCCCAAATCATCAGGTGGCTATCTCCTCTCATCCTTTGGGTCTACGCTTCACTGTCACCCCATCAGAATGACCATCCAAATCACCTTCATAAGCAGCCCCTTCTTCACCCCTGCACCGTCCAACACAGGAGCCTCGAGCCACGGAAGCTACAGGACACCCAAAAAGTGGTCCAGCTGAGAGACGCTCTAAGTAGGAAACACACTCTAGGCTTAGTACAGAAAACTGAGTGTAAGTTATCTCATTGACAGTTTTTATATCTATTATATACTGAATTTATAACGTGTTATGGTGATATAGTTTATATATTATATTAATAAAATGTATTACTAAAACTCATCTCACCTGTTGCTTGCTACTTCCTTACCACGGCTACAGGGACACTTTAAATCACACCCGGGCTGGCACTGTCGCCCTGGGTGGTGCTGCCCCAGACCATGGTCCTGCATCATCTGAATCACAGCTCCACTGTCCATCCCACTTGTGTGCGGATGGGGTCAGGTGTGCGTGTGCAGCACCTGCTGGTCCTGGTCACGGCCGCACTCCCGGCTCCTGTGACGGCATGTGGCACGCAGCAGGCTCTTACCCCAGAAGTGCTGTGAGCTGATTAAATTACATCAAGAGTTCCGGAGAAGGCAGAGCAGACCCAGCAGTGACCATGAGAAGAAAACTCAATAGCATCGCTAACATTTATTAAGTACTGCCCACGTGCCAGGCACTATTCTAAGACCCTGCCTTCCATGAATTCATTGAATCCTCCCCGTAAGTGGTGAGGCAGGATTCAAGCCACACTGCAGTCTGCATCCTGCCCAGCATGGACAACGGCACAAACACCACGCGGGCACCTGCCACACAGCTTCCCATGCCCTGAGAACTCACCCAGGGCCCTGGGCCTCCCTGAATGGGCCTGCCCTTCCCAGGGGACCTCAAATGGCAGGTAGGGTACAGTAGTATCAACCACACGAAGAACAGAAACTGAATGGAGCTGGTGATGCACACGTGGCGATTTCTTTGCAGCAGTGTTCTATATTTTCCAAATTTTTCTATAATAAACGTGCATTATGTATATAAGCCTAAACTTTTCTATATCACACCTTTGAATAAATCAGATTTGTAAGGCTGTGGGTCACCATGAATCACCACAGTTTGGTGTTGCCCTGGCTTTTGGATTCTTCACAGAGACACTGTCATGGACCCTCAACCTTATACCTCATTCGGCCTCCTACATGTGTATTTCTTCAAAGAAGACAGTAAGATGCTTTGGATTTCAAATTGCAGTCACTCCCAGAAGCCTGATGCAGCCGGATACTTGTGGTTCCTGACAGCAGAGGTTACCCACATTGGTCTGAATGGTCCCAGCACCGACTCTCTTGCTGTCCTTTACCCTAGGATAGTGGTTTTCAACCCAGGAATGATGGGGTCTCTGGCTTGGGGAGCTCCCCAGGAGACAGGCAATTCTCACATATACTGGAGCTCACCTAGATCTTAGCCCAGGGTCCCCATTCAAGCAAAAGTAGGGCCCCTTCATTTGGTGACCTCAGCCCCCACCAACCCTTAGCCCAGACAAGTGGGTTCTCCCCCAGCAAAAGACACCCTCTCCACCAAGGGACAAAGTGCTTCATTAAGCGGGTCCTGCTCCCCATGCCACCCAACTGGGTGGGACCCTCCAACAGGGGTTATCAGATACCCTATAAAGGACAGATCCTGCTGGCATCAGGTTGGTGCACCTAAAGGTCAGAGGTTCCAGAAGAAGCAGGAGGCACCCATCTTTGCTGCTCTCCAGCCTCCATGAGTGACATCTCTAGGCATGGGAGTGAATCAGTTGAATAGGGCCTGAAGTGAACCCCCAGCAAACTGCAGCAGCCCTACAGAACAGGGACCTGACTATTGCAAGAAAAACAAACAGGCAGAAAGCGACAACAACATCAACAACAAAAAGTCCCCCAAAAAAAACCCCAACTAAGGGTCAGCAGCCTCAAAGACCGAAACTAGACAAACTCACAAAGATGAGAAAGAATCAACGAAAAAATGCTGAAAACCCAAAAGGCCAGAGTGCCTCATCTCCTCCAAATGATCACAGTGTCTCTCCATCAAGGGCACAGAACTGGACAGAAGATCAGATGGACAAATTGACAGGAGTAGGCTTCAGCAGATGGGTAATAAAAAACTACACTGAGCTAAAGGAGCATGTTCTAACCCAATGCAAAGAAGCTAAGAACCTTGATAAAAGGTGAGAGGAACTGCTAACTAGAATAACAAGTTTAGAGAGGAACATAAATGACCTGACGGAGCTGAAAAACACAGCATGAGATCTTCGTGAAGCAAACACAAGTATCAACAGCTGAATCGACCAAGCAGAAGAAAGGATATCAGAGTTTGAAGACCACATTAATGAAATAAGGTATGCAGACAAGAATAGAGAAAAAAGAATGAAAAAGAATGAACAAAGCCTCCAAGAAATATGAGACTTCATAAAATGACCGAACCTACGATTGCCTGGAGTACCAGAAGGGGATGGGGAGAATGGAAACAAGCTGGAAATCTCACTTCAGGATATTTACCCAGGAGAACTTCCCCAACCTAGCAAGACGGGCCAACATGTAAATTCGGGAAATACAGAGAACACCATTAAGATACTCCACAAGAAGATCAACCGCAAGACACATAATCATCAAATTCTCCAAGGTCAAAATGAAGGAAAAACTGTTAAGAACAGCCAGAGAGAAAGGCCAGGTCACCCACAAAGGGAAGCCCATCAGACTAACAGCATAAACTCTACAAGCTAGAAGAGAAAGAATCAATATTCAACATTCTTAAAGAAAAGAATTTTCAACCCAAAATTTCACATCCAGCCAAACTAAGCTTCATAAGCAAAGGAGAAATAAAATCCTTTCCACACAAGCAAATGCTGAGGGATTTTGTTACCACCAGATAAACTGCAGAGCTCTGCCCTGCAAGAGCTCCCAAAAGAAGCACTAAATATGGAAAGGAAAAACCGGTACCAGCCACTGCAAAAAAACACCAAAATATAAAGACCAATGACACTATGAAGCAACTGCATCAACTAGTGTGCAAAATAACCAGATAGCATCATGATGACAGGACCAAATTCACACATAACAATACTAACTTTATATGTAAATGGGCTAAATGCCCCCAATTAAAAGACACAGACTGGCAAACTGGATAAGGAGTAAAGACTCATCAGTGTGCTGTATTCAAGAGACCCATCTTACACACAAAGACACACACAGACTCGAAATAAAGGGATGCAGGAAAATATACCAAGCAGATGGAAAGCAAAAAAAAAAAAAAAAAGCAGGGGTTGCAATCCTCGTCTCTGATAAAACAGACTTTAAACCAACAAAGATCAAAAAAGACAAAGAAGGGCATTACATAATGATAAAGGGAAGAATTCAACAAGAAGAGCTAACTATTCTGAATATATAAGCAACCAATACAGCAGCACCAAGATTCATAAAGCAAGTTCTTAGAGACCTACAAAGAGACTTAGACTCCCACACAATAACAGTGGGAGACTTTAACACCCCACTATCAGTATTAGATCAACAAGACAGAAAATTAACAAGGACATTCAGGACTTGAACTCAGCTCTGGACCAAGTGGACCTCGTAGATGTCTATGGAACTCTCAACTCCAAATCAACAGAATATACATTCTTCTCAGTGCCACATGGCGCTTATTCTAAAATCGACCACATAATTGGAAGTAAAACACTCCTCAGCAAATGCAAAAGAACTGAAATCATAGCAGTCTCTCAGACCACAGTGCAATCAAATTAGAATTCAGGATTAAGAAATCACTCAAAATCACATAATTTCATGGAAATTGAATAACTTGCTCCTGAATGACTCCTGGGTACATAATGAAATTAAGGCAGAAATCAAAAAGTTCTTTGAAACCAGTGAGAACAAAGAGACAATGTACCAGCATCTCTGGGACACAGCTAGAGCAGTGTTAAGAGGGAAATTTATAGCACTAAATGCCCACATTAGAAAGCCAGAAAGATCTCAAATCGACGCCCTAACATCACAATTAAAAGAGCTAGAAGAGGCAAGAGCAAACTAATCCAAAAGCTAGCAGAAGACAAAAAATAACTAAGATCAGAGAAGAATTGAAGGAGACTGAGACACAAAAAACCCTCCAAAAAATCAACAAATCCAGGAGCTGGGTTATTGAAAAAATGAACAAATAGATGGCTAGCTGGACTAATAAAGAAAAAGGGAGAGAAGAATCAAAGAGACACGATAAAAAGTGATAAAGGAGATATCACCACTGACCCCACAGAAATACAAACTACCATCAGAGAATACTATAAACACCTCTATGCAAATAAACTAGAAAATCCAGACAAAATGGATAAATTCCTAGATGCATATACCCTAACTAGACTAAACCAGGAAGAAGCTGAATCCCTAAATAGACCAATAACAAGCTCTGAAATTGAGGCAGTAATTAATAGCCTACCAACCAAAAAAAGTCCAGGACCAGACAAATTCACAGTTGAATTCTACCAGAAATACAAAGAGGAGCTGGTACCATTCCTTCTGAAACTATTCCAAACAATTGAAAAAGAGGGACTCCTCCCTAACTCATTTTATGAAACCAGCATCATCCTCAGTCCAAAACTGGTAAGAGACACAACAAAAAAAGAAAACTTCAGGCCAATATCCCTGATGAACATCAATGCGAAAATCCTCAATAAAATACTGGCGAACCAAATCCAGCAGCACATCAAAAAGCTTATCCACCATGATCAGGTAGGCTTCATCCCTGGGATTCAAGGCTGGTTCAACATATGCAAATCAATAAACATAATCCATCACATAAACAGAACCAATGACAAAAAACCACGATTATCTCAACAGATACAGAAAAGGCCTTTGATAAAATTCAACATCACATCCCTTCATGTTAAAAACTCTCAATAAACTAGGTATTGATGGAACATATCTCAAAATAATAAGAGCTATTTATGATGAACCCACAGCCAATATCATATTGAATGGGCAAAAGCTGGAAGCATTCCCTCTGAAAACTGGTACAAGACAAGGATGCCCTCTCTCACCACTCCTATTCAACACAGTACTGGAAGTTCTGGCCAGGGCAATCAGGCAAGAGAAAGAAATAAAGGGTATTCAAATAGGAAGAGAGGAGTCAAGTTGTCTCTGTTTGCAGATGACATGATTTTATATTTAGAAAACCCCATCAGCTCAGCCCAAAAACTTCTGAAACTGATAAGCAACTTCAGCAAAGTCTCAGGATACAAAACCAATGTGCAAAAATCACAAGTATTCCTTTACACCAACAATAGGCAAGCAGAGAGTCAAATCATGAATGAACTCACATTCACAATTGCTACAAAGAGAATAAAATACCAAGGAATACAGCTAACAAGGGATGTGAAGGACCTCTTCAAGGAGAACTACAAACCACTGCTCAAGGAAGTAACAGAATATAAACAAAGGAAAACACATTCCATCCTCATCAATGGGAAGAATCAACATCGTAAAAATGGCCATACTGCCCAAAGTACTTTACAGATTCAATGCTATTCCCATCAAACTACCATTGACATTCTTCACAGAATTAGAAAAAACTATTTTAAATTTCATACGGAATCAAACCCCATATAGCCAAGACAATCCTAGCAAAAAGAACAAAGCTAGAAGCATCATGCTACCTGACTACAAGGCTACAGTAATCAAAACTGCATGGTACTGGTACCAAAACAGACATATAGACCAATGGAGCAGAACAGAGACCTCAGAAGTAACACCACATACTTACAGCCATCTATCTGATCTTCAACAAACCTGACAAAAACAAGCAATGAGGAAAGGATCTCCTCTTCAGTAAATGGTGCTGGGAAAACTGGCTACCCATATGCACAAAACTACAACTGGACCCCTTCCTTATACCTTAAACAAAAATTAACTCAAGATGGCTTAAAGACTTACATGTAAAACCCAAAACCATAAAAACCCTAGAAGAAAACCTAGGCAATACCATTCAGGACATAGGCATGGGCAAAGACTTCATGATAAAAACACCAAAAGCAACTGCAACATAAGCCAAAATTGACAAATGAGATCCAATTAAACTAAAGAGCTTCTGCAGAGCAAAAGAAACTATCATCAAAATGAACAGGCAACTTACAGAATGGGAGAAAATTTTTGCAATCTATCCATCTGACAAAGGTCTAATATCCAGAATCTACAAGGAACTTAAATTTACAAGTAAAAAACAACCCCATCAAAAAGTGGGAGAAGGATATGAACAGATACTTCTCAAAAGAAGACATTTATGCGGCCAAGAAACATTTAAAAAAGCTCAACATCACTGATCATCAGATAAATGCAAATCAAAACCACAATGAGACACCATCTCACACCAGCCAGAATAGCAATTATTAAAAAGTCAGGAAACAACAGATGCTGGTGAGGCTACGGAGAAATGGGAATACTTTTACACTGCTGGTGGGAATGTAAATTAGTTCAACCACTGTGGAAGACGGTATGGCGATTTTCCAAGGATCTAGAACCAGAAATACTATCTGACCCAGCAATCCCATTACTGGGTATATACCCAAAAGAATATAAATCATTCTACTATGAAGATACGTGCACACACATATGTTTACTGCAACACTATTTACAATAGCAAAGACATGGAACCAACCCAAATGCCCATCAATGATAGACTACATAAAGAAAATGTGGTACATATACACCATGGAATACTATGCAGCCATAAAAAGGAATGAGATCATGTCCTTTGCAGGGACATGGATGAAGCTGGAAGCTATCATCCTCAGCAAACCAATACAGGAACAGAAAACCAAACATAGCATGTTCTCACTCATAGCTGGGAGTTGAACAATGAGAACACATGGACACAGAGAGCGGAACAACACACACCAGCACCCGTTGGTGGGCGGGTGAGGGGAGGGAATTTAGAGGACAGGTCAACAGGTGACAGGTCAATAGGTGCAGCAAACCACCATGGCACACGTAACCTACGTAACAAACCTGCACATTCTGCACCTGTATCCCAGATTTTTTTTAGAAGGAATAAAGAAAAAAAAAAAGGACAACCTAGTATCCTCATATACTTACAGCAATGTGAATAGGGAATTGGACTCATCCAATACAGCCCCACTTATTACAGCCAATGGGTAGAAGTTACAGAGAAAGCTATTCCAGTACAACCAAAAGGAAAAAAAAATTTTAAGCCACTCTCTTGAGATACGATTGACTTACAAAAAGATGTGCCTACTTAAATGTATACAACTTGATGAGTTTAGAAAGAATTTTCTAAGCTGTGCAATACAAGATGTTCTTTTTACTGGAAGTCTTTAATGTTCGAACATCAGCATTTTGCCTATGTGAAAAGGACACTGAGAGAATTCAGATGTTAAGATCTGATAATTAGGGAATCAGAGGGAATGACCCTTTGAATGAGGTTCAATCAGAGGGAATGACCCCATGAATAAGGTTTTCAGTTTTCACAAGCTCTACCCGCTTCCTGTAGACCACCACGACCGTGAAATGTTAAAGTGGCCTGTGAATAAGCAGCTCTGTAGACAAATGTTAGGAAATGTGGCCTATCTTATTTTGGTCATGGGGATTGATAATATGCATAAGCATCAAAAGGCTCTGAAAAGCCCAAAAAAGAAAAAAAAAGAATCATGACTCATCCTGTCATCTACCACGTGGCTAACTTCCCTGTACTGTTCCCCACCTCACTCCACTGCCTAAAGCAAAGAGCCTCACACACAATGTGCCCCAATAAAATCTACTGCTGTTGAGATGGTACTATTCTTGGGCTGACTTCTGATGGGACTGGTTCTCCTTCAAGTCCTCCACAGAATTTACCTAATCTTATTGGAAAGAATAACTTCATTCAGTGCTTAGAGAAAGGCAGTAAATTTCTTGAAAAGGACAGTTTTTGGCTGAGATAAGGGAAAGAGTAAACACAGCTCCAGGCAGAGCTTACTCTTCAGTTTACCAAATCATTACCAAGCATGGCCCTGAGCCAGGCCCGGCACCAAGCCCAATCCCGCCCCTGTGATACCCTCCAAACCAAAGTGTGGGGGAACGAGGCACATGGGCCACAGACAGCTTCCAGTGGGGAGGCTCAGGGACAGCACCGCAGGCAGAGGAGGAGCTGCCGCCAAGAGCAGGCAGGCAGGCGGCCGGCCGCAGCAGGAGGTCCAGGGCAGGCTCCCAGGACACTCGCAGCAGCCAGAGGGCCAGAGGCTTGGGACCCTATCCCAAGGGTGTGAGTGTGATTGTTAAAGAACTGTAGGCAGGGAAATGACACCACCTGCAGGGTAAAATCCAATCTGCTTCTCGTTCCCCAGAGCCCTCCCCAAGGCTGCAGTGGGACCTACCTGCCCATGGCGCACGCAGGTATACCCCACGGGCTCCAGCCGATTATCTCCACTCACCCCCGACCCACCAGCAGGCCTCCCCTCCACGCAGGCCCTCTCCCTCCATCTTCCATCCTCCCACCAGCCAAACAAGCCCCATCCACGGAGGTCCAGGCACCCATCCCCTTCCTTCACCTTGCCATAAAGCTGGAATTTTCCTGTTTTGCCTGGTCTCTCAACATGGATGAGCTGCTACAGGGCAGGGAGCACCACTCACAAATACATCTTTGTATCGTCAGTGCCCAGCACCAGGCAGATGCTTAAGAAACATTTTCCGAGTAAATGAGTGAACAAATCAATGAGCAAATGACTGAATTCATGAGTGAGCAAACAAGTGAATAAATTAGAAAGAGAAATGGGCACCGTCTTGTTAGAACTGCCCACCAATCCTCTGAAGAATTTAGAAAGTCTGAAGCAGAAAAACCTTGGCAAATCAAACACAGGGGAAGTAGGATTGCGTACTCTGAGCGAGAAAACATCCAAAGGTCCAAATAAAGGACTCTGTGCCCAGGGGCACTTCAATTCAAAAACACTGATACAGAGGAAACGAAGGGCAAAGAGTAATTAAGTCAACAGCGGCTATCAAACTGCATGGGGCCAGCAGGGAACCGCAGGGACAAGCAAGACAACACGAGTGAACAAGCGACCGCCGCACAGCTCTGTTTAACACCGAGTCCTCGCCCCAGGGCTCACGCCATGGAAATACACAAGGAAGTGTTCAAGAGTTATGTCTCAGGGGTGTGTCTCACAGGTTAGTAATTACAATAAATAAAAAACAACATCAAAAACAAAACTGGAAACAACTTAAACACCCAAATAATAGAATGTCTTCAGAAATGTTTCACCTACAAGCAAATGGAAGAAATGAATGTATTTTGATAACTATTATAAAGCCATGAACAATCATGTTTTCAAAGAAAGTTAGTGTCATGGGAAAAGACATTATTTAAAATAAGTAAAAATAGGCCGGGCATGGTGGCTCACACCTGTAATCCCACCACTTGGGAGGGTGAGGTGGGTGGATCACCTGAGGTCAGGGGTTCGAGACCAGCATGACCAACATGGTGAAACCCTGTCTCTACTAAAAATACAAAAAAAAAAAAAAATAGCCAGTGTGGTGGCAGCGGCCTGTAACCCCAGCTACTCGGGAGCTGATGCAGGAGAATTGCTTGAACCTGTGAGGCGGAGGTTGCAGTGAGCCGGGACCTTGTCATTGCACTCCAGCCTGGGCAACAGAGTGAGACTCCATCTCAAAAAAAAAATTAAAAATAAAATAAATATAAGAAGATATATAATTAGATACACTGCTTAATCTCAAGTCTACGTGAAAAGGAAAACACACACACACAGCCCTCACAAAAAGACAAAGAAGATCAGCTTTTTTAACGTCCTGGGGAATCCAGGGTGGTAGTTTACATGGGTTTTTATCTTTCTTCCTGAGACTGGTCTTGGCAGGTTGCACAGCAGGCAGGAGAGCCTGTGCCCAGTGGACTCAGACATTCCTAAGTTTGAGCCCTGGCTCTGTGACGTCAAAATCTTGGAATGTCAGGCATGTTTCTTAACCCCTTCAAGCCTCAGTTTCCTCATCTGTCAAACAGGAATAAAAATAGCATCCACTTCACAGGACTACTGTGAGAAATGATCAAGAAAATATACATCAAGGACTCCACACCCCACACCTGGCACATAGCATTAGATTCTATTATTTTTCTTATTATTACTCTCAGTAGTTTCTAAATTTCAAACACTGACCATCTGTAATTTTAAATAATATTTAAGAATAGCAAAGATGAATGTAAGTAAATATTCTCTAAGAAGGTAAGGCTGGTGCTCCTGCCACGCCAGCCTGTGGGTGAAGAGGCCAGGGTGTGCGCTGACTATGCAAGGGCTGCGGAAAGGCAGAAACCAGCAACAGCTTTCTGGTCGCCACCAAGGCTCCTGGAAGGAGCACCAGGGCTCAGCCTCCTATGTCTGACAAAGAGATTCAGATGTCCAAACCACGCCACTTTCCCAAATACTGTCTGCATTTTTAGATCTGATTTCTTGTCCGTCAGGTGCCCCTGCCTTCATGGAACCCCTGCCCCAGTCCTGGGCTGAGGAGGTGGCTCAGCCTCCGGGGCCCAGCACAGACAGGATAACTTCTCTGCAGCTATTCTGGCCCCTGAAGGCCCACCTGCTCCCACCCCCAGCCAAATCCCCAGCAGAATTCATTACTCGTTCCTCTGTGTTTCCACGGAACTTCTGACATATGCTTAAGGGCCCTAACCCTCCCTAGTTCTACCGTATTATCTGCGGCAGATCTCTTTCTCCATTGGAGCAGAAGCCTTTGGGTCCCCTGTGCCTCGCCTGGTAGGAGCTCACTACATATTGTAATTGAATGAAATAATCAGAAATAATTTTCACTATTATTAAAGCATTCTTCTTCTACCCTGGGAAAACGGAAAAGCCAATAAAAAGTTAAAGTAAAAATAAGATTTCTCCCTCTCCAGAGAAGTCACCCATACTGGCCAAAGCAAATTTAAAATCTCACTGAAAATAACTGTAAATTAAATGCCGCATACTAAGGATCAAAAAATGACTTTGCTAAATAGATCTTATTCTTTAATATGTGGCTTAGGTAATAGGGACAGAATTTCCAAGCACAGAAGCCCCAAGCCTAGAAAAGTTTCAATGACTTCTGATGGAACAGGCACACACAAGGAAATCTGTGTCTTACGAATTCAATATACACTTTATTGAGGAAATAACCATGAATAAATGGAAGAAAAGAGTGTACTTTAGTGAAGTATTTAATGGTCTGATCTAGAAGGTCATTAAAGTAAAGGAAGAAGCAAATGAAATGCAGTGGCCTGCATACAGAAAGACCTGCGGAGCCGCCTGGGAGACAAAGAGCGGACCAAGGGGCAGCAGCGGCCGCATAAATCACCTCACGGACAGCTCCGGACACGACAGACTCTATCAATAACAGGAAAGAGACCGTACACGCCACAAAGATCAACTGCAGCATGGAAAGAGTCAAAAGAAGCATCAAATGGCTTGAAAGAACCAAAGCAAAAAAGATAAATGCTAACATTAAGTCGAAACAAGCAAATTTAAGCTTACGAGGATTAGGAAACGTTTTCTTGTCAACTGAATAGCAGTCCCTACATTTGACAAGTATGATAATAAAACAAGGGTCAGTAAAGCCATCCCAAAGTTTGAGTTACCTGGCTGCATCTTCAACTAAAATCCATTTTCGCTAAACACAGTGAGCCTTCTGCCAATTCCTCAATCAACTTCACGGAAAACCCATTTCAAAACCCCCATCGAGCTAAACCAAAGCCACACACAGCCAGCAGAAAGGCGGCAGTCCCCACAGGGGTGGGCAGTGTCCCCAAAGGGGTGGGAAGAGTGGCTGACGAGGCTGTGAGGCCAGGCAGCCCACAGTGTGACCAACCCGTGGGAGCCCCAGAGCCTGCAAACTTCAAATGCCAGCCTCACATCTGGGCCACTGTGATCCCCATGATTCATGGGTGCTCCGTGTCTCCTCAGCACCACAAGCCCACCCAAACAGCCTCATTATCCTTGTGCCTGCTGTGCCCACAGGGGGTGCAGAGAAGCCAGCGCTGGTGCCAGGGAACGAGCAGGCAGGAGGAGGCAGCGGCAGGGGAGCAGAAGCTGCCACCAGACCCAGAAACGGCATGAGGGAGTTCCAAACAGCCACAGCTCAGAGCACAGCTAATTCACCTGCTGCTGAATTTCAAAGTGTCACCCCCACGTCACTTCCAGCCCTACAGCAGGATAATCACAAAGCACCAGAAGCCCGATTAACCTCCCCAAAGCACAGCTCTGATCATTCCAATCCCTGCCCAAAACCTTCTGGGACTCCCAACTACACACAGAACAAAGATTTCCAGACCTTGGCAACCACCTGGACCAATTCCTTGATTTTACTGGTAGGGAAACTGAGGCTACGGCGGGATTAAGTAGCTGGACGGTCTGAGGGTGGCAGAGGCAGGATCTGAGCACGGGATCTCAGCACCTCCTCTCCATCTCCAGTGGCTTTCTCATGGCACCACAGCTGCCTCAAATCGAATGCCTTCACCTGGCGGGCCAGACCTTCCAAGAACAGACCCCAGCTGCATTTTTGGCTTTTCCTACCACTGCCTTCTTCTGAAACTATCAGTCCTGCAGGGCGACAGACTGGATGCTGGCTCTCTCTGACACACCTGGCCTCGAGTGCTGGCTCCACTAGCTGGGCGACCCTGAGCCAGACACTGAGCCTCTGTAAGTCTCTAGGAATCGCAGGGGCACTGCACACAACGCGCTCAGCACGCAGCTCGATACACCGTTGTGACCGTTGCTTGTGACTGTTGCTGCTGCTGCCACCCTCGCCACTCAGACTCCACTCTGCCTCCTCCGCTCAACTCTCCGCTTAAGTGAGTCCCTCCCTAAGAGAGGCTTGCCCCATCTCCCACTATGGAAATCACACCCATGAGACAAGATGCACCCACAAATGCCAGCCTTCAGAAGCCACACAACTCAAGTGCTCATCACCGTCCAGCACAGGGCCTGGCACAGCAGGCACCTACTCGTGTCTGACGGATGAATGAAGAGATGGGAACCTTGCTTTCTTGTCACCTGTGTCTCTCTTCTGGTTCCACCCCACCCCAGAATCTGTCCCTGACAGCTCCTTACCACTCCATGCAATGGGTCTTCCTGACCAGGCCACGGACAGGCACCAAAGCCTGTCCACATGGCCCAGTCACCATCCACTGCCTGAATCTGGCCGAAACAAGCTCATCAAATATCCGATGCCCACTGTCCCCTGCCCACAGGAATCTGAGGCCAGTCTGCTGCCCTGCACCCAGGGTACTTGGTAATTAGGCTGTCCTGGATGACAGCCGCATGATGGACTCTGACACACAGCCTGGCCTATGCCAGCCATGCTCCCCAAAGTAAGCCCAGCCTCTTCAATCATCCTGCATGTAAGGGTACAGACTCTCAGCAGCCCAGCTGCCCCCAGAGAACTCACATGAGGACAAAAGGACGGATTTGGTGTCTCCTATCTCCCAGGAGGAATCTGAGTTCCTTAATGGAAGAGTGTATCACCATGGGGCGTCTAGAAGGGTCGAAAGCAGAGCTACCTCTTCATTTGATTCTAAGAATAAGAACTCGCCAATTATGTAATTATTGTTTTAAAAAAAACTCCTCCCAAAGCTTAAATATCTGCCTATTCTTTTGCATGAGGAATACCTGAGGTAGGGGTTGTGCAGCAGTGTGAATGTACCAAAAGCCGCTGAACTGTCCACCACAAAACAGTTTATTGTCTGTTATTTGAATTGCACCTCAAGTTTTTAAAACAGAATTTTTACTTAAAAATTTGATGATTTTATGCCATTTTGACCCTCATAATAAAATAAAAGATGATTATACCTATATACTAAATCTTACCTGTTCTCATGCTCTCCATAAATATATACTTTTTTTTTTTTGAGTGAGAAAAGGGGCACGTAACACTATTACGTTTTCATTTGTATTTTTAAAAGAATGGGGTGGAGTAAGAAATATATTAACACACGTCTATATAAATCTACTCGAATATGTGTGGAACACTTCTGAAAGGAGACAGAAATAGAAGGGTCGGGAGCGAAGGAGATTTATTTGTCAGGCTGCAAGCCCTGAGGAACCACTGTAAATGTTTTAACTTCGTATAATGCAGCTTTTCCAATTAGAAACGCTGGTAAATAGAGTAGAAATCAATGTTACCAGTTCCTAAACTGCAAGTGGTGAGCCCCAGAGCATTCCTCCCTCCTCCAGAACACCCAGGAACATCACTTCTGTATGCGTGAGCTGATGTGACACATTTTGAATACTCTCAAACAAGTCTACATTTTGATCAAGCATATAAATGAAATTTTGACTTAGATATGCAATTTTAATAAGAATTTTAAGTAAAGATCATTTTCAAAACATTATACAGCCATTAAAAATGATGGTTATGAAGATTATAGCAGCATGGGAGAGGAGGATGATGTAATATTAACCTGAATAAAAGGACAACAAATGCCATCTATATAGTTTCATGGCCTCAGTGGAAAATCTGGGTGGGGAGGACACACAGGAAAACGACGGTAAGAACACAGCAGCCGGGCAGGGCTCCCTGCTAACCACTCCGCAGATGGCCTCATCACGCCTCCCAAACACTATGGAGGCCTCTGACATTACCCCATTCTACAGATGAAGACACTGCCCAGGTCACTGTGTTAGTAAATGTCGAAGCCCGGACAGGACCTGACATGCGCCACCCCAAAGCCCATGGTCCTGTTTCCCATACTGCCCTGACCCCCGAGATGCTAAGGGTCAGGGTGGCAGGGGATGTGGTTATTCTTACTTCTAGAACCTAAAACAAATCCATGGGTTTACCTTGGGTTAAAAGATGAGTTGAAAAAGATATGCTAACTATTCGAGACTGAACTGTATCCTCAAATTCGTATGTTGAAGGCCTCTCCCAGAGCGTGACTGTGTCTAGAGACAGGGACTATAACGAGGTAACTGAAGTTGAATTAAGTCATGAGGGTGGGGCCCTGAGCCACAGGATAAGTGTCCTTATGGGGAGAGACCCAGAGAGCTCCTGTGCACGCTCGCTCTCCACCTCCCTCTCTCTCTCTGGATCTCTCTCCCCACACATGCACAGAAGAAATGCCATGTGACAACTCAGCAAAAATGTGGCATCTGCAAGCCGGGAGGAGAGCCCTTCCCGGAAACTGGATCAGCCAGCACCCCGGTCCTGGACTTCCAGCCTCTGGAACTGGGAGAAATCAATGTCTACTGCATAAACCACCCAGTCTGTGGTATTTTCTTATGGCAGCCCAGGCAAATTAATACACTAACCTATTCTTTAGATTCTCTTACCCTAAGATAATCTACATTAGGATTTTAAGCAAACTTGAACTTCTTCTCTTTAGGACCAATTTGAACATAGTCTGGGATTTCAAGAGAAAGCCTCCAATAGTTTATATGAATACCTCAAAAGCTGGCGAAGGCCGGGCACGGTGGCTCACGCCTGTAATCCCAGCACTTTGGAAGGCCGAGGAGGGTGGATCACGAGGTCAGGAGATTGAGACCATCCTGGCTAACACGGTGAAACCCCGTCTCTACTAACAATACAAAAAATTAGCCAGGCATGGTGGCAGGTGCCTGTAGTCCCAGCTACTCGGGAGGCTGAGGCAAGAGAATGGCGTGAACTCAGGAGGCGGAGCTTGCAGTAAGCCAACATCGCGCCACTGCACTCTGGCCTGGGCAACCGAACAAGACTGTCTCCCAAAAAAAAAAAGCTGGCTAAACACCAAAGTCAAAGCCTTACCTGACTACATTTCACCACACACAATAACATCAGGATAAAGGTGATATCCTTCACCTCTCTATGCAAAACCAAGGATTTGCTTTATTCTTGGCAACTGATTTAAGGTGTAACTTCCTGTATTGTATCCAGTTGTGATGGTAACTGGATTATTTTTTTATTTTTCACCTCCCATCCCTACTGCATTTCTTTATTTTTTTATTTTTTTTTATTTTTTTAAGCAGAATCTCACTCTGTTACCCAGGCTGGAGTGCAATGGCACAATCTCGGCTCACTGCAACCTCTGCCTCCCGGGTTCAAGCAATTCTCCTGCCTCAGCTTCCTAAGTAGCTGGGATTACAGGCGTGTGCCATCACGCCCGGCTAATTTTTGTATTTTTAGTAAAGACGGGGTTTTGCCATGTTGGCCAGGCTGGTCTCGAACTCCTGACCTCAGGTGATCCACCCGCCTCGGCCTCCCAAAGTGCTGGGATTACAGGCATAAGCCACCGTGCCCAGCCCCTTACTGCATTTCTGTTCATTAGAAATTTCTTCCCATTTTCTTATTTTAATCATCTATGATTTAATCCTGTACCAAGTTTCTTTTTTATTTTTTTGCTTTTTCTTTTAGAGACACGGTGTTGCTCTGTCACCCAGGCCGGAGTGCAGTGGCATGATCATAGCTCACTGTAGCCTCCAACTCCTGGGCTCGAGCAATCCTCCCACCTAGGCCTCCCAACTGCTGGGATTACAAGTATGAGCTACTTCACCTGGCCCTGTATAAAATTTCTAAAACCGAACTCTTCATGTCCTATTAAAGTAAGCAAAGCAGTGTGCAATGCAAAGAAGCCTGGATTAAATCAAGTGATTGTTGCTACTGGCTGGCATCTGACCTTAGGTCCTCCTCCATTTCTAAGCCTCAGTTTCTTGATCTGCAAAATGGGAATCACAGGAATCCTGCCGCCCTACTCATCATATGGAGTAAATGCCAAACAAATGAGCTAGCCTGTGGGGAAGGCTGGATAAACACTGGTCACTGCCGCTGCAGAGGTACAGTGCCAAGTAGTGCCAGCGTGTCGTCAAGCAAATGGCTTTGTCACACAGACGCATGCATGTGCTTCTTCCTTCTAACATCAAACCCACTGTGCCTCCCAAACAGCTCCAAGCAAAGCAGCACTGGGGCCTCAGAGCAGACAGGACAGAAGTCCTCAGCACGGGCTGACAGGGTCCACAACACCGACAAGCAGGAGAGTTGGTATCACTATCATTCCCACCACCATCATCACAGTTATCATCGCCATCACTACTATCATCACCACCATCATCACCATCACCATCACAATCAACACTAATCCCTGAAGCCCTGAATTCTAAAGAAGGAGAACAATCCTGCTGCTGTTGATCCTCCATCGTTCCACGCTGGTGGTGAATTCTAATTGCTCACCACTGTCTTCCAACTTTCCTTCTTAAAGAAATCCTCTTCCCTGTAACTTCGCCTGTAAAGTGTCTACAGGATGCACCTGTAGAATCTGCGGTTGAGCAGGAAGAATCTGCGGTCACAGAACCTGCCAATCCTCTTATAAAATATCCCATAATACTAGAGTATCCAGGCCATGCCTGGGGAGGAGCAAAGCCCTATTGGCTCTGCACACATTTGCTCGGCCAGCCCTGTGAAGAGGTTGAACTTCCCCTCCTCATATCAGCAAACCCAATTCCATAATTGTAGCTACTCAGGTCTGACTGGCCGAAGATCAGCACTATTCTACCCACTCCAGACCCTGGGTGGGACCCACCAGCCACAGGCACTCACCTCCGCCCTCTCAGGCTCCCATCACTCTGTCCTCAGGCTTGGGTGACAACTCACCATCATACCCAGAGCCCCTAGAAAGTCAAAGGT
This sequence comes from Homo sapiens, assembly GCF_000001405.40. Lineage (NCBI taxonomy): Eukaryota > Metazoa > Chordata > Mammalia > Primates > Hominidae > Homo > Homo sapiens. The sequence goes on along the minus strand of NC_000022.11, from coordinate 46,806,699 downwards.
ACATTATCACATTTTTCTAAGTTAACACATTTTATATCCTTTTTTAGCTTGATTTTCTTTTCAGCTCAGTCTTACATGTCAGTTCTAATGGTCTGTGGCCATACTTTTTTTAAATAATATTTTCTAAATAATTTTTAAATATTTTTAATATTTAATTTAATTTAAAATTTAATTTAAATTTAAAAATTTTTAATAATTTTTAAATATTTTTTAAATAATAGACTCCAAGGAATTTAAACCATCTTAAAACAAAAACATTATTTTCTCGGCAGCTTTCAGTACTATGCACTTGAGTAATGGGATGGTTTGTGGCCCTTTGAGTCTCAGCTCCATTTCCGGGCAAAAAAAAAAAAAAAAATCAGAACAGAGGAGGGTTCATTCTAAATGCCATGTCACTGACTATGAGAATTCAAAGTTCATTTACTGAGTCCCTCTACACCCAGCACTCTGTAGACAGTTCAATGCAATCAAACATCTGGGTCTCTATACTACGTTTTCCACACAGCGCTCGGCACTGAGCCATGGGGTAAATGTGATAAGAGGGTTGGAGGCCGGGCGCGGTGGCTCACACCTGTAATCCCAGCACTTTGGGAGGCCAAAGCGGGTGGATCACGAGGTCAGGAGTTCGAGACCAGCCTGACCAACATGGTGAAACCCCGTCTCTACTAAAAATACAAAACTTAGCCGGGTGTGGTGGTGGGTGCCTGTAATCCCAGCTACTCAGGAGGTTGAGGCAGGAGAATCACTTGAACCTGGGAGGCGGAGGCTGCAGTGGGCCGAGATGAAGCCACTGCACTCCAGTCTGGGCGAAAGAGCAAGACTCCATCTCAAAATAAAGAAAAAAAAGAAGAAGAAGAAGAAGAAGGACAGAAAGACATTAAGGAACCAGAAATCGGGTGGGGGGTGTGGGGGGGCGGTGAGAGACACACACATCAATCTCTGTGAATGGCAAACACAGTTGGCTGCCAAACCAATATCCAACCCATCCCACCTCTCTGTTTCCAGAATCCCGGTTTGAAAGTGCCCATGTCCAGCCCACAGGAGACACATCCTTGGCAGCTCCCCCTACCACCAGGAGTGGCCATGTGGCCTGGCTCTGAAGGCAGCCCTACTCTCCCAGTAAGAAGACGCCTGCCCTGGTGACTGCTCCTTCCATCACCCCATGATGGTGACAGCCCCTTTAGAGCTGTGAGGAAGAGGTCAAGTGACTTGGAGCTTAGATCCTGAGGACATCACTGAGCCAGTGAACCAGTGCCAACAGCTACCTGCCTCCAGGCATCTTGCTGAGAAACTTAACTTTTGAATTTGTTCAAAAGTCCTTGCGTCTGCTTTTCTGTTACCTACAGCAAAAACACATCTTCACGGAAGGCCCCAGATACAAGGCACCCTGTGTCAACTGGAAAACCAGTGATGCCCCACTCACCGCTGAAGAACACAGGGTAGGAGAGAAGGAGACTGACCGCTGGTGGCTCAATTAACTCTGCCAGCATTTCCTGAGAATGTGCCATGCATGTGCCAGTCACTGGAACAGGAGGATGAGTGACTCCAGCCACGGCCCAAGAGAGGATCACAGTCTAATGGGCAGATGGACACAAACTCATACTCTCTTAGAGGAAACCATAATAGGAGCTAAGTTACAAGTAGAAAATGTTGTACAGGGCGAGGAGCAATGAGTCCCTGGGGATCCTGCCATACTCGCCCTACTTTCCTTCTCCTATCCCTCACATAGAGAAAATACCACAGTCGCACAATTGCTCAAGTCTGTATCCAATATCCTCATCTACAAAAGAAATTATAAGAAAAAAAAGACAAACATGCAACAGATAAGTTTTTAAGGCGGCTCCTTTAAAACCATACCAAAGACTTACAAACTCTCTTTTAGCATTTGCTTTTAATATTACAGACTAAAAATCACCATTCAACAGAAACAAATCACCTGAAGGAACAGTGAAAGGTTTCCTATTAAACTGAAGATTTACATTACTATGGATAGTAAATAAAATTCCTAATTTTCACCAAATCATATCTAATTTGGTTATTTTAAGCCAAGTGACATCACATGTAGTTCAAATACCACATCGAGCAGGGAACACATCACCCAGAAAAAAGGATGCCGGCAATGCTGTGAAAGTGGGGAGCCAGCGTGTTCACTGAGGCTCTCGCATGCCCTGCCTGAAGCCCAGATCACTCTGCAGATAAAACAGCCGCTGAGAGAGAGCCATTTCTGCTAGTGAGCTCTGAAAAACTGGTAAGAACTGATTAAGAGGGAATAAATTAGAGAGAAAAAGCAAGCACAACTCTAGTTAATACAGCATGTGGAAACAGTGGCAATTTTGGTTTGTTGGTTTTATTATCTTTTCCATTTCTCTAACTTTCAATAACATTTCCGTTAATGATGATCACAGAAACCCTTTAGTGACAAAATGAGCAGAGAAAAGAAATAGGCACAGCTCCTGTCCTAAGTGGGAACACACGGGCAAAAAGGGGCCAAGGCCGGGGGCAAGCTTTGAGGGAAAGCAGAGTAACGGTGATGTGGGGGAAGCCACGGGGGGAAAACGCAAACCCAGAGTCACACGGTTGGGAAAGCCCGTCCTTGGCTCAAGGAGGTGCCATCGCATTGCTGCTGAGCTGCCATTGGATGGTAGTGTCAGTTACTTACCTAGTAAATTTATCTAAGAAACAAAGTAAAACCAGAGACACAGGACCATGTATGCACCAAAAGAAGGCAAGAAAGGTCTAGCTGAAGAGTCAGCGAACCATCAAATGACAAGTACCTACTATGTGACACTCACTGCAGGGGACTTGAGGACAGAGCAGGGCCAGCAAGGATCTGGGTGTGGCTGGGCCAGTGCATGCACAGAAGGACTGTGCAAGCTGGAGTTTGTTCCCTCTGCCCCGGGCCTCTGCATTCAGCAGTTCTAGGTGGCCAGGGGGCTGCCTTCCTTGACAAAGCCCTTCCCTGATGAGACGCCAGGGCAAGGCCGAGTTAGCCAGAGCTTTCATCTTCGTCCCTCACGTTATTCTCTTCTGAGGCTGTGCCTGCCTTTCAGTAAGCACGGTGAACACACACAGACACGCGCAAGTGTAAGCACCCCCCACCCACAAGGCCAACGTGCCCTGCTGTGGTCATGAAGCCCAGGCTGCAAAGACAGCACCTGGCCACTAGAGGGCGACGCTGAACGCTGACGGCCGGGTCGCAAGAACCAACCGCCCTCCCCGCCTCAGCTCCTGGGGGCCGGGCCCCAGCTCCCACAGCAGAAGCGAGATCTCCAACAAGGCCCACAGGAGAGAAAACCGCCGCCCTTCCTCAGGCCTCCAACAGCACCAAGAATGCCCACTGTCTACACTAACCAGAAACGTGTGACCTGGAGGCTGGGAGCCCAGCCCGGGGTGACCCCGGTTCCCAGCCAGCTCTGCCCTCACTGTGGGGCTGGAGGGCAGCCGCCTGTTTAACCTTGTCTCGAGCTCTTCAGCTGTAAACCAGCGATAAGGCCAGCAATCTGGGGCACGCAGGAAGGGGGTGGGGGTGCAGAGGGGGGTCTTTTGGTGGCTGATAACACAGTCTCTACAGCACAGTGCCCAGCACAGAGTGAAGGCCCCCAGTGGCTGTAACCATGGGAGCATTTAAACACACTGCTTTCCCTGGCTCTCTGTTTCATGAGGAGGAGATTTTGTCTCCCCAGTGAAATGCCATCTCTGGAGTGTGTTCTGATTTCTGTGTCTATCGGCTGTTCCCCATCCCTGCAGACCCCAGGCTCTAAGCTATGGGGGTCCTGGCTCTTGCCTTCTCGCCAGTCTACCCAGCTCCAGATTTCATCAGCCCCCGACTCACGCAGCCCACCCCACCCACATCCCCAGCCCACGGCCTCCACTCTTGCCCCCTAGTCTCCCACCCTACTCTGACCCTCCTCCAGCCCCTCCCATGAGCTGCCCAAGGACTCCACGTCGTCCATGGCCACTGGCAACACTCTGCTCAGAAGCAGTCATCGGCTCTTCCTTCCACAGAATAGCAACCGCTTTCTGATGCTCTGCACCGCGCTTTACTCCCCCGGTTCAAAACCTCCCAGAGGCTTCATGCTGTGCTCGAAGTAAAAGCAGAGCTCCTTCTCCTGGACTTCTCAGCCCTGGGGACCTGGTCCCTGCCTGCCTTGCAGGCCTCTCCCCACACCCCACTCAGCCACCAGGCCAGAGCCTCAGAAACCCCTCAAGCACATGAAGCTCTATTGCCCGCAGGACCTTTGCACCTCTGGGCCTGTCCCTAGAATGCTCATGCCCCCTCTTCAAATACCTGACTCCGTGCAGATCTCGCCCCAGAAACAGCCAACTGCAGAGCAGCTCCAGCCTCTACCCTCCACATGCCTTGACTCTCCCTATATGCTTCCTGCCTTCTGATGGTTGCGGGGGTACTGAGCGAGCTCCCTCTGTCTCCTCACACGAGAATGTCAGCTCCTTGAGGGCAGGGCCCTCGCAAGCCTCGCCGCCGATTCCTCCCCAGTGCCTACAACCACAGCAGGTGCTCAACAGAGCCTGGATGAGTGACTCTACATAAATTCCCACTGACCTTCACGAGGACCCTGCAGGGCAGGTCTCATGCTCCCTCTACAGCTGACGAAACAGGTAGGTTGAGCCACTTCATGAGTAAGGACACGGCCAGCCATCACACTGAGGGCCTACTCCAAGGCCGCACCTGCTTCCTCCTGTCACCAAGGGCCCAGGCCCCTTCACGGCTGCCCTAGAGCCACGGACACCAAGGGGGCATCTACTCGTATTAGTGCTGCCAAGGTGTACGGCTCCAAACTTCTGTTCATGCCCTCCCAACCCCCAAAACACCCTCTCCCGCTGACCTCCATCTATCAGCACGCTCTCATAAAGCCTAGACTGGATGGTCACCCCTCAGGGGAAGTGGAACACAGCCGTGGCCTGGCCCCACTCCTTGACGGACGGGTCGTCGTGCCTTCTGTCCTACCGTTCGAAAGCCTTGAGGGCCAGAGCTGAGCTCCACACACAGTTTGCCCTCCGAGGCCCCACTGCTGCGAGGCAGGCCCTAGACGGTCCTCAGGAAACTGCGTGTTCTACATGTTACCAAATCGCACTACCATTCACCAGATACATGTGACCAACTTGAGTGTCATTTTCCGGGGCTTCAAAGCAGGCAGTCTTTGTGTGAGTAAATATTGAGCCAATGCTAAGAGTAAAATGAGCTATTAAGTTCTATTTGCTACTTTCATCCCCAGGCTCATAACAGAGCGTAAGCTAAACAAAGAAAAACAGCACTCCGCTGGACAGAATGATATTCAGCAGGTAGACTCATTTCTGTAGGCACTTCTCACATCAGTGATTTGCTTCTCCAACATTGGCAAATATTTGCCACTTACGTCTTTCATGTAATGTGAAGAAAGTACATTCCACTGTCTTCCAAAGCTATCTTAACTGCCTTATAAAAACAGGCAATTTACTGGCGATGTTTTCTCTTGCTACTAAATACAAATGCAGTCATCGTTTAACTTTGAAAGCTCTGCATTTAGCTTTTTGGTTTTAGATTTGATATTTACATAGAATTATAAAGAAAGAAAAAAACCCACAGTCCCCTCAACCTAACAAAATACTTGATTTTTACGTGCTAAAATCTAGCCCTACATACTCCCATCTTCCTACAAGTCTTGAAAGCTTTACTTTTAAGTGTGATTTTAATTTCCAAAAGTTGGTTCAATTACAAAGTCCTCCAGAATGCTCCAGGTGGGTACTCAGAGCCTGACCCAGCACAGGGTTCCCATCAGGCAAATCTTGCTTTCACCAGCTGTCTCTCCTCCACCTGCCTACTGCTGGAAACCACAGGACACAACCAGGAAAACATCTGTAAGTCCTTGACTCGTCAATGACCACAAAAGTGACCATATACGTCAATAGCACAAAAATCAAGTGAGAAGATAAAAAGGCCAGTTCAAATGAACGTAACAACAACCATAAAAATAACTAACATTTTTGAGTGTTTAGTATGTGCTAGGCACTCTGTTAAGCATGTCATATGTACTATCTCATTTAAACTGCAAAATGAGCACCGCTTTCATCATGTCTATCACGCAAACAAGAACTCTGAGAGCAGGATCATCACCAAGCTGGCTCAAGGTCACGTGGCGAGTAACCAGTGGAGCCAGCTCTCCACACAGGCAGCCCGGCTCCAGGACCCACTCTCCCAGGTGCAACGTGGTTCTGAATCTCCACACCACCCTGGAGGCAGGAGAGCCAGCAGAGAAGGGGCACTGGCATGCTAGAAGAGGAAGTGGCCAAGATGGGTACGTCAACTACAAGACTAGACTCCCGTAAGCACGATCTACCTTTATCTCCTGTCTTGGTGGGTGACACCTCCACACCTGGTGCTCTAGGCGAACTCACAGACCCATCCCCCACACTGCCTTCTCGCCTCACCCATGGCTAGGGATGCTCTGTGTCACCATCACAGAAGGAGGTTCAGGCGCCTGAAGAAACGTTCTCAAGTTGTTTGTAATAATAGCAAGTTAGGAATAACCCGCTGCCCAACCGCAGGGGCTGGTGCAGTCAAGTCGGGGGAAATCCATAGGATGGCATGTTACAGGGCACTCTAAAGACTAAGGCGGTTCTCCACGTACGCCATGGGAAAATGTATCATTCCCTTAAAAAGTGAGGTGCACAACTGCCTTGCCGTGCAAGGGGACAAAGAAATACACTGTAGAAATGCACAGACCCCAGAGCATCTCTCTACAGAGCACTTCATCACCAAAGGAAAAAGGGGAGCTCTTCAGTGGAAAGAGCTGGCAGACGCCACCTCAACCAAGTGATCGGAGTCCACATCTTCAACGTGAGGACCCACCAGCACCACGTGCCCCCGCTGTGATGACCAAGGAGAACACGAATCCCTTCAGTGATGTTCCTGCCAAAAATTATCAATCAGAATCTCATTGTGGGCAAACATCAGACAAGCACAAACCAAGGGACATCCCACAAAATCACTGGCCCGTGCTCTGCTAAAGTGTCAAGATGGAAATGCAGAGACCGGCAAAGCTGCTGCGCCAGGTTAGTGGAGAAGACAGAGGCGTGACATCCAAATGGAACGCATGGTCCCCACTGGAGTCTGGACTAAGAAAAAAGAGGGAAAGGACATTACTGGGACAACTGGCAGAATGTGACTATGGACTGTGGATGAAAATAATACAAGTGTTAAAATAGTACTGTGTCAACGTTAAATTTCCTGATTGTGACCCCTGTGCTGTGATGATACTGAGGGAATGTCTTTGTGCTTAGGAAATATGCAGCGAAGGTTTCAGAGGTAAAGGGATATATCTCCAACTGACTCTCAAATGGTTCAGGAAAAAAATGTATATATACACACAAAAACAGGCACACACATGCAGAATGGTAATGGGCAAACGTAAACAATTGGTGATTCTGGGTACAGAGCATATGGGAGTTGTTGGCACTATTCATGCCAACTGTTCTGCAAGTTTGAATTGCATCAACACGAAACGTTTAAAACAACAGATGCATGGGCCATCGCTGGAAGGAGACACCTCGAGCTGTGGAAAGGAAGGGAAGGTGGGGGCTGGGACAGGCCTCATTTTCACATACACCCTGCTGTGCTGTGTCATGTTATAACACATGCAAGTGTTGCTGTTTCAAAAAAAAACAAACATAAGGAAGAAACAACCACCCACTCTGAGAACTCTACTCAGAGCTGTGTCCTTCTAGCCAGGAGACCTTCCAAGAGCCCTCCCCCGCCTCGAGAACACAGCTTCAGCCATGCCCTTTGAACCGCTGCTTCTGCCCGGAAACCCTCTCCCTGCCCTGGGCTTGAGCGTGAAGGCCCGGCTGCTGCAAGCTCCTATATGGCCCCTGCATGGCTCCTGCGTGGCTCCTGGCGGCCCATCCGCGTGCGCCACTCGCCACCTCCTGGCCAAGCCAGGCGTTGCACCTCTGGCTCTTAGAGTGCCACAGTGACACCAGTCATAACTGTGTGATACAGGTTTGTCCCCTCAATGAAGCAATCTCATGACCAAGGCCACATTCCGGTCCTCCCGAGAGCTCCAGCGTCTAGCAAACACCTAGCCAGAGTGGCACTCCACAAAGATGAGATAGGGAAAGGAAGGACGTGGATTCAGCAGGAATTCCACCAGAGGAACTGAAAGCAAGTGCGTTCCACAGAGCCTGGCCACGGCAGTCCACATGGGCACTGCGTGTGCCTGGAAGCAACTCGCGCAGGAAGAGTCACACTGGTGACTGTGCTCTGCCCTGTGGGCCTGCCCCTCTGCCCCAGCCTCACCCCTGCCCCCTTGCAGGGCTCACAGCCTGTCACCCTCTGATGACTGCAAGCCCCATGGTAGGAAAGTACAAAACCAGCAGATTGAGTTGATGGTCACCAGCGCTGTGCCCCCATGAGCCACTGTCTTCAGAATACTGTCAAGAACAAGGATGTCCACCTGGCCAGCCTCGAAGGGCTCACCAAGGGCAGCAATAATAAAGAGTGCAAATGGGACAACAGGAAAACAGAATGGGCCAGGCGTGGTGGATCACGCCTTAAGCCCAGTGCTTTGTGAGGCTGAGGCAGGAGGATCTCTTAAGCCTAGGAGTTCAAGACCAGCCTGGGCAACACAGGCAGACCCGTATCTGTAGAAAAAATTGTTTAAAAAATCTGGTGAGCATGGTGGCACAATCCTGTAGTCCCACATACTCAGGAAGCTGAGGCAGGAGGATTGCTTGAGCCCAGGAATTCCAGGTTGCAGTGAGCTATGATCACACCACTGCACTCCAGCCAGGCAACAGAGTAAGACCTTGTCTCAAATTTTAAAAAAAGAAAACAAAAAGGAACGCAAAATACATTTTCAAATTGCATGGGAAAAACATTAACAAAACTTGTCTAAAGCACAAATTGCTACTACCTTAGTGACTGACTTGAAAATATTACATGAAAACATCACCTTCCTGCAAGGCAAATTACACACGGACGCGTGTGCATTACATAAGCATACATAGAATCCTTTAAGATGTGATCTATTTCAGAAACAGCAAGAAATGTCTGTGTGTGTCCTCCAGAGGGCAGGGTGCTTACCAAGGTCCGTGTTGGGGCCGGCAAGCAGCTGCTTGAACTTGTCGAGCCGGGAGGCCTCTCTTTCGCTCAGCGCTGAGCTGCTGAGAGTGCTGGGGTCAGATGTGCCACCCAGCGTGACGGTGGCCGAGTGTGGGAGAGACTGGGACCTCTGCAGAGGGGCGGCATCGCTGGCACTTTCTGCAGGGGTGAGAGAATGGGGGTGAGGGTGAGGGCGCTCCTCCCGACTACACGTTCCTCCTTGCTGTGCCACTGTCCCTTTGTGAATGCTGATGGGTCCCTTCTTCCCATCACTCAGCAGTGGGGACCTTGGTTTCTTGAGCAATAACATGGAACTGACACCTTTGAAATTCACTCGCTTCACTGGCAGAGTATTATTCACCAACAAAATGGACCACCTTGCATAAAAGCAACACAATGACAGCCAGAAAACTCCAGGGCCCCTCGGGCTGTGTGGAGGTCAGGCTCCCACCAGTGCCTGGGGTGGCAGATCAGGGCCTGCCCAGGTGACATGACCCAGAGGGTCTGTGTAGGACGGTGCCCTCGGGTCAGCCAGGCCTGAGTGCGGAGGGCAAGCCCGTGAGTTACCATGAGGGAAAGGAGAAAGCCTGCAGAGGTGCTGAGGACAGAAGGCAACAGTGGGGACACAGCAGGAACCAGGGCGCTGCGAGGGCTCTCACCTGCCATCTCAAGAGCGTGCCCAACCCCGCCACCTGCCTGGCCCTCCTGGGTCTCACCAGTGCCCTGGGAGGAAGGTCCCACAGGGACCCTCATCCCAAGGAAACAAAGGAAGCCAGACAGGTGAGGGATGGCACCTTCCCAGACCCCACCACAGGCAGTGACCGCAGTGGCACTAGAGTACAAGCTGCCCGCCCTCCCTCCCGCCCTCTGCTGCTGCCCACCATGGCCCCACTGACCCCCAAGACGGACAGGCCCAGGGGGATCCAAGCAGGTGGTGAGACAGCACGTTCCACCCAGCAACCCGGGACCGGGTCAGCCCAAGGGAAGACCCTAAGGCCCTCAGATCACTCAACACTGCCATCCGAGACCAACAAGCAAGAGGCTGGGAAAGGCTCCAAACTCCTGGGTCTAAATCCTGTCTAGCTATCTCATTTTTCAAAAACTGAAAATTAAAGTAGAGTGAAAAATAAACTCCAGGAAATGGAGCCGAAGCAAACGCTGCAGCTGACGGGCCGACATCCACTCCAGCAGCCGCTGAGCAAGGAGGTAGGAGCCGCACTCCCCCGCGCCCTCCTTCCCACAGAGCACCCCCATTTCCCTTATAACCTGGGAGTGGGGGAAAATAATTCACACAGAAACCCTCAGGCTATCCAGGAGCCAGGCAACCTATGGCCTCTGGGCAGAATGTGGCCCAGTTAAATTTCCAGAAAAGTCTGCTAAAGTGGGGACATAGACTTCAGAGTACCGCCCTGTCTCCTCCCCCATCCCCGCTGCCCACTCTCCCTGACTCCCCCCAACCCCCAGGAGGATCTCCTCCCACCAGCCTCAGTGCCCTTGCAGTGATTCCTATTTTGTAGCAGCCGCACACCAAGCAGTGGGCTGGGGCTCCAGCCCGGGGCGTCTGGCTCCAGAGTTTCCGCTGCCGGCCTTACTGCAGACAGGGCTGAGAACCAGCACCTGAGCAGAGGGGAGGACCATGGGTGACAGTGCCCCCTCTCCCTCCTTCAGAGGCTCCTGCTTCAGCAGCACTTACAGTTCCTCAGAGTGAATATTCAGCAGGAAGAGCAGCTGTGCACTGAGTCCCAGAATTAAAGGTGCTCAGCTGGACTTCCCTGTGATCTTCAGAAATGACTGATGTGGTTTCATCAGGACACGTAAGGGGCCGCTCACTCCTGAGCAGAGCCCATAAGTCCATGTCCTAGTGCTGCTGCAAAGCTTAATGAGTTTAGTATCACAGGGACTTGATACTGTACCTGCCACACAGTAAATGATCAATATATGGTATCATTGTCACTATACTGAAGTACTCAAAAAAAGCTTGCCCAGAAAGCAAACACAGGAAAGGTGGCCAACTCCAAGGCAGGCAAGTGGGAGCACAAGGCAATGAGGTCATGGGCCCCCTTCTCCCAGCGCAAGCTGCCTGCAGCATCCTTTGCTTGGCTCTTCCAGGATGAGGCCATCCCAGGGTGACATCCCAGGGTGACATCTCATAGCTCCCCGACCCCAGCTGGTCACAGCCTGAGCCTGCCTCTTGTCAGATCCCCCAGCCACACACCGTGTGGTCCTGCGGTCCTGGCCACTCTCAGCCTGACAGTGCCCTGCATCTTGGGGGTAGGGGGCACGGTGCTGAGAGGCTCACAGAGCTTCAATGTCAGCACCACCCATGAGCAGATGAAGCCAGGGATCCTGCCAACTCCGACTGCCACAGGCTGAAGGGCGCTGCCCAGGACTGGGCCTGCAGAAGGCGGTCAGTGCATGCTTCAGTCAGTCACCAGGTTTCCAAGCCTCCCGCAAAGGCCATCACCAGATTTCCAGTTACGAGTTCAAAGACTTTAAAATTTATTACACTCCAAAAAGAAAACTGATCAAATGAAATCACGCACAGCATTCTCAACTAATGAGAGCTGTAACATTTTAGAAGTTAACCAATTCCTAGAAAGTGGTTTTAAAAACTAGACCTAGGTATGAAACCTAGTTCTCCAGGGTAAAATCAGGCCACCCTAACAATCTCCATCTTCTCAGCTGGAAATGTGGGGAGAGCACCCTAGCCCCCAGAAGACCTTGGAGGGAGGTACCTATGAGGGCCAGTGGCCAATCCAGCTGGACTTCGCCCCTGCCCCTCACCCCCTGCCTCCCAACAGCACCACTGACACGAAGACACCCTGACCTCCCCGTTTCAGATGACACCTGCTCCCCACTGCTCTCAGGGCCACCGCGTTCCCACCCCATTCTCTGCCTCTCTTGACCGTGGCACCTGCTGCCTCCCAGCACGCTCTGTGCCCCCTTGCTGACTGTGGGCAGTGCTGCATCTGTCCCTCTCACCAGAATGGACTTGCCGCAGGGCACAGATGTACCTCAGTCTGTCCAGTGGGGTCTCCCAAGCTCTGAAAACAGTACCCGCGGCCCACAGTGGGTTCATCGCACAACCATGCAGCTTTTCCATCACAGACGTGATGGCCTGCAACACATAAAGAGCAGCAGCCACAGAAACAGCCTCAAGAACAGCTGCTGCACACCAGTGCCATGCACATGGCACCAGACACGACCCCACCCGAGGGGGTCAGAGTGCAAACGTGGCCGACCCAAAAGTCAGACTCCCAGCCCCTACAGACCTGAGCCCACGTGTACGCACACCTGGCAGGAATCCTGTAAGCTGCCTAGAGGGCCAGCCCCTAAACATGCAGAGGCCTGACCCCTCGGCTGGCAATGTCACCCATGGAACCATCACAAGCTGGTGGAGTTAGGAGGGAGACAGTGTCCCCAGGCGCTTGCTCCCCCGTGGCCCTCTCACGGCCAGCCCACAACAGCCTGGTGCCTCCACTCCACTCGGAGAAGACATGCACGTAGCTAGGCCAGAAGCCTCCACTCCACTAGGAGGAGACACGCACGTAGCTAGGACAGAAGAAAGCACTTGGGGGCCCTAGGAAAGAGCGCAGGCCACTCCCCTACCCTTGGAAGAGAACCATAAGGGCTCTCGTGGGCCAGGGGGCCTGCTGCAAATGAGGATGGGAACCCACTGATTCTCCCACAGTGAGTGTGTTCTGGCCACTTTCTTAGCTTGGCCAGAAACCCAGACCATCTCTTCAGTCCTCCCATCGTACCTGCAGGACAGGACGTGTGGCTCTCACTGACCGACTTCACCAGCCGGAGGTCGCCGCTGGGGGGTGAGGGCGGCTCTGCCTCGGGCCTGGGCTTCTGCTGAAGCCCTGGCCCCTCCTGCAGCGTGGGCCGCCCCTGCCGCTGGCTGTGGTTACGCAGCACACGGTTGGCCGTCTCCATGACCACCTCGGAGTTCAGGCTCTCCGCCGCCATGGCCAGGAGCTCATCGTCGTCCTCCCCAGCGTCCCAGGCATCGCTGGTATTGCTCTCAAACTCCTGGAAGGTGCTGACCCTCTTGGCCTTCACTGGTGTGGTCGGCATCTTGGCCGTGGACCTGAGCAAACTGCAATGCAAAGGCAGTCTTTACTCGTACATGCTCGAAGGCTTCACCCAAAACCAGCCAGGAAAGAATTCCCAGGTGAAAAGACAGGCATAGAAGTGTTCAGCTTTGATCTAGCAATAGTGAGTGAAAAAGCAAACACAATTCACAGAGACAGCCAAAAGAAGAGCAGGCGAAGCCCATGAGGACTCAGTGGCAGGAGGGGGAGGGGGCTCCAGGAAGGTCACCTGGGAGGAGGCGCAGGGCCACATGGTGATACCCTGCAGGACCACCCCAGCTCACTCTGGCCAGTGCCTGGGGCACCTTCCCCGAATCCCAGTAAGGCTCCTGCCCAGCAGTGAGGGGTGTGGGCCAGGAGCGCCTGTGCAGGGTGCAGGCCTGTGGTATATGGATTTGAAGACATGATCATTTAAACAAGATTCCCCCAAAATAGGACAACACACAACATCGGCCCCACCTCACGTGAGAAACTTGTCAGACAGGTGCAGTCCTGCAGGGTCACAACAGCCCAGCACAAGCCCCACACTCTGCGCTCCCGCCTGCTGTGGAGGGGCCAGGACAGGCCAGGGCCGGGCTCCAGCAGCTGGTGGAGAATGCGGGAAGGAGGAGGGGAAAGGACAAGCCAGCATGGATGGCCTGCAGCCAGGCTGCCCATGGCTAAAGGATGCCAGCTCCTGGCTCTCCCCAGGGCTCCCCCACCTCCCCACATCAGGCTGTGGCTCCCACATCCGCCGTCTTCACCGGGATGCGCAGCACGGGGTGCACAGTATCTCACACAAAGCGACTGCTTGATCAGTGTGGCTGAATGAGAAACCAGTCTCCTCCCTGAGGAATGCCTGGGAGCAGGAAGGAAGCAGGAAGACCGGGGTTGCCACAGCCCTCCCATATCAGAGCCGAGACGCCAAGTGAGGTTGGAACGTCACTTACGTGCCATGTAACAGTGGATCAAAGGGGGGGTGCTGGGCACCATACACGTGCTGGATGCTGATGGAAAAGAAAAGGAAAACCAGTGAGCCTCTCTCCTGCCTTCCCAAGAGCCCTCCACCAGCTCAGCCGAAAGGTGGGCTCCCAGGAACCCACAGGACTGAAGGAAGCAGCTCCTCATGGGCTGTCGCAGGCCCCCCTGCAGCCACCCGGGGTCCTGAGGGCCCAGTTCAGAAGGGATGAGTGGCACCATACAAGCCCACACCCCACACCCCACACAAGCAGGGCATTCAGCCCATCCCTGAGAATGGACCTCAGCCCGACAAGCACCACCACAGACCCTCGGGCATCTACACGGTGATGAGGGTGTCTGGGAGTGCAATGAAGGAACTGAGGCCTCTGCCCACAGACTAAAAACTCGAAGAAACGCCCACCTGGGAATTCTCACCTGCCATCATTTTGTCTGAAATTGAATGCAGAATTGCAAAAGATAAATATAATTTTTTAAAAGATTGAACAGGCTTGGCACGGTAGCTCACGCCTGTAATCCCAGCACTTTGGGAGGCCAAGGCGGGCGGATCACCTGAAGTCAGGAGTTGGAGACCAGCCTGGCAAACATGGTGAAACCCTGTCTCTACTAAAAATACAAAAATTAGCTGGGCATGGTGGTACATGCCTGTAATCCTAGCTACCGGGAAGGCTGAGGCAGAAGAATGGCTTGAACCCTGGAGGCGGAGGTTGCAGTCAGCCGAGATCGTGCCACTGCACTGCAGCCTGGGTGACAGAGCAAGACTCCATCTCAAAAAGAAAAAGACTTAACAGTTTTACTATAAAAGTCTTACATGCATCAGAGTAAATTTGGAAAACTGATGGAAATGAAATACCCCACGTGGCAGACACTGTTGGTTGACTCATCAACCTCTACCCAGAAGCCTTTGCTCCTTTGGCTGACGTCAGCCACGGCTGGCCCTGTGACACACATTTATTTTTCATAGCCGGCAAGAAATAAATGCTGGTTTTTACTTTTCTGGAAAAAAAAAAAAAAAAACAGGCTTAGCTAGCACCCCTTTGGCCCCCAGCTTCTTTCCCTTTTTTCCACCTGGAACACAGAGGTGAGGCCTCAGCCATCGTGCGTGAGTGAAGATGCCACCATGAAGGGCAGCAGGGCAGACAGGCAGGAAACAGCATGGGGCTGTGACAGCTTTGAGCTGCTGCCCAACCCTGCGCTGCTCACCACAGACTACCAGACACAGGAAATAAACGAATCTCTGTTTGTTGAAGGCAATACTGGCAATGTTGGGAGGCCGAGGTGGGCGGATCGCTTGAGCTCAGGAGTTTAGGACCAGCCTGGGCAACATGGCGAAACCACGTCTGCACAAAAAAATACAAAAAAATTGGCTGGGCGTGGTGACATAAGCCTGTGGTCCCAGCTACTTGGGAGGCTGAGGTTGCAGTGAGCCAAGATTGCACCACTGAACTCCAACCTGGGTTACACAGTGAGACCCTGTCTCAAAAAAATAAAATAAGTGATTACAAAAAAATGGCCGGATGATCGCTTGAGCCTGGGAGGTGGAGGTTGCAGTGAGCCAAGAATGCACCACTGCACTCCAATCTGGGTTACAGAGTAAGACCCTGTCTCTAAAAAATAAAATAATATAGTGATTACAAAAAAAGTAATAAAGATATTTGGAGACAAATATTTGCACACAACTATGATAACCTCTTGGGGATAAACTCCTAGAAATGGAAAGCTTGGGACATAAAGCACACATTAAAAAGGCCACTGGTCCACACTGCTGAAGAGCCGTGGTTCATATCCCACCAGCAGTGTCAACACCACACACCACTGCTCATTCAACAAGAGAACAGTGGTCTCCGTGTCGGCTATGTGCCTCTTCATTCATTAGTAAGGTAAAACTTTTTTTTTTTATTTTGTTCATTTGTACCTCTTCTTTTTGTAAATTGTCTGCTCATACCCTTTGTCCATTTTCTAATGAGGTGCTCACCACTTTCTCACTGCTTTGTAAAAAAAAACCTTGTAAACAGAGGATTCCTTCTTAGTCGTTCTGGTGGTGTGGTCAGCAGAATAACGGCCCCCACCCAAGACGTCCACATCCTAATGCCCAGAACCTGTGACTACGTCACCTTACATGGCAAAGGGGACTTTGCAGATGCAATTAAGAATACGAATGAGGTGGGAGACCATCCTGGGCAATCCGGATGGGCACAATCTAATCATGAGTACTCAAAAGCAGAGAACCTTCCTGGCTGTGGTCAGAGCAGAAGAGACCGCGGAAGGTCACACAAATGCAACATGGCTGACTCTGTACGTGGAGAAAGGGGGCTGTATGCCAAGGAACGTGGGCGGCTTCCTGGAGCTGGAGAGAGCAGGGAAAACGCTCTCCCCTGGAGCTTCCAGAAGGAACCAGCCCCGCCAACACCTTGGTGTTAGCCCAGCGAGACCCACATCAGACTTGCAAATTCTAGAACTCTAGGATACCATGTTTGCTGTAAGCCAGTAAGTTTGTGATGATTTGCTAGAGCAGTCACAGAAAGACAATGGCGGTGGCCAATCTGTTTTCCTTGGTCTGGGAGGCTGAGCCACTCTTGTGTCCTTTCCTCGTGACTCCACTTTGGGGACGACACTTGGAAAGGCCTGACCCTTCTGAGAGTGCATAAACATTGCCGTGTGCTAGTTCAATCCTTCTAGAGGGCTCGTTCCTACCCTTAAGTTTTCAATCCACCTAGAATTTATTTTATTTTGCTATATAGTGTTTAGTAGGAAACTTTAAAAAAAAATAAAGAAGGGTTCAAATGTCATTTATTCAGTAACCTCTCCTTTCACCCACTGCTTTGAGAACATCATCTTTAACGTTAAAATATTACATTGGGTCATTTTTCAGTTTCCCACTCAGTTTCTATTCAGTATCCCATTCCTATGCCTGCAGCACAACATATTAATTATACCAAATGTTCACTTTTATATTCTAAGATTTTTCAGCAAAACTTGACAAACATTTTTTTGATACTGACTCTCGGACAGGGCACTGGGGAGGCAAAGGTAAGCACAACACATCCAAACTATTCCGGCCCTTACAGTTTACTCACAAAAGCAAAACTTCAACTGGCATTTTGACTGTTCTATGATGATTCCTACAAGAGCATGTCACAGGAGCACAGAAACCCAGTCTTATCGGGAGGCCGAGGCGGGCGGATCACGAGGTCAGGAGATCGAGACCATCCTGGATAACACAGTGAAACCCCGTCTCTATGAAAAATACAAAAAATTAGCCGGGCTTGGTGGCACGTGCCTGTAATCCCAGCTACTTGGGAAGCTGAGGCAGGAGAATGGCGTGAACCCAGGAGGCAGAGCTTGTAGTGAGCCGAGATTGCGCCACTGCACTCCAGCCTAGGCGACAGCGAGACTCTGTCTCAAAAAAAAAAAAAAAAGAAAAGAAGGAAGATTCCTTAAGAAAAAAAATCACACTTAGAACTAGGAAAAGTGGCTGGCAGAAGGTTGAGACAAACAAAACAGCACGTACCTGATCTGAAGGCCAGGAGCAGTGGAATCAGTGGGACATCAAAGTGGCAGCCAAGGGCCTGTCACCACAGCAAGCAGAAACATGAGCCCACACCCGGCCTTCCTTCAAAGGCCCAGGAGCCCAGTCCCACCCCTCACTCCACAGAGGAAGATTGGAAACCCAGAGAAGAGAAAGGAATTCAAAAGAGTCTGGCCCCTTGAAGGGTTTGTTATGACTTCTCCTTCCCAAAAAAAAGCCAATAAGGAGAAATATATGATTTCAGAAGAAAATTCTAAAGTCAGCATCCAGATGAAAACATCACATTTATTTCTGCATACATCAGAGTGAGTTTCAGTTTCAAACTGAAGATGACCTGAAAGCAAAGCGCTGATCCCTCCTCTCAACCAGGAAGGACCTACGAGGCAGGCACTGTCCTGGGTGCTGAGGACACAGACGCCCTGTGGCATGAACCACAGGCGGGTCCCAGTGGGGCTGGTGCTGGATACTTTTACCAAAGGAATGAAACACACAGAAAAGTGAAGGAACAGCCCTGTGACCACCATGCCACGTGCCACTGCTCAGCTCCAACCACTTTCAACAGCCTCCAGATTTGCTCAACATGCCGTTTCTTTTTTACTATCAATACTGCAAGCAATAAAGCATAGAGAATAATAGTAGTAGCTAACAGAGATGAGCATTATTTTAAACTCTCAATGTGTTAAGTCCTTTAATCTTTGCAACCCAATAAGGCAGATATCATTACTCTTCCCATTCAAAAGGTGGAAAAACTGAGGGACAGAAAGCTTAAGAAAGTAGCCTGCCTGGCCGGGCGTGGTGGCTCACGCCTGTAATCCCAGCACTTTGGGAGGCCGAGGCGGGTGGATCACGAGGTCTGGAGATCGAGACCGTCCTGGCTAACACAGTGAAACCCCGTCTCTACTAAAAATACAAAAAATTACCCGGTCGTGGTGGCGGACGCCTATAGTCCCAGCTACTTAGGAGGCTGAGGCAAGAGAATGGTGTGAACCCGGGAGGCAGAGCTTGCAGTGAGCCGAGATCACGCCCCTGCACTCCAACCTGGGTGACAGAGTAAGACTCCGTCCCAAAAAAAAAAAAAAAAAAAAAAGTAGCCTGCCCAAAGTCACCTACCCCTGGCAGGCTGCAGCCAGCTTAGTGACATATAGGACATAAGGAATAACCACACAGACACCACCCAGAGATTCACTTCCCCCAAATTCCAACATTTTGTCATATAATAGAGTTGAAACCCTCCCCATTCTGGTTCTCTACCTGCCTCCTCTGAGGTGGCTACCAACCTGTATTTGACATTTTCCATTTCCATGTAAGAGTTTATACTATTATGGAAGAGACGTGGATCTCTGGGCAACATACAGTATTATTCTGCACATTTGCAAAGTTTACACTGTTATCATTTCATACATATGTACCTTTGCAACTAGATGTTCCCTCAAGATTGTTCTTTATGTATCAATGTTAATGCACGCAGCTCCAGTTTTGTTCTGTGGGGTTTCACTGTATGAAAGCCAGTACTTTAGCAGTAAACCAACTTTTCAAAAGAAATGTTACATGGAAATGCCAAACAGGTAAAGGCAGAGCTACTCTGGTGAAGGGGAGACGCAGGAGCCGCCACATGCACTGGCCGGGCCACTCGACAGAAAGAGAGGAGAGGCAACTCCCAGAACCATAGCAGGACTCCACGGAGACACAGAAAGCTGCTGGTCTGGTTGTTTCCTTAAATATAAGGAAAATGAACAAAACCAAGAGATGGTTCTCTGAGTAGATGAATAAAATTGACAAACCTTTGGCTAGACTGACTAAAAGAAAAAAGAGAAGACTTAAATTACTAAAGTCAGACATGATGGAAAAGACATTATTATCAACCTTACAGAAATAAAAAGAATTATGAGAATATTATGAACAACTGTACACCAACAAATAAAATTAATTAGATACAATGCGCAAATTCCCAGAAAGATACACACAACTGAAACTTACTCAAGGAGCAGGAGGAAATATGACTAGATACATAACATGGAAAGAGGCTGAATTAGAGGCCGGGCACACTGGCTCACGTTTGTAATCAAGCACTTTGGGAAGCCAAGGTGGGAGGATCACTTGAACCCCAGGAGTTCAAGACCAGCCTGGCCAACAAAGCAAGACCTCATCTATTAAAAACCAAAAAACTAGTGGGCATGGTGGCACACACCTGTAGTCCCAGCTACTCAGAAGGCTGACGTGGGAGGATCACTTGAGCCCAGGAATTTGAGGTTACAGTGACCTATGACGGCACTACTGCGCTTAAGTGTGGGCAACAGAGCAAGATCCTGTCTCAAAAAAATAAAAAATAAAAATAAAGAGACTAAATTAGTAATCAAAACACTACGCACAAAGAAAAGTCCAAGCCCAGAGGGATTCACTGGTAAATTCTACCAAATAGATAAAGAAGAATTAATACCAATTCTTCATAAATCCTTCCAAAACCTAGAAAAGGAGGTAATATTTCCCAACTCATTCTATGAGGCAAGTACTACCGTGATACCAAAATCAAGCAAAGATATCACAAAGAAAGAAAACTACAAACCAGTATCTCTTATGAATATACACGTAAAAACCCAAAATACTAGCAAACCAAATCCAACAACACATAAAAAGGGATTACGCATCATAATCAAGTGGAATTTATCCAAGAAATGCAAGGTTGGTTTAATAACCAAAAATCAATTAGTGCAATACACTATATTAATAGCATAAAGGACAAAAACCACATGATCATCTAAATAGATGCAGAAAAAGCATATGATAAAATTCAATACTCATTCATTATAAAAATTATCAACAAACTAGGAATTAAAGGTAATCTTCATCCTGATAAAGGATATCTACAAAAAACTCATAGTTAACATCACACTTAATGGTGAAAGGCTGAATATTTTGCCCCTAAGCTCAGGAAAAAGACAAGGATGAGAGGTGGCTCATGCCTGTAATCCAGCACTTTGGGAGGCCAAGGTGGGGAGAATAACTTGAGCCCAGGAGTTAAAGACCAGTCTGGGCAACAAAGTGAGACCTTGATCTCTACAAAAAATCAAAAAATTAACCAGGCATGATGATGCATGTCTGTGGTCCCAGCTACATGGCAGGCTGAAGCAGGAGAATCACTTGAGCCCAGGAGGTTGAGATCAAGGCTGCAGTGAGCCATGTTGGCAAAACTGCACTCTCTAGCCTGGGCAACAGAGCAGGACCTTGTCTCAAAACAAAAGTAGTGATACAAGCTACAACGTAGATCAATCTTGAAAATATTATGCTCAGTGAAAGAAGATAATTACCAAAGAAATGCACATTATATTATTCCATTTATTTGAAATCCCTAGAATAGACAATTCTATATACAGAGAACGTAGATTAGTGGTTACTTGGGGACTAGAACAGGGAGGAAGGCAGGGGTGATAGTTAAAGGACACACGAGGTTTTCTAGAGGCAATAAACATGCTCTAAAATTGATTGTGGTGATAGTTACACAACACTTTGAAGACACTAAAAAAACCACTGCATTATATACTTTAAATGGGTGAAGGCTATTGTGGGTGAATTGTGTTCTATCTGTATCTCAGGGAAGATGTTATAATGTTTTAAAGTCAATACAGCTTTTACCTGGTCCTCTTGGGTTCCCGCTCTTGGAACCCAGCTACCCATTCTCTGAAGATGCCAAAATTAGCCACAAGGATCTCCCATATGTACACATTACAACCCACAGCACTAGCTGAAGGCCCAGTGGACAGCCTGCATCACTGCTAGACAAGTCAGTGAATCAGCCCTCTTATAATTCCAGCCCCAGCCCTCGAGTCTTCCTAGTGAGGCCCCAGACATCATGGAGAAGAGACAAGACATCCCACTGTGCCCCATGTGAATTTCTGACCCACAAACCCTATGAGCAGAATCAAATGCTTGCTCTATGCCAGGGGGTGGGAAAAAGATACAGCCTGCTTAGATCAAGCACAATCTATCTGTCATGTCCTTTTCCTGAAATGTCTTGGATGTCTCTCTGACATTGGTAGAAAGCTTTCAGGTTTAAAAATCAAAGGCTCGGGTTCAAGGCCCAGCTCCAACACTTACTAGCTGGTAAAGTTTTAACCAAGTAAGTACTCTGAGTTTTCGTTTTCTCATCCTGGAAATGGGAATAAGAACATGTATGAAATGAGATAACCGTATATCACAGAAATCTGAATACTGGGACATGACCTACAAATAGCGTTTATCAATATTATCAATCTCTCTGTATATGAACGTTTACATTCTTCCTATCATTTCCCAATGTATCTCTATTGCTCAAAACCAGCATGCTTCTTGGCCTACTGGCCACTATTTGCATGTCCTTTTTAAAAAAAAAGTCTCTGCAACATTATCACAGGCCACAGGCTTTTCCTCCCGGGACAGCCGGAAATTCATAAATTCTTCATAGGCAAACCATTTTTGTTTACTAAACAAAAAATGTTCCAACAAAGTTCAACTGAGACTAAAGGAACCCCATTTTATCTAATCAAAATTGCACTTTTATTTGATTTTGCATAGCTAAAAAGAAAAGCAGACTACAACTAAAGATATTTTAAAAGAATATGTGGCAACATACCCACCTACCTCAATTCAGATAATGAAATCTGTCTTTAAAAAAGTATATTAACCAGCCAGGTATGGTGGCTCACACCTGTAATCCCAGCACTTTGGGAGGCTGGCGGATCACTTGAGACCAGGCAGGCGGATCACTTGAGACCAGGAGTTCAAGACTAGCCTGGGCAACATAGTGAGACCCCATCTCTACCAAAAAAATAACTTAGCCAGGCACAGTGGCATGTACCTGGAGCCCCTGCCACTCACAAGGCTAAAGTAGATGGATCACATGAGCCCAGGAGATTGAGGTTGCAGTGAGCTGTGATCGCACCACTGCACTCCAGCCTGGGCAACAAAGCAAGACTTTGTATACAAAAAAAAGGATATTAGTCAATAAACTTTTTAATGAATTAAACTGCTTTGAAACACTGCAGTAATCTACTGTTTTTTATTAAAGAGAACCCTAGTGATTCCTTATGAAAAGCAGATGCATATGACGTAATTCCACTTCTTGATAGACGACCTAGAAAACCCTTGCACAAGCACACAGGAGATGAGCTCAGCAATGTCTATAATGCTAAAAAAGATAAAAAAAATTTTTTTGAGATAAACCTAGATGCCCATTGACTGAATAATGCATAAGCCAGAATACATACATATAATGGAATACTAACCATAGCAGATGTGAATGAACTAGAACCACCAGAACCAATCCAAATAAATGTCATCAACAGAACACTGAAGAGGAGAGCAAGTTGACAGTGTGGCATCCTTTAAAAAAATTTTTTAAATGCGAAATGATACTATATATCACTTTTGATACACATGAGTGGTAAAAAAAAAACTGCTCCTGCACACATGGGAATGGAAACACAAAACTCAGAATGGGTGGAGGGAGCAGCTGAGTTCAGGCAAAGACCCCACAGCGGCATCAACTGCGTGTGTGCGCTGTCCTCTTTCCCATGCTGGATGGAGATACGGTGTGTTCTGTATTACATCAGCCTGTGTGCCCCTTCTGAATGTCTGAAACGCTTTCTAGTTTTTTAAAGATCGCTCTGGCTCTGTGAAGGTGAGGTGTGCGTGGCCTGGACACGGGCACACTGCTGGAGCACCGCCTTACTCTCCAGAAGGGTCAAAACATGGAGGACTCCTGGGGGCACAGTGCTGATAACTCTAAGTCTGCCCATTCTTTTGACACTGTAAACAGAAATCTTTCAAAAAGTAAGCTCAGTATCATTAGCGATCAGAGAAACACAAATCAAAACCACCATCGGATACCACTTCACACCCAGCAGAATGGCAGAAATGAAAAAGACGCTAAAGCGTGATGGTGAGGATGCAGAGAGACCGGGACCTCACACACTGCTAGCGGGAAATTAAAAATGGGCAGCTGCTGTGGAAAACAGTTTGGCAGGTCCTCAGAAGGTTACATGGAGTTATCGCATGACCCATCAATTCCACTCGGAGGTAGATACCCAAGAGAAATGAAAATACACATCCACACCAAAACCTTGTACAGCATTAACCATAACAGCCAAAGAATGAAGGCAAATGTCCACCAGCTGATGAATGGGTCAATACAACGTGGCCTAACCACACAATGGAGTAATATTAGGTCATAAAGGGAATGAAGTCTTGGTACGCAACACAGCATGGGTGAATCCTGACAACATGAAGCTGAGAGACGCAAAAGGCCGCATACTGTATGATTCCACCGACATACAACATCCAGAACAGGCAAATCCCTGAAGCCAGATAGCAGCCCCATGGTTGCCAAGGGTGGGGAGGAGAGAATGGGAAGTGAATGCTAACAGGTACAGCGTTGCTCTCTGTGGTGATGAAATTTTTCTAAAACTGACTGTAGTAATGACTGCCTAACTGTGAATATACTAAAAACACCAAGCACTTTAAATGGGCGAACGGTGTGGTATGTACGTGGTATCTCCACAAAGATGGAAGGGAGGAAAGGAAGGGCCCCCTCCCTGACCCCATTGTGTCCCAGGAAGGCCGGGACGTCATGGAAGGGAAGGCTCGAGATGGCTGACCAGCCTCATTCATTCAACCTTTAAATAAGTCCAAGTCCGGCTGGGCACGGTGGCTCAGGCCTGTAATCTCAGCACTTTGAGAGGCCGAGGCAGGCAGATCACAAGGTCAAGAGATGGAGACCATCCTGGCCAACATGGTGAAACCTCGTCTCTACTAAAAATACAAGAATTAGCTGGGTGTGATGGTGCACGCCTGTAGTCCCAGCTACCCAGGAGGCTGAGGCAGAAGAATCACTTGAACCCAGGAGGCGGAGGTTGCAGTGAGCCGAGATCGTGCCACTGCACACCAGCCTAGGCGACAGAGTGAGACTCCATCTCAATAATAATAAGAAGAAGAAGTCCAAGTCCACTTGTCCCACCATGAATGACAAGTTTGTAGCGTAAATCACCACAGAACAACACACTTCAGCATGCTTCACATGAAAATGACAGATTTCATCGCCCCCAAACTTGAGGAGGACTAACTGGTTAGTAGTGAGCAAGGCAGGGGCCATTAGTTGGGTGTTCTGGTCAATGGGTACACATCCTGCTGATCCTACAAACACACAGCCGGGGCTCTCAGATGGAAGAGGGCATGAGCAAACACTGATGAAGGGTCACAGACTCTAACCCACGACAGGAGAGGCCGCACACAGGTGAAAGTGGAACAATGTGCACAAGGGACAAGATACTCCGGGGCAGGCCAGGGAGGGGCCGGCAGAGAGATGCCCCAAGAGGCTGTGCCCTGGAGAAGACCCCCAACCAAAAAGACCTCCCCATGCCCTCCCCAAAAACAGCCCTCAGAATTGTGGCCAAAGCTCCCCTTTTCAGCATAGGCACAGGGAGATGCAACTGCAATGCCACCACTCGTAAGGGGAACCCGAGGACACCCATGGCAGGCGAGGCAGGTAAACTAAGGTCTAACACGAGAACTGGGGTTGGGCGTGGTGGCTCAGGCCTATAATCCCAGCACTTCGGGAGGCCAAGGTAGGCAGATCGTTTGAGTCCAGGAGTTCAAGACCAGCACGGGCAACATGGTGAAACCCCGTCTCTATAAAAAATATAAAAATTAACCAGGCATGGTGGTGTGCTCCTGTAGTCCCAGCTACTCAGGAGGCTGAGGTGGGAAGATCACCTGAGCCCAGGAAGTCAAGGCTGCAGTGAGCTAAGATCACGCACCACTGCACTCCAGCAGTGACACCAGCAACACCAGCACCAGCAACTGCACTCCAGCAACAGAATGACACCCTGTCTAAAAAAAAAAAAAAAAACAAAATTGGGAGGGCACCTCCAGGGAGAAGAGCAGAGGGGTCACGGCATAAGAACAGGCTGGAGACACTGGTCAGTTGTGGGGGTCGGGGCAGGGGGAAATGCCCAAGAGAAAGAGAATGGGTCCCTGACATCAACACCAACTCTTCAGGACTGTGCCCAGAGCTGTCTTTACAACATGATTCAGAAAAGCTTAAATTTAAAAAAACAATAAACAAAATACTAAAATCCAATACTTGCTGAGAATCTACTTCTGGATAGCTAAGGCCTCCAACTTGGTCCTTGCCTGACAGCAGCGTGCAACACAGATGTCTTCAGCTTCTACTGACTACGCTGCGTTATGTTTCTCCATTCAAGTCACTCAACAAACACTGACTGGGCACCTGCTCCACACCAGGCCCGGGCTGGTCCTGGAAAGCTGACAGTGAACAAGCGAGAGTCCCTCTCCCTGTCCTTGGGCCGCCTCAGTGAAGGCAGCTAATCCATGAGGATACAAGTGACTCTGAAGCAGGAAGAGACAAGTCAGAGTCAAGAGGGACAGAGCGACTCTGGCCAACGCTGCAAGGCCGCTGGGTTTTGACAGGAGGCAGCTCTCCCTGGCAGATCCTGCAGAATGTTTTTCTGGTTTGAATTTGAAGCCTCTACACCAAGGTGCTCTTTTCAAACAAACCTGATGGTGTATCAGAACAGCTTTTTTTTTTTTAATTGAAGGTTAAACAGCAGTAGGTGAAAATAGCAGTGAGGGAAACAGGGAAGAGTGAAAGAAAATAAAAGTATGGAAAAGCAATAAATCCAGCTGCAATGTTCTCAGGATCATAAAATAAATGAAACATTTACGATTAAATGCTTCTCTGTATTTCACATATATGAAGTAAACAGGCAAGTCATCTAGTCAAATTCATTTGATGGCTAATCAACCTCTCTTCTCCAAGCACAGTCATTATTCAGTGCCCCCTTAGGGGTCAATAGCAGCTTTCTGAAATACGTACTCAAATTGGCAACTGAATTTACCACTCAGCTCATTCTAACACATGGTGATACTCCCCAGATTTATAAAATATATTCAGAAGTAAATTTTCCAAGGAAATTAACTCTAGGAGCTTTGGAGGAAAAATGTACGAAAAACCATCATGGCAACAGTGAACAATTCCACCATCCCCTCCGTCCACAGCATAATCTGAAACTTGTGCCCACCCCGAGGGTCAACAGCAGAAACATGTGGTACCTGAGACCCAAACCAGAGGGTCTCCGAGGGCTGTCCCGCCCCGACACCCACACCACTCTGACTGGCAGCAACACATACGCTGTCCTGCAAGGCTCCCAGCTATGTGGTGCTGCTTCTGGACCACAAACTCCCTGCTACAGGGGCTGCATTTTGTCTCATGTCACACTCCTCACAGCCCTCGGAGCACTGAGAACCCAGTAGGGGCTGAGGCAATTACTGGGTCAAACGGACATCTCTGGAAATAGGTCTTGGAAACAGCATTTTTACAATGATTTTTTCCCGCACATAACAAAAGCAATGTGTGTTTATTATAGAAAACAGAAAATATGAAGGAAATGGAAGTATTTTGAAATTGTCCTGGCCAGGCGCTGTGGCTCACGTCTGTAATTCCAGCTCTTTGGGAGGCCGAGGCGGGCAGATCACCTGAGGTCAGGAGTTCGAGACCAGCCTGGCCAACATGGTGAAACCCCGTCTCTACTAAAAATACAAACATTAGCCAGGTGTGGTGGTGGGCACCTTTAAAAAAAAGAAAGAAAGAAATTGTCCAACACAGAGAAGTCAAGCCACGCACCACATAACGACATTTTAGTCAACAACAGACCACATATAGGACCATGGTCCTGTAAGACTATAATGCAGTTGAAAAATTCCTGTCACCTAGTGATGTCACAGCCAAAGTTACATCACATCACAAAGCATACTCCTGTGTTTGCGGTGATGCTGATGTAAGCAAATCTACTGCACTGCCAGTCCTATAACAGTATAGCACATACATTATGTACTGTACGTAATACTTGATCATAATGAACAACTATGCTACTGCTTTATGGATGTATTCATTGTACTAATTGTATTATACTTGTTTTTTTATTTGAGACAGAGTTTTGCTCTTGTCATTCAGGCTGGAGTGCAATGGTGTGATCTCGACTCACTGCAGCCTCTGCCTCCAGGGTACAAGCGATTCTCCTGCCTCAGACTCCTGGGTATCTGGGATTACAGGTGCCCACCACCACGCCCGGCTAATTTTTGTACTTTTAGTAGAGACGGGGTTTCACCATGTTGGCCAGGCTGCTTTCGAACTCCTGACCTCAGGTGATCTACCTGCCTTGGCCTCCCAGAGTGCTGGGATTACAGGATTACACTGTGCCTGGCCTATTGTACTATACTTTTTATCATTATTTTAGAGTTATGTTCCTTCTGCTTGTTTAAAAAACAAAATACAATAAAAGCTGTAAAACAGCCTCAGGCAAGTCCCTAGTCCTTCAGGAGGCATTCCAGAAGAAGGCAATGTTATCATGGAAGATGATGATTCCATGCATGTTATTGCCCCCGAAGACCTTCCACTGGGGCAAGATGTGGAGGTGGAAGCCAGTGGCACTGACGGTCCCGACCCTGTGTCGGCCTAGGCTAATGTGTGTGTCTGTGTCTTAGTTTTTAACAAAAAGCTGAAAAAGTAAAAAATAAAAAATTTTAAAAAGAGAAAAAAGCTTACCGAGTCAGGATATAAAGAAAAATATCTTGGTGCAGCTGTACAACGTATTTGTGTTCTAAGCTATGTGTCAATAGAAAGGAGTCAAAAAGTTTTTTAAAAATCAAAACGTTTATGAAGTTTAAAAGTCACAGCAAGCTAAGGTTAATTTACTACTGAAGAAAGAAGGTGTGTTTATGAATCTAGTAGAGCCTAAATGTAGAGTGCTAATGACATCTACACGATGCACAGTGAGGACCCAGACCTTCCCATTCACTCACCCTTCATTCACCGACCCACCAAGGGCACCGTCCAGTCCCGTGAGCGCCAATCGCACCAGCTGCCCTACACGAGTATGCCATTTTATCTTTCATTCTGTATTTGTACTATACCTGCTCCATATTTAGAGATGTTTAGATACAAAAATACCAACCATTGTGTGACAACTGCCTGCAGTATTCAGAACAGTACCATGCTGTACAGGCACATAGCCTCAGAGCAACAGACGGTGCCGTACAGCCTAGGTGTGCAGCAGGCGACACTGCGCTAACTCTACCTGGGTTTGTATAAATGTGCTCTGTGATGTTCACACAGGGACCAAATCACCTAAGGACACATGTCTCAGAAGGCGTCCCCGTCGCTAAGTGATGCATGACTTTCGGAGCGGCTCCGCCACCCTGGCAGCCAGCCATCACCGAGGCCCATTTCCCCTCTCTCCTTCTTGCTGCTTCTCACTCAATCCTGGCCCTGCCCAGCTTCCCCTCAGGACTCATCACACTGAGCTCTTTCTTCTTGCTCCCTCCTCTGCCTCCTGCCAGCCTCTCTGCATGCCCCAGACTCTTCTGTGTGTTCCCAACTCTGCTCCCCAAAGCCGAGTCCTCAGTCCTCCTTCCTTCTCTTATGAAAAATCATGCTCTCTCCTGACCTCCTCCACCCGAGTAAACGGTTCTCAAACACGTGCCTCCAAGCAAAACCACTGCCAACTCTCAGCCACGAATCCACCACCTCACGTCAACGGGTTCCCCCAAAAAATCAGCTGTGCCCCACCGGCCACTCCTCACACCCACTCTTCGGTCCCCACCCTTGGACAACATCACTCTCTACCAGTCACACAAAAATAGACAATGTGCTCATCCCTGCCTCGTACCTCTCCCTCGAGCCCTCTTCTGGCGGCCCCTGGCTCTCACTGGCCCATGTCCTGGCATCGAAAACCCTCTGTCCCACTAACTTAAATCGGGGCTCCATTTTCTCTCATTCTGACCATGTATCTCCTGTGACCACCTCCAGAACTGCCATCCACCAACAGGAGGGTCAGCCTCGTCTCCTCCCTGAAGCACACCACCCACCCACGTCTCCACATCCTCTAGGTCACCTTGGAAACCTCCCACACATCTCTCTTCTCCTGTCCATCAGCCCTGGCCCTGACCCATCCCCTGCTCCTGAGAAGAACATGACAGTTGCACCGGCTGCCCCAGGGTTTGGCCTCAGCTCTGTCGTCCTGTGCCCATCAGAGGATGGGTCACTCCCCAGCTGAACATCCTTCAAGGTCTTCCTACAGGCCTTGGGGAAGAACTCGTATGCCTTCAGGTCCTATGAGGCCTGTGCAGTGTCCTCCTGCCCCTCTCGGCTCACACATCCCCTCTCGGGAGGGCTCTTTTTTCCCACCTTTTGCAAAGTGTGGCACAGGGTCCGTTTTGAATATCTACTGAACTAACTGAATTGCAAGCACTTCCTGACAGTCCCCTTCCTCTCTCTCTCCTCCCCACGGCCATGGTTCTCACCCGACATCCTGGCTGGCCTCGTCCTACCCATGCAATCTCAGGCCAGTTCCTTGACCTGAGCCTCTGTCTCTGGCACACAGCAAGAGGTCAATAAACAGTAGCAGGAGGTCTGATCAGGTCACTCCTGCTCAGAAACCTTCCCTACTCCAAACACAAAAGAGCCTCAAGCCAAAACTCCTGCAGCCACCATCCTGAACACTGACCCTCACCTCCCATCCCACCACGCAGCCGCAGCTGTGCCCACTCCTTCCATCCATACCACCCCACCACACAGCCACAACTATGCCCACTGCTTCCACGCACACCATCCCACCATACAGCCACAGCTGTGCCCACTACTTCCACGCACACCTCTGTTCTCAGGTAGCCAGCGACCCGCCAGGCTCCCAAACACACCCTGTACTCCTCCTCACTCAGGCTGTGTTCAAGCCACCCTGTGCCAAGAAGGCCTTGTCCCAGCCCCTGACTACAGAACACGCCCCACACCCCAGGTAACCTTCAAAGTCCACTTTAATGTCATCTCATGTCCTCAGTGAAAACTCCCCTTTCCTTGCCTATACTGCCACAGGGCTTCCTGGCCCCTCCGTGGCCCGCTTGGCACCAGCATCCTTGCGGCAGAAGCTCCTGGCTGGTCTGTCTCCCTCAGCAAACGAAGTCCCTCGGTAGCAGGAGTAACACCAGGCTCACCTTTGCACACGCCCCAGGGCCTCATGTGCAAACAGAGCGCATCCCATAACTGCTTGTTCCATTTAATTCTCTTCCTCACTGTGCACGTGTGTGAATGATTAAGCATTTTAAAGGTACACCGTATCTTTGAAGGAATTAACTTCCAAGAACACAGCACATTCTCTCACGACAAAACCCAGCTAGGTGACACCCTCTTAAAAGCTAGTGAGCTGCTGTAAAGG
The DNA here is from genome assembly GCF_000001405.40 of Homo sapiens. Classification (NCBI taxonomy): domain Eukaryota; kingdom Metazoa; phylum Chordata; class Mammalia; order Primates; family Hominidae; genus Homo; species Homo sapiens. The sequence continues at coordinate 46,775,760 of NC_000022.11, read as the reverse complement.
TGGCCTTTTCTCTCAGCTATTTAAAAGCATGACGGCTGAGGCAGGCACATCTGGCTGATGCACAAGCTGTTACAGTGGCTCTAGTGACTGGTTTTGGAACACAAAACTAACTCACTATAGAGATTAATTCTAAGAGAAAACAAAATGCGGCCCACAGCCAACAACCCTCTACCAGCCCTTCCAGGAGGCAGCTGTGGCCGCACAGGAATCACCTACTGCACCATCAATAAACCTGAGAACTTGGCAGCAGCCAGACCCAGTCTCAAAACAGAAGAGGTGGCGCTCTGTGCTCTTCCTCCACCCCGAGAAAGCAACTCCCAAGGCCCCAGACGTGAGCAGGAAAATAGTCATAGATTCTATAAAACTGTGGTTGTCTCTGAACCTTTCTTCCTCCCAGATCCCTTCCGTATTCGGAAAGAAGCAAGGCCAGATCTCCTCTTGACTCCCGACCCCAACAGCATAATGTAGGGAGTCCCAGGCAACTCGCTAGCCTCCCGCCCCAAACACATTCACGTGAAAACAAGGGCAGCGGGTGCACCAAGCCCTCGCGGAGGAGCTGCCACCCCTAAGAGAGCCACAGTGACACCAAGGGACCCACCCCCTTTCCAAGACCGGGTCCTCTGCCCTGTCCTCTCCACACATCCCGAGCCACTGATGGCTTTCAGCCAAGGATCAGGAGCTCATCCAGACGACTGCAATAAACATCACTCGCCTCATCTAGGTGAAAGCCTTAGAGCCAGCAAGCCTATTTTATTTTTTAGTTTAGTAAAAATGTTTGATAAAAGAAGGCCCATTTCAAACCAGCACAGCAAGGAGTAGAGGCCCAGGTGCAGAAAGCTGCACGGCACACTTAAAAATTCTATCAGCATCGGCCGGGCTCCGGTGCACACAGCGCACATGAGAAGGAAGAGGATGGCGGAGGGCGAGGCAGCGCTCAAATGAACCCAAGCATGAGCAAGAACACCCAGGAGGGACCCGTGGGAACAGAGCGGATGCAGTCGGGGGCCCAGAAATATCAGGGGCCCCGAAGCCGGAAAGGGCTCTGCCTTGGATGGGCCTGAAGGTGAACCCGTTCCCCTAGGAGCTCGGGGCCTTGAGCAGAGGCCCACCTTCCCCACTGCAGGCCGTTTACGGAAGGCAGACTCAGGGAGGAGAGGGCGCCCAGCAATGCCTGGCCCTGCCCCGGGGGGCTGCCATCAGTAACAACACAGACGTTCTCAGCCTCTACTTCCTACTTAATAAGGAAACCCACAGGTATTCTAAGCAACTGGACTCAAAGGGCCTACGTGCCCCTTCATGAACCGCAGCACTCGGGGTGGAATTTCCATGTTTATCACCAGAAAAGAGGAAACATTTCAGAAAGGGGGAACAAAAAGTCTGGGGATACTCAAAATGAAAGTTCCCCACAGCACGGGGCCCAGAAATGGGAAGAGCCCAGGCAGCCCTGTTCCCTCTGGGCCTCCTGATACCTCTGCCTCTTGTCTGCAAAGAGAACACCAGGGGGGACCTAGAACAAGCTGCTCACCTCACTCCAGAAGAATCTCTGCTGCCGAGCACAGCAAGCCTGGTTTTCCCCCAGCCTGGAGGAGCCAGGCCTCAGGCTGAGCTCAGCAGGGCTCCAAGGGCAGGCAGGCCCAGCAGGCAGCAGCCTGAGTTCAAACAGGAGGATGGGTGCGGGGGCGGGAGGAACACCTCCACCCAAGCCAGCCCACAGCAGGATCAGATTCCTGGTGAGTGAGTCAGCTTTCTCTGTAATAATTTCAACACCTGTTAAGTCCCCTAGGGAATGGAGGAGATAAGGATGAGGCTGTGATGGGTAAGGGCACAGACTTCTAAGGTTCAAACCCCAGCTTTGCCACTTATGAGCTGTGTGGCTTTGAGCACGTAGCTCAGCTTCTGAGTTTCCTCATTTGTAAAATAGGGACCACACGGTACCACCCCCAGCTGCTATGAGGACTACACGTGTGGTTGCATGTACAGTGTCTAGCCCGCCGGGTGCAGTGGCTCACACCTGTAATCCCAGCACTTTGGGAGGCCAAGGTGGGCGGATCACCTGAGGTCAGGAGTTCGGGACCAGCCTGGCCAACACGGTGAAACCCCATCTCTACTAAAACACACACACAAAAAAATGAGCTGGGTGTGGCGGCATGAGCCTGTAGCCCCAGCTACTGGGGAGGCTGAGGCAGGAGAACTGCTTGAACCCGGGAGGCAGAGGTTACAGTGAGCTGAGATGGCACCATTGTATTCCAGCCTGGGTAACAGGGCAAGACTCCATCTCCAAAAAAAATAAAAATAAGTGCCTAGCCCAAGGGAAGCACTCCACAGACAATCCCTAGCGTGAGGTGTGACACCAAGGCCCCAGCCACCTCAGTTCTGAGCGCTGCAGGGAACACCTGCTCTGAGCCTGCTCCGCACACAGACACGCTCCCCGACTCCTCAGGAAAAAGAACTACGCAGGTGGGTCATCTTGTGCTCCCAGGGCCAAGCACGGTGACATTCCCCACCCTGTGACAGGACACGGGCTCCTGTTCCTGGGCTCCCCACTGCACCTAGAAGCACTGCACGATGCAGATCTCCACGGCCTGTGTTCAGGGGGTGAAGGGCTGAGCTGAGGAGGGGCAGAGATGCTGAGCCTGCCAGAGAAGGAAAGGAGGGGCAGGTGTCACTCTCAGGCCACAGAGCCAGGACAGGCCCCTGCAAGTGAGCACTGCCCTTGTCCTAGCCACAGGCAGGCCGTGCTACACTGTGGCCGTTCAGGGAAAGAAAAACAGAGATGACTTCTTTTCAACACAAATGCCCATCCATCAACAAGTGGATAAAGGAAGTGTGGTGTGGCCACATGCAGTGGCTCATGCCTGCAATCCCTGCACTTTGGGAGGCCAAGGCAGGAGGATCAGGAGGTCAGGAGATGGAGATCATCCTGGCCAACATGGTAAAAATACAAAAATTAGCTGGGCATGGTGGTGAGCACCTGTAATCCCAGCTACTCAGGAGGCTGAAGCAGGAGAATAGCTTGAACCCAGGAGACAGAGGTTGCAGTGAGCCAAGATCACACCACTGCACTCCAGCCTGGTGATAGAGTGAGACTCCCATCTCAAAAAAAAAAAAAAAAAAAAGTGCGGTGCATGTGTGTTTGTGTATATATGTATATATGTATATGTGTGTATACATATATATGTATATGTGTGTATACATATATATGTATATGTGTGTATACATATATATGTATATGTGTGTATACATATATATGTATATGTGTGTATACATATATATGTATATGTGTGTATACTATATATGTATATGTGTGTATACATATATATGTATATGTGTGTATACATATATATGTATATGTGTGTATACATATATATGTATATGTGTGTATACATATATATGTATATGTGTGTATACATATATATGTATATGTGTGTATACATATATATGTATATGTGTGTATACATATATATGTATATGTGTGTATACATATATATGTATATGTGTGTATACATATATATGTATATGTGTGTATACATATATATGTATATGTGTGTATACATATATATGTATATGTGTGTATACATATATATGTATATGTGTGTATACATATATATGTATATGTGTGTATACATATATATGTATATGTGTGTATACATATATATGTATATGTGTGTATACATATATATGTATATGTGTGTATACATATATATGTATATGTATATATACGATGGAATACTACTTAGCCATAAAAAGGAATGAATTACTGGCATTCGCAGAGACCTCGATGAGATTGGAGACAACAATTCTGGGTAAAGTAACTCAGGAATGGAAAACCAAACATCACCTGTTCTCACTCATAAGTGGGAGCTAACGGCTAGGCATGGTGGTTCACGCCTGTAATCTCAGCACTCTGGGAGGCCGAGGCGGGTGGATCACTTGAGGTCAGGAGTTCAAGACCAGCCTGGCCAACATGGTGAAACCCCATCTCTACTAAAAATACAAAAATTAGGCGGGCATGGTGGCATGTGCCTATAATCCCAGCCACTCGGGAGGCTGAGACAGGAGAATCACCTGAACCCGGGAGGCAGAGGTTGCAATGAGCTGAGATCGCGCCACTCCACTCCAGCCTGGGCAACAGAGCAAGACTCCATCTCAAAAAAAAAAAAAATAGTAAGTAGGACCTAAGCCATGAGGATGCAAAGTCATAAGAATGACACAATAGACTTCAGGGACTCAGAGGAAAAGGATGGGAAGCGGGTGAGGGATAAAAGACTGGGTTCAGTGTATACTGCTCGGGTGCACTGTTCAGTATACACTGTTCAGTGTATACTGCTCAGGTGCACCCAAATCTCACAAATCACCACTAAAGAACTTACTCATGTAACCAAACACCACCTGTTCCCCAGTAATCTATAGAAATAAAAAATTAAAAAGAAAAACAGAAAGAAAAACAGACAAGTGGTCTCCGAAGACTTGTTCTCCTCAATTCCATGAGGAATCCCATGGTTCCTCAAAAACACTTGGAGGCGATGGGGTACTTCCTCCTGCTCTTGTTACTTAAGAAACAAATAAATAAATAATCCAAAATTGTCAGGGATCAATCATTTTTGTCTTCATTTAAAATTAACCCAGAGTCCAGATTTACTCTATCAGACGAATATGTAAGAGAAAGGAAATATGATTCACATTCAATTTATTTTTCAAAGTGTTTCTGGACAAAGTAAGACATTTAATAACATGGAAAGTAACCGCTGAAAGGAACAAGAAAAGGAACTGCACCTACAGCAAAATCTCACCCACCAGCTCTTCCGCGGCCCCCGTCACAGGAAGGTCATCTCCACTCACAAACAAGAAGAGAAACCCAACTGGCGGGGAACACACAATCACTGCCGGAACAAGACTCCGGGGCTTCCCTCTGCATGGAAAACAGGACTGAGGGTTCTTACCCAATAAACAATCTCTTCAAAACATAAGCAAAAGGCAATACAGATTTATAAAAAACACAAGAAAGCAAGGCGGCCAGAAGCAGCAGCCAACATTCTGAGGAAAGAGGCAGGGCTCTATTTGGTTCCTAGGCCTGAGCAGGACATAGGACATAGGAAGAACCCTCCGAGCTGACTTCAGTCCCCTGGGTTTAAACACACTTTGTGGAGGTTACCCAGTGACCACCCCCAAGGCCGCTGACCAAGGTACTCCTGCCCACATCCAAGTGCAGGACTCTGCTGAGGGAGGTGCTGGGCCACCTGCCATTCCCTGTCAGACATCCCTCGGCACAGTCCCCAACTCTTCACAGCTGCTGTAACAAATTACCACAGCTTAAAACATGCATTCACTATCTCGAAGTTCTGAAGGTCAGAAATCCGGCATGGGTCTCATCACACTGAAGTCCAGGCGTCAGCCAGCTGTGCCCCTTCCGGGAGGCTCGAAGGGAGAACCCCTTTCCTGCTCACTCCGGTTGGCGGCAGAATTCAGCTCCTGGCGGATGCAGGAGCAAGGCCTTGCTCTCCTGTTAGCCATCTGCAGAAGGCCTTTCGCAGCTTCTAGAAGCCGCGCCACATTCCTGGTGGCTGCCTCCTCCATCTGCAAAGCCAGCCGCTGTGGGTGGAGTCCATCCCACACCATGTCTCTGACCACGTCCAAAAGCTCGTGAGGTTACACTGGGCCCACCAGGTAACAGGACAATTCCCCCATTTCAGGTCAGCTGATTAGCGACCTTAATTCCCCTCTGCCATGTAACAGAACATATTCACAGGGGTCAGGGATGAGGATGAGGACACCTTTAGGGGGCCAGTATTCTGCCTACCACACTCCCATCCCCTCAGGCCAGCACCCTGGAGATCACCTCGACCCCCAGCACCCCGCCCATCAGTGAATCCTGAGTGTGCCATGTGTACCCTGAACATGCCCGATCCTCTCCAACCCCACAGCATCTGGCCTCGGCCTCCTCAGAAGCCCACCAGTTTCCTCTCTCGCCCTCTCTTCAAGGATGACAAACAGTGTCACAGTATCACACCCCTCCCTGTTTAAAACCCTTCAACACTCTCTCATGGCTCTTAGGACCACAGCTCAGATCTTCACCATGGCCTTGGAAGCAGCTCCAGTGCCTGCTCACCACCCTCCATGCCCCTCCTCCCCAGTCAAGCGCTCCCCACTCCTATACACCCTCCCCTGACCTCAGCAGCCAGATCGGTTCCTGCTGTACAGCCAGGTCTCGGCGGAAGCGGGACCTGTGTAAGGAGGACATGAGCATTCCACCCAGTGAGGGCCTTGCTACTCTGCCAGGGTCCCGGGACTGCCACCTGCCCAGCACTGCAGTCTGTGCGCATGTGTTCACAGGGCAGGCGTCCAGCCGTGAAGAGCCACATGGCTTGCTCAGCACGCACCACAGCACCTGGCACAGGAGAGGAGCTCGTAAACGTTTTCCAAATGAATTCATTATCCCCAACAGTGCCTCTCCTTCGGCTGAGGACGGACTGTGGCCTATTCAGCCGACCGTCTGATTTGCTCACAGACATCTCGTGGCTCTGGCAATGTAAGCTGAAGGCTGTCAGAGCCACATCACTAAGAACCCTCTTGTGCTCCAGCTTTATCCCAGCACTCACATCCTTGCCATGCTCAATTTGGGCCTTTCTTGCTACCATAACACTTTCTTTTTTTTTTTTTTTTTTTTTTTGAGACAGAGTCTTGCCCTGTCGCCCAGGCTAGAGTGCAGTGACGCGATCTCAGCTCACTGCAACCTCCACCTCCCAGATTCAAATGATTCTCCTGCTTCAGCCTCCTGAGTAGCTGGGATTATAGATGCCTGCCACAATGTCCAGCTATTTTTTGTATTTTTAGTAGAGACGGGGTTTCACCATGTTGGTCAGGCTGGTCTCGAACTGCTGACCTCAGGTGATCCACCCGCCTGGGCCCCCCAAAGTGCTGAGATGACAGGCATGAGCCAGAGCGCCCAGCCACCACCATGCCACTTTCAAACGTCATACTCCACATACCCCAGCTGCCTGCATACCCTCTGTCAGCAGACCACACCCTGCCAGGCGGAGCTGAGCTAAAATAGCAAACATCAGACCCACACTGAAAGACTGCCTGTGTTCTCAAGCCCAGTGTGCTGTGATTTTGTCTTGGCATTTTTAAAGTGAAGTGTGGCGAGAATTCCAACTGCAACTGCGGAAAGCAACAGCCCTTCGGGAGCCAAGAGAGTCAGCGGCCCGGGAAAGAACCAGCCCAGACAGTCAGAGACTGAACCTTCAGATTCTATTTTTTTTTTTTTTTTTTTTTTTTTGAGACAGAGTCTCGCTCTGTTGCCCAGGCTGCGGGGCGGTGGCGCGACCTTGGCTCACTGCAACCTCTGCCTCCTGTGTTCAAGCGACTCTCCTGCCTCAGCCTCCCAAGCAGCTGGGATTACAGGCGCCTGCCACCACGCCTGGCTAACTTTTGTATTTTTAGTAGAGACGGGGTTTCACCATGTTGGCCAGGCTGGTCTCAAACTCCTGACCTCAAGTGATCCACCCACCTCAGCCTCCCAAAGTGCTGGGATTACCGGCGTGAGCCACCGCGCCCGGCCAAACCTTCGGATTCTTATCACTTACCATTTCTTGCCACCACCACAGCTTCCACTCAGGTGCAAGCCGCCACCACCAGTGACCACTGGACGCTGCGGCACCCTGGCCTCCTGGTCTCCCTGCTTCTGCCCTTGCCCCGACTCCCAACGCCTCCAATCTGTCTTCAGTACAGCAGCCAAAGATATCCCATTAAACCTAATGCAGACCATGCCACTTCTCTGCTCAAAGCCCTCCAAAGGTTCCCCATTCAGCCAGAATCAAAGAACAGTCCATGTCTTCACTGTGGTCATGAGGCCCTACCCCACCACCTTTCATGACGCACCCCACGACTCTCCCCTTCTCTCGGCCAGACCCACCCTGGCCCCAGCTCCTCTCCTCAAGCACGCCAGCATCGCTCTGGGAGTCCTCTGCACCTGCTCACTCCTCTGCCAGGACCGCTCTTCCCCAGCCTCCTGGTTGGCCTGTTCCCTCACCTCGTGCAAATCTTTCCTCAAATGTCACCTCAGTGAAGGGCTCCTTCTCACCACCACACCTGCCACTAAGCCACCTAGTCCTCTTTCCCAGCATTGTTTTGATAGCAGCTGTCACCTTCCAACAGTTAACTCCATTTAACTGAGCTATGTTATTTATACCCGGCTCTCCCACTGCACTGTAAGCTCTGGGAGAGCAGAGATCTAGGTCTATTTTGTTCACTAATATTATCTCCAGCACCTGGGGCTGTTCCTAACACATACTATGGGTTGAATACATATTTGCTGGATCAGCAAATCATCAAATTCTCAAAACTGGTCCAAGAAGCCCATTCTTTTCTCCTCAAAGAGAATCGTGCTAAGCCAAAGATATCTCCCCATTTGCCATAGCTACTTAAACCAAACTCAACCGCTTTGTGCTACAGATACAGACACTGATGGCCCCAGAGGTAACTTGGTGAAGACCACTACCGGAAAAAGAAAGTTAAAATCTGGACCACCAACTCCTAGTCCTCTGACTAGGAGGGTCTATCTACCACACCACACATCCTGGCTCATCCAGAAACAAAGTTTCTAGGAAAGCGTCAGCCACATATGCAACCTAAGGACCAGGGTGTGCATAAACCGAGGGTCTACCAGCAAGACCACCTCTCCTGCAGTTTATAGCCCTGGCCAAACCACTCACTCTCCAGGCTAATCGAGGAGATAGTTCGGAATAAACACCAGGTATCGGTACTGACAATGCAAGAATGAGAAAGATACTTTTCCTAAACCTGTGGATCTCACTAGTGAAAGCAAGCACATACCAGGGAGAACAGGAAGCCAGAGGCACCAACAACACTGAGTTTGATGCAAAAAAGGGGGACTTTAGTTCAGGCTGCATAAAAACAGGAGGTGTGGGCCGGGCACGGTGGCTCATGCCTGGAATCTCAGCACTTGGGGAGGCCAAGGCGGGCGGATCATGAGGTCAAGAGATCGAGACCATCCACACCAACATGTTGAAACCACATCTCTACTAAAAATACAAAAAAATTAGCTGGGCATGGTGGTGGGCGCCTGTAATCCCAGTTACTTTGGCAGCAGAGGCAGGAAGATCACTTGAACCCGGGAGGCAGTGATTGCAGTGAGTCTAGATCACACCACTGCACTCCAGTCTGGGCGACAGAGCGAGACTCCATCTCAAAAATAAAAAAGAGTTGAACTATCTGAAAGATCCCTTACTAGTCTTGTATTGTACAGTGGGTGTAGTCTTCCTCCTGAGTTTCCTTGAGATGAGGGCTGCACTCAAAAACAAAGAGGAAAACAAGGCTGGGTGTGGTGGCTCACGCCTGTAATCCCAGAACTTTGGGAGGCTGAAGCTGGTGGATCACATGATCAGGAGTTCAAGACCAGCCTGGCCAACATGGTGAAACCCCATCTCTACTAAAAATACAAAAATTGCCGGGCACAGTGGCTCAAGCCTGTAATCCCAGCACGTTGGGAGACCGAGGCAGGAGGATCACAAGGTCAGGAGATCGAGACTATCCTGGCTAGCACGGTGAAACCCCGTCTCTACCAAAAATATAAAAAATTAGCCAGGTGTGGTGGCAGGCGCCTGTAGTCCCAGCTACTCGGGAGGCTGAGGCAGGAAAATGGCGTGAACCCGGGAGGCGGAGCTTGCAGTGAGCCGAGATCGCACCACTGCACTCCAGCCTGGACAACAGAGTGAGACTCCGTCTCAAAAAAAATACACACACACACACACACACACACACACACACACACACACACACACACATAAATTAGCTGGGCGTGGTGGCCAGTGCCTATAATCCCATCTACTCAGGAGGCTGAGGCAGGAGAACTGCTTCAACCGGGACCCAGGAGGTGGAGGTAGCAGTGAGCTGAGATCATGCCACTGCACTCCAGCCTGGACTACAGAGAGAGACTCTTGTCTCAGAAAAAAAAAAAAAAAAAGGAGGAAAACAAGGCCAGGCATGGAGGCTCACGCCTATAATCCCAGCACTTTGGGAGGCTGAGGTGGATGGATCACCTGAGGTCAGGAGTTCGAGACTAGCCTGGCCGACATGGCGAAACCCCATCTCTACTAAAAATACAAAAAAACAGACAGGCGTGCTGGTGGGCGCCTGTAATCCCAGCTACTTGGGAGGCTGAGACAGGAGAATCACTTGAACCTGGGAGGCAGAGGTTGCAGTGAGCCAAGATCACACCACTGCACTCCAGCCTGGGCAACACAGTGAGACTCCATCTCAAAAAAAACAAAAACAAAAACAAAAACAAAAAAAGAAAGAAAACAATCATGGGAAACAATTGAAAGAGCTGCCAAAGCCACAGGAACCTGGCTAGGATCTCCACTAGCACTGTGCTTGCATAGGTGTGGACTAAATAAATACGCAGCTAGTGACCAATCACCACTACTGATAGGAAAACGGGCACCCCTCTGTGACTCCTCCTTCAGGGAAGAGTTCCAGCCTGCCACCTGAAAGAGCAGCACTGCCAGAGGCTTGAGCCACAAGACGGATGGGAGACACAGAGGCTTCACAGGCCTTCCTGGTGCACCCAACCTCTCCTTCTTCTTCTGCCCTCTTCAGTGACAGCCTCGAACTCTCCAAGACTCCAACTTCACAAAGGTAATACAGAAGCTGCTCTCAAAAGTGCCTAAGACACAGAATAGCATCAAAGTCAGAGGAAAAGGAAAGCTGGTGTTCGGTATTTCAGGTTCACACAGAAGAAAGCTGGAGACTGTATTAGTCTCCTGTGGCTGCCATAACAAATTACCACCAACTGAATGGCTTAACACAACAGACACTTATTCTCTCTCAGTTTTAAACGCCAAAAACCCAAAATCAAGTGGTCATCTGCAGGGCCATGCTCTCTGTCAAGTCTCTAGGTGAGCATCCTTCCTTGCCTCTTCTAGCTTCTGGTGGCTGCCAGCAACCCCTGGCTTTCCTTGGCTTGTAAATGTACTATTCCAATCTCTGTTTCTGTCTCCATAGGGCCATTTCCCTGTGTGTGTCTCTCTGTATTCAAATTTCCCTCTTTTTATAAAAATACTAGTTGACGAACTAAGGCCCACCCTCATCCAGTATGACCTCATTTTACCTTGATTACTTGTGCAAAAACCCTATTTCCAAATGTCACATCCATAGTTTCCAGATGGACATAAATTCAACTCAGTATAAGGACAAATTACCAAGAGCCACAGCCTTCAATCCAAAGGTTGAGTCACTGCTGTAACTCCACACAGCAGCTCTGTTATTCTTACATCTAAGCTGATTAAGAATTAGAGTTTAGACTGATGAGGAACCAAAACCTTAAGACCTAAAAGTAACACATAAAAGTTACACTGTCATGTGGCTCCTCTTCCCTGGACTCTTATGTTCTACAGCATTTGTTCCTGTCACTACCAGGACCTCCTACCCACCACCATTCCAGAATCTTCACTCACCTTGGACCCTGACACTGGTTTTGTTGAAAGGTCTTACTGTTCTCGAATCAAGCACGGTCCTGTGGAGTCGAATAGGGTCTCCGGCCACCTTTGATGACTCCCTTCATTCTCAAAGCCACTGTCTGAGCTGTCAGTAACTCACGCTGCTAACCCCCAGATCACTCTTAAAAGTAAACTTTCCTTTTTTTTTTTGAGACAGAGTTTCGCTCTTATTGCCCAGGATGGAGTGCAATGGAACGATCTCGGCTCACTGCAACCTCCACCTCCCAGGTTCAAGTGATTCTCCTGCCTCAGCCTCCCAAGTAGCCAGGATTACAGGCATGTGCCACCATGCCCAGCTAATTTTGTATTTTTAGTAGAGACTAGGTTTCTCCATGTTGGTGAGGCTGGTCTCAAACTCCTGACCTCAGGTGATCTGTCCACCTCGACCTCCCAAAGTGCTGGGATTACAGGCGTGAGCCGCCACACCTGGCCAAAAGTAAACTTTTCTAACTGGATGCAGTAAATTCCAAAGTTTATCATTCAAACACTCAAACAATAATATTTATTATGAAACAGGAGTACAAACCATTTTACTGTGTTTATGAATGATTCTACTCAGACTTATCTTCGTAACACAATTCATAATTTTCAGCATTCCAGACTTCAGCTTTGGAACAGAACTATGTTCTGAAATCTTGACGTTTGCTTATCTCTGATCTGTTTTCACCAGTGGCTGATTTTATCCTAGGTACCCTCCACGTAATGTCTCATTCCCTAGGGCCCTGGCATAGCTCAGCGCCACAGCAATCAGACAAGGACTCTGGAGCTCTGGAGCTGTATAGCATCTAGGGTGTACCCAGGTCATTCCAGCCGAAGAAAAAAAAAAAAAAAAAAAAAAAAAAAAAAAAAACTTCCTGCTAACACAACATAGGAGGTGGTTTTGACACCAGCAAGCAGAAACATGGAAACTCACAGGGAAACTCTAGTCCTCTTCTATGCTCAAGGCAAGAGCCGCAGCCCTCAAGAGACCACAGGCAAATCAAGTGGGTCAAAAACACCACACCCCCTGCAGAAACTGATCCACCCAGCAGACGGGGGGCCTCAGCCCGGCCAGCTTCCGGACTCCACCAAACTTCACAGCATGACCCGAATCAGTTCCTTCCAGCCTCCCCAAGGAGCCCAGGAGTTTCTCGGAAAGAAGCCTGCCAGTGTCAGGAAAAACGCCAATAGCTCCTCCTCGTCCTTGCAAGCCTCGATCCTACGTGCAGCCACTGTCACCCCCAGACCCCACGCTCCGACCTCCGAGCCCCCCAACGCCCGTCACACCATCCAGCAGTCTCCTCAGAGTCCAAGTTGCCCTCTCCAGACCCCCGACTCCACCCGCAGCCCAGGAGGCCAACGCGGCCACCTGACCTCTGACCCCTGACCCCGACCTGGCCCTCCGCGGCACACCCACCTGCCCGGGAGCTTGCTGTTGCTGCGCTTCCAGAATTGCTTCCTGGCCCCGTCGCTGGCCATGGCCCCTCCTCATCCCTCAGACCCGCGGCCCAGACACCCCGAGTGCACCCGGCCCTCCCCTAGCGGCCCTTTCCTGTGCCCCGGGTGGCCCCTCACTGCTCCCGGGACTCCAGAGCCTAGAGCCGAGAAGCTCTTCCGCCTCCTTCCGGAAGTTGTGCCTACGCGCGCCCGGAAGTCCCGCCTAAGTCCCTGGTGGCGAGTGACGCAGCACTCCGAGCGCCCGTCGTTATTAAAGGGCGACGCCGCGCAACGCACGTTACACGCATCGCGGAGGGAGCGGAGGTGGTTGGGTTTCTGAGTTTGAGTCTGTCGCTCCTGGCTCTCCCGACACAACAGCGGCGCCCACCTGCCCGCAACGGACTCCCAGGAGCCTCGAGCTCCTCATTTCCAAAGCTGAACTGCCCCGTGTCTGATTCCGATTTCTCTTGAGCGCGTTTCGGAGCCGGCCCAGAACAGAGGGAAGCCAGACACACCATACCCGGCCCAACAGTGGCAGGGCGGCTGCGGGTGCTGGTCAAGCTGGGTCACCCGGCACTGAGTGACGATCAGCAAATACTCAGTGGACGAAATATTTGCAGTGCAGTGAGGTGAGGGGCATAACCGCGGAGCGTATTCGAAGAGATGAGAGAGACTGGGGATTAGGCCAGGCTTGAAGGGAAGAATGGTTTGAGCACCGAGGACAAGAATTAATTCCCCAGGCCTGGGTTCCAGCCTTGTGCGGCTATCACGTGCTTGAAACCTGGCTAGTCCGGAGTGAGATGCGCTTTACGTGTAAAATACAGGATTCCAAAGACGTCGTATAAAATAATTTGTATATTGTTTGCATGTTAGGTAACATTTTTAATGTATTGGATTAAATAAAATGCATTAAAATTATTTTTACATTCCTTTTACTCTTTTTAAAATTATTTTTACCTTTTTTATTCTTTTTTTCCGGGGGGGACTGGGGGTGGGTGTCTTGCTATGTTGCCCAGGCTAGTCTCGAACTCCTGCCCTCTAGTGATCCTCCTGCCTCACCCTCCCCAGTAGTTGGAACTGCAGGTGCACACGTTATGACTAGATCTTTTTACTGTGTGTGTGTGTGTGTGTGTGTGTGTGTGCAGAAAATCACTAAAAAAACCGTGTCTGGTTTGCATTACATTTCTGTGCTTCTTAGACCAAAGATTGAATGCTCAGGGACTGTCATTTCAGACTGGAGCTTTAGTGTATTTGGAGCTCCTGCCAGTTCTCTTTTAAAACAAAAATCTAAGACATATTTTCTGATTAAGAATTTCCCTGGAGGCTGAGGCAGGAGAATAGCGTGAACCCGTGAGGCAGAGCTTGCAGTGAGCCCAGATCGTGCCACTGCACTCCAGGCTGGGCGACAGAGCGAAACTCCGTCTCAAAAATAATAACAATTTCCCATGCCTCTTCATTTACTGGTAAGTAACATTGACTTAGTACTTACTATGTGCAAGGCGTCCTACTCTCCTAGAATCCTCTCCTAGTAGGGCTCAGAAGGCCCCAGGGGTCTCCTCCTGACAGAGCCCTGACAGCCTCAGACAGTGAGGTCCCCTACAGACAACACTGAGGACCATGGCGGTTCTTTCCAGCTCAGTCTGGCTTATTGCAAGAACCAGTGAGCGAGGTGACAGCAGGATTAACCTGATGGAAGGGGAAAGGAAGGAAGAACTGAAACAATTGACAGAGGAAAAACTGGCAGCACTTAGTGACTGGTTACACCTTAGATCCGGGTGCTTTTTATAGCTTACCGTATACTTTGCTAGCTACTGTTTTCAGGCGAAGGAGTGAGGCTGAGATTGACTTGAAGGCTTCAAAACCAGCTAAGCAAAGGATTACTAGGATCACAACAGAAACGTGAAGATGGAAAAAGAAAGTCTGAGTAGAAGGCCAGTTTTGAAAGCCAAAGTAATACAGATGTTGGAGTCTACATATGGGACCTAGGAATTGGGACAGATTCTCAAATCCCAGAGGTATGGAATGGAACATTTTTTATTCATTTTTGCAACAAGTATTGAGCAGCAATGCAAATTAAAACTAAGGACATACCATGTTACACTTAACAGATTGGCAAAAACTTAAAAACCTGTCTTTACCAAACTTAATAAGGATGTGGATTTGTGAGCAGAGCAGAACTCTCTTGCACTGCCAGTAGGAGTGTACGTTCATTCACTAACTTTGGATGGCCACTTAGCAATTTCTAGCAAAGATACTCTATAACTTAGCAATTCCACTCTTGGTATGTGCTCTAGAGTACCTTGCCTATGCGTGCAAACACAAGAATGTTCAGTGCAACGTTGCTTCTAGTGGTAGTTGGGGTCTGGGGGAGAAGCAACCAAAATGCCATCTATGGCAGAATCGATAATCTACACAGTTATGCAGTAGAATACCATAAGTTAGTAAAAATGAATACATTAGTTGCATACATCAACATAAATGAATTTTGCAAACTGTGGGGTTGTTTTTGAAATGGGGCTTACTATGTTCCCCCGGCTGGCCACAAAATCCTGGGCTCAAGTGATCCACCTCAGCCTCCTGAGTAGCTGAGTACAGATGCAAGCACTACCGCACCTGACTCCACAGTGTTGAATGAGAAAAAGTTGAATATTAATTCACATGGTATGATACCATTTAGTACTATTTTCTTTTAAAGGATGAGAATGCGACCAGGTATGGTGGCTCATGCCTGTAATCGCAGCACTTTAGGAGGCTGAGGCAGGAGGATCCCTTGAGCCCAGGAGTTTGAGGCTGCAGCAAGCTGTGATCATGTCACTGCACTCCAGCCTTGGCGATAGTGCCAAACCCTATCTCAAAAAAAAAAAAAAAAAACCAGAATGGTAAAAGATAAATTCAGGAGGGTGGTTGCCTATAGGTACAGGTGGGGACTGTGAACAGGAAGGAATTCATTCATAGCGGATCAATTGTGCTATTATGCTTTGTTTCCTAAGGCAGATGGGCTATATTCAGGTGTTGGTTATATTCTTTATGAGTTTTTACATGTATAAAATGTTTCATAATACATTAAAATATAGTTATTGAGTTTGAACTGTGCTATGCACTGAGCTACATTGAACTACATGATAAGGCAAACAAAAGTGCAGCAGGCCAGGCACAGTGGCTCACACCTATAATACCAGTACTTTGGGAGGCTGAGGCGAGAGGATCACTTGAGACCAGGAGATCAACACTAGCCTGGGCAACATAGGGAGACCCCATCTCTGTGAAACTTTTTTTTTTTTCTTTTAGCCAGTCATGGTGGTAAACACTCTTAGTCCTAGCTACTTAGGAGACTGAGGCAGGAGGATCACTTGAGCCCAGAAGTTCAAGGCAGCAGTGAGCTAGGATCACACAACTGCACTCCAGCCTAGAAAACAGTGAGACCCTGCCTCAAAAAAACAAACAAAAAAAAATTGGGATAGTATTTCAGGATGGCTGGATTTGCAATGCCATTTGGGTTCCTCGGGAAGTGTTTTCTGCTTTCTTTGCTTTCAGATGGCCTGCTCCGGGCTTAGAATATCTCTCACAGGACCTTACTGAGTGAGCTGCCACACTCCCACTTGGTGGGTTCTGCCTCCTAAGTTTCCTGGTGCTGTACCGTCCATAGGCACCGAGCCTGTGCCCCAAAGTAAAAAGCTGACTGTTCTATCTGTATTGGTTTCCTAAGGCTGCTGTTGGCAGAATGCTGCAGACTTAGCGGCTGAAAACAATACACATTTACCCTCCTACAATCCTGGAGGTCAGAAGTCCAAAGTCTTAGCACTTCACTGCACTAAACTCAAAGCGTCAGCAAGGCTGCCCCCTTCTGGAGGTTCTAGGGGAGAGTCAGTTTCTTACCTTTTTCAGCTTCTAGAGGCCACTTAACATTCCTTGGCCGACACTCCTTCCTCTGTCTGGAAAGCAGATCACTCTAATCTCTACTGCCATCATCACATCATCTTCTCTCCTTCCGATTCCTCCTAGATCCCTCTGACCTCACGTCAGGCCCACTGGATAATCCGGTCCAGGCTGATCTCCCCATCACCCGGCCCTTAGCTCAATCACACCTGCAAACTCCCTTTGGCCATTTAAGGTAACATTTGCAGGTCCCAGGATTAAGTCCTGGTATATCTTCAGGGGTTCATTATTCAGCCTACCACAATAATAGACGGCATATAGCAAAGGTCCCCAGTTTCACACCGCGAGAGGCAGGCGTCGTCTTCACTGCCCCCTTCCCCAACTCCTTTCAGCCATTTTTATATTACAGGGACTAGCAACGTGCCATTTCCTGACACTAAGTCAGGATGAGTTAGGGTGCTGTTGGTTGCAAGAATGACAAAGTTCAGCTCAAATTAGCTTATACTACAAAGGGAATTAGTTGGTTAATGAAAAAGCCCAGAAGTAGCTCAGAAGGTTTGGAGAAGGGCTGATACAGCAGCTCAACAATGACCCAAGGGGCCTGTCTCCTTCTGTCAGTCTCTTAAGTCTTTGCCAAGGACAACTTCCCCTTGAGGTCACAGGATGCCTCTGTTGGGCCCCTGGGATCATGTGCTTACCTCTAGTCAGGATGCTAGAGAGCAGAAATACTGTGAACTAGTATCAGTCCCCGGGAAGGGAGCACTATACATTGCTTACCAATTCCAGGAGAGCACACTTAAACACCTCACCAATTTCTGCTGAGTTTCCTAAGACTGCCAGGAGGCTTTGCACAAACCCAGCAGCCAGAGTTCTGCAAGGGTTCTTGACTCTGGCAGGGGCTCAAAGCTGACCTAGCTGCTGCAGCTGTCATACCTCCACCCTCTGTATTCTTTTTTTTTTTGGGACGGCGTCTCACTCTGTCACCCAGGCTGGAGTGCAGTGGCGCAATCTTGGCTCACTGCAAGCACCACCTCCCAGGTTCACGCCATTCTCCTACCTTGGCCTCCCAAGTAGCTGGGACTACAGGCGCCCGCCACCACGCCCGGCTAATTTTTTGTATTTTTAGTAGAGACAGGTTTTCACCATGTTAGCCAGGATGGTCTTGATCTCCTGACCTCGTGATCCACCCACCTCAGCCTCCCAAAGTGCCGGGATTACAGGCGTGAGCCACCGCGCCTGGCCTACCCACTGCATTCTTAATGTCTAGTCTGGTAAAACAGAACACCTGCAAAACACGTCAGACAAAGCAACTTTATTATTCACAGAGAGGCCCCAAACATCAACCCAAGCCTAGGATCCATGGCGAGCCAGTCCACCAGCAATCAGGAAAGCTACCCAGGGCACTAGAGTGTTGTCTGCAGGTGCCCCCACTTCACACCACAGCTGAGGGGCGTGAAAAGCACACTCTACTCTGGGTTCTCTACCCCAAATGCAACTGGGTCCACTGGGCTACAGCATTGCAGGACATCCTGATCTAGGGGAGATGAGCACAAAGCCTGAGCTGTTCGGGACAGTTCCACCTTATCTCAGGATGTTGCAACCTCTGTATATTCTGCCCAAAAATTCTAAGCAAGAGGGGGAAGAGCTGGGTCATCCAGTGTCATTTGGGGACCTGTCACCTGGCAGATGCTCCATTGTAGCTGGCAATGAGAGTCAATCCTTCCAAATTTTGTGGCTGCTGCCCAACAAGGGAGGGTTAGAATCCCAATATCCAGGAACAATCCCAATATCCACTACAACACCAAAGGCCATGTTGAGAGAAACTGGTGGATTTGACAACTTAAAATGTTTACTTGTTTGTCAAAAAAAATGTTTTAATTGGACAAAATATATGTGCTATGTCTGACAAAGGGTTAATATATGGGAATCTTACAAATAAGGAAGTAGAAAACCACAATAGGAAATGGGTATGATTGTTTAAACCAAGTATATATTTTTCAAGCTTATCTTAAACTATAAATAAATCAAAGAATATGTTTTCAAAAGAAATACAGCTCTCTAGCTCCTGCTCTCAACATGTGACATGCCTGTTCCCGCTTCACCTTCCACCATGAGTAAAAGCTCCCTGAGGCCTCACCAGAAACCTAGCAGAGACCAACACGACACTTCCTGTACATCCTGCACAACCATGAGCCAATTCAACCTCTTTTCTTTATAAATTACCCGTCCTCAGGTATTCCTTTATAAACACCGCAAAAGTAGCCTAACACAGAAAACTGGTACCAAGAAGCAGGGCATTGCTGTAAAGACACCTTAAGAGTAATGACCTAGGGTAACTGGCAGAAGAAATTTCTAAGTAGCAAAGCATTCAAGAGGTGGCCTGCCTGCTTGTCACAGCCAATGATCATATATTGGAGCAAAGGAAAGTTGGAGCTCATATTTAAAAGGGAAGCAGAGCATGAAATTTTGGAAAATTTGCAGCCTGGCCATGTGGCAGGGAAAGAATCCAAGCAGGCTGGGGAGCAACCATTAGCTAGAGAGATTATCATCACTAAAAGGGAGCCAAGTGCTAATATCCAAGACAATGGAACAAAGGCCTCAAAGGCATTTGGGAGATCTTGGAGACAGCCCCTCCCATGACAGGCCCAGAGGCCTAGGAGGAAAGAATGGTTTGAGGGGCCAGGCCCAGGACACTCCTCAGCCTATGGACACTGCTCCCCACATACCAGCTGCTGCAGCTCCGCCTGTAGCTCAAAGGCCCCAGGTATAGCTTGGGCCACCACTCTGGAGAATACAAGCCATAAGCCTTGGTGGCTTCCATGTGGTGTTAAACCTGTGGGCACACAGAATGCAGGAATAAAGGTGGCAGCTTCCACCTAGATTTCAGAGGATGTATGAGAAAGCCTGAGTGCCCAGGCAGAAGCCTGCTGCAGGGGCAGAGCCCCCACAGAGAACCTCCACCAGGGACAGAGCCCCCACAGAGAACCTCCGCCAGGGGCAGAGCCCCCACAGAGAACCTCCGCCAGGGGCAGAGCCCCCACAGAGAACCTCTACCAGGGCAGAGCCCCCACAGAGAACCTCTACCAGGGGCAGAGCCCCCACAGAGAACCTCTACCAGGGCAGTATGGAGGGGAAATGTGGGGTTGGAGGCCCACACACAGTTCACAGTAGTGAACTCCACTGCCTAGTGGAGCTGTGGGAAGGGGACTGCACCCTCCAGACCCAAGAATGGTAGCGCCACCAGCAGCTGCACCTACACCTGGAGAAGCTGCAGGCACTCCACCCCAACCCATAGAGCAGCCACAGAAGCAGGACTGCCCAAGGCCTTGGGACGCCACCCCTTGCACCAGGATCCAGGATGTGGAGTCAAGGATTATGTTGGAGCTTTAGGATTTTTTATTTTATTTTATTTTATTTTTTTGAGACAGAGTCTTACTCTGTTGCCCAGGCTGGAGTGCAGTGGCATGATCTCAGCTCACTGCAACCTCTGCCTCTCAGGTTCAAGTGATTCTCCTGCCTCAGCCTCCCAAGTAGCTAGGATTGCAGGCACGCGCCACCATGCCCGGCCAGCATTGGGATTACAGGCAGGAGCCGCCCAAATGCTTTCTTAGATGCAAAAAAAGAAAAAAAAAATTAAAAAGACACCCCCACCCCCCAAAAATTGATCAATTATTTTCACATCCAGGAAAAACAACAAATGCAAATCCAAATGCTTTGAAGAATAAGACTGATTTTCGGAGGCTTTCAGGGTAGACAGAGGAGGGCCATTATGCCACGGCTCATGCAAACAAGCCTCCTAAATGCACCCTGGAGATGCATCGCACCCTTCACAGCCACCATCAGCCCCTTCCATCACCTTTGATCCTCTGCCATGCTCCTGCAGACCTCCTGCCCAGACCTCACCTGCAGGCCTCTCAGTCCCTTTCCCGTGTGCATCTGCAACCCTCTCCACCTCTCAAGCTCAGCAAATTCCAGCATCCTCAGCATCCTCCTCATCCCCCCTCACCAGATGCCCAGCGGTGGGGAGGGAGGGGGTGGCAGTGGGGGTGGGGAGGGGATGGCGCACACAGTGGGTATCATGATTTGTATTTTAAAGATGAGAAAGTAGGGGCTTCAAGAGGCAAAGTCCCCCAGCTAGAGTGAAGGGAACAGGGTTTGGAGTCCAGCTGCTGACCCCACAGCCCACTCACTGTCCAGTTCACCTTGCCGGGCCCTGGCCACAGTCCCACTGCTAATCGGAAACACAACCAGCTGTGGCATTTCCTCCCATGGTCCTTTGCAGCACGTGGTCCCCACCCCCTTGGCAAACGTGCAGGAGCCACAGTCGGCCGTGACTCATGGACAGTCCAACCCAAAGTGACTCAGGCAGGATAGAGAGAGGACAGCAGACATCAGAGGGAGCCCAGACTGGCCGTCTGCAAGCTGCATCCTGGCCTCATGTCTCCTGTGACTGATCACACTCTGCTGTAAACACGGCCAGCCCCCGTTTTCCCACCTGTAAAATGGAGATGAGGACACCTGCCCTGTGTGTTTCCCAGAGTCATGATGGGAATCCCCTGAGACAAAGGACTGGAAGGCAGTTTGTAAACCAAAATCTCTGAGCAAATATGACACCGCAGAGTAGGGAGTGAGTCTGTAAGTGACGTGAAGCCTGGCCTGGAGTGGCAACCGGAAGGCCCTATGGCCCCATGGTGCTGTGTCATCCCTGGACTTCCCGCAGCTGCTAGAGTGAAGGAAGGAGCTGGTCTGTCACTTAACACCAGAAGAGAAAGTGGCCCGGAGAGCAGGCATCTCCCAGATATCTGACTGGGCCAGATATCTGACTGCTAGGAACTGGGGACACAGACCTGGGAACTCTGTGCCCTTATGACATCAGAGCCTGGCGGCCAGGATGGAAAGTGTGTTGCGGCCCCAGCCTGAATGGCACTTTTGGGTGGACATAGACCCAGAGGTGCATGGCGTGGGGAGGCTGGCACTAAAGGGCCTGCCCATGTGGCATCCCAGGCATGGACATCCTGAGGGTGAGGGGAGAAGGCAGGCAAGGTGCTGGCACCACACTTCTGCTGGGATTGTGCACGGTTTGGCATCCTGGTTCCAAGCTGAGCCCCCTGCAGTTGCAGAAGGCCACTTTGGTGGGGAGGGGACACTCCTGGGTTCTGGTGGCATGGCCTGCCTGGCACAGTGTGGCACTGGATGGAAAGAGAGACTGGGGGGAGTGGTCTCTTATTTTGAGACACTGCAAACACCTCGTTTCTCTGGGCCTCAATCCTAAGAGCCTGCGGGTCAGGCCGAGTGGTAAGGTGGATGAACCCCTGACTTTGGAACCAGACAGACATGGATTTCAATCCTGCTGTGCAAATCTGGGCAGCCTTCTCAGCTGAGCCTGTTTCCTCACCTGCTGGCAGAGGGCTCAATGCAATCGGGCATGAACCTGGGCACATGACAGAATCCAGCCAGGGCTAACTGCTGTTTATAGTACTGACGCTTAGCGATCCAAACAAAAATAAAATTCAGGAATCTGGCCCTGTAGGGTCTGTACTGGCCACTCGGCATCATCCTCCCACTTCCTGACCACCTTCGGATGACACTGGTTCTTCCAAAGGAGGGATGGTGGCTGCCCACCCAGGTGTCCTGGGGACACTGCAAGGGGTGGGGAGACATGCCATTCTGGAGGAGTTAAGCTCGCTGGCAATGGATCCAAAGGCAGCCCCTCCCCCCTACTCCCCTACGCAAGGGACCAAGCCACAGCTGGCATGAAGTGATGCCCTATGGCACCTTCCAAGGAACTCCTGCCACATCTCCATCCCCTCTGTCACTGTGGAGAAGGACCCATCCTCACTGAAGCAGAGGCTCCCAGGGGCGTGGGGCAGGACTTGCGGGAAGCAAGAGCGGGGCCTGGGGATGGGGGTGGGGGAGGCATGGGACCCAGTGTTGGGCCCAGGGGCGCTAGGGGCCTGAGGGGCAGGGGGCAGGGCTAGAGGGGTGAGGGGCTGTGCTAAGCCAGGGAGCCCTCAAGGGCCACACGTTGGTGTGGTAACCCCTGTGTGTATCTGCTGGAGCAGGCTCAGTCCTCTGGTTACCCCGGCTTCCCACACCCCTCTCCCTTCACACGTTTTGACCCCTAGGCAGCGTCTCCACTTGGGAAGGCCCAAGGCCCAAACTTAAAGTGTTCCTGGTGCCTGACCCCAAGTCTCTTGTTTTAGGATTGGGGAAACTGAGGTCCCGAGAAGCAAGGCATTTGTGGTGTTTTGCAGGGGGAGATCCCCTGGTCTCTCCTCTTTCCATCCAGTGCCACACTGTGCCAAGCAGGCTGTGCCAGCAGAACCCAGGAGCATTCCCTCCCCATCAGAGTGGCCCCTCTACAACTGCAGGGGGCTCAGCTTGGAGCCAGGACCTCCCATGTCTCCTGGTGGGGAAGGTGAGAGCAGCCTTCCCGAGGGAAAAACGCCTGGCCCTAGCCCATGTGGACCTCCAGGACGCCGGGACCTTCCCACGGGAGGGGCAGTGCTGTGCAGGCCACCCGCCCTTGCCACAGCAGTCACTACCATCTCTAGATGGCACAGAGAGAAGCAAGGGCTGCAGCCACCTGCAGCCTTTCACCAAGAATAAGCTGTGGCCAGAACTAATGGGCACATAGGCTGCTTGGAATGGTGCCTGGTCAATAAGAATGCATCCATGTTTGACATGAGATGCCTGCACAGTGTTCTGGGAGCCCCAAGGGAGCCCAGCCTCAGCCGCCTGCAAAGAAATCCCCCAGATCCTTGATCACCACGTCCCTCTTGGTGTCCCTAGCAAAGGGCAGCCATGGAGCCCAAGACCGGACACCTCCCCACTGTGAGTGTCAAGCAATGTGTGGAGGGTGTTGGTCAGCGGAGGACAAAGCCCAGGCCAACTGAGACAGGCAAGAGAGGGGGTCTCCAGCAGGGGGACCATCATCCAGGCACCCTCCCAGCTGCCAGGGCCGGGTCCTCACACCGCCTGCCATGCCTGCTCTGCTCTGTCCTTGGCTCTGCGAGTCCCTGCAGCAGGCTGTGTCCCAAACCAGCACCTCTCCTTCATCCCCATCACTCTGGCTATGGGAATTTCCAGTAGGTCATAGCCCCCCGCCTTCCCCACCGAGCTTCCCGGGGTCCTCACTTGGTCATTGATGACATACTTGGCAAGTGCACTGGATGTAACCTGAGGGAAGTGGGGAGATAGGGCTCCAGGGCCTGGAACCCTCTTGATCCTTCCTGGGCCTTCCCCCAGCTCTGTTGCCAGAAGGCAGAGTCAAGCCAGCGGACTGCAATGGTCTGCAAAGGGTCAGGCCCTCACTGTGGCAGGGGTCATTCCCAAAGGAGGAGGCTTTGCCCCCAGATGGGCCACATTGTTTAGAAATGTTGATGGCAATTCTAGGAAAAGCAGCTCCACTTAGGAGGGCCCAAGGTTCTCGTGTATACTGTTCCCAGTGCGCAGTGTGATTTGGTATGGCGTGGGAAGCAGGGAGCAGGGAAAGTGGCCTGGGTAAGTCCCAGCCCCTCTCTGGGTCTCACCTTCCCCCTGTGTCAGAGGGAGATAACTGCCACTGTCCTGCCCCTCTCCCAGGATTCTTCTAAAGATCAAGGGAGAAGGGAGGGAGCCTGAGGAGGAGAGGAAGGAGGAAGAAGAGCTGGAGAAGGAGGGAGGAGGAAGGAGGAAGCAGGGGAGAGGGAGGCTGAACGGGAGCTGATGACCTTTTGGTTTAAGCCTCAGCGGAGCAGCTGAACCCTGAAGAGGACTCGTGGCTCTTAGCCCAGGATTCATTCCCAGAGCTGTCAGAGCTGGGCGACACCCCCATGTCCTAGCAGGGGCAGCTATCAGGCACCAGGCCAAGGCCAGGGGTGCGTGGCAGACTGGGCACCTGTTGGGGCCTGGTGGAGTGCGTGCCACGCCCTCCCCGCCCTGCCCCATTTCCTCGTTTCCTCGTTCACTCCTGTCAGCCACTGACCCCAGACACTCTTCCATGGCTGCTGGCCTCGGCCATGCCTGGAATTGGACCTGCCAGGCATCCTGCCCATGGCACAGCGGGGCTGTTAGAGCCAAGAGAGGGGGCCCTGGTCCCCTGCTGGCCTCTCCCCATGGCCCTCCCCAATGACTGCTGCCCAGCACCTCCCATCGTAAAACATTCTGCTCAAGAGCCATCAGGGGCTGCCTGTGTCTGTGGGAAACGGCGGACTCCTCACTCTGGTACCCAAGGCCTCTCCAGGTTGGGGGCTCCTCTTTTGCCACTGCCCAGTACTCTGTCCCTCAACACACTCCAGCGTGTCTGTTGCTGGTGCCCTCTGCCTGGGAGCCGTCCCTCACCCTGCACCCTCACTCACTGAAATCACTGCATGCTTTGAGGCCCAGGCAAACACCTCACCCCACGCCCAGCTCCAGACTTCCAGCCCCCAGATTCCAGGGCCTGCTACCTCCTGTGGGCCCCTCCCTGAGTATAAACTGACATTGTCTTTGGGGAACTTGGCCTTTCCCCTCCACTCCCATGGGGAGCTCCTACAGGGCAGAATCACCACCCACACGGGCTCTAGTGGGCACAGACAATGGGCTGGGGAGTGCTAGCAGCTGAAGGATTCAGGGACTTGTTAAGGGACTAGGCGTTGTTTCTCCCATGCAGGAAGATGCCTGAAGCCTCCTTTCCTCATGCCATCCACCCACGGCAGGAGTGCCAGCCTCCTGACGCCCTGCCCCCATGACCCTAGCCCCATACCATGCTGGATGCCACTGGACGCCTGGGAAAGCCCCTGACGCACATCCTGAGAGTTAGTTTCCCCAGAGCTGGCCCACGCCTCTTCTCCCTTCATCCCCTGCAAGGCAGTTACCCCAGAGCTGCCCCACGCCTCTTCTCCCTTCATCTCCGGGGCACCCCTGCGAGTCAGTTTCCCCAGAGCTGCCCCACGCCTCCTCTCCCTTCATCCCCTGCAAGGCAGTTACCCCAGAGCTGCCCCACGCCTCCTCTCCCTTCATCTCTGGGGCACCCCTCTGAGTCACAAGCCTCATATCACCCACTGGAAATCTGGAAATGCCACATGCAGCCAAAGAGCTGGCCAAGGGTCAGTTGGCCCCAATTCCATGTGACATGGACACATCCCAGCCCCCTCTCTGAGCATCACCTTCCCATCTGTAAAATGAGGTAATCAGCACTGTCCTGCATGCCTAGGAGGGTTCTTCTAAAGATCAGATGAGACGATACATGGGAAAGTGCTATAGGGAGATGCAAGTATCCCACAAATGTCTGGGATCCGTATTGAATGGGGGAGAAGGCTGGGTGACTCCACACGCAGCTCTAGGAACTTCTCTGAGACCAGCCTGCAAGACCTGTTGGGTGAGACCTCCAGCACAGAGGTCCTCCGTGAAGGCTTGAGGAATCTGTTTTCACAACCCCTAAGCCTCATTGCACTTCTCCACCGCAATGCACAACACAAAATATTTCCTTCGGGTGACATCCTGCAGCTTGCCCTGCAGACTTCCTGCCCTGGCTGTCAGCCGCCAGCCAGCCCTGATTCGGAGACTGTTTACCCCCGAGTGGATGATGGCAGCCTGGCCAAGGAGCATCCGGTGAACATCTTCCTGTGGATCTGAGTTAACACTGTGACTCGCAGACAGGCCACTTCAGGCTGTTTCTTTACTGGAAGAGGAAGATTAAAGCATGGAACTTTTTTTCCTTCATGAGATAAAGCAAGCTCTGTGTACCTCAAAACTTGGCCCTTCCTCCATGTTGCTCCCAGGGAAGTCACAAAACGTACAGAGAAAGCAGCAGGCAGTCGGCTGTGTCTGTGGGAAACGGCGGACTCAGGATGTGCCCAAGGAGCCTTGGAGTATGAGAGCAGGTGGGCACCTTAGATTCCTGCCTCCAATACTCCCATTTTGTGGGTGGGCAAACTGAGGCCTAGAAACTAGCAATATATTTAAGACAGAGCTAGACTCAGCCCTAGCTCCCCTGACTCCCCAGCCAATGCTGTTTCTGTCACCCCTCCACTCTTGACGGTAAGCAGCCCCCGGTGGGGAGGAAGGAGAGAGGACAGAGGAGATGCTGGGGCGAGAGAGCGGCCACCTTGGGGAGGGAAGGGGGTGAAGGCACAAGCGAAGCAGTGGCCTCTGGGAGGCTCTCCTCTCAGCCCTGGTTCTTGGGAGGCTGTTGCAGGAGCTACAGGGGCAGGTTAGCGGGGCAGTCCCGAGAAAGGCCACCCCACTTCCTACCCCCTAAGCAGTCACTGGCGGCGAAGCCCAGCTGCTTGGTCCCTGACCGCTGAGACCCAGGCTTCCCTTTGAATGTGGGAGGGATTTGGGTGGGGAAGCACGTTCTAGGTCCCATCGTCACCAGGACAGACACTGAGAGACACCTGGCTTCCTACCACCCCCAAGTGTGCTTTCAGGGCAAGCTGGGGGCAGCAATGGGATGGGAATGGCACAAGGTCCCTGGTTGGCCAGTGAAGCAGCCTGACCACAGAGGTCCCTCAGCTCCCTGCCAGGGTTCTCTCCTGGCACCAGGTGCCCACCTATACAAGAGGCCACTCCGTCGAGTGGACGGAGGTAGACACCGGCTCTCAGCAGCAGCGACGTCGTACTGGCTCTGTGCTAGGCTCCATCCGGGCATCTGTCTCTCGGCTGTCCTCTGGGGGCTGTGTCCAGTGAGCGGGTGACCACCCAGGCCCAGGTGCAGAGTGGATTCAGGGCCTGGGCCCCTGACCCTGGCTGGAACAGAGCAAGGCAGGTCCCTACTGTATCCCACTGTGCGTCGAAAGGACCACCTGTATCCAGATCCCCTGAGGAGGGTGTGAAAATTGTGGATTCTCACCCCACCCTGCCTCAAACCCAATGAATCAGCATCTCTGAGGGTCTGTGCCTCCCGGCCCCAAATGCTCTCACCCTTGACAAGTGGACAAGCAAGAAGCAAAACTGGGTGCGTCCCCAAGGAAGTGGGCATCCTCACAACCCTTCCTCTCTGTGGAAGAAGATTGCACGTGGAATTTTCTGTATCCCACAAACATCCCTCTGCGGAGAGGCTGGGGCAGATCCACATGCCCCTGGCTCCTGAGCAGCTGCTAATTGGCGCTGCTGTTCTATTTCTGCTCAGGGTCTAAATGAGGTCACCTCCCAGTGCCACCTGAGATGAGCCCAGCAAGGAGAGCTCAGGGCCCAGGGTGCAGCTGGCCTAGCCCATCCCCGGGGAAGGCTGTACAACCTGGAATCGGGACAACTTGAGCAATCCACCTCCTAAAAGTGACAGGTTTCCCGGGACGTGGGACTTGAAGCACTAAACTAGGAAAGTCCAGCAAACCAGGGGGATTTGGTCACCAGAGGCTAGCCCAGGGATGTCTGGGTGTGTCTCCCACTATGGGGAGTGCATGGCAGTCACAGGAGCCCACTTCCCAGAGCCCCAAAACTCAGACCCAGCAGCTTGGTCCTGCCAGGATGGGAAGGAAGCGTGCAGCATAGGGGATGCAGAGTCCAGCAGGGATCCCCTCTGCCCCTTAGCATCAGCCAGACCCTGAGTGGGGAGTACAGCCCTCCAAGTGCCTCTGGCTGCTGCCTGGGGACAGAAGTCCCTCCAGAGGTAGCCCCTGAGGCTTTCTCCCCAGCCTCAGAGAAACATGATCACTGCCACCACCGACTGAACGCCGACAGTACCCCAGATGCTGGGCTCAACAGTCAGCCAGGGCTGCTCGCTCTGATTTTATGAACTAACATTTAATGAGCCCTTATTATGCCAAGCACTTTGCATTTACGATACTATTTAACCTTCATAACATCCCATGAGGTTGGTTTTAGTATCTTCACTTACAGAGGAAGAAACCAAAGCACAGAGAAATCGAGTGATTTCTGGAAGGCGGAGGTTCTCATGGGGGATTTGGCAATGTCTGGGGAACACTTTGGGTTGTCTCTGGGTGAAGGCCAGAGATGCTACTGCACATCCTGCAGTACACAGGACAGTCCCTGCCACCAAGAGTGATGTGGCTCCAAATGTCCACAGTGCCGTCCTAGGAAACCCTGGCCCAAGATCTCACCGCCTTTCCTCGCAGAGTTTGGACTTGAATCTTGAGCTCTCAGCCACTCTGTTCTGCGATCACTATCCTCGTTTCACGTGTGAGAGAAAACGGAGGCTCCAACAGGTGAGGCGAAGGCTCCCAGCGAGCGCAGGTGGAGCTGGGGCTCCACAGGACCACACCTCCCTCTCTCCACCTTCCCTGGGGTGCTGTGAGCCCTGCTTTCCTCCTGCCTGTCTGGCTGGGCCATCTCAGTTTCCTTCATGGGCTCCACCTGAAGCTGTTCTGTTTCTGCTCAGGGTCTAAATGAGGTCACCTGTTCGCTGCCCTGCCTTTGAGTGTCGGTGGATGACCAGATTACTAATCCCACAGCAGGGCTACTCCAGCAAGTGAACAGAAGCACCAGCAACAATGAAGATATCACAGTAGATAGAGACTAGGATTGTCCCTGATAATCAAGGACATGGGGCTCCCTGGTCCTGGTCCCCTCCCCTCCTTGCTTCAAGCAGATCCACTCCCATCTATTCACCAAGGAATGACCTCCAGACCCCACCACAAAACCCCACAGGCACCGTGGGATGCTCCTTGCTCGTGTTCCCACCCAAATGACAGGCACCCATCCCCCCAGACAAGGCAGAGTACTGGGGGTCATTCTAGACCGTTCCCTCTCACCCCTCATCCTGTCAATCACTGCATCCCATCGTTTCTGCTTTTTGACCACCTTGATCCGAATCCATCTGTTTCCACCCCTGCTGTCATGGCCCATCTGGGATACCCTAATCTCCTGCGTGGGCAGTCACCCTAGAAATTAATCTTTTATTTCAGTAAAGTACATGTAACATAAAATTTACCATTTTCACTATTTTTTAATTTTATTTTTATTTTTTTAAGACGGAGTCTTGCTCTGACGCCCAGGCTGGAGTGCAGTGGCACGATTTTGGCTCACTGCAACCTCCGCCTCCTGAGTTCAAGCAATTCTCCTGCTTCAGCCTCCTGAGTAGCTGGGATTACAGGCGCCCACTACCACACCTGGCTAATTTTTATATTTTTAGTAGAGACGGGGTTTCACCATGTTGGCCAGGCTGGTCTCGAACTCCTGACCTCAGGTGTACATATATAAGAATATACGTGGCCAGGCGCGGTAGCTCACGCCTGTAATCCCAGCACTTCGGGAAGCCGAGGCAGGTGGATCATGAGGTCAGGAGATCGAGACCATCCTGGCTAACACAGTGAAACCCCTTCTCTACTAAAAATACAAAAAAAAATTAGCCAGGCATGGTGGCGGACGCCTGTAGTCCCAGCTACTCAGGAGGCTGAGGCAGGAGAACGGTGTGAACGCAGGAGCCAAACCTTGCAGTGAGCCGAGATCATGCCACTGCACTCCAGCCTGGGCGCCAGAGCGAGACTCCCTCTAAAAAAAAAATAAAATAAAATAAAATAAAATAGTACAACATGGATGAACTGTAAAAACATCCACAGAGATAGAAGGTAGATTAATGGCCGAGGCAGGTGGAAGGGAGGTATAGACAGTGAGGGCTAATGGGTATAGGGTTTCTTTATGGGAATGGAAATGTTCTAAAATTGATTTTAGTGATGGTTGTATTACTTTGTAAATATACTCATCAGCAGTGACCTGTACATTTTAAATGAGTGAATTGTATGTGAATTATATTTGTTTATTTACTTATTTATTTTATTTTATTTATTTATTTATTTTGAGACGCAATCTCGCTCTGTCGCCCAGGCTGGAGTGCAATGGCACGATCTTGGCTCACTGCAACCTCCGCCTCCCGGGTTCAAGCAATTCTCATGCCTAAGCCTCCCAAGTAGCTGGGATTACAGGTGCAGGCCACCACGCCCAGCTAATTTTTGTATTTTTAGTAGAGACAGGGTTTTGCTATGTTGGCCAGGCTGGTCTTGAACTCTTGACCTCAAGAGATCCTCTTGCCTCAACCTCCCAAAGTGCTGGGATTACAAGCGTGAGCTACCGTGCCCGGCCATATTTCAATAAAGCTGTTTTTAACAGAACAAAGCCTGGAGGACAGGACTTGGATATGTGGCCTGGCCTGGCCACCAGTGGTCAGCAACTTTCTCTGGCCC
The DNA here is from genome assembly GCF_000001405.40 of Homo sapiens. Taxonomy (NCBI): domain Eukaryota; kingdom Metazoa; phylum Chordata; class Mammalia; order Primates; family Hominidae; genus Homo; species Homo sapiens. The sequence goes on along the minus strand of NC_000022.11, from coordinate 46,744,850 downwards.
TGTTACCTTGGTCCCTCCCTTCACCAGACTCTCCCCTGCTTTACCACTGACCTGGGGCTGTGGATCCCATGTGGTGACTGCCTACTCCTGCATCCTGGGTGAGCACAGTACCCTGGACTTTGAGCCTTGGGCCTCTGTGCACTAAGGTGTGGTTCCTGGCCTCTGCCCTGGCTGTGCTGGGATCCCAACGCATCTGCCAAGCCCTCCCATGCACGGTTGCATTCGTGTCCATTCCTTTATGGTTTTGTGTCTTTGCTGTTTGGGGCCTGTGAATATACACAATGCTGTTGTGTATTCATCAATCTGTATGACAATATATCTATCATTACCTTTAAAAAAATTTTTTGGCTGGGCGCAGTGGTGCACGCCTGTAATCCCAGCGCTTTGGGAGGCTGAGGCAGGCGGATCACCTGAGGTCAGGAGTTCGAAACTAGCCTGGCCAACATGGCAAAACCCCATCTCTACTAAAAATACAAAAAATTAGCTGGGCGTGGTGGTGGGTGCCTGTAATCCCAGCTACTCGGGAGGCTGAGACAGGAGAATCATTTGAGCCCAGGAGGCAGAGGTTGCAGTGAGCCGAGATTGCGCCACTGCACTCTAGCCTGGGCAACAGAGCAAGACTTTGTCTCAAAAAATAAAAAATTTTTTGTTTATAGACATGCTCATGACACGGCCTCAGAAGGTCCTGACAGCATATGACATATGCCCCTATTGTTGCCTTTTTTTTTGGAGATGGAGTTTTGCTCTTGTCGCCCAGGCTGGAGTGCAATGGCACAATCTCGGCTCACTGCAACTTCCGTCTCCTGGGTTCAAGCGAGGCTCCTGCCTCAGCTTCCTGAGTAGCTGGGATTACAGGCACCCACCACCGTGCCTGGCTAATTTTTTGTATTTTTAGTAGAGACAGAGTTTCACCATGTTGGTCAGGCTGGTCTTGAACTCTTGACCTCAGGTGATCCACCCGCCTCAGCCTCCCAAAGTGCTGGTATTATAGGCATGAGCCGCCACCACACCCTGCTAATTTTTTTGTACTTTTAGTAGAAATGGGGTTTCACCATGTTGGCCAGGCTGGTTTTGAACTCCTGACCTCAGGTGATCTGCCTGCCTAGGCCTAGTAAAGTGCTGGGATTATAGGCATGAGCCACCACGCCAGGCCATCATACCCACCATACCCACTCTTTTTTTTTTTTTTGAGAAGGAGTCTCACTCTGTCTCCCTGGCTGGAGTGCAGTGGCGCCATCTTGGCTCACTGTAAGCTCCGCCTCCTGGGTTCACACCATTCTCCTGCCTCAGCCTCCCGAGTAGCTGGGACTACAGGCACCCGCCACCACACCTGGCTAATTTTTTGTATTTTTAGTAGAGACGGGTTTCACCGTGTTAGCCAGGATGATCTCGATCTCCTGACCTCATGATCCACCTGCCTTGGCCTCCCAAACTGCTGGGATTACAGGTGTGAACCAGTGTGCCCGAACCACACCCTCTCTTTAAGCTGGGGTCAGCACCCTCTGCACATGCCTTCAGGCGGTGTTATTTTCAATTTCAAGGGTTTGTTGGAGCAGGTTTTCTTCTTTTACTCTCAGTGCACCAGGCTCCAAATGTGGCCCCATCCCTCATCCTCTTGTCCCCAGACCTGCCTGCCTCCAGTCCCTGGCTAGCGGGAGTCACTGGTGCCTCCACCTCCCACCCCCTGGCTGAATCAGATCACCTGTCTCCTGGGCATCTTGCTATTTTCTCACTATTTTTTTATAGGCCTCAAATATAAAAAGGCAAACAAGACACACCCAGCAAGCTATTTAGCCTGGCCTTATCAGTCTCAAAATCACAGTTTATGGCACTCCTGAGCACTCATGGCCTCTGGCTGTGTCCTCACAGCCTGCGCTCCAGGTCCCGTCTCCCCAGTGATCTCACTCCACCCGACCAGGGTGTGCAAAAGCCACTCAGCTGGACCCCATGCGGGGTCACAGATGTCACCAGGATGGGGGCTTCTTGGGGTAACTCTTCCCCCAAACTCCCAAGGCTGGACATTGCTGTGCCTCCAGTACCTGGAATGAGTCAAGCCTGCATTGCATCAGTGAGAAATGGACACCTTATTTGAAGACACCAGAAGAGGCAGGTGCACACCCTCCCCTGGGTGCTGGTAAGCTGGCTTGCTCTCAGGGCATTTTCAGCTTGGAGTAGAAACCCCGAACATGGCCAACAGGGTGCAAGGCAGTGAAGAGGGTGGGCTTCAGAGTCTGGCAGTCCTGGGTTCATTCCCAGTTCTGCCCCTGGCCCACTGGATAACCCTGGTTCCTCCAGCCTCTCTGGGACTCAGTTTCCTTATCTGTAGTAGGGTAGTATCACCTTGAGGGTGAAATGTGCTAATGCTAAGCAGAGTGACAGACATCCTGTTGGTGCCTAACAGAGGGAGGTCAGCCGGGCAGGAACCTGCAGGGTTTAGGCCAAAACTAAGCCCAGCCTTTGGAGGCCTCCCCCTGGGTGTGATGTCCCCCTGGCCCTCCAGGGGTGTGAATAGTCCTGATCCCTGGCTGCCTTTGGAACTATCCCAGGCTAGCCTCACCTCCCTAGCCTTTTAGCTTGGTTCCACTGCCCGCTGAGGGCCATCCTCCACTTCAGCCCAGGCTCTAAGTCTGTCTTCTCTAGATGGGCAGGTTGAGGATGGGCAGGGCAGCACCGTCTTCCTGTAAGAGAAGCTGAGGCAGGACAGTCCTGCACGTCCTGGAGGGTGGAACATACTGGCCCGCCCTAGTGCCCAGGGAGCAGGGCCCACAGAGGCTGAAGCCTGGAGCTTGTGTCATCTACAGTTCCCACATTTCAGACTCTCCCACGGCAGGGAGACCCCAAAGCCTGGGACAGGGGAGCCTGGAGTGCCCCTGCAACCCATCTAATTACCTTTCTGTACAACCGGAGCAGGCCAGGTTAGTTTTGTGGGTCTTAGTTTTCACGTCTGTAAAAAGGGGTAAATAATACCCATTTCCAGGGGCGATTGTCTGGATCATGTGGCGAATGTAGGGATGTGTGTTTTGTAATGATCAGCTTACTCTCCAAATATCTGGGCCTCTTGGGGCCCAAGACATTTCTTCCAGACCCTTGAGGAGAAGCCTCGGATTCTCCTTTTTAAGGCAGTCAGCCTTAAAGAGGAGCATGGGAGGCTTCTCCTTGAAGGTGGAGGGCAGAGGATGGCATTCCTGGCAGCCCATGTACAGCTGGTGCCAGGATCCTCCCACCCAACCCAGCATTCTAGTTTCTGATGTCAGATGGTGGTGCTGACTTCACGAGACAGGGAGTCTCGGGAGATAAGCTGGAAGGACTGGCACAGCAAACAAGGCCAGGGGCCCAGGAAGAGAAGGGAAGAATAGATCAGAGGCCATGGCGGGGACCATGTTAGACGGGGCTGCTGGTGCCAGGCTCCTGCTGGTGGCCAGGGCTCCGTGGACAGGAGGGGCCGGGGCCCGTGGTATGGATGACCCAGTGGGTGGGACACTCGTGGGTATGGGGTTGGACCAGCTTAGACAGAACCTCAGGAGCCAGGTGGCCCATGGGTGGGACAACCTGGCCGCCCAGGGGAACGGGTGCTGGCCGCCGCTGGGCAGGATGTCTGGCTTAGCAGGCTCCAGGGCCATCAGGCCACCAGGCAGCAACCCAAGCCTGCAGACTGGACACAAGACAGGGTCAGGTGGCAGGTCAGGGCCTGACTAATTAGGACCAGAACTCCAGGCTGCTGGGGCTGAGCCCATGCTCTCTGGCCTACCTGGCAGCTCAGGGCCCTGTGCAGAGCTGACCAGCCATGTACACAGCAGGCTAGCAACAGGTTGGGGCATCAGTTGTTCTGAAGTGCCACAAGGAGAAGTGAGGCCCTGTGGCAGCCGGGGGTGGAAGTGCCATGCAGTGAGCTATCAGGGGACTCTGTGGCAGAAGAAACAAGATGTGGTTTGAAGGAGAAGGTGAGTGGGGGCCTCCCAGGCAGACGTGTGGGAAGGGCATTTTGGGCAGGGTCTAAGGTGGGAAAGGTGCCTGCCAGGGAAGAGGTGGGTGAGGTACCGGGAGGTCCTCAGGCAGCCAGGGCTGGCCTCGTCTACATTTTCAAAGCTCCTGTGTCCTTCGCAGCCAGCTCCTGAAGGGCCCCCTGGGTCTGACACACAGCAGGGACCTGACGGCTGCTCTGGGGTGGAGCTGCTCTTTCCTCCCATCCCTCCAGTGCTGTGCCCAGAGTCATGGCCCTGGCCCCACACAGGGCCTGACCCCCACCCAACCCCTCTCCCATGCAACTCAACTGCAGGATGTGCATCTTCTGGAAACCTGGGCTTCGTGACATCACCCTGTCTCCCTGAGCATGAGCATGGGGCCCTGCAGTGGCCAGGCCCCTCCCCAGCCCATCCTAGGACTACAGGTCCCCTGGGTCTGCTCAGGCTGCCATAACAAAATATCACGGACTGGATGGCTTCAACAACAGCAATCTGTCGTCTCCCATGAACAGTTGGCAGAGGCTGGAAGTCTGAGGTCAAGGTTCAAGCCCACAGGGTTGGCCTCCTGGAGGTCACTCTCTTTTGTTGCCCCTTCCCATGGCCACCCCTGTGTACACACGCCTCGGGGGTCTGTGTGTGTTCACGTTTCCTCTTCTTTTTTTTTTGAGATGGAGTTTCGCTCTCGTCACCCAGGCTGGAGTGCAATGGCGCAATCTCAGCTCACCTGGGTTCAAGCAATTCTCCTGCCTCAGCTTCCGGAGTAGCTGGGATTCAGGAGCGCACCACTGCACCCAGCTAATTTTTGTATTTTTAGTAGAGACAGGGTTTCACCATGTTGACCAGGATGGTCTCCAATGCCTGACTTCAGGTGATCCACCCGCTTCAGCCTCCCAAAGTGCTGGGATTACAGGTGTGAGCCACAGAGCCCGGTCAACATTTCCTCTTCTTGTAAGGACGCGCTGGATGAGGGCCCACCCTAACAGCCTCATTGAATCTCCTGTGTGTTTTGTAACTGATGTTGCTGTCTCCCCCAACGGAGCTCCTTCGGGGCCTAAGCACTTCTGAGTCGTCTCTGGGCCCCCACCTCTGGCTGCAGGATTTTAAGCCAAGGCGTGCAGCCGGGGGACAGCAACGTGAATACGCCGGGAGGGGCACGGGGAGCCTAAGCACAGGGAGGCCCAGGGAAGGGGTCCCCAGTAGGGACGCTGGTGCTCTCGGGCCCCTGCCCATGCCACCCTTGCCTGCCAACCCTCTTCGCATGCAGCGGCACCCTCCTGCCACTGGCATGAGCTTTTCTTTCCAAGTAAGTTTCAGATCCACATTTCCCAGGCCTCAGAGCGGCAGCTGAGGGAGGGAGGAGGCTGGGCAGGCCTCGCTGCTGCACACCCCACTGTGTGCCACGATCAGGTACTGCCTGCTAGGACTCTGACTGGGCCCACGGTGGCTGCAGGACTGTCCTGGGGCCTTCACTGCATGGCCTGAACAGGGGCTGGGCTCCCAGGGAGGAATGATTCATGGCTGGTTCCCGCCCTATAGACAAGACAGTCACAAGGAGCTGGCAGGGTAAGACCTGTATATGCTGCCACCTGGTGCCAGGCACAGCAGCAAGGCCACGTGGACCTAGCCCACCTCACCTCTGCCTGCAGCAGCAGGGCTGGGTAGGGGAGCCGAGGGGAGGGGCAGGCCTCAGACCTCAGTGTCACATCCAGGCAGTGTCAGTGTGAGCCTAGGCTCTGCCACACTGGAGCCCTGTGCTCTTGGGCAAGTGACTTAACCTCTGTGAGCACAGTCTTCACTGATAAATCAGGGAGGGATGTGCCCTCCGAACCAGGTTGTGGCTGCTTCCTATGGGGCTGTGTTAAGCACTGCGGACGCAGAGACTGGAGCTTGCATGAAGGCGCACGGCGTGCTCTGAAGGCAGGGCTGGAGTCCCTGCAGGCTGGTGATTCCTTCAGCTGTGGGGTCAAGGAGGCCTTCCTGGGGAGGCGGTGAATTGGGGCCACAGGGGCCGTGTCTCTCCAAGTCTGGGGCCCAGGCTCCGGTTCCTAGGGCCAGCTCGGGGGCGGCTGCTCAGCTGTCTGCTCTGTGGCTTCAGGCCCCAGAGCAGTTCAAAGGGCCAGCGCCCCCGCCCCCTAAAAAGACCTCCGCCTCCTGAAAGCCTTACCTGCCTGTCGGGGCCCAGCTGCAGGCCCCCTCCCAGGCCGACAGGACGCCAGGATCGTAGAGGGCACCCGCCGCCCAAGGTCACGTCGCCCGTGGCGCCCCCATCCAGGCCCGCCCCCCGCCGCGCCCGATCGCCAGGACTGCGTTTCCACGCCGCCCGGACCCCGCCTGAACCGAGGCCCGCGCGGAAGGCGCCACTGAGTCCCGGCCGGCCGCGGGAGCGCCAGATTCAGCACCCGGCACCCGCCGGAGAAGAGAGGAGAGAAAGGCAGCCGCCTCCCGGCCCCAGCGCCCTGGCCTCGGCCAGCCCCATCCCGGCCCCTTCCTCCTCCCTCTTCTCCCCTTCTCGGGTCCCCCCGTCTCTCCCTGGCTCCCGGCCCCTCCTCTACCCACGCCTCCTCCTCGCCCCCGCCCCGCCCGTCCCCTCCGCGGTCCCCGCCGCCCGCGTACGGGGTGACGCAGCGCCGCCTCCCGCCGCCCGCCGCCCGCCGCCCGGGCCACTGCAGGGGCCGCTAACGGTCCGGCGCCCCTCGGCGTCCGCGCGCCCCCAGCCTGGCGGACGAGCCCGGCGGCGGAGATGGGGGCGACGGGGGCGGCGGAGCCGCTGCAATCCGTGCTGTGGGTGAAGCAGCAGCGCTGCGCCGTGAGCCTGGAGCCCGCGCGGGCTCTGCTGCGCTGGTGGCGGAGCCCGGGGCCCGGAGCCGGCGCCCCCGGCGCGGGTGAGTGTCGCCGCCGCCCGGGTTCGGCCGGACCTGGCCAGGGAGCGGGGGCGGCTTGGGGGACCCGGCTGGGGGGACCGGGTGCAGGGAGCGAGCGGCTGTGGTAAGGCCGGGGGCCCTGGGAGCGCAGGCGCCAGGGAGGGGTCGGGGCAGGCGGGAGGGAGGCCGGGGCCAGGGGCCGGGCTGTGCGCCGCCGTCTGCTCCGGGAACCCGAGGACAAAGCGCCGCGCAGTGGAGGGGAGGCCGGCGCCCCATCCCCGCGGGGAGGTGGGACCCGGGGCGCGGGGTCGTGGCCCCCGGTGCGGTCTGTCCGCAGGGCACCTCTGGACAAGACGGACTGTGGATGGATCCCGAGGGGGGGTGCCAGGCGCTCCCCACCGCGCGCATTGCAGTTTACTCCAAGAACAGATGCTTTTCTTTAGCAGGGATCCGAAACCTGAGAGGCGCCCTTGCAGGGTGAGGACTTCCTGTTAAGAAGTTAAAGAAGGGGCCCCTGACTTTCTGTGGGGTGTGCTCCCTGCTCGGGATGGGGGAATTGGTTTCCGTGCCACGGGTTGGCTACTTGCCCCGCAGAGGCCCTCCGGATGAGGAGAAGAGTGACTTTGGTAAACATGGAGGACGCATAGCCCACCCTGGAGAGAGCCCTGCAGGAGGACAGAGGGTTTGTTTTTGTTTTTTGTTGTTTTTTGTTTGTTTTTTGTTTTTTTTTTTTTTTGAGTCGGAGTGTTGCTCTGTTGCCCAGGCTGGAGTTCAATGCCACGATCTTGGCTCACTGCACCTCCGCCTCCTGGGTTCAAGCAATTCTCCCTGCCTCAGCCTCGGAGTAGCTGGGATTACAGGAGCCCGCTACTACGCCCGGCTAATTTTTGTATTTTAGTAGAGACAGGGTTTCACCATGTTGGCCAGGCTGGTCTTGAATTCCTGACCTCAGGTGATCTGCCCACCTCAGCCTCTCAAAGTGCTGGGATTACAGGTGTGAGCAACCGCACCCAGCCTTTTTTCTTTTTAATTATTGGGGTGGGTGTGGCAGAGGCCAGGATTCATGCTGGATGTGCGGAGCTGGAATGGGGTGGGTGTGGCGGAGGCCAAGATTCTCTGGTGGATATTCGGAGCCTGGGATGACACCTTTAGACCCTGTGGGCAGTCGAGGTCAGGAGTTCTTCTGGGCGCTTTCTGGTGCTGAGTGGTGAGGATCTGTGGGTTGGGTTCTGGTGGGGACAGAGTTGAACGTTAGGTGGGGCCAAGGTCGAGGGGTGGTCTCAGACCCATGACCAACACTTGGTTTCCAGCCCTGGGGTCACCTATCTGTGGCTGGGCATCTGAGACTTGACTTTCCTAAGGTATTTCTCATGTCCCCTTTGGTAGAAATGTCACACCCCAAATATCACCCACCAGGGCCCACACACAAGGAGAACAGGTGCCTGACCTGGGCCCGAAGGGTTTGTACTTTGTTGTAAATCCCTAGGCTTCAGGAAGATGACTGCCTCCCCCAAGCACTTCCTAAGTGCGGGCCACTGGGCTTCAAACCGGATGGGTTCCTGAGAGGCAGCTGCTCCCGTCCTAGGGATGCAGGGGCCGATCTGCAGGGGCTGGAAGTGACTGGCCCAATTAGCTGCTGTGCTTGTAGCCACTGGGCTGTAAGGCTTCCCTCAGGCTCCAGCCGCCGCAGAGACGCCAGACCCTTACAGGGCATCTGTGTGGGAGGTCAGTCATCACTGCTTTCTGCCTTGGCGTCCCCAGCCAGCTCCCATTATGGTTTCTGGTCCCCCAGGTCAGGGCTTGGTGTGGTGTGGCGTCTGCTTTTGTCCAGCCTGCTGGGGTTTGCCTCTTGGCATGCTAATTGCTTCACTCTTGCTAAGCCAAGGTGCTTTTGTGCGGGTTCATCCTGAGCTGCCTGACTGGCCTGCCAGGAGCTTGGTCCCTCTTGGAGAGGGAGGGCCCTGGTTTGTGGGGCCATGGATGGTGGGGCCCTGGCTGGTGGCCCTGGCTGGTGGGCTTCCTCCAGGAAGCAGCCTGCCCTCTCCACCCAGGAGTGCTCTCCCATGCAATGGGAAAACATCAACAAGTTGGGAAACGCTAAGTTGTGAATGAGTTCAGGAATACAGCCACACTGTCTCTAGTTTTTTTCTCATAGCTTTACAGTCCCCAAAAGGAATCAGGCCCAGGTTCGATTCTTCTATGCTTGAGGTCAGTAGGGCCATAGTAGGGCAGAAGAATGTGAACCAGCTCACAGGACATTTAATTTGGTCAGCAAGGTGGCATTGCCCAGCCCTCCCCATTCCCCCAGGTGTATCTGGGCACACTGGGATTGATTAGGTTGAGGAATGATGAGAGGTGGAGAATTGTGCAAAAACTGGCCCTAGGAGGACCTGTGAGATGAGGCAGGAGCAGCCCTGGAGCTCCAGGTGACCAATGGGCTAAAGACAAAGCCAAGGCCACTGTGTGTGCCCTGCTGGGGTGGCCGCTTAGTTATTCCGACTCCTTTGTTTTCTCCGTAGCATCACCCCTATTTCAGATGTGGACAGTAGGAGTGGGAATTGACTGGGCCCAGAGGCAGTGATGTACAGAGGGAGCTGGCTTTGAACCCAGGCACGTGCACTTTCGTCAGTGGGTCATCATGCTGGGACAGTGACTGACTGTACAAGAGCACAGACAAGGACTAGCAATTTGGATCGCTGCAGCTTCCTGGGCCTGGGTGAGGTCTGCACCTGAGGAAGCCGCGACAGCAAGTGCCCTGGGCCGCCAGCCTGGTGGGAAGTAGGGCAGGACGAAAACAGGAACTTGAAGTGGGTCATGCTCGTTGAACTGGAAACACTGAGTTGATATCTGGGTTATTTCCCCTGACTGTCGCAAAACACACTTAGACAAACCCTGCATTTATTCCTTTAGAGTTGGGAATGGGAAGAGTGTGTGTGTGTGTGTGTGTGTGTTGGGGGGTGAGGGGACTACTGCCCAGGCTCTACCTTTGTGGGAGGATCCTCCCCTTCCTTCCACCAACCCCACTTGGGATGTCCCAGGCTGGTGGTGAACTCGTTGGGCAGGTCAGTACTGTGTTTATAAAGCGTGTCCTCAGCACACCCTGCAAAGTGCCTGGCAAAACATAGGCATGCCACAGATACTTTAAAAAAATGTTTTTCCTGCTTACAAAAGTAAGTCATGTTGATTTAATAATATCGAGAAAACACAGAAAAGCATACACAAAAAGTCACTCTTCGACTTAGACGTGATTAATATTTGGTATTTGTGTATATGTAAATATGCATGAAAGAAAAGCTGAGAAAACATACTGCAGAGTGTTTTCCACGCTACTAATTCCTCTCCTAAGACATGATTTTTAAAAATCGATTTTATCAAGGTCTAAATTGCATGCAATAAAACTCAGACATTTTAAGGCACATAGTTGGTTAAATTTTGATAATTGTGTGCACCTGTGTAAACATCACCCGGATCGCAGCAGCCCAGCACCTTCTCCTGGGCCCTGGGCTGTTTTCTCACCAGGGACAGGCACGATGCTAATAGAGTTTCATGTAAATGGAATCATGCCATGTGCACGTCTTTGTGCCCGGCTGCTTTATCTCATGTAAATGGAATCATGCCATGTGCACGTCTTTGTGCCCGGCTGCTTTATCTCATGTAAATGGAATCATGCCATGTGCACGTCTTTGTGCCCGGCTGCTTTATCTCATTTTGTTTTTTTTAAGATTCATCATGTCAGCAGTTCCTTCTTTCTGGTTACTAAGTCATATTGCATTGTGTGGGTGCACTAGTGTATCCGTTCACCTGCTGATGGGCTTCTGGACAGTTTGCAGTCCATTCACCTTGACTATGTGGATAAAGACACCCTGACCCTTTAGGGGCTATGCTTTTGCTCCTCTTGGGTGCATATTTAAGAGTAGAAAGCTGGATTATAGGAAAATGTATATATATATATATATATATGTATGTATGTATATATAACATATTTTATTATATTTTTGGAGTCTTCCTCTGTTTCCCAGGCTGGAGTGAAGTGGCAAGGTCTCGGCTCACTGCAACCTCCACCTCCCGGGTTCAAGTGATTCTCCTGCCTTAGCCTCCTGAGTAGCTGGGATTATGGGCACCTGCCACCAGCTAATTTTTGTATTTTTAGTAGAGACAGGGTTTCACCATGTTGGCCAGGCTAGTCTCGAACTCCTGACCTCAGATGATCTGCCTGCCTCGGCCTCCCAAAGTGTTGGGATTACAGGCGTTAGCCACTGCACCTGGCTGTAAATTCTTACAAGAAAATAGAGGACAGTTTATAATATTGGAATGGGAAAAGGCTCTCCTAACCAAGATGGAATCCAGAAAGAATAAAGAAAAAGCTAGATTATTTGACGAAATAATTTTAAAATTTCTTTTGTAAGATATCATAAATTTAAAAAAAAAGATAAGGGCCGGGCGTGGTGGCTCACACCTGTAATCCCAGCACTTTGGGAGGCCGAGGCGGGTGGATCACTTGATGTCAGGAGGTCGTGACCAGCCTGCCCAACATGGTGAAACCCTGTCTCTACTAAAAATACAAAAATTAGCCAGGCATGTTGGCGTGCGCCTATAATCCCAGCCTCTCAGGAGGCTGAGGCACGAGAATCTCTTGAACCTGGGAGGCGGAGGTTGCAGTGAGCTGTGATTGCACCACTGCACTCCAGCCTGGGCAACACGGCGAGACTCCATCTCAAATAATAATAATAATAATAAAATAAAAATAAAAAATGATGGGGGTGATATTTGCAACAAATAGGATAGAGAAAGGGTTAATTTTTTTTTTTTTTTTTTTTTTGAGACAGAGTCCCACTCTGTCGCCCAGGGCTGGAGTGCAGTGGCGTGATCTCAGCTCACTGCAAGCTCCGCCTCCCGGGTTCACACCATTCACCTGCCTCAGCCTCCCGAGTAGCTGGGACTACAGGCACCCACCATTGCACCCGGCTAATTTTTTGTATTTTTAGAAGAGATGGGGTTTCACTGTGTTAGCCAGGATGGTCTCAATCTCCTGACCTCGTGATCCTCCCTCTTTGGCCTCCTTAAGTGCTGGGATTACAGGCGTGAGCCACCGCGCCTGGCCAGGTTAACATTTTTTGAACATTTTAAACTTACATAAAAATTGATAGGAAAAAAGGCAGACAATCCATTAGACAAATGGCAATGGATATAAGTAGGCGATTCACGGAAGAAAACATTCGGAAGTGGATGCTGAGCGTCTGAGTAGATACTGACCCAAGGCAATGATGAGATGCTGCTCTCAACCAGCAAGGGATGGGGAAGGGCGAAAGCACAGCTCTGTGCTGGGGAAGTTTCAGGACGCTTCTGGGCTGGCAGACCCGGTGAATGGGAAGTGGGAACTGCTAGGGTGTTTTTGGAAAGTAATCTGGCAGTGTTTTCAAACTGTAAAAAAAAAAAAAAAAAGTGATATCCTTTGACCCAACAATTCCATTTTTGATTATCTATCCCAGAGAAATTAAACCACCAGTATTTAAGAAACTTTCATACTCGAGAAGATACACTTTCTGTGTGTTTAAGAAACTCCTAATGTGTTTTACTTCCCGTCCCCCCCACCCAATTTATTTTTCTTCTCTAACAGTCTAGATTTTTGCATAACAGCGTTTTCTATGAGAAATGCAGCTGAGTCCTGCCTTTTGAGGGTTATCTCAGGAACCTGTAGCTGGTCCAGGATGCATCTCAACTTAATGGCTTCAGCGATTAGCCCAGCGTGGACTTCCAGGCACGAGTTCTCCTCTGTCCTGGAGACAGCCAGCCTGTCACCCGCATACAAGCTCCAGCTACTCGGCCTCTCTCCTAGGCCAGTGGCCCACCCTCACCGCCTGCTGGGTTCTCGATTCGGCTGTCCGGATCCCACACGTCTGCTGGGTTCTCGATTCGGCTGTCCGGATCCCATACCTCTTCTCTCCTTTCTCGCTGACCTTGGTCCCCTTTTTGCCACAGACTGGGTCAGATGACTTCTGCCTCCAGCTGGCCCCGGTCTTCCCCTCCCGACCCCTCCTGCTGCCTTTTGAATTTCTTTAGGGAGCACCCCGGCGGCTGAACCCTGGATGATGGGGATTGGAAGTTTAGAGAGCACCCTGAGGGTCACTAATCCCTTCTCCAGTGCCGTTGGCCCGTCCTGACAGCCAGCCTGTGTGCCCCATTGATGTTTAGACACCCTGCCCTGCTACAAAGTTCTTCCAGGCACTGCTCGCCCATGCGTGCCTGTGGCCTGGCTTGCATTCCTGACCTCCCCCGATCTGGCCCTGCCCCCACCTGCTCCCGGGGCACACGTGCTCACCAGCCCAGCCGTCATTATCTCCCGCATGCCCTGTGCCTCCCCAGGTGCCCTCTGCCCTCCCTGCCTGACATGTTTTCCTCTATCCTCAGCCTCACCAAGGCCCAGCCCTCCTTCCCAGACTCACCTAGCACTGGTTATTTTGCAGTATGTTCCAAGACTGGGCAGCGTTTACACCTTCTGTTTAGCTGGTTTCTCTGGCACTGCTCCAGCAGGGAACGGCGCTGGTACTGCCAGGTGGGGGTGGAAGCCCAGGTTCCCCTCAGCCTTGTTGGCAGCGGAGTCAGGGGCTGCTTGTCATTGCCGGGTGGGTGGGGGGTACAGCTCCCGCCAGGCCTCTGCTAAGGCCACCTTGGCGGGGGGTGGAGGTGCTTCCTTGCCGCTCCCCACATGCACTCCCCTAACAGCACGTGGGTGGAGTGTGGGCACCTTGCAGCTCAGTGGCAGTGAAAGCCCTGTCTCCCCACCAGGCCTCCTCTTACTCCACTCCAGCAAGGAGGAAGGGGCACCTCGCCAGTGCAGGGTGGGGGCCCGGGCTGGGCTGCCCCTTTGTCTCCACCAATGCCTAGTGGGCATGAGGCTTTTTACCAGCTGGCGCTGATGGGGGTTCCAGCTTCCTGCGTGGCCTCCCCTGTACAGCCCTGGCAGAGGTTGTGGGGTGCCTGCTCACAGCCTCTCAAGGGTGGAAGTCTAAGCTGCTAGTTGGCCACTTGGGCTTGGTTGGAGGGCTGGGCCCGTTTTTTTCTGGGGTAGGTTGTTATTGTCTCAAAGTTTTCTGTCTTGCAAAGCTGCCCCTTCCCTGGCTAGACTGAGTTGGCTTTCACTGGGGCTCTGCGTTTGTACCTGTTGGCATTTCCAGGTTTCAGGCTGCTCCAGTTCCAAATCCAAGATAGACGAGGCAAAGGAAACCCCCAGGGGGATGCCGTGTGTCTTTCTCAGATCCCAGGCCCTGAACAGCTGCCTTTTCTCTGCCTGTCAGAGTCTTCTTATATTTGTTTCATGTGTGACGTCCAGGGCTTCACTTAATAGGAGGAGTAGGAAAAGCACAGCTAATCCATCCTCCCAGAAGCAGAAGGTGCTTGTGCATTAAAACAATTTCTTTCTCTCTGCTCTTTAGAATAGATTCTTTCTGCTGACCTATTTTCAACTTCACTATTCCTCTATCTAATTCATTCTGCTGCTAAGCCTATCTGGTGATTTTTAAATTTCAGATACTGTACTTTCCAGTTTTAAATTTTTCCTTTTGGTTCCAATAGTTTCCATTTCTTTCCTGAAAACTTCTTTTTTTTTTGAGATAGACTGTCACTCTGTTACCCAGACTGGAGTGTAATGGTGTGATCTCGACTCACTGCAAACTCCACCTCCTGGGTTCAAGCAGTTCTCGTGCCTCAGCCTTCTGAGTAGCTGGGATTACAGGTGCCTGCCACCATGCCTGGCTATTTTTTTTTTTTTTTTTAGTAGAGACAGGGATTTGCCATGTTACCCAGGCTGGTCTTGAACTCCTGAGCTCAGGCAATCTGCCCGCCTTGGCCTCCCAAAGTGCTAGGATTACAGGCGTGAGCCACCACTCCCAGCCTCTTTCCTGAAAACTTCAAGTATGTTCAACTGTGTCTCAGTGAGCATGGTTATAACAGCTGCTTTGTTTTTTGTTTGTTTGTTTGTTTGTTTGTTTTGAGATGGAGTCTCGATCTGTCACCCAGGCTGGAGTGCAGTGGTGCGATCTTGGCTCACTGCAAGCTCCGCCTCCCAGGTTCACGCCATTCTCCTGCCTCAGCCTCCTGAGTAGCTGGGACTACAGGCGCCTGCCACCACGCCTGGCTAATTTTTTGTATTTTTAGTAGGGACAGGGTTTCACCGTGTTAGCCAGGATGGTCTCGATCTCCTGCCCTCGTGATTCACCTGCCTCGGCCTCCCAAAATGCTGGGATTACAGGCATGAGCCACCGCGCCTGGCCAAAGACTACTTTGAAGTCTTTGTCTGATAACATCAACATCTGGGTCATCTCAGGTTTGACGTCTTTTGATTATTCCCTTGAGAACGTTAACATTTCCTGGTTCTTGGTGTGCTGATTTATTGTGGGTTGTTTCCTGGATATTTGGTACATTATTTTGTAAGGCCAAGTCCTGTTAATGTTTTTTGGAGGCTGGGTGTTGTGCATGCCTGTAGTCCCAGCTACTCAGGAGGCTGGGGCAGGAGGAGCATTTGACACCAGGAATTCGAGGTTACGGTGTTCCATGATTGTACCACTGTACTCCATCCTGAGTGACAGAGCAAGACCCTGTCTCTTAAAAAAAATTAATAAAAAATAAAGTCATTTGGACAATTTTTCTATTTAATTAAATTAATTAATTTATTTATTTACAGTCTCACTGTTTCCCAGGCTGGAGTGCAGTGGCTCAGTTTTGGCTCACTGCAGCCTCTTGAGCACAAGCCGTCCTCCTACCTCAGCCTCTCAAGTAGCTGGAACTACAGGCATGTACCATCATTCTCCCTAATTTTTAAAATTTATTTTGTAGAGACAGGGCCTCACTATGTTGTCCAGGTTGGTCTCAATCTTCTGGCCTCAAGCAGTCCTCCCGCTTCAGCCTCCCAAAGTGCTGGAATTACAGGCATGAGACACCAGACCCAGCCAATTTTTCTTTTTCAAAAGCAGGTGCTCAGCCTGGCTGGGTACAGATGGCAGGTCTGTCTCATGTGGCGAGGGAGGTGGGCCCTGGCTGTCCAGCCTCCGAGGCCCTGGCTGCCCTGTTTTGGCCCCTCAGGAGTGAGGCTGGACTCATCTGGTCATTCTCAGAGCCAAGTATTCCTGCTCCAGCCCCCTCTCCTCTGAGCACCCCTCTGCCCTCAGCACACCCTGGCTTCTCTGGGACAGGGGCCTGCACCCACCCTGCTGCCCCATAGCTCAGACGTCCCCGAGGCCAGAGCTGGAGATAAACCCAGCTCCCAGCTGCTGACTCTGCACGCTGGCCTCTCCAGCCAGCGGGCCTGCTGCTGTGGATCTCTGGTGTCCCCGGTTCACTGCCTGTTTCTTGTATCTTGTCCAGAGCTATCAGTCATAGCGGGTGGGAGAGACAGGCGGTCGGGCTTGGTTCATTCTGGCCAGAACTAGATGTCTGAATGCTGCTTTCCATTTAGGCCAGCGTGTACTGTGCCCTGCAGTGCTGCGGGCTTCACACCCAATGGGATCCTCATAGCCCTCTGAGACGCCCCTTGTTATCTTCTCAGAGGTGGAGATGTGGGACTTAGAGCTGAGCTCACAGGTTGGGGAGTGGGGACTCAGAGCGAGGCTGCTCCAGAATCTGGGGTGAGCTCCCTCTTCAAAGGCAGGGACTCTGGGATTTGTTTAAGTAGCCCCCGTGGCCTTTCATAGCAGGGTGCACGGGGGGAAGAGCGGGGTTCCTGGAGCAAAATCAGTCCAGTTCCCATGACAAAGTTCCCTGAGGCACCGTACGGTCCCTGGAGCCCTTGGACACCCCGTCTCATCCCTAGGACGGGAGGCTGATGCAGGTTTCCCGCGACCTGACAGCATGGAGTGGGGACGGCGGGTGTTCTGTGTTGAGATGCCAGCTGGTATGGACTTCAGTTCTGCGGGTGTCGTCTAAGCAGGTCTAGGATTAGTCTGATTCATTTCCTGAACCCACACACAGGGGCTGCGCAGGTGTGTAATTCCACCCTGCCCTCCAGAACCTCCTGGCTTAACAGGAAAAGCAAAGTCCTGTGTGTTGGCTGCCACGTGGGCTGTGCAGGTGACATGCCCGTCCACATGCCACAGCCCTGTTTCCTGAGAGGAATGATTTGGCATCCTCAGGTCCAGGCCTCCTGTGCATGCTAAGGGAGCATCCATGCTAAGGAGCCGCGGGGGTGGCAGGGCCGGGGGGGGTGGCTGGGCCAGGGGAGTGTTGGGGCGGCATGTGCAGGATGTTCAGAAGCCCATGGACCTTGGGTGGTCACCGGGTGGTCCTGTGGGATGCTGACCAGGCCCCTGCCTGAGAGTGGGGCACGCGGACCACAGCACCCTTAGGCTGGTATCGGGACGTTAGGACGAGGAAGGATTTCTGGGGTGGGTTCCACAGGGAATGGACACTGTTTACTTGAGATGTGTCCCTAGAACTAAGAAGACTGGGCACAGTGGCTCACGCCTGTAATCCCAACACTTTGGGAGGCTGAGTGGATGGATCGCTTGAGCCCAGGAGTTAGAGAGACCAACCAGGTCTCTGAGGGCAACACAGAGAGACCCCATCTCTCAAAAAAAAAAAAAAAAAGAAACAGCTGGGCATGGTGGCACACACCTGTGGTCCCAACTACTTGGGAAGCTGAGGTGGGAGGATTGCATGAGCCTGGGAGGTCGAGGCTGCAGTGAGCTGAGATTGCACCCCTGTACTCCAGCCTGGGTGACACAGTGAGACCTGTCTCAAAAAAAAAAAGAAGAGGAGACATTGGTGGCTACTAATGGTGTGCTGACAAGGGTCAAAGGTCACATTTTATGGCATGAAATAGCAGTAAGTTATGATTGGCAGGTACCTTATCCCAGCATCATGAACTCTGGGGGCTTGCTGTGAGATTTTCTTCATCATCCGTGCGGTCAGAAAAACCACGGCTCAGCCTCACTGGGTTGCAGAGCAGAGGTCTTTGGGCTAAATTTGGCCACAGATTTTTTTCTTTGTTAGATTTGCATGGTGAGTTTTTCTCTTCCTTTTAAAATTGTAGCTAATGTTTTACAATCAGAAGGTTTCCCATAAAAGACGAAACTTGGGCGCATCCCTGTATGACAGCAGCAGCCGCAGCGGAGGCAAGGGCTGGGGACACGCAGTCGCGTCTGGATAAGTCGCAGCTCAGGGCTGACCTGTGGGCGTCACGTGGGTTCTGGCTTCCCCCACCTTCCATCTGTGTATCAGACCCATCAAGGGCTGTGTCAGGGTGGACGTGGTGGGCGGGGAGGGGCGGGGGACAGTTTGACCATCTCTGAGTTTCCTGCACGTGAGATTTCTGGACTCTCCCTGGCAGTGGTGGGCAGGGCTGGTTTTTGGTCTTCCTTGGCATAGGCAAGCACTCACCTTTAATTTTTAATGAAGATCAGATGTTCACACAGCTCATGTTTACTGAGCGGCGGGTTGCCAGGGAAATGCGTTTGCATTGCATGTCATTGCAGGGGGAATCAGGCCTCCCAGCCACTCGGATCTCTTGGGTGTTCTTCCTCTGGGGTGACCCTTACTGCTTGGACTCTAAGCGGGCCGGGCATGTGGAGGTCAGTGTGGCCCGTGCCACTTCTGGGCCTCAGCATCCCCTGCAGTGTGTGTGGGTGTGATCCACAGACTTCCACACTGTACTTGGCACTGCTCCAGTGGGCGCAGTGGGCAGCGGCCTGCTCTCTCACCCTGTTCCCTCTGCCGGTCCTCACGTGGCAGCTTGCATTAGGGAGAGTCCCAGGGACCGCTGTGCTCCCCTGTGCTCTTAGCTGGGAACTCGCTCTTGTTCTCGTTGCATATGCCCAAGAGGCGAAAGACATCTGGGGCCTCCCGACGGCTGCGTGAGGTCTGGAGCGGCATGTTCTGCCACCTTGACCCTGCCCTGCCATGAGCGTGCCCACACACGTGCACCCATGTCACTGGCAGACACTCAGTGCCCCGTGACACACGGGAAACCCGTGGGCCCTCCTGCTGGATGGGAGGCCACTGCGCGTGGCTCAGTTTAATCCGGGAACTTCTAGTATCAAAGCTGATTGACAGCAGGCACTGTTTTCATCTGTAAGTCACAAGCATGAAATAAATTTAATTCTAGTGGATCACAACAAGCACTAAAAAGCACAGAGAACAGAATGGAAAAAGAAGCAGCTGGAAGTCAGCGTGCTCTCAGCTGCCCCTAGCAGGCATTACCCAGACTGTGGCAAATGCTGCAGTGGTCTGCAGAGAGGGAGTCAGCAAACGCGTGAGCCGCACGAGAACCAGGAGGCCAGCCTCACTCGCTGACATGGCATTTGATTTTTCTGGAATGTGATGGCCATTTGATCATTACCTCTATTGAAGAGCTCACTGCATGTCAATACGAGTCACTGTGGTGTCTCACGAGAATTCTGTCACGAGAATTTATCTCTGTCAGCAAAAGAATATGAAAGTGCCCCCAATTCCCACCTTCCGCCCTTTGCAAGATGTTCCCACAGCATCTGTCCACCTGGGTCAGGTGTGTTTTCTCCCGCGGATGCTGTGGCATGTCCACACACCACGTGCTGTGCGGGGATGCTGCTTGGTGCCGGCAATTTGAGACTAACCCTCAGAGGGCAGTTCCTTCTGCTTCTAGAGGACCGTCCGCATTCTTCTGTGTGCCAGCCCTCGGTGGTCCCACTGCCGTCCACATGACCTGCCCTCAGATGAGCAGGCGCCAGCTCTCCAACCGGTGGACGCTGGCAAGTGTTTCCTGAGCCCCCGCAGGGAGCTGCTCTCCGTTTGCTCAGATTCTTGGCCCGGTTCTTTATCTCCTAATTAGAAATGAGAGTATCGAAGACTAGGGCGTAATGCCGATGACACACCGAGGTGAGGAGAGCAGGAGAAGGGGTAAGTGCTGCTAGGCTGGAGGCGTCTCACTGTGGAGTTCTCTCACTGTGGAGTCCTCAGCTTAACACAGGGACAATGGCCTGAAGGAGGAAGGAGGCAGAGCCTCCATCTTGAGCCCAGCCTTCTTTTTCTTTTTTTTTTGAGATGGAGTTTTGCTGTCTTTCGCCCAGGCTGGAGTGCAGTGGCGCAATCTTGGCTCACTGCAAGCCCCGCCTCCCTGGTTCATGCCATTCTCCTGCCTCAGCCTCCTGAGTAGCTGGGGCTACAGGTGCCCGCCACCACACCCGGCTAATTTTTTGTGTATTTTTAGTAGAGTCGGGGTTTCACCATGTTAGCCAGGGTGGTCTCGATCTCCTGACCTCGTGATCCGCCCACCTTAGCCTCCCAAAGTGCAGGGATTACAGGTGTGAGCCACCCCGCCCTGCTGAGCCCAGCCTTTTTGGCAAGAAAGGAAGCCATCATTTATCGGACATTTTTGTGCTTGAAACTTTTTCACCCTTTATCTTATTCCAGTTTCTAATCCCCTATGGGGTTCATCGCTCCACCCCCTTTACACCATGCTCCAGGCTTAGCGGCTTACCCACAGTAAGACTGCAGCCAGATACAGGCCAAAGCCACGCCAAGTCCAGCCACTCATTGCCACCTGGGGAATGTGTTCCCACCATGGCCGCACCACTCCAGGTCTCCTGAGTCAGCAAGGAAGCCCTTGTCCTGAGCCGCACCCAGTGCAGATTGACCCTCAAACAACATGGGGGTTAGCGCCCCAGCCCCACACAGTTGAAAACTTTTGACTCCCCCAGCACTTAACTACTAACAGCCTACTGTTGACTGGACGCCTTGCGATAATGTAAATAGCCGATGAACACATATTTCCTATGTGGCCTGATTTATATGCTGTATTATTACAATAAAATAAGCTAGAGAAAAGAAAACGTGGTTAAGAAAACCATAAGGAAGAGAAAATGTGTTTACTATCTGGTAAGTGGAAGTGGATCATTACAAAGGTCTCCATCCTCATGGTCTTCATGTTGAGTGGGCTGAGGAGGAAGAGGAGAGGAGGGATCAGTCGTGCTGTCTTAGCGGTGGTGGAGGTGGAGAAGACGGAGGAGGTGGAAGGGGAGGCAAGAGAGGCAAGTGAGCTTAGTGTCACTTTTATTGAAAAATCTGGCCAGGCGCGGTGGCTCATGCCTGTAATCCCAGTACTGTGGGAGGCCGAGGCGGGCAGATCACCTGAGGTCAGGAGTTCAAGACCATCCTGGCCAACATGGTGAAATCCCGTCTCTACTAAAAGTACAAAAGTTAGCCGGGTGCGGTGGCAGGCGCCTATAATCCCAGCTACTCAGGAGGCTGAGGCAGGAGAATCACTTGAACCTGGGAAGCGGAGGTTGCAGCGAGCCAAGATCACACCACACCTGGGTGACGAGCAAGACTCCATTTCAAAAACAAAAAAAAAAGAAGAAAACCCCACATTAGTGGACCCTTGAAGGTTAAGCCCATGTTGTTCAGAGGTCAGCTATATTCTTCTTCTTCTTTTTTTGTTTTCCTGAGACTGAGTCTCACTTTGTTGCCCAGGCTGGAGTGCACTGGTGTGATCTCGGCTCACGGCAACCTCCGCCTCCCGGGTTCAAGCAACTCTCATGCTTCAATCTCCTGAGTAGCTGGGATTACAGGCACACACCACCACACCTGGCTAACTTTTGTATTTTTAGTAGAGACGGGGTTTCACCATGTTGGCCAGGCTGGTCTCGAACTCCTGACCCGAAGTGCTCTGCCTGCCTCGGCCTCCCAAAGTGCTGGGATTACAGGCGTGAGCCACTGTGTCCGCCCTGTGTTCTTATTCTTGACGTTCCTCAATAAAGCTGTGCAGACAATATTGAATTTTGTTCCTCTATTAACTTTTCTGTCCCTTTTTAGAGACAATAATTCCATTTATTAATCTGTGTGTAAAAGGAACGTGTGTAAACTAATGACCCTGCTGGCATCTTTGTCTTTTTCTCTTGCCAGAGGAGCAGGTACACCTTGCTGCAGGTCCAGTGTGGCAGAAGGTGCCTGGATTCACCCCAGGGCGTCCTTGGTCCTGTTCAGTCTCTTGCCCTGTCCCGAACACTTGTAGCTATTCAGAGTCATACCCAAGTGGGATCCTTATCCCTCCACCCAGAGTGGCCACCCTCTCGCAGCCGCTCGCCCTTTCCTTCCCAGCGGCCTCTGCCTCTCCCCAGCTCCTGCCCCTACGTCGCCTTCCTCCACCCACGGGGAATCCTCTGAACCCTGACCCTGACAGTGAGGCTGTCCCCACCACCTCCCTGCCCCAGCACCTGTGTCGCTCCTTCTGGCAGGACGCACGTGGACTGCCTGGTCTTGTGCTGGCACCCCTGGCACGGCACGGCCTGCAGCCTGGCTAACATGGCAAAACCCTGTCTCTACTAAAAATACAAAAATCAGCTGGACCTGGTGGTGGGAACCTGTAATCTCAGCTACTTGGGAGGCTGAGGAGGGAGAATCGCTTGAACCGGGAGGTGGAGGTTGCGGTGAGCCGAGATGGAGCTATTGCCCTCCAGTCTGGGCAGCAGGAGCAAAACTGCATCTCAAAAAAAAAAAAAAAAAAAAGATGGGAGGCCCAGGTGGGGCACACCGGAGGGTGGGGACCCTGAGAGTCACTCTGGACCCCACATCCTATACCCAGGAGGAGGATGCACACAGACACCTCCTGAGACCTCTGCTCTCCAGCCAGACTTCATCCTCTGTAACCCACCCCCTCCCCATCAAGTCTGCTCCCCTGGGGCTGGCTTCACTTCAGAGGGAATCAGGAGGCCCCACTACTGGCCTTTCAAAGGTTTCTACAGTGCTCAAAGGCCCAGTTCAGACACTACCCTCCCAGGTTCCTAGAACTTGATTTCCATGGGCCACAACTTTAAAAATGATGCAAAATTACCACAAATGTTATAGCAATTTTTTTTGCATTTAGCTACGGCAAAAATACGGTATTTTAGCTATATTGCAGGTTTTATAGCCAACCTAGGAAGCTAACCACAAATTATAACATTCTTCTGTGTAAGGATATATCATACATGCCTAACAGTAATTCCAGAATAAGCTTTTGGAAGCCACCTTCCTCAAACTTGGCTTTGCTGTCTTCAATCCCATGCTCTCCTGGGCAAGTTCTTTCAGGCCTTGGACTTCAGTTACCCGTCACCTCCCACAGCTCTGCTGCCAGCCCAGAACTTTCTTTGATGTGCAAGCCTGTAATTACAGCTGCCCAGCAGATGAACACGCCCCAGGTGGCTCGGGTGGAATGGGTCCTTGCTGGTTCCCAGGGTGGAGCATGTCCGGTGCTGTCATCCCCTGGGCCCCTGGAAGTCTCCCCTGTCTCCTCCCCCTGCACTCCAGTTCGCGCCACACTTGGGCTCTGCCTCACTTGCAAGCTCCGTGGTTCCAGCTGTCCCGGGTCCTGTCACGTGTCTCCCTCCCACTTGGATTTCTGAACCAGGCACTGTCCTGCAGACAGAGGCCATGTCTCGAGCATGTTTCCCCAAATTTCACATGGTAGCTGGCCCGGAATGGTCCGCATTTGCTGCTTGAATGGGTGAGCAAATCGTGTGAAAAATCACAGCCTCCATTTGGTGACTCGGCTGAATAAAACATCCCGCCGTCTGGTAACATTGAGCTGCCCACAGTTATTTATTTGTGAGTTTAAAAGTGACCTATAACCTTCCTTTTTGGGGGAGGGGGTATTAAAAAAGCTGTTCGGGAGGCTGAGGCAGGAGAATGGCGCGAACCCGGGAGGCAGAGCTTGCAGTGAGCCGAGATCGAACCACTGCACTCCAGCCTGGGCGACAGCGTGAGACTCTGTCTCAAAAAAATATATATATATATGTATATCTTTTTTCTTTTTGGAGATGGGGTCTTGTGCTGTTGCCAGGGCTGGAGTGCAGTGTCACCATCATAGCCCACTGCAACTCCTGAGCTCAAGCGATCCTCCCTCCTCAGCCTCCCAAAGTGCTGGGATTACAGGTGCACACCACCACACCCAGCCTGAATTTCTAATGAGAATATTAAAGCAGAATATTCTCAGCTTCTTGGAGTTGGACTGATTTTACCTGTGTGGATTCTGACGAATTCTTTGACAGAAGGACGTGGTGTTTTTACAGATGCCTGCTCTGTGCCTGTATCTGAGATCATCGCCGTTGAGGAAACAGACGTTCACGGGAAACATCAAGGCAGTGGAAAATGGCAGAAAATGGAAAAGCCTTACGCTTTTACAGGTGATAAGCCTAAATGTCTTCTCCCACATTCTTCATTAATTCTATGTAGATTACACGAGAGGGAACTTTTCTGTTACTTGTTTAACAAGCTCAATGCATTGGTTTATCTTTATGAAATCTTCCTATTTTTTTCCCCAAATGCTACCTTTAGTTAATGTTTTAGTTAATGGTCATTTTTCCCCTTATTTTTATTTATTTATTTTTTTGAGACAGAGTTTTGCTCTTGTTGCCCAAGCTGAAGTGCAGTGGCGCGGTCTCGGCTAGTTCAACCTCTGCTTCCTGGGTTCAAGCAATTCTCCTGCCTCAGCCTCCTGAGTAGCTGGGATTATAGGTGCCCGCCACCACACCCGGCTACTTTTTTGTATTTTAAGTAAAGACGGGGTTTCACCATGTTGGCCAGGCTGGTCTTGAACTCCTGACCTCAGGTGATCTGCCCGCCTCAGCCTCCCAAAGTGCTGGATTACAGGCGTGAGTCATCACAGCCAGCCCTTTTCCCTTATATGACTTAAAAGGTTTGAAAGATCGGATGTTTTTTTCTAATATACCTTGAAAGTTACTAATTAGAAGGGAGGAGAACCCCTGGGAAATTTTGGTTAGGAACCTATAATTAGCTGCATTTGGTGCATATTCACTTGAGGTTTTGTCAGTGACCCTGCAAACTTTGCACTAACGAGCATGCTTGCTTCTGTGCAGTTCACTGTGTAAAGAGAGCACGACGGCACCGCTGGAAGTGGGCGCAGGTGACTTTCTGGTGTCCAGAGGAGCAGCTGTGTCACTTGTGGCTGCAGACCCTGCGGGAGATGCTGGAGAAGCTGAGTACGTGTGTGTTTGGACTGAGAGACAGGATGGCCGTGGTGGCATGCGCATGCCTGATTGGGTGATCTTCCTGAAGTGTCTCCCCGTTTCGTGCAGCTGGCCATACCCCAGGTGGACATGATGAGTCAGGCTGACTTAATTTCTCATGAGCAGACCATCCCAGTGAATGCAAAGGGCATGGGCTCCACAGCCTGGACCCTGGCATGGAGTCCAGCCCCCTGCTCACTGGCCAGGAGGCCTGGGGGCGGGTCACTTACCCTTCTGAGCCTCAGTTTCTCTTTCTGGAAGCGGAGATGGTAATAGCTTTTACATTCGAGGTGAATGTGAGAATTAAACTGGGCACATGGAGGAATACACCTCACATCTGTCTGGGATGCGTCCATGTCTTTTTTCTTTTCTTTTCTTTTCTTTTTCAAGATGGAGTCTTGCTTGGTTGCTCAGGCTGGAGTTCAGTGGCGCGATCTCAGCTCACTGCAACCACCACCTCCTGGGTTCAAGTGATTCTTCTGCCTCAGCCTCCCGAGTAGCTGGGACTACAGGCATGCGCCACCACGCCTGGCTAATTTTTGTATTTTTAGTAGAGATGGGGTTTTACCAAGTTGGCCAGGCTGGTCTCAGACTTCTGACCTCAGGTGATCTCCCCACCTTGGCCTCCTGGAGTGCTGGGATTACAGGTGTGAGCCACCACGCCCAGCCAGGGATGTGTCCACATCTGAAATGTAGTAGGAGCCTGGAGCCTGGTGGGTTAGTTATTGCATGCTGAGTAACAAGACTTTGTCACCCTTAAAAAGTGGTAGGATGGCTAGAGACATAATCTGTACACCAAACCCCCATGACACGCACTTTACCTATATAACAAACCTGCACATGTACCCGTGAACTTAAAAGTTTAAAAAAAGGAACATATGGTAGACACACACACACACACACACACACAAAGTGGTAGGTGTTCATTCATTTTGTATTCATAACACTATTTCATGTTGTTTGCTTATAACCTTAATAGGCAATTTTTTTTGAGACAGGGTCTCGCTCTGTCACCCGGGGTGGAGTGCAGTGGCATGATCTTAGCTCACTGCAGCCTCTACCTTCCGGGCTCAAGTGATCTTCCCACCTCAGTCTCCTGAGTAGCTGGGACTACAGGTGTGTGCCACCACGCCTGGCTAATTTTTTTTGTACAGACAGGGTTTTGCCATATTGCCCAGGCTGATCTCAAACTCCTGTGCTCAAGCCATCTTCCTACCTTAGCCTCCCAAAGTGCTAGGATTACAGGTGTAAGCCACTGAGCCCAGCCAATACACAGTCTTGACAACTCAGCACAGGCTTCACCCATAGAATAGAAATGGCATGTGTTTAGGTTAGTTTTATATATTTTTGAATGAATTTGGCACCTACATCAAGAAAGTGAATTTCAGTTTATTAAAAGGAGGCATTCCCATATATCTGCTTCAGAGCAGCATCATTGCTTGAAGGAGCCCTCCTCTTGATTACAACTGGGGCAGGAGGGCCTGTGCTTCCATACTTCCCTGTTTAATCCTGGGGGACTTGGCCTCCACCACCTGCTGTCGTGAAAAGCTCATCCTGACCGTCCTCACATCTCAAACCACCACAAGCCCCGTTCCTCTGCATGTCGTTCCGCACTAGGCTGTTCAGAAGAGTGCATCTGTTTCTCCCGCCTTCCCCTCCTCTGTTTGTCTCTCGACTCCCCCTTTCCGTCCGTCCTGCTTTCTCCTTCCCTTTCCTCCCATCAAACCTGTTTTCATGAGACTTTGGCTGACTGGATTCCAGACCTGATCCTATAGGTGCAGACTCCAAGAGAAAGTCCTCTGAACCCTGCCTCCCACTGGAGAATGTGGGTTCATTTTCATCTTTATAATTGTGCATTTGATATAGTCTCCTTGTAGCTAAAAATTGTATATGATTCTATTGTTTCAGCTACTCTACAATTTTAACTTCTAACCCTGTTATCTGTTTTAGTGGGTTTTTTTCTTTGTTTTGTTCTTGGTTTTTGAGACAATCTCACTCCATCATCCGGGCTGGAGTGCAGTGGTGCAATCTCGGCTTACTGCAAACTCCTCCTGGGTTCAAGCGATTCTCCTGTCTCAGCCTCCTAAGTAGCTGAGATTATAGGCACCCATTACCACACCTGGCTAATTTTTGTATTTGTTGTAGAGACAGAGTTTCGCCGTGTTGGCCAGACTGGTCTCGAACTCCTGACCTCAAGTGATCCGCCTACCTCGGCCTCCCAAAGTGCTGGGATTACAGGCTGTTTTAGTATTTGTCATATCACAGACCCAGAGGATCTCATTCTGAGTGTGCACTGGGTGAATTTTCACGCTGAGCACACTTGTGTAACCAGCACCCAGATAAAGGAGCAGAATATTGCCAGCCCCAGGGTCCCCCACCGTGCCCCTGTGGTCATGACTCCCCAAAGGGGAACCACTGCTGCGACTTCTAAACAACTAGGTTCACTGTTGTACTTGATAGAAATCAGATCATACAGTATGAAACCTTTTGTGCCTGGCTCTCGGCTCAACATGACACTTGTGAAGTTTTCCACGCTGTTTTCCACCGTGGTGGCGAGTAGTCTTGCATAAATTTTCCACGCTCTCGCGTGGGGCTGCCGTTTGTCCATTCTCTAGGCCGTATGGTATTCCGTGATGTGAATGTTACGGCCATTTATTCACCCATGGTACAGTGGCTGGTCATTTGGACAGCTTCCTGATGTGGGCTGTCATGAACAGTAGCATTGGGAACATTCTAGAGCATGTCTTTTGCACCCGTCTGCATTTCTCCTGGGTGCATACCTGGGAATGGAGTCGCTGGGTTGTAGGTGTTTGTTGCATGTGTTGACTTCAGAAGACGCTGCCAGCCTGCATTCCACCCTCAGGGTTCGGGAGTTCTGGTTGCCCCACATCTTAGCCACACCTTTACGTCTTAGCCATGGTGGTGTTAATAGTCTTGCACTGTGGTTGTAGTTTGCACTCCCTAATGGTTAATGAGGTTGAGAAACACATTCATATGTTCATGGGCCATTCAGATATCGCCTTTTGTGAGGTTCTGTTCAAGTCTTTTGTCCATTTTTCCGTTTGGTTGTTATCTTTCTCTTCCTTCCTTTCTTTCATTCTTTTTTTCTTTTTTTTTTGGTGGGGGGACAGAGTCTCGCTCTGTTGCCCAGGCTGGAGGGCAGTTGCGCGATCCTGGCTCACTGCAACCTCTGCCTCCTGGGTTCAAGCAATCCTCAGCCTCCTGAGTAGCTGGGACTACAGGCGTGTGCCACCACGCCTGGCTAGTTTTTTTGTATTTTTTAGTAGAGAGGGGGTTTTGCTATATTGGCCAGGCTGATCTTGAACTCTTGGCCTCAAGTGATCTACCTGCCTCAGCCTCCCAAAGTGCTGGGATTATAGGCATGAGCCACCATGCCCAGCTGGTTGTATCTTTTTCTTAATGATGTGTAGAAACTGTTTACATATTGTGGATCTGAATCTTTTATTGAATTTATTAATTACATAAATTTATGTAATTAATAAGAATTACCAATTCTGTAATTTGCCTTTTCAATCTCGTATTTTTTTTTTTTAAGAGACGGGGTCTTGGCCGGGCATGGTGGCTCACGCCTATAATCCTAGCACTTTGGGAGGCCGAGGCGGGTGGATCACCTGAGGTCAAGAGTTCGGGACCAGCCTGGCCAACATGGTGAAACCCCATCTCTACTAAAAATACAAAACTTAGCCAAGCATGGTGGCACACACCTGTCATCCCAGCTACTCGAGAGGCTGAGGCAGGAGAATCACTTGAACCCTGGGGGTGGAGGTTGCAGTGAGTCGAGATCATGCAACTTCACTCCAGCCTGGGCGAAAGAGCAAAACTCCATCTTTAAAAAAAAAAAAAAAAGGGAGATGAGGTCTTGTTCTGCCACCCAGGCCGGAGTGCAGTGGCACAATCACGGTTCACTGCAGCTTTGAACTCCTGAGCTCAAGCAATGCTTCTGCCTCAGCCTCGCAAGTAGCTGAGACTACAGGCACATGTCACCGTGCCTGGCTGATTTTTTGAAAATTTTTTCATAGAGCTGGGGTCTTGCTGTGTTGCCCAGGCTGGTCTCAAACTCCTAGGCTCAAAGAATCCTCCCACCTCAGCCTCCCAAAGCATTGATATTACCAGGGTGAGCTACTATACTCGGCCTATTTTTATGATTTTAAAAAACTTTCTGGTAAGCTTGTGTCCTATTGAAGATATCTTTGTCTACTCCAAAGTCACGAAGACGTTTTATTCTCCAAGCTCTATTGTTTTCCGCTTCACATTTGGATCTATGTAATCCATTTGGAATTCATCTTTGTGTCCAGTGTGAGGTGAGCAGTCAAGATTCATTTTCCTCTTTCTTTTTATGTATTCATTTTTTTAAGACAGGGTCTTGCTCTGTCACCCAGGCTGCAGTGCAGCTATGCGATCATAGCTCACTGTGGCCTTGAACTAGTGGGCTCAAGCGATCCTCCTGCCTCAGCCTCCCAAGTAGCTGGGACTACAGGCACGAACCACTGTGCCCAACCTAGTATTTTCATTAACTATAAACATCTGCTTGACCCTGTGGCATTTACGGGAAAGTCTCGTTTTCCCTACTGCACTGTTTATTTATTTTTTATTGTTTGTGTATAGAAATGTGATAGAATTGTGTATTTCACCTTGCATTCAATGACCTTGCAAACTTCACTTATGGATGCTAATAGTTTGATGATTATTTTAGATTTTTGTCAAACACGATCATGTCAGCTGTGCATAATAACAGTTGTGTTTCTTCCATTTTAATTCTTCTCTCTTTTATTTCTTTTCCTTATGTTTTTGCCCTGGCTTGGACCAACACAGGGGTGCTAGCAGCATCCTTGTCTCAGTCCTGATCTCAGGGGAAAGATTTTAGTGTTTCACCATTAAGAATGATGTTTCTTATGTTTTTAATAGATTTTAAAAATCAGATTAAGACAGAATTTCCTTTTAATCCTACTTTTCTGAGAGTTTTGGTTTTTTTAAGTGGAGAATGGGTATTTAATTTGATAAATGCCTTTTCTGCATCTATTGAGATGACTGTATGACTTTCTTTTTTTTTTTCAATTAATGTGTTGAGTTACATTAATTTCTCATTGTTGCAGTCCTGGAGTAAACAAACCTCTCTTGGTTGTGATGTAGTACTGTTTATGTGTCACTGGATTTGACTTACCGATATTGTGTTTAGGATTTTTGCACGTAGGTTCAGGGGAGGGATGTCTGAATATGAGCCCCTTTCTGATAACATCTTTGTCTGGTTTTGTTCCCAAGGTCACAGTGGTGTGTCATACAAAGAGTTCATACGTGTTTGTTTTTTTCTGTTCTCTGGAAGCGTTCCTATAATCTTGAGGCTATTTTTTCCTTAAATGTTTGGAAGAATTCAGTTGTGAAATCATCTGGGCTTGGAGTTTTCTTTGTGAGAAGTTTTCATTAATAGCTTTGGTGTCTTTATTAGCTGTCAGACTATTCAGATTTTCTATTTCTTCTGGTATCTCTGACAAATTTTGCTTTTTGAGAAGTTTAACCATTTCATCCAAATTCGTGAGTTTATTAGCATGAACTTATTAGTAAATTCTTTCATTTTCTTTGTAATATTGGTAGAATCTGGAGTAATGTCTCACTCTGTAGCCCAGGCTGGAGTGCAGTGGCACGACCATAGCTCACTGCAGCCTCGACCTCCCAGGTTCAAGTGATTCTCTCACCTCAGCCTCCAGAGTAGCTGGGACTACAAGGGCATACCACCACACCCAGCTAATTTGTTTGTTTGTTTGTTTATTTTGACATGGAGTCTTACTCTGTCACCCAGGCTGGAGTGCAATGGCGCGATCTTGGCTCACTGCAACCTCCACTTCCTGGGTTCAAGTGATTCTCCTGCCTCAGCCTCCTGAGCAGCTGGAATTACAGGTGCTTGCCACCATTCCCAGCTAATTTTTGTATTGTTAGTAGAGACAGGGTTTCACCATGTTGCCCAGGCTGGTTTCAAACACCTGACCTCAAGTGATCTGCCCACCTCGGCCTCCCAAAGTGTTGGGATTAACAGGCGTGAGCCACTGAGCCTGGCCTGATTTTTTTTGATCGTTTGTCGAGACAGAGTCTCACTATATCGCCCTGGCTGGTCTTGAACTCCTGTGCTCATATGATCCTCCTGCCTTGGCCTCCCAAAGTGTTGGGATTACAGGTGTCAGCCACTATGCCTGGCCAAAATCCTAAGTTTCAATCAATGACTTCTGAAACACACATACCTTTGTAACTCAAACCCATCAAGGCTTCTGTCACCCCAGAAGTTTTACGTGTGCTCCTGGGTGGAAGCCTCCAGTCTCTCTGCATACTGTTTTCACATTGATTCATGTTGGTCGCACCCAGTAGTTTGCTTATTTCATGACTGAAGGATGCTCCGTTGATGTGTGGACTGCGTCTCGATTTCTTCTTCAGGTGATGGGCGTTCAGGCTGTTCCCACTGCTTGGCTGTGGTGAAGAATGCTGTGATGAACATTTGTGTCTGTGTTTTTTTGTTTGTTTGTTTTTTTTTTTTTTTTTTTTTGAGATGAAGTCTCACTCTGTCGCCCAGGCTGGAATGCAGTGGCGCGACCTTGGCTCACTGCCAGCTCCGCCTCCCGGGTTCATGCCATTCTCCTGCCTCAGCCTCCCAAGTAGCTGGGACTACAGGTGCCCGCCACCACGCCCGGCTAATTTTTTTGTATTTTTTTTTAGTAGAGACGGGATTTCACCGTGTTAGCCAGGATGGTCCCGATCTCCTGACCTCGTGATCCGCCCACCTCGGCCTCCCAAAGTGCTGGGATTACAGGCATGAGCCACCGCGCCTGGCCCTGTGTCTGGATTTTTGTATGGACTTAGGTTTTCAGTTTCCTTGGGTAGATACTGTCTTGTTACTTTTATTGATTTGTTAGTTAAATGTGTTCTTTTAAGTAGCAGAGTCACATGAACCCACCAAAACAGAAATGTGGAAGTTGTTATAAGAAAATGGGGGTGACTCTGGCTAACACGGTGAAACCCCATCTCTACTAACAATACAAAAAATTAGCCGGGCGTGGTGGCGGGCGCCTGTAGTCCCAGCTACTCAGGAGGCTGAGGCAGGAGGATGGCATGAACCCAGGAGGCAGAGCTTGCAGTGAGCTGAGATCACACCACTGCACTCCAGCCTGGGCGACAGAGCGAGACTCCATCTCAAAAAAAAAAAAAAAGAAAAGAAAAGAAAATGGGGGTGACTGAGGAAACCCAGGCATGGGAGTTTGGCGGGGCCCCTGGAGAGATGGAAACGAGGTCACTGGTTTCTGTCTTTCCATCTCTGCAAGCATCTCCCTGTGTGGCTTCTTCTTTCCATACCTGCTGGTCCGCTTTTCCTAAGACTCTTCCCTCTGTCTGCTTCCTTCTTCCTGCTGTCTGCACACTCACCTCCTTCACCTGCAGAAGAACGAGGCTGCTGCCCCCAGCATGTGTACCCGACAGCACCCTTCAGAGCAGAGAGAGCCCTTCTCAGTCGGAATTCTGAGTTCGTGGGAGTTTCATGATGTCCGACATGTGTGTATAGCCTTTGCCCAGTTGGACAACCTGTTGATTTTCTCTTTTCATAGATCAGGAAGCTCTTTGTCATTGTTCTTTAAGATTTAAAAATACTTTCCATCAGGTAATACTAAGCAGAATTCTAAAACCCTCATGGTTTGATTTTGTCCAGTAACAGAGCTCTTCGTTTTGATTTTGTTATTTTCGTTGTTATTTACATGTTGTTGTCTTACAGCGTCCAGACCAAAGCATTTACTGGTATTTATCAACCCGTTTGGAGGAAAAGGACAAGGCAAGCGGATATATGAAAGAAAAGTGGCACCACTGTTCACCTTAGCCTCCATCACCACTGACATCATCGGTAACAAATTCTATGTTAACTATGTAGAAGTAAGTTTGAGAATGATTCAAGTATAGTCACTAGAGACGTTTCTGCTTTTTCTAGACGGTGTCTCACTCTGTTGCCCAGGCTGGAGTGCAGTGGTGCAATTGTGGGTCACTGTAACCTCAGCCTCCTTGACTCAGATGATCCTCCTGCCTCAGCCTCCCAAGTAGCTGGCACCACACCTTGTGCCACCATGCCTGGCTAATTTTTGTATTTTTTGTATAGGCGGGGTTTCACCATATTGCTTAGGCTGGTTTCGAACCCCTGGGCTCAAGCAATGTTGCCCACCTTAGCCTCCCAAAGTGCTGGGATTATAGGCATGAGCCACTGTGCCCAGCCCAAGATTTTTATCCTGTAAGATTATTTTAAACAAAATAGAACTTTTTTTTACATACCAGAATGGGAAGAATACAAAATAAATAACTTAGTATTTTCCAGCCAATTCTCAGCATAGAAGGCAATCAAGAAAAACACTAGGAAGATAAAAGGGCAACGATTCTGGACAGAAAATTCTCAAAAGAGGAGACACAAAGGATTAATAAGTCTTAGAAATAATCTCACATCACACACCGGGGCCTGTTGTGGGGTGGGGGGACTTTCAATAGAAGTTTACATCAGGTATAGAGACTGCACTAACATCTTCTTACTACACTTTGGTATAGTGTACAATTTTGGAAGTAACTTGTATAATAAGGAAAAATTATAAAAGAGACGTAATCTCTTTCAAAGAAATTATTATTTGCCGGCAATTAAATACCAGGAACGCTGCATGTCATCGCGCAGACTGTGGCCCGAGAGAGGTTCATGTTCACGTTCCCTGAGGTCAGCTTGATCCCGTCCCATAAGAGCGATGTAGAATTGAAGAGGGAATTTTATCTAGGAAATCCGCCTGAAGGTGTTACAGGAACTCATTTTAAAAGAATGGATGATTTGCCTTTTACGTGAGGACTCACAGATGTGAATATAAACTGTGTGATGTAATTTTTCCCCACAGTTACTGAACATGCTAATCAGGCCAAGGAGACTCTGTATGAGATTAACATAGACAAATACGACGGGTGAGTAAGCCGTCTTTCATCGCCATCAAGTCCATTGTTAATGAAAAAGTTCTACCCACCTCTCAGTTTTGAGAGCTCCTTTTCCTAAATCCGCCCCCCGCCTCCACCCACGACCAATTGTAAAAGTAAACATGCTTCTTACAGGAAGGCAAGAAAGAAAAGGCAGAAAAGTGCAGTCACACACTCCTCTCTGGCTGGGCTGGGCGAGAATGGTTGTTTGCTGGTTCTGTTCCCTTTCGGTCTTTCAGAAGATGTGCTTATGCGGTGCTGTGTAGACAGAGAAGCAAATCAACCAAGCACATTATCAAGAATGTTTAGATGCTGTCGTTTTTACAGTTTGGGATTCTTCTTTTCCCCAAAATTCCTAGAGATTTCCCAGAACTACTATTTTTAATGCCCATATCATGGTCCATTATGTGGGCATGCCATATTTATTTAGCCTCTCACTTGTAGATGTTCAGGCTCTTTCCAATTTTTGCTCTTAGGATAGCATTGTTGTACATAAATCTCTCTGCATACATCTACATTTTTAAGGTAAATTCCTAGAAATGAAATTAGTCATAGGAGATTAACATTTTAAAATCTCTGCCGTGTACAGCCATATTGCTTTCGAAAGAGATTCTATTAACTTACATTCTTTTTTTTTTTTTTCGTTTTTGAGGCAGAGTTTCGCTCTTGTTGCCCAGGCTGGAGTGCAATGGCGTGACCTCGGCAGCTTCGGCCTCCCAAGTCCAAATGATTCTCCTGCCTCAACCTCCCGAGTAGCTGGGATTATAGGTGCCCAACACCACGCCCAGCTAATTTTTGTGTTTTTAGTAGAGACAGGATTTCGCCATGTTGGCCAGGCTGGTCTCGAACTCCTGACCTCAGGTGATCCACGCGACCCGCCTCAGCCTCCCAAAGTGCTGGGATTACAGGCATGAGCCACCGCGCCCGGCCAGTTTACATTCTTTCTTATAGTATATTATTTACTGTCTTTGTCAACATGTTTGGTATTATCAGTATAAAATTTCTCTGCTAATTTGACATGTGAAAGTCTCTAATATTTTAAGAAATATGTTTATTGGCTAGCTGGCTTCTTGGAATTGATTTTTATGTCTTTGGCCCATTTTCTTTTGTTGGCCATAATTTCAGTCATTTGTTCTCTTATCCAACAAATAATAGGCAATTCATATTTATATTCATATTTTTGCAAATATTTTTGCTAATTTTGAAATTGTCTTTTAATTTTGCTTATGGCATTAATTCTTCCCAGTAGAAGTTTTCAAATTCATGTACTCAAGTCTGTCCAGCTCTTCTGTGCTGTTCTTTATGCTTAAAATTTCACTCTTCATCTTGAGTTTAGCTATTCCCCTGTAGTTAATTGCCTTGTCATTGGTTGGCTTTTTGTTTTCTTCTCTCTGTTCCATCTGGAGTCGGTGAGCAATGTGTTATAAATTGCAGCGGATATTTATTGAAATCATTATTCATTCCACAAACATTATTGAGGGTCCTCCAGGTCCCAGCACTCTGCTGGTGCTAAGGTTAGAAAGGGAAATAAAAGGAGCCCCTGCCCCCAGGTGCTGACAGGGAGACCCCTTTGCTCCCCTCCTAATGCGGGAGTGTTCTGTTCATGGGCTCCAGGAAGCAGGGGGCTCCTCCATGCACATCTCCCCAACTCCACCCGATGGCAGCTCCTCCATGTACTTCTTCCCACCACCTCCACCCGACAGCAGCTTGGCAGGAAGACAGTCGTCTTCACTTTTCAGCAGGGATGGGGCTGGCACCTTATTGCACCCACCCTAGCCAAGGGATCAGCCTCGCCTCTTGAGGGCACGCCTTCTCCCCAAACCCAGGGACATGCCGTGCAGGAGGCTGGGAGGCCTGGCCAGTGAGGGCTGCTCTTCCTGCGGCTGAGCTGTCTGTCTGAGTGATCTGTCTGTCTAACACACAGATGCTACACTGCCCATTCAAGGATGCCCTGTCCTCGAAACCACAGCCCCGCTGGGAAGGCTGCCCCGGTGCAAGGTGTAGGCTACGGGGAAGGGCAAAGAGCCTTCCCATGGGAGCCGGGCCCAAAGCAGGTGGCCTGAGTGGTGGGTGGTGGGCAGAGATCCCAGCCCTGGAGACTGGTCGCGCCTGCACAGACAGACCCACTGGGGAATGGGCAGGCACCTTGATGCTGTCATGCTTGAGGGAGGCCCCTCAGGCTGCACCCCCTAGTCGACTCACACCGCTCCTCTACCGGCGGACCTTCCCCCTGCAACCCTCTCTTCCCGGGTGATGAGAGCTCTTGGGCTGCCGTAGGCTATAGAGATGTCCAGGAAACCTGAGCCCTGTCCTCTGCCTTCCCTCTGGGCTGCAGTGACATGTCTGTCTCCATGCCTGCACCTCTCATTCTGCCACCTCAGTGTTGGTTCCCTGTGGGTTACCCCCGGCATAGGACAGCACACCCTGAAACCAACCCGTCCTTTCTCCCTTCAGCCACTGTCCCCTTTCTCCATCTCCTCTCCTTAGATTGTCTCATGCCCCATTTTGTCCGCATTTATTCCGTCCCCTCTGCTCTTGCCTTGGGTCCTCAAGACCACCCACACGGCTGGTGATTTGCTGCCTGAGCTAGAGTCGTGCTCTCGGCTGAGATTTCTGACGGGACAGAGCAAGGCTGCACAGCCAGCTTAGCAAAGGAGAAACGTCCCCGCGCAGACTGCTGTGCCTCTCCCGCAGTGCGGGTCACCTGGAGTGCACCCTCTCTGCTCCCACAAATGCAGCAGCACAGGTGTACTCTTCCCGCCCCGCAAACTTGAGTCCTGAGACCCAGAGTGTAGTGTTTTTGAGGGGGTACAGGCATGCAGGCATTCTCTGCCTAGCCACCCAAATTCCAGACTCACAGAAGGAAAGCCAGTATTTGCCATCAATCTCATTATTTGTACACGTGGTCTAGGCCAACTGGCACAGAGGCACGACCTTATCACTTAGGGACATTTCAGGAGCCGCACTTCTAGATGCCTGCCAAGGGCCAGGTGTGCAGGCTGCCCCTCCTGAAGCTGGAAGCCTCAGGCCTGCTGCGCTCAGAGGGCCGCACCTGCAGGAGCCCTGACCGGCTGTGTTCCTCCTGCAGCATCGTCTGTGTCGGCGGAGATGGTATGTTCAGCGAGGTGCTGCACGGTCTGATTGGGAGGACGCAGAGGAGCGCCGGGGTCGACCAGAACCACCCCCGGGCTGTGCTGGTCCCCAGTAGCCTCCGGATTGGAATCATTCCCGCAGGTATGGAGCCGGCCTGGCATTCTCTGTTCTCTTCGTTCCCGTCCTTAGGAATTGTTCTGCACAAGTAGCCACCTCGGACACTTAATAACCCAATTATACTCAGTTTAGTTCGTACAGATTTCCTAACATTAGGGCCACTCTTGGGGGGATATCATTGAGAGTATGACCCCAATGAAATAGACACTCGTGGAAAGGAAAGTTGCCCGACTCCCCCAAAGGCTGCTTCACGCAAGGCAGGAGAACCCCACCGCTGGGGGTGCAGTCCTGGAGTGGGGAACCCCCGGTGCCCGGGAGCAGGTGGGTAGGTTGGCAGGGGGTGCGTTCTGGAAGAAGTGGCTTCTGGACCTGAAGGAACCGGGAGTTAGGGGTGGGTGTGGGCAGGAATCGGGCTGGGGAGTTGGGAGGAGACTGAGTGGGAAAGGTGGGGGCGGAACCAAGGGCAGGACCTAGCCGAGCCCGGGAACAGCTGGGCTGTGTCCTGAAGTGCTGGTTCGGCTTGGTCCATTCAACATCCTTCTAGGAACCACCTTGTTCTTTGAAAAATCACAGTGTTAAGCTAAGTCAAGCTGAGGGCCTGAGCGTGGTGTGTTGCAGGCTTTGCAAATGACCTGGCAGGGGACGAGGTGTCTGTCCTCTCTGGCCCTGTGTCTGGCCCCGAGGGTGGCGGCATGGTGCACACTTTCACTCTCGTCACAGCTCTGGGATGTGAGCACCGCAGTCATCCCCATTTTATGGATGAAGACAGGAGGACTGGGGGTGAGGTCACAGGTCACCGGATGGGAGCGAGAGTTGGAGGTTTAGAGGCCACCTTGCCTCAAAGCAAGGGAAAGGCTAGCCCTCACGAGGGACAGGCCCTGAGCCACCTTCTCTGTGGGTGCCGCTCTCAACTCTAACCTGCCTCCGACAGGTGACATTGTGGGCCAGTGTTTACTTGAGGGAGTCATCCTTTAAACTTAAGTCATTACTCCTTCTTAATGACAGAGCTTGTGAATAATGGTGTGAGGCAAATGTTCCCCACGGATGGTGACATTGCGGGTGTTTTCAGTATCAAGACTCATTTTAGGGGGATTTGTGTTAGCATAATATCTCGTGAATTACTAATAATTGTTAGCAACAAGTTGACCATGGTCATGGTTTTAAGTATATAGGAAAGGATGATCGTCTGGTTACGATCCCTTCCCTTTGGCTTTTAGGGAAGGCGTGATGCAGTTATTAATAGAGAGGAACTTTTCATAATATCGCCTGATGAGTTTTAGAAGAATGTCACTCACCTGAGAAGAGTCCTGTCTAATGAGAACAGCCTGGCTCCAGGCTGGGAGACACTAAGGGGAGAAATGGTTCTTTAGAAATAGCTCAATAGAGAAAAAGCTCTCAGCACCCCTTCCAATAACAAGTCTCTCAGATAAACCAAAGCATTATAGCAACATCCCGCTGGATCTCGGGGGAGCCTCTGCTGGATTTCCTCACATCCTTCTCAGGCCTCCTGTGTGCCGCCGACCTCTCGGTTCCTGCCAGGCAGTTAGGAGTGGGGAGAGCGGAAGAGCTGGCCGGGAGCAGACGGCTCGGGAGGGCCCCTGGGCCTTGGCTGATGTCTGTCTTCCCCACAGGCAGGGAGGTTGGCTTTCACTCATGTGTCCTCGGTGGGGCACCCAGCCCTGGCACCCAAACTCCCTCTTAGATATCTGTTGAATGACTGAGCACAGCTGTGCAAGGTCGAGCTCTGTGTTCACACACACTCAGCACACTCACACGCTCCAGGCTCCCAGCCCCTGAAGGTGCACAGATCACGGCTTGTCTTTTTGTTTGAGACTGGGTCTCACTCTGTCACCTAGTTTGGAGTGCAGTGGCATGATCGTGGCTCACTGCAGCCTAGACTGCCCCAGGCTCAAGTGATCCTCTTGCCTCAGCCTCCCAAGTAGCTGGGACCACAGGCGTGCACCACCACACTCGGCCAACTTTTTTTTCATATTTTTGTAGAGATGGAGTTTCACCATGTTGCCCAGGCTGGTCTCAAACTCCTGGACTCAAGTGATCCACCAGCCTCTGCCTCCCAAAGTGCTGGGATTACAGGCGTGCACCACCATGCCTGGCCAGTCACCCACCACTTGTCTTGCTGGCTGGCGCTGGTTCAAGAGGCGTTCCAGTTCTTTGGGTTGGTTGGTTGGTTTGTTTGAATCAGAGTCTCACTTTGTCGTCCAGGCTGGAGTGCAGTGGTGCGATCTTGGCTCACTGCAACCTCTGCCTCCTGGGCTTAAGCAATTCTCCTGCCTCAGCCTCCTGAGCAGCTGAGACTACAGGTGTGTACCACCATGCCTGGCTAATTTTGTATTTTTAGTAGAAACAGGGTTTTGCTACGTTGGCCAGGGTGGTCTCAAACTCTTGACCTCAAGTGATCTACCTGCCTTGGCCTCCCAAGGTGCTGGGATTACAGGCATGAGCCACTGGACCCAGCCCGTTCCGATTCTTTGAATGACCCAGACAACCAATGTTGATGGCCTTGCACTGTCTCCCTATGGCCACAAGTGCCTGAGATCAAGGCACCGTCTCCTGCTGTCTTCACCCCAGGCCCCTCACTCCCATCCTTCTTTCCATACTCTCTCTGCATCTTCCACACTCGTGAAGGACCCTGGCCCCTGTGCACGTGTGGCTCTCAGAGGCTCCAGGTCATGATTTCCTTGTGGACATCCCTTGACGTGGAGTCTCTGGGCCCACTTAATTCTCCCATAAAGGCCACCCACGGGGCTGGGAGGGGGAGTTTCCCCAAGCCTGGCACAGCCTGGAGGTTTGTCTGTGGTTTAACTTTTATCCCATCTGATAGACTGAGTATGCTGCCTTATTCACTATCTTTATTTACTCTCTTTATTTGTATTTCTTTCATTATGTGTGAGGCCACACTGCTTTTCACAGGTCCTCTTGCTGTTTGCATTGTGTGCTTTTGTAAACTTCCTTTCCCTTGCTTAGTCCATGTTCTCATGGGGAAGCAAGAGGGCATTGTCACTTTTTTTTTTTTTTTTTTTTGAGATGGAGTCTTGCTCTGTCACCCAGGCTGGAGTGCAGTGGCATGATCTCAGCTCACTGCAACCTCCGCCTCCTGGGTTCAAGCAATTCTCCTGCCTTAGCCTCCCTAGTAGCTGGGATTACAGGCACCCACCACCGTGCCCGGCTAATTTTTGTATTTTTAGTAGAGACAGGGTTTCACCATGTTGGCCAGGCTGGTCTTGAACTCCTGACCTCGTGATCTGCCCACCTCGGCCTCCCAAAGTGCTGGGATTATAGACGTGAGCCACCATGCCCGGCCTGTCACTTTCTAATTGACCATAACATTGTTTATACGTTATTTGCCCTTCATTGGTTTTTGTGTCTTGCAACTCTTTTCCAAATTAGGTTTTGGTCTTTTAACTTTGTATGTGGTGCGTTCTGGATTCCATGAATTCTGTTTTTCTGCATTCTCATCTATGCTGTATGGTTCTTACCTTGTTTGCAAGAAACCTGTCTTTTGTCACCATTTGCCAGTGGCAGTGCTAAGCCCTAAAATCCTCAGCTCTTAAAATCCACAACGACCTCAGGAGCTGAGACCTGCGGCTCAGGAGTGCTCGTGGGGATGCAGGCTGCACTTCACCATGGTCAGGGTGGAGGTGCCACTGTGTGCCCTGCCCCGTGGTCAGGGTGGGGGTACCGCTGTGTGCCCTGCCCTCCTCTAGGCCTTGGCTGTGGCCTCTGCCCCAGGAGAGGACAGCAGGCACCCCACCAAATGTGGGCATAAAAGCCTTTCCCAGGGTGGGTGCGCATTGTAGCAAATGCCACTGGGGGAGGGTCTGGGGAGAGGGTCTCTTTGTGGCCCCTTTCCATGGGTGTCCAGGAGGCCTTTCTGAGAGGTGACAGGTGAGGGGCCTAGGCCGGGAGTCAGCTGGTGCAGAGGGCAGCAGGTGGGAGGAGCTGGGGGTGTTCGGGACAAGGAAGCCAGTGTGGCTGGGGGTGGGGGTGGAGGGGCAGGGCAGGGCCCGAGGGAGATGCCGAGTTCCACTCTGCCATGCAGCAGGAGGTCTTGGAGGCGGTGGTTCGGCAGGGGGTGACGTCTGACTCTGCTCCGATATCGCTCTCTGCGTTTG
The DNA here is from genome assembly GCF_000001405.40 of Homo sapiens. Taxonomy (NCBI): domain Eukaryota; kingdom Metazoa; phylum Chordata; class Mammalia; order Primates; family Hominidae; genus Homo; species Homo sapiens. The sequence goes on along the minus strand of NC_000022.11, from coordinate 46,703,733 downwards.
GTCCTAAGAGCATGTGGGCCCCGGTGAGAACGCTGGTGGCTTGGACGGTAAGGGCGCTGCATGGGGTCTGAGACTCCGGGGTGTAGCTGGTGGGGGGCTGTGTGGAGTCTCTGCTCCGCAGCATCGCCTTGAGTGGAGGAGTAAGGGTGAGGGAGACACCCAAGGGTGGCCCTGTAACGGTCACCATGGCAACCTGGGGAGCAGCCTGGGGGCACAAGAGTTGTGAGTGAGACCTGACAGCCACAGACCCTGTGGGAGGCCGCCTGGATGCGCACGGCCGGTGGTGGCAGCAGGTACCTGAACTCACTCATGCTCCAGGGTTCCAGCCGCTAGAAGGTGCAGAGGTCACTGCTTGTCTTGCTGGCTGGGGGCAGGAGAGGCAGGAGGGGCAGGTGGGGGTTGGGGTCCTGAGATCTGGAGGGTGTTGAGCTGCCTCCCGTGGATGGCTGCCTCCGGGACAGATGTCACTGGAGCATCTGAAAGGCATGGCTCCGGCTGCTTTGAGACCTGATGTAGCATGTTTTACCTTCCAAGTCTCTTCCACATATGTATTAGTATAGATGCATTAGCAAATTGATAGGAAGAAGAGATCGTCATTCATTCGGTCCTTCATCGGGTGTTAGCCTGTAACTGCATCTGCTGCTTGTAACTTCAGCCAGCATTGCCTGCTAATGACTTAGGCACAGAGAGGCTCAAGGAGATGATGCGCATGTCCTGGGAGCAACCCCCCTGGAGCCCCGTCCTTCTCGCGTGAACGGGAGCATGTGGTTGGTCGTTACTCGGGTGGCGGCAGTGCTGGCCGGGTGGATGAGGAACTCCCGTATTCAGTTGTGTGGGGAATGTTGAGAACCAGCACAGCTACTCCCACAGGTATGGGTGGTCATTGTGGATGCAAATCATTCTTTTGAGCATGGTCCTCAGAGGGAAGGCCGTGCGATCAGCCGGGGCAGCTGCAGCTTCCCTTTCATCTGAGCCAGTGAAGCGCAGGATAAAAAGATGCATAAGCCGCAGCCGGCCCCGTTCACGGGGAACATCGGGCTGAAGCAGGGACCTGAGCTGCCTGTCCTGGCTGTCCTGGTATTAAGATCTCAAGTAATGGCTGTGTGTGACCTTTGCCGCATCCAGCTGTTTCAGAAGTTTACGAGGGCCAGGTGTGGTGGCTCACGCCTAATCCCAGCACTTTGGGAGGCCAAGGCGGGCGGATCACGAGGTCAACAGTTAGAGACCAGCCTGGCCATCATGGTGAAACCCTGCCTCTACTAAGAATACAAAAGTAAGCCAGGGCGTGGTGGCGCGTGCCTGTAATCCCAGCTCCTCGGGAGGCTGAGGCAGAATTGCCTGAACCTGGGAGACAGAGGTTGCAGTGAGCCAAGATCACGCCACCGCACTCCAGCCTGGGCGACAGAGCAAGACTCCGTCTCGGAAAAAAAAAAAAAAATTTTGTTATGCCTATAATTGTAAATGTTCACACACACACACACACACACACACACACACACACACACACACATATATATATTTTTTTAACTTTTTGGCTCCTTTTTTTTTTTTTTTTTGAGACGAAGTCTCACTCTGTTGCCCAGGCTGGATAGTGGCGCGATCTCGACTCACTGCAGCCTTTGCCTCCCGGGATCAAGCGATTCTCCTGCTTTAGCCTCCTGAGGAGCTGGTATTATAGGTGCATGCCACCACGCCTGGCTAATTTTTGTATTTTTAGTAGAGTCGGAGTTTCACCATGTTGGCCAGGCTGGTCTCGAACTCCTGACCTCAAGTCATCCGCCCACCTCGGCCTCTCAAAGTGCTGGGATGACAGGCGTGAGCCACCGCCCGGCCCAATCTCAATATTCTTGAGGAATCAACGCTAGTATTTTCTATATTCATTTTGTAGGTAAATTCTATTTATTCCTTAGTGTTGACTCTAGGGCCATGGAAGGAAAGGAATGAGGTACCACTCACTGAATTGGGAGGCGATTACAATTCTGTTATTCTGATGCTATTTGGGACCTTCTTTTTCCCTTTACAGGGTCAACGGACTGCGTGTGTTACTCCACCGTGGGCACCAGCGACGCAGAAACCTCGGCGCTGCATATCGTTGTTGGTGAGCCCCTCCTCTGCGCATGCGCACGGTGGCAGCCGGGCCTCCTGCGCCCCCAGGCCTGTCCCACTCTGGTCCCCGTCGCGTGTTCCAGCCGTTGCCGTCCTGTCCTGGCCGTGGGTCACGCTGTGTCCCCTGCTCTGCTCGCTGCGCTGTGATCCCACTCAGCACGCAGCTCCGAGGCCACGTTGTCAGGACGGGCTTCCTGGGGGCACGCCCAGTGTGGGCCGAGTTCTTTCCCACGGAATCCACCACATGCGCGATGCCCGTACTCAGCTCACCTGACTCTTGCTCAGTTCCTCCTCCAGAGGCTGCTGCCCCGAGGCTCGGAAACCACCCGCGTCCCGCCATACTGCCTGTGGCAGTGGGCACGGGCAGCTGTGCCTGGGCTGCCAGCTGTGGAACGCATGCCTCTGTGAGGCCTCGAGGCTTCAGTCCAGGATGCAGAGCCCCGGTCAGGAAGAGCAGAAGGGGCTGCCCATGGCACTCAGCACGGTGGGCTCTGGCAGGACAGATCTTTTGTGCCTTCGCCTGTTCCTCACCCCAGTAGACAGGGTTACCGTGCCTCACCTGAAGTCACAGAAACTGTATATTTTAAAATAGCCACTTAGGATTTTTTTTTTTTTTTGAGATGGAGTTTCCCAGTTGTCCCCAGGCTGGAGTGCAGTGGCGCTATCTTGGCTCACCGCAACTTCCACCTCCCAAGTTCAAGCGATTCTCCTGCGTCAGCCTCTAGAGTAGCTGGGATTACAGGCTCGCGCCACCACGTCCAGTTCATTTTGTACTTTTAGTAGGGATGGGGTTTCACCGTATTGGTCAGGCTGGTCTCGAACTCCTGACCTCAGGTGATCCACCCGCCTCGGCCTTCCAAAGTGTTGGGATTACAGGCGTAAGCCACAGCACCTGGTCAGGATATTTTTTTCTTTGAGACAGGGTCCCACTCTGTCACCCAGGCTGGAGTGCAGTGGCATGATCTTGACTCACTGTAGCCTCGACCTCCAGAACTCAAGCGATCCTCCCACCTCAGTCTTCTAAGTAGCTGAGATTGCAGAAGTGCACCACTACACCTGGCTAATTTTTGTGTTTTTTGTAGAGACAGGTTCTCCCTGTGTCTCAAACTCCTGGGCTCAAGTGATCCTCTCACCTTGCCCTCCCAAAGTGCTGGGATTATAGGCGTGAGCCACTGTGCCCGGCCTACTTCTGATTTTGCATTTTATTTTATTCTATTTTACTTTATTTTATTTTGAGACAGAGTTTCGCTCTTGTTGCCCAGGCTAGAGTACAGTGGCGCGATCTTGGCTCACTGCAACCTCCGCCTCCCGGGTTCAAGCGATTCTCCTGCCTCAGCCTCCCAAGTAGCTGGGATTACAGGCACCTGCCACCACGCCCAGCTCATTTTGTATTTTTAGTAGAGACGGGGTTTCACCATGTTGACCAGGCTGGTCTCGAACTCCTGACCTCAGGTGATCCACCCACCTCAGCCTCCCAAAGTGCTGGGGTTACTTACAGGCGCGGGCCACCGCACCTGGCCTATTTTATTTTTTTTGAAACAGAGTCTCACTCTGTGTGTGGCCCAGGCTGGAGTACAGTGGTATGATCTCGGCTCACTGCAACCTCCGCCTCCCGGGTTCAAGCGATTCTCCTGCCTGAGCCTCGCCACTAGCTGGGATTTCAGGCACACGCCACCATGCCTGGCTAATTTTTATATGTTTAGTAGAGACAAGGTTTCACCATTCTGGCCAGCCTGGTCTCAAATTCCTGACCTCAGGTGATCTGCCCGCCTCGGCCTCCCCACGTGCTGGGATTACAGGCGTGAACCACTGCACTCGGCTTGATTTTGTATTTTAAAATGCCATGTACTTTTTCTTCATTCTAAAACCACCGTCCTTTCAGTTAAAGATATTTCATGAGCCTCACGGATACACTCTTGTTCAGTCCCCACAGGATAGCTCCCCGAGCCTGTTTTAGAAATTTGAGTGGAGTTCAGTCATTTGAATAAAAAATATGGCATCCAACACCCCAAGAGAGAGAATCCTTGCACTGAATGCGTTCTGTTTGTTTCACACTTTTTAAAAGTAACTCCCACGTTTGCAAAGTGCTATTGAAGGGGATGGAGTGGATGGGGCGGGGCTGGAGGGGGGCTGCCTTCCCTCACGGCCGTTCTCTCCCACAGGGGACTCGCTGGCCATGGATGTGTCCTCAGTCCACCACAACAGCACACTCCTTCGCTACTCCGTGTCCCTGCTGGGCTACGGCTTCTACGGGGACATCATCAAGGACAGTGAGAAGAAACGGTGGTTGGGTCTTGCCAGATACGACTTTTCAGGTAACTCAGAATAATGCAGACTCGCTCCCCGCTGGTCGTGCCCCGACTGCCTTCACAGATGTTACCTGACTGAATCCACTGAGCACCGTCAGAGGTGGGCCCCCACCTGCTCACAGACGGGAAGCTAAGGGCCTCATGAAATGTGCCGGGGCCAGAACGTGGCAGGGTCTGGACTGGAACCTGGATTGCTCTAAACCAGATCCTGCCCCCTGGACCCAAGCATAAGCCACAGAGTAGACACCATGACGGACGCAGTTCACTCCAGAACCCCAGGTGCTGGAACCCCAAGACGCCAGGCCACCAGCCTCTCACATCTGGTAGGCAGGTGACAGAGGCCACCCCAAACTGTTCAAGTGGAAGTATTAATTGGAAAAAAAATAGTTTTTAAAATATATTTTTTAAAAATTTTTTTGAGACACAGTCTTCCTCCGTCACTCAGGCTGGAGTGCAGTAGCACGATCACGGTTCACTGCAGCCTTGACCTCCCAGGCTCAAGTGATTCTCCCACCTCAGCCTCCCGAGTAGCTGGGACTACAGGCACATGCCACCGTGACCAGCTAATTTTTTTTTTTTTTGTATATTTTTGTAGACAAAGGGTTTTGCCCTGTTGCCCAGGCTGGTCTCAAACTCCTGAGCTCAAGCAATCTGCCCACCTCGGCCTCCCAAAGTGCTGGGATTACAACCATGAGCAACCATGCCTGGCCTGTAAAACAATAGTTTTATAATCACTCTGAGCTTATTAGTCAAAGTGGCAAGAACTTTGTGCAGAAATTCAGCCTGGGATATCTGTGTGGAAGCTCTTCTGTAACTTCAGGCACAGGTATCCTTTACTTCATTCAACAAGGTTGCGTGGTTTTGTTGGGGTTACACCGTAGCTAGCCATACAAGTGAGATACACTCAGCACGTATTTGTTGAGCCCCTGCTCTATGCCGGGCCTGGTTTTTGAGGCAGGGACGTGTCCATGAACAAAACAGGCAAGATCCTGCCTTCCTGCGGCTCGGCCGCAGTGGGCACAGAGGAGGAGGAGTGGGAGCGAATGCCACGCCGCACTCCCTGAAGCCCAAAAGCTTTCATTCTCCACAGTGCTCTTCTCACCCCAGCAGGTGCTCCTGCCCCACTTTATAGCGGAGAAAACAGGCACAAAGAGGTTGCCCGCATCCTGCCTCACTCTTTCTTGAGCCCAGTGGTCCTCAGACTGTGGTGGGCACCTGCATCCTCTGGAGGGCTTGGTAGAACCCAGGCTGCGGGGACCCCCCAGAGCATCCAACACGGCAGGTCTGGGTGGGCTTCGGAACATGCAGGTCCTCCAGGCTCCCGGGGCTGCTGCTGGGGCCTCGGGCCAGGCGGCGGTGACCTGTTACCCGACCACAGAGTTTAGAATGAACCAGAAATGAAGGCTGGTGCCAGTTCAGACACAAGAGTTGCAGTCTGCACACATCAGGCAGTGGGTGCGACGTCACCAGCTTTTAAACGCTGGAAAAGGAGAACTTTAAAAATACATAGAATTGGCCAGGGGCAGTGGCTCACGCCTGTAATCCCAGCACTTTGGGAGGTCAAGGCAGGTGGATCACCTGAGGTCAGGAGTTCAAGACCAGCCTCGCCAACATGGTGAAACCCTGTCTCTACTAAAAATACAAAATAAGTCAGGCATGGTGGTGCACACCTATAGTCACAGCTCCTCGGGGGGCTGAGGCAGGAGAATTGCTTGAACCCGGGAGGCAGAGGCTGCAGTGAGCTGAGATCGTGCCACTGCACTTCAGCCTGGGCAACAGAGCGAGACCTCTGTCTCAAAAAAAAAGAAAAGTAGAATTTCAGCCTGGGCGACATAGGGAGACCCCATCTCCACAGAAATTAAAAACAAAATTAGCCGGGCACCCCAGTTACTCGGGATGCTGAGGCAGGAGGAGCCCTTGAGCACAGAAGGTGGAGGCTGCAGTGAGCAGAGATCAGGCCACTGCACTGCAGCTGGAGCGACAGCCAGACCCTGTCTCAAAAAAAAAAGAAAAGAAAGAAAGAAGAAAATATGTAGACCATGAGGTGTGCCATTCTCGCTGCCCGGTCGACTTTCCCGCCTCTTTACAGTTCGCTTTCAGATAAATCTGTATCAAATTAAATCGAGTAATTCCTGATACTAAAATCTTAACCCTTATGAGAGAAAGAAATAGTGATTTGGCAAACTTTACGAAGCTTGAAAAGATTTAATGAAATTAAAAACTAGTGTGGCTTGAAAATTAAAACCTAAGAAATGGCAAAGTGAGGTATTTATCTAAGGCTTATTAAGAAAGGGAATACCGAGAAAATTAGAGAAGCCGCGAGAATTTTAGGAAGCGGTTTGGGTTGTGCCATTCTCCCGACTGCCCTTTGTTGAGCCCAGTGTGGCTCTGCCTAGAATGCCCCTGGGATGCCCCCTCCCTGTCCCTGCCTGCTGGGGTGGGGTGGTGGGCAGCCCCCCTGCATGCCTGGCCCCCCCCTTTGCCCTCAGCCCATCACCACAGGCAGTGGCTGCAGCTCTGTCCCTCCCACCAGGATGAGAGCCCCGAGGCAGGAGACGCCTTCCGGGTCTCTGGATCCCCATCCTGGCCACAGGGCCTGAGATGCTCTCAGGAAAGCGGGTTTGGGTTCTGTGGCTGTGAGGCAGAAAGCACCCGGTTGTTCTGGAGCAGCACAGAGGGCATGGAAGGAGAATGAGCGTGTGGAAATGACACACTCTGTTGAGACACGTGGAGTTTTAGGTGCCGGTAGGACATCTGGGGCCCATCTAGGGGCAGACAGAAACCGGGACATCAGATGTCGGTGAGGCGCCACCCTGGAGGCTGCGTCTGGGTGATGAGGCAGCTGCCCCCCTGCCCCCTGCACTTGAGAGAGGAGCCGGCTTGGAAGGTTGCTGACCAGTGGGTCGGCCTCCTCCCAGGGCCGTGGACACGACGTCCTTGTGGGACCCCCATGGGAGGAGCAGGGAGAGAGGCCAGAGCCACTCTGCAGGGAGGCGGAGCTGCAGCCACCTGGAAGGGCCCGCCCGCTGAGTGCATTCCAGGCACCTGGCCCATGCCAGGTGCAAGACCCACAGACGGGGCTGTCCTAGGGACAGTCGGGAGCTGACTTTCAGGCACACAGATGTCCTAGGAGCCAGACTGCTCTTGCCGGCAGCTTCCCCCACCCCTGGGCGGTGCACACTTGGCTGTGGGCTTGCCATCTGCGGATGAGGATGTGAGGCCTCTGTGTGTCGGGGGTAAGGTTGTGTGTGACGGCCCTGCAGGCCGTCACTGCCACACCAGATGTCATACAGGGCAGCACCAGCCCCAGCATCAGACACGGAGGAGTGAAGTCGCCCTGAGACTCACAGGACACGGCCTGGCTCCTGGTGTGGCCCACGACACCCTGGGGCCCCTCTCCTGCCTCCTGCCCAGTCCCTGCTGTCCTGCTGGGTGGTGTTTCCCAGACAGCCCGGGTGCCAGGCTGCTGGCAGCCCCGTGGACAGCGCACACGTTTGCCTGGAGGGTGGCCCCAGACTTTGGGTGGCAGCGGCCCTGGCCTCTGTCCTGAGCTGTTCAGGACGTCACAGGGGCTGTGGCTGACCCCAGTGGGGGCCAAGCCCTGAGGCAGGTGGGGGCATCACTGACCCTCATGAAGAGGTGGAGGGGATGACCCTGAGCCACTGGAGCCCACAGGCCACATCATCGAGGCTATGAGGGGTGGCTAATGGCAAAGGCCCCACTTTGCCAGCGTCAAGAGTGGCCATAGCCCTGGCTGTCCCAGCATCACTGGGTGTCAGAAGGCACCAGCACTATGACTAGACGTGCTGTTGTCCTGAGGGAGGGCAGAGACCCTGCCACTGCCTTCAATGGTGACATGGCCTGAAGCAGGCCCGGCCTCTCCCTCCTGCAGACGGTTTAGGCAGATGCGCGCTCAGCGACATTTCTGAAGCTGCCCAGCACAGCATCCTAACCAAGCAATGACCCTTGTGGATGTTTTTTCTTCACTGCACTCTGTTCCCAGGTTTAAAGACCTTCCTCTCCCACCACTGCTATGAAGGGACAGTGTCCTTCCTCCCTGCACAACACACGGTGGGATCTCCAAGGGATAGGAAGCCCTGCCGGGCAGGGTAAGTGCATTGCTTTGTGTGTTTCTCTTGCAAATGACGGGAAATGAAGCAGGACGGTTAGGAAGGTGAATGCAGAAGTATTTTCCAAATGTGGTGGAAGGTGCCGGATGTAGCGTGCCCAGACACACGATGCCTATGATGCCCATGATGGCCTAGGCGTGCATGGGGCTTGCTGTCCCCATCTCTGTCCCCATGGCCTGCGCAGGCAGCTGCTGCTGTGCCAGGGATGAGGACTCTGGGGGAGGGTCCCACACCCACTGTTGGAGTGGGGGCTGAGCACAGGGTCTTTCCCTGCTGGGGTTCCCTTTACCCCCTGCAGGGGCCTGATGGAGGAGAAATGCAGGCAGGAAAGGATGGCAGACACCTTATCAGTGACTGTGCGTGTGCAGGGCACTGGTGGCAGGACCGTTGGTAGAGCTGGCTGAAGTGTGCACTCTCAGCAGCCACCCTCCTGTCCACACCCCTGGCTGAGACCCTCACCCATGTTAGCCCCATGCTCCAAGGCAGGAGCCCACTCTAAGGTTAGCAGAGCCCAGGCCAGCCACGCCTTCAACCCCACAGGAAGGCAGGGACCCTCAGCAAGAAGGCTCGGGCTGGCAACAAGGGCTGGTGCCAGGGGTTGGGGGGCAGAGCCAGGGCAGCTGCCCAGGGAGAGGGGATGCAAAGGGAAAGAGGCGCCCCACCGGGGAGGGGAGGCTGAGTGCAGACAACACAGCTGGAAACGCTGCGCTCTCCCCTTACATTTGGTCCCCCAGTTTGGCCACTGCAGGCTCTGCAATGGTGGCTACGCCACTGAACAAGCAGGGACTCCTTTCACCTGGCATATCTCCGCCCCCACCCCCACACAGTGTATTCAGTAATATGCGACCAGTGTAAATAGAACCTTAAATAAATCTAAACATAGTTGTCCCAGGCCGCATGACCTCCCTAGTGACCATGGAGGGCGCCTGAATGGTCATCCTGTCTCTGCTCTGCCTGGGGCTGAGGACACGGGGCTGTGGAGACAGCTGCGCCTTTGTGAAGGACACTCACGTCCTTTCCTTTTAAGTCATGCAGACTTCAGAACCTCCTTCTAGCTCCTTTCCTTTTTTAAGTGAAGAATTGGAGACCATAAAATCAGAATATGTAGAGGCAGATGCTGTTTGCGTCAGTGCATTAAAGAACTCGGCTGCTGATGAGCGATTTCCATCAGTGCAAACAGTGTCCTGTTTGACAGCGTGAATCCGGCAGCCCCCAAGATCAGAAGGACGTGCTAGACGAATGACTAAGTTCTAAGCTGATGGTTCTGAGTTATTTGCTTGTTATTGACTGTAACAGATAAACCCTGTATGATTTGTTTTCTGAAAGTAAATGAGTCCTCACCCCAGGAGTCCGCTGGGGGAACCAGTGCCTCAGTCATTTCTCCCAGCCAGGCTATGTTAGCTGGAGGGCCAGGCAGAAACCGTCTCCAGGTGGCACCTCAGCGTCCTCATGCTGTGCTTCTCCTCATGTCCAAACCTTTTAGAGAAGGACATGTTGAATGTGTCATTGTAAAAGTAGGTCTCATTCTGAAACCTCTAATTAATATGCCAAAAAATATTTTGTTAAGCCTTTGAAATGGAATTTTTTCGTATGTGAAAAGAATGTAAATACATCTATATGTGCCAAGCATACGCACTGCACCTGCAGCTCCATATTTAAAAGGTGATGATATTCTTGTCTTTCAGATGCTTTGTTTGCAGGCAAAGCAAGCAGCAGCTGGAGGAGGAGCAGAAGAAAGCACTGTATGGTTTGGAAGCTGCGGGTAATTCCTAAAACACAGGCTCAGTGTTGTCACTGTGTGTGCTGGAGTGCGGGTTTCTGTCCTCTCTCAGGGCACTGCCTCTTCTCCCTGCCCACCTGTGCTTTTCCTTTTTCCTGTCTGGCACCAGGCATCCATTTCTTCTTAGCCCCAGGCAGCGTCAGGTCACTGTTACTTGCCGTGTGTGGCTGTGTGGAGCAGTGGGTTTTGTGAAAGGCCCCGTTACCCTTTCTGAAACGCTGTTGTGGTGCTGAGTCTGGACTCCTGTCCCAGGTGCTCTAGAATGTGGGGGCAGCAGATGTCCCATTGAGGGCTTGCTTGGTGACCACCTCAGGCCCTGGCAACCACACAGTCTCTGTCCAGCAGAGGCAGCCTAGGCAGTGTACAGTGAGTGGGTATGGCCATCTGCCGATGAAACTTTATTTATGGACACTGAAATTTAAGTTTCATAGAATTTCCACATGTCACAAAATATTATTATTTTGATTTTTTTCTCTTTCTCTTCTTTTTTTTTTTTTTTTTTTTGGATGGAGTTTCACTCTTGTCGCCCAGGCTAGAGTGCAGGGGCACAATATCAGCTCACTGCAACCTCCGCCTCCCGAGTTCAAGCGATTCTCCTCCCTCAGCCTCCCTAGTAGCTGGGACTACAGGCATGTGCCACCATGCCCAGCTAATCTTTGTATTTTTAGTAAAGATGGGGTTTCACCATGTTGGCCAGGCTGGTCTCAAACTCCTGACCTCAGGTGATCTGACTGCCTCAGCCTCCTAAAGTGCTGGGACCACAGGTCTGAGCCACCATGCCCAGTCAATAATATTTATTTATTTATTGGGACAGAGTCTTGTTCCATCACCCAGGCTGGATTGCAGTGGCGCGATCTCGGCTCACTGCAACCTCCACCTTCTGGGTTCAAGCGATTCTCCTTCCTTAGCCTCCTGAGTAGCTGGGATTACAGGCGCCTGCCGCCATACCTGGCTAATTTTTTTTTTTTTTTTTTTTTTTTTTAAGACAGAGTTTTACTCTTGTTGCCCAGTCTGGAGTGCAATGGCGCAATCTCAGCTCACTGCAACCTCTGCCTTCCGGGTTCAAGCAGTTCTCCTGCCTCAGCTTCCCCAGCAGCTGGGATTACAGGCATGCACCGCCACGCCTGGCTAATTTTTGTATTTTTAGTAGAGATGGTTTTCACCATGTTGGCCAGGCTGGTCTCGAACTCCTGACCTCAGGTGATCTGCCCGCCTCGGCCTCCCAAAGTGCTGGGATTACAGGCGTGAGCCACCGCGCCAGACCTTTTTCAAGGATTTAAAAACGTGAAAAGCATTCTTAGCTCTCAGGCCACACACAGACGGGCGGCGGGCCGGATCTGACACACAGCCTTGGTTTGCTGACCCTTGTTCTAAATTGTCCAAAAGTCACCAAGTGAGGAGAGGGACAACAGTCCTGCCTTCTGGGAGGTGATCCTTTGGGTACCACTTCCTGCGGGGAGCGGACAGTTCCGTGGTGGATGTTTTTGGTGTTGAGCTGAAGAGTCGATTGCATGAAGTGTCTGCTAAATGCATGAGCAGGTGAGAGCCCGAATGGCCTCCCACCGTCCTGGTGCAGGGCGCTGCCCGGCGCCATTGTAACTGTGACATCTCCGTGGTTCTTTGTGCTTCAGAGGACGTGGAGGAGTGGCAAGTCGTCTGTGGGAAGTTTCTGGCCATCAATGCCACAAACATGTCCTGTGCTTGTCGCCGGAGCCCCAGGGGCCTCTCCCCGGCTGCCCACTTGGGAGACGGGTCTTCTGACCTCATCCTCATCCGGAAATGCTCCAGGTTCAATTTTCTGAGATTTCTCATCAGGCACACCAACCAGCAGGACCAGGTAAGTGGGGTGCTCTTGCATGGAGCCTCCACTGGCGAGTAATTTATGTTCCAGCAGTCCCTGGTTTATGTGTTGTAGGAATTCATTATTTAATTCAAGGGAAGGAAGGGCAAACTTTTTTTTTTTTAATTTCACAAACTTTAAACTCCTGGTTACAACTACTCCTTGTAAAATATCATTTAAAACGATAAATTTTTGAGGCCAGATGCGGTGGCTCATGCCTGTAATCCCAGCACTTTGGGAGGCTGAGGCAGGCGGATCACCCGAGGTCAGGAGTTTGAGACCAGCCTGGGCAACATGGTGAAACCTCATCTCTACTAAAAATACAAAAAAGCCAGGCGTGGTGGCGTGCGCCTGTAATCCCAGCTACTCGGGAGGCTGAAGCATGAGAATCGCTTGAACCCAGGAGGTGGAGGCTACAGTGAGCTGAGATCACGCAACTGCACTCCAGCCTGGGTGACAGAGTGAGACTCCATCTCAAATATATGTGTGTGTGTGTGTGTGTGTGTGTGTGTATGTATGTATACATGTGTGTGTATGTGTATATATACATATATGTGTATATACATACACATACATACATATACACACATACATACATATACACACACATACATACATACATATACACACACATGTATTTGAGCACAGAAACTAAGAGGTATGAATCTTTATAATACAACTTCTTACCCGTTGTTTCTCTTCCTATTTAAAAACAGAACAAAGCGACACAGTAAAGATGTAAGTGGCCCTTGCAGGCCACTGAAAATAGACTCTTTAGGCTCCCAGAAATGGGTTCTGTTCGGACCCTTCTACCACATCTTTCTGTAGCCTATGCAGAGGAAGACCCGAGTCTAGTCATGTTGGGGGAAGCGGAACTTTTGGTCACAGTCTCCAAATTTAGTCACATTTCTTTTTTTACTTAAGTTCTATTTAAGATCTAGTCTAATGCTATTTTTATGTGGCTTTTTAAGTAGTGCTTGTTAAAAAGAGAATACAAAATTCTAATAATCACTGCTAATTATTTATCAGAATTCTGTAAAAAGCGTTCGTCATTGTAGATAAGCTGTGGTTTCTAAAAGCATTAGAAGTCATTTTGACAAGTGCCGCGGAAGGTGGGCACCGGGGAAGGTAGGCGCCGGGGAAGGTGGGCGCCGGGAAAGGTGGGTGCCAGGTTTCCCTTCATCTCTGAGCTGTCAGTTCAGCTGGAAAGGGAACTCCAGGGGCCTGCACAAGCAGTCGCATCCTCCGAGAAGGGCCGTGTGTGCACCCAGGCCTGACAGCGCTCGCTGTCAGGCCTGGGGTGTTCTGCTGCCCCACCCAGACGATGACGTTTAGAGCTGAATGGTCCCTCTCACTGTTTCTTGGTAGTTTGACTTCACTTTTGTTGAAGTTTATCGCGTCAAGAAATTCCAGTTTACGTCGAAGCACATGGAGGATGAGGACAGCGACCTCAAGGAGGGGGGGAAGAAGCGCTTTGGGCACATTTGCAGCAGCCACCCCTCCTGCTGCTGCACCGTCTCCAACAGCTCCTGGAACTGCGACGGGGAGGTCCTGCACAGCCCTGCCATCGAGGTCAGGTGCGTGCAGGGGTCCTCCAGCCACCAGCGCCATCCCCTTGAGCCCTGAGGTGTCTGTCACAAGCTGCCCCACCCAGGGTGGGGGGTTCCCTGGGGCTTTATAAACACAAAACGTAAGAATGTTTTATAAATGCACTTTTCTCTCCCTATGTCAAATATCGAATGAGATGCCGTTACCCACATTCTGGAAAGATGCCAGGGTGCCGAGTCCTCAGCATTTTGTTTTGCAGATAATTTTCATGGGTGTTTGAAGCTCCTCCATTTCATTCTTTTCCTCTTCCACACCCTGTGCTCCAGGCTGGCATTGGGCTCTTTGCCCTGGCATTCTCTCTCTCTTCTCCTAAATAATTCAAAAGGTGGGAGGCTGAGGCGGGCAGATCACTTGAGATCAGGAGTTCAAGACCAGCCTCGCCAACATGGTGAAACCCCGTCTCTACTAAAAATACAAAAAAAATTAGTCGGGTGTGATGGTGCATGCCTGTAATCCCAGCTACCCCGGAGGCTGAGGCAGGAGAGTCGCTTGAACCCAGGAGGCAGAAGTTGCAGTGAGCCGAGACCATGCCACTGCACTCCAGCCTTGGTGACAGAGCGAGACTCCATCTCAAAAAAATTTCAAAAGGCAAACAAAGGAAACCGCCTTTACAGGCAGTCCTTTGTCCACTGAATCCACCAGGGAACCGCTGGCCTCAAGGGCCACAGTCAATCACCAAGTGCAGGTGCTCCGTGCAGGGAGGGGCAGGAGGCAGCAGGGCTGGGAAGGGCACCCCGAGGATGGGAAGGAGAGGAGGAGCCCCAGAGGGACGCCCCGTGCTGGAGGCCACGCAGCCTAGGGGACGCGGGGAGGCAGGTGTGGCCACACACGGATGTTCGGTCTCCCTGGGGCAGGTGCCACACCCCTCCTCTGGCTGGCTGGGCGGAGGGTGGGAAGTGGTGTCCTCCCCACACCCACTGGGGCCCATTGTATTTGGAAGTCTGTGATGTATCACATAACCAGATGGAATCTGAGTGCAAAGAAAATTGTTTCTCCATGGAAAGACCCAGTAACAAGCAAGTTGATTTTTTCAAAAGGCCACTGAATTAGGTGTGGGCGTGCAAATTACATGAGACTGGGGAACGGTAGAGCTCAGGTGGATTCTGAACTCTTGGCAGATGTTGGTAAGAGCTCGGTCTACTTCAAGGAAGCCCAGCTTGACGCTCGTTAACAGAGTGTGGCTGGCGTGAGAGCGATAGCAGGCTGGTCAGCAGGCCCACGCCTGTCTGCAACGAAAGCTGGGTGTCAGATGGCCCTTGGGTGCCTTAAGTCACAGCATGTAAGAGGATGCACGCATCTCTGTGGACAGCGCCCCACTTTCAGTGACTCCTCAGCCAGCCAGCTGCGGCTCTAAGAAAGCTTCTCCCATTCGCATCCGAACAAGCCTAAGGGAGGAGGTCTCTGCCCCTCCCCAGGCCCAGGGCCACGCGCCCCCTTTCTTTCTGTCAGGGCGGTGGTGATGGCAAGAGGCTGTCGAAAGGTCCCAGGAACACCGGCCACCCCAGGCAGCCGTGCACAGGGACTTTCCTCTGTCAACTCATTTGACAAGTTTGGGAAGTGGGATTATTTTTAATATTGGTGTATGTATTTATTAAAGAAATAGAATAATTTGAAAATCAGGACAGGCATTCTTGAAATACGTCCTGTCTATCTTGATAAATATGGCTATGCCTTGAGCAGCACGTCGCTTTTAAAAATATAATTTGTGTGTGTGTGAGCTCAGCTCCATGGAAACAGCCTGTCACTTATTTATTTCTATTTTTTTATTTTTTGAGACAGAGTTTTGCTCTTGTTGCCCAGGCTGGAGTGCAATGGCGAGGTCTCGGCTCACTGCAACCTCTGCCTCCCAGGTTCAAGCAATTCTCCTGCCTCAGCCTCCCAAGTAGCAGGCGCCCGCCACCACACCTGGCTAATTTTTATATTTTTAGTAGAGACGGGGTTTCACCATGTTGGCCAGGCTGGTCTCAAACTCCTGACCTCAGGTGATCCGCCCGCCTGGACCTCCCAAAGTGCTGGGATTATAGGCGTGAGTCACTGTGCCCTGCCCCAGCCTGTCACTTAATGAAGGGGTTTAGGTTACTGAAATACGTCTGAGGAGGCTGTGATATCATTAATAAATGAGATAAATAGAGCTGTCCTGTGTGGGAAGATGGCACTCACCCACGGACTCACTGTGGCCACCGAGCCCCTGGGCAGGGGACCTCCAGGGACCCCCAACTTGTTCCTCAAGCCCGAAGGCTCTTGCTGGCGTTGGGCCACCTGTCCTTCTCATCTGAGCATTCCTCACACATCTCTTACACGCATTGAGTCGCCCCGCACAGACTCCTCGCAGGCCTTGCGCGCTCAGTACTGCTGAGAAAATGGAGGTGGGTGGGTGGGTGGAGTGGGCAGACACTGGAGCGGACGCTCTGCTTTCCATGGGGGTGCTGGAGTTCGAGTCAGGTCTACCGATGCCCAGATTTCCCACCTGGCCATTGGCAACCCCTTTACAAACTCGGCATCCCGGGAGTCTAAGTGAATTATTCCACGCCCAGGGCCCGTCATTGTGGGCTGGACTCCTACAGCCCACGGTGACGTCTGACCGTTCCATGGGGGATGGACCCCCACTTCAGCCCCTGTCCAAGAGCGGTGCTCAGGGCCAGCTTTGAGTGAGGGACACGTGGGGTTTACTGCAGCCCCTGTCCAGGAGTGGGGCTCAGGCCAGCTTTGAGTGAGGGACACGTGGGGTTTACACGTGGCCGCTTGTCTCTGCAGAGTCCACTGCCAGCTGGTTCGACTCTTTGCACGAGGAATTGAAGAGAATCCGAAGCCAGACTCACACAGCTGAGAAGCCGGCGTCCTGCTCACAAACTGGGAAAGTGTGAAAACTATTTAAGATAATTATTACAGACCAATTATGTTGATATATACATTTAAATGTAGAAATTTATTTTTGATAGTTAAATCTTGATTTTAGAAGAAAACCCTTTTGTCAACAATTTTGTGTACATATTTGGCATTTTCAGTTCTGTACGCATCTGCGGGTTGCAGCCCACGCCGCTTACTCTCAGCGGATGCAGCTGCTCACTTGGGGGCACTGGCCTCTTAGGTTTTAACGATGTCAACAGTGTAGTTTAGAAAATGGCCCGTTAGTGGCTCTATTGCAATAATGTTAGGGACATTATATGATTTCCACGCAGGTCACACCATCTGGGCCTGAGGTAGCAGTGGGTCACTTTGATCCACTTTGCAGGACTTATTCTGTAACGGTTTGTGGCCAAGTTTTGGGAAGTGGTTGATTCTCTTTGCCTTCATTTCACCTTCCTCTTCGTTTACGGTTAGGACATCGCTGCTTGATCCTTACAATACTGTGCAACTGCAATGCAACGTGGCCCTGCTTCAGGTGATCCGCGGGAGGGGCCTCCACGCCAGCGCCGGGAAGGCTGCTGGGGCCTCCACACCTGCCTCATCACGGCGGCGAGGCTACGACAATCCGGCTGGGAGCATGACCTTGGCGTCTGTTCTGGGAGCACGGATGATAAGCTCTGGAAGCTGGCAGTGTGTAAAGCACTGGCAAGTTTGTTACTGTTAAAATGTCAAATACCAATGCTTTATATCGACGCGAAGTGCTTAACACAGCCGGGCTTGGGGGCAGTCAGGAGGAAGCTGGCCATCCGTGGAGGAGGGGCCGGTCCTGGACTCCCGCAGGACTCCTCTGAGGCAGGGCCTGAAGTCTGTACACGTGGTCCAGATTTGTCCTTGTCTTTTCTTCACACTGAGTTCTCTATATTTATTGAACATCTTGTCCTTTTAAGCCAGAGTAGTGTAAACTGCGTCTCGGATGTCTGTCTTTTGCCTCGAAGCCACGATGGATCGCTGGTTTCCTCTGCAGCGCGAGGGCTCCGGCGACCAGAGGATTCTTCCCGGAAGGCATTCCTGCCGCGCTCCCCGGGGCACCCCTCAATTGTGTACTACGTCCTTGTTTAGTGTGTATCCGTGCCCACGTAGATGATGTCTGTAACGTAGTTTTGTTTGAAATATGAGAATATGCGGCTTAAACTTTGATCTGTAAGGAGCGGGGCCGTGGCCGTTTGGAGCACGCTGTAGACACCGTTCCTCATGCTGCCGGGTGGGTTTTGCAGAAGCTCCCTTAGTGATTTCATGTTTAACAGGCAGCATCCATTTTCAGAATTTCCTGGCATTGATTTATATTTTGAAGCATACAGGAAACTTCTCGTTTCCTCGTTTAGCCCCACCCAGATCAGGTGAAAGGGCAGCTTTAATGGTGGTTTTTATGGACCACATTATCAGAGAGCACTGTGCAAGCCAAATGGTTCAATAATGAATGAAAATTCTGGGTGTAAAGAGTAAATATGCCCTGGCTCTTTCTACCAATGTTTGCTCCTGGTTGGAAAGAAACCAAAGATTTAAGACGGGCTGCTCTTCCAGACTGGCTGTGCCTGCCTGTGCCCAGCAACCTGTGCAGCCGGCAGTGTGCCTGGTGTCACGCCAGGAGGCTGTGGCTGCTGTGGGCCCTCTGGAATTGTGCTCCTCACAAAGTTTCCCCAAAAGGTTCTTCTAAGCCTTTATTGTCCCTGGTAAATGTTTCCCGGCTGGGCGCGGTGGCTCACGCCTGTAATCCCAGCACTTTGGGAGGCCGAGGCGGGTGGATCACCTAAGGTCAGGAGTTTGAGATCAGCCTGCCCAACATGGTGAAACCTCGTCTCTACTAAAAATACACAACTTAGCCAGTCTTGTTGGCGCACGCCTGTAATCTCAGCTACTAGGGATGCTGAGGCAGGAGAATCGCTTGAACCCAAGAAAGAGGTGGAGGTTGCGGTGAGCCAAGATTGCGCCACTGCACTCCAGCCTGGGCAAACAGAGGGAGACTCCATCGCCCCCCCCAACAAAAAAAAAAGTTTCCCATACACTGGCCTGCCCCAAAACCCACTAACAATTTTAGCAAAACAGTCCAGGCCAAAGAGGAAGCATTTCATGTTCAATAAGAAACCCAGCCATTCCGCATGGCTGGTTCCTGAGTGGCTCTGGTGATACTCTCCAGCCACCTGCTGACATTCAGAATCTCAGACCTCGGGACTGCTGTTGCGGTACCGTGTGTCTGACACCTGCCAGCAGCCCTTTGCTATCTGCGCGCAGGATGGGGGTGACTGCCCAGACATTCCCGCTAGATAGGCTCTGATTTCCGGGGCAGCCTTTCAGATGCGGCAGACATACAACACCTGTACTTTAGAGTTTTAAGGGAAAAAAAATCAGAAGTGCTGGTTAGATAGTAAAAACTTAGGATAACTTAGAAAGGCTAGTTTTAGCTTCCTTTGTGGCTCCCTGGTGCAAAACAATTAGCAGTTATGCAATGGACCTGATTCTAGTTTATTCTAATTAAGAAGTGAGGCCGAGTTTGACTTCGTTCCTGAATACAATCTTGAGTAACTGGGAAAGTCTGAGTGAAAGGATGGCCTCATTCTCTTTCTAATCTTGCTGGTTTCAAGATTAGAAAATGGCATTATTTGATCTGAAATGTTTGAGAAGACACGAATAAAGTTACTTGGGCAGACTTGGCTTGCTTTCTTTCCTTTACACATACCTGTTATTTTCAAAGCAGAATATTTTTCATGAAAACACACACAATTTAAAGAACAAGAATAAAATGAAGCAAGGTGTCACCACCACCTATGCCAGGCAACTGAACGCCGCCCCGAAGCCTTCTGTGCCCTGCTCTGGAGTCCCCCCGCTCCCCCTGGGAGGGCGCTACGAGGTCACGCCAAGCGCATCCCTTCCTGCCTCTGTCCATGGCTGTATCTGCAACAGCGAGTTTAGTTTTGCAGGTTTTGCTCCTTATCCAAAGGAAACGTGTTGTTTTCTGTAACTTGCTTCTTTCACTCCACATGTCTATTTTTATTTATTTATTTATTTTGAGACGGAGTTTCGCTCTGTCACCCAGGCTGGAGTGCAGTGGCGCAATCTCGGCTCACTACAATCTTGGCTCACTGCAAGCTCGCCTCCTGGGTTCACGCCATTCTCCTGCCTCAGCCTCCGGAGTAGCTGGTACTACAGGTGCCCGCCACCACGCCCAGCTAATTTTTTGTATATTTAGTAGAGACGGGGTTTCACTGTGTTAGCCAGGATGGTCTCGAGCTCCTGGCCTCGTGATCCACCAGCCTCGACCTCCCAAAGTGCTGGGATTACAGGCGTGAGCCACTGCGCCCGGCCCACTCCACATGTTTGAGAGGGCATTTGCATTTGTATTTGAGGAACTTCGAAAGGACATTTGCATTGTGAAACTGACTTTTCTGGTCCATGAAAGATCCTCATTCATGTCTTTTAATTATTTTATAATTTTTTCCATGAAAGTCTTTAAATTTTTAGATTTATTCCTAAAACTTGACTTTTGTTTGTTTTTAACCTTGTTTTAAACAAGGTCTTATTCAGTTGCTCAGGCTGGGGTACAGTGGCGTGATCACGGCTCACTGTAACTTCAATCTCTCAGACTGAAGCAATCCCACCTCAGCCTCCTGAGTAACTGGGACTACAGGCGTGCAACACCATGCCTGGCTATTTTGTTAAAATTTTTTGTAGAGACAGGGGTCTCACTCTGTTACCCAGGCTGGTCTCGAACTCCCGGGCTCAAGCAATCCTCCTGCCTCAGCCTTCCAAACTGCTGGGATTACAGGAGTAAGCTACTGTGCCCAGCCAAAAGTTCTTATTTTGAGGCTTTTTAATGTTTTGTAAAGATAGGGTCTCACCATGTTGCCCAGCCTGGTCTCAAACTCCTGGCCTCAAGTGAACCTCCCATCTTGGCCTCCCAAAGCGCTGGGATTACAGGCGTGAGCCACCACACTTGGCCTTTGAGGCTATCTTAAAATTTGTTTTGTTTTGCATAGAAATGCAATTTTTTGTTTGTTATGAGACGGAGTCTCGCCCTGTTGCCCAGGCTGGAGTACAATGGTGTGATCTCGGCTCACTGCAACCTCTGCCTCCGGGGTTCAAGTGATTCTCCTGCCTCAGCCTCCCAAGTAGCTAGCATTATAGGTGCATGCCACCATGCCCAGCTAGTTTTTTGTATCTTTAGTAGAGATGGGGTTTCCCCATGTTGTCCAGGCTGGTCTCAAACTCCTGGCCTCGTGATCTGCCCGCCACAATTGTTTTTTATGTGTTGGGTTATATCCAGAAACCTTGCCTCCCGTCAACCTAAAGTGACATCAGAGTGTTCTCCTAAGAAAGAGTTTATTCAGGAACAGCAAGGGGATTGCAGTCAGGATATGCGTGCTACACTGGAAGGCATTTTGGGGGGTGTTCGCGATAAAGGCAACACTTTAAAAGGCAAAGAAGTCCATGTAAGCTGCTCTAGAACGAAGTTCACAGGTCACAGCAGCTCCTGGCAGGAGGCAGTACTGTTCACCGCAGGAGTGGCCGTCACTGGGCGGGCGCCCTCGTCGCAGTCCCGAGGGTTCTGGGGTGAGTTCTGCTACAGGCAGGTCTTCGAGAGCTTCTTCACGGCCTCCCCTGACTCATTTTGTACCAGCAGCTTCCACACTCCTATGATGATGATTTACCTGTGAATTTCGGGGTTTTCTGTCATCATATCATTTACAGATAGTAACAGCTGAATGTCTTCTTTACAATCGTGCATGGTCCAGCTATTTCCCCTAGCTTGCGATGCCAGCTGTGACATGTGGTAGAGAGTTGAGCAGAGAGGATGGCAGGGGCATGGGCCAGCTCCTGTCTGAGGGAGTGGTCAGCTGCCCATCACTGCCTCTTGGCTCCAGCCCCACCCCAGCTGCCCCTCTGTGATCCCAGGTGTCTCCCTTCCAGCTGACGTGGACCCGAGGGCCCCAGGAGGAGGGCAGAGCTGGGCTTCCTGGTTCCAGGGGTTTTGAGGGCAGATTTCTGATTTCAGCAGCACTGGGTGGCTGCACAGCCCTTTCCCTGGGCGGCTTTCCCAGCTCACACCAACACAGGACGGGGTCTTGGGGTCCTTCCTTGGCTGTGCCCTTAGTCTGTGGCTCCTGTAGTCTCTGGCCAACCCTGTCCTCCAAACACTGCTGGAGCTCATAAGCCCATAGAATGCTGCCTCCTGGAGTTCTGCAGGACGAGCAGAATGGACCACAACCCTGGGTTCCCAGCGTCACTCACTTTGGTCCATGTGAGGCCCTCTCTGATTTATTTACTCATTCATCCGTTACATTCATCCAGTAAATATTTAAAAACATATAGCAAGTACCTATGAAGAGAACCCCTGGTTCAAGAATAAAATCATTAACAATTTCATTCCCCTCTGGACTCTCCCTGACGCACCCCCACCCTGGGTGACCCCTCTTCTGATTTGCAGCCAGAGTGCCAGCTTCTGCTGGAAGCTCTGCAGTGCCCCATCACTCCCAGAACAAAAGTCCTAGAGGGCACCAGGCCTGCCCCACAGGTTTGTGACCTTTCCTTGTTGCACAGCCCCTCTGGTAGCCAGGTACAGCCGAGAGATGCCGCTGAGTAAGGTAAAATGCATGCATTAAAACATGCACGATTGCCAAGGAAACCAGCTGCACTGAAATAGTTATCACAATCACCCGTAAATGGTGATAGAGGTATATGTAGGCACCTTTATTGACACTAAATGGTGAAATATACGCAAAACAGGCAAGTTGTTGGTTTAGGCATAGAGCCTGTGGGCCGAGGGTGGGTGGTCTCCCACAAGGTTGGCCTTTTTGAGCACTCAGAAGCCCCTGGGAGGCCCCTCCGCCTCCTCCATGGCCCGGCTCCAGTGACACCTGCCATGGGCCCACACTGCCCCCTGTCTGTGTGGAGGGGTCAGTGTGGGCTGCCAACGGGTTAGGTAGGTCTGAGCCTTGTTCCAAGTTAGGAGCAAGCTGGGGGAGGACCTGTTGCAGAGGACAGAGGGGTGGGTGGAAGGGGTCGGTGGCTATCACAGCATGGATGTGTTCCTGGGAAGGATGTGAGGGTGTGTTTGGCAGGTTCCTAGCCCATCACTGCTGTGTCCCAGCACCAAGGACTTGGCTGGCTGGGTGGGTGGGTGGGTGGGTAAATGGGTGGATGGGTGGATGGATGGATGGATGGATGGATGGGTAGGTAGATGGATAGGTGGGTGGGTGGGTGGGTGGAAAGATGGATGGATGGATGGATGGATGGATGGATGGATGGATGGATGGGTAGGTGAATGGATAGGTGGGTGGGTGGATGGATGGATGGATGGGTGGGTGGATGGATGGATGGGTGGGTGGATGGATGGGTGGGTGGGTGGATGGATGGATGGATGGGTGGATGAATAGGTGGGTGGATGGATTGATGGATGAGTGGGTAGGTGGATGGATGAATGGATGGAGGGATGAATGGGTGGGTGGATGGATGAATGGGTGGGTGGATGGATGGATGGATGGATGGATGGATGGACGGACGGACGGACGGACGGACAGATGTGGATGAATGGATGGATCAGTGGCTGGCTATGTCGATGGAGTACGCATATGTCCTACTTTCCGAAGCTGTGCCCCTTAGGGTGGCGTGGCCCACTAGACCTAGTTTCCGCCTGGCTCCAGCTCCCTTGCTGTGTAACCTGGGGAGGTCTCTGCCTCCAAGGGGGCTCCTGTGGGCTTGAGGCACAGGAGGCTAGGCAGCACCAGGTGCACCTGGCACAGGCTCATGCCCAACTCCAGGGGTTTCAAAAGCCAGGCAGGTCCTTGCACCCTTCTGTGTCTAGTCTCAGCATCCAGATGGACCAAGCCCCAAGTGTTGCTGGAAACCCCTGTGTCCAGAACCCCCAGGCAGCCAGGACACCAAAGTGGAGAGGGGCCAAAGCCTGCATGCCCCCTGACCCCAAGGCACTGCCTCTGCCTCAACCTCCCCCACTTCGCCCTGTGCCAGCCCTGGGTACCCTCCCTGCAGGCCGCGTCCCTCGCCACCTGGCCTCCTGTCTTCTGGAACTCAGGCCCTGCCCCCTGCTCCCAGCCTCCAATGCCCACGTCCAACAGGACTCTGCTTCTCAGCCCCACCTCACCCCACAGCCGTCACTCAGGCCGCATCAGTACCCAAACGCCCCGCCGCCGGCAGCCGTGGGGCCCCAGGGAGTGGCGGGCTGGCAGCGGCACTGAGGGCCTGGGGTTGGTGGCCCAGCTGGCTCAGGCCGCCTACAATGCGTGTGGCCCTGCCAAGGAGGCAGACAGCCCTGAGCCTTAGCACAAAGCATTTTAG
Organism: Homo sapiens; assembly: GCF_000001405.40. NCBI lineage: Eukaryota > Metazoa > Chordata > Mammalia > Primates > Hominidae > Homo > Homo sapiens. Next base: position 46,679,766 of record NC_000022.11, on the reverse strand, counting down.
GTTTATTTAAATAAAAATTATAATTTATACAATACTTTTTCTTTAAACAAACAAAGTTTTCTTAAAAAAATGTTACAGGAGAATTTTTTTCATCGGTTCTTAATACAGTACAATCCTTTTGTTGAACAAAAGTCACACTGGCAATGATTATTTACAGATCCAAAATAGACTCAGGCTTCAGACATAAAAAATTTAACATTCGTCTAGTTCAGTGATTAGTCACAGAAATTAAACATCTGCCCAGATGTACACAATTTGGTAAAAACTACAGCTTCTCTCCACGGGGAGCCCAGAGCCCGTGCCGATCCGCGCTCCGCTCCCGAGGACTTCCAGGGAGGGGCCTGTGCTGGCAGCAGAGCCAGTCGGTGGCCCTCCCCCGACCCCCCGCTCCCCGAATGTGGCCCTCCCTGGGGGCTTCGGCCACACCTGGCACGTGGTCAGTTTTCATCTCCCTTTCTCCACAAAAGGGACTCGAACTAAACCACCCGACGCTGGTAAAGCCCCATCTGCCCCAGGGACCCCTCCCGCTGTGTTTGGGGACTGAATCCCAGCACCTAGGAAGAGGCGCTCATTGGCCCCGAGGCCCCGGACCCATCCTTGGGCACTGCCGGGCCCTGGGGAGAGAGGTGTGGCCATTGTCTGCGGGCACTGCCTCTGCAGCCGCCCCTGGGGGTGGGTCAGTGCCCACCCTGTGTTGCCTCAGGCGCCAAGGTGGGGTTCACTGGGATATGTCCCCCTCCCCTGGTGCACCAAGAGAGCCAGTCCCCTACAGGAGCCAGACCCACGGCTCAGAGCGGGTTCTGTCCCCATTCGGGAAAGGCCGCCGTGTGGTCATCCTGACGCCAACGTCCGCGCAGTCCAGAGCCACGGGGGCTCCGCTCCACCGCCTGGGATAGGACATGTGCTTAATCTGGTGATCGGCGCAGCTCCCCCCAAAGCACCCCCGGCACCAGCGTGTGACTCTGCGGCCCCTCGTGAAGGGGGTGAAACCAGCCCATGCCGCCGGATCCCTCACCCACACCAGCAAATGAGGATCGGAGCAAAGATAAAAATTACATCTGAAAAAGGATACAAAAATAAGAAAACCAGCTTGCTCGCTGTAAAAAATAGAATCTTCTGTTTCTTCAAAAAACAACAATCTCAACGACACCCAAGGGACTCAGGACAAGCTGAGGGAGCTGCGGGATCCGCCCCAGCAGACACGCAGGCCCGCGGGGTGGCCACCTCCTTCCAGGAGGCCCAAGCCGCCTTTCCCTCCCTTCAGCCCAGCGCAGGCGGCCCCAGCAGACCAGGCCTGCGGGCGCTCCCTCCACAAATGCCACCTTGTTCCCGGGAAGCCCAGGCTTCCCTGGGGCAGGGCGGGGGCTGGGGGGGTCTGTGCCCGGACCGGCACCGGCTAGGCACGCGGGGGAGGGAACGCTGTCGCATGTCGGCTGCAGGCAGTGCAGGCCCAGGCCTCTGGGCTCGGCTCACGGTTGCTCCCTAAAGCACAGGGGCTGCCAGAGCCTCTCGGATGGCCCAAAGGCGGCTGCAGCCTGGGCCACCATGGTCCCGGAACACTCCTCCCCACTTCCTCCCCCAACCAACCCAGGCAACCGCAGCCTGGGGGCCATGTGCCAGACATGCCACAGTGCTCGGAGCACCTCCAACAGCCTTCGCGGATGTTCTCCTGGGCCTTCCAAAGAGCAAAGTGTGAGAAAGATGTGCTTTTACCTGCACCATCCTGTGCCCTTACTGGTCCCCAGCTACAGACCTCCTGGCCGGCGTGTCAGGCCGAGAGCAGCAGGCAGGCCCTTACAGACGCGGTGCTGAGCGCCCTGGAGGCCAGCAAGGAAGGTGCCACCAAAGACACTGAGGGCAGGCGAGGGGTGGGCCCTTCTCACCCTCTCTGTTCCCGTGGAGCGAGTGTGGAGCGCAGGCAGGGTCACTGCGCCCGGCCCCAGCCCGGCACCAAGGGCAAATGCCACAGGAGGGTCTCATGTAAGAGGAAGGAGGGCCGCCAGGCCCGTTTCTCGGTGGTTGGTGAAAGGCCCCCATGTCCCTCCTTGACGACATCTTTCTGTCCCCAGGAGGAAGGGCCCCGCACTCTTCAGCTATGGCTTTGGTGGTGGACGAGCTTCTGGCCTCTGGAGAGCGGGACACAAGGTTGCGAGAACCTCTTGGGGTGGCTGGAGAGGTTTCTCTGTCCAGGCTGGAACGGAGAAGGGCAGGGCCAGGGGTCCTGTGTGTCTTCTCCACGGGCCCCCGAGGGCCTCTGCCCCCTCCCCCAGTCTGCGGGTGGCCCTCAGAGGCACCTGACGTGCCCTGTGGGAGAGGGGCACCCCCGTCCCTGTGAGCCCTGGCCCCTTCTTGGTCGATAAAACGCAGAGGTCAACACAATAGAACCACAGGTCCAGGAGAATTATTGCAAAAGCTCATGAGGATGTCCAATTGTTTCCACTACCAAATCGTAAAAAAAAAAAAAGAAAAAGAAAAAGAAAAAGAAAATTCCAGCAACGTCCTGGGCAAGTCAATACTAGCTGTCCCCGCCAGACGCTGCCGCTGAGGTGATCTTGATGTACTGGCTGAGAATGGTCTCGAAGGCCTCATCCCTGTGCACCATGGCACCAAACACGAGCGGCTGGCAGGGAAGAAATGCCACCAGTGAGCATGGCACAGCCAGGCTGGCGCCAGGACCAGGACCGAGACGAAGTCCAACACCAGCCCCAGGCCAGCACGCTAGTCACGTGGGTCTGGGTGCAAAAGACAGGTGTCTCCCCACCACCCGGAGCCAGGCTCCAGCCTTCAGGGGAACAGAGCCAAGAGGCAGAGGGGAGCCAGGCTTTAGCCCCGTGCCTCCCTCCTCCCAAGTCACTGAGTCAGGGGACCCCTGTGCCCAACATCCCTGTCTGTCCGGTGACTCGATGGCCCCAGCAAGATTTCCAACCCAACCTGGACGCAGCCCCAGGCTCTAGCTGCTGCGAGGGAGGGGGCGGCTTTGTGACCCTGCTGCCCAAACTAAAACTCTGGCTGTCTGCCCCACGCTGGTCCCAGGGTTGCTCAGAGTCAGGCCCCTGGGCCCACACCAACCCCTTGGCGGCCCCCCGCCCGGCACCTACTTTCTGGGTGGATGGCGTCGACACGGCAATCCCCATGCCTGAGCCTGGGAGGACAGACAGGACCTTGTACTGAAAGGCAAAGCGTGGCCGTCACCACAGGTCTCTCCTGGGGACAGGGAGGCACAGCCCTCCACAGGCCCAGGGCATCCTCCTCCACTGGGCACACAGGCAGCAGGGCCCACGGGCACCTGGGACTTCCAAACAACAGAAGGTAAGGGCCTGTGGACACCTCCTCACTTTGTGGCCGAGACACCAGACCTGTAAAGGGTCTGTCCCACCCCAGCCCAGACCGTCGGCCAGCTGGCCTGAGGAAGGTCAGAGACAAGCCGGCCTGAGGAGGCTGACGGTAGGCACTCAGCCCCAGAACTCGCTCTCAGGGCCTGGCACCAGGAGGGCCATCTGTCAGCACCGCCAATCCCAAGAGGCAGGCGGAAAGGACCCCAGCCCTGAACTCACCCCTTCTGGTCACCTGACTGCACGCTTTTTTCCAGAGCCGGGTGGGAGAGATGACCCACAACTGCCGTGGGGCCGGGAGTGCCCGCCGTGCCAATGCGGACATGCCCAGGACGCTCGGAGCTGGGAGGGAGCTGGGGGCCCTGACCACTCGGGCCAAGTGTGCCTGCCAGTGCCTCACTGAGCCTTCCCTGCCCCAGAAAACAAGGGACCACAGGCACTTGTGGCCACGCCCACCTGCTCATTCCATGCTACGGTAAAATGCTGAGAAAATGCCCAGAGCGGGCGCGACCATCTGAGCTCCCACCTGAAAACCTGCATCCGAGGCAGGGGCTCAGGGCCCCTGTGCTTTTCTTTATGGGGAGGGTCCCAGATACGAGGGGAACACAGCAGCCAGAGTGGGGCTTGGGTCCTGACCTCCTGGGCTCCAACCCAGCCCCTCCACTTTGAGACACACGGTCCAGGCAAGTGGACCCCAGGGCAGGGGCAGACCCACAGGGACATGGGGACTCAAGTCAAGGAAACGGACCATGGCCGGCCAGCGTGGCCGCGGCGCCCAGATGCTGACAGAGGCTGGCAGAAGTCTATAGGGAAAGCCTCGCCAGCCTCTGTCAGGTGACGAAGAAAACACGGGGGTTAGTGGGGGTGGGTAGGTGCACCAACCTTCTGGATGTCCGTGATGTCCACTAGCTTGATGACTTTGTTCCTCTTTGAGGACCCAGATTTGGAGCTTTCGAAGCACAAGTAACTGGAAGGGGAACGGACAGAGGCGTCGCCTGGCTCTTGAACCAGAGCACGCTCCCACCAGGTGGGGGTCTCCCGGGGCTGCCTCTCAGCCCCCAGTGGGATGGACAGTGGTGCTCCCTTCCCAGCAGACACAGAACCGGTGAAACACTCACGGCCACTGCTCTATATGAGACACTCACGGCCACTGCTCTGTGTGAAACACTCACAGCCACTGCTCTGAGACACTCACGGCCACTGCTCTGAGTGAGACACGGCCACTGCTCTGAGACACTCACGGCCACTGCTCTGAGTGAGACACTCACGGCCACTGCTCTGCATAAGACATTCACAGCCACTGCTCTGAGTGAGACACTCACGGCCACTGCTCTGCATGAGGCACTCAGGGCAACAAGGACTCAGGGCCTCAGCAATAGCAGGTCCCCACACGGTCCCCTCCTTGGGAGACTCTGCCCCTCGTCTCCATGAACTGCTTGGGCCCCAGAGAAGACAGCATCCCCGCCAGCCTGAGGGATGGCAGCAGTACAGCCCAGGCCACGTCCGGCTTGGAGACAACACCTTTTCCCTGGGAGCCCAGACAGCCGGCAAGAGCAGAGCATGGGAGAGGCCATGGCCACCACTCAGGAAAACCTGCACTGGGCCAGCCACGCCATCCCAGGGCCTAGGCAGCCTCCTGCGCCCCCTCCCCTGCAGCCACACAGGGCCCCACGGCTGCACTCACTTCTCCGTGACGTAGAGCACCCCGTTCCTGATGTAGTCCGTGGGCATCTTCCGGTCCCTGTTGATGAGGCAGCAGCGCCAGCCATTCTCGCACACTAATGGGAGAAGGCCCGCCTGTCACACTTTCCACTGGAAGTACCCAGCCTCTGACCTGACGCTGGGACCCAGGAGCCTGACTCTCAGATCCTGACATCCGCCCACCGCGCTCACGTCACACCCACAGTGAGAGGAAGGCGCGCCGGCAAGAGTGAGGTGGCCCCAGAGGGTGGAAAACAGATGTTTCCTCTTCAACAGGCACTGGCAGGGTTTTTAAAGTAAAAGCACCCAGGCAGAGCAGGGAGCAACAGAAGTCACAGTGTGGCCGGGACACCACCTCCAAGACCGGCAGGGTCAGGGCGCTGGGACACCACCTCCACCAAGACCGGCAGGGCCAGGGCTCAGCAGAGGACGAAGCTCCGTTCTCCGCAGCTGCCTCTGCAGCCGCTCATCACACACCTCGAGCTGCCCGGTTTAGTTTAACAGGCCCTCCCTTTGGGAAAGCTGACCTGTCCCCAGGATCCTGAGTCACCTGTCCCCTGGTGGCTCTTGTTTCTCCAGACACGATGGAACCAGGGGCAGACCCCCTGCCAGCGCCCTGCAGGCCCTGAGGCCTCGCCCTGGACTCTCTCCCCAGTGTGTTGCCTGCACGCCTGCTGTCAGGGGAGTGCTGCAGCGTGGGCGGCTCTCCCCACGGGCACGCCCTCCTCCCCTGTAGCCCGCAGAGTCCTCATGACCCCTGGCTCCTGCACTCCTCCTGGGGCAGTGGGATGTGAATGCCATCCTGAGGGCTCCTCTGGCCTGTCACAGGGCGACCCCGTCCTGCATCCACAGCGCCCCCCTCACGGGCCTTCAGTCTGTGTCGGCGCTCGGCCTGGCCTCAGACTCACGGCACACATACCCGCCAGCGGACGCTCGTTTTCTGTCAGATTGAAGATCTCGTGGAAATTGCCCTTCTTGGTGCTGTGGAAGCGACCGGCGTCCTCCTCTTTACCCAGGCCGGCCGGTGCGCTGGGTACGTAGCTCCGTGACGAGGTCGTCTGCAGCTGCCAACGGCAAACAGCGTCGAGGTCAGGCCCGCTGCCCACGCCTGCAGCACCCAGATGTGCTGGCCGCACACACACCTCCCCAAAAGCTGGGATCCAAATTTGGGAAGACGTTCCCGAGGTCCCTTCCGGCCCAGAGCGGCTCCTTCTTCCAGGCAGGGCCACCTCACCTCAGTGGGGAGAGCCCAGCAACCCTCCTGACTCATCTGAGCCACCCCGAAGGGAGCACCGAGGCCTGCTCATTCCCCGTGGTCCTGGCTGGGATGCTGTGCTGCACATCTGGAGGGCCTGTGACTGTGAATGAAATATGGCCCAGTGCCAGGCTGTGGCTCCAAGGGGGCCCTTCTCAAACTGCCTGGTCTCAGCGCCAGAGCCTCACTGTCAGGGATGGCAGGGGCCGGGCACCCCCATGGAGTGGTCACTCCCAGGCCTGCTGGCTCTCAGTCATCATGGCCAGTCCCCAGGTGTTGCCCTGGGCTTGGGAGGGGCTGGATGAGCCTCAGAAACCGCAGTGGTAACAGGGAAAAAAAAAACCCTCAAGTTTAAGGAGTCTATAAAATTGAAGAAACAGCCTCTAAATGAGCCGGAGGTGAACAGAGCACTGTGGGCCTGGGGATGCCCGGCTTCGTGGCCCCCCATCCCCCCATCCCCGCAGCTGGGGGCCGGGCTCACCCTGCGTGAGACTGCGGCGCTGGAGCGCTCCTTGAGCTGCGGGTCGGTGGGGAGACTCCTCCAGATGATATAGGGCGTGTCGTACTTGGCGCGCAGCCTCGGGCAGCGTTTAAAGATGAAATCAATGAGGAAGAACTTGATACCAGCATAGAGTCCTGAGGGCAGGGGACACAGCCTGCTCCATCTAGAGCTCTGCAGCTATGCCAGTCTACTCAGGGTGATGGTTCCGGCACCTCCCACCTCCCAGATTGGCACCCTCCACCCTGAGCCTGGATGTGAGAGTCCAGCTGCTCGCTCAGTCCTCACCCTGGATACCCCCAGCCTCGCTCCCCTGGGGCCCATTCGTGCTGCACAGTCTCAACCCCAGGCGAGGGCCCCACTGCCAGCGCCCCACCCACTCCCACTAAGACCCCTCAGCTCTGCTAGGACCCCCCCATCCAATGCCCCTCACTTCTCTCTCCAACTCCGCCTGGCTCAGGGCTGTTCTTGACCCACCTGAAACACTTCAGGACTGTGCCTCCTCTGCCCCAATTCCCCACACCTGACACCAAATCTGAGGTCCCTCCATGGCAATCCCTCCCCAAACCCCCTCCCACCTGCCCTTCTTCAACTGGGTGCCCCCCCACGCCCAGCCCATCCCTGCTGAGAGGCCGCCCATGACCAGCTGCTCAGACGGCTCCCAGCCACGCCCTCGCAAGTTCCCCTCCACCAGCTCCGTTTTCTCCCCGATACTGTCACCTGACACAATCATGGTCAGTCCCCCTACTAAACACGACCTCAGAAGAGCCAGGCCTGACTGCGCCCCAGGACCCCACCTGGCAACAGATGCAGGGATGGGAGGCGGGGCCGGCCCCCACACACCTGCTAACGCACCCCCCTGGGCAGCAAAAGCTGTCAGGAGTTCCGGTCTCTCCGGGTGCCCCTCCCAGTGCTGGGGGCTGTCTCGCTGCCCCCAGTGCACAGCCCGCCAGACCAGACCAGACGTGGCAGGCCCTCCCTGCAGGGGCCCCAGGGTCAGAGTTCCATGTACTATCTGTGCTATAAAGGGACTGATAAAGCTGTGCCTTTGTTTCATTTTTTGCCTTTGTAGGACATTTTCACAGAAATTCATCAATCAAGTCAGACTTTTTGACCCCAATTCTCAACTTGTTGATTCTTTTTTTTGAGACAGAGTCTTGCTCTGTTGCCCAGGCTGGAGTGCAATGGCTTGATCTCAGCTCACTGCAACCTCCCGGGTTCAAGCGATTCTCCTGCCTCAGCCTCTCGAGTAGCTGGGAGCCTACCACCACACCCGGCTAAATTTTTTATTTTATTTTATTTTATTTTATTTTATTTTATTTTTGAGACGGAGTCTTGCTCTGTCGCCCAGGCAGGAGTGCAGCAACATGATCTTGGCTCACTGCCAGCTCCGCCTCCCGGGTTCACGCCATTCTCCTGCTTCAGCCCCCTGAGTAGCTGGGACTACAGGCGCCTGCCACCATGCCTGGCTAATTTTTTTTAATTTTAATTTTAATTTTTTTATTTGAGACAGAGTCTTGCTCTGTCGCCCAGGCTGGAGTGCAGTGGCGCGATCTCAGCTCACTGCAAGCTCCACACGCGGCTACATTTTGTATTTTTGGTAGAGACGGGGTTTCACCATGTTGGCTGGGCTGGTCTCGAACTCCTGACCTCAAGTGATTCACCCGCCTCGGCCTTCCAAAGTGCTGGGATTACAGGCGTGAGCCACCGTGTCCGGACAACTTGTTGATTCTTGAAAGATGCTAGGTGTGAGGAGGGGCAGGGCCAGGACCACCCCCTTGGCTGACTGGACTGAGCTCCCAGGCCTCCTCCACGTGGTGGCCGACCCAGGAGGGACAGCTCAGCTCAAGAGAGCCCAAGTCCCAGCTGGGGCCATCCTTGCTTGGAGCAGGCAGCCTCTGCCCCTCTAAGCTGAGGTCCCTTGTCAGCACTGCAAAAGAATACATGGGCACCGATAAGCCAGGAATGCCATCTTGGCCCACACCTGGCAGGGTCACCGCTGCCCAGTGGCAGTGGTGATCTCAGGGTGGTTGTGAGAACCCAAACCACACTGGGTGTCACAAAAAAGGACAGCAGGGGCCGGGCGCAGTGGCTCACGCCTGGAATCCTAGCACTTTGGGAGGCCGAGCGGGCGGATCATGATGTCAGGGGTTCAATACCAGCCTGGCCAACATGGTGAAACCTCGTCTCTATTAAAAATACAAAAATTAGCTGAGTGTGGTGGTGCACCCCTGTAATCCCAGCTACTCCCGAGGCTGAGGCAGGACAATCACTTAAACTCAGGGGATGGAGGTTGCAGTGAGCCGAGATCGTGCCACTGCACTCCAGCCTGGGTGAGACAGACTGAGACGCTGTCTTGAAAAAAAAGGACAGCAGGGCAGATGCAGGACACCAAGACCCAGGTGCACACCCCCAGGCTCCCCGTGGAGGGCGGCCTGCCCCGGAGCTGTCCAGGGCCGCAAGTGCACTGCAGCTCTGGAGCCTCGGCACCTGGACCCAGGCCTAGGGGTCCAACAGGAGGTCACAGTGGTCACCTACCCATTCATGAGCCTAGAGTCCTGGGTGCTAGCCAGAGGGGCTCCAGGGCATTGTCGGGGTAAGGGTCTGATCAGATCTGGCTCTGCCCACTCCTGGTGATGCCACCTGATGGCCACAGTGAGCTGCTGTTGGACAGCTCAGCCGTGCTGCGTCCAGAGAGGCCTGTCCTCCCACCAGCAGTTACGCTGGGTCAGGGCTAGGGTCGGGCTTGCGTTATGGTAAAGGCATTCAGGAAACGTGGCAGGGGGCATCTGCTCTTCCACACAGACACAGCCCCCACTGCTCCTCTGCGCAGCACGCCAAGCCTAGACTGCTGAGGGGCCGGGGTCTGACCTCCCGACTCCGGCACGGAGCTCTCCCCACCCCTGGCTTTGTGGCTCCTACAGCCGCACACGCTGTCCTGCGTGGGCTCAGGCGAGTCCCACCTGCCCCTCAAGGACAGGACCCTGGCGGCCTCGCTCCCACATGCCAGTGTGTGGCCCATGTCAGACACTGGATCGTTGTTATTGAGGAAAAGAGAAAGAAAAGAAAAGAAACAAGACAAGACAAAACAAAACAGAAGAGACCAGTCGCAGTGGCTCCCGCCTGTAATCCCAGCACTTTGGGAGGCCGAGGTGGGCAGATCGCCTGAGGTCAGGAGTTCCAGACCAGCCTAGCCAATAAGGTGAAACCCCGTCTCTACTAAAAATACAAAAAAAATTAGCTGGGCGTGGTGGCGGGTGCCTGTAGTCCCAGCTACTTGGGAGGCTGAGGCAGGAGAATCACTTGAACCCGGGAGGCGGAGGTTGCAGTGAGCCGAGATCACGCCACTGCACTCCAGCCTGGGCGACAGAGCGACACTCCGTCTCCAAAAAAAAAAAAAGAGAGAGAGAGAGACAAAAACAAAGAAAAGGAGAAAGACAAAGATAAAGGAGGGAAGCAAGAAAAAAGAAAAGAGAAAGGAGGGAAGAGAGCATGCTGGGCAGCAGTGGATGAGCGCCTCCTGGGGTGAGGGGGGGCCACCACACCCCACCCACCTCCCGGCACAGCCCGGTCCTCACCGCCAGCCACCCTCCTTCCCCGCCGCCAGCTCTGCAGATGAGTGTTTTAGTGGATGAGACCCTTGGCTTCACGTGATGTCACCAAACTCATCAGCTACAACCAACCTCCCTGCACATCAAACCAGGCTCTCAGGCTCTCCATGACTGTCACCCCTAAGCCCACAGGCGCCCCAAGAGGCATGTCCTGCCCAGGGCAATTCCCTGACACCCCAAGTCCTGCTATCCTGGGTCTTGGGTCTTCCAGCTCCTCCCACTTTGCAGGAGACATGGGGGCCTTGGAAGTGGAGGGCTTCTTGATTTAAGAAACAATCACCGTGTCCCTCGATCTCGGATGGGCTTCACTTCTCCCAAATTGAAACATTTGTGACAAAAAGCAGAGGAAGGATCGCCAGGTGAGTTTAACAGCTCTTGCAGACACCTGGCAGACACTGGTGGCATGCGGACACCTGTGTCCCTCCTCCTGAAGCTACAGGCCGCAGGTGCATCTACTTACCCACGGCAAGCCCCACCAGGCGGTAGGGGAAGAAGCAGGAGGCCAGGAAGGCAGCCCAGAGCGCCACATACAGCTTCTGTGTGATCTCCGGCTGGACCCACATGAACAAGCTGGAAGGAGACGGGAGGCTCAGGCCGGGCGGGCGCCGCAGGGCCGGGGTGGGGGGCGGGACTTACTTCTTGATCTTCTCCAGGATGTCAGCCATCTTCCCGAAAAGGTTCTGTGTGAAGGAGAAACAGCAATTACAACAGCCCCCGCTCCTGGGCTGTCAGTCACACCGCGACGCCAGGAGGGCCTCCAGGTCGGGCAGCCCTGAGGTCACTCGGAGCCCTGTGGTCCTGCCCGGCTGCTCCTAGGCCGGGGAAGGCCCAGCTCTGGTCTAGGGCAGAGGTGGCCACGCTCACAGCAACAGCAGACCCGGGCCTGAGTCCTTCCCAGGGGCGTTCAACCCTGGCCAGGGGCGGTGGGGAGGGAGGGGAGCTCCACCCTCGCGCACCGTCCGCAGAGGCTGAATCAGGAGGCCCCTTCCCCAACCACCAGAGTTGCTGTAACGACCATCCAAGGGCAGGGTGACTACAAGTCAGCTGACCGCGGACAAACCGGGCCTGCAGTGTCAGGCACGGCCCTCCCCAGGCAGCAGCGGAGGCCGGCGGAGACCTACCCCTGGCCGGCGTAGACACACCCCTGGCTGGTGCCCATGGCTGGCGCAGACACACCCCTGGCCGGCGCCCGTGGCAGTACCTGGGCTTTCTGGGCGACGTCCAGCACCAGCTGGAACTTCTCAGACACAGTCAGGTCTTCCTTTGGAGGTTCCTTCAGTAAAAGGGGAAAGAGAATTTTCCACTGAAATTTAACAGTTCAGAAAAACCACTGACAAAACAGTGTGGAGCCCTCCCAGCCCCAGGGACTCTGCTGTCCCCACACAGCCAGGGGGGATGGGACATCCCTTGGGGACCTGGCACCAGGAGGACACCCCTATGGGCTGATGGTGACATCTCACCCCGTGCCCCTCACTCTGGGTGCACAACAGGAGTGGGGCAGAGCCGCCCCTGCAATGGCTGAGCAGAGGCTCTGCCTCACAGTTCACCTTCACAGCTGCCCTCCCTCACTTACAGGCAGGGAAACTGAGGCCCAGCCAATGGGAGCCCTGGTCCTGCTTGTCTCCCATTCGTTAAGAGCCTCTCAAGGTCTCCTGGGTCCCAGTGCTGGGCGGGCAACAGCCTGCCTCCTCCAGGTACTTGCCCTGACCCCTGGTGCTCCATGCAAGAAACAGGCACTGAGATACCCAACTAGGCCCGTGGAGGCACCGAGGCCTCCCTTCTGCCCACGCCCAGTGGTCCTGCCCCATGGGCCGGGGTCTCCCTCTAGAGCAGACTTCTGTAAAGGGCCAGACAGTAAATATTTTTGGCTTCCATGGCCACGTGGTCTGTCGTCTACTCAAGGGTAATGCAAAAGCAGCCGCAGCAGTATGTAAATGAATGGGTGTGTCTATGTGCCAATAAAACTTTATTTACAAAGTTAGGCAGTGGGCCAGAGGTGGGTTTTTTGTTGTCGTTGTTCTGTTTTTTTGAGACAGAGTCTTGCTCTGTTGCCCAGGCTGGAGTGCAGTGGAGGGATCTCGGCTCACTGCAACCTCCGAGAGGTGGGCTCTTGAATCTCAGATGGGAACAGGTCCACTTGTCCAGCCTACTGTTCACCACCCTACCTGGGGAGGTTGTGGGGGCTACAGCAGCCCCTCAATGTCCCCCACCCCTGCCATACCACATCCTAGCTGGGAAGCCTGGCCAGGGCCAGGCAATCTGCTTCTTGCACAGCCAAGCCTGGACTAGAATGTGGGGCCGGGCTTGCAGCCTCGCAGGCCTTGGGGCTAGGGAGGGGCTGGCCTCCTCCTCCCCTCCTCTTCAGGCCAGGCCAGGACTCCAGGGGGATGACCACATGGCCTCATCCAGAGGCTTCCCCGAGCGGTGCCTACAGGCTGTGAGGCCTGACGTGATGGAGACAGTCGGAGGAGACCGTGCACCCTCCAGGGACTTACCACGGGCTCAGACACTTCGGGCACGATGCTCCACTGTATCCGCCACCCCCTGGCGAACAGAAAACACACACACCTTTAGGACAGCGCCACCTGAGTCAGGGGAAGGCATCGAATCGCTGGCCCTGCACGCCCAGCTGGGCTTGGAGGGGGCCCTTCTAGGTCCTTCTATGCTGCCCAATGGGGAGAAAAGGTCCCTCCGGAACCCCCTGCTGTGAGAGCAGTCAACTCCTGTCACCCTCACCAGCCCCTCCTCTGGGGCCCTTCTGGGCAGAGGGGACATATTTAAAAGTGGCCAGCGGTGTGGGAGAGGGCGGCCCTTCAACATCCAAAGTGGCATCAGCAAGTGTCCAAGCTGATCCTGACCTAGCTCTGGGTACCAACGACACCTTCCAGAGTATTTAAGTGATTTCTACAAAAAACATTTTCAAATGAGCCAACTGGGGCAGGCACAGAGAACCATCTGGAAACACTGGTGCATAAAAGTGCAAACTTTTGAACGGCCAAGTCAAAGTACAGAATCACAGCTCTTCCCTGAGCCTCGGTGCAAGGCTGAGGTTCACTCCAGGGGTAACCGCAGGCTAAGAAGGACCCAGGAGTGCAGGGACTAGGGGTCCACCCCAGGGCATGGGCTTCCCAGAGCCCCCCTCAGCCTCCACAGGGAGGGGGTGCTCAGAGGGGGCATAAGGGGTGACACGAGAGCCCTGACTCAGGCCAGGGTTGGGGTTAACGCGTCAGTCACACGGGCGTGCTGTCTGCAGGCGACTGGTACTCATTCCCGGTCCAGCTCCTCCCCAGCAGGCTCATCTCCAACAGGCAGCCAGCAGGAACCTTCCGGGGCGTGGAGCCCTGTTTGCTTCACCCACCTACCCACTGATGTTGGGGAGAAGCCCCCTGCGATGTTCGGGCAGGTGCTGGAACGGCCCTGGCTCTGCTGGCCGCCCGGGGAAGGAGCTGCTGGGGGATTTGGGAACTTCCCACTGCCATCTCTAGCAAACCAGGGAGGGGGCAGCCGCCCTGCCTGGGGGGTCTCTGGAGCCTGTCAGGGGACCACCCCCAAAACGTCAGTGCATGACATACCCAGCTGGGGTCACGGTTGTGAGACGCAGGGAGACAGCACAGCCATACATGCGGTGGGATAAAGCAGCTGCAACAAACCGGCTCACCTACCTGGCGATGAGGTAATTGAGGGATAACCTCAGAATTGCTAGAAATAAGAACAATGGGATGGCCCAGCCATGCCACACGGCATTCATGTACACCTGCGGGTGAGAGACAGGGCGTCAGACCTCCTGACAGCTTGGATCAGGACAAGGCACATCCCTCCCGCCTCCCCCCACCAGGCGGCCCCAGTGGGGAGACCAGGCCACCCGCTGGCTCTCCAGACACTCAGGGATGAGGGTGCGTCTGATGGGGAAGCCGGAGGAAGGGCTGCTTCCCCGGTTTAAGAGCCGCCGGTGGAAGCCAGGAGACACCTAGGGAGAAGCGTGTCCTGGGGACAGAAGAGGGCGGCTGGTTCCACATGCGGGTCCTGCCTGCCCCGGTGTGGCTCCCACGCACCAGACTTGGGGCATCACCAGGACTCAGCCTGGCTGGGCGAGGCAGGCAAGCACTGCTGAGGGCGAGCCAGGTGCATGCCCGGGGCCACCTTCATGCCAGGCACCATCTGTGCCCAGCACAGAGCCCGGGACGCAGAGCAGATGTGCACAGGGCAGGGGATGGAGGTGAGGCCTGGAAGGCAGGTTCAAAGCTTGGGCTCATCTCTTAGTGACAACAGACATGGCACAGGAGCGTGTGGGAGCCCAGGCAGCAAAGGCCTCCTGTCGCAAAGCATTTGTGAGGGTGGCAGGAGAAGAGGCCTTCCAGGGCCAGGGTGAAGCCGGTGGTCCCAGCACCCAGCCTTCATCTGTGAGTGAACAAAGTGCCCATGTCCCAGGTGAGTGGTAAGTGCCCGCAGCAGGCACAGGGCCACAGGCTTCAGGGACTTTCCTGGAGAGCCTGACCCAGGCTGAGGTCATCTGGGGACCTCTCCCAAGGGGCCCGCTCAGCAGGGCAGTGCTGCCTTTGGGAGCCCTGGACAGTGCCAGGCTGTGGACGCCTCCTCTCTGGCCTGGAGGCCCTAGCAAGCAGGTGGGCTGCCTGCATCTTCCTCGTGCTGGAGGCACAGTCTCCATCCTGGGTGAGGGGGCTCCCCCCGAGGACCAAGTACTGAGACACAGGTGGCAAGTCTCCTGTCCCGCTGGGGCAGCCGCTGCAGGGCAGTTCCAGGCAGGACGGCTGGGCACCTTTTCCCCAAGGCCCTGGCAATGTGGGCCCTGGCACCCTCCAATCCCTCAGGACTCATGGCTCACAGGGGCTGGGCTGGGCCCCTCGTGCTGCCATGCCCTTGGAGGTACTCCTGGCCCCAGCACCAGGTACTCTGTGGACCTCAGCAGCGTGGCCACCGCACTGCACGGTGAGTGCCAAGAGGCCTTTCCCAAGGGCACCCTGGGGGACAAGGCTGCACCACATCCCTGTCCAGGGAGCCCTGCAGGCTAGCCCCGGGCCACGCCCAACATCTTTGATCCTTGAAGCCACCCCATGGCTGGGCACTGGCATCAGTGAGCCCACTTTACAGAAGGAGAAATGAGCATGTCCCTGGGGCCTGAGGAAGTGCCACCTGGGGGCCACCTCCCACCCTGGGAAGGTGCCTGATCATGTGGTGAATGCTGGCAGGCACATCCCACCCACCCTGCTCGGCCCCTGGAGGACCCACTCACGGTGAAGGCAATGGCAGACGTGTAGACGGAGTACCAGTCGGATAAGGCAGAGAGGTTCTTCACAAAGTTAGTGACCGGCTTGGCACCGCGCTCTGGGGACAGAGCAGACCACAGTGGTCAGCACTGTGGGTAGGAGGCCGCTTAACCACGTCTCCCTGGAGAGTCGGTTCAGCTCAGAATCCCAGAGTCCCCACCGCCATGGGCCCCACCCACACTGAGCATCGTGGGCGCCACGCAGAGCCGCTGGTACTCACTGAGCCGTCTCATATTTTCAGTTAACCTAAGAGAGAAGGGGAGAGATGGGAGCCCAGGGTTAATGCACCCGCCGGCTCTGCAGTCCCCACTGCCCGGTTCCGTTGGCTCTGCAGGGGCCAGGGAGGACGTCTCAACAGCCTGGGACCCCTTGAGTGCACAGAATGGCCATGCACGGCGGCTCAGCACAGCAGGGTGCGCCGGGATGGCCCTCAGTGCCACTCCCCAAGTTAGGAAGGCAGGGGCGACTCGCCAATGAAATCGTCCCCTCATCTCCTGCCTGTGTCCCCAGAACAGAAGTCCTCAAGGGCAGGGCCTTTGCTGACCTAGCTCCCTCGGGACCCCCAGGGCCTATGGCAGCACCTGGCAGGGGAACCAAGGTTTACTGATGGGACTCAAGAGCCAAGGAAGGCCCCAGGCAGTGGGCTGAGCCCCATGAGTCCCCACACAACTGTCACAAGCCACAGCTGAGAGCAGTGCGCGCATGCAGCTCTGCTGCACCTAAGCGGGCCTCGCAAGCCCCTGCCAGGCACGGCCCCCAGAAGACCAGACACAGCGGAGCCTCCAGGAGCTCTCGGCAGCCTCACAGACAGCTTTGGCCCACGGTGATAAAGGATGGCCCACCCGCTGCAGCCTCAGCCCAGGGACCGGGGCCCCTAACGCACAGGCAGCCCCAGCTCGGCGAACCCCTACCTGCGGGCGCTCAGGGGTTCCTCTGTCTCCACAGTGTTCTCCTCGGGCTGGAACCGGAAGTCCTCCACGTACTCCCCAAACCGCTCGTAGAACCACTTCTGCAGGCGCGAGGACAGCCCCTGGCTCCGGCGCTCTGCAGGGGGCAGGGACCCGGTGAGGGCACGGCAGGGCTGCACTGCCTGTTCTGGGGTCGGCTCCGGGATCTCAGGGCAGGGAGGGGCCTCACTGCAAGGGCGCGGCCAGCAGAGGCACAAGGAATGCTCGGGGGTAGGTCAGGGAAATGAAGGGTCCCTGTACAAGGGACTTTGAAGGGCTCAGTCCTCTGAAGACACCAAGTGCAAACCAACCGGCACACAGCAGAGCTGCCCCAGCCATGACGACCTCAGTGCCGGGTCTCTCTGCTTTTCATCCCTGTCCCCAGCTCTCTGCCCGCCCTGGGCTCTCGTCAGCGGGCAGCCTGTCCATCCAGGCTGCTCGGCCCACCTCAGACGTCTGCATCAAACCCCCTTTCTACCTCCGGGTTGTCAGAAAGCAGATGGAGAGGTCACTGCCCCAGCCCTGCATATCCTGAGCATCAGCCAATGGATGGCGCAGCGGGAGGCTGTGTCCTGGGCTGGGGGTGCCTGGCGAGCGCAGCCAGCCCAGGGTGAGCGCACGGTGTTGTCGTGCTGATGACCAGCAATGTTTACCAAAAGCGAACACCTCTGGAAAGCAGCCTCCACGGCGGGAAACCGGAAGAATCCCTCGGAAGGGGGGCTCAGGGGTGCAAGCCAGTCCCTCCCTTCAGAAGGCCAGTGAGGAGCCGCCTGCAGCGGGTGCTGCCTCGCCAAAGTTTTGGGCCCTGGGACCAGAGGGCCTGTGGTCACCATACCCAGGGGGCTGCAGGCTCAGGGCAGAGGCTCAAGAGCCACAGGCCAAGGGGGCTGAGGTCTGTGTACCCCAAGGCCACCCGGGCAGGGAGGATGGGGCCAGGGCAGGCTCCTGCGGCTTCTTCCCGCCCCCAAGGCAGCCTGGCAGAGTTTTTAAGGGGAGGGTCCAGGTGAGATCGGCACACTCGTCCCAGCCGTAAGTGAACCGGCCCGGCTGTGTTCCCATGGACTTTATTTATGGACTGAAATTTCAGGTTTATATTACGTTCTCATGTCATGAAATGAAACCATTTAAATCTGTGAAGCCAGGCGGGGGCTGGAGTTTGCTGACCCCCAGGTACAGGGAACTATGCCGGCTGCCTGCAGGGCGTGGGGCAAGATAAAGAACAGGCACTCAGGGATGGAGGACGAGGAGAGAGATAAAAGGGCACATGAACCCCCAACTCCCCACTCACAGCCAACCATAGCCCCACTGCCCACTTGGTCCCCTTCGGGGAGGCACCAGGGCAGCGGCAGTGACCAGCGTGGCTCTCACATCACTGTTCCGTGGGGCAAGGCTGAAACAGAGTACGTGTGTATTCCCCAAAGAACACACAATCACGCTTTAGTTGAGTGACTGGAAATTTGTGATGACGACTATGATGACTCACCACTTCGCATCAGAGACACTAACCCAGTTCTGACGGGAGGAGATTCCCGGATGCCAGCAGGTGCCTGGGCACAGAACCAGCACCTGCCGCCTGCCCACCTGCTGGGGGAGGGGGTATCTGCTCCATTGTTAACCTGGGCCTACAGAACCAGCAGGTGACGCGCAGCCACCCACCCGCCCGCCTGCCTGTCCACCCGCCCACCAGGGTGTACCTGCTCCATTGCTGGCCTGGGCCTGCCCTTTTGGGGGCTGCTGAGCCATCTGCTCCTCGGTTCTTAAAAAGCAGGGAGAGAAGAGACAAGAGGTCTGTTAGTTCCAAACTCCATGCCCAGTCAGGCACCCCCGAGGGCTCTCGCGACCGTGTACTGCACAGGAGAGGTCAGGGACAGCAGGGCTCTCTCCAGAGTCTCCACTGCTGAAATGCTGGTTCCGAGCGTATCCAGGCAAGCACAGAGCTGCCTTCCTAACAGGCACACGTTTTGTTTTTAAACAACCAGCATCTTTCACCACTCTTTCCTTTCCTATTCATTTTAGCACACTTGCTTCTTTCAACATCATTAAACTCAGAATACTCTCATATCACCAACCCGTCTGCTAATGAAAAGATACTGATCAACACACATGTGTTTATCAGGCACCAAGCCAGGCCACAGGCTGGGTGCCACCTGTCAGCAGCCTGTACCCAGCTCCCAGCTCAGCCTACTCCAGCGACCTGCCTGGACTGGGCAGGGGCACTAGACGGCCACTAGGGTCTGCTTCCGTCCCACACCCAGCCCCTCCAGCCAAGGCCTGTGAGCAGGTGCAGCACAGAACCGGGCCAAGTGCTGTGTGGTCGCCCCTAACCTTCCTAACTCTTGGGAAGCGGGAGTGGGGAGGGAGGAAGCTGGGGGAGGAGTAAACCCTGAGAAGAGAACAGAGGGCGGAGCACAGGGCACACAGGGCACGGCCAGGTAAGCAGCGGGCAGGAAGCAGACAGTGAGGTTTTCAGGGGACTTTGGATCCACAATGGAGAGAATCTCTGCCTACTGACAAGTAGCCTTAAACCAAGGTGACTTTCTGAGAATTTTCTTAAAAACCAAAATAGAGGTTTGCATAAACAGAACTGCTGTGCTTTAATCCTGCAGCTTCAGAGTGTGTGGTATGTGTGTGTGCAGTGTGTGCGCACATGTGTCTGCATGTTTGTGTGTGCCCTCACACACCTACCCACCCTGGACAGACCACAGCCACCCAGACCCACCCCAGATCTGCACCAGGACGACAAGGAAAGAGGAGGTCACTCTGCCTGGGACTGCTCTTCCTTCACCCCTCCTCCTTCAGGCTTCCAGAAGGTTCCTAAGCGCCGCCCCCATGTAAAGCAGGGGAGAGCCCTTAATGCTCCCAGGACCTTCAGCTTCCACTTCCTGGGTCACAGCCTGGATGTTCCTTCACTGCCCATTCCCCACCCATTCCCAAGGCAGAGACTGTGCGAGATGGGGCTCCCTGCGTTCTTACAGCTGACCCGGGCTGGGCACACCTGCCACCAAGGGGCTTTGGTAAAAGATGAGGACCAGATCCTGGAGTGGGGCTGGCGGGAGTGAGAGGATGGGAAACAGAACACAGGGAGCAGGGCCACGGGGACAGCCTCAGGCCACCTTAGCCACCGGGGGAGAAGCAGCGTCCCGTGGCGGGGATGGCACTGTGGCCAAATGCCTGGGGACCGCACCTGTCCCTGGGATCTCCCAGCGTGGCAGGTCAGGTCTCTGTTGCAACTCTACATAATTAAATGTAATTTAAGCTTTGAGCTTCTGTGGATTTTCCCAGAAGGTTCAGCATCAGGTAAAGCGCCTGCCGAGGCCCATGCACCCATTTCTGGTCTGGGAGGTTCTGCCAGGGCGGAATAGGAAAGTGAGGCCTCTCCCTCCCCCACACCAGCTGGATGCCCCCACATGAGCCCCCACATGAGCCCCCCAGGGCACTCCACAAGGTCATGCTGACCTGCAGGAGGCGGGCAAGGAAGAAGTGGGAGTCAGCCCAGCGGATCCCCCGTCTTCCCACACACTAAACCTGAGGGTGCTGAAGGGAGCCGCTTCCTCAGGGCCAGCTAAGCAGCGACACTTGGAGTCCTGACAATGACACACGGCCCCCGGAGCGCTCATAGCAGGCAGTGCTCAGCTGGGGTGTCCCAGAGATGCCGTGTGCCTCCCTAACTGGTGACAGCCATCCATGCAGGTCATGGGGGCCACAGACAAAGGTGTGGCCAATGGTGGTGGGAGGCTGAGGTGGGAGACCTGGAGGGAGGCTAAGTGGAGGCTGGAGGGAGGCTGAGTGGAACCTGAGTGGGGAGGCTGAGGGAGTGGAGTCTGAGGACGGAGGCTGAAGATGATGCTGGGGGGAGGCTGGGCAGAAACTGAGGGTGGAGACTGAGGGGGGAGGCTGAGGGAGTGGAGGCTGAGAGGGAGGCCGAAGCAGGAGGCTGCTGGAGTGGAGGCTGAGAGGGAGGCCGAAGCAGGAGGTTGCTGGAGTGGAGGCTGAGCGGGAGGCCTGGGAGCCAGAGGTGAGTGGCCTGAGCTCCCTGGCCTCATGTACCAGGCACCAGTTTGAACTTGTGCAGAGGGACACGGAGCCTCGTGGTGTTAGCGAGACAGGAGGGCACTGGCTTTGTAACTTGCGCTGGGGTCCTGAATGACCTGCTTCCTGCTGGCGGCACTGTGAGGCGCAGGGCAGGGTGAGGGAGGAGACTGTGAGCACTCAGGGTCCCACATGGGACCCACAAACAAGAGCAAAGATGTCAGGTGCAGACATGCCTCTCTAGGAGCCAGGGCGGCACTGGCGCCCAGGACATGATACTGCTAGGATGGGGGCAGGGGGGCGGGGGCCACAGCGTGGCTGGGGCAGACAGGGGGCATGGGAACACGCACAGGCAGCACTGGGAAGGCAGGTCCTGGGAAGATCCTAAGAGGCCGGGCTGGCCCCCGGGGTGGGGCACTGGGTGGATGTACAGAATGGGGTCACCAGCAGGCCGGGATCAGAGCCATGAGGTGGCTCTGGGGCTCTGCAGGCCCCATGCCAAGCCTCTCTTCAGTTGGCCTGGCCCCAGGCCTGGGGGCTGGCAGGAGCACCTGTGCACCCTTTTCCAGACCGCCAGAGGCACAGGAAGATGACACATTCCCAAGACCACAGCTCATGCAGGCACAGGCAGGACCTATACCTGGGCAGTCAGAGCCGGGCCCACCCTCACACTCAGGCCTCTCCAGGGCCAAGAATGATGCTGCCAAGACGCTATGGGTGCAGCAGAGGACGGCGGGGCGGGTGGGGTGGGGGGTTGGGGCAGCCGCACACAGGCCAGGGCCCCGAGGAAGGCGCGGTACCTGGCCTTCAGCACCTCCTGCACCTTCTGCTCCAGCTCCATCCGCCGCTGCCGCTCGCGGTCCAGCTCCTGCCGCAGCATCTCCGCGTTGGTTTCTTCTCGCAGCTTCCGGAGCTCCTCCTCTATGGGGGAGAGAACGGCCAGGTGACCATCGCTCATGTCCACGCGACCCCGACTCTGGGATGCTGGGGCAGGGGTGCCTGACTCAGAAACAGCAGAGGGGTCTCTGCTCCGTAAGCGGACCTGAGCACCTGACCTTCCTCCAGGGTGCGGGGCGCTCACAGCAGGACATGAACTGGTCCCCATCCAGCCCTTCCTCCTGGGCAGGAGCTAGTAACGGGGCTCCTCTTACATGACTGGGGCAAGAGGTGGGTGAAGCAAGGGTGTGAATTTCCTCACTATGCTTCATAACAGTGCAACACAGAACACAAAAGCCATTTCACCAAGCACCGCCACGCTGAGGACACCTGCGGAAAGGACGCTGACCACACCTGGCCAGCCCACCACACCCACCCAGCGCCTCCATGTGCTGGGTGAGGTTCTGGGACGCGTCGGCAGCAGAGCAAAGGCCCTGGGCCAGCGGGGACAGCCCACAGCTCAAGCTGGCCAGGGGGCCTGAGAAGAGCACGGGGCAGGCTGGACACAGGGCTGCTCTGGGAAAGCCTCGGGAGAAGGTGAGTTCTGAGTCAAGGCCTGGAGGGAACACAGCGAGGCCACAGACCCTGGGAAAGAGCATCCAGGCAGAGGGAGGAGGCAGGGTCAGAGGTCAGAGGTCGGAGAGACTGGAAGACTGAGGATGGAAGGGGCCAGGAGCCAGGGAGTGCAGGCAGCCTCTGGCAGTCAGGACACTTCTACCACTTAAAGACAGGAGAGACGGGGACCCGGCCTCTCTCCCGCTTCCTCTGCCCCATCCCTGCCTCTTCCTCCTAAAACCAACACCGCTGGGTCACCTAAGGGCAAGCCTGAGGCCCTTGCTTCTCCCCCACTGCCCTCCCAGGGCCTGGCACAGGCTCCACGCATGAAGAACAAGAGCAACAGACCGATGAGAGCAGAGAGCTGGCACCTGTGAACGCCCACAGGTCCTCGGTCCTTCTCAGAGGCCTGGGCCACTGACAAGACCCTGCCCAGGCGCTCCCCACCCCAGCCCATCCACCCTCCTCTGTGTGGTGTCCCCTGCCCAGCCCAACCCTGTCTCCTTGACAGGCTCAGGCAGGTGGCCCCAGGGCCAAGGTCACGGTTAAGTTCAGGTGGAACAATGCTGGTTTACGGGGCAGCAGTGGCTTGCAGAACCCAGCTGAGGGTCACCTAAGTGCTGTCTCTCCCCAGAAGGCTGCCTGGCTGTGGCCTATGGTGGCTGAGGGCTGGCTGTGGCCCATGGTGGCTGAGGGCTGGCTGTGGCCTATGGTGGCTGAGGGTCCAGATCAGTCAGCCTCGACTTCAACTGCACAGACCACACTGACCATGGGGCGGACACGCTGAGACCTTATAAAATGGCAATGGCAGCAGGAGAAGAGCGTTTGCTGGAGTCCCAGGAGATATTCCTGAGACAAAGGAACGTGGCTGATGAATTCACCCAGGTTCTTGGGCAGGGCCAGCAGCCAGACCCCACCAGCGTGAGGCAGGAACCCTTGGGGGTCTGGCCAGCAGCCCAAGGCTGAAGGCAGGCTTCTAAGCCTGGAAGTTTCTTTCTGGGTAGGGTGGGAGTGACCCCAGTAGCTTCCTTTCCTGTCCTGGACACCTCACCACATGACTTGGGGCCACAGGGCCATACCTAAGACTCCAAAACTGGGGCCAAGGGCAGTATGACAGCCTCAGGCCCCAGTCCCAGCCAATGTCCAGGAGTAGCCGTACAGAAACAGCAGGGGGCCGTGCCCAGGCAGGGAGCAGCCGCGGGTGGACTAGGGTCAGTAAACCCAGAAGCCAAAGGTCAGCACACCTTCCTGCCCGGCAGCCACAGGCTCACGGTACCCAAAAGGGAAGAGACAGGCACCTGCATCTCACCAGCCCCACTCCCACTGGGGGTGCTGGATGCTGTTACTCGCTGTTACTAACCAGAGAGAAAATATTCGAATTTACCAAGGGCCAGGATCCACTTGCCCAGTGTGGGTGCTGGAGCTCTGCCCTGCTCCCCGGCCCGCTGGGATCGGCCCTTCTCCAAGCATGGTTTCAGTGTCCTTCAGCATCCTGGACTCCCGAGAGCCCCCCAGGGCAGCTGAGCTGGCCTGGAGAAGACCCTCCCCGTGGAGGCTGGGGTGGGGGGCACTGGGCCTGTCCCTGCGGGCTGCCCAGTCTCATCAGGCTGGTTCCCTCCAGAGCTCCCCCTCCCCGCCCCGCCTCCGTTCTGGGGAGAAGCGTCTGGCCCTGGCACGGCTACTTTTCTCCGCGGACGGAGGTCCCCGACCCGCTGACATGGCCAGGCAGAGCGTTAGCTGAAGCCGGTGCCTCCCCAGGGCTCAGGACAGGCTGCAAGGTACCAAGTGCTCAGTCCCGGAGCTGAGCAAAGGCGGGGTCAGAAGGGAGGCAGGTGGCCTCTGCCTAGGGCCTTGGGGAGGCTTCTGGGTCAGAATTAGGGGCAGGGTCCAGCCCGGCCTGGGGCTCCAGTTCAGAGCAGCAGGAAGGAGGTGGCAGGAGCTGCAGGGCCCCTGACCCAGGGCTGTGGGGGACACGTCTCCAGGGCTGAGGGAGCTACCCCCCAGCCCTCTCTGGGCGGCCGGCTGGCTCCTTTACAGCAGAGGGGAGCAGTGCCAGCCACATTTGGGCGGGGGCCCTTCACCCCCTACACATCTGGGGTTCTTTCTTCCAAGATCCCAGATCCATCCACTCTGCTGGTCTCTCAGCTGCCCCAGCCCCATCCCCATGTTCTTAACCGGCCTCCCAGCTCCTGGCACACCCTCCCGTCCGGCTCCAAGCTGAGGTCCAAGGCTGCTTGTAAAGCACAAGCCAGAACTTGTTGCTTTCCCGCTTAGAACTCCTCACCGGGCTGGCAATGAATCCAACTTCCCAGCTTGAAGCTCCCTCCCGAGGCCCCCACCCACCCACTCCCAGCCTCAGCACCCTCCACACCACCCCTCATCTTTGCTTTTTGGGCTTAAGCCACAGAGACCTGCTTTTAGGTCCTCAAATGTCCAGAAAATATTCAGATTTGCCGAGGGTCGGGCCTGCCCCAGGACTTTTGCATGTGCTGGCCCTGCTCCCGAGGAAGCTTCTCTTCCACCCTCCAGGGTAAGCTGTCCCTCAGCCTCAGTCCTGACCCCAATACCACTTCCCCGAGTGACTTCCCCAACAGCCCCCCCATCTGGCGTAGCCTTCTGTCATCTTCTCTCACGGGTCCTGCTCTTTCCTCTTGGGGACATGATTCCCACTCCGTGTGCTGGGTGGGGATTCCCAGAAATGGCACACAACCTCCTGGTACAGTGTGACGTTTCCAAGCCTCCATTACCTGCAGGCCTCCCTGACTTGTGCCCAACACACCCCACAGGTTCCGGAGGAGGGACCACCCCGGTGTCACCATCTGTTCTGGCCCCAAGACCCAGCCTGGCCCAAGGAGAAACCAGCAAGATGTGGGGAAGGGAGAGTGGTTGGGAGGGGAGCTTGGCCAGTTCTCACGTAGTGCGTCTAGCAGGGAGGGCAGATGTGCTGACCAGCGGGCCGTGCACGGAGTGGAGGCAGGCGGGGACTTGGGAATTCGGTGTCACAGCCCTAACACGGGGATCAGTCCACAAACCCCACCCCCTGCAGGGACCTCCACCCAGCCCCTTGCCAACCTTGCATGTGGCACGAGCCCCCAGCCCCCCGCCCTCGTGGAGCCACTTGAGGGCCGGCTCTGGCACACCTTCGTCAGAAATACTCAGGTAATCATCACACGCCGGGCTCTGCCAAGGCGCCGGGACACCACCATGAACAGAGGGGACAACACCCTGCCCTGAGAGGGTGCCTGGGTGGGTCCCCAAGAGCAGCATGGAGCATGTGAACCCACTGCGTGAGCCCGGGCTGGCCCTGAAGCCCTTGGTGGGCGGGTCCATGCCCCAAGGCAGGAGGAGCCTGGGGACCCTTCCTCCGAGGGGTCACACGCCCACTGACAGCCAGGAGAGCCTGGGCATCTTGGCCCACCTGAGATGGATGCTGCCCTCCCACCCTACCCCCCAGCCACCTCCAACAGACCCGATTCTCAGCCTCCTGGCCCCTCTTTCGGTGTGGCTGGCATACAGAAGGGGCTTAATCAAGGCTCACTGGATAAGCGAAGGAAGGAACCAAATGCCCCGTCAGCCGGTGTTTCTCCCCAAAGGGAGCGTCCGCCTGGCTCAGTCCCAAATTCGGAGCCAGCTGGGGAGGGTTCAGAGAGAGCCACGGGGTGTTTCCATCTCATGCCTCTGTCTTCATGTTGTGGCAGTGACTCTATCACGTGGGAACACAGAGGTGAGACAAGTCACACTGGGCAGGCTTGCTCCCGGCAGGCCTCTTGGGCGGAGTAGGCCAAGGCGGGAAGGCTCAGGTACTTTCCCAGGTTAACTCCTAGTACCCACACATCACCTCCTCTGATCTTGGCCCTGTCAAGGTCAAGGCAGCCCACATGCCTCTCCATCCATAGGTCAGAGAGGCACTTTGGCCCCTCCCTGCACGGGTAACAGGAAACCACATTTTCCTAAATGGGGCTGCCCCCTACGCCCCTTCCTGGAGTCACTAAGCTGTGAAAGGGCAGCAGCCAGCCAGGTTCCACCACGCGGCAGAGCACTGGCCAAAGCTTGAGCCAAGGTGGCCAGTCCCAGCCCAGGGACAGATGTGGATGGATGCGGACACGGGTCCCTCCTGGAGCCTGGGATGCCATGTCATGCCTGCCTGTGTGAAAAAGCACACTCACAAGCCTGGGTTCAGAGGTCAAAGGGGTCTCAGGCAGCCGCCCCTCTTTCCACCCTGGACCTCCTGGGGTCAGGCTCTCTGCAGAGCCCTGACAAATGTGAACGCCAGAGCCCGGCCATCTTCACTGCTCAGAGCCCAGAGGACGCCATGTGAACGCCAGAGCCCCGCCATGCTCGCTGCTCAGAGCCCAAAGGATGCCTGGCTCCCGGGGCAGCGGGCGGCACGGCCCCCTCAGCCTTGCAGACAGGGCTCCTCGGACAGCGTGGCAAATCAGCCTGTCCCAGCTTCCGGAAGAGCCATGAGGCTTCCCACCTTTGCCCAGTGTCGTTCCTGATGGTACAAAGACAGCTAAGTAAACGAAACCAGCTGGAGCGTCTGACCGCTGCTCTCCCATGAGTCCTTCCTATCTCTGAGCACACGGCTCCCTGCAAGGCCAAGCTGCTGTCTCTCCCGAAACTGAAATGATGATCACACGCCCCACGACTCCATCGCACCGGCCTGCCTCCTGCCCACCAGCGACACATTCAGGTCAACTGCAGTGTGCCGAGCACAGCTGTATCTTTCCACAGGACAAAGGAGATGCAAATCCCCCATCATCAATTTTTCTTTCTCTTTCCCGAGTAAGAAAAGAAACAGGAGGGCCGATTTCCAGCCCGGAGCAAACTACTGAGCTGCTATTCACACGGCAGATTCCTCTCGTCCAGCCCCGGCCCCTGTCCAGGCACCGAAAATCTGCAGCTGCTGCTGAGGCTCTGGGTTCCCTCGGCCTCCGGAGTGGGCCTCCTTGTGCCCCGAGCTGCTCACAGACACTGAGGACGCCGGGCTGCCCCACCCACAGGCCTCCCTGCCCTGCAGGTCAGGGCCAAGGTGTCCTGCAGGGTGGGGGTGGGAGCGAGGCCACACACAGGGCAGGCCACGGAGCCCCTTGGTGACCTCTGCATTTGTTTCCCATGGCTCACCACCAACACAGTGGCTTAAAACAACACAAACGTATTCTCTTACAGTTCTGGGGTCAGAAGTCCAGCCTGGGTCTCCCTGGGCTGAGCTCATGGCGTGGGCAGGGCTGTTCCTTCTGCAGGCTCCGGGAAGGGGGAGACCCATTTCCTGCCTTTCCAGCTTCCTGAGGCTCCTGTGCTCCTTGGCTTGCGGCCCCCAGGGAGCAATGACGTCACTGTGACCTCTAACCCCACCCTCACATGGCCTCCTCTGACCTTCCTGCCATCTCCTTCTCAGAACCTTTGTGGTGACTGTGCGCCCCCAGATAATCCAGAACCATCTCCACCAAAGGTCGGCGACTCATCCACATCTACAAAGTCCCTTCTGCCATGGGAGGCCACATTCACAGGCTGGGGGGACATGGACACTCTGTGGGGCCATGAGTGTGCCAACCACACTCTCCCTCGAGACAATCGTGTCAAGCAAAGGAACCAAGTGCCTAGGCAGGCTGGGACAGTCCTCTTCCTTCCACCTGGCCCGGCGTGGACTTTCCTGCCCCTGGCAGTCCTTGGGTCATAAAACCACTGGAAGCCCTCCTTTAGTGGGTCCAGGAGCCCTAAAGGAGTACAGCGTCCCTGGCAGCCCCTAGCTCCGTCTCTCTCCCCCCCACCTCCAGCTCCGCCCTCAAAGGCACCTGAAGCAGGATTCCCCAGTGCCGCCACCAAGGCGGCCCCACCAGAAAAGTGCACACCGAGCCTCTCTAAACCCCCGCAGTGAACAGCACGGATGGAGGAGGTGTTCCAGAGTCACCCACGTGGCCCACAAATGCATGACCTGCCACAGCGCATCCTAATGGCAGCACGGGGCACCTGCTCTCCCAAGACCCCCTGCACCTGTCTTGGGCACAGACATGTGCAAGACGTGTGTGAGCAGAGTCCAGGTGGCAGCCATACACGCCGCACAGGGATGGGAGGCTGCCCGGGTGCACCAGGATGCGTGTGATATCACACCTGCCGGGGGCCAAGTCACAGGCGGAGACCCAGGGATAGGAGCCGTGGCCCGCAACATCAGACCAGAAAGTCACAGCCCTGCAGCAGCAGAGAAGCCACCACATCAGAGGCCACAGCTTGTGCAGATCCCATGGCACTGTTTCCAGCCCAGTGAGCTGCGCCTCTTCCAGGGTCGAGGGCCGGCCGAAATAGGCTGAGTGCACAGCAGACCTGGTCACAGCAGCCACCAAATGGCAAGGAACCCAGTGGGAGGCCAGGGGCCCAAAATGCCTGCCCAAGGAGTGAGTCGGAACCTAGAACCTAAGTCCCAAGGGAGCTCCTGGAAAGAGAAATCTGTGCCTGCCTCGTGAGTTCTCATCCAGGGGTCTGCTCCCCCGATGCCTAGGAAGGCACATCAGCCGTCTCATTGTCAGGAAGGAAAGCGAGATGGCCCGGGTACGTGGCACACAGGGAAACCAGGATGGCCACCCGATGGGCCAGGGCCTGCCCCCACTCCAACCTATCACAAGAGCCACTGGGCAGAAAAATATGTCGAGGAGAGGGGAAGATGGAAGGAAGCCCAGGGGACACTCTGCGTGCCCAGAGGGACCCTCAGACCCACAGGCGTCTTGCAGTCAGGGGTCAAGCTCTAGCGCAAGGTTTAGGGACGCTCACAAGGAAGAGTGACTCTGGTCCTGCAGGCAGCCCCACCCACTTCCAGTCAGCACCAGCCACCACTCTCCAAGGAATGAAGCAGAATCAGCCACAGACTAGGAGCCCCCGGGACAGGACAAGAGCCTGGCGTGGCGACACATGGCACATAGAAATCGCCCCCACAGAGGCTAAAGGAAGCCCTGGGACAGCCAGGCTGGTTGTGCACCCACCTGCTCCAGCCTTCACGCCTCCCCAGCATCTGCGAGGAGAAGGGCAGGGACAACCACCTCACTGGTCACTCCGGGGCAACCCCCAGAACGTTCTCTGATGAGTGAACGGCCACGCTGATTTGAGGGGAGGCAAAGGAGATGCATCGGCTCAGGCCTACACAGGCCCAGACTGTGGGGCTGAGGCCCAGCCGTCCACCCAGCCTCAATGCTCAGCCCTCCACCCAGCCTCAATGCTCAGCCCTCCTCCCAGCCTCGACGCCCAGCCCTCCACCCAGCCTCGACACGCAGCCCTCCACCCAGCCTCGACACGCAGCCCTCCACCCAGCCTCGACACTCAGCGCACAGGGAAGTTACTGGGAGGAAGGAAAGCAGTTCTGCGGCTATTTTTAAACCTGTAAAAGTAGATCTCTCAGGCAGGAGTCCTCTTGGCACACGACTGATTCAACAGGCCCAGCCTCACCCAAAAATAAAAATCAAGTGATAATCTTTAAATAAAACTCCTTCCCACCAGGCCAGGGGCGCGAACTCAGAATCCACCCAAAAAGCTGCTCCTGGCCTGGCGGAGTCCCGCATCCCCGGAGGCCCGCACACCCAGAGGCCCCACCTGGCCACCTCCCCCGGACTCTCACCTGAACTCTCCCAGCCCAATTCAGCCCTCCTGCCATCACCACAGGAACTTTCTAGAAGACAGGCACTCCCTCCATCGAATCACCAGGCTGCAAGTTACACTGCAGAGCCCAGAGTACGGCTTCATCTACAGCCACCAGCACAGAGGCAGCCCTTTTAACCCCTTCCTCCCGTGGCCCTCCCTGCTCAGGGAAAACAGAGAATTCCAAGAAATGCCTCGCTTTTATTGTGAAGTTTTGCCTGCATTTTCTCCCTAACATTTATTTATTGCGGTGTCATTTACCGCTATGTGCAGAGATAATGTTTACTGAACGATCAACTGTCAACACTGTCTTGGCTGATAACCAGGAAGGAGCAAGCTTCCAAGTGCGTCACATCCTAATGTTGAAGGCTGCTGAGCACATAGCTGGCCAACCACCGTTTTAGGTACATTTCAGGACACCAATGCAGGATCTAAGGTGGACAGATAATGTACTGACATTTTTACCACGTCAAATAAGAAGAACTAGGATCCCAGCCAGGGTTTTCACCCAGAGCAGCTGGTTTTCAGAAACCGACGCCTGCCTCTCCCTGTGAGAGGCACGCGGCATCTGACAGCCTGTGGGCTGGACTCTGGGGCTCCGGCCCAGCACGGAGCCAGGAGAGTCGTGTGCTCGACAGCACGTGCCATCCCTCGCCCCCACAACCTCCCTTTCCAACCAAGCGCTTGGCACCCAGCAGCCAAGCCCTCCAGGCCCCCAGTCCCTTCCCACAGCAACAGGCTCTCTGCCAAGCACCTGCTCCCTGCTGAGTGTGGGCTAGGGGCAATCAGGGACACTCCCCAACTCCAGTTCCAGCTGGTGACTCTAGGCCCCAAAGCACTAGGAAGCAAAGGTGGCACAGATAAAACTGCATCTGGGACCAAACACCAGACAGAATGGGAGCAAGGTGGTGCATCTGGAGCTCTGGAAGGTGGCCAGTAAGGCCTTAAAGTATATGCAAAAGAGTATGCCTGGTGGAGGAAACAGCCTATTGGTTCATTTGTCTACCTATCCATCCATCCATCCATCCATCCATCCATCCATCCATCCATCCATCCATGCATCCATCCATCCATCCATCCATCCATCCATCCATGCATCCATCCATCCATCCATCCATCCATCCATCCATGCATCCATCCATCCATGCATCCATCCATCCATCCATCCATCCATCCATCCATCCATCCATGCATCCATCCATCCATCCATCCATCCATCCATCCATGCATCCATCCATCCATCCATGCATCCATCCATCCATCCATGCATCCATCCATCCATCCATCCATCCATGCATCCATCCATCAATCATTTACCCACCCATTACCAAATCTACCCATTCGTTTGCCTTCTCATTGATGCATCCATCTATCCAATCATCCATCCATCTATCCACCCACATGTCCATCCATCCACACATCCACTCACCCACCCATCTAACCATCCCTTCTCCCATTCACCCACCCATCTGTCTATCTACTCACCCATCCATCCATTCATCCATCCATCCACTCACCCATCCATCCATCCATCCACTCATCCATCCATCCATCCATCCATCCACCCATTCACCCATCCATCTACCCATCCCTCTGCCATTCACCCACCCATCTATCCATCCACTCACCCATTCATCCATCCATCCATCCATCCATCCATCCATCCATCCATCCACTCACTTGTCTGTTCATCAACCCATCCATCCACCCAACATTTACCCATCCATTTACCTAATCTACCTATTCGTTTGCCTACTCACTGATCCATCCATCCATCCACCCACCCATCCATCCATCTACATGTCCACTCATCCATCCATTTATCCATCCACCCATCCATCTTTCCAGCAATGCATCCATCTACCCATCCACCCACCCGTCCACCCATCTACCTATCCACTTACCCACAGCCATCCATCCATCCATATAGACACACATAAAGTTGTGCGCTGAGCATCCAGTAGCTGCCAGGCTCTGGGCCCAGGCCCTTGGAAATCACAGATAAGGCAGCAGCTACCTTTACTCCCTCCCATATGACTCCAGTTGGTAGATGAATATGACAAATAAGGGTCTCCTTACAGAGCTGGGACATCAGGACATGCCAACTGCTGCATCAGTACTCTCCATGTGCCACGAGAGAGCCCATCTCTGCCATGTAGCCTCATCTACAGATGAGGTGCAGAGGACGGGAAGGCTTGCTGGCCTGGGGAATGTCTCACCCACTGCATGCAGGACCTTGGCTGTGAGGCCAGGGAGCTGGGATGTGTTCAGCAGGGCGGGACGCAGTGACTAGAGAGGTCACAGAGGTGGGCAGTGGTTCCCGACTTAACACTTCCCATGGAATTCAACACAGGCATCATCCAAAACACCTGTCAGACGACAATGCTGGACCCAGGACCTGCAGCCGTTGCAAAACACACAGGCAGGTGTGTTCAGGCTCCCTCTCTGACTTCATCCCAGCCCCTGGGGGCAGCAGGGAGGAGGCCCCCCACTGGCAGGATCAGGGGTTTCTCCTTTGAGGTGTGAGCTCCAGGGACAGGACAGGCCAGGAACTCGGTGTGGTAGGGTCAGCTCACCCCTGTACTCAAAGATCTGTCCTGGGCAATGAAGTATCCCAGGGCCAAACATCCACAATGTGTAATTAAAGAGCAGACAGGAGTTCATGGGGCAATGGAGGTGATGGAGAAACAGGGATTGGGGGCCAACTTCATTTTTTCCTAGGGAAATTCCATATAATATAGACACGCTGCTGTATCAGTGCCACCTGTCTTCATCTTCTGCCTGTCTGCTCCCTTCTGTAGGTCTGGGTCACCCACTCACAGTCGTCACTTATTAAACATGTCACTCTAGGGCAGAACCAGACCAACCCAGTGTCTGGCCCTGGAAGTCTGATATGGTTTGGCTGTGTTCCCACCCAAATCTCATCTTGAATTCCCAAGTGTTGTGGGAGGGGCCCCGTGGGAGGTAATTAAAACACGGGGGCAGGTCTCTCCTGTGCTGTTCTTGTTGTGATCGTGAAGGAGTCTCACGAGATCTGATGGTTTTATAAGGGGGAGTTTCCCTGCACAAGCTCTCTCTTTGCCTGCTGCTATCTGGTAAGATGTGACTTGCTCCTCCTTGCCTTCCGCCATGATTGTGAGGCCTCCCCAGCCATGTGGAACTGTGAGTCCATTAAACCGCTTTTGTTTGTAAAGCGCCAGTCTCAGGTATGTCTTTATCAGCAGCGTGAAAACACACTAACACAGAGTTTAGCTTTTCACCACCAGAGAAACTGTAAGAGCAGAGTTTAAAAGGCCTGAGCCAAGAACCACACCCACAGGCCCAGGTCCAAAGGGGCAAGTCCAGGGACACTGAGTCAACCCCACACCTAAGCCTGTCTCCATCAGGCCTCAAAAGGACACCCCCGCCAGCAGGGAGCTGGCAGCTCCCCAGACCCTTCTGCTTCCAGAAGACTTCAATGGTAAGGAAGGTCTTCCTCACTCTGAATCACCCAGGACAGCCACCTAGAAACTTCCCTTCCGCTCCAGGACCCCTCCATTAAAACTGAGCATTCAGAGGAAGGTCTGCAGGCCTCAGGAAGCAGATGGCCAGCCCCTCCTGCCAGCTTCTTCGAGAAGATCTCCCATGGCGTAAGGGCCAGCCACTCTGATCCCTGTATGTCACAGCAGGAAAGGGAGCTTCTGGGAGCATCAGGGGCTCAGGAGGAAAAGGCAGTCTCTCTCCAAGTCACACTCTTGAGGAACCACTGCCACTGCCCGTGTGAGTGCATCTGCCGGGAATCCACCCGTGTCTGGCGCTACGAGGGTACCCATGCCCAGAGACAGGGCGTGGTAGCCTAGGGGAGCACCCTCCAGCTCAGCCAGGGAGGCATCTGCAGCCCTCTCCAGCAACACAGGAAGAAGAAAGGCAGTCACGAGGGCTCCCCTACACAGCCTAGCAACCGGGAAGCCCCCAGGAAGAGAAGCTCCCTGGCCCCGAGGGTCCTCAGAAGCACTTTCCCCCAAAATCCAAATTCTACATCACAGTGCTCTTGGGTAGAGGCTGTGTGTGCACCTTACAACCCTGGGGAATCTCACCTCCCAGAGCCTGCGCGCAGCAGGTGACTAGTGACCAACAGATGCACACGCATGCACGGCAACCGCGCTCAAAAAGCACTAGCAACCGAAATGCATTTGGGCTAAATAAAAACGCATGATGCTTTTAATTTATTTATGTGCTTCTTTAACAAATTTAGGCTCCTGCCTTCAGCCATGAGCCAAAACCCATTTCAACTTCACATTCTTCATCCTGTGTCATTTGCTTGCAGGAACATTTGTACTCTTCAGGATTTAATCATCAGAGAAGGCTGCGGCACGCTTGGGCCATTTCCTCTCCTCCATGAAGAGTAACACTCTGCTTTCTGAGAGAAAGCACTATAGATAATTGAGTGGGATTTTAACACTGACCACTTAGCTGCTTTACAGGTGGGGGAGCTGAGGCCCCAAACGGGTAAATGCTCACAGCCACCTGGTAACCAGCGCCTGAGTCAAGAATTAGAACTGGGTCCTGACTCCTGAACACAGCTCTCCATGTCAGCACGCCCTCCTGCAGGTCAGGCGAGGCAGAGATGGCCACAGTGGCACACAGACGTTGGCTTAGTGACAACCAGAATATGTCTGTGGGTCCCCAGATTACATAATGTCCTCTCTCACATTCTATATCCTTCTGGGGACTGAGATGGGAGTGAGAATGGGACAAGGCACAGGTTCTGCTGGGCGAACTCCAACTAATCTGCAATTAATCCCTCCATTCACCAAGCTCCCACTATACCCAAGACATCATGCTTGGGGTATAAAAACAAGCTCATCCCATATCCTCCAGGTGCAGACAGCCTGCGAAGAACTATCAGTAACTACTAACATCCTCTACTCCTGGAGACAGTACAACTGTCCATCAACGGAACAAGCAAGGCTAGGCACAGTGGCTCACGCCTGTAATAAACTTTGAGAGGCCGAGGCGGATGGATGGCTTGAGTCCAGGAGTTCAAGATCAGCCTGGGCAACATGGTGAAGCCCCGTCTCCACAAAAAAAAAAAAAAAAAAAAAAAAAAAAAAAAAGGCCATGTGCAGTGCAATGTGCCTATAGTCCCTGCTACTCAGGAAGCTGAGGTGGGAGGATTGCTTGAGCCTGGGAAGTTGAGGCTGCAGTGAGCCAGGATTGTGCTACTGCACTCCGGCCTCAGTGACAGAGCGAGACCCTATCTCAAAAACAAAACAAAGTAAAAAAAAAAAAAAAAAAAAAAAAAAAAAAAAAAAAACAGGGAACAAGTGGACAAGTGGATGAAGCCATGCTACAGTAACACCATGGACACAAATGTAACCCAGAACAGGGACAGGTGTAACCTGGAACAGGGACAGATGTAACCCGGGACAGGGAGAGGTGTAACACGGAACAGGGGCAGGTGTAACACAGAACAGGGACAGGTGTAACACGGAACAGGGGCAGGTGTAACACAGAACAGGGACAGGTGTAACCTGCAACGGGGACAGGTGTAACATGGAAAAGGGACAGATGTAACACGGAACAGGGGCAGGTGTAACATGGAACAGGGGCAGGTGTAACCTGGAACAGGGACAGGTGTAACCCAGAACAGGGATAGGTATAACACGGAACAGAAACAGGTGTAACACGGAACAGGGGCAGGTGTAACACGGAACAGGGACAGGTGTAACATGGAACAGGGACAGATGTAATACGGAACAGGGACAGTTGTAACACGGAACAGGGACAGGTGTAACATGGAACAGGGACAGGTGTAACATAGAACAGGGGCAAGTGTAACCTGGAACAGGGATTATCTCTGTGTACCATCTTGGAGTGACCTACAGGATATAATGTGAGTATGCAGAAAGTGTGAGCACCTTAACATTTACCTAAGCAGGAAGGTAAGAACCAATATAGATGCTCATGTTTATAAAAAATTTCAGTTGGAAGAATACAGTGTAAAATTAGAAGAAAACTGGTTATCTACAGGGGAAGAGAGGAAATGGGGGCGGGGTGCAAGGAGACAAACTCGACTTCTCTGAATATACCTTGACTTTGGAACCATGGAAACGATTTTAGATAGCTGTATGAATAAATTTAACTTAAAAAAAGAATTCTCTACATCATGCATTATGGGACAAAATGGCATCATGTACCTGCCGATGTGACACTAAGGACACGCCATCATGTCTGTGGCACCCGGACATAATCGCATGACCTGAGTCTCTTCATGAGGAAACGGGACAAACCCAAATTGAGGACAGTCTGCAAAATAACTGACCTGTGCTCTTCAAAAACGTCAATATCAGGAAACAAAGAACTACTGCTCCAGGTGAAAGGAGACGAAAGAGGCATGAAACTATCCCAACTCAGAACTGTCTTTTGCTACAAAGGACATTACTAGACAATAGTGAAGTTGGAATAAGATCTCAGACCAGATAATAATAGCATTGTATCAATGTTAATTTCCTGATTTTGATAACTGTCCTGAAGTTAGATAAGAGAATATCCTTGCCTTTAGGAAATACTACAAAAGTATTTAGCATGCAGGGGCATTGTGTCTGCAACTGACCATCAAGCAGCTCAGAAAAAAAGAATACATGGATGGATAAATAGATGGATGGATGGATGGATGGATAGATGCATGGATGGATGGATGGATGGATGGATGGATGAATGGATGGATGGATAGATGGATGGACGGATGGACGGATGGTTGGATGGATGGATAGATGGATGGATCCAGGGATGGATAAATGGATGGATAGATGGATGGATGGATGGATGGATGGATGGATGGATGGATGGATGGATGGATGGATGGATGGAAGGATGCATGGATGGATGCATGGATGGATGGATGGATGGATGGATGGATGGATGGATAAATGGATAGATGGATGGATGGGTAGGTGGGTGGATGGACGGATGGATCCAGGGATGGATGGATCCAGGGATGGATAAATGAATGGATGAATGGATGGATGGATGGATGGATGGATGGATAGATGCATGCGTGGATGGATGGATGGATGGATGAATGGATCCCTGGATGGATAAATAGATGGATGGATGGATAGATAGATAAGAGAGGCAGACAGACAAATGCGGTAAAATATTAACCTTTGGGGAATAACTGGATGAAAAATACACAAGAATTCTTTGTATTATTTTTGTGACTTTCCTGTAAGTCTGAAATCATGTCAAAATTTAAAAGAAAAAAAGCCATCTCTAGAAATCTAAGGTGAAAAGAAACAAATGCACCCAACTCTGTACTGACTTGATAACACAGCCTCAAAGGAAGAAAAAAGTCTTGCCAGTGACTGTCAAACACCATAATCTGTACCTTTCTAGTGGGACAAGCCCTAAGGACAAAAGAACAAGAAACAAATAGAGACTGCATTGAGTAATCTTGTGATATTTTATTTTGAGATTGTGTGTATTATCAAGGGATCAAACAAATGTGTAATGCCGATGATGTTCACTGAGAACCAAGATTTCAGCAAAACAAAGATACAATAAAAGTCTGATGAGGTTACACAGGCACTTAGGAGTCCTGGTGTGAATTCCAATAGAATTATCTGTATGAACTCCTCAGGCCCAAGCCCTGTCCACTGAGAAGGTCCACACACGACAGGTCACCAGCGGCCATCAATGCCCCAGGATCCCCATGGAGTGTATCAACGTCAGCTTCCACCAAAAGAAACCAGGGCTTTATTTCAGAAATGGTCAATTCCAGGACTGGGGCAGGAAATGCTGGCGATGAGCCTGGGATATCTGGTCACACCGAAAGGCAAGGAATCTCTCAGAGACAACTGGGTTGTGTCAGAAGGACTCTCAGAAGCCAACTGAAAGAGGCCCAGAGGCAGAACTATTTGAGCATTAATCAGATACGAGCCAGAATGATCAAAACACACCAAATATGTTTACATTCACTGTCTCATGAGAATACCAAAAACCCCAGGAGAGCCCAACACCCTCTCTGGTGGATGCTCTCAGAAGAGAATGCAACTCATTATTTTGAAAACTGGAAAATGAGGGGGGAATCCAACCATGCACCCTGCCCCTTGTCTATGAACTACTCCTTGGCGGAGCCAAACGGCAGACAAAGGGAAGTTTGTTTTCGGAAATGTGTCGGCTAACAAATGGAGAGAGAATAGCGGAAGTAGAAAATGACCATTCTGCAACCTCTAATGAAATGATGGCTCTGAGCAATAATCATCAAAGCTGTGACATTAAACAGAGACTGCCTCATGGAAGCACACGGCACCACCAACAGAGGGATAGTCCCCCGAGGGTCACCCAACCCCGCCACGACCAGGAAGCACAGGGTATGGACCATGTTAGGCCGCCTTCAGCACAGTCCAGAGCAGAGACTGTCCAGCAGGTGACCTGGTCTACCAAGGACAAAAAGTGTGACGCGCAGAGAACCCGCAGGGTCAAGACCGGAGAGAGACACCACCGAGCACAGCACACCAACCTCATCTGACTCTTCATTCACAGAGAGCTGCAAAGCAATCTGAGACCTCATCAGGGACATTTATTTGTTTCCTTCCTTCCTTCCTTCCTTCCTTCCTTATTTATTTATTTAGAGATGGGGCCGCACACAGTGGCTCACACCTGTAATCCTAACACTTTGGAAGGTTGACACAGGCGGATCACCTGA
This sequence comes from Homo sapiens, assembly GCF_000001405.40. Lineage (NCBI taxonomy): Eukaryota > Metazoa > Chordata > Mammalia > Primates > Hominidae > Homo > Homo sapiens. Next base: position 46,641,304 of record NC_000022.11, on the reverse strand, counting down.
GGTCAACAGTTCGAGACCAGCCTGGCCAACATGGTGAAACCCCATCTCTATTAAAAATACAAAAATTACCCAGGCATGGAGGTGCGTGCCTGTAATCCCAGCTACTCAGGAGGCTGAGGCCAGAGAATCGCTTGAACCCGGCAGGCAAAGGTTACAGTGAGCCGAGATCGCACCACTGCACTCCGGCCTGGGCGACACAGTGAGACTCCATCTCTAAATAAATAAATAAACAAAATTAAGAGATGGGGTCTCGCTCTGTCATCCGGGCTGGAGTGCAGCGGCTCGATCCCTATCAGGGAAATTTGAGCTTAAGTTGGACAGCTGATGGTATTAACGAAAAGCTGTTTGCTTTTTTCAGTTGTGATATTAGACTCGTGGCTTTTGTTTTTAAAACACACTGAGCTATCCACTGAAATATTTACAGCTGAAATGAGAGGATGCTGGCTGGGATTTGCTCCAAAACCTCGGCGGGGGGCGGGGGGCCGGGGCAGGGGGTTGGGGGCAGGGAGAGGGCGTGTCGGGGAAGCCTGCCTGGTCCGGAATCTTGCTGGGAATCTTGTTGCGGCCAGTGGTGGGTTTCAACCAGGGAGGCCCATGACACTCTTTGCTCCATTTCTGGATACATTTGAAATTTTCCATAATTAAAAAATAATCCCCGTGCTCACCACCCCACAGGCTGTCAGAGGTGAACCCAACACTTTTACTTCACGAGCTACCAAGGGGTAAAAGGAGATGCTCCTTTGGCAAATGCTGAGGACAGAGTCACAAGTGCTGGTCCAGGGACGCCAGCAGCTCTGTTTGTGACCAGGTGGCCTCATTTCCTCCGGGATCTGCTCGGCCCCAGAGAGGCAGCCCTGTGGGTTCAGCTGTCTCCATTTTGCAACTTTGTTATCAACAACGTCTCAAAGCGAATCTGCCTGGACAGGCGTCCCTCCATCCCTCCACCCCACATGCCAGCTCGCCTCTTCTCCTGAAGCTTCCCGGGCCCCAGCAGAGGGTCTCTGTTGATGCTCACAGATCCTTGCCCTGCACCAAGAGCACCTGCTCCCTGAAAGTGAAACACTGACCCCCTGCCCCATGACTGAAAAACCGTCAATATTCAACCACTTCAACTCACAGAAAGGCAATTCGTGAGGTTCAGCGGATAAGGCAGCCTCTGGTGGTTGATGACTTAACTAGCGTCTGCTGAGCTATGCTCTCCAGGCCAAATAGCATACCTTCCATGCACAGGCCCAGCTGGACAGTCAACCAAGGGCCAGCCCCCTGCTGCCACCGCCCAGGGAGAGCCCAGCCTCTCCATTCTCAGAGATCCATCAATTCCAGCAGAGCCACCACTGCAGGCTGGTGAGGTCGCAGGCGGCAGGTCACCAGGACGGTCATCGGGAGGACTGAACCCTGTCGGCAGCCCATGCGGGCCAGCCCCTCTCTGCCCAAGCTGGCTCTATGCAACCTAAGGCTCATGGAGAGACCGAGTCACTCCACACCACAGCCATAGTGTGTCACCAGAGCTGTCCTCAGAACGACCAGTGTCCAGTCCTCAGGGGCCCAAGAAAGCTGTCAGAGTACAGATGGATATACACATGTGTACACACACGGTTAATACTGATGCACATGGGCATGCACACACACACACGGTAATACTGCTGCACACGGGCATGCACACGCACACACAGTTAACCACCACTGCACACGGGCATGCACACGCACACACAGGGTTAACCACCGCCACACGCACACACACAGAGTTAACTACTGCTGCACACACACACACAGGGTTAACTACCACTGCACACGCTCACACACAAACACAGGGTTAACCACTGCCGCACATGTGCACTCACAGGGTTAACTACTGCTGCACACGCAGACACACACACACACTGGATTAACTAACACTGCACACATGCGCACACACAAGGTTAACCACCACACACGTGCACGTACGTGCACACACAGGGTTAACCACCACACACGTGCACACACACACAGGGTTAACCACCGCTGCACACAGGCACACAGGCACGCACAGGGTTAACTACCACTGTCTACATACACACGGTTAACTACTACCGTGGTTAACTACTCACACACATGCATACACAGAGTTAACCACCACTGTACATACACACACACACACACACACACACACACTCACGCACACACCGTTAACCATAGCCACACAAACATGAGCACACAGAGTTCATTACGCCATCTAAGCACACACACAGTCCAGTGCTGTACATACACAGGCTCACTATCACGCTCTGGCCTGTTGCCAGGTGAATCCACAAGGCTGTGTGGACAGGCCTTGGACCCTTGAGCACCAGGTGAGCGCACAGACATGAGAGCACTGGTAACCAAGGACAGGGCACCCAGATGACAATCCTTCTGGCAAAGGCACTGGCTGTCTGGTACACAGCATGGAAAAGACCCTGGCTGGGCACGACACCCAGAAGGAAGTGACCTGTGCACCCCGGTCGTAAGCCCCTGCCTGTCACAAATGGGGGCTCCATGTGGTTCACAAGTGACTGGCTCTGGACACACAGGAGCGTAATAACAAGAATTCCACCATAGAGTCAGCTGTGAGAACCACACACAGCAGGGTTGCTGGCAGGAAATTTGGGACTCATCTGCCTGGCACTGTCTTACTGGTAAGTGGCCTCTTACTAGTCAGGCATCACTTTGTGAACCCTCTGTGCCTCAGTTTCCACATCTGGACAACAGGGAGGACACAGGTGGGGAGAGAGGCTCAAGAGCGATACACCAAGTGGGGCCAAGCCTGCGAGCCCCTCCTGTAAGAATCTCTGCCATTCTCACTGCTGCAGAGTCCGAAGCCCAGCAAACCAGGCACGCCTGGCCAAGGCCAGTGGACGCCAGAGCCTACTGCCCCACCTCCCTCCTGGAGACACAAACCAACCAGAACAAACATAAGATTTCAGAGTCCTTCCAAAAGCTCTGAAAAAGTCCGAGCCACCCACTGGGAATGCAAGGGACCAATTCACTAAAATAATTACAATTTTCTGGGAACATTTCACTCCTTTTCCCCAGAGACTCTCCTTTACCCCGCAGGGGAAAGGCCCCCACGCCCCCAGCCCCTGTGGAGCAACCTTGAGTGCCGGCTTAGCAGGGCCGCAAGGGAGGCTCAAACACAGAGACAGAGGCTGTGCCGGGACCACCCAGCCCAAAGGGCCACGTCGGAGCCACAGCTGCCCAGGGCTCGTGTCCAGCGATGGAGCCTGCGTGGGTCTTCACCAGACCCAGCTCCTGGGCAAGACGACATCCCCCATCTCAGCCACCCCTGACCCACCTTGTCCCATCCCCTCCAAGCGCTTTCTGGTACTCACGTAAGAAATGTTTTTCCAATAAGGCAATTTCCAGGTGACCTTTGATCTCATTCAGTCGATCAAACTCTGTCCGGTTAAAGTCCTGGACTCCTGTGGCCATGATGAGGGTCCCTGGACCAGCCTAGAAGAAAAACACCAAAAGCTCAAAGGGGCCACCTGTGGCACCCTGGGTCTGCACCACTCAGTTCCCCCAGAGGTGCCCAGGGGCCCCAGGATGGCAGCAGTGGCATGTGAAAGGGACCAGCAGCTGCAGTTTCTGGACATGGGGACGACGCAGCAGTCAGATGGGGCGACGGAGCCCCCAGCATAAGACCCGTGTCTGTCTACCCAGCCTCCTCTGTGGGGAGCAGGGACATCTCAGAGAATGTGGATATCCTCAGAGCCCCTGTAAGGCTGGCTTTAAGAAATATCTTAAAAATGGAGGCTGGGCACGGTGGTTCACACCTGTAATCCCAGCACTTTGGGAGGCCGAGGCAGGTGGATCGAGGTCAGGAGATCGAGACCACGGTGAAACCCTATCTCTACTAAAAAATACGAAAAATTAGCCAGGCGCAGTGGCGGGCACCTGTAGTCCCAGCTACCCAGGAGGCTGAGGCAGGAGAATGGCATGAACCCAGGAGGCGGAGCTTGCAGTGAGCCAAGATCGCGCCACTGTGCTCCAGCCTGGGCGACAGAGCGAGACTCCATCTCAAAAAAAAAAAAAAGGGAACTGGATAAGTGGCGCTAAGTCTCTTGATGGTTGTGATCCTGATCTCCTCAGGCTGCAGAGGGAAGAAAACCCTGGAACTGTGCTGGCCCCGTGTGTCCGGCTGGCCGTGCCAGAGCCAGGCCCTCACACCTCAGTGGAGGCTGCGGGCGCCTCCACGAGCCACACTGAGTAGATCGGAGAGACTGGCCCCCGGGCAGAAGGGTCTGCCGCAACCGAGGTGAGCAAACTCCGAACAGCGGCCTTGTCGTCCTCTCTGCTCCATGAAAACCGCGGCTCACAGCCCCAGTGAGCCACAGCAAACTCCAAACAGGGGCCTCGTCATCCTGTCTGCTCCACAAAAACCCCAGCTCACAGCCCCAGCAAGCCAGGACGGGCTCGAGTTACAGGCTACAGCTGCCCGATGCCTGGAGCCCAGGGACTGGGCACAGGCGGCCGTTCCACACCCTGCTGATGGGACAGAAAGCAGGGGCCATGCCCGGCACAGCCAGGCCTGCCTGGGCCCCACACTGGATGCCACACAGTCGCCCTCCACGTTGCATCCTGCCAGGGACCTGGTGAGGGACAGCACACGAGTGAGTGTCCCACCACAGGACAGCAGCGACCCGATTTCTCCAGCTGGGTCCTCAGACTTCCTCCTCCAGAGCCAGGTAACAGGTGTGCGGCTTCAACAAGGCCACCCGGAGCAGCACCGCAACGGCTCCTTGCACATGTATCACCCACGCTGTGGCCACAGCCCAGGAATAAGGCGCTGGCTTCGGGAACCAGCAGCTTCTAGGCAGGGCACTCTGGCTGTGGCTGCCCCGTTCTGGGTGCCCGACCTCCCACACTTTCAGCTGCTCTCGCTGCTGGGGCAAGAGTTCCCAGGGCATGAGTGGAGGCAGGGTGATTCCATCTGTCCCGCCCGCTGGACGGACCCTGTGGGAGCTGCTTGGGGTCTGTCCCAGCACTGACAGATGAGGAACAGGCATGGGACGCCTGTTCTGGGAGGCCAGCGGAGCCCAGGTGCTGGAAGCTGGGATCCCACAAGCACCCATCCAGGAGGACAGAAGCTCCAAAAGAGTCTCAAGGAGGTCACACAACCCCACCTGTGCTCCAGCTTACGCTGGAGACATGGGTCTGGGGCTCCAAGCTGACCCTGGAAGCTCAAGACGCAGGTGCCGCCAGACTAGGACCCCAGCTGGGGCCCCAGGACAGACCCCGGGGGCTAAACGTCCCCATGAAGGTGGCTCTGACATAGACAGCCTGGAAAAGGTTCACCTGAGTGGGCAAGGGCCTGGGCGCTCCCACACGCAGCCAGGAGGAGGCACACTGCAAAGCCTGCAGCTGGACCCCTGCACTGCCCTGGGCTGTTTCTCTCCAGTCCTCTTCTTTCAGATATGGACCCTGGCGTGTTTCAGACAGAATGAGAACGTGCCTGGGACCTGCTCCAGAGTCATCCAGTGGCCGGGGGGGTGGGGGGCAGGGAGGACACGGCCACCTAGGACAGGAGTGGCCAGGGGCGGGGGGCAGGGAGGACACGGGCCCCCAGGACAGGAGTGGTCAGGGGTGGGGAGCAGGGAGGACACAGCTCCCCTGGACAGGGGTGGCTGGGAGTGGGGGCAGGGAGGACACGGTCCCCCAGGACAGGAGTGGCCGGGGGCGGGGCAGGGAAGACACGGCCTCCCAGGACAGGAGTGGCCGGGGGCGGGGGCAGGGAGGACACGGCCTCCCAGGACAGGAGTGGCCGGGGGCGGGGGCAGGGAGGATAGGGCCTCCCAGGACAGGAGTGGCCAGGGGTGGGGGCAGGGAGGACACGGCCTCCCAGGACAGGAGTGGCCGGGGGCGGGGGCAGGGAAGACACGGTCCCCCAGGACAGGAGTGGCCGGGGGCGGGGGCAGGGATGACACGGTCTCCCAGGACAGGAGTGGCCAGGGGTGGGGGCAGGGAGGACACGGTCCCCCAGGACAGGAGTGGCCGGGGGCGGGGGCAGGGAGGACACGGTCCCCCAGGACAGGAGTGGCCAGGGGTGGGGGCAGGGAGGACACGGTCCCCCAGGACAGGAGTGGCCGGGGGCGGGGGCAGGGAGGACACGGTTCCCCAGGACAGGAGTGGCCAGGGGTGGAGGCAGGGAGGACACGGTTCCCCAGGACAGGAGTGGCTGGGGGCGGGGGCAGGGAGGACACGGCTCCCCAAGACAGGAGTGGCCAGGGGTGGTACCAACCACAAAGGGACGAAGGACACTTGGGCTCCCAGCCCGCTGCTCTCTAGTTCAAAAGCGTGCTGGACATTTTGAATGTTTTCTATTATGATTTCTTTTTTTTTTTTTTGAGATGGTGAAGTCTCACTCTGTCGCCCAGGCTGGAGTGCAATGACATGATCTCGGATCACTGCAACCTCTACCTCCCAGGTTCAAGCGATTCTCCTGCCTCAGCCTCCAAAGTAGCTGGAATTACAGGTGCCTGCCACCATACCTGGCTAATTTTTTTGTATTTTTAGTACAGACGGGGTTTCACCATGTTGCCCAGGCTGGTCTTGAACTCCTAGCCTCAGGTGATCCACCCGCCTTGGCCTCCCAAAGTGCTGGGATTTCAGGCATGAGTCACCGTGCCCAGCCTATTATGAATATTTTTAAAGATCTCAAACACAGAAACTGTGGCCACGCACTACCTGCTTGCTCCGACCCACTTGCCCCCAAGTGCCTTGGGCAGTTCCAGGACCCCTGACTGTGGACCAAGGACCAGGCTGGCACCTGGCTCCTGCCTTTGCTCCTTCTCCCGCCATTCGCCCACCCTTGCTCCTGCACAGCTGGGCACGCCCTCTGCCCCTTCGCTGAGTCTGCCTTGGGCTGGTGTTTGGAGATGCACACCTATCTCTTCTTCTCCTCTGTCTCCCCTTCCTTAGGTTTCTTATCTATGTAGCTTCCAGAAGTTTCTCTCCATTTTCCTTGCATTTGAGTCAAACCTAGCCACCCTGCCCACAGCGGTTGCAAGGCAAGGTCAGAGACAGGAATGTGCCTGTCTGGAGGAGGAAGTCATAATCATTAAGCTGAAATGAGACCCAGCAGCCAGGCACCTCTGCAGCCTCGCTCCCCACCGAGGGAACCTGCCACACTCCCCCAGCCCTCGGCAGGGCCCACCTTCAAGAGGCATTTTCCAAATACTTCACTTACTCTGTTTACAATGGCTCCTTGAAGGTACAGAGGGCAGGTGTGTGCCTGGGGCCAGTGGGCCTGTTCACCCCCAACTGTCTGCTGAGAGCACAGGCACCCGGGGGTGAGACAGGCCTGAGGGTGGCCCAGGAGTAACGTGGTCCACGTAGGATGATGGAGGCCTGGCCTGGGAGACCTCAGTGCTTATCATGAATTTTCTAACCGGGAAGGCGGCCTAAACAACAATCAAGGATCCCAAGTCCCAGCCCCACACTGAGGACAGAAAACACCCCCTGTACGGCCGGGACCCCCGGAGCCCACCCAGCCCACCTCCTGCCTACACCCCATGGACACCCTGCTCGGAACTAGGGGTTGCCTTTCCCACAATGGATTCTTCCTGGGATTGTCTCAAGTGATGCTGGAGAGAGAGGACCCCATTCTTCTTGGTGACAAGGCAGGCTGGGGTCCCCAGGAAGCCAGTGGCCTTGGCCTCCTCCAGCTGGGGACTCCCGTTGGCAGCAGCAGCAAGGACGCCAACCCACGGAGAAAGCAGGGCCGGCCAGAGCCCCCAGTTGCTGGGCTCCCGGGCCAGGAGCAGCCTTCATCAGGAGCCCCTGAAACAGCCCCACACAGCCAGCCCTTCCCTGGGACAGACATGAGCAAAGGCTACCTGGAAGTCAGGGACAAAGAGAGGACGGGCATCCATGCCACCTCATCCAAGTCCCCACCTTCATTAGGTGGGGGGCTCCCCAGGGAGGGCAGGAGAGGGAGCCACACTTTAAACAGCTCTATTCCCACAGGAAACGTCCCAGTGCCCCAACTCAGAACAGTACCCACCTGTGACAAGGACAGACAATGCTGGCACTGGGGTCAGGGGAGGAAGGCCCACGGGCGGGCAGAGGGATGGAACCAGGGCAGCTGGGGGCCCCCTGGCTTCCGAGGAGCCTGGGCTGTGGCATACTTTCGGGGAGGCCTGGGGAAAACAGTTGGACCGTGCCACCCTGTTCCAGCACGTCAGCCTGGGCAGGGCTGCTTCCTGGAGGCTGAGTTGGAGAAGAGCTTGGAGGCTCCCATCTGCCTCTGCCCACTCAGCCCTACAAATAAGTATGCTCTTCCCTCCACATCCCCATCCCCACCGGGCGGGGGGCTGTGTGGGTCCCCATAACAGACATGTGGCAAGGGGCCAGAGGCCTGCGTGGAAAGGCTCTGCCCAGTGCAGAGGCGGAAAATTCAACTCCGCCACGCCCAGCACCCTCCCCAGCAAGCACAGGCAGCGTCGTGCGGGTGACCCGGCTCCATCCACATGTGCCAACCCTGTCTCCAATGGCTGCTCCAGGCCCACGAGGGCTGGGCCCCACGGTCTCCACCCAGTCCTGGGATTCCACAGCCCAGATGAGAGCCACCTGGATACCAGGGTGGTGAGGGCTGGCTCTGCAGGACTCACCAATGAACAAGGGGTCTCCTATTGGGACACAAGGCCCTGGGGTGCTGCCCTGAAATGCTGGGGTCTGAATCCTTCTGCAAGCCCTGTGGGTCCCTCCAGCTGACCCCTTCTCAGACCTACAGAGGAGCCACCCTGAGCTGGAGTCAGAGGCCTGGACTCAGAACTCCAAGGGTGCAGGACACCAAGGCTGTGGCGCTGTCACTATAAAACTAGAGTGGTAGGCCTGGCCATTTCTCAGTTCTTCAGCTTTTCTAGAACTATTTTCTCCAACTTTTGCCTCAACTGAAATCTGCAGCCCTCTCAAGATGGGGCGTGGGTCTTCTGGGGACGTCTCCCATCTCCTGCCTCCTGGTCGGGGGTCACCCCAGACGCTGCCCCAGCCCTAAGCATGCCCACCTCCTTCTTGCCACCTCTCCTTCCAGCCAGCACCAGCCACACAGTTACCTGTCTCTTCCACCTTTACCTCCCCTTCCCAGCCCAGCCTCGTGGGCCCCTCAAGCCCACCCAGGGCCCCTCCAACCTTCCCCTCCCAAGCAGGTCTGGGTTCTACTCTCAGCCACTTTGTCCCAGGACACAAACAGCCCACAACGAAAGGAAGCAGGAATGAAGCGGAGCACACCTGGAGGACATGGTGCTTGGTGACAGCGGCCAGAGATGAAAAGACACACGCCGTAAGGGTCTACCCATCCCCGGTCCCCAGGAGACGAAAGGACACAGGCCGTGAGGTTCTACCCATCCCCGGTCCCCAGGAGACGAAAGGACACAGGCCGTGAGGTTCTACCCATCCCCGGTCCCCAGGAGACGAAAGGACACAGGCCGTGAGGTTCTACCCATCCCCGGTCCCCAGGAGACGAAAGGACACAGGCCGTGAGGTTCTACCCATCCCCGGTCCCCAGGAGACGAAAGGACACAGGCCGTGAGGTTCTACCCATCCCCGGTCCCCAGGAGACGAAAGGACACAGGCCGTGAGGTTCTACCCATCCCCGGTCCCCAGGAGACGAAAGGACACAGGCCGTGAGGTTCTACCCATCCCCGGTCCCCAGGAGACGAAAGGACACAGGCCGTGAGGTTCTACCCATCCCCGGTCCCCAGGAGACGAAAGGACACAGGCCGTGAGGTTCTACCCATCCCCGGTCCCCAGGAGACGAAAGGACACAGGCCGTGAGGTTCTACCCATCCCCGGTCCCCAGGAGACGAAAGGACACAGGCCGTGAGGTTCTACCCATCCCCGGTCCCCAGGAGACGAAAGGACACAGGCTGTGAGGTTCTACCCATCCCCGGTCCCCAGGAGTCACATTCAGAGACAGGAGGCGGAATGCAGGCTGCCGGGGTGTGGCAGGGAGGAATTCCCACCAGGGAGCTGGCGTGTGACACGTGCTGGGCCTCAGTCTGGGATGACGAAAGGTTCTGGAGGTGGAGGTGGAGGTGGAGGTGGCGATGGTGGCACAACAGAGGGCATGTGCTCCGTGCCCCTGAACTGCACACTGACAGTGAAAATGAAAATGGTACATTCAATGCTCTGTGTATTTTACCACAACAAATAAAAAGAATGAAGCCTACATGTGTGCAAAGATGACCAACTTCCTGCACAATAAAAGCCGTGCAACCTACAGCCACTCGGCACTGCCGTCTTGCCCCTCGGGGCGGTGGAGAGAGAAGCCTGAGAACAGCGTGGAGGCCGGGGTGGGGGCACATGGCCCTCGAGGGAGCTATGGAGGGCACACTGCAGAGGCCGGGGTGAGGGCACACGGCCCTCGAGGGAGCTATGGAGGGCACACTGCGGAGGCCGGGGTGAGGGCACACGGCCCTCGGGGGGCTATGGAGGGCACACCGCACAGCTGCCAGGACCACCACACAGGCACACTCGGTCCAGCACTTCCACCAAAAGTGCCGCAGCCCACATGGGCACCAGGCTGCCAGGAGTGATGGACGCTAAGAGCCACAAGCACCTGCGATCCCTCAGTGGGGACAGATTAGCTGAAGTGACGAACATCCCAGGGTGAGATCCTGAGCCGCTGCCAGGAGTGAGGCTGCTTGGGGTCCGCCACGGAAGAGCTCCTGGAGCACTGAGAGGGGCGGTCAGAACACCCCAGGCTGCAAGGTGGGCTCCGGTCTGAACCTGCCCCTCCAGGGAAACCCTCAGACCCTACCGGTGGGCACGGAGCATGGCGCGGCTGCACATGAGAATGCGGTAGATCCTGGAAAAGGGCAATCTCGGGCCTCTGCATGGCCCAGCGAGACCATGTGGAAGCACATGCACACAAACACTCAATCGCAGGCATTCAGCCTCATTCATCACAGTCCAAGAATGGAACTGCCCAAGCGCCCACAACAGATCAATGAATAAAGACAACAGGTCGGGCGCGGTGGCTCACGTCTGTAATCCCAGCACTCTGGGAGGCTGAGGCGGGTGGATTGCCTGAGCTCAGGAGTTCGAGAACAGCCTGGGCAACACGGCGAAACCCCGTCTCTAATAAAAATACAAAATATTAGCCGGGCGTGGTGGTGTGTGCCTGTAATCCCAGCTACTTAGGAGGCTGAGGCACGAGAATCGCTTGAACCTGGGAGGTGGAGGTTGCAGTGAGCCGAGATCACACCACTGCACTCCAGCCTGGGTGACAGAGTGAGACTCTGTCTCAAAAAAAAAAAGAATAAGAAAAAGAAAATGTGGCCTGGCCATATGATGAAACAGGTTCAGCCATAAAAAGGCAGGCGGCACCAATGCACACCGCAGCATGGATGAACCTCGCGTCCCTTATGCGAGCAAAGGACAGACACACGAGGCCTCATGTTATATGAGATGCCCCATATGGGCAAATCCATCGACAGAAAGCAGGCTGGCAGCTGGTGGGGCCGGTGGCCAAGGGAAATGGGAGTGACTGTGAAAGGAACGGGGTCTCTTTCAGGTGATAAAAACCTTTTAAAACTGTAGTAATGGTAGCACAGCATTGTAAATATGCTATTAATAGAAACCCCTGAGTCGCACACTTTTAGTGGGTGAACTGTATACTGTATACCCGGTGGGAATATCTCGATTAAGCTGTTATAAAACCAACCCCCAAGGCCTCTGTGCCTGAGCCCAGGTCTCAGGATGTTTCTGGGAGGCTGCCCGTGTAAAGAAGGGTGATGAGAGGGGACCTCGGAAGGAGCAGGGCAACGCTGCACAGCCCCCCACCCCGGGGGCCTCGTGAGCCTGGGCCGGAGCAGTGTCAACGTGCTACAGGAACGAGGCTTCGCAAAGGAGCCCTGGAACCAGGAGGAGGGTTTAGCGAATCAGTATTTCACGGTCATTAATAATTACAACTCCCTCCAAGCTAACCATAAGCAAGACGCCAGCCACGTACGTTTCACTTATTATCTCATTTGATCCTTAAAGCAGGCCTGGGGGTGGACGAGACTGCCGTCCCCCTTAAAAGCTGAGGATACTGAGGCTCAGGTCCAGGTTACACAGCTAAGGAACTCAGCCTGGTCTCTGCAGTCAGTGCCTGACCTGCATTCAGCACGATGCCCCAAGCGGGGCCCTGCTCACCCACACTAGGAATCTCCTGGGTTTCCAGACGTCCGAGTCCCTGAGGTGGTTTCCCCCCGCAGCCCCTCACAGCCTCGAGGAAGGGGGGCCCCAGTCCACAGGCTGACCTTGCCCTGGCCTCTGCAGCATTTGCCCCTACTCGGTGGGCTCCCTCTCAACTCAACATGCCCCCTCAAGCCCCCTTGTACCTCGTGGACCACCACCTGCCCACCAGAGCTGGTCCAGACCACGGCCTGCCTCTCCTGTGACGCCAGCAACACCGCTAGCGCCATACCCTCTGCCACCCCCAGGAGCCACATTCTCCAAGCTACTCCCCAGACATCACCCTGGAGCGGCCAGCTCTGACACTGACCCTCCCCCGAAGGGGATCCCTGATGCCCCCCAAATCCAGATGTTCTGCCCCAGGTGAAGACTCCCATGATCCCACAGCCCTACCTCCTGCTGCTCCAACCAGACCAATACCTGCAACCCTGGCCCTGGCCCCCTCACTGCAGCCCTCCACCTGCCCCTCAGACACCAACGCACACACTCAGTCCACCCGCCCCTCAGACACCACGCACACACTCAGTCCACCTGCCCCTCAGACACCACGCACACACTCAGTCCACCTGCCCCTCAGACACCACGCACACACTCAGTCCACCCGCCCCTCAGACACCAACGCACTCAGTCCACCCGCCCCTCAGACACCAACGCACACACTCAGTCCACCCGCCCCTCAGACACCACGCACACACTCAGTCCGTCTCTGACCAGCATGGGCAGGACACGAACCTGCCTGAGTCCATGCTTGGCCCGGCCACAGAGGACAGGGACGAAACCCCAGCCCACACCAGGGGACAAGGACAGGTACTCACAGGGTCCCTCAGGCGGGAGGGTCCCTACCGAGACAACACCTGGAGCAGGACAGACGGATGGCGGAGAGGGAGCTGGGGAAACAGCCCCGCTCTGGCCTTTGCGTGGAATCCCCGTCACCCCTCCCTGTTGAACCATGTATGTGTCGGGAGGGAGATTTTTGTTCCCGAGACACCCACCACATGCTCAGCACACAGACCACCATCGGAGAATCGTGACCCATGCCCTCTGTGCCAGCCCCAGCCAGAGGCGGATGAGACACAGCTCTCCGGCGAAGGCAGGCCCCTGCCGTTCTGCCACATAACCTGCACAAGGGCAGACACCCTACCGGGGTCCCGGTCCACCCCCAGGACCAACCACAACCTTTGCCTGGGGATGGCCGATCCCGGCAGGCCGGGCACTCTGTGGTCTGTAGTGATGCCCCAGGAAGCCAAGCGGCCCCACCTGCCTGATCGGGCAGTGTCGAGAGAGCAGCAGCAGCAGTAAATTATTAATTCCTGCTGAAAGCAACGCACAGTCACTGTCCTGTTATAAAGCATTAGCAACGCAAGGAGCCAGGGAAGGCCGGCGCTCCCAGGCCACACCTGGAAAGAAGACCTGGCTCAGGGGCTGGAGGAGGAAACCAGCCAGACACCAAATTTGGTGTGTGCATGCGGGGAGGAGCTAGAGGCCATGCTGGGCCAGAGGAGGGGCCGCAGGGAGCCCAACCCACCATGCTTCGGGCCCTGCCCCACCCCCCACCAAATGCAAGTTTCTGCAAGGCAGGGCCTGCTCCTGCCTGGCTCCCGCCTGGCTCCCCACCTGGCTCCCACCCAGGGCCCAGGGCCTAGCTGAGGTGCTCCGTGGGTATTTGCTGTCCCCCCAGCTGGCCACAAGCCCAGCCCTGATTCCGCGTGGCTGATGAGGGCCCAGCCTGGGCTTAGCCAGCTTTGGGGGCTGGAAACGTGCACCTTGGCTTGAATAGAAGACAAGCCAGGCACCAGCGGCTTCCAGACAACGCCCGCCCTGCTCCATCCGCATGTCAACGCTCCCAGGGCCAGGCCGAGGCTTCCGCGTCACATGTGCGTGAGAAGTCTGCCACCCACCCAGAAAAGCCAGTGAGGAAAACCAATCCAGCCGCTAATCAGACCTGCGAACACAGAAGGCTCGGCGTGGCAGCACCCCGGCCCCACAAGGTCTGCAGGGGTCGGGAGCAGGTGAGACAGAGAGTCAGGCCCAGTCCATCTCTGACCAGCATGGGCAGGACACGAATCTGCCTGAGTCCACGCTTGGCCCGGCCACAGAGGACGGGGACGACACCCCAGCCCACACCGGGGGACGAGGACAGGTACTCACAGGGTCCCTCAGCTCCTCGCTGTCCCGGGGCGAGGTCCGCGGTACCTTCAGGGGGATTTCGTCGCTGCATTCGGTGTCCGAGGCATTTGGAGACTCCGCTAGATCGAGGAAGTCATCTCTCTTGTGACCTCTGAACCTGATTTTGTCCAACCTCCTTAGCATGTTCAGCACTGAGGTCCTCTGCTTCACCCTAACATGACGCTCGGGTTCCCTGCAAGAGAGGGGCGTGGTCACTCTCCCGCTCGCCACCTCCAAGCCCCACGAGCCAGCTCCCACACACAGGGCACAGCCGGTCCAGCTTTCCAAAGAAAACCCCGACCCAGAGACCCCGCCCTGCCACCGTCCCTCCCACACACACCTCCAAGCCCCACGAGCCAGCTCCCACACGCAGGGCACGGCCGGTCCAGCTTTCCAAAGAAAACCCCGACCCAGAGACCCCCGCCCTGCACCCATCAGGTGGGGCCCTTGGCCACCCCACCCAGGCCAGCCTGGTCAGTGCTGAGCTGCGTCCTTGCCTCCCACCAAGCGAGGCCCCCGGCTCCCAGCAGGCAGAAGGAAGCCAGGGTTCTCAGCCTGGCTCGGCGAGGCGGCGCGCAGGCGCAAGGGAAGAATGCTGCTCTGGCATTGGGAAGGAGGGCCAGCCATGCCAAAAGGTTGCCTAACAAACCGTCAAGAACGTGGTCAACACGACGGCCACATACACCACCAGGACGGCAGCCACGCCTGGAAACCAGCAGATGCGTGTGCTAGGGATGCCTCGGTTGATTCTCTCCTGGACCTAGGGGACCTGGCCTTGTGTCCCACCTGCTCCACCTGGCCCCGGCTCCCAGGACTCCGCCCACACTGCTCCCTCTGCCTAAAGCGTGTTCCTACTCGCCATGCGACCAGGCTCATACTCTGAGACACATTCAGATCGCACCACCTCCCAGAAGCCCTCCCAGAGACAGCGGGGTCAGGCACCCATGGCCAGCTGGGCCTCCTGTCCCAGCCCCCATGCCTGCCTCCTCCTCCAATCAACACAGAAACCTGGTCACACTGAGGTGCGAGTCACTGTGTGCTGCATCAGGACACGCGTAATTCACACACACCACGTGCCAAAGGGCGGATGTGCCGTGGGGTACTGCTCCCCACATCGCTGCCCGACCTGGCCAGCAACACCAAGGCACCCCCAAAAGCCTGGAGGCCAGGATCAGTGGCCCACAGGAGGGGCCAGCCAGGCAGGGAGAGGCCACCCAGCCCCAGCCCCATCACGCAGCTCCATGGCCTGGATGCCTCTCCCAAAACCCCGTCCCCAACTTGTCCAAGACAACTGGGTCCCCGTGGGAGGACTGCTCTGTACACACCTGGGCTGAAAGCCTGTCCTGCCACTGACCAGCTTTCTGAGCTGACATTTTTGCCTCTGAAAATGGAAAGATGCCAGTAAGGCAAAGGTATCCAGGAATTCAAGAAGACAGGGCAACTGGGCCAGGAGCAAGGAGATGGGGCGGGGAGTGATCCCTGGCGGGGGTATTTCCCAAACTTCCTGCTTGGGGCGGGCAGCATGGCAAGGAAGCACTGAGAGCAAGGTCAGCTCCAGCTCCTACATGCCTGCCCCGCCCCCAAAGCCTCCTCCGCTCTCCTCAGCATCACAGTTCGTGGCAAGAAGACTCATTAACAGTGAGGACCGAAGACACAGAACGCACTAGAACCCACTCTGAGCCACAGAGGCGCGGAGGTTCCCAGCATGGTGAGGGGAGGGGAGGCTCTCCTGGGATGGGCACTTGAGTATTCCTGATGCCGGCCCTGCTGCAAAACCCACAGGACGCTGGGCGCGGTGGCTCACGCCTGTAATTCCAGCACTTTGGGAGGCCGAGGCGGGCGGATCACAAGGTCAGGAGATTGAGACCATCTTGGCTGACACGGTGAAACCCCATCTCTACTAAAAATACAAAAAATTAGCCGGGCGTGGTGGTGGGCGCCTGTAGTCCCAGCTACTCAGGAGGCTGAGGCAGGAGAATGGCATGAACCCAGGAGGCGGAGCTTGAAGTGAGCTGAGATCCCGCCACTGCACTCCAGCCTGGGTGACAGAGCGAGACTCTGTCTCAAAAAAAAAAAAAAAAAAAATCCCACAGGACACAGGCTCTACGGGGAGCTGTCCTGATGCCCAGCATCCCCTGGAAGCTGGGAGGACCCCAGGAGGGGGATGTGGGTGATGGGGAGGTAGCAACTGCTGCTCATAGGCTGAGGGAGCATGAGCCAGCCATTTGGAAAAGCTTCCCATATAGGAGCTACAAATTGCAGAGGGACTAAAGGTTCAGTCAATTTAAAAACACACAAACCTTAAAAGAAAAGAGAACAGCTGGGAGCAGTGGTTCACGCCTGTAATCCCAGCACTTTGGGAGGCCAAGGTAGGCGGATCACGAGGGCAGGAGTTCGAGACCATCTGGCCAACATGGTGAAACCCTGTCTCTACTAAAAATACAAAAATTAGCTGGGTGTGGTGGCGGGCACCTGTAGTCCCAGCTACTCAGGAGACGGAGGCAGAGGAATTGCTTGAACCCGGGAGGCGGAGCTTGCAGTGAGCCAAGATCACACTATTGCACTCCAGCCTGGGCAGTGAGACTCCGTCTCAGAAAAAAAAAAAAAAAAAAAAAAAAAGGAAGAGGGAACTTAGTAGCTATGAAATCCCTAGAGAGAAGAAGATGGAAGAGTCTATATTAAGGGACTGAAAAAAAAAAAGCCACTAAGTAAAAATGTCTAACAGGCCACCAGGCAAAAGTAAAAAGCTCTCATTTGTAAAAAGAAAGTAAAAAATGTCAAAATACGCTATAAAACAAGGAATACAGGTAACAAATATGATACATGAAGGATTAATATCCATGTTACAAGACAACTTGACTAGGCCAGGTGCGGTGGCTGGCACCTGTAATCCCAGCATTTTGTGAGGCCGAGGTGAGTGGATCACTTGAGGTCAGGAGTCTGAGACCAGCCTGGTCAACATGGCGAACCTCCATCTCTGCTTAAAATACAAAAATTAGCTGGGCGAGGTGATGTGCGCCTACAATCCCAGCTACTTGGAAGAGTGAGGCAGGAGAATTGCTTGAACCCGGGAGGTGGAGGTTGCAGTGAGCCGAGATCACGCCACTGCACTCCAGCCTGGGCAACAGAGCAAGACTCTGTTTAAAAAAAAAAAAAAAAGGCAGCTTGACAATGTAGTCAATGTAGCAAAAATGACAAGACCACTTCCTAATACGCGAAAACCTTCAAGCTCACTAGAAAGGAAACTAGGCCGGGCATGGTGGCTCATGCCTGTAATCTCAGCACTTTGGGAGGCCGGGGCGGGCGGATCACGAGGTCAGGACATCGAGACCATCCTGGCTAACACGGTGAAACTGCATCTCTACTAAAAATACAAAAAAGTCAGCCAGGCAAGGTGGCGGGCACCTGTAGTCCAAGCGTCCCAGCTACTCAGGAGGCTGAGGCAGGAGAATGGCATGAACCCGGGAGGCGGAGCTTGCAATGAGCCGAGACTGCACCACTGCACTGCAGCCTGGGGGGCAGCGTGAGACTCTGTGTCAAAAAAAATAAAATAAAATAAAGAAAGGAAACTAAAGCTAACCCGGGCTGCGGAATGCGGCAGAGCAAGCACACAGACGCCCCCTCAACCGGCCACCCCACAACTCAGTACCAGGACCCTAGGACCAAGCTCAAGAAGTGGAGGCCTGGTGGGGGGAAACACGTCACACACCATCCATCAAGACCAGCAGGGCAGGGGGTCCTGGAGCACCCTGGTGGACCCACACAGGACCCCGTCCTTGTAAAGGGATGAAGGCAACTAAAACCGGGACCTTCCTGTGACTGTCGTTATGGCAAACAGGTGCGTGAAGAGACTCGGGCGCTATGGGGCCAGACGTCGGGAGTATGGGCTTACGGTGGTCGTTAACAATTCTCTCTCCAAATCTCCTAAAATGCCTCCCTATTACTTCTTTTCCCACAATATTTTTTAATTACGGTAAAACACACATAATATAAATATTACCAATTTCATCAGTTTTTTTTTTTTTTTTTTTAGAGATGGAGTCTTGCTCTGTCGCCCAGGCTGGAGTGCAGTGGCGTGATCTCGGCTCACTGCAAGATCCGCCTCCTGGGTTCACGCCATTCTCCTGCCTCAGCCTCCCGAGTAGCTGGGACTACAGGCACCCGCCACCACACCAGCTAATTTTTTGTATTTTTAGTAGAGACGGAGTTTCGCCATGTTAGCCAGGATGGTCTCAATCTCCTGACCTCGTGATCCACCCGCCTCGGCCTCCCAAAGTGCTGGGATTACAGGCGTGAGCCGCCGTGCTCAGCCCAACTTCACCAGTTTTTAGCGTGCAGCTCCGTGGCATAAATTACATCTGTGATGCTGAGCGGCTGCCTCCGGACTCGTCTTGTCTAACTGAAACTCTGCTCACTGAATAGGAACTCCCATGCCCTCCCCAAGCCCCCGGTAACCACCATTTTTACTGCTTTTTAATGTTTAAAAAGGAAGGATGAACGGGCTAGGGGAAGTGTAGCAATGTAAAACCTACTTCCTTCCATTTTCAAAAACCCGGCGAGTCCTCCTGGTTGCGGCAGCTGAGAGGGAAGCGGAGGGGATGACCCGGGCGCTGGGGCCTGCAGGCCCTGTGTAGGGCACCGAGCTGGCCTCCACCCAAGGAAAGCAGGGGACACGCTTGGACACGCACAGAACTCTTGGCTGCCTGCAGGGCTCTGGGCAGAGGACAGCCCCCTTGTCTGGGAGGCTGTAATTCCGAGGCCAGGGCTGCCTTCCCAATCACCTCAGGCAAGCAAATGAGGCAATGAGAGAGGGGACAAAGGCCCTGAGTGTCCCGCCTGTCACCATCAGAATGCAATGCGTGCCCCGCCAGTGTCCAGCTACTCCTCAGTCTGCTCTCCCAGCCACCGGCTCAGCCCCAAACCCAGGGTCATCCTGCTGGATGGTTCACAGCGGCCCTTGGGGAGGGCGTCCACACATCAGGGTCCTAGACGACCCTGCTCTCAGCCCCACTGACTCCACCACCCTCCTCACCCAACTCCCTGGGTCCATCAAAAAGACAGACTTTTCAAGCTTCGGTCAGTTAAGAATCAAACTCCATGTCACGACACATGTCACCACACACTGCCAGGGATGGACCTTCCAGCCTTCACCACCAGGGATGGGCCCGGGCTACACTTCCAGCCTGCGCCTGCACCGGGGTAGGGGTGCCCTCCGCGACACAGCGCCAGGGACGGGCCCGGGCTACGCCTCCAGCCTGTGCCTGCACCGGGGTAGGGGTGCCCTCCGCGACACACTGCCAGGGATGGGCCCGGGCTACGCCTCCAGCCTGCGCCTGCACCGGGGTAGGGGTGCCCTCCGCGACACACCGCCAGGGATGGGCCCGGGCTACGCCTCCAGCCTGCGCCTGCACCGGGGTAGGGGTGCCCTCCGCGACACACCGCCAGGGATGGGCCCGGGCTACGCCTCCAGCCTGCGCCTGCACCGGGGTAGGGGTGCCCTCCACGGCCACATGGGCAGCCCCCGCACTGCACTGAAGAGTGCTCCACTGTACACCAGGGTGACTTCATCTCAGTGACATCTGCAAAGAGCCATTTCCAAGTAAGGTCGGGTCCACAGGTACGAGGTGGACATGAATTTTGGGGGAGGACACTATTACCCAGCACACGCCCAACTTACAGATGCAGGAACCAAGGCCCGTCTACACACTGAGCATAGCTCCAGGCTGCACCTCAGGCCAGACCCGGGTCTCCCGACACCGCCCACCTGCGTCTCACCTGCACCTTCCGTCCTGCGTGCTGCAGCCGCGCATCCCCAACCAGACGGCCCCTGCCCTCCCCACTTCTAGCTGCCCATCCCCACCCCCTCCACGGTCCCTGGAGGAAGCCCAGCTCCTCAGCCTGCAGCCCAGCCGCTCTCCCCAGGACCAGCCCCTCCACCTGCACCTACAGGCCCACCCCTGGCAGCCCAGGGCCCCTGCAACTCCGAGCCATGCGGCCCTCTCAGATCGGCCTCCTCCCTCTCGGATGGGCCTCCCTCCCTCTCAGATCGGCCTCCCTTCCTCTCGTCCTGTCAGGTTCTGAGGGGCTTCCTGGGAGGCTCCTCCTCTTGCCGGCCCTCCTGACCAGGCCAGGTTCTCAGGAGGCCTCCACCCTTCCTCACTGGACCCCTGGCCCCGGGCTGCGCAGGTGCTTTACCGGTGGGGTCTGGCCTGCACCCGGCCTTGGGAGGGAGCCTGCCTTTCAAGATCAAGATGGCTCCAGAAGAGCACGTGGTAGCTGGGACCACTGCCCCAGAGAGTAGCAGCTTTTCCCAAGGCTGGGGCTTCCACTCAGATGGGCCCTACCATGTCCCCCTGCCCCCTGCCCCCTGCCCCCTACCTCCGTCTGTCTCAGATACATCCAGAAACACTCTTTCACTGTGGCTCCTTCAGGTCCTGGCCCAGAACCAGGATGTGCTACGAGGACCCAGGAACCATAGCCTCCAAGCCGCCCAACACCAGCAGGCACGGAGAGGGTGGTGTCTGCTGCCCTGGAGCCTGGAGGACTCCAGTCCTGTGCACCAGAGCAGGGCAGCAGGGCTCACCACGGCTGTCCAGGTTCTCCCAGGATCCCCCAGGCTCAGGGCGGCGCCCGGCCAGGCTCCAGGCCCTCTCTGCAAGCAGGACGGAATTGGGCCAGCCAGCCCTGGAACACAAAAGCATGCTGCTCTGGAAACCGCTGAATTGCTTCTGGACACACAAAGGCAACAGTGTCTAGGGAACCCTGGACTCAGAAACCGCAAAGGACTTTATTTCCCCTTCCCCAGCCCAAGATTTAAAAAAAAAAAAGTGGTTCCTGGTCTCTGGCGCTTGCCCTGAGCCGTGTCTCCTTCACACCATCTCCCCTGCTAAAGTTCCTCTCCGAGTTCTGGGTCCCTGGATCACAGCTGACCTCCACATCAGGGCCCGGCTGCTGGCACGCCCTTCATCCCCTTATTATCTGGCGGCTCTCCTGCTGATCCTGGGATAAACAGCATCCGCTTTCCCACAGCCGCCAGCCCTCCTAAGCAATGTCCCTGGGGGACTCGCAGATGTTGAGCGACACAGACACACCTCCCCCACCCCCACTGCAGTGGGCCCCAGCCCCCACCTGGCCCTCCTCCAAGTCTCAGTCCTCTAGGGAAGGTAGCCCCTAAACCTCACTGTCAGAAAGGCCTGGATGGAGGTTAGACCAGCAGCTGGACAGCCAACCTGGGCAGCTGAAGAGGACGTGAGGATGGGGCAGCTGGCAGACTCCAGGGCTTTGCAGAGTGAACAGGAGGACCGGGGGCGGCCAGCAAAGAAGGCCTGGTTCTACCAATACCCCATCGCCAGCCAGGCACCAGGGCTCAGGCCTGTAATCCCAGCACTTTGAGAGGCTGAGGTGGGCAATGCAGTGACACAGAAAGTGAAATAAGAACATGAGCCAGCGTGGTGGTACGTGCCTACAGTCCCAGTTGCTCAGAAGGTTGAGGCAGGAGGATCGCCTGGGAACCTGGGAGTTTGAGGCTGCGGTGAACCACGATCGTACCACTGCACTCCAGCCTGGGTGAGGGCCAGACCTTGTCTCTAAGAACAAAACAAAAACATCCACCCCAATGTCCCCATGCTTACAGCCACATACTTGCACCTCCCTAACTCCTGATGCAAAGAGGCCCAAGGACCCAGCACACACACAGCTCCCTGGGCCCTCTGGGGTCCTGAGACTGCAGATCCTGCCCTTCCAGCCCGTGCCCGACCTTGGCCACTATTGTTCCAACATCAGCCTCAAGAGGTCGGCTCACAACTGATGACATGTGTGCTGCCCCAAACTCAAGGCTTGTCCAGGAGTTTCATCCCCTCCCTGGATTCAGGCCTCAGTCCTGCCAGCTGGGCACAGTCAGGCGGCCTCAAATGCTGATGTCCGTATCCGGGTGTTTGGCTGCTCTCAACCCTGCCCCCTGACCTGGCCTCCCTGCAGGCTCCAAGCCGGACAGCTCACCAGTATCTCAACTATGCCACGCCTGGCACAGACTCGGGTCTCAAGGGGCACTCTGACTGGATGGCACCGTGTCCACCAGCTGTCTGGGTGAAACCCTCAAGAGCCCTTGATAGCCCCGTTCCTCACTCCACTGCCAACCTGCAGCGCACGCCGGCCGCACGCCTCCAGACGGGGCTGCACATCTGTCCACCTCTCCCCACGACCCCAGCCTGGTCCAGGCAGCCGCGTGCCTCCCCTCTCCCCACCACCCCAGCCTGGTCCAGGCAGCCGCGTGCCTCCCGAAGCCTTCTCCACATGGCAAGCATGGTGAGGCCTTCAAAGGCAAAATCAGCCTCTGCAGCGCCCCTGCCAAAGTTCTCCAGGGGCTTCCACGCACCCGGGTCAACACGGCTGCTCCCCCGACACCCTCATCAGCTCTGGCTCATCTAGGCTTGGCTGCAGCTCTGCCGACCCCCTTTGCAACCCTCCGACCACCGCCTCTGTCCCCACTGCAGGGCCCGACACGTTTGGCTCCGGGACGTCGCTCATTTGCCCCATTCCCTAGGCGCCGCCCGCTGTCATTCCACCATCCTGTTTGGTTTGACGTGGGGTCCTTGGATTGCCCTGATGGCTTCCTTGTTTAGCGCTTGTGCCTCCAGTCCTGCTTGGTTAGAACCCGCCTGGTGCTCCCCCGGGGCAGGGGCTGTGTCTGGCTAAGTCTCCAGGGGCTCGGCTCTGCCGGTGATGCTCAGGTGGACTCGAGCTGCAGGCACCCGAGTCTCCCTCTGCAGAGCTTGGCACGTGGTGGGCAGTGACAAACACTTGTTCAGAGAGTGAGGGAGCGACACACAAAGGCAGCCCAGATGCCACGGCTGGGGGGTCCCCGCCAGCCTGAGCCCGCAGCCACCAGCTGAGCTTTCTTTCCTCTGCCAGAGGCCTCAAGAGAAAGGGACACCCATGGACTAGGGACACCCATGGACTCTGCCTTGGGCCCTGCCAAAGCACAGCGTCCCTGAATACACAAAAACTTTTAACTACAAGCCTTCAGTGATCTGGGATGTTTCTCCAGGAAGAAACCTGAATTCCTTCCCTTGGCAAAGTATCTTCAGGCTTGAGTCATACGAGGGTCAGGCTGGAACCCCATGTGGGGAGCTGAGCCTTCTGCACTGTGACAGGGAAGCCACCCAGGGGGGCCAGGGAGCGGGCCCAGGGCTAAGCACACCCTGGGGTGCTAATGCCAGCACGGTGTATGGCCCGCTCTGGGGCCACTTGCCAGCGTGGCCCAGGAGAGACAGTCAGGAAGACTGGGAGGGCCAGGAGATGCCTACGTGAGTCTCCGCTTCTTCCTCTGTGTGCTGGGATCCTGCCCAGGCCTGGGGAGGAAGGAGCTGGTTAATGTTTAAGGACCCAACACAGAGGAACCTACACGCACAAGGGAACCTACACGCACAAGGGAACCTACACACGGGGAAACCTACACGCACAGGGGAACCTACACACAGGGGAACCTACACGTATGGGGGGAACCTACACCCAGGGGAACCTACACACAGGGGAACCTGCAAGCACAGGGGAAGCTGCACACACAGGGGAACCCGCACACATGGGAGAACCTACACACGGGGGAACCTACATGCTTAGGGGAACGTACACACAGGGGAACCTACATGCACAGCAGAACCTACACACGGGGGAACCCACAAGCACAGGGGAACCTACACACTGGGGAACTTACACATGGGGGAACCCACACGCACAGGGGAACCTACACACGGAGGAACCTACACGCACAGGGGAACCTACACACGGGGGAACCTACACACACAGGGGAACCTACACATGGGGGAACCTACACGGACAGGGGAACTTACACATGGGGGAACCCACACGCACAGGGGAACCTACACACGGGGGAACCCACACGCACAGGGGAACCTACACACGGGGGAACCCACACGCACAGGGGAACCTACACACGGGGGAACCTACACGCACAGGGGAACCTACACACGGGGGAACCTACACGCACAGGGGAACCTATACGCACAGGGGAACCTACACACGGGGGAAACTACACGCACAGGGGAACCTACACACGGGGGAACCTACACACAGGGGAACGTACACACAGGGGAACGTACACACAGGGGAACCTACACACACAGGGGAACCTACACACAGGGGAACCTGCACGCACAGGGGAAGCCACACACACAGGGGAACCTGCACACACGGGGGAACCTACACGCACGGGGGAACCTACACGCACAGGGGAACCTACACGCACAGGGGAACCTACACACAGGGGAACGTACACACAGGGGAACGTACACACAGGGGAACCTACACACACAGGGGAACCTACACACAGGGGAACCTGCACGCACAGGGGAAGCCGCACACACAGGGGAACCTGCACACACGGGGGAACCTACACAAGGGGGAACCTACACGCTTGGGGGAACCTACACACGGGGGAACCGACACGCACAGGGGAACCTACACACGGGGGAACCTACACGCACAGGGGAACCTACTCACGGGGGAACCTACACGCACAGGGGAACCTACACGCACAGGGGAACCTACACACAGGGGAACGTACACACAGGGGAACGTACACACAGGGGAACCTACACACACAGGGGAACCTACACACAGGGGAAGCCACACACACAGGGGAACCTGCACACACGGGGGAACCTACACGCACGGGGGAACCTACACGCACAGGGGAACCTACACGCACAGGGGAACGTACATACAGGGGAACGTACACACAGGGGAACGTACACACAGGGGAACCTACACACACAGGGGAACCTACACACAGGGGAACCTGCACGCACAGGGGAACCTACACAAGGGGGAACCTACACGCTTGGGGGAACCTACACACGGGGGAACCGACACGCACAGGGGAACCTACACATGGGGGAACCAACACGCACAGCAGAACCTACACACGGGGGAACCCACAAGCACAGGGGAACCTACACAGGGGGGAACTTACACATGGGGGAACCCACACGCACAGGGGAACCTACACACGGGGGAACCTACACGCACAGGGGAACCTACACACGGGGGAACCTACACGCACAGGGGAACCTACACACGGGGGAACTTACACATGGGGGAACCCACACGCACAGGGGAACCTACACACGGGGGAACCTACACGCACAGGGGAACCTACACAAGGGGGAACCTACACGCACAGGGGAACCTACACACGGGGGAACCTACACGCACAGGGGAACCTACGCACAGGGGAACCTACGCACAGGGGAACCTACGCACGGGGGAACCTACACGCACAGGGGAACCTACACACGGGGGAACCTACACGCACGGGGAACCTACACACGGGGGAACCTACACGCACAGGGGAACCTACACGCACAGGGGAACCTACACACAGGGGAACCTACACACACAGGGGAACCTGCACACACAGGGGAACCCGCACACACGGGGGAACCTACACAAGGGGGAACCTACACACGGGGAAACCGACACGCACAGCGGAACCTACACATGGGGGAACCCACAAGCACAGGAGAGCCTACACACACAGGGGAACCTACACACAGGGGAACCTGCACACACAGGGGAAGCCGCACACACAGGGGAACCTACACACGGGGGAACCTACACGCACAGGGGAACCTACACACGGGGGAACCCACACGCACAGGGGAACCTACACACGGGGGAACCTACATGCACAAGGGAACCTACACACGGGGGAACCTACACACGGGGAAACCGACACGCACAGCGGAACCTACACATGGGGGAACCCACAAGCACAGGAGAGCCTACACACACAGGGGAACCTACACACAGGGGAACCTGCACACACAGGGGAAGCCGCACACACAGGGGAACCTACACACGGGGGAACCTACACGCACAGGGGAACCTACACACGGGGGAACCCACACGCACAGGGGAACCTACACACGGGGGAACCTACATGCACAAGGGAACCTACACACGGGGGAACCTACATGCACAGGGGAACCTACACACGGGGGAAACCAGACGCACAGGGGAACCTACATGCACAGGGGAACCTACACGCACAGGGGAACCTACATGCACAGGGGAAGCTACAAGCACAGGAGAACCTATAAAGCACAGGGGAACCTACACACGGGGGAACCTTCACACGGGGGAACCTACACGCACAGGGGAACCTACACGCACAGGCACATGTCCTATGTTTACTACCTGCGGCACGTATCTGCAAATAATCATGAAATGTGCACTACCCATAAAGTATAAATTCTGGACAGCCAACTGACTCCCACAGAATGCTTTCATGAATTTGTGCTCAAATCCTGTCTCCACGGTTGGCCCCTGGCAGCCACCACCAATGAGCACCACACGGATGCTGGCTGGTGTTTTTGTTTCCGTTTACAAACCACAACAAAGGTGGAAGGGAGACATGCAGGGGAACGCCACCTGTGAGTCTACAACACGGGAAATGTCCTTGCTGAATAAGGTAGCTGCTTTCCAATGGCAGAATATTTTCACAAGGCTTTTACGCCATTCGTAATGAACGGCTACAGACCTCACACAATTTTTAGCTTCATCTGCACGTTAACACTTTCCTCATCAGTTTGGTAAGTCTAGACAACCAACACAAGGAGAAGTGAGGCCCCGAGTGGCAGCAGCGCCCCGCCCTTGGTGCACACACTCCCGCCATGCCAGCGGCCATCATTGCACAGCGTTTCTGCCACGCGCGGCAGGCCCAGGGAACCTCGGCAGCACACGCAATAGTAAAATGCTATCATATGATTCAGAAATGATGGGGTTCGAGTATTCAATGCCTTTGCTTTCAACATAATTGATCTAACTGCAAGTTAATGTATTTTCATTTTTATTAACGGCCAACTCACAGAATTCCTGAAAATCCATCAATCAGCTCCTGGGAACCCGCGTGAGCCGCCTCCAGATCCCTCCTCACACTGCTGCAGCCGCGGCCATGACGGCCATGAGGGCACAGGGCTCCGTGAACAGCAGCAGCCTCCCCTCACCCACCTCCCTCCCAGCAGGCTTGAGACAGATGCGTGAAATAGAAGGTGAGGTCTAAATGCAAAAGAGTTCCTGAGAGGCCCCAAGGGGTCAAAGACAGCCTGGGAAGCAGGAAGCAGCAAGCCGGGCAGCCCGCCTCCAGGGCAGGAGGGGGTGTGTATGGCAGCACTGAAGCCTCGGGGTGGGGTGGGCCCATCTCTGACTCAGGAACAGCAGCCTGACCTCTAGCCCCATCCTGGCACCCTGCCCTCTGCACCATGGAGGCCCCTTCCTGGCCTCCAGGATGCTGCCCAAGCGATGCCCTCTGTCCGAGACGGCCTTCCCAGCCATCGGGTAGCCGCCACCCAGCCCAAGTTACTCTCTACTTCAATCACATCACCCTGCCTGGAGGACCCAAAACCACCACATACCACAGCGACAGCAGCTCGGGGACACAGGGAACACTCGCCTGTGCGGGGCTAGGGGTTGCATCCTGGCCCTCTGTGCCTCCAGCACCGAATGGGGCTGACCCACATCTGCTCCAGTCGCCCTAAGTACCACCGGGGCTGGAGAGCCTCGAGGAGTGGACATGTGTCCCACTATCCACCAGATCATCTCAAGCACAGGCATGCAGTGGGTCGCGGCAGCCGGAAGCCAGGCCCAGGCTGGCCACAGCTGTGTGACCTCGGACAGGGGCCCCTGCTCAGGGCTGTTAGAGGACAACATGAGAGTGCTGGAAGGACTCAGCAACCTGCCCAGCCAGCAGTGGTAACGACAGCAAAAACACAGCCCTACTCTCCAAAAAAGTGTTCCACAAACGCTGCTCTCACGCCCCATACATCACCACTGCATAACCACAGGCGCTGGGGAGGCAGCGCTGTCTTGTGGGTGTGGGGAGCCAGGGTAAAAAGTTCTGAGACCATCCCAAGACGCTGCTAGTCACTACGAGCTCCCGAGCAGGGACCCAAGCCCAAAGTCCACGGGTGGGGCAGGAAGGGCCTGTGGGTGAGCAGGGGCTGTGGGCAGCCACAGGAGAGAACCATGGCACACAGAACACAAACAGCACTTCAGCCTGGGGGCCCCGGGAAGCAGGAGACCGCGTCAGGGAAGGCGCAGCAGCCTTCGGCCACCCACTGGCCAGCACGGCTTGTCCTTGCCCCAGCTGTAGACAAACCAGGCCCACACCCTCTGCTCCCATCCGTGATCCAGCCCTAAAGGGTTGAGAGTAAGGTTCCTTGCACCAGGCTGCCCAGGTCAAGCCAGTCCTAACCCTCGGTTTCCAGGTCTTTAGGTAGAGGTAGCAGGGGCACCTGAGCACGCGTGTGAGCTCAGGAGCCCATCTCCAGGGAACCTGGGCCACAGTCCAGGCTTACACCAGCTTGGGCCTTGAGAGGAAGCCTCAGGTGAATGAGGGCTGGCAGCGCCTGCTACAGGCTATTCTCAGGACCAAGCACTGTGCCCTCACTTCCCCCAGGCCTCCCGCGCACCTGAGCCTGCTCAACACCACCAACTCCTGACACCAAGGAGAGAAGGCCTTCCTCCAACAGGCCAAGGACATCATCCAAATCTAGGTCCACAGCACAGCATCCATGGTCAGGAAACCACAGTAACAGTAACAATAACAACAGTACCATCGGCCAGCCTCAGTGGCTCACACCTGAAATCCCAGTACTCTGGGAGTCCAATGCAGGAGAATCACTTGAGCCCAGGAGTTCAAGACCAGCCCAGACAACACGGCAAGACCCCGCCTCTACGAAAAATAAAAGATAAGTTAGCCAGGCGGGATGGTGTGCACCTGTAGTCCCAGCTTCTCAGAAGACTGAGGCAGGAGAGTCGCTTGAGACCAGGAGTTCAAGGCTGCAGTGAGCTATGATCGAACCACTGCACTCCAGCCTGGGCAACAGATCAAGACCCTGTCTCTTCTTTTTTTTTTTTTTTTTTTTTTGAGATGGAGTCTCGCTGTGTCTCCCAGGCTGGAATGCAGTGGTGTAATCTCGGCTCACTGCAAGCTCCGCTTCCCGGGTTCACACCATTCTCCTGCCTCAGCCTCCCGTGTAGCTGGGACTATAGGTGCCCCCCACCATGCCCGGCTAATTTTTTTTTTTTTGTATTTTTAGTAAAGATGGAATTTCACCATGTTAGCCAGGATGGTCTCGATCTCCTGACCTCGTGATCCACCCACCTCGGCCTCCCAAACTGCTAGGATTACAGGCATGAGCCACCACACCCAGCCGAGACCCTGTCTCTAAAAATAAATTAATAAAAATAATGTCACCAACAGTTCCATCCACACCTCAGAAGGGCAGCCTCTGCCCAATAAGCCTTTCTCGGAGTGTACAAAGCAGGATGAAAGGACGAGAGTGACAAGCTCCCACCAGTGTTCATCTCCCCTACCCCAATCACAATGTTGAAAGGAAGAAGCATCTGCTAAACCACCTGACAAATGGGTAAACTGAGGTTCGGGAAGGCAGGGTGAGAAAGAAGTGGCACAACAGGAACACGAACTGACTCCACTGGACTCCATGGCCTGAGCTTGCTTAAACCCCACGACAGCCCCAGAAGCAGCTTAGCACCCGTCACCCCACCCTCCCCAGCATATGCCTCTATTAATCCATCCATCACACCATATGGCAGCTCATAGGCCCCTCTGCCTAGAAGCCTGAATGGGGACCCTGGCAGAGTGACCGCATAGATGTTTATTTTTTATTTAATATTTTTTTTTTTTGAGATGGAGTTTCGCTCCTGTTACCCAGGCTGGACTGCAATGGCGTGATCCTGGCTCACTGCAACCTCTGTCTCCCGGGTTCAAATGATTCCCCTGCCTCAGCCTTCCGAGTAGCTGGGATTACAGGCACCTGCCACCATGCCCGGCTAATTCTTTGTATTTTTAGTAGAGATGGGGTTTCACCATGTTGGCCAGGCTGGTCTCGAACTGCTGACCTCACTTGATCCCCCAGCCTCTGCCACCCAAAGTGCTGGGATTACAGGCATGAGCCACCACTCCCGGCCTGCAAAGATGTTTATTTAAAGAAAACAAAGCTGGCAAGAAAACCTAAGTGTAGGCACAGGTAGGCAAGCAAAAACTACTGTGTTGTAGAAGCAAATACACTAAGCCACAGGAAACACACGGAGGGATGCGTTTCTAGTGGAAACATTCTTTTTCCAACTCTCTCCATCACTCCTAGCAACCAGGGCTTGAGAATAACCAGCCAATGAGATGGCCGAAAGGAAGCCCCTTCTGGATTCCCCAGATTCGCCATGTCTTCCTGCCACTGCCCTTGCCCAATTTCCCACAAGCTGAAAGCTGTCTGAAAGCAGGCTGTTCCCCAGACGTGTTTCTGCATCAAAGACTGCAATATCGCGAAGGCACAGGGAGCGGCTCCTAGGTGGGGTTCAGCAAGCCCAGTCTGTGAGAGGCCGGGCGGTGAACACCTTCAGCCCAGCAGGCCACACGGCCTCTACAACTTCCCAACTCTGCTGTGGTGCAAATGGGCACGGCTGTGTACAAATCAGACACCATTTACAAAACAGGCAGAAACAGGTGGCAGTGGGTGGTGTGTGGTCCGTGGGCTGTCACTGACCGTCCCTGTCCGGGGTCCACAGATGCCTAGCAGAATAAGAACGCTCACAGAAGCCCATGTCCCCACTAACCCACGCCAGGGACAGGGCAGACCAGAGGGAACCGCAGCCCTCACCAGGCACGCACGTGCTCCTTTAAGTGGCCCGCGCATCACAGATTCATGTGTGGGCCTTGCCACCATCCAGTCCTCTTAAGGGAAGGGTGAGGAATAAGGCGTGGTCCCTGGCCAGGCTGGGGCAGCCTGGACGGTCTCCAAGTTCCTGGGGGCAGAAGAAGCTTGGTGAAGGATCCCACGTGCCACCATCCACCCTCTTATCCAACCTGGGCCGTAGCCTGGGGGCTTCTCCCCACCATCCCAGGTCCCACCCAAGGCAGAGGAGCCAGCAAGGAGGGCGCCACACTCAGGGGTGCTGGAAGGCGAACCGACTCAGAACAGCCACCAGTGTAGGCCCCCGTCCACACCTACCAGCAGCCGGGCCGCCCCTCAGGTTTCAGAGAGGCGCCTCTTACTGCCCAGTGACAAACAACAACACAGTGAAGAAGACTGGTGAAGCCAGGAGCCAGCCCTAAGCACCGCCTCCTGCCTGGGGCCCCACGGCCCTCCCCGGTGGGATGCTCTGCAGACCCTGCTCTGCTGTTCCACATCCCCAAAGCACTCGCACTCCACAATGCGGAATCCAGTGTGTGCGTGGGCCTCTCTGACCATCAGCGTGCCGTGTCCCTGGGGCCCAGCACACGGCCTGGCACCAAAGAACTGGCAGCAAATGAATGGGTGAGTCAGGTGGATTTTACAGAAGTTCCTGGGTCCCTGGGCAAATCTAGTACAGAAGTAAACCCACATGGCCTCAAATAGCTCCTCCCGTGAAAAGAGCCTTTGTGTACCTCCAAACCACTACCTCCCCTTTTGTCAACTTCTTTTGTTTAAATGTGGCCCAGCTGAGGTCAAAGGGCTCCGCCAGGCCTACCAAGACTCTCCCACATGGACCAAGCCCTGGGATACATACAAGCCCAACACAGGGCTACCCCGCACAGCAGGCTGCGGAACACCTTCCGTGTTTAAGGAAGCACACAGCCAGGAGAAGGTGGACCCAGGCTCCTGCGCGGAGGGCAACAGGATCGCCTGAGGCCAAGCCGGCCCAGACAGCAACCAGCGCCACTCAGCGGTCTGCGATGTATGTCTCTGGGGCAAAACCCAAGAGCCAAGAAAAAACAAAAAAAAATGTTTTGGGCTTTTCGGGTTGTTGTTGTTTTTTTTTTTAGAGACAAGGTCTTACTCTTTCACCCAGGATGGAGTGCAATGGCACAATCATAGGTCACTGTGGCCTCCCAATTCAGCCTCTGGGGTAGGTGGTACTGCAGGCACGTGCCACTGCCCAGTGATCCTCGCAACTCAGCCTCTGGGGCGGCTGGTACTACAGGCACGTGCCACTGCCCAGTGATCCTCGCAACTCAGCCTCTGGGGAGGCTGGTACTACAGGCACGTGCCACTGCCCAGCTAATTTTTAAAAAATTTTTAGTAGAGATGGGATTTCACTATGTTGCTCAGGCTGGTCTCAAACTCCTGATTTCAAGCCATCCTTCCATCTCAGCCTCCCAAAGTGCTGGGATTACAGGCATGAACCACAGCAGCTGGCCAAGAAAAAAATATATATATTGGCCAGCTACGCACACACACACATTTTGATACGGAATTTCGCTCTTGTCGCCCAGGCTGTAGTACAGTAATGCAATCTTGGCTCACTGCAACCTCTGCCTCCTGGGTTCAAGCAATTCTTCTGCCTCTGCCTCCCAAGGAGCTGTCACTGCAGGCACCCGCCACCACACACAGATAATTTTTGTATTTTTAGTAGAGATGGGGTTTCGCCATGTTGCCCAGGCTGGTCTCCAACTCCCGACCTCGGGTGATCCGCCTGCCTCGGCCTCCCAAAGTGCTGGAATTACAGGTGTGAGCCACCATGCCCGGCCCAAAATACTATTTCAGAAGGAAGATCAAAAACCCGCAAGGTCCACTTCACACCTGTTGCCCAGGTAACCACCTGCCAGCTGGGGTGCTCTGATAGTCCAGTCTCACAGAAGAGTGTCCTGACAGGCCTGAGAGCACGGGCGGCCCTGATGGAAGATGAGAGAAGCACATGTTTCGGCTGCAGGCTGCAGGCTGGACAGGCTTGCTAAGGGGCTGCTCGCCATCTACTAGGGACTAGGGAACAAGAACAAGGAGCAGGCAGTGCATCTTAGAGCTGGAATACTGCATGTCCACGAACCACAATGACCGAGCCACGCACTAAGTGTTTAATGAGCACCTACTACGTGCCCGACAGGACCCTCAGCGCAAGGATACAGAGGAGGCGAGGCCAACAAACCCATGGAGCTGGAAGTGCTGCCCTAACTGTGGAGAAGACACCCCACGGCCCCTGGGGGGGCAGCCGGCACCAGCCCAGGAAGGTGCTCAGAGGAGCAGTCGCGGCACCGCAGGCTGAGGGCATGAAGGACAGGTCGCAGGCTGCAGAGGAAGGGCACTCCGGGACGAGGGAGCAGCACATGCAGGGCACTTTTGCCAAAACAAACCAGAAAGGAGCTGGTGGGAGCAGAGAGGCTGTGGTAGGGCACTCGGTCCCATTCCGAGCACAGCGTGGAGCACCCTGGCCAATGGTTGGAAGAGGCCTGAAGTGGAAATACCAGTTAGGAAACCGTGGCCAGGCAGAGGAGAGAGGGCGGTGGCTGGGACTGGTGCGGGCAGCGGAGATGGAGCCAAGCAGGCATGTCAGGATGCATCCAGGGAGGAGCAAAGGCAGGGAGCATCGGGCGAATCCCCTGGCACCCCCACGTTAATGGTGGCCATAGCCACACTTCGTAAGGGACAGTAACCTGCCCGGTGCCTCCTGGCCGCACCTGACTCAATCCCTACACACCAGCCTGTGGAGGGCTGGTTCCTGGCTCCCCTACACCTGTCACCCAGCCTGGCAGGTACTAAGAACCCATAACTATTGGCGACTATTATTATGACCCCTCCTTTTTTTATAACACTTTGAGTTCTAGGGTACATGTGCACAACATGCAGGTTTGTTACATAGGTATGCACGTGCCATGTTGGTTTGCTGCACCCATCAACTCGTCATTTACATTAGGTATTTCTCCTAATGCTGTATGACCCCCCCCTTTTTAAAGACACGAGGGAACTGTGGCTCAGGAAAGGACATCACAACCATCACAGGGTGGGGGATGGGACCCCAGGCTTCACTGCTCCTGCACGCCCATGGGCCCGGCAGGGAGACCAGGGGCACTGGGCTGTCGGAGTGAGGTGGGGTCGGCAGCAGAGCTCTGGACTCACTGGATTCTCAGGCAAACGCTCTGGCCTGCTTCCAGTGCCCACAGCTGGGGAGGGTAAGCCATAGCCATACAGGGGGCCAGGGAAAACAGTGCGACAGCTCCTCAAAAAATTCAAAACAGAACTACCATATGACCCAGCAATCCCATTTCTGGGTATAATCCAAAGAGCTGAAAGCAGGGACACAAAGAGATACTGGCACACCCATGTCCACAGCAGCACCATTCGCCCAAGCCAAGAGGTGGAAATAACCCGAGTGCCCGTCCAATCGGCCAATAAGTCCACGCAGAGATGCTCAGCACTGGGCATGAGCCCATGAAGAGATGCTCAGCACCAACCATAAACCCATGCAGACATGCTCAGCACCGGTCAATAAACCCATGCAGAGATGCTCAGCACCTGCCATAAGCCCATGCAGACATGCTCAGCACCGGTCAATAAACCCATGCAGAGATGCTCAGCACCGGCCATAGGCCCATGCAGACATGCTCAGCACCGGTCAATAAACCCATGCAGAGATGCTCAGCACCAGCCATAGGCCCATGCAGACATGCTCAGCACTGGTCAATAAACCCATGCAGAGATGCTCAGCACCAGCCATAAGCCCATGCAGAGATGCTCAGCACCAGCCATAAGCCCATGCAGACATGCTCAGCACCAGGAATAAACCCATGCAGAGATGCTCAGCACCTGCCATAAGCCCATGCAGACATGCTCAGCACCGGTCAATAAACCCATGCAGAGATGCTCAGCACCAGCCATAGGCCCATGCAGACATGCTCAGCACTGGTCAATAAACCCATGCAGAGATGCTCAGCACCAGCCATAAGCCCATGCAGAGATGCTCAGCACCAGCCATAAGCCCATGCAGACATGCTCAGCACCAGGAATAAACCCATGCAGAGATGCTCAGCACCTGCCATAAGCCCATGCAGACATGCTCAGCACCGGTCAATAAACCCATGCAGAGATGCTCAGCACCAGCCATAGGCCCATGCAGACATGCTCAGCACTGGTCAATAAACCCATGCAGAGATGCTCAGCACCAGCCATAAGCCCATGCAGAGATGCTCAGCACCAGCCATAAGCCCATGCAGACATGCTCAGCACCAGGAATAAACCAATGCAGAGATGCTCAGCACCGGCCATAAGCCCATGCAGAGATGCTCAGCACCGGCCATAAACCCATGCAGAGATGCTCAGCACCGGCCATAAACCCATGCAGAGATGCTCAGCACCGGCCATAGGCCCATGCAGAGATGCTCAGCACCGGCCATAGGCCCATGCAGAGATGCTCAGCACCGGCCATAGGCCCATGCAGAGATGCTCAGCACAGTCGTCACTGGGGGAAATGCAAACCAAACCACAAGGGGAGACCCTTTCACACCCATTAGGACGGCCATGATCAAAAACTCAGAAAACAACAAGTGTTGGCGAGAATGGGGAGAAACCGGAACCCTTGTGCACTGTTTGTGGGGTATAAAATGGTGCAGCTGCTGTGAATCACAGTATGGAGGTTCCGCAAAATACGAAAAATAGAACTACCATATGATCCAACAATCCCCCTTCTGGGGATACTCAAAAGAACTAAAAGCAAGGTCTTGAAGAGATATTTGCATACCCATGTTCACTGCAGCATTTTTCGTAAGAGCCAAAAGGGTGAAGCAACCTAAGTGTTCATGAACAGATGAACGAATAAGCAACATGTGGCCCATCCACACCATGGAATATTACTCAGCCCTGAAAAGGAAGGAAATTCTGACATTTGCCAGAACCTGGGTGAACCCGGAGAATATTATGGCACCAAAACCTGGGTGAACCCAGAGGACATTATGGCACCAGAACCTGGGTGAACCCGGAGAACATTATGGCACCAAGACCTGGGTGAACCCAGACAACATTATGGCACCAAAACCTGGGTGAACCCAGAGAACATTATGGCACCAAGACCTGGGTGAACCCAGACAACATTATGGCACCAAAACCTGGGTGAACCCGGAGAACATTATGGCACCAAAACCTGGGTGAACCCAGAGAACATTATGGCACCAAAACCTGGGTGAACCCAGAGAACATTATGGCACCAAGACCTGGGTGAACCCAGACAACATTATGGCACCAAAACCTGGGTGAACCCGGAGAACATTATGGCACCAAAACCTGGGTGAACCCAGAGAACATTATGGCACCAAAACCTGGGTGAACCCAGAGAACATTATGGCACCAAAACCTGGGTGAACCCGGAGAACATTATGGCACCAAGACCTGGGTGAACCCACAGAACATTATGGCACCAGAACCTGGGTGAACCCAGAGGACGTTATGGCTCCAGAACCTGGGTGAGCCCAGAGGACATTCTGCTTTGTGAAAGGAGGAAGTCATAGATAGACACTGTGAGATTCCACTTATCTGCAGTCCCCAGAGGAGTCAAATGCACAGAGACAGGAAGTGGATTGGGAGGTGTCGGGGGTGGGGAGAGGCTCTGGAGAGTCAGTGCTTTGTGGGTGCGGAGTTTCGGTTGGGGAAGATCAGATGTTCTGGGGATGAATGGTAGTGACGGTTGCAGAACAGTGTGAATGTGCTTTAACGCCAGTAAATGACACACTCCGAAATGGTTAAGACGGTACATTGTGTTATGTCTATTTTACCACAATTTATACAGAGAGAGAGAGAGAAAACCGATCCTCCCTTTGAAAATCTACAAATTGAATGTAATTTCCCTTAAAAGAAAAACAACAGATTTTAGAAGAACCAAGACAATCTGGATCTAAGGTTTATAGGGAAAAATAAACAAGCCAAATAGCCAGGAAAATTCTGAAAAGCCGGACTGACGGGGGGAGGCCAGCCCTGCCACGCAAACGCAATGGGGCAGCAGCGGAGTTCAAAGCATGTTAACGGCGCATGAACAGAAAACAGAGCCACGAGAAGGTACAAAAACAGACTCAGACCCAATTGTGATCAGAGGCATTTTAATAGGAGGGTGTGAGATAACTCACTCCACCAATCACGTTGGGACATCTAGGAAGCTACCTAGAAAAAGATAAGGCTGGCTCTGCACCTCACACCTTCCCAAAATAAATTCAGATTAGACCAAAGGTTTGAATGCAGAACAAGGAAAGCATTCATGTAGCAAAGGTGGCCCTGGAGGGGCACCCATAACCCTGGGACTGGACGAGGTCTGTCACAGCGAGATGAGGAACACAATAAAAGAGAAGAGGCCGAGGCTGGGCGCGGTGGTCACGCCTGTAATCCCAGCACTTTGGGAGGCCGAGGCGGGCGGATCAGGAGGTCAGGAGATCGAGACCATCCTGGCTAACACATTGAAACCCCGTCTCTACTAAAAATACAAAAAAATAGCCAGGCGTGGTGGTGGGCGCCTGTAATCCCAGCTACTCGAGAGGCTGAGGCAGGAGAATGGCGTGAACCCGGAAGGCGGAGCTTGCAGTGAGCCAGGATCGCGCCACTGCACTCCAGCCTGGGTGACAGAGTGAGACTCCATCTCAAAAAAAAAAAAAAAAAAAGAGAAGAGGCCGGGCGCGGTGGCTCATGCCTGTAATCCCAGCACTTTGGGAGGCGGAGGCGGGCGGATCACGAGGTCAGGAGATCGAGACCACCCTGGTTAACACGGTGAAACCGCGTCTCTACTAAAAATACCAAAAAAATTAGCCGGGTGTGGTGGCGGGCGCCTGTGGTCCCAGCTACTCGGGAGGCTGAGGCAGGAGAATGGTGTAAACCCAGGAGGCGGAGCTTGCAGTGAGCCGAGGTCATGCCACTGCAATCCAGCCTGGGCAACACAGCGAGACTCCGTCTCAAAAAAAAAAAAAAAAAAAAAAAACAAGAGAAGATACGTTATGTTAAAAACAAATTTTTGCAAGGCAAAAACCTCCGTAAGCAGTCAGAGATAAATGATAACCCGGGAAAAAAAATTTCAACACACACCACAAAGGATTCATTTGCCTGCCATGGCCAAACATTTCAATAGAAAAATGGACAAGAGGTCAGGTGTGGTGGCTCACACCTGTAATCCCAGCATTTTGGGAGGCCAAGGCAGGCAGATAGCGAGATCAGGAGTTCGAGACCAGCCTGGCCAACATGGTGAAACCCCATCTCTACTAAAAATACAAAAAGTAGCCAGGCGTGGTGGCATGTGCCTGTAGGCCCAGCTACTCAGGAGGCTGAGGCAGGAGAATTGCTTGAACCCAAGAGGCAGAGGTTGCAGTGAGCCGCACTCCAGCCTGGAAGACAGAGACTCTGCCTCAAAAAAAAAAAAAAAAGAGAAAAATGGACAAAAGATAAAGGAAAAACAAACAGCCCTTAAACAAATGTAAAGATGATTAACCTTCACTTATAATGAGAGAAATACAATTTTTTTTTTGAGACAGAGTCTCACTCTGTCACCCAGGCTGGAGTGCAGTGGTACGATCACAGCTCACCGCAGTCTCGACCTCCCAGGTTCAGTGATCCTCCTGCCTCAGCCTCCCAAGTTGCTGAGACTAGAGGTGCACGCCACCATGCCCAGCTAATTTTTGTACTTTTTGTAAAGACAGGGTTTTGCCATGTTACCCAGGCTGGTCCCGAACTCCTGGACAACATGGTCTCGCAAAGCGTTGGGGCTACAGGTATCAGTCACTGTGCCCAGCCGATAAATACAAACTAAATTGCCTTGGGAAACCACTTCCCCAAAAGACTGGCAAAGAGGCACAGCATGTGGGTGTGGGGTCAGGGGACACAGGCTCTGTCCCACGTGGAGAGTGGCATGGAAGGAAATTTTGCAATATCCAACAAAATGGTGATTTCACTTCCAGGAAGCTCTCCTAGTCTCTCACACGCACGATGGCGGTGGGGCAAGGCCGTCTCCCGGCAGCATCGTTTTCATGACAGCAAAAAGGCTGGACCCACCCATGTGGGACAATCCACAGTGCAGCCCCACAGCCTCGCAAGGAGCGAGGACCCCCGTGCACCACCATGGAGAGCCCACCGCCGACGTGGTCACTTGCCAGCACGTGCCTGGCCATGTGTCTATGGAAACGAGGAGGAGGAGAGGAGAAAAAAGACAAAGAAGCATGCCCAAGAGCTGCCCAAGAAGGGCTGGCATGGAAGCAGGACCAATGGAGACCTCTGGAGATATGAACTGGGGGCTGAAGCCATCAGGAGCCTTGATCCATGGTGAGTTCGGAATCCTGAAAGCATCAACTATTCCACAGTAAACTAAATTTTTTAACTTAAAAAAAAAGTTTTTTAGAGACAAGGTCTTGCTCTGTCACCCAGGCTGGAGTGCAGTGGCATAATCACAGCTCACAGCAACCTTAAACTCCTGGGCTTAAGGAATCCTCCCTCCTCAGCCTCCCGAGTGGCTGGGATCACAGGCACATGCCAACATGTCTGGCTAATTTTTTTATTTTTAGTAGAGATGGGGTTTCACCGTGTTGCCAGACTGGTCTCGAACTCCTGACCTCAGGTAATCCCCCCGCCTTAGCCTCCCAAAGTGCTGAGATTACAGGCGTGAGCCACTGCACCTGATCTAATTTTTAAATTAAATTAAAAATTTTAATAAAATAAAAATTAAAATAAAAACAAAAAACCCAAAACACCCTAATTCACATGGCAGAGAATCTTGCCTAAGACCTAAACCAGAGGTTCTCAAAGTGTGGCCCAGGGACCCTGGGGATTCCTTTCTGAGGACCCACAAGGTCGAAACTATTCCAGTGATAATCCTAAAATGCTGCTTGCCTTTCCCACACTTGCCCCCTGGCAGCTGCACGGTGTGACCCGGCGGCCGACGGGTCACAGAAGACAAGCTGTCTCCTGACAAATCACACCCCGAGGAGAGCTACAAAATGTCGGCACCCCTCTTCACTAATTCTTTTTTTAAGTAGTGATTTTTTTTTTCTTTGAGACAGAGTCTCGCTCTGTCACCCAGGCTGGAGTGCAGTGGTGCAATCTCAGCTGGCTGCAACCTCCGCCTCCCAGGTTAAAGTGATTCTCCTGCCCCAGTCTCCCGAGTAGCTGGGACTATAGGCACCTGCCACCATGTCTGGCTAATTTTTGCATTTTTAGTAGAGACGGGATTTCACCATATTGGCCAAGCTGGTCTTGAACTCCTGACCTTGTGATCCGCCTGCCTTGGCCTCCCAAAGTGCTGGGATTACAGGCATGAGCCACTGCACCTGGCCCCAAGTAGTGATTTCTTTTTAAAGAAAGACATGTTATTTATGTTAACATGTAATAGATTTATAGTTGCATATTTCAGTAAATTAATAAATCTTTTTAAATTTCTTAGTTTTGATTTCTAATAGCGAGTGGCAATGAATACACCCCACATGCACAAAGACTCGCCAGTGTCCTCCATCGCTTGAGGCTGTAAGGGGCTCTGCGACCGGGGCTTAGCACCTGAGTGTACAGGACGCACCTGCCGCCTTGCTCCGCTGTCTCCTCCATGCCTGCCTGTGCACTGTCTGTGCTTCCCCCACTCAGCATCCCTGTCCCTCTTTTGGTAAGGACCCTGCTCTCCACGGGGAATTACCCATCCCATGGTGAGGGGCTGCCAATCACATGCTCTGCCTCATCACGGGAATGAAGCCACAAGGGAAGCAGAAGGAGGCGTGGAGGGTGAAAAAGCACCACGTCAGAAGAAGGGGAGACCAGCGACCCAGCCAGAGCACCCCAAGCAGCTCCATACCGCAGGCCCCTGGCCCCAAGCTGGCAAAGCCCCCCTCTGCTTAAGCAAATCTGTGGGGGCCCTTTCCATTTTGCACGCTCTCTCTGATGGGGCTTTAGGAGACCCTCAGCAGTGGCCCACATCCCACCACTGGAACAGGGTGACAGCTCCAGGTGACAGCTGCGGGCA
The DNA here is from genome assembly GCF_000001405.40 of Homo sapiens. Taxonomy (NCBI): domain Eukaryota; kingdom Metazoa; phylum Chordata; class Mammalia; order Primates; family Hominidae; genus Homo; species Homo sapiens. The sequence goes on along the minus strand of NC_000022.11, from coordinate 46,600,189 downwards.
CTGGTCACAGGCAGGTGATTCTCTCACAGAAGGGCACAGGTGTCACCAGCCTTTAAAAATCGAGGCATAAAACAGTCGATTCCCAAGACAGACACCTCAGGAAGAATCCTTTTATGACTAAAGGACTCTTCCACTCTCCGCAGGACCCTTTGACAAATAACCAGCAAGCTTCCTGGTGGCCTTAAGGTCAGATGAGATTCACAGTCAGCCACTCGACAGACAGTCCTACAGGGAGAAGGTGCCGCCGGTGGTGAGACACACCTGGGATTCTCACTGACTCAGGACTAAGGAGTCCCCACGTGGGGAAAGCCTTCCGATGGTCACTTTTCTGCAAAAGCAGTCACACCTCACAACACGCCTTTGCTCCAGCGACGGCGACCATGGAACTCGTAGGCATGTGGGGCCATCATGTTCGATGGTGCTGACTTGTGGAAACATTTCAATCTCCATCTTCCAGACAGAACCAAGATGCTCATTTCAGAGAATGGAGCTAATACATTAAATGCAGGTTGCTAGGTAATTTTTCACTAGGTAATTTTAATTCTCAAAAAAACTTAAGTATCAGCTGGGCATGGTGGCTCATGCCTGTAATCCCAGCACTTTGGAAGGCCGAGGCGGGTGGGTCACCTGAGGTCAGGAGTTCAAGACCAGCCTGGCCAAGAGGGTGAAACTCCATCTCTACTAAAAATACAAAAATACAAAAATTAGCCGGGCATGGTGGCAGGAGCCTGTAATCCCAGCTACTTGCGAGGCTGAGGCAGGAGAATCACTTGAACCCGGGAGGTAGAGGTTGCAGTGAGCCAAGATCGTGACACTGCACTCTAGCCCGGGGAACAAGAGCAAGACTCCGTCTCAAAAAAAAAAACAACTTAGTATCTAAAAGCACAACTATGAAACGACCAGCTCAACGTCTGAAAAATCACGAGCCATCTGCAAATTGCGTAACTGACAACGCAAGCACTCTCACACACAGGCCCTGTCTGCGCCCAGGGTGGCTCAACAGCAGAAATATCTGACCCCCAGTGGTCCCATCTGTTAACAAAGGCTCCAAAAATCTACTTCTTGTGTGCTAGGGGTTCTGTCAAGGACTTGGGATGTCCTGATCTGATCCTCCATCTCTGTCACGGCCTCTGTGTCACACAGTTCCCTGGGACCCCCATCCTCCTCCGGGGGTGCTGCAGGGCACTGAGCTGGTGGGCACCGGAGGCCACCAGAGGAGCTCACAGTCCCACCACCCCCAACCCTAGCCCTCTGGGTGCAGGGCGGCTCCTGTCTCCTGTGTTACCCTCTTCCCATGCATGTCCCCTCCTGGTTCCCCTTCTTTCAGTCCCAGCCTGAAACCCACCATGTAGCTGCTAAGCGTGCTCTCCAGACAAGGCCAGCTCCATCCTTCCCCGCTGGCCCGCACGGATTTTGAGGACTTGGCTTTCAGTGTCAGCTCCTAGTTCCAATTTCGGGTATACTTGGCCCTCAAGGAGCTCGGAGCTGCACCACAGGCCCTGTCTGACCTCAGGGTCTCCCCACATTCTAAACAAGCTCCTTCCCCCAAGCAGACCCCCATATACCTCAACTAACCAGAAGCTACCACCTAGACCCACAGGTGAGCCAGGAGCCGGCAGTCAGCAAATCACAGCAAATCAAGCCGGTAACCAGAACTGCTTTTCTCCAAAGTGGGAGAGAAAGCAACTTAGAGGCGTTCAGGCCAGGACTCATCCTAGACAAGGTCTTACAGCTTGCTCAATTAGAATCCTCTGGCAACAAACACCGAGGTGCAAATAACCAGTCCATCCACCCCTCCCTCCCGCTCTCCATCTCACAGACACTCCCTCACTCCACTTACCAGAGCAGCAAGACACCCAAACATCTCCCTAGAATTCTCATTAAATTTTCACCAAAAAAACGCCACCCAGCCAGGTGTGGTGGCTCACACCTGTAATCCTATCCCTTTGGGAGGCTGAGGCGGGAGGATCACTTGAGGCCAGGAGTTTGAGACCAGCCTGGCCAACATGGAGAAACCCTGTCTCTACTAAAAATAAAAGAATTAGCTGGGCATGGTGGTATGCACCTGAAATTCCAGCTACTCCGGAAGCTGAGGCATAAGAATCACTTGAACCCAGGAGGTGGAGGTTGCAGTGAGCTGGGATTGTGCCACTGCACTCCAGCCTGGGCGACACAGCAAGACTCTGTCTCAAAAACAAAACAAAACAAAAGGCCGCCAATGCCAAAACCTAATGGACTAAAAAAATGCCACCTTGTACAGTGCTCTAAAGGCAAGTTCTACAAGCAGATAATGGTAAAAACAAAACAAAACAAAACCAACGTGTCACCTAAACTTGCCCCCAGAAGGGTAACTTGCAAATCAAACTGTACTTGTTTTTGTCCTAATTAAAACCATGCCAGAGGCCGGGCGTGGTAGCTCATGCCTGTAATCCCAGCACTTTGGGAGGCCGAAGCGGGCAGATCACGAGGTCAGGAGATCGAGACCATCCTGGCTAACACGGTGAAACCCCGTCTCTACTAAAAATACAAAAAATTAGCCGGGCGTGGTGGCGGGTGCCTGTGGTCCCAGCTACTCGGGAGGCTGAGGCGGGAGAATGGTGTGAACCCAGGAGGCGGAGCTTGCAGTGAGCCGGGATCGCGCCACTGCACTCCAGCCTGGGCGACAGAGCGAGACTCCGTCTCAAAAAATAAATAAATAAATAGATAGATAGATAAATGAAACCAGGCCAGAAAATCACCTGAAACTTGAGCAAGAGAGAGAGAAGGAGAGGTAACTACCACCCAAAGAAGTTCCTCTGGATCTAAAGAAGATTCCAACTCACCACATCATCTCATCCCCATACGCCTTTGGGGGCTTCATAGCATTTTCTCCTTGGGGGAACCTAACCTCCTAAACATCCAACTTAAACAAACCCTCTTTAAAACAGCCTTGCTTAGCAGTATGCCTCCTGCCAGGAGGGACACAGGGCACTGAGCAGGAGCTGGTCTGTGTGCCACCTCCAGGGCCTACACCTGGCACCTGCAAGTCTCCAGCAGCCAAGGAAACCTCTCGCTCCTGCTGAGCCACTTTGCAGCTCTCCAAAGGACCCAAAGGTCTGGCCGCCGATTCCCAGGGGAGGGCAGGACTTATCGAAAGCAGGCGTGGAGACCTGGTTTAACCAGTCCAGCAGGTTGACAGATGGATGGACGCTGAGAAGGGTGGCTCCCGATCCCACCTGGAGGCAGCAGCTAAGCCAGCCCTGCAGCCATCCAAGCTCTGCAAAGGAGTGGAGGTCTCAGTGACAGGTGGAAAAAAGGCCCCAAGAGGACAAAAGAATGCTATTTTTAAAGCCTAATCTGGGCCAGGCATGGTGGCTCACACCTGTAATTGCAGCACTTTGGGAAACTGAGGCCAATGGATTACCTGAGGTCAGGAGTTCAAGACCAGCCTGGCTAACATGGTGAAATCCTGTCTCTACTAAAAATACAAAAATTAACTGGGTGTGGTGGCATGTGCCTGTAGTCCCAGCTACTCAGAAGGCTGAGGCAGGAGAATCACTTGAACTATGGGGATGGAGGTTGCAGTGAACTGAGATTGTGAGATCGTGCCACTGCACTCCAGCCTGGGCAACAGAGCACATGAGACTCCGTCTCAGAAAAAAATAAAAAAGGCTAATCTCTAAATTCCAAAAGGAAACAGGATTCTATCAACTGGTTCAACTGAGAAGAGAAAGGCCATTCGAGCCCCTTGCCAAGCACTCAACAGCCCAGGAGGCACCAGCACCCACCCACAGAGGGATGGTGACAAAGACTTCGGGACTGTGGCCAGATGGCCCTGGAGTCCCTGCAGGACCCTGCAGAAAGGGCCGCCAGGGACATCTGTCATCCTGGCCACACTTACGTCTGTGGAAACTGATGGCTATCAGCCTCATAAATGTGATTTCACCAGTTAAGACTCCAGCCCCGATGGCACGAGCCAGCAGCCAGAGTCCCTATCCACGGGAAGCAGGGGGCTGGGCACAGCTAGTCCTTGTCCTCATGGTCAATCCAGGCAGCAGAGAAACTGCGCCAGGCAGCCCTCTGACCTCCCGTCATGGTGCTGATCCAGAACTATGCACAATGATTCCAACAACGTGTCCTCAGAGTGAATTACGAGAAAGTGAACCCATCCTAATGCACTGAAGCAACGCTTCCAGCACGGAGAGCATCCAGGGTCTGGGTGCTTGTCCCACCAGGATAGCAGATTCTTTCTGACCCTCTGCAAGCCCCTCGGCCAGCTCCCACTCCTCCTGTGCACCCACTCCTCAGCCTCCCTGGGTAAGCTGGGAAGGTGGCCAGGGTACAGAAACAGCACTGGGTGTTAAGGCCGGGGATCTGGACAAGTCGTGTTTCACCCTGGCACCTGTCAGATGGGGTGCTCACCTGCCCATGCAGTCACCTGCCTGTGTGGCCTGGGCTTGTGGTTCTCTGGGTGTCCCCATCTTGGCCCCCTGACCGGCCGCAGGGGTCCCTGCGATGACTTGGAGGGGCAGCTGGAAAGGCTGTTCTGGTGGCTGGGTGGGAGGGGTGACGCTCAGAGGGTTCAGGGCAGGAAGAGGGGCCTCCCATGGGTGTGCCCAAAGCCAACCTCACCTAGGGCTGAGCTGCCTTGAGGGGCGCCTGTTTTTCTCTCAAAATGTGGAATCCTCTACCCCTGCACCTCTGTGCCCATACTGACCACCAGGCCCAGAACATCAGGGCGCCACCTCCCCTTTCCAGACACAGGGCCAGGCCCATGGGCTGCAGGATGAGAGTCCCTTGGGTGGGGGACCTTTGTGGCATAAAAGGGAGATTCACAACCCAGGAAAATAAAGTCGGAAGAGACACTATGTCCAGAGGCAGCCAAGTGAAACACCAGTCCCAGTGGCCAATCTCCCCCATGTCCCCGTCTGGATTGTTCCAGAACCCTGAGGCGTGCAGACCCGCTGCGTCGCATGGTCTCTACCTGTAGTTAGTACCCACGCCCACCCTGGGATTGAAAACGTGCCCCTCTTGGGTGCCTGCCACTGACTTCACTTCCCCCACCCTGTGTGTCTCCAGGGGAAAGGCACACTCTCCCCCCGGGCCGCATGTGGGGCTGGGATGCGGACCCAACTTTCCTGCTGCTTTGCCTCGACGCCAGGCCACGCAGTCCACAGGAGGCGGGAACGACAGGTACCTCGGTGACTGGGCACCGCACTCAGAGCAGCAGAAACAAACCTGGTGCAGTCAGAAAGCCCAAGTCCCGATGCACTGGTTACCAGCAGCGGACACAGGCACAGCAAACCACAGACAGCAAAACTTAGTGCTGGCCGGGCTGGAGCCACTCCAGAGCGCTTCAGAACATGTGGGGCGCCCCTCCTCACCCCCAACCCCAGCTCCCCGTGCTGCCCCTCCCCCAGGGTTTGCAGGGCACCAACCCTCTCCTCCCTCCTAGGAGATGCCACCTCACCTGGGACCAGGACAGCCCCAGCCTCCATCTCCAGTCCGGCCCTCCTAGCCCCCCAGGGCAGGACAGATGCCAGGGCCAACTGTCCTGAGACCAAGCTCCACTTTACCCCTGGACATCTCTGTACCCAAAGCCTCCTAAAACACCTAACCCCCCCCACCCAACCAGAGGTCCCTCACCACCCACACAAGCAATGCCCCTTCCTCTACCAAGGGCCCCCCAGAGGGCCAGGAGCCTCCCCCTACCCCAGCCCTCCTCTGGCCAGTGCTCCCGCCACCCCACAAGTGCCAAGGATCCCTGAACACACCTGGCCCCTCACACCCATGTGCTTGCATTCCTGCCCTGGCCTAGAATGCTCTTTATCATCACCCACCATACCCACCCCACCCGCCCACTTCCACCTGTCCTTCCACAAAAACAGGGGCAGGGAGGAGGGGCCCACCAGGCAGGTATGGCCTGTGGGTAGAGCTACAGCAGGTGACAGTGTGGACCCAGGCAGAGAAAGGTGTGCATAGGGTGGTGGGGAAGGGAGAGCACAGGACACACAGAGCTGGGGCAGGAGCCGGGCGTGGGGCAGCTGGGGAGGGGCTGGCGGGATGCTGGGGTGGGGCTGGCAGGATGCTGGGGAGGGGCTGGCAGGATGCTGGGTATCAAGGCTGGCTTCTGCTTGACGGTGAGCCCAGAGGTTCCCATTACATTATTAAAAATAACGAAAATATGGCTGGGTGAGGTGGCTCACGCCTATAATCCTAGCACTTTGGGAGGCCGAGGCGGGCAGATCACCTGAGGTCAGGAGTTCAAGACTATCCTGCCAACATGATGAAACCCCATCTCTACTAAAAAAATACAAAAATTAGCCCAGGGTGGTGGTGCACGCCTGTAATCCCAGCTACTTGGGAGGCTGAAGCAGGAGAATTACTTGAACCCAGGAGGCAGAGGTTGCAGTGAGCTGAGATCGCGCCACTGCACTCCAGCCTGGGTGACTGAGCAAGACTCCATCTCAAAAAAATAAATAAAAATAATGAAAATAGACAAAAGAGGACTATGCACAGACGCCCAACAGCAGCACAGACCCCAGGCCAATGACGCATCCCATTCTATGCCCCGGAAGCCCAAATGATGAAAAAGGGAAGAGGTCTCAGCCCACAAGCCTCCTCCCTTAGAAGGCTGCCCCAGCACTGAACAGCCTGCTACGGGAAGTCACTTAATGCAACACTAGCCCACCTCTGCCCGCCCGCCATGGGACTCTCGGTAGGCCCTGCGGCAGGGGTTGGGGGGCGGTCCCACCTGCCCTCCCTGTGCGGCAGGCCCAGCGGAGAAGAGGCAGTCAGAGAACACCTGCCAAATGGCCAAGAACAACAACGTCCCTTTCACCGTCCAGCTGCAGAAATGGGGATGTCTCTCGCCAAGACCGCCTGCAACAAGGGCCGCCCGCAAGGAAGCTTCTGCTTGATGTGAGGTTCCGGGGAAAAGGAACCAGGCAGGGGAGAATCCCGTGATGGTTCATCAGGCCTCAAAGTCAGAACTTACGACTTTTTAAACGTTTCAGTACAATTTACCTTTCTGCTACTGGTACTGGTAAAGAGGAAAGGTCTGCAAATCAAATAACAGTAAACAAGATATCGATGTTACTTAAGCAAACACGTTACTCTCAAGTATTTGAGAACGGTGTGGATAAAACCAATTCCTTTTATGTTTTTGTTCAAATGCTTTCTTTTCTGAAAGCCCGCATGGAGAGTTCTAATTTAGGTTATGTTGGTGAACAAAAATAATCACAATGTGGGGTTTATATCTTCTAATTATACAGAATTTAGGACAAAATATTCATGTAAGTGATTCTGGAATACTTCATAAATAGGTCATATAGGCTCTTTTTATTGCCAAAATTCTTGAAACTCAGTGCAGCAGAGTCATTGTCTCCATGTGGAACTGAAAGCAAGGCAGGCAGCCAGCAGCCCCTCCACGATGCCGGCCACATCCTGGAGGTGCCGGGCGCGGTGTCAGCCAACAAATCAGCCGACACTGGGGTTTTTAAAGCCCCTTGCAGAGCTGGTCACCATACATGTGGGCCGCAGAATTCCAAGACTCTCGGGAGAGAAATTTTGCTTCTGCAGGCGTAGAGGATGTGGTTCCTCCCTGGTGCAGTCGGAACAGTGAAAACATTCAGGAAAGTAACTGAATCGAGCCCCTCCCGGCTGTGAATGACTGAGTTCACCACACAGCCACAGTGGGGCTTCTTCACCTTGCTCGCCATGACTCAGTGCTAACAGCCCACTTCATCCTTTTTTTTTTTTTTGGAAACAGGGCCTCCTCCCTATGTTTCCCAGGCTGGCTTCAAACTCCTGGGCTCTATGGATCCTCCCGCCTTAGCCTCCCAAGGAGCTGGGACCACAGACACGCACCCCTGCACCCAGCTCTGCTGTTTTTAATCGTACAATTAAGCAGTCAGTTATTTAAAAATACACACTTGCCCAACTTAAAAGAACCACACTTATTTATCAATTATGCCAGCTGGGCTGGTGGCAGTAGCAGTGGGCCTCATTCCCTAGGGCACTCTGGGGGCGCAACCCTATGGGGACTGTCCCCCAACTATGGCACCACCTAACCTGAGCCCCGGTGGCCCTGCTGAGCTGGGCGTCAGGATGAGGTCTCGACTCCCGTGACATCAACCAACTTTCCTGGAATGTGCCGTGATGCCCTTGACAAGTGTGGGGACTTGGGGGCGAGAGGGAGGGCCTTGCTGTGTCAAGCCTGCAGGCACAGGAGGGGACACACCAGTCCTGGGCTGGGCCCCAATGTCCACTGATATCACAGATGCTTTCTGACTGTCCCTGGGCATGGCTAACTGAGGGGTGCGGGGGCTGAGGGGTGCGGGGGTTGGCCTTTCTGGGTTTTTTTTTTTTTTTTTTTTGAGACAGAGTCTCGCTCTGTCACCCAGGCTGGAGTGCAGTGGCTTGATCTTGGCTCACTGCAACCTCCGTCTCCCGAGTTCAAACGATTCTCGTGCCTCAACCTCCAGAGTAGCTGGGATTACAGGCACCCACCACCACACCCGGCTAATTTTTATTTTTAGTAGAGACAGGGTTTTGCCATGTTGGCCAGACTGGTCTCCAACTACTGACCTCTGGTATTCCACCTGCCTCAGCCTCCCAAAGTGCTGGGATTACAGGCGTGAGGCACCGTGCACGGCCCGGGGGTGGCCTTTATGAGGGATGCAACCTAGGACTTCAGCAATGTCCGTTAGCCTCTGCCTCATGGAGCTTCAGTAACGTCGTCCAAATGAATTTGGTAAATCTGTCCAAAACAACAAACCCCAACTCCCACCTCAGCCTCCCAAGGAGCTGGGACTACGACATGCACCACCACACCCAGCTAATTTTTTATTTTTAGTAGAGATGGAGTCTCACTATGTTGCCCAGGCCGTTCTCAAACTCCTGAGCTCACGCAATCCTCCCCCTCTCAGCCTCTCAAAGTGCTGGGACTACAGGCATGAGCCACTGCACCCAGCCCTGTTAATTTCTGTTTAAGTCCCTGAAGAGAGAATTTAAGATAACGAGAGATTTCACTATCACACACTGGACCCCGCGGCTGAGAGGGCAGCAGTTTCCCACCTTAGGCCATTCCAGGGCTCTTGCCTTCTCTGGCTGTTTTTTGGGTTTGTTTGTTTTTTTTTCTTTTTCTTTTTAGACAGAGTCTTGCTCTATCACCCAGGCTGGAGTCCGGTGGCACGATCTTGGCTTACTGCAATCTCCGCCTCCCAGGTTCGTGCAATTTTCATCCCACAGCCTCCTGAGTAGCTGGGATTACAGGCACCCACCACCATGCTGGCTAATTTTTGTATTTTTAGTAGAGACAGAGTTTCACCATCTTGGCCAGGCTGGTCTCAGACTCCCGACCACAGACAATCCACCTGCCTCGGCCTCCCAAAGTGTTGGGATTACAGGCATGAGCCAGTGTGCCCGGCCTCTGGCTGTTTTTATAAACTAGTAGTGTCCATCGTCCTTAGCTGTCCTCAGACAACACTGTGGACTCTCCCCCAATCTCTCTGAGCTCCTCCTCCCCTCACCCAAGCACGCCCTGGCGGGACCTCTGCTGCTCTCTCCCTCCCCTGTTGACACTCACCTGGGCCCAGCCCGGGTTTCTCCCCTCCCATTCCCCTCTACCAGGCCACCAAACCAGGCCAGTCACGAGCAACAGGCAGACACCAGCTGACTGGGTGTTAACGGCAGCAGCCCAGGCCTGGTCACACACACAGTGGCCCAGGTCACCTCCTCCTTGGGACGCGCTCCTGGCCAATCCCAGCCCTCGGGGTTAGTGGAGCGCTCACCCATCCCCGGCACCTTCTCAGCTCTCTGCCAAGGACTGGCTGGAGGAAGGACACTGGGAGAGGTCCCCAGTACTCCCGAACCCCACCCACTAGCCACCTTCCCCCAGCTTCCCAATCAAAGCCTCCCACCAAGAGGAATCAGGCCGAGGGCCATCCATGTGGCCCCAGAGCTGTCACAGTCAGACTCCCAGCTCCGCCCCTCTGGACGCAGGAGGCACGCAGGGCACAGGGCTGTCCAGGCGGCCCAGTAGCTGGTGTAGATGTGGGGGCAGGGCTCTGGCCCCCCAGGCCAAGGCTCTCCTGACTGCCACGGCTCTGCCCACCCGGGCCAACAGTAGGCAGGAATCAACCAGACTCAGGGCTCCCAACCAGGCCAGGACCCATCCTGCAAGACTGCCGTGGGAGTTACAGGAGGCGACACGGCCTCCCCACCAATACATGCCGCAGGAACCAGGCAGCAGGGAGGGCCACGAGGGGAGCTGGCTGAAGGGGTAGGGAGAAAGCTGCAGAAAGGGTGTTGACAGGAGGCCTCTCTGAGGGGCTGAGGGAGGGGAGGCAGTCAGGCTGCTGGGGAGCAGGGCAGGGGCTGAGGTCCTGGCAGTGCAGCAGGCCTCAGGGTGCACACAAAGCAGGTGGGTCACCTAGAAACCTGAGGAGTGGGCTGGGCCAGAAGAGTTAAGGATCCACCCCATGAGGCTGAGGAGTGATCTTCCAAAATACTTAAATAAAGCAAACAGAGCGGGACTGGGGGGTAGCCACAGGGCATGGGCCCTGCAGGCAGAGCTGGGAACTCTCAGACACCCGCTTACTCACCTGCAAAGCAGGGGCAGCATGGGCCCTTCCAGGGTCACTGCAGAGGTGGCAGCCACCCCCCACATCCCCTGGCCCCAGCAGGTCTTCAGATAATAGGGCCACCCACTCACCTTCTCCCTGGGCAGCCCTCCCCATCCCCCCAAACAGCCCAGCCCCACACTGGGCCATCTGCCCTCGGGCCACGTGAGGCACAGCCCTCACACCCACGGCTCCCCCATATCAGAGCTGCCCCCACACCCAGGACTCCCCCACATATCAGAGCTGCCCCCACACCCAGGGCTCCCCCACATATCAGAGCTGCCCCCACACCCACGGCTCCCCCATATCAGAGCCGCCCCCAAACCCAGGACTCCCCCCAAGAGCCAGGGCTGCCCTCTTTAACAAGGCTCCAGGGCTTTCGGGAAGGCAGCAGCGACTGGAGGGACAAGGACACTGAGCCAGGGTCTCCCAGCTCTGAAAAGGTCCTCCCTGGAGCACCAGCAGGCTGGGGAGTGTCGCCCATCCAGGTCCCCCCGCCCCCTGCCGTCCCTGCTTCTCCCATCAGTACTGACGAAGCACCTGCTGCGTACCCAGCCCTCTGCCCAGCGCCACAGTTACGAGCTGTGGTTGCACTGCCACGGGCCAGCACAGGACATCTCAAATGTTTAAGAGAACTCTGCTGTCACCAACCTTACTGTGGGAGGGGGTGGGGAGACGCTGGCAGAGGCTGGGTCACCAGCCCCAGGCCCCACAGCTATGACAGGACCTGAGAAGAAAGGCTTCGGCTCCAGCCCAGCCCAGCCTGGGCCACATCCAGGCTCTGCCCAGCCCGGACCGACGCCAGTGTCACATGCCCTCCTGAGACCTGTGTCAGGGAAGCCTAAGGACCCCGGGGATGGAGAGGGCGGTGCTGGGGCTCCTGGATCAGGCCGGGGAAGGAGGACGGACGAAAGGGTGGGCACCCCGCAGCTCCAGGAGCACTGGCCACCCCTGCCCCCCAGCCAGGAACATCTTCAGATCGCTCATTCTCCAAAGGCAGCTGATGGCTAAGACTGCGAGGGACAGGGTGGGGCCTTGTAAAAGCTTAGAACGTGGCTGGCCAGAGGCCACAGCTCCCCTCTTGCCCTCTGTAGTGGTTTGACCCACTCCGCAGATACCAATATGAACAGCACTCGCCCGGGGAGGGTGCTCCAACAAGCCAGCCGGGTCTGCCCCACATCCACAGAGCTCAGCAGGCCTGCCACCTCCCTGCCCTTGCGTGGTGCTGCCTGGAGGGATGGAAGACGGACAGCCAGACAGGGACGGAGGTGTGCTGACCTCAGCTCTGCCCCTCCTGACCTACTGGCTCCTCATCCATCGGGTTGTGGGGGACGCTGGGCAGTCACTGGGGTTACCTGGCTTCTCCCATGCTCCTAGGTTCTCAAAGCAGATGGGGTGGCTGGGGGTGACCCCCCAGGGCCTGCCTATCCTGAGTCACAGCTCTAGATGTCCGGTTTAGAGAGAGACTCTGGGACAGAGCCCCCGAAGGCGGCTCCATGGGGCTCCACCAGGGCTGGGGCTGTCCCAGAGTCTCTCTCTAAACCCGACATCTAGAGCCAAGTAGACACCACCCACTCCCTCCCCGCCTGTGCCCCTCCTGACCAGGCCCTGGCCCCCTGGACCCTCAGGCCTTTTGCCAACCTGTGATGTGAGTGCGTCTGCCCAGACGGGGAGGATCAGGAGCCCTGTACCATCCTCCCGCGGCCCCACCCCGACGCCCGGGCTTCTGGCGCACACGCCTGTTTCACTTCCTCTCCACCAAACATCTGCCACCTCCACTGTTAGGCAGGTCAGGCTCCAGGGGCCAGCAACGACCACCAGTCAGTTCCACCTGTTTCAACCCTACCTCGGGCCAGTGCCTCTGGGTCCCTCCCTCCTGAGCTGGGGTTGGCTGAGTGTGCCTGCCTAGGCTTCTCCCACAGGACAGGACAGGACAGGACAGGACGGAGCCTTGCCCACTGACCCCCATCCAGCCCACTGGCCCCCCGCCCCGGCCTGGGCTGCCTGCCAGGTATGCTGCTGGTGGAGGCCCTCCCCCTCAAGCCTTTGTCAGACCCTGACTATCCCCCTAGTTGGAAGAGAAGGGCTACAGAAAGCAAGCAGAAGACACAAACCTGGGCACTGAAGCCGGAACAGGACCCCAAACGGCCTCCGCCTCCCAGAGCTGATGGCCCAGTGTCACTCCGGACGGCTGGGCTTTTGGAACAGACTTCCCCTTCCCACCCCCACACACTTAAACCTGACAGTTTCACTTCTTGGGTGGAGAATGTGTGAAATGATTCACACACCTTGCTGGGGTCCAGCAGTGGCTGGGGACACAATGTCACCTTCTACTCCGGAGCCCCAGATCACTGGCTCATCACAGCCCAGCGGGCACACACGCTCCACAGATCACAGGGGCCTCCACTCTCACAGGGTCCACTCCTGTTGTCAGCTGAGCATTCCCCCAGGGCAGGGGATAATCTACTTCATCAGGGTTCTGTGGCAAACAAGAGCCACTGGGCGCAGAGTGGGCTGAGAAAGCATGCGAGGAAGTAGGCGACCATCAGCACGGGCTTTGTCCAGCATCACAGGGTAGTTACGGTCCGGTTCTTCCCGGGTAAGAGGGTGGGTTCTGGGACACAGACGGGGTGTGGGTGTTGCTTCAGACTTTTAAACGCCAAACTCCCCACCCAGGGGCCAAGGTCTACACACACCTTTCTACCTCTGCCCATCCAGGTCCCAAGTGCCCTCAGAGCTGCAGGGCCTCAGCTCCCTCCTCATCAGCTGCAGGGCAGGAAGACAGAGGACCCTGCAGGCTGTCACTGCTCAGGCCAGGCTCACCCCAGGGCCGCTTTCCCCAGCAGACAGGTAGGGGTTCCCCCCAACTCATGTCCCAGCAGGGACAGCAGCCAGTCGCCCTGAGAAGCTGAGACCCCACCAGCGATTCCGCCACACCAGAGCTCTGGGTGCAGTAGGATACCTGGCTCCTTCGTCTGCCCCCTGAAGGCCCTCGTCTCTGTGTCATGGGGCTAGGCCCTCCCATGACCCCCACGTTTCCCCAACCCTATGGAGTGTGTCTAAGGAAGCAGGTGGAATTGGCCTGGCTCCCCCAGTCTGGGGCCTAGAGCAGAGCCCGGGGAGCCAGGGAGCCCTGGGCTGGGGAGGGGAGGGCAGACAGAGGAGGGGACAGAGCCCCTCCGAGCCAGCATCACCCGGCAAATGCCTCCGACCATCGCACCGGACTGAGCCAGCCCACCAATCTCAACCTGGAAAGCAGGGAGGCGCCAGTGGGGCCCAGTGAGGATGGGGGTGGGGCACGTGGGGCGGTGGGGAGGAGCCAGGGCAAGGAAGGAGACACGGTCAGCAGGAAGGCAGGAGGCTGGCCCCAGGTAAGGGCATAGGCAGGTGAGTGGGCCACCCCCTAAGCTGCATTCCCAAGAATGCTGGCATCCCCAGCGAGGGCAGCCCTGGCTCCCCGGGCTGTGCTCTAGGTCCCAGACTGGGGGAGCCAGGCCAATTCCACCTGCTTCCTTAGACACACTCCATAGGGTTGGGGAAACGTGGGGGTCATGGGAGGGCCTAGCCCCATAGCACAGAGACAAGGGCCTTCGGGGGCAGACAAAGGAGCCAGGTATCCCACTGCACCCAAGACGTGGCTGAACCTCAGTCCTAGCCCCAGAGGAGCCGCAGGCACATGCTGGTTGGGTCTCCAGGAGCCTTGCACAGAGGCTGACCTTTAACAAGCTGACCTGAGAGGCCGGTCTCAAGCCATCCCCACTCCTGTGTCCTATAAACTCCTGTGCCCCTCCCTCATCGCTCCAGGGAGCCCTCCTTGTCGCTCCCTCCCTGGCAGGGTCAGGCCCTTCCCCATCCCATAGACCAGGCTCTCTTTACCTTTCCACCTCCCACAAGCTCCCTTCCACCATGTGTGCCCTGAAGGCAGAAGCATCATTCAGGTGCCCCGGACAGGTGATAAGAGGCCAGCACCCCTCATGGGACCGCGAACACAAGGGTGAAAGTCTTGTATTCCAGGCAAGGGCCTTGGGGTGCTGTGACCGGAGGCTTCCTGGGTCTAGGGCCGAAGTTAACCCAACATCAAGAAAACAAGACAGGCAGCCGGGCGCGGTGGCTCACGCCTATAATCCCAGCACTTTGGGAGGTGGAGGCAGGCGGATCACCTGAGGTCAGGAGTTTGAGACCAGCCTGACCAACATGGAGAAACTCCGACTCTACTAAAAATACAAAATTAGCTGGGCGTTGTGGTGCGTGCCTGTAGTTCCAGCTACTCGGGAGGCTGAGGCAGGAGAATCACTTGAACCTGGGAGGTGGAGGTTGCAATGAGCCACGATCACGCCATTGCACTCCAGCCTGGGCAACAAGAGCAAAACTCCATCTAAAAAAAAAAAAAAAGAAAGAAAGAAAAAAGACAGGCTCCACTCAGATCCCCAAAATGCTGCCTGGAAAACACCGCCGACAAACCAGCAGACGAGGAGTGACCACCTGGTTCTCTCTCTTCCCAAAACTTCTGCAAGGGCCTGACGCATTCCTGAATGAAAGATGCTTAACAGAAAGCCCAGCAGATGCGGCTCTGTAGATCTTTTCAAAGGCCGTCCCCTGCCAGGGTGGCAAGTTCAGAGGCAGAGAGGGGACAGACCTGGCCAGGATGGAGTCGGAGATTTGTCTGAGCTCTAAAGCGTCCCGCCGGCAGCCTTTCTCCTCCTTCCCCGAGGAGGCCGGACTCTGGGATGCGTTCTAAGTCAGCCCCACTTTCACGTCTCAAAGCAACGCCAAGCCCGTGCCCGTCCCTGCGGGGCCGGGCTGACTAAGCACAGCAGGGAAGTCCCTGGTTCTCCTGCAGCCTCCCTCCCTTCTTCCCTCTAAGTCGTGGAATCATGTTGGGGAGGTGGCGGCCCCTCCCCAGCCCCAGCCAGCCATGCTGCGGCAGCATACCGGGAGCCCGGGCTCGAAGCCAAGGGATCGGGAACTGCTTCCCGGGGGGTCCCACTAACAACTCCAGTCCCACTACGCAGACACACCGGTACTAACAATTAAGTAGATGTGTGGCAAGCGGTGGGAGTCTGGCTTCCTGCTGCTTGAATAGACACGAATTGATCTGCAAGAAAGGAGACGAGAAAGATCCATGCAGGAAACGGATCAGAGTTCATCAGCGGCGCGAACTCACACTTTGCTCAATACAGGTACAGGAGGCTACACGCGGACACAGGCAGAGACACGTACATATGTGCGCGTCAGCTCACACGTGCATTTCCTTGCTGTCAGCTAAGAGGGCCCAGAAGCAATGACACCCCGGTAGTGATGAGCGTACCCGCCACCTGGATCTTGGTTTCCGATTCTGCCCTCCAACAAAAGGAACCCGGGCTCCCTGCAGAAGGGGCTGACTCTAGGCCTGGGCAGGGAATGGACAAGCTGAGCCTGGAGCATCTCACAGGGCCAGAAAGTGAGGAAGGACTCACACCACCCACCGTGAAGGGGTGCATCCAGGGAACCCGACGGCCAGCACTGGAACGAGTGAGCAAACAAAATAATGGCATTCCGCATTGACCTAGAGGATTAAATGAGTATCCACGAACCCACATGGATAAGTAAGCGGCTGCATAAACTGATAAATGGGGAGAAGAGACAGACCCCCCTGAAGAAGAAGGCCACATCAGTGACACAGCCACTCTGCCCTCAAGGAGGCAGGCGTGACTCCCCAGCCCTTAAGTGTGGCCGCGTGTAGTGACCTCCTCCCAAAGGCAACAGTACTGGAAGGAGGAAACACAAGAACTGCTGTGAAGACCCCTGACAAACACATCTCAGGTGGGTGGCCAAGTCAGCACCAGTAGCCGCGGGCCACATCGAAGGTATGCGCCTGGCGTGACGTGGTTAGAGGGCACCATGCCCCTGTGGTCTTCCTCCCGCTAAGCCAGGGCCCCAGTCGCACCATGAGAAATACATCCAAATTCCAACAGAGGAATTCCAATTGTTCAAACAGACAAATTCCAATGGATGGAGATCCCACAATACACCTACTATTTCTTAAGACTGTCAGAGTTATCAAAACTAAGAAAAGTCTGAGAAGCTGTCATAGCAAAGAGGAGCTTAGAGAGACATGACAGCTAGATGTCATCTGGGACCCTAGATGCAGTCTTGGAACAGAAAAAGGACATTAGGTAAAACCTAATGAATCTGAACAAACTATGTACTTTGGCTAATGATAATGTATCAATATTAGTCCATGGATTGTAACAAACCTATCATACTAATGTAAGATGTTAATCACCAGACAAACTGCAACTGTTGGTAGGGATAATTGGGAAACTCTGTATTATCTCTGCAATTTCTCTATAAATCTAAAACAGTTTTTTAAAAATAGAGTTGGCTGGGTGTGGTGGCTCACACCTGTAATCCCAGCACTTTGAGAGACCGAAGCGAATGGATCACCTAAGGTCAGGAATTCGAGACCAGCCTGACCAACATGGTGAAACTCCATCTCTACTAAAAATACAAAATTAGCCAGGCATGGTGGTGCATGTCTGTCACCCCAGCTACTTGGGAGGCTGAGGTAGGAGAATCGCTTGAACCCGGGAGGCGGAGGTTGTGGTGAGCTGAGATCGCACCATTGCACTCCAGCCTGGGCAACAAGAGCGAAACTCCATCTCAAAAGACAAAAGAGAGAGAAAGGTGGTCACCACAGGCAGGGAGGAAGGGTCCAGGGAGTGCCTAAAGTGTCTAGAAGGCCCAGGTTCCTGTTTGGGTTTCGATTGTGGTGATGGCTGCACAACTTGGTGAATGTACTAGAAGTCCGTGAACTGTGCACTTTCAATGAGTGTGTTGTATGATGTGTGAATTACACCTCAATAAAGACGCTGACAAACACACCTCAGCCAGGTGGCCAAGGTCAACACCAAGAGTGAGGAACAAACAAATTCACTCCCAGCCTGGCTCCTGGCCCTACCCAACTCCACAGCCCAGCTCAGACCCGAGCCAGGGTCCCAGGATACCAGGCATAATGAGGTGCCGCTCCAGGTCGCTGGACATGAGCAGAGACCCCTAACTTCAGGAGCCCACCTTCTAGAAGGGAAGCGTGGTAAACAGTAGACAAACAAGAACCTCAGGAAGAGGAGAGCAGTGACAGCAGAGGCACAGCTGGGGCACTCATGGGAGGCCTCCCTGGAGGGGGGACGTGGAGCAGAGAGGTCCCAGGAACGGCCGGCAGGGGAACCCACCAAGAGAGGCTGAGCCGTTTCCTGGAGCCTCCTAACCGCCCGCTGCCCAGCATTCAGCTTCTCCCACTGCAGCTTCTCGGGAGTTTGGTGGCACAGAGTCCCAAGCAGAGTCTCTTGTCCCTCCTGTTCCCCAGGGACAAGTAACAATTCACCAAGCACAAAGCTTCACGGTTTCCCAGCAGCCCCACGCTCTGCCTCCTTGGACCTCACTTCACAGAGGGCAGTGACTCGGCCACTGCAAAGTGCATCCCAGAAGCCCTCACTCCTCGACCACCCATGGCCTCCACACCCAGCCCCACCCAGCCCCAGCCAAGGCCCCAGCACTGCTCCTCAGTAGACCTGCTTCCTCTAGGGAAGTGGCAGCCAGGCCTCTCCACCCACCTGGGCCTCCCTGTGGGAGGTGGTGCAGACGCGGCCATCTCAGGCCAGAGCCAGCTCTCAAGCTCTGGCTTCTATACCCTAGGCCAAGGCCTTCGTTTACAGGTGACCAAACTGAGGCCCAGAGAGGTTAGGTGTCTTGCCCAAGAACACACAGCAGCAAGATCAAGCACGCTCTCCGCCCAACCCCCGTGCATATGGGGCTTAGGTTAGAAGCACAGCCCATTGGTCCAAACCCACCTCTACCACGCAGCAACCTGTGGCTCTGTGCCAGGGCTTCCTCCTGCGTGAAATGCAGCTAACAAGAGCACCTACCTCCAGTTGGTACGAAAATAAATCATGTCTCATGCTTAGAGGGCTGTCTGGCCCTGAGCAGGACATGCTGTCCGAATCTTGCTATTTACTGCACATTTGACAGCAAAAAGAGAAGTCTCATCATGACTTTGAGTTTATTGCTGATATTTCTCTCACAAAACCCCCCTTAGAGGAGGGTTATCAGGAAGGCAGAAAGGCTGCAATGTTTATGAGCATAGCCTTGGGGGCAAAGCCACCCACGTGCAAATCCCAGCTCTGCTCGGGAACGAACTGGGGACTTAGGCAAGTGGCACTGCCTCCCGGTGCCTCAGTTTCCTCATCTGTAAAATGGGGTGAAGCTGTGTGCTCTGCAGACTTGGTTGAGACAATTCGTGTGAAACACTCAGCGCAGGCCTGCTGTGCAGAATGAGTGATTTCTATTACTATTATTAATGTTTTTGATAGGCCGGTACTTCCTGCCTTTCCTGTGTAACCACAGGGGACTTTAATCACTGGGCTTAAACATAATCACAACCCTAGGTTATAACTCAAACACCAAACAATCAGAACAGTAGCCCTGTAGACGGGACTGTCATTAGTGGCGAATTACCAGCCCAAAGTGTCCGCCCAGGCCTCTGCCACATGCCGAGATACCAAAGGCAAAACAACAGGGCTTTCTCCAATTAGGGAAACACGCATTTTCTTTTTTCTTTCTTTCTTTTTTTTTTTTTTTTTGAGATGGAGTTTCGCTCTTGTTGCCCAGGCTGGAGTGCAATGGCGCGATCTCAGCTCACCCCAACCTCTGCCTCCCGGGTTCAAGCGATTCTCCTGCCCCAGCCTCCCAAGTAGCTGGGATGACAGACATGCGCCAACACGCCCGGCTAATTTTTTGTATTTTTAGTAGACGTGGGGATTTCTCCATGTTGGTCAGGCTGGTCTTGAATTCCCGACCTCAGGTGATCTGCCCGCCTCGGCCTCCCAAAGTGTTGGGATTACAGGCGTGAGCCAGCGCGCCCGGCGAAACCCACATTTTCTTGCGCCACCTCTGTCTCTAAGAGTCTGAGTGACCTGCCTCTAAGTTCTCAAGTTAAACTATTACATATCCCCAGCAGCCAAGGGCTCCAAGCAGGTGACAGGCTGGCCTGGGCCCCACCCGCTGGGCTGGGTTAGGCCTGTGACACTCTGTTCACATAACTGTCCCCTTGGGAGATCCAGGCCTCCTCTCAGACCCCCCAGCCACACCTGACGGTGGAAGACTTGAACTTTTACTCCTTTACAAGCAGTATTTTTCAGGACCATTGCTGTGCCACCAAAAGGCAAAGAAAAGGCAGATCTAAACCCACCGTGGTGCCAAAGAGACCCCAAGCCAGCCTGTGGGATGCCCAAACCAGAGGCCTTCGAAAGCACTGTGAGTGGTCCACTTGGCCTCGGAGGCGCCCAGCAGATGACCATCTCCAAGCCAGGCAAGAGACGCTGCTTCCCAGCGAGCACCCTCTGCCTTCTGCCTGTTACTCACTAAACCCGGCCACAGCTTCTCTCCCTCAATTCACTGTCAATTTCTGTCGGAGCAGGGATGCTCTGCCACACACCCCAACACTGTCCCTGCTGCCCCGGGCTTTCTGCAGAGACAGTCTCCTTACCCCTAAAGAGGCCAGGCAGCAGCCTCTTGGGCCGCCTTGCAGGGGAGGAGGCAGGAACTCAGGCAGGGGGTGACCAGGCCACCCAGCCAGTCCCTGGTGTCTTCCCTCCCAGCCAGCACACGCCCACACCAACAGGAGCTCTGTAAATACCCAAGTCCCCACCATGGCCACTAGGCAGGAGACCCCAAACCTGACACACAGAAGCCCACATACAGGGACGCCTCCCCAGCTCCCCGAGATGGGGCAGCCTCCTAAAATGAGCCCCTGGCCGGAGCCCTGTCATGACAGGACTGGAACCCCAATGCCAAATAAACCCCAGTAGATTCGGCTACCGGAGAGAAATACCCAAACAGAGAAACATGGGGAGATGGAAGGGGGCTTCATGTGGCCCCCAGGGAGGGGAGGGGGCACACGGATGGCACAATCACTAACACAGATCACATCATGGGACTATCGGGGCCCCAGGTTCTCCCATAACAGGAAAGTCACCAGGACCCGTCAAGTGGGGTGCTGCTGTTTCTGTAACATGTCTAACATTGCTCTGATACTCCTTCCAAAGAGAAAACAGGCTTCAGGCTGGCAGCCCTCCCTGGCAGCAGAGGCTCACTAGGCTCCAATAACACTTTCTTTTCATTGAGCCTGAACCACTATTCTATTCTATTCTACAGCAGAAATGGTGATTCAGGAAAACCGGCTCTGATTCTCCTCCCTCGTTTTCCAGTTGGTGAAGGTGAAGCCTGGGAGAGCGGAGAGCAAAGATCACCTAACGCCGGCGCCGGGCTCCACAGATAAGAGGAGGGTACTAAGGGGAAGGCCTGGAAGGCTGGTGGTTTGGAGAGAGACCACCTGGTTCTTTCCCAGTGAAGGGTCCTCCACCTCCCTCAGCAGGAGACCCAGAATAAACAGCCTCCCAGGGCTATGTGGAAACACACCACAACTTGGAGACTTTCCCGTGCTCTCCAGAGTGCAAGACAGACATCACCGGACAGGCCCCGCCTGCCCCCAGGCTGCATGGCTGGGACAGCCGCACTCCACGCATCAGCCATAGGGGCAGCTGAGAGGAAAGAGCAGCAGAGCAGAGGGCTGGTGGCTCACTGAGACCCCAGGTGCCCAATTTCCCAGGCTCCAGGACCAAGCTGCATCTCCCTGTGAGCCCAGCACGGTGAGGACTGTGGGGCTTCGAGGTCTGCCCCGGGACCACAAAGTGCTGCAGAAGGGTCCACATGGCTGCCAAGGCAGGAGCAAGGCAAGACAGGCAGGGCCCCTTTCCTGGACCAGGCAGGGGTCTTCGGAAGGGTGTGCAGCAGGAAGGAGGGGCAGGGTTACTGAGGTCACTCATCTGGGGAGTCCCAGCTAACAACAGGGGAACGTGGTTTCACCCCAGCACGGGGCAGAGGCAGCAACTGAACACACACCCTGGCCAGACTGTGCATCCCCAAATGGGCCTGGGACACAAAAGTCAGGAAGACAGACTTCAGACTTCAGGCTCAGCCACAGCGCCCGGGGCAGAGGCCATGACTGACCTCCTAAACCCATTTTGAACCCCAACCCAGGGCGAGCCCAGCCTGAGGAGGCCCACATCACCCCATTCGATCCTCTTACCTGCCCCTGCCCACTTGCTAGTGAGGAAACTGAGGCCCAGGAGGCTCACTACCTTGCCCAAGGTCACAGAGCAGGAGGGTGAGGGAGGCAAGTCCCAGACTCCTCTCTCGAGTGCTGCCCTCGACTTCTGAGGCAACAGAGCCCTGACCCTGACCTCCCTCCCAGGCCCAGCACCAGGGCAGGGCTGCACTGGGCTGGGACTCAGGCACCTCCTTTTTGGCATGTAGGAGAGACACCTCTGAATTTTCTTCCTAACCCACACAAGGCAGGCAAGAAGGGAACCCCATCCTGCAAAAGGTCTCCCCCAAACCGAATCTTTCCTACCTCAGGAGATGCAGGGTTGACAATAGCCGAAAAAGTGGACTTGGCTCTGGGGGAGTCACACTCAGGTCCCTGGCCCCGGGGCACTGCTGCACCTTCTGCCACACAGCCAACAGGGCAGGGGCACCAGCCCACCCGGCTGAGAACAAACTGGCTCTCCTCCCTCCCTTGTCCAGGACCTGGCAGGGGTGCAGGTCCTGCTCTAGACATGTGGGGCCTCGGGCCGGGGTTGCCACACTGCACCCCACGTTCTGGCAGGCGCACGGGCCTGGGCTACAGCCAAGGTGCCAGCCCGCCCCAGCAGAGCCCCATGAGCTCAACATCCCGAACAAAGGGAGAGAAGACAGGGCAGAAAGTGGGGTGCACGGAGGGGACAAGCGCCCACAACTTTTTGGAGAGGTCGTCTGTAGGGAAGCAGGGGCTGGGGCGCCCTCCTCCTCTCCCGTCCCACCCGGGAGTGGATCGGCAGGACGACATTGGCGGGCCCGGGCCGATACCGTCCCCCTCCAGTGGCCCAGCGTCGGTGACCCCCGGTCCGGCGACCCCCACCCCAGTCCGGGCCCCGCAACCCCGGGATGTCCTCGTCTCCCCCAGCCGGCGGGCAGAACCCGGACCTGCGGCCGCAGGTGCCCGCGGGGAGCAGCCGTGACGCGCGGGACCCGGGGGCGTGTGCGGGGCGCGCCCGCGCAGGGCCCTGCTCGGAGGGTCGCCGGCTCGGGCCCGGGCGGCGGCGGCGGCGGCGGGGAGAGCGCGGCCGAGTGAGCTGGGTCGCGAGCCGCCAGCCCAAAAGGGAGAGTGGTCGCGGGGCAACCAGGTCGGGGTAGGTGGGTGTCCGCGCGCGCCGCTTACCCTGAGCGGATATCGGGGCCAACTCTCATCCACCCGCCGCGGCGCCCCCCTCGCCGGCCGCCCGGCCGCGCTACGCCTGCCGCCCGCCCGGGAGCCCAGCGGCGCCGGGGAGCCGGGAGGAGGCGGCCCCGCGGGTCCCGGCCACGAGCGCGGAGGCGGCGGCGGCGCCAGGTCGCGCGCTCGCGTCCCGCTGCGCGGAGTCTGCGCGCCCCCGGCCCCGTTGCGCAGCCGCCGCCCCGCCCCGCGCCGCACCTTAAAGGGGCCGCGCCCCGCGCGCCACCCCGGCCCCGCCCCCGCCCCGCGGCCGGCTCGGGGGTCCGCGGGGGCGCGCCTGCCCTGGCGGGTCCGCGTGCGCCAGCTCGGTCACGCGGCGCGGCCTTTGTTTGGGTGGCCACGTGCGCCCCCGCCGCTCGCACCCACGCGCACGCGCGGCCGCCGCCGGCCACGGCCACGCCGTCCGCGCGCTTGCCACGGCGGACGCCACGGGCTCACCCGCGGGAGCACGCTCGCTGCTGTGGCCTCGCCCGCGCCCCGCGGGACCGCCCGCCTTTCTAGAGATGGGTCAGGGACTGGGCTGCCGGTGGAAACCCGCGTCCCGGGTGGAAATGCCTTTCCTCGACCGCCTCGCGGGGCGCCGGACGCGGCCCCACGCCGGGGCTGGACCTGCAGCCCGCGCTGTACGGGACGCAGCACGAACCCCGCTAGACTCGCGCAGTACCTGGCGCGCCCATCCCAAGGTGCCCGGGGTGCTGTCTGTCCCCAGGATCTGGACCTCTGGGCCCACCCTTTCTCTGAATCTCACCCACACCCCTGCATCTCCCCAGGCACTACCTGCGGGGCAGGACACCCGTAGAGGGGACCCACTCTAAGCCCACCTATCCCCGGGTTTTGGACCCTCTAGAAAAACCACCCACCACCCCGCTTTAAGGCTGTCTAGCTCACAGGAGACTGCTCAGTGAAGGGGCAGAGGGGATCACCCTGCAGAACCCTAGGTTTAGGGGACACGCTTTAGTGTCTTACCCAGGAGGATGGTTGCGAGGAGTTGGGGTGGGAGGGTGGAGGAGAACCGGAGTGGAGAAAATAGACAAGGCCTGGAGGCTGTTTTTGCCCAGCCCTCTCTGCCTCCCCCTCCCCAGACTGGGTCCCCTGTGCTCTGCCCCGCCCTTCCTGTGTCTCTTGCCTGCCCCAGTGCCCTGCCCTCAACTCACTGACCTTGGGAGTCCCACAGGCATCTCCAACCTTTCAATCCAAAGACTCCAGACCTGGATCCGCCCTCCCCACTTCCTTCTGTCTCAAGGGCCCCAGCTCAAGTGCACCTGAAGCTCCCTGTGGCAAGATTCAGGGCCTCTCTTTGATCCCCCTCCAGGTCTAGCCCTGATGGACCTGGGTTAGAGGCAGGCACTCAGGTGAGCTGTACTTCTCCAAGGCTCAGGTTCCTGTCTGCAGAACTGGGGACCCAGTGATTTCAGGGTAAAGGATCCAGCGCTTCCGCAAGGGCTGCCCAGTGGCGTCTGTCCTGTGCCTCCGCAGGCAGCATGGGGTGCGATGGCGCGCTGTCTGCAGGACCGTCTCTTTCCAGGATGGCGGAGATGACTCACATTTGTGCCCAGAGCCCCCATCCAGCACCAGGCCTGACCGCCAGACCTCTCTGGCTCCCCCTCCCCGCTGTCCAAACCCTCCAGGCTTTCCTGCCTTATCTCTGTCCTCCAGGGAAACAGGATTTGTTTTTCCCAAACACAAGCTCTACTTTCCTGCCTACCGCTCCCTACTCTGGCCATATCCTCCCAGGGGTACCTGCCCTACACTAACTCTACCCAGCCTGCCAGGCCCAGCTCCAGAGCTGCCCACTCCAGGAAGCCCTGAGCCAGCCTGGTCAGAAATGAACCCGGACTCCACCTGCCAAGGCTCTGGGGGAGGGGGGGGGCCCTTAGGGCACCTCCTGCCCCAGCACTGTGACCACATTTTAATCGTTTTCATTGTTGATTGTGCTCCTTCCTGTCTCCTCTCTCCACTCTCCCTGACAGCCCAGGTGAGCTGCTCCTGGGAGCAAAGGCCCAGAGCTTTCCTGTGCGAGTCCCTCGCTGCTGTCCCCACATTTCAAGACCTTGGCCAGGCTGTGTCATTGTCCGGGTCATTTTGTACACAAATGACTCACCTCAGCCAAGCCCCAAAGGCAACCTGTTTGTGCGGATGCAGCAGTGGCAGTCTCTCTGCCAGCAGGACACCTGCTGCTTCTCACCTCTCATCTCCGAACCTCTCTGCTTCTCCCAGTGGAGAAAAAGCCTCCATCCTCACAGCAGCGATCCCAAAGAGAGACCCCCTCCTGCCCCACACCCCTCCACCAAGTCTCCTGGAAGGATTCTCATCGCCCTGCTTGGTCATGTGCCACGCTTGAGCCAAGGGGACTGCGGGGGCAGAGGCCAGGGTGCTGTGACTGGCAGTGCCATCTGAACCACTGGGGCTGAGGCAGGCAGTACCCCAACAGAAAAGGGGCTGCAGCAGACAGCGCGACACAGAGCAAGCGCCCAAGAAATGTTCATTTTGTGAACGGCCAGGATTAGGAGTGAGCAGGCAGAAGCCAAAGGGAAACCAGACGAGGGCACCCAGCATGCCTAGCCCCTCATATCTGGCCCACCCTCCAGACATTTGCTCGGTGCCCAGTCCCTGCTTGGTAGGGGCGCAAAACTGGTGCAGTGCAGAGAGTCAGACAGAGCCCCTGCCTGATGGACAGGCACGGACCACACACCCCACAAAGGGGGACACTTGATATTGCGTGGTGCCCACCACCCTGCTCCGTGGCTCTTCACAGCCATCCTATTAGCCCATTTACAGAGCAGCGTTTATGGCTGAATTGTGTCCCCCAAAAAATTCATCTGTTGAAGTCCTAACTCCCATACCTCCCAATGAGACTGCATTTGGAGACAGGGTTCTTAAAGAGGCGATGAAGGTAAATGAGGCCCTGAGGGTGGGCCCTAACCCAACAGCACATGTGTCCTCATAAAAGGAGGAGATGGGGACACGGACACACACAGGGGGGATTGCATGAGGACACGGAGAGAAGGCGGCATCTGCACTCCCAGGAGTGAGGCCTCAGGAGGAACCAGCCCTGCAGACGCATTGATCTCAGACTTTCAATCTCTGGAAGCATGAGGAAATGAAGTTCTGTTGTGTAAGCCGCCTGTCTGTGGTGTTGGTTACACCAGCCCTGGCAAACTCACACGAGGGCACAGGCTCAGAGTGGCCGCCAGACCCTAAGGGTCACATAGCTGGTGATGGCAAGGCCACCGCCAGCTCCCTGCTCCTCTGCTCAAAGCAGAACTGGACACAGGGATGGCGGGGCAGGGCTGCTCCGAGTGGGCACGGCGGAGCCCTGAGCTTGGTGGGTGGCCTGGGAAGGAGGCTTGGAGCCTGCTCACACCAGGGGCCAGCGGGGCCCTCAGACCCGTGCCTCCCGGCCTCAGAGCCTTGAGGGAAATCGGGGGCAAGATGACAGGACTCGAGAGGAACCAGTGACAAGTGGTAGCAGGGCTCTCCATATAGCCTGACACCCCCGCACTGTCCACTGGCTCCTCAAGGCCATCCTGTTATGTTTGTCTGTGGCCAAAGGCATGGAAATAAGTCGATGAGAAGCAGGGGTGTGTCAGGGGCAGGCCAATCCGAGTTCATATCCCAGCCCCCCCTCACCTTCTGAGACGGGACCTGGAACCAAGCAGGTGCACCTGGAAGGTTCGTACCTTGGCATGTAGTATCCAGGCTGTCACTCCACATGCACAAAACCGCATATTTTATTACACAGGACGCCAAGGCACAGAGGGCTCAGGAACCTGCCCGGGGCCACCGAGGAGAGGTGGGAAGGAAGCACTCCAAGCCCCGGGGTGTGCAAACTCTGGGTTCCAGGCCGTTCCCCACATCACCTCGTCGCCACCCCCCAGAGATGGCAGCACCTGGCACCAAATGGCACTGGGAAGTGCCGGCGGTTGCTATTTTCATCCTGATTAGGGGAGAAGGGGTGGGGCCAGGGCTAGGGAGGAAGGCCCCTGGATCTGGAGCAGTGAGAGGTTTGGGCGAAGAGTCCCAGGCTGGGAGTTGGGGTTCCTATAGGAGACTGAACAGAGCAGCAGCTGGTGGCTCTCAGCTCTGGGCCAGAGATGGCAGCGTCCCAGCCAGAGAGCTGAGGGGCCCAGTCCCACTCCTCAACAGTCAGGGCTCCCAGGAGGCGGCCTCACTCTCACCTTTGCTACCACTCCTGGCACCGGGTTGCTGCCAGGAATCAGTGGGAAGGTGGTGCTTCCTTAGCCCCTCCTGTGCTGACACCTGCCTCCCACCCCTGAAAATTCCAGGAGCTAGAAGTGTTTTAGCTCCAGATGCATCTGGGTCCTTGTGCCCTGGCATGGGAGGGTCAGCGGGCAGTCCACCCCCAGTCTCCCCTGCTACAGGCATGTGGGAGGCACCCCATAAGGGTCATGGCTGGGAGAAGGGATCCAGGACAACCTCATCTTTTTTATTTTATTTTATTTTTGAGACGAAGTCTTGCTCTGTCACCGAGGCTGCAGTGCAGTGGCTCAATCTTGGCTCACTGCAACCTCTGCCTTTGAGTGATTCTCCTGCCTCAGCCTCCCCAGTAGCTGGGACCACAGGCGTGTGCCACCATGCATGCCTGGCTAATTTTTGTATTTTTAATAAAGACGGGGTTTGGGTTTCACCATATTGGCCAGGCTGATCTCGAACTCCTGACCTCAGGTGATCCACCCGCCTCGGCCTCCCAAATGGCTGAGATTACAGGCCTGAGCCACCGTGCCTGGCCAACCTCATCATTTTTAGAGAATCGAACTGAGGCTGAGAGCACCCCAGGGACGAACTTATCCTGACCTCTCCTTGGTGCCAAGCCCTATGCTGTGGACGTGTGTCAAGGAGGAACACTCAAGAAGGTCCCCTGGCCTTCTTATCCAACAGAGAGGCAGAGCCAGGCAGGCAATGAAGTCACAGTGTGGTCAGTGATGAGACAGAGAGCCACAGAAGGCTGAGGAGGCTTCCTGGAGGCCATGATACTCTAAGAGAGGCCAAGGAGTGACCAGAGGTTAACTAGGATAAGATAGTAGGAAGAGGATTCCAGGCAGAGGGAACAGCATATACAAAGGCCTGGTGGGAAGAGAGAGAGCTCCACTTGTTCTGTTTAGCTGGGAAAAAGCAGGAGCTGCCATGAAGGACAGCCCATATCCCAGGGCAGGAAGGAGCCATGGCCGGGTCTCAAGCAGGAACAACAGGATCCCATCAGTGCTCTTCTGGGTATAGACTGGAGGCCTCTGGGTGATAAGCAGGTGGGAGGGGGTGCTGTGCTTTGAATATTTGTGTTCTATGTAAAATGTTTATCTAGAAACAGAGTGCTCATTCCCCAGTGCTGCAAAGAAACAGCACTCAAACATAAATTTAATTATCTCAGCAAGGCCATTTTTACTTTCTGCAGAAAGGGTGCTCATCGCAGATGGAACAATGGCGACAGCACACCTGAACAAAGGAGGGAAGCAATTTTTATCCCTTACGCGTTTGTCCCTGTTACTGTGTCCTGTCTCCGTTGGCTGCAGCCAGACCTCACAATCTAAACTAAAACCCGATTGGCTAACAGTTTAAAACTTTTCTAAAAAGGTAAAAGTAATGGAAAGACAAAGGAAAAGAGGAAGTTGCTTATGCCAAATAGGGAAGGGGCATAGGCTGCAAGCGGGAGCATGCCTGTGAGCAGGTACAGCACAAATATCTTGGTTAAGGTTCCAGGACATAGAATGTACTATGTTGACTGTGAGCATGTTTAGCAGCTACATAGGCTAGGGCTTAACAAAGAGTTATTAGCACAAAGCAAGGAGGCTTGAAGGAAGTTAGTTTTTCAAAGAAACTATTATTTTTAACACTTATGATTTATTTAACAAGAAGGGAAACTTTGAAGAGGAATTTTTACTTTCTACATTTGTCACCTCCAAAACTCATGTTGAAATTTAGTCCTCGGCTGGGCGAGGTGGCTCCTGCCTGTAATCCTAGTGCTTTGGGAGGCTGAGATGGGAGGATCTCTTGAGGCCAAGAGTTGGAGGCTGCAATGAGCCAAGATTGTGCCACTGCACTCCAGCCTGGGCAACAGAGTGAGATCCTGTCTTAAAAAAAAATTAATCTCCAACATGGGGAGTATTGAGAGGTGGGGCCATAAAGAGGTGATTGGATCATGTGGGCTCTGCCCTCATAAATGGACTAATCCATTCATGGCTTAATGGATTCATGGGTTAAGGGATTAATGGGTTATCATGGGGGAGGGGGGAACTGGTGGCTTAATAAGAAGGGGGAGAGACACCTGAGCTAGCTCGCTAGGCCTCTCAGGCCCCTTGCCGTGTGCTGCCCTGTGCTGTCTCGGGACTCTGCAGAGGCTCGCCTGGCCAACAGGAAGGCCCTCCCCAGATTTGCCCCTCGGCCTTGCACTTCTCAGCCTTCATAACTGTAATAAATAAATTCCTTTTCTTTATAAACTACCCAGTTTCCGGAATTCTGTTATAAGCAGCAGAAAACCTACTGAGACAGGGATCTGAGCAGCTCTTACAGAGCTCTTCCCACCACCAGAGGTGTGGAGGGGTGTGGAAAGCAAGCCCCTCCCCACACTGTGGCTGTTGTTCCCGGGAGAAAGGCCACTGCAGGGCTGTGGCAGGGCAGGGTGAGGACCTGAAGAGCAGCTGAGCTGGGGGAGGGAGCTCTGGGCACAGGGCAGGTGGGCATGGGCAGGCCAGGAGGTCCCTGGGTTCTCTGCCTGCCACGGAGATCACGCAGCCCCCATGTGGTCAGTGAGGGGCGCCCAGGAGCTGGCACACTGACCTCGAAACCCAGCTCTGGAAAGATGGGGAAGATGCAGGGACAGAGAAGGGAGCCCAGGGGCCAGGACTGCTTGGGGCCTGGGCTCCGGGCCATGCCGTGGAGCAGCACCCTGGATCCCCTCCTGCGAAAATGGCACTGGAATCTTCTAAGGCCCCAAGGCCAAACCCAGGCCTTTGGCAGAACCCA
The DNA here is from genome assembly GCF_000001405.40 of Homo sapiens. Lineage (NCBI taxonomy): Eukaryota > Metazoa > Chordata > Mammalia > Primates > Hominidae > Homo > Homo sapiens. The sequence goes on along the minus strand of NC_000022.11, from coordinate 46,570,258 downwards.
GTTTCCCAGGTTTTGGGATAAAGCACAGACTCCTGCAAGGCCTGCATCATCAGACCCGACGGACATCCAGCCTCAATCCCGGTGTCCCCCGCCAGGCCCTAGGCTAGGGGAGCCCTGGCGCAGGCACAGTGCAGTTACAGACACAGAACACGGGGGATTCAGCCTTGCTCCCGCCTGACCTGGGAAGGAGGCAGTGGGGCATTACTGTGCCCATTCCACAGACGGAAAAGCTGAGTCCTGAGAGGTAATGTGTTTGGACCAGCATCACACAGCTAGTTCAAGGCCCAACCAGGATACCCTATGAGCCCACAGCAACCATGTCCCTGACACCACCAGCATGAAAAGACAGGGACAGTGACAGAGCGATGCAGCCACAGGGCAAAGAGATGGCCTGGGGGCTTGGAGGAGCTGGAGGAGACACACACAGCCAGGTGTGTGAGGGTGCAAGTGTGAGAGTGCCCGCTCCTCGGTGGAAAACACGCGGGACAGCAGCGTTTGGGAGGAGGGGATGACGCAGGTTAGGAGTGGCTCGTGAGAAAGGTCCTAGGACAGAGCAACACCCGCCAAGCCAGAGCAGGGACCGGGAGCGGAGCGGGTGGCCCAGCAGCGAGAAGCCATCACAGTGGAAGAAGGGCAAAGACTCCACAACCAGCTCAATGTCCGCCAGCAGGCACCTGTGATCTTGGGGTCAAGGAGCCAGCCCTGCACACACTGAGAGGATCCCTCGCCAGGGATGAAGACAGGTTCAGCACCCTGAGCCACCTGCCCAGAGGTCTACCCTTCATCTGCTGCGGATCCCAGTCTGTCCTGTCCCCTCCTCTCCTAAACCACCCTGGGCCCCCTGAGCCCCTACTGGGGCCTCCCACAGCCTCTCAGCACTCGGCCTCCCTCCCACCATCCCCTTCACTTCTTTGTGCTAACAGAGCTTCCCGGCAGGGCCCTCCTGTGGGTCTCCCTGATCCCCGCGCCCCTCAAACCCCTGGGCCTGCAGGTGCAGGACGCCTGGCCCTGCTCCCTGCCACTGCTTCCAGGCCATCCTCCCTCCCCAGCCTCTGCAGGAGCCTCCTCACTGGACTCCCTGTTTCTTTTCTGCACAGGCCCCCTCACCCCGCCCACTTTCCTCTCCCTGGGGGCCACCCTCTTGCTTCTCTGCGCAGGGCCTACTGCTCACCTATGGGCTTGTAGCCCTCCCTGTGATCCCGGGGAGCCCCTGCTGTCCCTCCTGCCCGGCCCACTTGTCCCTCCAACGTCTGCATCACTCCATCCCTCAGCCTCCTCAAGTCTTTGCTCAAGGACCACCTTTGCTCTGGGATCCACCCCGACGACCTGCTTTAAAATCACTCCTGTATCCACCATGGCAATCTTCCTCTGCTATTTTCTATTTCTTTCTAGCACTGTGCATTTTTGTTTGTTTGTTTTGTTTTTGTTTGTTTTTTTGAGATGGAGTTTCACTCTTGTTGCCCAGGCTGGAGGGCAATGGTGCAATCCTGGCTCACTGCAACCTCATCCTTGTGTTTCCTTGATTTAAAAATGCCACTGGGTGTGAGATGCTCCACCAACTTAACACCTGTTTCCAGGAAGACCTGAGACGCTGCAGCCATGCACACCCTCGTTGTAAGTTGCATCAGCATCCCAGGCCCACATCAGTGTCGGGGTGGTGAGGAGGGAGCATGGAGGTAATGGAAGAAGTGGAGGACTTCTCCTGCTGTGACTCTCCAGGGGGGTTGTCCCTGCAGTTCGCAGGGCTTTGCCAGGCCCCAGGGAAGTGGCAGAGGGCATGCTCCTGCCGCCAGCTTGGGATGGGGATTGCAGCGTGGAACTTGGGGTTCTGGCTTCTGAGGGTAACTGGTTATGCCACCTTTTGGCAGCAGGTGACAGCACAGCACTGGGACGGAGGAGTGGGTTAGTTATCATGAGAGTGGGTTATCATGGGAGTGGGTTAGTTATCATGGGCATGGGTTAGTTATCTTGGGAGTGGGTTAGTTATGAGAGAGGGTTAGTTATCATGAGAGAGGCCTAGTTATCATGGGTGTGGGTTAGCTATCTTGGGAGTGGGTTAGTTATCATGAGAGTAGGTTAGTTATCATGGGTGTGGGTTAGTTATCTTGGGAGTGGGTTAGTTATCTTTGGAGTGGGTTAGTTATGAGAGTGGGTTAGTTATCATGACAGTGGGTTAGTTATGGATGCGGGTTAGTTATCTTGGGAGTGGGTTAGTTACCATGGGAGTGGGTTTCTTATCATGGGAGTGGGTTACTTATCATGGGAGTGGGTTAGTTATCTTGGGAGTGGGTTAGTTATCATAGGAGGGGTTCATTATCATGGGAGTGGGTAGTTATCTTGGGAGTGGGTTAGTTACCATGGGAGTGGGTTAGTTATCATAGGAGGGGTTCATTATCATGGGAGTGGGTTAGTTATAGCTATGAAAGTGGGTTAGTTATCATGGGTGTGGGTTAGTTATCTTGGGAGTGGGTTAGTTATGAGAGTGGGTTAGGGGAGTGGGTTAGTTATCTTGGGAGTGGGTTAGTTATCTTGGGAGTGGGTTAGTTATCATGGGAGTGGGTTAGTTATCTTGGGAGTGGGTTAGTTATAGTTATGAGAGTGGGTTAGTTGTCATGGGAGTGGGTTAGTTATCTTGGGGGTGGGTTAATTATAGTTATGAGAGTGGGTTAGTTATCATGAGAGTGGGTTAGTTATCACGGGAGTGGGTTCATTATCATGGAAGTGGGTTTATAATCATGGGAGTGGGTTAGTTATCTTGGGAGTGGTTTAGTTATCTTGGGAGTGGGTTAGTTATCATGGGAGTGGGTTAGTAATCTTGGGAGTGGGTTCGTTATCTTGGGAGTGGGTTAGTTATCATGGAAGTGGGTTAGTTATCATGGGAGTGGATTAGTTATCTTGGGAGTGGGTTAGTTATCATGGGAGTGGGTTCGTTATCTTGGGAGTGGGTTAGTTATCTTGGGAGTGGGTTCGTTATCATGGGAGTGGGTTAGTTATCTTGGGAGTGGGTTAGTTATCTTGGGAGTGGGTTAGTTATCATGGGAGTGGGTTCGTTATCATGGGAGTGGGTTAGTTATCATGGGAGTGGATTAGTTATCTTGGGAGTAGGTTAGTTATCATGGGAGTGGGTTCGTTATCTTGGGAGTGGGTTAGTTATCTTGGGAGTGGGTTAGTTATCATGGGAGTGGGTTAGTTATCTTGGGAGTGGGTTCGTTATCTTGGGAGTGGGTTAGTTGTCATGGGAGTGGGTTCGTTATCATGGGAGTGGGTTAGTTATCATGGGAGTGGATTAGTTATCTTGGGAGTGGGTTAGTTATCATGGGAGTGGGTTCGTTATCTTGGGAGTGGGTTCGTTATCTTGGGAGTGGGTTAGTTATCATGGGAGTGGGTTCGTTATGGGCGTGGGTTAGTTATCTTGGGAGTGGGTTAGTTATCATGAGAGTGGGTTAGTTATGAGAGTGGGTTAGTTATCATGGGAGTGGGTTAGTTATCTTGGGAGTGGGTTAGTTATCTTGGGAGTGGGTTAGCTATGAGAGTGGGTTAGTTATCTTGGGAGTGGGTTAGTTATCTTGGGAGTGGGTTAGTTATCATGGGAGTGGGTTCGTTATGAGAGTGGGTTAGTTATCTTGGGAGTGGGTTAGTTATCTTGGGAGTGGGTTCCTGATAAAAGAATGGGTTCAGTGCACACTCTCTTGCCCTTCTGCCTTCTTCCATGGGGTGTTGCACGAAGAAGGCTCTCCCTAGATCCTGGCACCTTGCTCTTGGACTTCCAGCCTCCAGAGCTATGAGCCAAATAAGCTTCCATTGTTTATAAATTACCCAGTCTCAGATACTCTGTGATAACAGCACAAAAGGGACTAAGACATCATCTAATGTACTTTATTTATTTATTTATTAAGACAGAGTCTGGCTCTGTCACCCAGGCTGGAGTGTAGTGGTGTGATCTTGGCTCACTGCAACCTCCACCTCCTGAGTTCAAGCGATTCTCCTGCCTCAGCCTCCTGAGTAGCTGGGATTACAGATGCAAGCTACCACGCTGGGCTAATTTTTGTATTTTTAGTAGAGACAGGGTTTCACCGTGTTGGCCAGGCTGGTCTCGAACTCCTGACCTCGAATGATCTGCCCACCTCGGTCTCCCAAAGTGCTGAGATTACAGGCGTCAGCCACTGCACCCGGCCACTAATGTACTTTAACAAAAACAACAAAAAATAGATATAGTCTTGCTGTGTTGTCCAGGCTGGAATGCAGTGGCTATTCACGAATGTAGTGGCTATTGATGGGTATGGGCAAGGCCTATACTGCGCCCGGCCTATATAAGCCGGGCACGGTGGCTCACGCCTGTAATCCCAACACTTAGGGAGGCCCAGGCGGGCAGACCACCTGAGGTCAGGAGATCAAGACCAGCTTGGCCCAACATGGCAAAACCCTGTCTCTACTAAAAATACAGAAGTTATCCTGGCGTGATGGCACACGCCTGTAGTCCCGGTTATTCGGGAGACTGAGGCAGGAGAATCGCTTGAACCCTGGAGGTGGAGTTTGCGGTGAGCTGAGATCGTGCCACTGCACTCTAGCCTGGGTGATAGAGCGATACTGTGTCTCAATAAATAAATAAAATTTTTATCTATATAAAAGACAATGAAAAATTAATGTTATTCTATGCAGCCAATAGTTACTTAGATTTACCCATGTTTAAACATTTACTGTCTTAGCCATTTTGAGGTAACATGAAGTACATTCTCATTGTTGGGATGCTGATATAGTTTGGATGTTGTCCTTTCCAGATCTCGGGTTAAAATTTGATCCTCAGTGTTGGAGGTGGGGCCTGGCGGGAGGTGTTTGTATCATGAGGGCGGACCCCTCATGAACGGCTTGGTGCTTGCGTTAACAGTGAGTTCTGCCTTTATTAGTTCCCGCGAGGGTTGGTTGTTAAAGAGAGCCTGGAACCTCCTTTCCCCCTCTCCTCCCTCCTTCCTCTCTCCATGGGATGCCTGCTACCCTTCCCCTTCTGCTATGAGTGGAAGCTTCCTGAGGCCTCACCAGAAGCAGATGCTGGTGCCACGCTTCTTTGTACCAGCCTGAAGAACTATGAGCCAAATAACCATCTTTTCTTTTCTTTTCTTTCCTTTCCTTTCCTTTTCTTTTCTCTTCTTTTCTTTTCTTTTCCAGACGGAGTTTTGCTCCTGTTGCCCAGGCTGGAGTGCAATGGCGCGATTTCGGCTCACCGCAAACTCTGCCTTCCGGGTTCAAATGATTCTCCTGCCTCAGCCTCCCAAGTAGCTGGGATTACAGGCATGTGCCACCATGCCTGGCTAATTTTGTATGTTTAGTAGAGACAGTTTCTCCATGTTGGTCAGACTGGTCTCGAACTCCTGACCTCAGGTGATCTGCCTGCCTCAGTCTCCCAAAGTGCTGGGATTACAAGTGTGAGCCACTGTGCCTGGCTACCACCTTTTCTTTATAAATTACCTATCCTCGGGTATTTCTTTCTAGCAATGCAGCAAATTAAGACAGGTACCAGCCCCACCATCCATCTCCAGGACTGTCTTGGGCAGGACCTGTGTCACCTCCGCTGGCCTCTGTAATCAGCATCTGCACGGTGGGCCTTGGATTGATGTCACTCTCTCCCTTTAGATTCCCCTCTTGGAAGGAAAGGCACCAAGGGCCTGCCCCCCTCTCTGCTCAGGATCCTCCAGACAGCTGGCCTCCAGGCCACCCACCCTGAGGCTGACCTCCGGCCAGCTGGGGCCCTGCTGCGCCCCCAGGCTCCTCCTCTGTGGTCAGATGGTTTTCACTTCTTTGGCCTGATTCAGGGGCTGGTGGGCGGGGCAGTGGCTCACACTGGGTTCACCTGTTAAAGTGCAGGGGTAGGGGTAGCTCCCCAAAAGGAGAAGCAACAAAGATGGACACACAGCAAAGCTGTGGGCGTGTCTGCCACAGGCCAGTGTCCCTGGATGCCTTGGGTGGGGTGGGGCTGAGGCAGGCAGCCTGCCAGGCCAGAAAGCATGAGGCCCTGGCCCTGGGCTTGTGTCCCTAGGGATGCAGTGAGCACAGACCTCCCTAGAGGGGGGCCTGGCCCGCCAGAAGCCCAGCCCCGGCCCCTGCCACCAGCCTGTCCTTCCTCAATTCCTAGCTCCAGCCAGATCCCCAGAGATGAGCGACCCTGATGACCAGCAAGGGCAGGCCCGCCCTCCTTCATCTCCCTCCTCTCACCCGGCCCAGCCCGGAGGAGGAGTGTGGTGTGAGTGTAGCCGCAAATCCAGTCAGCTCCCCTGGGCTGAAGCCCCAGAAATGCTGCTCCAGGACCCAGGCAGCTCCAGTCTGCCCCACGTGGCTTCCAGGGGCACAGCCCTCGGCACAGAAGGCTGTAGGTGTGGCCTGCAGCACGGGGTGGAGGCTGGGAAGGGCCTGGGGGACCCAAGGGACGGATCAAGGCCTGTTCAGAGCCAGACTCCAACCACCTGCTCCCAAGCCAGCCCTCAGGCCCTGCTCTGCAATGGGTTCGGTTGCCCTGTGTTCGCCTTCCGGGCCCCAGCCCAGGTAGGAGGATGCTGGCACACCTGCTGGCTACAGGCGGCCCTTCCTTCTCCTCAGGCGAGGAGGTGCCCACTCTGAGCTGTGCAGCCGGGAGCCAGGGTGAGCTGAGCCCCCACCTGCTGCCCCAGGGAGACCCTGCCACGTCTCTCTTAGCCTAATTTAGCTGTGCGTGAACCTCCCACCTGCCCTGCACTAGCTGGTCCCTAAGCTCACTGGGGCCACCTTGTGGCTGCTCACGGCCTCGGCCCCGCAAGTTGGGGCCTGATTTCCACACTGGCTGCATTTGTCCTCTGTGGACTTTTGTCCTCTGTGCCACCTTCTTGGGTGGCACCCGCCACATGCTGTGCTGAGCTACTTCTTTTTTTTTTTTTTTTTCTGAGGCGGAGTCTTGCTCTGTCGCCCAGGCTGCAGTGCAATGGCGCTATCTCGGATCACTGCAAGCTCCGCCTCCCGGGTTCACGCCATTCTCCTGCCTCAGCCTCCCGAGTAGCTGGGACTACAGGTGCGCGTCACCACGCCCGGCTAATTTTTTGTATTTTTAGTAGAGACGGAGTTTCACCATGTTGGCCAGGCTGGTCTCGAACTCCTGACCTCATGATCTGCCCGCCTCGGCCTCCCAAAGTGCTGGGATTACAGGCATGAGCCACTGCACCTGGCCTGTGCTGAGCTACTTCTAAACCCCACAGAGGGCCAGGTGTGCTGGCTCACACCTGTAATCCCAACACTTTGGGAGGCCAAGGCGGATCACCTGAGGTCAGGAGATCGAGACCAGCCTGGCCAACATGGTGAAACTCCATCTCTACTAAAAATACAAAAAATTAGCCGGGCATGGTGGCAGGCACCTGCAATCCCAGCTACTCGGGAGGCTGAGGTAGGAGAACCACTTGAACCTGGGGGTGGGAGGTTGCAGTGAGCCGAGATCGTGCCACTGCACTCCAGCCTGGGCGACAGAATGAGACTCAGTCCCCCCGCAAGAAAACGAAACACCATGGGGGAAGACGCACATTTTCATGTATAGGCTCTTCCTGTTTCACGTGAGGAGCATCGCAGGATGCATCTGTTCTGACACGAGGGGCACCAGATCGCTGGAGGCAAAAAGAGGGATCCTGAGAGGCCGTCTGGGAAAGAGAGAACTGAAAGACAGTGACAGCAGTGACGATGGCTCACACCTCCTGTGTGCCGGGCACTGTTCTGGGCACTTTATACGAACCAGTGAAGAGAGTGGCTGTCAGTGTGAGAGGAGCTCTGGGGACACGGGGATGTCTCGCAATGGGGCTCCTTCCTCCACCTCCCCATGAAGCCTTTGGTAGACCACACAGCCTCATGTGCCTTCAGATGAGTTTGTGTGGAAGTGGAGTGTGGGGCATGCAGGCCTGAGGGTGAGGGCAATGCCTGTCCCCTTGGGATCACTTCACCCTCACAGGGATGCTGGAGCAGGCCTGGGATCCCCCCATCACACAGAGGGAATGACCAGGGCTCCCAGAGCCGGAGCACAATGTCCAGGCTGTGGCTGCTGAATGACCCAGGCCCTCTGGGGGGGCTGCTCCACCCGCCATGGCCCTCCCAACCTCCCTTGCTTTCCAAGGTCCACCCAAAGCCCCAGGCCTCTCAAGTCTCCTACATCCCCTCTCCCCCTAAGGTCCCAAAGATTTCCCAAGGTCCCTTAGGCCTCTGGAGGTCCCCCAAGGCTCCTCAGGCCCCCAAGGCCCAAAAGATCCTCCAGAGACCCCTCAAGGCCTTCCCAGGCCCCTCAACGATCCCCAGGGCCCCCCAGGTTCCTTAGGCCCTCCTAAAGCCCCACAAGGTCTCCTAGGTCGCCTAAATTCCCAAGACTTCCCAAGGCCCTATGTGGCCCTCAAGACCCCCAGACCTCCCTGCATCCTCAGCCCTCCATGAGACCCTGTCAGCAGCTGCCTCTTCTGGGATGGCCAGGCTGAAGTCCCCAGGGGTGAATCCACCTGTTCAGCTCCTTGCTTCCTGCCACCAGCTATTGGTCCTGGGCTGACCTATGGTGTGGTGCCTTTGGAATCACGTGACCACCAGGCATCGTCACATGTTGTCAAACATGGCTACCTACACCACCATCATAGAAGAGATGGAAGTGAGTTCTTCTGCAGCACCCCAGAGCCGGCCTGCAGTCAGGAAGGCCTCCCCAGAGGCATCCACGAAGCTGCCTGCCAACCTGGGTGCCCCAGGCATGGGCCCCTCTAAGCCTGCCCTAGGAGGAGAACAGTTTGTGTGACACAGGGGGCGGAGGCTGGGTCTGAATCTTTTTTTTTTTTTTTTTGAAACAGAGTTCGCTGTGTCGCCCAGGCTGGAGTGCAGTGGTGCAATCTCACCTCACTGCAACCTCCGCCTCCCGAGTTCAAGCGATTCTCCTGCCTTAGCCTCTCTAGTAGCTGGGATTGCAGGTGTGCACCATCACGCCTGGCTAATTTTTGTATTTTTTAGCAGAGACGGGGTTTCTCCATATTGGGCAGGCTGGTCTGAACTCCTGACCTCAGGTGATTCGCCCACCTCAGCCTCTCAAAATGCTGGGATTACAAGCGTGAGCCACCGCGCCCAGCTGGGTCTGAATCTTTAACAGTTCCCCTCCGCTCCTGGAGCCCCTCCCACAGCCAGCCCTTGCTCACCAGCGGGGGAACCAACAGCCCCTTCCTCACCCTCCTGGGGGTTGGGGTCTCTCTCCACAATACCAGTGCCGGGACGCATCCCTCGTCTTCTCTGCTCCTTTCCGTTGTCCGGAGGCCTAGGCCCAGTCATCCAGCCAGCCTCCACCCAGCTCCTCTCCCTGCACACAAAGACTGACCCCATCAAGCTGCACTTCCTGAAACACACCCACAAACCAGAAACTCAGCCTCCCCTTTGCCCGCAGGATGCCCATGGGCAAAACTGTCACCAAGAGAAGAGAGGAGGGGCCCAAACCGGCTCTGTCTCTGTGGAGAAAGAGCCTGCCTAGGGCTGGACCCTGGTTGTGTGGCTTCAGGTATGAGTCCCTTCCCCTTCCTAGGCCCCAGTCCCCTCACTGCACACCTAGGGTGATGACATGTCATGGCCCAGGGTTAAGAGCACAGACTGGAGTGGGACTCCCTGGGCTTTACTTCTGGCTCTGCTGCACACTGGCTGTGTGACTCTGAATGAGTAACCTAGCCTCTCTGTGCCCGAGTTTCCTTGTCTGTTAATAGGGATCAAACAGAATATAACATCAAGGTCATTAAGAAGAGTCAGTAAATTAATGTTTATAAAGTATTTATTATTTTTATTTTATTTTATTAATTTTTTTAGATAGAGTCTCACTCTGTCACCCAGGCTGGAGTGCAGTGGTACAATCTCGGCTCACTGCAATCTCTGCCTCCTGGATTCAAGTTGAGTGTCATGCCTCAGCCTACTGAGTAGCTGGGATTACAGGCCCTGCCACCACACCCAGCTAATTTTTTATATTTTTGGTAGAGATAGGGTTTCACCATGTTGGCCAGGCTGATCTCGAACTCCTGACCTCAAGTCATCCGCACGCCTTGCCCTCCCAAAGTGCTGGGGTTACAGGTATGAGCCACTGCGCCCAGCCAGAATTATTATTTTTTTTTCTTGCTGATTTGAGTCCCTTGTAGATTCTGCGTATTAGTCCTTTGTCAGATGCATAGTTTGCAAACATTTTCTCCCATTCTCTAAGTTGTCTGTTTACTTTCATGATTATTTCTTCTGCTGTGTAGAAGCTTTCTAGTTTAAGTAGGTCCTGTTTATTTTTGTTTTTGTTGCATTTGCCTTTGGAGCCTTCGTTATAAATATTTAGCCTAGGCCAATGTCCATAAGAGTTTTTCCTAGGGTTCCTTCTAGAATTTTTATGATTTCAGGACTTAGGTTTAAGTATTTAACCCATTGTGAGTTAATTTTTGTATATGGTGAGAAAGAGGGATCCAGCTCCATTCTTCCACATGTGGCTATCCAATTTTCCCAGCACCATTTATTGAATAGAATGTCATTTCCCCAGTTTATGTTTTTGCATACTTTGTGGAAGATCAGTTGGCTGTAAGTGGCTTTATTTCTGGATTCTCTATTCTGTTCTATTGGTCTATATATCTACCTTGATACAGTGCTTGGTACCAGTAGACACTTCCTTGATACTGTCTTGATTACTACATCCTTATAGTATAATTTGAAGTTGGGTAAGGTGATGCCTCCAGATTTGTTTTTTGCTTGGGATTGCTTTGGCTATTCAGGTTCTTTTTTGATGCCATATGAATTTTAAGGTTGTTTTTTCTAATTCTGTGAAGAATGATGTTGGTATTTTGGTTGGAATTGCAGTGACTCTGTAGATTGCTTTGGGCAGTATGGTTACTTTCACAATATTGATTGTTCTAGTCCACGAACATGGGATGTATTGCCATGTGTTTTTGTCATCTATGATTTCTTTCAGCAGTGTTTTATAGTTCTCTTTGTAGAGATCGCTCACCTCCTTGGTTAAGTATATTCCTAAGCATTTTATTTTTTGTGTCTAGGTACTGTAAAAGGGATTGAGTTCAAACTCCTGACCTCAGGTGATCCATCCGCCCCAGCCTCCCAAAGTGCTGGGATTACAGGCGTGGACCAACCTGGTGAAACTCCATCTCTACTAAAAATACAAAAATTAGCCAGGCATGGTGGCGGGTGCCTGTAATCCGAGCTACTCAGGAGGCAGAGGCAGGAGAACTGCTGAACCTGGGAGGCAGAGGTTGCAGTGAGCCGAGATCGCGCCATTGCACTCCAGCCTGGGCAACAAGAGCGAGACTCCATCTCAAAGGTAAAAAAAAAAAAAAAGGGATTGAGTTCTTGTGATTGTCAGCTTGATCATTGCTGGAGTATGGCAATGCTACTGATTTGTGTACATTGATTTTGTAACTTGAGACTTTACTTAATTTATTTATCAAATCTAGGAGTCTTTTGGAGTAATCTTTGGCGTTTTCTAGGTATAAGATCGTATCGTTGGCAAACAGATATAGTTTGACTTCCTCTTTTCCAATTTGGATGCCCTTTCTTTCTTTCTCTGGCCTGATTTCTCTGGCTAGGACTTACCCTATCAGGTGTTCTTGCCAGGTCCTCACTAGGCCCTGAGTAGACAGAGATGAACCAAAGGAAAATACAACATACCTACAAGTAACCACCTCCCACGGCAGCTTGGGGTCCTGGTTCAAAGGGTTGTTAGAGGCAGGATGGAACATTTATGCCTTGGGTGATCAGGGAAGGGTTCTTGGAGGAGAGGGCATTTAAGCTGGGCATGGGAGCCTGGGCTGGTAGTGACACAGGCACAGGGCACAGAGACCCGTGCAGCCCACTGATCAGCTGATTGATCTGCACGAGACTGAACATGGGTGGGTGCCAAGTCAGCTGGCATCAAGAAGCTGAAACGACTTTGTTATAGAGCTGAGAGCAGATTCTCAAGCCCACTTGGTTTGGTGCCCTGCACATTGCACCTGCCTGGCAACATGACAGGGGTGGCCATGGCACTGGCCATGCTGGGGGCCAGGGAGGGACAGGATGGGCTGGTGACCTCCCGACACAGCTCCTCTCACAAACCTCAGTGGATCCTGAGGTTGGAGGTCCTGACACCAACATGGCACATGAAATAAGACCCTTGGAGGCTGGCCTGCCCCACCCTATGCAGTGCTTCCGAGTTGTCCCCTCTTTAGGCCTCCTGTTCCTGCCAAACCCTGAGGTCCTCAGAAGCCTCTGCTAAGAGCTGACCTGGGAGCCCAGGGCCTGCCTGGGCAGAGACTGTGCCCAGGAGCCAGTGAGCTGCCCTGACTCCTGGGAAGGCAGCCAGCACCTGCACCAGCCTGCCCGGGCGCACCTCTTCCCTCCAGCTAACTCTGGTGCAGCTATCAAGACCCAGCCTGGTTATCACCTCCCATAAGAAGCCTCACTGACCCCTAGGCTGGGCCAGGTCCTCCCATGGGTTCTCCAGCCTTGGGATTTCCCTCTGTTTCAGGGACAGAGCAAGGAGTTATACGTAACAGAAAAAAACAGCTCAGACCAGCTCAAACAGAAAAGGAAATCTATTAACTTCTGTAACATTATGTCCAGGGTATTTTCAGAAAACTTGGATCCAGGGCTCAACGGGGGCCTTTCTTTATGTTGGTTCCATCTCTTGGTGGTTCCAGACCAACAGTCTCCCCTGTCAGCACCCCTGGACAAACCAGAGATTTCCTGTGCCCGATGGTTCTAACAAAAGTTTGAGAACTGGACCTCACTGGCTGTGATTAACCTGGCCGAGGTCACATGTCCATCCCTGAAGCATGAAGGACTGGGGCTAGCTCTGCCTGGGCTATGTGGCCTGAGAGCTGGGGAGGAGAAGAGGTATAGTTAGCAGTCGAAGGGGAAATGGAATTGGCCAGGCAGTAGCACGGCTGTCTACCTCACTGTGGCTGGCTCCCCAGTAGACTGCCTACTGCTCAGGCAGGGACAGTGTTTAAGCCCCATCTGTGCCCCAGCATTGCCCTGCATAAGGCAGCACAGAGTAAGGGCCCTAGCAGACCAGCTTTGGTTAGGTTCCTCAGGGCCTTGCACGTGCTGTTCCCTCTGCCTGGTATAGCCCTGCACTGCACCCCCACCCATTGCCCCCACTTAGTACCACCTCATCCAGGGATCTGGAATTCTAGGAATTCTGATTAGATGCACATTAGACTCACTCATACTCTCCTCCCAGCCTTCTTACCTTTCTTTCATATTTTCTCTCTTCTCATCTTTCTATGTTGCATCCTAGGAAATTTCTTCGTATCTGTGCTCCATTTCACTGATTCTCTCTTTAGCTGTTTAACTCATAGTTTCAACATTTGTATTTTTTCACTTGTAAAAGTATATTTGGTTCTTTTTCAAATCTCTCTGGCCTTTTTTTCTCCAATAGACTCTTTTGCCTTTTTGATCATCTTCCTTATTCCATTAAATCCTCCTTAATCGGCTGGGTGTGGTGGCTCACGCCTGTAATCCCAGCACTTTGGGAAGCTGAGGTGGGCAGATCACCTGAGGTTGGGAGTTTGAGACCAGCCTTACCAACATGGAGAAATGCATCTCTGCAAAAAATACAAAATTAGCTGGGAGTGGTGGTGCATACCTGTAATCCCAGCTACTTTGGAGGCTGAGGCAGGTGAATTTCTTGAACCTGGGAGGCAGAGGTTGCGGTGAGCCGAGATCGTGCCATTGCACTCCAGCCTGGCCAACAGGAGCGAAACTCTGTCTCAAAAACGAACAAACAAATGAACAAAAACAAAAAACTTCTTTAATATAAAGGCAGATTTAGCTGGAATTCCTTAGATGGAATAAGGAAGACAATCAAAAAGGAAAAATTGATAGATGAATAGACTTCATCTATTTCTTTTCTTTTCCCTCCCTCCCTCCCTTCCTTTTTCTTTTTTTCCTGGCAGAGTCTTACTCTGTCTCCCAGGCTAGAGTGCAGTGGCACTATCACAGCTCACTGCCACCTAGACTTCCCAAGCTCAAGTGATCCTCCTACGTCAGCTTCCTGAGTAGCTGGGACTACAGGCATGCTCCACCACATCCGCTAATTTTTGTACATTTTTGTAGAGATGGGGTTTCGCCATGTTGCCCAGGCATGAACTCCTGGGCTCAAGCAATCTGCCCACGTCGGCCTCCCAAAGTGCTGGGATTACAGTTGTGGAGCCACCACGCCTGGCACTTCATTTATTTATTTATTTATTTTATTTATTTATTTTTTTAGACGGAGTCTCGCTTTGTTGCCCAGGCTGGAGTGCAGTGGTGCCATCTCGGCTCACTGCAAGCTCTACCTCCCAGGTTCATGCCATTCTCCTGCCTCAGCCTCCCAAGTAGCTGGGACTACAGGCGCCCGCCACCACACCCGGCTAATTTTTTGTACTTTTAATAGAGACGGGGTTTCACCGTGTTAGCCAGGATGGTCCCAATCTCCTGACCTTGTGATCCGCCCGCCTTGGCCTCCCAAAGTGCTGGGATTACAGGCTCGAGCCACTGCGCCTGGCCGGCACTTCATTTATTTCAAGCAGTTCTCAGGGGTCTAAATCTATTTGTTATTTCTATTGAGTCTCGCCTTATGGTGGCTTGTCTCCTTGGGGTGTGTGTGTGTGTGTGTGTGTGTGTGTGTGTGTGTGTGTGTGTATTTGGTTGTGCTTCATCTGTAGGAATCCTGAAGGCCTAAATTGGGATGCTTTCCTCCAGAAAGAATTTCTGTTTGCCTCTACCATTTTATCACTGACCAGGACCAATTTAATTTAATTTCTTGAGTGGGGATTTTCCCGTCTATGAGGATAGTGTAAATTTAACTTCAGCGCTGCAGGAGAGCAAATGGTTGCAAATCCTCCAGGGACATTATTATTGTTCTTAAATGTTTCCACCTGGAGCTCTGAAGCAGACACCCAGGTTTCCCAGAGGGATCCCTGTCCTGGCAGGCAGATTTGGTTGGAACCACCCTCTCCTTAGGCGGGTAGCCTCCTTTGAGGGTCTCAAGTCGGTGTAGGACTCTTAGGTTCACTACCCCCACTCACCACTCTGCATTTTGCATTACCTAAGGAAAGTGCTTATTGCTCATCTCTGGTTCCAGATAGTTTGCTTTATTTATTGCTTGTTTCTTTTGTGGAAGGAGGGCTTCCTTGTGATCTTGGCAGTGCAATAATGTTATGTCTGTAGACATTTACTTGCAATCAGGTAGCGGATGGCATTTTGGGATATCTGATCACTATGCTGCCAGAAGTCAAGTTGACTCATTAGCTCATTCTGGGAGTTACATCCTTGGCTGCCAACATGGCTCTCACCTTGCTCCAGAGGAGTACTTTGGAGAGAATTCAGGGTGTACATTTTCTGGCTAAGCCATGGAATGGGGCCTGGCCCCTGCTGCTTACTCCTCAGCTCTCATGCCTGTTTCCAAGCTTCAGGGTCCTGCAGCAGTCCCCCTTCCTGGTGACCTCATGGGTTCCTCTGAGGGCAGCCAGTGAGATGCTGCGACTCAGTGCAGCCGGAATGCACAGCAGAAAGAGTGAGGGGGCACCTGTGTGTGTGCTGGTGCACTGGGGTGTGTTGAGGGTGTTGGTAGTGGGAAGAGCCCTAGAATTGTTCAAGCCAGTCATCTGGATTGGACGTTACCTAGAAAACTCCCAGATTTCCTCTCCGTTTTAGGCACCACAGATACAACCTAATGGGCTGCTTTGCAGACGGCCAAAATGAACAGAAACGCCTGAGTGCAACAGAAAGCAATCCCACACCCCCTCGGAGACAGGCCTAAGCTCTGCTTACCCTGAGGGCTCTCCAGCCCTCACACCCTCCTCCTCTCACACTCACTCGTCCCCAGCCCAGCCTTGCTACCTGTGTCCCTGCTTGGGGGGGTCTGTCTCCCTAGGAGATGCTGCCCCCATGAAGGCAGCGCTGGCCTCGACCTCATTCACCCAGGAGTATTTATTTATTTATTTATTTAATTTTTTGAGACGGAGTCTTGCTCTGACGCTGAGGCTGGAGTGCAGTGGCGTGATCTCAGCTCACTGCAAGCTCCACCTCCCGGGTTCACGCCATTCTCCTGCCTCAGCCCCCCAAGTAGCTGGGACTACAGGCACCTGTCATCATGCCTGGCTAATTTTTTGTATTTTTGGTAGAGATGGGGTTTCACCATGTTAGCCAGGATGGTCTCAATCTCCTGACCTTATGATCCACCCGCCTCGGCCTCCCAAAGTGCTGGGATTACAGGTGTGAGCCACCTCACCTGGCCCAGGAGTACTTATTGATCTTCCCTCTGTATTTGACCCTCTGCTCAGTGCCACACAGTGGAAGGAGCTGGTCTTGGCCCTCTGGGGTCATCATTAGGGAGACAGTAATACAGGACAGTGACAGCTGTAATGCATGATGCAGTGGTTGTGGGAACAGATGAGGAGCACCCTAGCCTGCCCAGAGGACAGGGAAGGTGTCAGAGGAGGCAGCATTTGAGCCGCAGCTAGAACACCAAGTCATACGTTGTCAAATGTACAAACTGGGGAAGGGGCCAGTGGGGGATGGGAGATGGGGCTGACTAGTGGGCAGGGCAGACCCAGAAAGGTCCAGAGATGAGGAGCTGCCGGTGACCCTTCAAGAGGGGAACAACCCTCTCGGATGTGTATTTGGGATGATAGATTACTGGGTTCTCTGAGTCTGAACCTCACATTTCTGGAACCTTTATGGCTTTGTAA
The DNA here is from genome assembly GCF_000001405.40 of Homo sapiens. Classification (NCBI taxonomy): domain Eukaryota; kingdom Metazoa; phylum Chordata; class Mammalia; order Primates; family Hominidae; genus Homo; species Homo sapiens. Next base: position 46,553,555 of record NC_000022.11, on the reverse strand, counting down.
GAGGGAACTAAAGTATTGTTCTAAAGCTGTTCTTCATGATACCCAGGGTGAGCAGGTAGACTTTCCTGGCTTAGATTAGTGAGAATCACCCCCATTTGCAAAGTGCAGTAGAGTTCACGCAAATGACTTGCACAAGAACCCTTGGCTGGTAAGTAGAGTGCACCAGCTACCTATTGCTGCGTAACAAACACACCATTGAAACAACACTTCGTTATTATTTCTCAGGGTTCTGTGGGTTGGCTGGGCTCAGCTGGGTAGTTCTTCTGCTTGTGGTCTCTCATGCAGTTGCCGTCAGATGGTGGCAGAATGTCCAAGATGACTTATCACTCACATCTCTGCACCCTCAATGTCCTCTGGGTAGCCCCTCTCCATCAGGCTGGTCAGACTTCTTAGGTGGCAGCAGTCTCCTGAGAACGCACAGGCCAAAGCTGCTGGGTCTTGTTAAGTCTCAGGCCTGGAACTGGCACAGTGGCACTTCACTGCATTCTGTTGGTTAATGTGAGGGTTAGGGCCAATCCAGATTCTGTGTGGGAGGGGACTAAACAAGGGTGGAAACACCAGGAGGCATGGTTCCCTGGGGCCACCTTTGGAGATTGGCTGCCACACAGTGAACCTTGCCTTCAGGCTCTGTCTATGTGTCTTAACCACTATGACTCTTCTCCTCTGGAGAGGCCATAGCCACAGCTGGGGGTCTCTGTTTGAGTTACAGTGAGACCCTGCTTCTCTGATTAACTGCTCCTGCAGTCACATTTTTAGTATGTGATGCTCAGAGATAGTCCATGGGATGTCTGTATCAGTTATCTATTGCTGTGTAACAAAACTCCCCCAAATGTAATAGCTTCAAACACAACCATTAATTCTTTCCCGTGAGCCTCCAGGCCCACTGAGTGGCTCTGCTGATCTGAGATGGGCTCACTTCTGAGGTCACTAAGGGTTGGCGACATGGCTCTGCTGTCTTAGCTGGGCTCACATTCCTGGGACCTCAGCTGGGACAGCTGCTCTCGGCTCCATGTGGTCTCTCATCCTCTGGCACACAGGGCTCCTGAAGGGCAGAAGAGCACTTAAGGCCTAGGCTCAGAACTGACATCACTTCTGCCTCACTGTATGGTCAGAACAAATCATAAGGCCATCTGCCAGATTGCAGGGGTGGGGAAATAGCTCCCACCTTCCCATGAGCTGAAATGTCACCTTGCAGAAGGCGTGAAGGCAGGAAGGAGTGGAGCCATTTGTCATCAGCTGCCGTTGTGCCTGTGTGCATTTGAGAGGGGCCCTTCCCAGCAGCAGCCAGCCCACGCCAGGTAGCCGGGCTGGGTGAGCCAGGCTGGGCTGGGTCTCGGGCCCCGTGCAGCCCTCGGTGAACACCTTTATGTGTAGTCTCATGACCCTGTCTGACGCTGATGACTTGACCATGTAGCTGCTTCACACAGACCAGGCCAGCTTGGGAACTGGGAATTAGAAACAAGATTCTCGTTCGCCAGGAGCCGTTCATTTGAACTGGGGAGAGAGCTGAGCCCAGGAGCTCTGGCCGATGACAGGGTGCCTGGAGAAGCAGGCAAAGCAGCTCAGAGAGAGGAAGAAGAAGAAAGGCAGGGGCTAAGGGAGGCCATTTTGAGGGAGAGAGGGAGAAGTCTCCCCACAGCCCCACGGGAGGACTGCCCTCGATCCAGGGGGCTTCCAGCTGCTGGACCCACCCTCGCCTGTCCCGGCCATGTAGCATTTCCTCAGCTCTGTCCATCTAGTGGCATTATTGCTTTAAAAATGAGATGCTTCCTGGGCCATCAGCTCTGCAGAGAGCCACAAAGCTCCTTTTGGGTCCGTGTCAGAATTCTGCTCCCCAGACGGAGATGGCCTCATGGGCTGCTCCAGCACCAGCCTGTGCAATGTGGTCCGTGTGGCCAGAGAGCTGGAGGCTAGGGGCTTGGCATTCCTGGGACCCAGAAGCGGCTAGGAGACTGTCGGGGCCTGCAGCAGCATGGGAGCAGGGGGTAGCAGATGGAGGGTCCAAGTTCTAGGGCAAGCTGAGGCCAGGAGACCTGTCCCTAGCCCCCCACCTGCCAACGCCAGCGGGAGCCAGGACAGCGGGACATGGGTCCTTCAGGGGACAGCAGGCTGGAGGATGAGGAGGCAGAGACTCAGGCTGGAGGCCCTGAGAACCCCTGTCACCAGGCGGCCACATAAGCCACATCATCCCCTCAAGCACCCAGAAACTGGAGAGACGGCAGTGGAGGAGGGGAGGGATCTGGGGTCTGATGTCACAGGGCTGGCCTCGGTTTTTTGTTTTTTGTTTTTTTTTTAGATGGAGTCTCACTCAGAACGCCCAGGCTGGAGTGCAATGGCGTGATCTTGGCTCACTGCAACCTCCTCCTCCCGGGTTCAAGTGATTCTCTGGCCTCAGCCTCCTGAGTAGCTGGGATTACAGGCGCATGCCACCATGCCTGGCTAATTTTTGTGTTTTTAGTAGGGATGGGGTTTCACCATGTTGGTCAGGCTGGTCTCAAACTCCTGACCTCATGATCTGCCCACCTCGGCCTCCCAAAGTGCTGGGATTACAGGCATGAGCCACTGTGCCCAGCTGGGCTGGCCTCGTTTTGTGCCCACTGCCCAGCAGAAGGGGCTCAGGAGGACACTCAGAGGGTTACAGGCAAAGCAGAGAAGCTACACCTTCTCTGGGCATGTGGGGCATAGAGGGAGGTAGAGTTTTTTTGGACCCTGGAAATGTGGGGTCCGTCCCCCTCTTATTTCCCGGAAGAGCCCCAATTTGTTACCATGTCCACACCCCAAAATTAGAGGGGAGATTCTGATTTACACTAAAGCCAAAGCTCTGTCCTGTTGGGCCATGGCCAGGGCATTCACCAAACTCCCCCTCCATGGCCCAGCTCCCGACACCGGGGATGTCTGGCCTCTCTCTGGGGAGATCCCACATTCCCTGCAGTCCACCTCCCATCCAGAAGCTTCTGGAATCCCTCCCTCCTGCCCCAGGTCTGCCTTCCCCTCCACAAGCCTCACCTCCAGTCCTTTCCTTGGAGATGCCATCCCCACCTCCAGGAGCCCACCCAGACGGACCCAGTGAGAAAGGCTGCCTGGCTCTGGGCTTGTCCCGGGAGGCAGAACCTGCCGCATGGACTGGCCCCGACTGCCCTGCTCCGCGGTGAAGGCAGGTAGGACAGGATAGGCATCCCCACCCCTCTCCTCTGGCCTTCGCCTCACTGGCCAGAGAAGAGCCCCTTGCAGGAGTGAACGGGGTGGGAGATGGGGAGAAAGCCCGGCCTGAAGGAGTGGGTGCTGGTGCCTGTCCCACTGCTCTAATTCCTGCTGCTGTCCCCACGCTGATCACAAAAGGACACGATCATATTCACCTGACTGGGGTGCGGGAGCGGGGGCCTCTCGGAGCCCCTTCTCCACACGGGTTGGGGGGCTTCACCCGCCAGTATTGCCACAGTAAAGGGGCCAGGTGTCCACATTTACAGAGGCAGAAACAAAGAGATTCAACCCCCCTCATCACTGCAGGTGGGTGAGCAGTGACTCTCAAATGTTGGAACTGCTGACTATGAGAAAGACAAGAACTCTCGTTATCTCTGAGACTGGCAGCCTGGGGACAGTAGTCCCCTCCTCCACCAAAGAAGCTCCTGGGTGGGACTTTGGGGTAACCCACCTCTTGGCTGGCCAGAGTCATTGTGGGTGGGTTCTGGTGCCCTGTGTGTTATGCTGGGCAGACATCCTTTCAGGATGGAAAGCCGCCTCTTCACCTGTGTCCTCCGGCAACATCTCACCATGGGCCTCTGGTTCTATGCTCAACTGGTCTCCTCCCCGACCCCTGCTCTTCTCCAGCCACCCATGCTCTCAGATGCACAGCTGACCTTGTCCCTCTACAGCTGAAAATCCCCAGTGCCTGCAGTACAAAGGCCAGACCCCTTAACCCACCCCTGCCTACCTCTGGCCTCAACTCCCACCCTACTCTCCACCCCTACGATTTCACCCCTCAGTAATATTAAATTGCCTATAGTCACAAATTCTCCCCTGCCACACAGAGTCTGTTTGATTCCTCTAGGTCTTTGTATATGTTTTTCCCCTTGGCTGGAATTCAACATTCTTGTCTGCCTGGAGAACCTTCAAAACCCAGTTACCCTGGACAGCTTTCACAGACACCCCCCTTCACTGTCTCTCTAGAGTGACCTGTCCCTTGGTTTTGCTCCACAGTATTTGACCGAGTATGTGTGTATGTCTGTCTCCCCAGCACAGCAGACGGGACTTACCAAGGGCGGGCCACATATCTGAAAAATTAGGGGCAGAGTCCAGCACAGGGCTGGGCACAGGCAGGCCCCCAACAATGGTGCATGGCCCAGATGAAATGAAGCAGCTTTGCCCCAGTCTTGGCCTCAGGAAGCATCTCTGAAGTGTGGTGAGGATTTGGGGGTCACAGTGGGTACCCCCCAAAGGCCAGCCTTGGGAATGCTCCTGGCTTCCACTCAAACAAAGCCCCCCTTCTCCTCCCAGAACACCCTGGCCAGGAGTGACACTGATGGATCACTCACCCTCCTGCCGACTGCACAGCCCCGTCCTGGACTCTGGCAGACCACGAGCACTGGCTTCCCAGCAGAACCTGGCTTGACCCCAACAAGGCAGACATTGTGACGTTCACCCATGTAGAGATGTAGAGAGAGCCATCTCAGACCGCTGACCTCCGCAACCAGCAGATAATCAGCATCTTGTTTAAGACTAAGTTAACTTTAAGACTAAGTTTGGGCCGGGCGTGGTGGCTCACGCCTGTAATCCCAGCACTTTGGGAGGCTGAGGCGGGCGGATCACAAGTTCAGGAGATCGAGACCATCCTGGTTAACACGGTAAAACCCTGTCTCTACTAAGAAAAAAAAAATTAGCCGGGCGTGGTGGTGGGCACCTGTAGTCCCAGCTACTCGGGAGGCTGAGGCAGGAGAATGGCATGAACCCAGGAGGTGGAGCTTGCAGTGAGCTGAGATCGCGCCACTGCACTCCAGCTGGCGACACAGCGAGACTCTGTCTCAAAACAAAACAAAACAAAACAAAACACTAAGTTTGTGTGGCTGGGTGCAGTGGCTCATACCTGTAATCCTAGTACTTTGGGAGGCCAAGGCGGGTGGATCACCTGAGGTCAGGAGTTCGAGACCAGCCTGGCCAACATGGTGAAACCTTGTCTCTACTAAAAATACAAAAATTAGCCGGGCATGGTGGTGCATGCCTGTAATCCCAGCTACTCAGGAGGCTGAGGCAGGAGAATTGCTTGAACCCGGGAGATGAAGGTTGCAGTGAGCTGAGATCATGTTACTGCACTCCAGCCTGGGTGAGAGAGTAAGACTCTGTCTCAAAAAAAAAAAAAAAGACTCAGTTTGTAGGATTTTATTACATCAACCAGAGGAGAAGACTGAGGTCCAGAGAGGAAAACAGACTCACCCAAGCTCCCCACCAGGCCTCCTGACTCATTGCCCAGTGCTTCCTGCTTGTCCTGCCTGACCTCCTCACATGACAGGGACAGAGGCCCCAGCTCACACGTCCACTGCTGATTCCGCAGAGGCAAAAGTTCAGAAAAACCAAGCCAAGTCCATTTCTCTGGGTGTGCAGGCGAGCAAATTTTGTGGACAGAGAAGCCTGTGTGCCCTGAATCATGCAAAGGAACCAATTAACCAATTTTAGCAGAAGTTGGAACTTGCAGGAACCGAGCGCTCTGCCAATAGCTCCTCCTTGTCCCCTGTGTCCCCCTGAAGCAGGTGGCGGTGTGCCACGATGTCACCTTGGATTTAGAGTTTCTTAGCTTCGTGAGAGCCCAGAACACATACCGCCTGCATCCCCGAGGCCAGCTGGGTGGCTCTGGCCTATTTATAGTGTCCTCATCCATCTTCTTTTCTTTTGATCAGGGCAGGACCCAATCTCGGAGGAGCTGCAAATCTCGGCATGCTCGACAAATTCCAGCAGGGCATGAATCATGGGCTCCTGCCTCGTGAGGGCCCTCCTCTGCCAGTGGGGCTGGTGGAGCTCTGGGGCTCGCCTGCTGCCCAGCTTGGAGGCAGAGCCGGGCCTGACGGAGTCCTCCCTGCACATTCCAGAGGAGCTCAAGCCAGCTTTCCCCCCGGGATCTCACCTGACACTGCAAGGCAGAGTGCCCCACGAAGAGAGGGTTTCCTTCGCTTGCCTTTTTGCCCTGGCAAGACTGGCAACCAGGAGTCCGTGAGCACCGGTGCCTCCTCAGGGGTGGCACCTCTTTCTGGGAAGCCACACGGGTCTCAGACAGCTGTGCCCTTCCTGCTGCCCTCCAGCTGCCAGAAGGCCATAGTTCCCATGTGCCCTGGAATGTGGGACTCTCTTTGAGACGTCCACTTGGGGACCTGTCCTCAGGCCCTGGGGTCAGCACACAGGTGGGCAGTTTCTTTGGGCTCAGGGTCAGGCTCCTACTGGTGGGTGAAGGCAGCCCTTTGTCTCATGTCTTGCCCCAGCGTTCCTGAGTAGCAGGCTCCCTCCCCCATCCTCTTGGCAGCTGTCCCTCCCTGCTCCCTCCCGGTGACCACAGCCAAGCCAAGAGGCCTGTGCTCTGTTCCCCACACGTCCATGTAGAGTGGCTGGACACCGGTGTTGATTGCTGTGGAGGTGGCTGGAGGGAGTGGACATTCCATTGTAATGATGGCAAAAATAGCCATGATCTTTCAGCCACTGCTGAAACTGCTGGAGTCAGGCCCTTCCCAGGTATGATTTGCCCTCCCTGATGGTGCATTTGTCTCCCAGATGTGCAGATGTGGAAGCCGATGTCCTGGGGATCAGGGGAACCTCATGAGGGAGGAGGCAGGGGGCCAGGACTGGCTCCTGAGCTCTGCAACCCCAGTGTTGCCGTCTGTCTTTTAATCTTTAAAAAGAAGATACAATGATATAATTAGGATGCGGCAATCTCAGCACTGGGAGGCCAAGGCGGGGCGGATCACTTGAGGTCAGGAGTTTGCGACCAGCCTGGCCAACATGGTGAAATCCCATCTCTACTAAAAATGCAAAAAAATTAGCCGGGAGTGATCTCAGCTACTCAGGAGGCTGAGGCAGGAGGATCGCTTGAACCGGGGAGGCGGAGGTTGCAGTGAGCCGAGATCGCACCACTGCACTCCAGCCTGGGCAACAGGGCAAGATTGTGTCTCAAAAAAAACAACAAAAACAAAACCAATAATAATAATTAGAATGCTGACACTGTCTCTAGCTTTTCTGGGTCTCTCCCATTCCTGTAGAATCGTTCTTGCCCACAATCACCTGCCCATCTCTCTTGCACCCCAGAAAAGTTTTGCAAGTTCAGGAAGAGAAAAAAATAATCTGACATGTACTGTCTGTATTCTCCCATGACAATAATCTCTCTGTGGGGGGAGGGGTGTCCATGTCTACCACGGTATTGAATGAATATTGAATGAATGGCTGAATGTGCATGAAGGAAAGGAGACAGTGGGTGGTTCAAGTGTGGTTGTTCTTGCTTCCCCATTCCAATCAGGACATAAGCGGGGGGCCAGGGAGGACAAGGCCAGGCTGGCAGAGTGTCATCAACTCACGGCTGCTGCGGTGGGTGGCCCTCCTGTCCAGCAACAGCATCAGGGGGTGGGTGAGCGTGTTAGGAGGGGACAGAAAAGTAGGGGCCACTGGCTTCCCCCACCCCCAATCTGCCAATCCTACCTCAGAACAGTTTTTTTCTTTTTTTGAGACGGAGTCTCGCTCTGTCACCCAGGCTGGAGTGCAGTGGCTTGATCTCAGCTCACTGCAATCTCTGCCTCCCCGGTTCAAGCAATTCTCTTGCCTCAGGTTCCTGAGTAGCTGGGACTACACGTGCGCACCACCACGCCCAGCTAATTTTTGTGTTTTTAGTAGACATGGGGTTTCACCATGTTGGCCAGGTTGGTCTCGAACTCCTGACCTCAGGTGATCCACCTACCTTGGCCTCCCAAAGTGCTGGGATTACGGTCATGAGCCACCGTGCCTGGCCCTCAGGGCAACTTTAGTGCTCCTCCCTATACCCAGCAGGGGCAGAGGAAAGTCCCCAGGGAAAGTCCTCTTTGAGCCGTTGATGACAGCATGGTTAGTAGTAGTTACAATGCCAAAATATAAAAAGAATAATTTTAAAAAAGATTTTGTGTGCAATTTTGCAGAGGGAATGTCTTGCCCTTTTTTCTCCACTCAAAAGGAAGGGAGGGTATTCAAAAGAGTCCAAAAGTGGAAACAGCCCAAATCCCCACTGGCTGATGAGTAGATAAACAAACTGTAGTGTATCCACAGCGTGACACGTTACTCAGCCTTCAAAAGGAAGGAAGCACCAATTTATGCCCCAATGTGCAGGAACAGTGAAATGTGATGCTGAGAAAGCAGCCAGGCCCAAGAGGCCACACAGTGTGTGACTCCACTGACACAAACCACCCAGGACAGGCAAATCCATAGAGTCAGGAAGCCAGTTATCAGTTGCTGGGGGCTGGCAGGGGATTGATGATGACTTTGGGGCTTCTTTTTGGGGTGATCCAATGTTCTGGAATTAGATAGCGGTGATGACTACACAACTCTGTGACTATACTGAAAGCATTGAATTGTACACTTTAAAGTGGGTAATTTTTAAGATATGTGAAGTGTGTCTCCTTTTTTTTTTCTTTTTACATTTATTTTTTGGGCCGGGTGCAATGGCTCACACCTGTAATCCCAGCTCTTTGGGAGGTTGAGGTGGGCAGATCACGAAGTCAAGAGATTGAGACCATCCTGGCCAACATGGTGAAACCCCATCTCTACTAAAAATACAAAAATTAGCTGGGCGTGGTGGTGCACACCTGTAGTCCCAGCCACTCAGGAGGCTGAGGAGGAGATCAAGGAGAATCGCTTGAACCCGGGAGGTGGAGGTTGCAGTGAGCTGAGATTGCGCCATTGCACTCCAGCCTGGGGACAGAGTGAGAGTCCGTCTCAAAAAAAAAAAAATTTTTTTTTTTTAGAGATGGGGTTTCATTATGTTACCCAGGCTGGTCCTGAACTCCTGGGCTCAAGTGATCCACCCACCTTGGCCTCCCAAAGTGTTGGGATTGCCGGCATGTGCCACCGTACCTGGCCCTTGATCTCATTTTTTTTTTTTTGAGACGGAGTCTCACTCTGTCACCCAGGCTGGAGTGCAGTGGCACGATCTCGGCTCACTGCAAGCTCCGCCTCCCGGGTTCACGCCATTCTCCTGCCTCAGCCTTCCGAATAGCTGGGACTACAGACACCCGCCACTACGCCCGGCTAATTTTTTTGTGTTTTTAGTGGAGACAGGGTTTCGCCGTGTTAGCCAGGATGGTCTCCATCTCCTGACCTCATGATCCGCCCGCCTCGGCCTCCCAAAGTGCTGGGATTACAGGCGTGAGCCACCGCACCAAGGTTGCAGGGAAATGTAATAGTTTAACTTGAGAACTTAAATGTAGGTCACTCAGACTTCTCTTAGAGATAGAGATGGTGCAAGAAAATGCAGGTTTTGCCGGGCGCAGTGGCTCATGCCTGTAATCCCAGTACTTTGGGAGGCTGAGGTGGGTGGATCACCTGAGGTCAGGAGTTCGTGACCACCCTGACCAACATGGAGAAACATCATCTCTACTAAAAGTACAAAAAATTAGCCAGGTGTGGTGGCGCATGCCTGTAATCCCAGCTACATGGGAGGCTGAGGCAGGAGAATCGCTTGAACCTGGGAGTTGGAGGTTGCAGTGAGCCAAGATCGTGCCATTGCATTCCATCCTGGGTGACAAGAGTGAAACAAAAATAAATAAATAAATAAATAAATAAGGCCAGACATAGAGGCTTATGCCTGTAATGCCAGCACTCTGGGAGGCTGAGGAGGGAAGATAGCTTGAGGTTGGGAGTTTGAGACCAGTCTGGGCAATGTAGCAAGACCCTGTCACTACAAACATTAAAAAGAAAAAATTAGCCAAGCATAGTGGTATGTGCCTGTAGTCCCAGCTACTCAGGAGGCTGAGGCAGAAGGATCACTTGCGCCCAGGGGTTTGAGGCTGCAGTGAGCTGTGGTCATGCCACTGCCCTCCAGCTTGGGTGACAGAGTGAGACCCAGTTTCAGGGAAATAAAAAGGGAGGGAGGTATGTAAAGAAGAACAGTAATCAGTAATCAGTAAACAGTAATCAGGGCCGGGCGCAGGCTCACGCCTGTAATCCCAGCACTTTGGGAGGCTGAGGCGGGCGGATCACAAGGTCAGGAGATCAAGACCATCCTGGCTAACATGGTGAAACCCCGTCTCTGCCAAAAATACAAAAAAATTAGCCAGGCGTGGTGGCGGGTGCCTGTAGTCCCAGCTACTCAGGAGGCTGAGGCAGGAGAATGGTGTGAATCTGGGAGGCGGAGCTTGCAGTGAGCCGAGATTGTGCCACTGCACTCCAGCATGGGTGATAGAGCAAGACTCCATCTCAGAAAAAAAAAAAAAAAAAAAGAACAGTAATCAAGTGAGACAATATTCCCCCATATTGGCTCCATGATAACGTTTATGTGCATCAGGTGGGGGCCAGGAAACAAGATCGACCACGACAATGATAATAATAGTGATAGGAGCAAGGATATTCAGCAGCGTGAACTCAGCAGGTGTGGACCCTCTTCCGGGAACACGTGCATCTCCCTTACCTGAGCCTGGAGTCAGCAGCCCTCCCAGTCACTGCCCCCAAATGCAGCTCCCATGCCCTCCTGGGGCTTGTGTGCTCAGGTAGGCCCTTCATTCTCGTTCCCCGGGACTAGATGGGGGTGCAGCCTGTGGGGGGAGCCCCATCTCCACGCTGTGCACTCTGAGGCTCCGTTTGCTGTGTGTCTTGCAGAGCTGGGCATCCTCACCCTATAGAGAGTGAGGGGCTCAGGAGTCCCAGGAGCAGCGGGCAGTATGACTAGCAGCCCGTGTGGCCGGCCACTGCTCGGGGCCAGCAGCATCGTAAGTGTGTGTGCATGCACAGGGCTCACTCTCAGCATGGTAGCCACGGAGCCCGGGGCTCAGGCTGGTCTCTGCTCTGCTCAGGGACAGTGTGGTGGGCACCTGCACAGGCAGCCAGGCAGGCGCAGAGGGGTAGAGCCCATGCTTGGCCACTAGGGGCCAGTGCAGCCCTGAGATGGGCCCAGCAGGCACAGGCAGTGTGGGTGAGCATGGGGCGAGGGCATGGCCACAGGACCTTGTTGTTCCTGCCCACCCGGGCTCCCCAGGGAGATGCAAGAGCAGTTTTGGACACAAGACCTCAGCCCATTGCCCTGAGCCCACAGCATTTCCAGGCAGGCTGGAGATTTGTCTCTGGCTTTTGTGCGTGCCGGCTAAACTTCCTGGAGCTTTCCAGAACCTTCTTGGGGCTAAAGCCTCCCTGGAGCAGGTCGTTCAGGTGCTGGCATCTCAGGGAGCACCTGAGGGCGCCGAGCTCCCAGGAGGAGGCTTCACGAGGCGGCCTGGGTAGCCGTACGCGACAGCCCACGGGCAAGAAATCCCAGCTTTTATATTAGACAAGTTCTGGCAACTTCCAAGCAGGAAAACATGTTTTCTTTGTAGTCATAAAGTTATCCTGGCCTTCCAGGGAAGCGCTAGTACATAAGACGTGCTTGATTAGGATCTAAATTCTCTGTAGCCCCTTGCCTCTATTAACTCTATGTTGAGGCTTCATTTTTGTTCCGTGTTCTAACTTTCACAATTTTCCATGTGTCAAACCCCACCAACTGTAAGGCATCGAGAGGAGGCAGAGGGGTGCAATGGGCCTGCTCCCAAGATGTTTCCCCCTGAATTCCAAAAATAGGGCAAAGTGGACAAAGTGGAGCTTGGCCTGGGCTCACTCGGCTTTTGCCTATGAGTGATTTCTTGTGGCTCCTTGCTGTTTACCAACTGGCCCAGGAATTTACTGTGTAAGGAACAGATTCCAGAAGTCATGTAGCTTCTGGTTGCGGCCCCTGGCAAAACGCATTTTCAAGTGCTTTCTACAGCACGTACAACACTAGAAATCCATCGTGTCTGCCTTTTTTTTTTCTAAATTCTATTTTTGTTTTAAAAAATGCTCACTTCCCGTGAAACACCTCCGGGCAAGTGCAAAATACAAACATCAATTACAATCCATTGAGCCCCTGAGAAAGGCCGCAAGCAGCGATTCTAGGCACAGAAAACTGGTCAGTGGCTCTCAGGGTGACAGGTGCAAGAATGACCCAGGGTGCTGTTACTGAACTCCAAGCCCCCTCCCCGCCCTGAGAGTCATGAGTGGGCCACTGACCCCAGAGATGGTGGGCACATAGGGGCCGGGGAGGAGAGACCCTGCTCCAAGCCAATTCCAAAGGGGAAGGATATGAGCCGGGCAGTGACCTGTGGGAGCCGCAGACTCGGGCAGTGGACAAGCCCACCACATAGGTCACTGCCCTTTACAAAAAGCCCCACATATATCCCTTCTGCTCTCCAGGAATCAGCTCCACTTTCTGGAAACACATTGGGTGGACTGGATCAGTGTCCAAGTACAGACCCCTTGGGAAATCAGCTGAAAGCTGCAGCCCCTGCCTCTGCTCCAACACAGATGTGTGACCACATTCAATTCACATAATGAAGACAGAGAGGAGGCAGCCTTGAACTCATGCTAGGAAACAGCAACTGTGAAAATAGTAAATGCTATTACTGGCAGATCCATGCCTGAGCCAGACCCTGTGCCGACCGCTTCACACAGATTGTCTTGTTAATCCTTCAACAACGCTAGGAGTCTAGGACTATTGTGTCCAGTTAGAACAAGGAGTTAGGCCTTGGCGAAGGTCACACAACTAGTTAGTGGCAGAATTAAAGCTCAACCCCTCGAAGGTGCCAGTCATTCCAAACTCGTGATTTCTGATGCGGCCGGACCACCTGGCCGTCTCAGCACAAGCTGCGGCCTCCGTCTTGTTAGTCCCTCTCCCCTCCCCACTTACTTAAAATTGTGGATTCTAGGCCCGGCGCGGTGGCTCATGCCTGTAATCCCAGCACTTTGGGAGGCTGAGGTGGGTGGATCACCTGAGGTCAGGAGTTCCAGACCAGCCTGGTCAACATGGCGAAACCGTCTCTACTAAACATACACACATTAGTCAGGACTGGTGGTGTGTGCCTATAATCCCAGCTACTCTGGAGGCTGAGGCAGGAGAATTGCTTGAACCCAGGAGGTGGAGGTTGCATTGAGCTGAGATCGCGCCACTGTCCTCCAGCCTAGGTGAGAGAGCAAAACTCCGTCTCAAAAATAAATAAAGTAAAATAAAATAAAACTGTGGACTCTAAATAGGGTGTGGTGGCTCATACCTGTAATCCTAGCACTTTGAGAGGCTGAAGTGGGAGGATCTCTTGAGCCCAGAAGTTTGAGATCAACCTAGGCAACATAGCAAGACCCCATCTCTATTTAGCAATAAATAAAAATAGGCCAGGCACGGTGGCTCATGCCTGTAATCCCAGCACTTTGGGAGGCCGAGGTGGGCGGATCACGAGGTTGGGAGTTCGAGACCAGCCTGACCAACATGGAGAAACCCCGTCTCTACTGAAAATACAAAATTAGCCGGGCGTGAGGCGCACGCCTGTAATCCCAGCTACTAGGGAGGCTGAGGCAGAATTGCTTGAACCTGGAAGGCGGAGGTTGTGGTAAGCTGAGATCGTGCCATTGCACTCCAGCCTGGGCAACAACAGTGAAACTCTGTCTCAAAAAAACAAAACAAAACAAAACAAAACAAAACAAAAAAAAACAAAAACTGCCGACTCTAGATGCAGGCATAGGGAAAAGTACGCAAATCATGTGTTTGGAGTTCAAAGTGTGATCATGAAGCCGACACTCTGGTAACCCTCAGGTCCAGAAGGGGATGCCCCTCCTCCCCCAGAGCCCTCCTGAATGTGCCCATAATCACCTCCTTGTTTTTCTTCATCTTTCCCCTATTTGTGCACACCTCTAAACGTTATGGTGGAGTCGGGCTTGCTGTCGGTCTAAGCGTGAATGGAATGATCTTTTGTCTTTGCTGGACATCCTGTTAGTGAGATTCATCCATCCTCCCCTGTCCCTAGGTGTTGGGCAGTCCCTGTGGTTACCTCGCAGCCTGCAGGTGCCTTATTCCAGAAAAGCAGGCCCACACCTGAACCCACTGGCTGCAGCTGAGTTTTGTTTATTTAAACCCAACCCACTCTGCTTAAAGCCTTATTGCAAAACAGGCACTCCTGGGGTTCTCTGGTTTTTCCTCCTGCCTGGGTCCCCTTCAGGTCCGCCCAGTAGCCTTCCACTGGGAGGCTCCGGGCTCAGGGACCCGCCCTGCCTTCCGGCCCCAGAACTCCTGTCCTTTCATCCTTCCCGGAAAAATCCCAGTGGAAGGGTATATGGCGGGTGGGGAGGTCCTGGACCGCTCACATTAAGGAGACGGACTTTTCTCCTTCCTCCCCTCCCTCCACACACACATTTCCCAACAGGACTCTCCAGTGGAAACCTCGAATTAAAAGGTTCCAAAGCAACTCCACCTTTTAGATCAATATAACGTGTTCAAATCCTTGCTACTGGGAAGAAAATGCTCACATTGGGCTTCAGCACAAAGACACTGTTTCAGCAGCTTTGAGCGAAGTTGGCTGAGTATGCGTGTGACACACACACAGACACATCGCTCCGGGGGAGAAACCCTTCCGGTTCTCCACAGCCGCCCACGGTCCTCGTTGAGACTGGACTCATCTCAGCTCAGCTCAGAGATTTGGCTGCAGGATCCGACCCTCCCTTGCCAAAAAGACCCGTTCTAGGGGTGACTGCGCATTACTCCCACCCCCACCGCTCCGACCGGCCCCAGGAGAAGCCCTTCTAGGAGAGAAGAGGCGACCCCCACCTACCGTCCCCGACCACTGGGAGGCCTAAGGGCTGCACTGGACTCCGGCGCCCCGAGCGCCACCAAGGGAGTGCGCGCCCTTCCCAGCCGCTGGTGGCACAGTCCCAAAGCCCCGCCCATGCGGGGGGTCGCCAAGTCCTAAGCCTCCACCCCCTTTATCCCTGTGCCCCATCCGGAGGCAGGTGTACCCGTCACGCAAACCTAAAGCTGCCCCCGGCCCCCCGTGGTTCCCCGCAGGAGGCGGGGGTGTGTGTCACTTTTCTGAAAGCTCTAAGGTCTCTGCCCCCCGCCCCCCGCTGTCCTCCGTAGGAGGCTGGGCAGGGGCTGTGGCACAGCTCTAAATCCCTGCGGGTGCTTGCTTGCCCCAGGCAGCTTCCAGGACCCGCAGCCCCCCGCCTTCCCCGCAACCCGCTTCGGGAGGAGCCGGACGCTCGGGGATTCCGCGATGCGTCCGCGAACGCTCGGGTCGGGCCGCACGCGGGAGATGAGCGCGCCTCCGCCGTCCTCTCCAAATCCCTTATGTCAACCGGGGTTTTCTTCTTTCATTTAAAAGTTGCGCTTTAAACCAAGTGGGACGCAGATCCGGTAGCTGCCTATTGGGCTTCAAAGTCCAGGGAGTTTTAGTCGGGGTGAAGCATTTTAGCCTCCGTGCGTCTTGCTGTAAAATGGGTAACCCTCCTCGACAGCCTCCGCAGTCCTTAATGGGTGGGGGGGGGCTCCCCGGCCTCTCGGCCCCAGTCCTCCGCCCCCGGGTCCTACCCGCGCGGCACTCCTGGCGGCGGTCTCCGTGGATCTGTTCTGCCGGGGTGGGGAGCCAGGCTCTGAGCCGCGGCCCCGAGCCCGAGGTGCGGAGCCACCGCCCCACGGGTAGCGGCCACCGGGGGCCCCAGCCCCACCTTTCCCGGCCCTGTTGCCTCGGCCCCGCCCCACCGGGAGGCTGGGTGGGGAGGCCTCCGGGGAGTAGGGCCCCAGTCCCCGTCCCGGCCGCGCCCTCGCGTCTCCATAGCGATCCTCTCGGCGCGCACCTCCGAGCCGGCTCCCCCCGGGGCCGAACAATACGCCGCTGGGCCGGGGGCGGGGCGGGGCCGGGCCGGGGGCGGGGAGAGCGCGGGCGGAGTGGGCGCGGGCCAAGCGCACCGCCCAGGCAGCAGCCGGCCGCCGGGGTCTGCGCGGCGCGGAGCTGCCCAGCCCGCTCCGGGAACTCAGCCCCCGCCCCGCGCCGGGCCCGCCCCGCTTCCCACGCCCGTCCGGCCGAGCCCGCGCCGGAGCCACCTGGAGCCGCCTGGAGCCGCCGCCGCCGCCGCAGGTTGATGCGCGGCGCCCTCCCGGGACGCGCGGAGGAGCCATCTTGAAACCAACTTCGCAAACTTTCGCAAAGTGCTCTCGAAGTGGAAGCTGCGGGGGAGGCCGGGCGCGTGGTCCCCACAGTCCCCGCCAGGGCCCCCGGGGAGGCGGGACGCGGACCGCCCCGAGGGCCGGGCGCCCGGGAGCCGCTCCCCGGCCTCGCCGGGTGGATGCGGAGGCGCGCCGGGTGCATGGATTGTGTTCGGG
The DNA here is from genome assembly GCF_000001405.40 of Homo sapiens. Taxonomy (NCBI): domain Eukaryota; kingdom Metazoa; phylum Chordata; class Mammalia; order Primates; family Hominidae; genus Homo; species Homo sapiens. The sequence continues at coordinate 46,537,198 of NC_000022.11, read as the reverse complement.
CGCCCGGCTCGGGCTCGGGCTCCGGGCCATGGCGCCGCCGCCGCCGCCCGTGCTGCCCGTGCTGCTGCTCCTGGCCGCCGCCGCCGCCCTGCCGGCGATGGGGCTGCGAGCGGCCGCCTGGGAGCCGCGCGTACCCGGCGGGACCCGCGCCTTCGCCCTCCGGCCCGGCTGTACCTACGCGGTGGGCGCCGCTTGCACGCCCCGGGCGCCGCGGGAGCTGCTGGACGTGGGCCGCGATGGGCGGCTGGCAGGACGTCGGCGCGTCTCGGGCGCGGGGCGCCCGCTGCCGCTGCAAGTCCGCTTGGTGGCCCGCAGTGCCCCGACGGCGCTGAGCCGCCGCCTGCGGGCGCGCACGCACCTTCCCGGCTGCGGAGCCCGTGCCCGGCTCTGCGGAACCGGTGCCCGGCTCTGCGGGGCGCTCTGCTTCCCCGTCCCCGGCGGCTGCGCGGCCGCGCAGCATTCGGCGCTCGCAGCTCCGACCACCTTACCCGCCTGCCGCTGCCCGCCGCGCCCCAGGCCCCGCTGTCCCGGCCGTCCCATCTGCCTGCCGCCGGGCGGCTCGGTCCGCCTGCGTCTGCTGTGCGCCCTGCGGCGCGCGGCTGGCGCCGTCCGGGTGGGACTGGCGCTGGAGGCCGCCACCGCGGGGACGCCCTCCGCGTCGCCATCCCCATCGCCGCCCCTGCCGCCGAACTTGCCCGAAGCCCGGGCGGGGCCGGCGCGACGGGCCCGGCGGGGCACGAGCGGCAGAGGGAGCCTGAAGTTTCCGATGCCCAACTACCAGGTGGCGTTGTTTGAGAACGAACCGGCGGGCACCCTCATCCTCCAGCTGCACGCGCACTACACCATCGAGGGCGAGGAGGAGCGCGTGAGCTATTACATGGAGGGGCTGTTCGACGAGCGCTCCCGGGGCTACTTCCGAATCGACTCTGCCACGGGCGCCGTGAGCACGGACAGCGTACTGGACCGCGAGACCAAGGAGACGCACGTCCTCAGGGTGAAAGCCGTGGACTACAGTACGCCGCCGCGCTCGGCCACCACCTACATCACTGTCTTGGTCAAAGACACCAACGACCACAGCCCGGTCTTCGAGCAGTCGGAGTACCGCGAGCGCGTGCGGGAGAACCTGGAGGTGGGCTACGAGGTGCTGACCATCCGCGCCAGCGACCGCGACTCGCCCATCAACGCCAACTTGCGTTACCGCGTGTTGGGGGGCGCGTGGGACGTCTTCCAGCTCAACGAGAGCTCTGGCGTGGTGAGCACACGGGCGGTGCTGGACCGGGAGGAGGCGGCCGAGTACCAGCTCCTGGTGGAGGCCAACGACCAGGGGCGCAATCCGGGCCCGCTCAGTGCCACGGCCACCGTGTACATCGAGGTGGAGGACGAGAACGACAACTACCCCCAGTTCAGCGAGCAGAACTACGTGGTCCAGGTGCCCGAGGACGTGGGGCTCAACACGGCTGTGCTGCGAGTGCAGGCCACGGACCGGGACCAGGGCCAGAACGCGGCCATTCACTACAGCATCCTCAGCGGGAACGTGGCCGGCCAGTTCTACCTGCACTCGCTGAGCGGGATCCTGGATGTGATCAACCCCTTGGATTTCGAGGATGTCCAGAAATACTCGCTGAGCATTAAGGCCCAGGATGGGGGCCGGCCCCCGCTCATCAATTCTTCAGGGGTGGTGTCTGTGCAGGTGCTGGATGTCAACGACAACGAGCCTATCTTTGTGAGCAGCCCCTTCCAGGCCACGGTGCTGGAGAATGTGCCCCTGGGCTACCCCGTGGTGCACATTCAGGCGGTGGACGCGGACTCTGGAGAGAACGCCCGGCTGCACTATCGCCTGGTGGACACGGCCTCCACCTTTCTGGGGGGCGGCAGCGCTGGGCCTAAGAATCCTGCCCCCACCCCTGACTTCCCCTTCCAGATCCACAACAGCTCCGGTTGGATCACAGTGTGTGCCGAGCTGGACCGCGAGGAGGTGGAGCACTACAGCTTCGGGGTGGAGGCGGTGGACCACGGCTCGCCCCCCATGAGCTCCTCCACCAGCGTGTCCATCACGGTGCTGGACGTGAATGACAACGACCCGGTGTTCACGCAGCCCACCTACGAGCTTCGTCTGAATGAGGATGCGGCCGTGGGGAGCAGCGTGCTGACCCTGCAGGCCCGCGACCGTGACGCCAACAGTGTGATTACCTACCAGCTCACAGGCGGCAACACCCGGAACCGCTTTGCACTCAGCAGCCAGAGAGGGGGCGGCCTCATCACCCTGGCGCTACCTCTGGACTACAAGCAGGAGCAGCAGTACGTGCTGGCGGTGACAGCATCCGACGGCACACGGTCGCACACTGCGCATGTCCTAATCAACGTCACTGATGCCAACACCCACAGGCCTGTCTTTCAGAGCTCCCATTACACAGTGAGTGTCAGTGAGGACAGGCCTGTGGGCACCTCCATTGCTACCCTCAGTGCCAACGATGAGGACACAGGAGAGAATGCCCGCATCACCTACGTGATTCAGGACCCCGTGCCGCAGTTCCGCATTGACCCCGACAGTGGCACCATGTACACCATGATGGAGCTGGACTATGAGAACCAGGTCGCCTACACGCTGACCATCATGGCCCAGGACAACGGCATCCCGCAGAAATCAGACACCACCACCCTAGAGATCCTCATCCTCGATGCCAATGACAATGCACCCCAGTTCCTGTGGGATTTCTACCAGGGTTCCATCTTTGAGGATGCTCCACCCTCGACCAGCATCCTCCAGGTCTCTGCCACGGACCGGGACTCAGGTCCCAATGGGCGTCTGCTGTACACCTTCCAGGGTGGGGACGACGGCGATGGGGACTTCTACATCGAGCCCACGTCCGGTGTGATTCGCACCCAGCGCCGGCTGGACCGGGAGAATGTGGCCGTGTACAACCTTTGGGCTCTGGCTGTGGATCGGGGCAGTCCCACTCCCCTTAGCGCCTCGGTAGAAATCCAGGTGACCATCTTGGACATTAATGACAATGCCCCCATGTTTGAGAAGGACGAACTGGAGCTGTTTGTTGAGGAGAACAACCCAGTGGGGTCGGTGGTGGCAAAGATTCGTGCTAACGACCCTGATGAAGGCCCTAATGCCCAGATCATGTATCAGATTGTGGAAGGGGACATGCGGCATTTCTTCCAGCTGGACCTGCTCAACGGGGACCTGCGTGCCATGGTGGAGCTGGACTTTGAGGTCCGGCGGGAGTATGTGCTGGTGGTGCAGGCCACGTCGGCTCCGCTGGTGAGCCGAGCCACGGTGCACATCCTTCTCGTGGACCAGAATGACAACCCGCCTGTGCTGCCCGACTTCCAGATCCTCTTCAACAACTATGTCACCAACAAGTCCAACAGTTTCCCCACCGGCGTGATCGGCTGCATCCCGGCCCATGACCCCGACGTGTCAGACAGCCTCAACTACACCTTCGTGCAGGGCAACGAGCTGCGCCTGTTGCTGCTGGACCCCGCCACGGGCGAACTGCAGCTCAGCCGCGACCTGGACAACAACCGGCCGCTGGAGGCGCTCATGGAGGTGTCTGTGTCTGGTGAGTGGCCGTCGGGGTGGGAGGAGTAGCTCCTGATGGGCCTCCTGGAGAGCCTCAGGAACCCGCCAAGGGCTCCGCCTGGCATGCCGGGGCGCAATTGGGCCGGGCCCGGGCAACTCTGCAAGGATTTGTTGCCGCCGGTTGGATGCTGGGGGTGGGCGCCCGGCCTAGGCCCAGCGAGGGGGAGAGGCACCGCGCCGCTTCCGTCAGCATTTTCCTGGGAGCAGGCCTGCGGTTCTCCCAAGTTCAAGACCGGGGATCAGCGCCTTCCTCAGCAGGCTAGTGGCTCCTGAGTACAGCTATTAAAAAGTGGCCTCCAGGTGATCTGGGTCACAGGATTTGCTTGGAGATGCTCTTTCGTCAGCCAGCCACAGGGCTCTCTGGGAAGATCAGAGGTCACTGCCCCTTCCCAGTGCCAATTAATTCCAGGGTGGGACCGTTGGAATTGTCAGATGGGTCCCTGAGTCACCCTATAATGCAGCCGGTGTTCCCTTGGTCTGGCTTTTCTGTCTCCTGCAGATAATAACAGTCGGGCTTAGGTGTGTAGGGCTTTGTGCAAGCTCTTTGAAAAGCATAGCCTCATTTGATCTTGGCTTCTGCTCCTGGATGCGGGCTTGTAATTTGGGTGCTGTTGAAGAGGCCTGCCCAGTTAGTGGTGGAGCCAGTGTGGGCACCTCGCTCACCTGCTCTGGGGCTGGAGGTGAACAGGAGGGAGAGGAAACCTTGGCTCAGCAGTCAGAAGTTTGGCCGGTCCTCTATGCCTCTGACCCTGTGTGCCGGGGCTGGTCTGCGGTGCTGGGGAGGGGGACTAATAGAAAGTGTTGGAATTGGGAGACACAGAAGAGAGAGAAGAACTTCGAGGGGCCTGGGGGAACAGTAAAGGTCCCCCAGTGGCTCTTTGAGGTTTGCCTGACCGTGCATCCAAGGATGCTGGTGCAGGCAGGTGACCTTATTTATAAGCCCAAACTACTGCCAAGAAGAGCTCAGATTGGCTGGCTGTTTGAGTCAGTGTTTCAGAGAAATTGTTTAAACAGTGAGTTATTAGGATACAACTTTGCCACAGGAGCCCTGGAATAATTAAAAAGTTAACTTTCTGATTTGTTTCGTTTCCAAGGTTGGCTGTTATTCTGTAATATAGGAAGGGTTGGATAGCTAACAGCTTCCAGTTACAGTTTGCTTATAAGATGTGAAACTTACAGGTTCAGTTTTGGTATAATACAAACCTTCCGCACAATTTTGGCAGTACAGTCTATTTGTCGGTGAATATTTTAGGTTTGTGAGATTGTAAACGTGTAGAGAATATGGAATAGGCCCTTAAGGGCGAATTAACCGGGGTTATGGATATTCTTAGGAAGTTTTTCTTCTATACCACTTTATCTTATAGATAAAGCACAATGGGAAATTTGGCCTATTTAAAAATGACTTGGCCCAATAATAGGGTTTAGATTTAATGAGGGACGAGATAGTGGGAACAGATCCATGCTGGGGGCAGGGATGTTTTGTGTGTCTGTGGTATCAGTAATGTGGGCCCCCCCGCTGTTAGCCAGACAGCAGGGTTTAGGATGGATTCCCTTCCAAGGAGGTTGGTTCCTGAGAGCTGTCTCACCTGGGGCGCAGCTTAGACCACAGTTGAAAATGGGCTGGGGGCTCCACACTATGTAGTCATCCAGTCTCAGTCATCCAGTTATTGGCTCTGCTCCTTTGTGGACACACTCGTACTCTCGTGTAAATCAGGTGCTGTGTCCTCATGCATCCACACCACCCCCCAGACCACCACCGCCCCAACACACACCCGGATGACAGTGGTTACCTTTGACTGGGTTCCAGCAGGCGGTTTTCTTTACTCTTTTATTTGCGCTCTCATGTGTTTCCCTGGTAACCGGGAGCTGAGTGGTGTCATGCTGCTGCTCATTTTACAGATGCAGACACTGAGGCCCTGGGGTGTTGAGTGGCCTTCTCAGGACTGCACAGCCAGTGGGGGGCACTCGGCGTTAAACCACGATCCGCAGAAAGCAGCCCGCTCTTCGCATTCCCCTCTCTTCCTTTGGAGAACATTTTTGACGAATTAGTTGCTAAACTGAATTATTCCAGGGTCAAATGGGTGCTTTAAAGCAGGCATATGACCAGGCGCAGTGGCTCATGCCTGTAATCCCAGCACTGTGGGAGGCCGAGGCAGGTGGATCACCTGAGGTCAGGAGTTCAAGACCAACCTGGCCAACATGGTGAAACTCTGTCTTTGCTAAAAATACAAAAATTAGCCTGGTGTGGTGGCGAGCACCTGTAGTCCCAGCTACTCGGGAGGCTGAGGCAGGAAAATTGCTTGAATCTGGGAGGCGGAGGTTGCAGTGAGCCGAGATCCCACTGCTGCACTGTAGCCTGGGTGACAGAGTGAGACTGTCTCAAAATAAATAAATAAATAAATAAATAAATAAATAAATAAAAGGATGCGCAGAAATCTCAGACCATTCGACTAGGATTTAATGCTCCAAATAAGTAAATCACTATTGACTATAAGATCTATGGTTCCAGACAGCAAAGCACCGGATAGAAAACAGACCAAACAAAAAGATCAGCCCTTGAATTATCTGGAGGTTTTATTAAGGAACAATGCGGGGAAGCGGTGGTTTCAAACTCATCCACTGTTTTCAATGGAGTGTTGTTGCTTCCCCAGGATTTACAGCCATGCCCTAAAGCCTTTGATGCAATATGACCAGCCTGGAGGTGCTGTATGCAACAGGCCAGCCATCGACTACGTTTAGTGGGAGCCATTCCAGGAAGGGCTGCCAGCTTTCAGCAGAGGAGCCCAGGAGGGAGGAGCGCATCGGAGGGCAGGGCCTGGGAAGGCCCACGTGGTGGGGGCAGTTCATTTAGCCTGGCGTGGGGTTGAACACTGTGACTGTGACTAGATAGTTGTTGGTGGTTTTATGTAGCCCACCAAGGAGAAAACATTTTTTGAAAATTTTTTGAAGTCAGAAGATAGTGAAATTCAAATAGCTGCCAGTTTTGAATGACATCCAGCGATACAAGATGTTCATTTTTTGCGATAGTTTTTGAATGAGATTTTAAATTCTGTGATAGGAACTTTTTATTATGAGCTTGTATAAAGGCTGTGTTTGCGTTTTTCAGGGCAACGTGGCTGATGACCCAGTGGACAACTCAAGCCTTGAATGTGCTCTGCCTTCTTTCTGGACAGTGGTCTTTCAGAAACATTGACATTCTTTGTTTTATTTTTATTTTTGAAAAACAATTTATATATAATGAATTATATATAATATATAATATATGTTATAATGAATTATATATAAATTATATACACAAATTTATGTGTGTGTATATATATATGTGTGTGTGTGTGTATGAGACAGGGTCTTGCTCTCTTGCCCCAGCTGGAGTGCAGTGGCATGATCACGATTCATGTCAGCCTTGATCTCAGCTCATTGCACCACCACACCTGGCTGATTTTTTTTTTAATTATTTGTAATAGAGACAAGGTCTCACTATGTTATTCAGTCTGGTCTCCAACCTCTGAGCTCAAGTGATCCATCTGCCTTGGCCTCCCAAAGTGCTGAAATTATAGGCATGAGCCACTGTGCCTGGTTAGATGTATGTATTTATGAGGTACATGAGATATTCTGGCACAGGCATGCAATGTGTAATGATCACATCATGGAGAATGGGGTCTCCATCCCCTCAAGCATTTATCCTTTGTGTTATAAACAGTCCAATTATACTCTTTTAGTTATTTTTGAATGTACAATTAAATTATTATTGACTGTAGTCTCACTGTTGGGCTAAATACTAGGTCTTATTCTTTTTTTTTTTTTGAGATGGAGTCTCACTGTATCTCCCAGCCTAGAGTGCAGTGACATGATCTCGGCTCACTGCAACCTCTACCTCCTGGGTTCAAGTGATTATCCTACCTCAGCCTCCTGAGTACATTGGATTACAGGTGCACGCCACCACACCCAGCTAATTTTTGTATGTTTCTTAGAGACAAGGTTTCACCATGTTGGCCAGGCTGGTCTCGAACTCCTGACCTCAAGTGATCTGCCTGCCTTGGCCTCCCAAAGGGCTGGGATTACAGGCGTGAGCCACTGTGCCTGGCCTTATTCATTTTTTTAGCTATTTTTTTGTACCCATTGACCATCCACCTTCCTCCTGCTACCCCCTTCCCAGCTTCTGGTAACCATTCTTCTATTCTCTGTCCCCATGAGTTCAATTGCTTTGATTTTTAGATCTCACAAGCAAGTGTGAACGTGGGATATTTGTTTTTCTGTGCCTGGCTTATTTCACTTAACATAATGACCTCCAGTTCCATCCAGGTTGTTGCAAATGACAGGATCTCATTCTTTTTTTTTTTTGAAATGGAGTCTCACTCTGCTGCCCAGGCTGGAGTGCAGTGGCACCATCTCGGCTCACTGCAAGCTCCGCCTCCTGGGTTCACACCATTCTCCTGCCTCAGCCTCCTGAGTAGCTGGGACTACAGGTACCCGCCACCACACCCAGCTAATTTTTTTGTATTTTTAGTAGAGACGGGGTTTCACCGTGTTAGCCAAGATGGTGTCGATCTCCTGACCTCGTGATCCACCTGCCTTGGCCTCCCAAAGTGGTGGGATTATAGGCGTGAGCCACTGTGCCCGGCCCAGGATCTCATTCTTTTTTATTTTTATTTTATTTTATTTTATTTTATTTTATTTTGAGACAGAGTCTCGCTCTGTCGCCCAGGCTGGAGTGCAGTGGCGCGATCTCAGCTCACTGCAAGCTCCGCCTCCCGGGTTCACGCCGTTCTCCTGCCTCAGCCTCCCGAGTAGCTGGGACTACAGGCGCCCGCCACCACGCCCGGCTGATTTTTTTGTATTTTTAGTAGAGACAGGGTTTCACCGTGTTAACCAGGATGGCCTCGATCTCCTGACCTCGTGATCCGCCCGCCTCAGCCTCCCAAAGTGCTGGGATTACAGGCGTGAGCCACCGCGTCTGGCCTCATTCTTTTTTATAGTGGAATAGTACACCATGGTATATATGTACCACATTTCTTTTCTCCAGTCATCTGTGGCCGGGCCACGTCATTTTTAATTCACTTTGAGTGTGTGTCCGTGGGTGCAGGGCTGTAGGCCTCTTGTTGCAGAATGCGGAGCTTGGGAGAAAGGCGATGTCCCTGCCTCTCCTGCTGTGTGTGTTGCAGACCCATGGATGTAGGAAAGTGGCGTTTGTGGGTGAGAATGATTGGCGGATGAGTCATTCAGGCATGTCAGAAAATACTGAAACTCGGTGAAATAACAGGATTGAGTAACCTTCTCGCCGTTGACTTTGGTGGAGAGTGGATGGTATAAAGTCGTCTAGGCTTGATAAAGCTTCCCTAAGTGTTTGCCTAGTTAAATACAGGATATTGCAGTGGCTTTTAAACAGACGATTGCAAAGAAGGAAGTAGGGGCGGGCTACTGTTCAGGCATTGTCTGGATGCATGGCAGCGTGCTTTTCTGGAACTCACAGGGTAGGGAAGGATCGGACCTTTTTTTTTTTTTTTTTGAGACAGTCTTGCTCTGTCTCCCAGGCTGGAGTGCAATGGCATGATTTGGCTCACTGCAACCTCTGCCTCCCGGGTTCAAGTGATTCTCCTGCCTCAGCTGCCTCAGCTTCCCAAGTAGCTGGGATTATAGGTACCCGCCATCATGCCTGGCTAATTTTTGTATTTTTGTAGAGATGGGGTTTCACCATGCTGGCCAGGCTGGTCTCCAACTCCTGACCTCAGGCTATCCGCCCGCCTCAGCCTCCCAAAATGCTGGGATTACAGGCGTGAGCCACCGCTCCCAGCCTGGGTCGGACCATCTTAAATTGCTTCAGTGGCCAAGCAGGATTCTGCCAGTGTCAAACCTTCCCAGGAGAGTTCAGTGCTTTTGGCAATGAGTTAACCATTTCAGAGCTCTGATAAGTCTGGAGACAGTGGCTTGCTCATACCTTGAGAAACACTGCCTCAGAAATAAGGAGTGTTGGTTTGTTTATTGAGCACCTGCTGTGTGCGAAAGCCGGGAGAGCCAGTGTGGTCCTGACTTCTGCGGCTGGGTGGAGATGGACCATCCGATGAGCAAGGGGGCTGAGCTCAGGGGTAGAGTGGTGACACCAGGTGCAGGCAAGGGCGGGCTGGGACTCTTCTCTACCCCCCTGGACGTGTGCAGTGTGTGATGGGCAGGGAGACCGGGAGTCAGATGGATCCCCCGGGTCGAGAGAGGGCTGACTGTGGAGGGTTTGGTGGGCCCCCTCGGGAGGATTTAGGCAAGAGCTGGGTCCCATGTCCCAGCTGCTGGGCGGTGAGAGTGGAGGGGAGGGAAGCTGGGGACATCATGCTTGCTCCAGCATGGGGGTGGCTGAGGAGGGCTTTGCCAGCTTAGATGGTCAGACACATCTCAGCCGATGTGCTCCATGTGCCGGGAACCCTCCCAGGCTCTGCAGGCCCCATCGCTTGCAGTTTTCCAGCCGCCACACTGTGGTATGGAAAGTACCGTCGCCACCTCCATCCTAGAGATGAGCAAACCAAGGACAGGGCTCCCAGGGCACCAGCTTGTGATGGCAGCAGTGGGATTTGAACCTGGACCGGGCAGCTCCTAAGGCATGTTCCCTGTCTGTGCCTTCCAGAAAAAACTGGCTCTGGGAGGATGAGAGTGAAACTGAGAGAGGTTCGTTCCCTGAGCCAGAGTCCTTACCGGGAATCGGCTTTGGTGAGAAGACGTGAGGCCATTTTTGGCCCCGTGTGGCTGGGCGTCTTTGAGAGTGTCCTGAAGTTGATTGTGTGTGCAGGTCCAGACTGGGGAGACCAGCTCAGGTTATGGACACAGAAGTGAGGGTGCTGGCAGTTAGGAGGGGACCCAGGCCCAGCCTTGAGGAGCCATGGCCCGAATAGCCTCCTGGGTGGGGAACAGTCTGCTTGGGAGCTGGAGCAGGAATAACCACGTGCAGGGGAGGGCCCACGGGTGCAGGCCCTGGAGGCTGAGGGAGGGCGAGTGTCTCCGAGGGGGTCATCCGTGATGGATGCCGTCTGGCGGTTGGAGAGCCTGGGGACAGAGATGTGATGGGTTAGCCAAGGGCAGGTCCTTGGTGGCCTCTGTGAGATCTGAGTGGAGTGGTTTGGGGGTGCCTCTGAGAAGCAAATGACAAGGTTGCTGGCATGAGTGGGATGGGAACAGGACCCAGCCTCAGAGGGAAGGCAGGGTGTCATGGGGACAGGCCTGCACAAGGCTGAGCTAAAGGCCCAGCAGAGTTGGCGGGTTACGCACAGCACCTAGCTGTCCTGCAGCCTAGCGTGGCACTGGCCCGTCTCAGGGGCTTTGGGAGTGGGCAGTGTCAGGTCTTCCTCATTGTCTCCCAAAGGGCTACTGTGGCCAAGCTTCGTAGACGGGTTTGCCAGGACAGTAACTTCTGCCTCTCTCTGAGTCATCAGACCTGGAGGGAATGGAGGAGCAGGAGGCGGACGGGAAAAAGGGGCCTGGGAGAATGGAAGGGGCCACAGGTCCACGGGACATGGACTCACCAGGGCAGGGCGCCCACCTCAGCACCAGCTGCCCGGGGACAAGAGGTCTATGTCTGGCCCCATGTACCGACCAGGGTGTTGAGAGACCATTTTTAAAAGTCTAGGTGAAGTAGCAGGCAGGTGAAACTCCGGGCAAGTTCCCAAAGCCCTGGGCAGGAGCCGGCAGGAGGGGCGGTGCTGGCCACGCCTGGAGCGGGCCCATGTTGCTGGGCGTGCCAGAACCCCACGCTGGCCCCAGTGTCGCTGCTGAAGGGTCCCCTTGGGTTTGGGCTGGTGCCTGTGCCTGCACATTTTGAAACCCGATAGCAGAACCTGTTGAGGAAGGGGATAGGTGGGTAGATGGGGTCTGGGGCCCCTGGCAGCGGCCACCTTAGCTGGGGTGTGGCCTGTGGCCCGGTGCCACGGGGCTCATCCCTGCCAGCACTTGGATTCAAACAGAATTAGATGTTATCTTCTGGGTGCAGCATGTAGAAAGCAGTCCTGAGTTTGGTGTGATTTCTTCAGTTCACAGCCTTGGGGGAAATCGTTTTCTAATTTTTTCTTCTTTTCCTGTAACCTGAACACACGGGTTCATATAAATGCCCCAAATTCCCTAGAATGAAATTCCTTAATGCTGGGAGGGGTTGTAGTAAACAACCCTCTTTTTTTTTTTTTTGAGACAGAGTTTTGCTTTTGTTGCCCAGGCTGGAGTGCAATGGTGCGATCTCAGCTCACTGCAACCTCTGTCCCCTGGGTTCAAGCGATTGTCCTGCCTCAGCCTCCCGAGTAGCGGAGATGACAGGCGCGCACCACCACACCCGGCTAATTTTGTATTTTTAGTAGACATGGGGCTTTCTCCGTGTTGGTCAGGCTGGTCTTGAACTCCCGACCTCAGGTGATCTGCCCGCTTCGGCCTCCCAAAGTGTTGGGATTATAGGCGTGAGCCACCACGCCCAGCCGTAAACGACCCTCTTTAATTCAGTGACCCAGCCTTCCTCTTGCTTGTTTTGGGAGGAAATTCAGGTGGAAGTTCAAGCCATGAGGGTCCAGAGGCCAGTCTTGCAGTAGTGGCCGCTCCTCTTGGAGGCCCCTGGGCTTCCCTGTCCTGAAGCCTGTGGACCTGGGGCCTGGTAGGCGGTGTGGATTATTTCTGGAATGAGCCGGAGGGGACCCTCGGAGGGGTGAGGGGAGGGGGCTGCCTGCCAGGTGGAGGGCCCAGTGCCTTTACTTGGGGTACAAGGGGAGCTGCGCAGAAGCACGGACAGCCCCCAGGAGCCGTTTTCGTTTCCTCCCACACGTGCTGAGGGACTCGCCCTGGTGAAGGGATGGGCATTTTTCAGGAAAACACCAGTGACTGAATTCTTAGGCTTTTGCTTCGGGTAAGGACTTGTGGATACCTTAGTAATCAGGTCCCCCTTTTGGGCGTGAACATTCCATAGCTGGGAAAAGCCCCACAGCAGCCTTTTAGTGGGGTCATCCCTCTAGCGCCTGTTCTCTTGTCCTGGATGAAGGCCAGGGGCTCTTAAAAAGCAAACAAAACACACAGACAGACAGACACACACACACACACACACACACACACACGCACACAACGGGGGTGGGGGCCGTTTTCAAGGTCATCGTGTGGGGTAACACCTTTCCTTCCAGCCGCCCGACACACCGACTTCGCCCCTTCCAGTTGTCATGGGGATTGTGCAGGGGACAGGATGTGTCCCTCAGAGCTGCGGGCCTTGTTTGGAGGCTTACGCGTGTCCCAAGCACAGGGGGCAGGCCTGTAAGAGGGGAATCATGTAGCAAGGAGGCTGGCCCAGAGCAGGGGTGATTGAGAAGTGGGCGCGGGACCGCCTGGGTCTGTGTGCTTCCCACCACCGCGGTGCCTGTTCAGTCTGTGCCTGCATCGTCTCAGTGAAATCTTACAGGATCCCCATGGTAAGGGCAGAGAAACTGAGGCTAGAGAGCTTGTAGCGACAGGAAGAGCCAGGCGCAGACTCTGGGGTCTGTGTGCTCTAATCGTGGTGCTGACAGCCATCTTCGGTCCCCTCTGTCTGTCAGTGGCGAGGCCCTGGGGCACAGAGCTGGAGGTTTCTGAGGACGGAAGCTCAGTGCAAGTGACTGCGTTGCCTGAAACGGGACGGCTGAGAGTTACCTGCACATGGTGCCTGATTGTGGGGGTGGGCGACAGTGGCAGCCGTGCTGCAGGACTGTGGGAGGGGCTGAGGCTGGAGAAGGGGCTCCTTGGAGCCTTCTCTGGGTCCTTGTGGGGTCTCTTATGGTAGAGCTGTCACAAGAAGCTGTAGAGTGAAGGACTGGTGGGCACCAGGTGCAGGGAGGCAGGCATGTCACTGGTCAGAGCTGGAGGCTCTTATTTGGGGAGCCTGGGGAGGGAGATACCAGATGAGGAGCCTGCTCAGAGCAGGGGCTGACGCACCTGTTGAGGGGCCTTCCAGCTCAGAGAAGCTGCATTGTACTAGCCGGGGAGTCGCCTTTCTCCTGCCCTGTATTCTTCCCTCCCTCCCTCCTTCCAACTATCCATCCACCCATCAAGATTTTTCTTTCTTTTTATTTTATTTATTTATTTATTTATTTATTTATTTATTTGAGACAGAGTCTCACTCTGGCACCCAGGCTGGAGTGCAGTGGTGCAATCTCAGCCCACTGCAACCTCCGCCTCACAAGTTCAAGCGATTCTCGTGCCTCTGCCCCTTGGGTATCTGGACTACAGGTGCCCGCTACCACACCCAGCTAATTTTTGTATTTTTAGTAGAGATGGGGTTTCACCACTTTGGCCAGGCTGGTCTCGAGCTCCTGACCTCAGCTGAACCGTCCGCCTTGGCCTCCCAAAGTGCTGGGATTACAGGCATCAGCCACTGCACCAGGCTAAGATTTTTCTTTCTTAATAGTCTGTTTTTATTCACAGTTTTGTATCTTCTTTTAAATATTTTTTAGGATTTTTGTTCATATCTAATCTAAATGACACTTGGTTAAAGTAAACTAACAGCAACTAATTCAAATAAAATCACATGCCCTGTTAGCATTCGGAGATAAGAATGCTCTTGCAGGGCAATAACCATTTGTCAGTGAGTTGATTGTTGCAGGGCGGTTTTCATCATCAGAATGAAGTTGTTCAGCTGCCCTGCAGTTCCGCTGTCGGCCAAGGCCCCAGGGGCTGTCCTTTGATGTGTTGTGATGCTGGGCATGGGCCCGCTGAGCAGGTGTTCTCCCAGCATTGGAGACGGCCTGAGATTTCACCAGAGATGAGGCCTGGGCTGTTCTCCACTCACTGCCCCGTTCAGATTGCCTGACGCTGGGTCTGCCTGGCCCCCTCTGGACCTCCGAAGGTGGAATGGCCATCCCCTGGGGCCCCTTCCCTGCTGCCTCTCACCCTTCTGTAGGTTGGGGAATGGAAAAGCAGAGATCCAGCCTGGAGATCTGACTGTGATTGGGGAAACCTCCTTTTTCTTGCCCATGTATGTCTCAAGCTCTGAGAAAGTATCCCATTTAAAAACTGTTATGAAATATTTGCAAATCCTATATGTGATAAGGGATTAATATCCAGACTATGTAAAGAACTCCTACAATTTAGCAACAAGAAAACAATGGAATTAAAAAATGAGCAAAGGACTTGAATAGACATTTCTTCCAAAGATACAAGTGGCCAATAAGCACAAAAAAAGATGCTCAGAGTCATTAGTCAACAGGGAAATTCAAGTCGAAACCGCAGGCGTGGGGGCTCCAGCCTATAATCCTGGCACTTTGGGAATCTGAGGCAGGAGGATTGCTTGAGCCGAGGAATTGGCAATTTCTACCAAAAAAATATACAAAATATAAAAAAATTAGCTGGGTGTGGTAGCATGAACCTGTAGTCTCAGCTAGTCAAGAGGCTGAGGCGGGAGGTTCGCTTCAGCCTGGGAGGTGGAGGTTGCAGTGAGCTGAGATTGCATCACTGCACTCCAGACTGCACAACAGAGTAAGACCCTGTTTAACACATACACGCTTTTGCAGGGCAATAACTGTTTGCCAGTGAGTTGACTGACACACACACAAAAAAACCCCAAACCTGCAAGGAGATGCTACTTCATACCCATTAGGATGACTGTGGTCAAAAAAACTCAGAAAACACGTGTTGAAGGATGCAGAGAAACTGGAACCCTTTTGCCCTGTTGGTGGAGTGTAAAATGGTGCAGGTGCTGTGGAACACAGTATGGAGGTTCCGCAAAATATGAAAAATAGAACTACCATATGATCCAGCAATCCCGCTTCTGGGTATGCTCTAATTCAAAACAAGGTCTTTATTTTTATTCTTGCTTTTGAGACACAGTCTCACTCTGTTGCCCAGGCTGGAGTGCAATGGCGCGATCTTGGCTCACTGCGGCCTCTACCTCCTGGGTTCAAGCGATTCTCCTGCCTCAGCCTCCCCAGTAGCTGGGATTATAGGCGTGTGCCACCACACCTGGCTAATTTTTATATTTTTAGTAGAGACGGGGTTTCTCCATGTTGGCCAGGATGGTCTCGAATTCCTGACCTCAGATGATCCGCCTGCCTCAAGCCTCCCAAAGTGTTGGGATTACAGGTGTGAGCCACTGTGTCCGGCCTGACTGAAAACAAGATCTTTTTTTTTTTTGAGATGGAGTCTTGCTCTGTCGCCCAGGCTGGAGTGCAGTGGCGCGATCTCGGCTCACTGCAAGCTCCGCCTCCCGGGTTCATGCCATTCTCCTGCCTCAGCCTCCCGAGTAGCTGGGACTACAGGTGCCCGCCACCATGCCCAGCTAATTTTTTGAATTTTTAGTAGAGACGGGATTTCACTGTGTGTTAGGCAGGATGGTCTCGATCTCCTGACCTCATGATCCTCTTGCTTCGGCTTCCCAAAGTGCTGAGATTACAGGCGTGAGCCACCGCGCCCGGCTGAAAACAAGATCTTTAAAGAGGTATTTGTACACCCATGTTCATAGCAGTGTTATTCACAGTAACCAAAAGGTGGAAGCAACCCAGGTGTCTGTGAACAGACGAATGGATAAGCAACATGTGGTTCAGTTGCATGATGGAATACTACTTAGCCTGAAAAAGGACGGAAATTCTGACACTTACTACAACGTGGGTGAACCTTGAGGACATTATGCTAAGTGAAATAAGCAAGACTGAAAAGCACAAATTCTGTATGATTCCACTGAGGTCCCTAGAGGAGTCAAATTCATAGAGACAGGAAGTAGAATGGTGGTTGCCAGGGGGTGGGGAGGGGACAGGAGTTGCGTTTAATGGGGACAGAGTTTCACTTTGGGAAGATGAAAGGCTCTGGAGATGGAGGGTGATGATGGTTGTATAACAGTGTAAAGGTACTTCATGCCCCTAAACTGTGGGTGCATTTAAAAATGGTTACAGTGGGCCACACCTGTAATCCTAGCACTTTGGGAGGCCGAGGCAGGTGGATCACATGAGGTCAGGAGCTCGAGATCAGCCTGGCCAACATGGTGAAACCTTGTCTCCACTAAAAATGCAAAAAATTAGCTGGGCCTGATGACGGGTGCCTGTAATCCCAACTACTCAGGAGGCTGAGGTAGGAGAATTGCTTGAACTGGGGAGGAGGAGATTGCAGTGAACTGAGATCAGGCCATTTTACACTAGCCTGGGTGAGAAGAGCAAGACTCCGTCTCAAAAATAAAAGTGGTTACCATGTTAAGATCCGTATTATGTACATTTTATTACAAGAAAAAAATGCTAGAAGGACTAATGCAAACTGTTGCAGACACTCAGGTGTGGGAGGCGTGGGAGCAGGTGCCTGTGTCTGTGGTTTCAGGTATGATTTCCCTGAGAGCTTGAGCACTGAACGGGTTCCTTTGGTCCTGTCCTGGGGTTCGAGGCCATCCAGGGCCTCCTTCTGAGCTCGGGGCTCTTCTTCCTTCTGTGCCTTTTCCTGTGCTCTTAGACCATGTCTTGAGATCACAAATGGCAATAGGGGGCTGGGCGCAGTGGCTCACGCCTGTAATTCCAGCACTTTGGGAGGCCGAGGCGGGTGGATCACCTGAGGTCAGGAGTTGGAGACCAGCCTGGCCAACCTGGTGAAACCCCATCTCTACTAAAAAAATACAAAAATTAGCTGGATGTGGTAGCGGGTGCCTGTAATCCCACCTACTCGGGTGGGTAAGGCAGGAGAATCACTTGAACCCAGGAGGCAGAGGTTGCGGTGAGCTGAGGTTGCGCCACTGCACTCCAGCCTGGGCGATGAGCGAAACTCTGTCTCAGAAAAAAAAAAAAAAAAGCAATAGGGGTAGGTACTGAACTATAAATCTTGTGCCTGGTACATGGATCAAATCTCTGGTTATTTGACTGCATTATCAACAGCCACACAAATGGACATGTTCCCTGTTTTAGGGGCCCTGGGTGCAAGGAAGGCTTCGTGTTTCTGGCGGCACCTGAGCAGGGTCCAGTGTTTCCTGGTTTTTCTGCAGGTTCTGGGACCTTGCATCTCAGGGGCATGGGAGGGGGTCCCTGGGTATGTGGATGTCTTGGGCACCTCCCAACCCCGCCCAGGAAGGGAGACCAGCTGGGCATTCAGACCTGATGCCCAGGCTCTGCCTGGTTCTACCAACTTGGACAAGAGGTGAGCTGTAGTGGGCGGCTGAGACCGCTGCTCCCCGGGCCAACCCGGGGGCTCCCAAATCGTAGCCCTGTGCTCTGTGTGGCCCAGTGCTGGCCCTCAGCACCCTCTCTTCATGACCAAGCCTTGGGTCCAAAACCACCAGTACACACGCTGGTTCAAGTGTATTTGTATCAGCATTTGGATACACTGAAGCAATTTGGCTGGATCTTTGTCCTTGTTTGTTTCTACGGAGGTGGAATTCACAGAACGTGAAGTTAACCATTTTAATGTGAGCCATTTTGTGGTGTTTAGAACATCACAGTGGTGTGCAACACCCCCACCCTGTCCAGTTCCAAAGCATTTCCATTTCCCTCAAAGGAAAGCCTGTACCCTCTGGCAGCCCCAACCCGTGGGCTTTTGTGTCTGGCTTCTCCCCGGCCAGTGTCATGTTTTCCGGGTCGTGCACAGCGCAGCACGTGGCAGTATTTTCTTGTCTTTATGTTGGTGTTTTTTTTTTTTGATACAGAGTCTCGCTCCGTTACCCAGGCTGGAGTACAGTGGCTCAATCTTGGCTCATTGCAACCTTTGCCTCCTGGGTTTAAGCGATTCTCCTGCCTCTGCCTCCCGAGTAGCTGGGATTACAGGCATGCGCCACCACGTCCAGCTAATTTTTGTATTTTTAGTAGAGACGGGATTTCTCCAGGTTTGCCAGGCTGGTCTCGAACTCCTGACCTCAAGTGATCCACCCGCCTTGGCCTCCCAAAGTGCTGGATTACAGGCGAGCCACCGCGCCCAGCCACAACTGGAGTCTTTATAAGAGAGAAGACAGAGACAGACACACAATGAGGAGGCCACAACGTGAAGATGGAGGCAGAGACCGCAGCCACACTCGGATTACAGGCGTGGGCCACCGTGCCTGGCCCCATCTTAATTTATATCTTCATCTGCAGCCTTTATTTCCAAGTTAGGTCACATCCACAGGTACTGGGCATTGGGGCAGGGTAGTGAACCCACTGCCACGCCTGCCTTCATGTTTGTGTGTGTGACTGGTTTCTTCGTGTTAAATCAGATAACCGAGGCCTCCCTTCTCAGTGGGATCTGCAGTCTGTCCACCCGAATGCCCGAGCACACCATCGGTTTGCCTTGTCGCAGTGCAATGTGGTCTGTGGGAGCCCACTCCCTTCGTTCTCCTCTAACGAGACTGAGTGTGGCACGGGCTGAGCGCCCCTGCTGATGGTGCCCCCACAGGCTCTGACTCCTCAGTAAGGTCTGCTGTGATAGCAGCGTCTGTGCTGAGGGGCCGCGCTGTGCTTTGAGATGTCCTTTAGAAAGGGGATGCCGAGGCCAGGCGTGGTGGCTCACGCCTGCAATCACAGCACTTTGGGAGGTCGAGATGGATGGATCACATCACCTGAGGTCACGAGTTCGAGACCAGCCTGACCAACATGGAGAAACCCCATCTCTACTAAAAACACAAAAAAATTACCCGGGTGTGGTGGCACATGACTGTAATCCCAGCTACTTGGGAGGCTGAGGCAGGAGAATCACTTGAACGCAGGAGGCAGAGGTTGCAGTGAGCCAAAATCCTGCCATTGCACTCTGGCCTGGGCAACAAAAGTGAAACTCTGTCTCAAAAAAAAAAAAAAAGGAAGGGGACACCGTGGGAGGTGTGTAATAAACAGAATATGGGGACACAGGGTGGTGGGTGCTTTCAGATGACAGCTCACCCTCCCTTTCCCTCTGGGTCTCAATGCCAAGTGCCATAGCCATGGGAGTCGCCTCTTCAATGCAGCCCTCGCTTCTAAGCATGGAAAATTCTAACACATAATCGCAAGTTCTCCCAATTCTTCAAAGAGGAGAGAATGGAAAATATGAAGGTTTATTGTTCTGTGAGACTTCCTGTCTGTCCTGCATGTGGCCGTCAGAGGTCAGGGGTGCGTCTGTGTGTGCAGGACGGGAAGCTCAGGGGCGTGTTTTGCGGCGTGTCTGCAGGGGCACCTTACTGTGGACAGAGGTACCAAGACAAGAGCCGGCCTGGGGCGCCGGGACAGTGCACATCAGCCATTGTGGTTCTACCCTCCAGATACCGCCTTGTGCCCCGTGGAAGATGACAAGTGCCAGATGGAGTCTGTTTTGGGGGAAAACCAGGCCGGGATGACCCCGTAGGCAGGAAACCGGTGGCTTTGGTGTTGGACGGCCGTCCAAGTCTCCGGTTTGGCCCGGGAAACCCATTGCATTTGTGGCAGGAATTCTCTCTTCCCTCCTGTTTTTCCTGCGGGTCATCGGCCCAGCATTTTTTGCCAGAGCAAAGGTGGAGCAGTGGGAAAATGGGCCAAGCCCCTTCAGGGGCCAAACTTGCACCTGGCAGCTCCATGCTCTGCAGCTGGGAAAACTGAGGCAGTGGGGGATGGGGAGGTGGTTTGTATACCTCAGGGGAATGATCCATTGGGGTGAGAACCTGCCCTGGCCAGAGCCAGACCCTCTGGATTCTTCCCCCAGAGTCACCAGCCTCAGGAAGTGGATGAGCCCAGCTCATCCCTTATGGGTGATAAAGGTTCCTTTGCTTTAAAACACGAAAAGGGCATCCCATGGCTTTGCCAGCCGTGACACTGGTTTAGGTGGGATTCTGGGCATGGGTCAGTGGGGGTCAGCTGCAGTGGGAAACGGGGAGGGAGGGTGAGGGGACAGCCCTCGGCCGCCTGCCTTCCTGCCAGTCCCCACCCCGCAGCTTCCTGCCTGGCACAACATAGGGTGTTGCCTGTGTCCTGAGAGAGTCGTGTGCCTGGGTGAGAAGTGGAGGGAATGGACTTTGTGGTCCGTTGGGCCGGAGGAGCCACATAACATGAGCTGGTCGAGGAAATTACCTGGGAGGTGTCAAGGTGGCAGCAAATGAGCTTTGAAAAGTATGTCCTGGCCAGGTGTGGTGGCTCATGCTTCTAATCCCAAGCACTTTGGGAGGCGAGGCAGGAGGCTTGCTTGAGGCCAGGAGTTCAAGACCGGCCTGGGCAACATGGCGAGACCCTGTGTCTATAAAAAAAAATTTTAAAAAACCCCCCAAAACCGGTGTGCTATCCCTCCCCACTCCCCCAACCCCACAACAGGCCCCGGTGTGTGATGTTTCCCTTCCTGTGTCCAAGTGTTCTCATTGTTCAGTTCCCACCTATGAGTGAGAACATGCGGTGTTTGGTTTTTTGTCCTTGCGATAGTTTGCTGAGAATGATGGTTTCCAGCTTCATCCATGTCCTTACAAAGGACATGAACTCATCATTTTTTATGGCTGCATAGTATTCCATGGTGTATATGTGCCACATTTTCTTAATCCAGTCTATCATTGGTGGACATTTGGGTTGGTTCCAAGTCTTTGCTATTGTGAGTAGTGCCGCAATAAACATACGTGTGCATGTGTCTTTATAGCAGCATGATTTATAATCCTTTGGGTATATACCCAGTAATGGGATGGCTGGGTCAAATGGTATTTCTACTTCTAGATCCTTGAGGAATCGCCACACTGTCTTCCACAATGGTTCAACTAGTTTGCAGTCCCACCAACAGTGTAAAAGTGTTCCTGTTTCTCCACATTCTCTCCAGTACCTGTTGTTTCCTGACTTTTTAATGATCGCCATTGTAACTGGTGTGAGATGATATCTCATTGTGGTTTTGATTTGCATTTCTCTGAACTCATTCCTACTTTCTTAACCCCAGTCGACTGTGCTGTGGATGCTGGTCAGTGCTGGAGATCTGCAGGATGGGCGGAATGTCCTGGTGTATCCTCCTGCCGGGGCTGCCTTCCTACACTGGCTGCTGGGAGCCTGTTACACAGATAGGAGCCTGCCAGGCTGGGGAGGCCCCAGTGACTTAGTCATCCCCTGATCCCCCAGCAGGACTTACAAAGCCTCAGCCTCTGTGCCTTTGAGTCCCCAGCCCTGAGCACTGTGTGACTGAGGCCCGTCCTATTGGCTGTGTCCTCCACCTCCAGCCCCCGGGGTGCCCTGCAGCTTGTGCACACCCACTCTGCATCAGGCTCAGCCCTCCCAGAGCTGACTTCACCATGGAGACACAGACTGTCATGCTTTCCTATTTTCTGTCTAAGGCCTTCATAGAGTTTGTGTTTAAGGTGAGCCTCTTTCCCTTTACCCTGATGAAACATGTGCAAACCTTCCTACCTGGGGGTCATGTGACTTGGGAGCATCCACTCACAAGCTAGCCTTTGTGATACGCACTGAGACCGCTGGGCTGTGGTTCCAGCTGTGCTGCCGACAGCTGTGCAGCTCTCCCCAGGAGGGCCCAGGTGGGGGTCACTTGCCTGGCTGTGGGCTGGGAGTGGTGGGCAGGGCCATGAGGTCCCAGAGTGTGGCCAGAGGGCTGATGCACGGGTGGAATGGCTCCTACTGCCCATGCTGTGTCCCATGAGTGTCCCCGGGGGGGGTTGGCTCTGCTGGGACGCTGAGGGGGGTCCACGCTGCCAGACAGCCTTTTCTCAGCCCAGGCTGAAGCTGAGGGGGTGCTGGGGGTGCTTTCTAGAAGGGGCTGGCGAGGACTAGGCTGGTTGCCAGGGCCCAAGAGGGCTGGGGTTTGGACAGAGCCACTTTTGTGGGGAGGCATGGAGTTTGGAGCGGATGCCAGCTGCAAAGAGCACGTCTGAGGTGCTCATCCCCCAGGCCTGAGGGCTGGATTGACGGCGGGTACGGACAGGCATCCCTGGGGTGGGAAGGGGTGGCAGCTCCAGAGCTTTTCCCGCAGTGACTTGTGCTTGCTGACTTGGGAATGACTCAGCGAGGCAGGACAGGGCTGGGCAATTCATTCAGAAACACCCCTCTTATTCCAGAGCCCAGCCGTGAGCCTCGGCCCTGCAGCCCCGGCTCCCTCCGGGGAGTGACTCTTCTCTTTGATGCTGGGAGGAGGGACCACAGAGTCTGGGGAGGTCTGGGGAGGTGCTGAGAGGGGCCATTGCATTATCCCTGACTTTCAGCAAGGGTCTGGCGGTGATACACAGATGCTGTTGGGGTGTCCTCAGGCCACATCCTTCATGCCCCCACTCCCCACCTCACCAGGACTGGTTCTGACTGACTGGCAGCCAGAGGTGTGTGGCCTTGGGCCCCCGGGGATCAGAGTGCAGGTGGACCTGACTCCAGCCCTCACCTGGATGGACCGTCGGGGCCTGGTGAAACGTCTGGGTGGAAGAGCTTCAGCATCACATAGGCCCGCAGTTGAGGTGTGGCTTAAATAATCACCCTTCAGAAATGCCGGCTCCATTGTGAGTAGTCTCGCTTACTGGGTTTTTGACACTGTCATCTCGAGGACTGGGTGGGATTCCCCTGGTGTTGGAGCCTACCTGGGTGGGAAAGACCCACAGTCAAGGTCAGATGATTCTGACCCCAGGAACCTTTCCCAGGTGGGTGCTGGGATGTGAGAAAAGTGTAGACAAGACAAGTAAAGAGCTGTGAAAAATTACAAATGAGGGCCGGGTGCGGTGGCTCGTGCCTGTAATACCAGCACTTTGGGAGGGTGAGGCGGGTGGATCATGAGGTCAGGAGATCGAGACCATCCTGGCCAACAAGGTGAGACCCCGTCTCTACTAAGAATACAAAAATTAGCTGGGTGTGGATGCGTGCACCTGTAGTCCCAGCTACTCGGGGGGGGCTGAGGCAGGAGAATGGCGTGAACCCCGGGAGGCAGAGGCTGCAGTGAGCTGAGATTGTGCCACTGCACTCCAGCCTGGGCGACAGAGCAAGACTCCGTCTCAAAACAACAACAACAACAAAAAGTATTAATAAACTTATCTATGGCTTTGAGCTTCTGGGCCATATTCCAACCAGTATTTATTAGGAGGCTCTCTGCGCAGGTGAGTGTTGGCTCTGGGGATGTAGTGACGGAGTAAACAGAAGTGTTGCTGCCCGTAGGAAGTGCACACTGCAGGGCTGGGACTCCTATCCCTGGTGCACGAGATAAGGGCCAATTATAACAGTGTACAGGCAGTGTCTCATTATGGTAAACCTAAGGCCTCCCCACATTGATCTTGGCTCCTAAGATTTTATGGTTGAGAATATTGCTTGAAATACTCAAGTTGCAACTTGAAGTGTGTTGGATTGCCTCCCTTTTAGTGTACATGTTTTTGTGTGACTGCATTGGACTTCTTGGTATGGTCAGGTATGTGGGCTGGTTTAAGTGTCCTGTAAAACTCAGGACCCCACGTGGGGAATGCTTTTGAACTTGTATTTTTAATCCTCTTGCACACTTACAGGCCATGTTGCCTCTCGTGATCATGAACACTCTTCCCTGTGTTGCCTGATAGTAGAGGAATAAAGGCCGTAGTTGGATACCGCCTTTCCTTGAGTGTTTCCTTCATGTGTTCTGGCTCACTGCAGCAGCGTTGAGCCCACATGGCCTAGTCCCCAGGTGTATTGTCCCCAGTCGCGTGATTTTGAGAGGCGCCCGTGATGGTGGTCGCGGGTTTGAATCTCGCCCCAGAAGTCACTCACTGGTTAAATGGCCTCCTATTCACTCCACTGGGGAGGGATGGATTCCCGTCCTAGGATGATGGGGATTGCTGAGCACCTGACACTGGACAGATGAGGTCAGCAGCAGTGCGTGAGTAGCACAGAGGCCCAGCCTGGAGGAGGACGTCGCCTGCCATGCGGGGCCACCCGGGGCAGCACTCAGGAGCAGAGGACAGCCAGGTGCTGTGGGGGACAAGCCCGGACCCGGAAGGAACAAGAGGGTGGGGGGCCCCTGGTTCTTGCAGGGGCACATGGGTAGCTTGTCTGAATAATTCCTCTGGATGGCAGGGAACGGAAACCCGCTACCCTCTATAAGCAGGAGCTGTGCCTGATCCCCGTGACAAGAAGGGTTGACTGTGGAGGGATCTTATCCGAAGGAGCAGAGTGGGGCGGGGGACCTGTGGTGAGGCCATTTGAGGCCTCCTGGCTTCAGCAGATGTCAAGGCAATGCATAGTATTGGGCCTTGATTTTTTGTTGTTGTTGAGATGGAGTCTCACTCTTTCACCCAGGCTGGAGTGCAGTGGTGTGATCTCGGCTCACTGAAACCTCCGCCTCCCGGGTTCAAGCAATTCTCGTGCCTCAGCCTTCTACGTAGCTGGGATTATAGGTGTACACCACCACACCGGGCTAATTTTTTTGTATTTTAGTAGAGATGGGGTTTCACCATATTGGCCAGGATGGTCTCGATCTCCTGACCTCATGTGATCCGCCTGCCTTGGCCTCCCAAAGTGCTGGGATTACAGGCATGTGCCACCGCACCTGGCCAGTATTGGACCTTGATTTGGGGGCTGACACCTCAGTCCCTGAGTGCTTCTTGGTCCTCCTCTGCAAATCCGGGACACCTGCCCCTAGCTGTGAGCCCTCGAGGGCAGCACGCTTAGTAAGGGCTTATGAGCGCCGCCGTCACTCTTGCTGCTGCTGTGTTTGCCACACTGAGAGCTCCTGGCAGCGTGGGGGCCACTGGGCTGGGATCTGGGGGTGGGCTCGGGGCACTTCAGGACCCCAGAACCTGAATGACTTGCTGCGTTTCTCGGAGGCAGCATGAAGGACATCCTGGCAGAATTGTAAGAGCTGACACCAGGAGAAAAGCAGGAGGTGACCGTCATGTCATCCGGGCAGGGGATGCTCTTACCTAGTGCCTGGGATGAGCAGTGAGCAGAGAGGCGGGTCATTGTGTCTAATGACCGAGGGATGTTTACAGAGCTGGTAGCCCCCGTCAGTGGGAAAAGTGGCTTTTCCTGGGGCTGCCCCATACCAGGGAGACACCTCCTTCCCTCATCTCACCCTCTTACTCTTCTTCTGCCCCCTACTCTCCCTGCCTTCCCCACTGTTGGCCTTCAGCACATCACCCCCTGGGGTGTCCCGTGATGCCCGCTGCCCCCAGGGGAGTGTGGCATTGTGGGGGTGTTGGCGCTGTCAGCCCCACTGACTGCCCTGAGCTTCTCAAGTCCTGGGATCCACAGCTCTCTGAGCTTTGGGTGCCTGGCCCGAAGTCAAGGCCTAGTCAGTGTTTGTTGAAGGAATGAACGACAGCGTGCCAAAGAAGCTCAGCACAGTCACTATCGTGTTATGAAATAGAGCAGAAGGAAAGTCTGCTCCACGCCATGCTCTGTTTTGGAGCGATGCTTTGACACACGTGTTGGTCCCGGTTGGGATTTAAGGGCCTGGCCAGGAGGTTGTGGTGGGGGCCCTGGGCTGTGGTGAGCAGCCAGCTGTGTAGACTGGAAGAGCCGGGGGCACCTGCTTTGCGTGTGGTTCTCAGGGAGTCTCCAGGTGTGCCCTTGTTGCATGTGCTTTTTCTCTGTGTGAATCATATTTCTGTCCCACCTTTGGTGTCCATCTTCTATGTAAAAACAAAACCAGAAAAACTGCCAAGGGTCTATAATGTGAAGAAAACCAGCACTTTGTGAGTGTATGTGTGTGTGTGTGTGTGTGTTTTTGAGACGAAGTCTTGATCTGTCATCCAGGCTGGAGTGCGATGACACGATCTCAGCTCACTGCAACCTCCGCCTCCTGGGTTCAAGAGATTCTCCCTTCTCAGCATCCTGGTAGCTGGGATTACAGGTGCCTGCCACCATGCCCAGCGAATTTTTCTATTTTTAGTAGAGATGGGGTTTTGCCATGTTGGCCAGGCTGGTCTCGAACTCCTGACCTCAGGTGATCTACCCGCCTGGGCCTCCTGAAGTGCTGGTGGGATTACAGGCATGAGCCACCGCACCCGGCCAGCACTTTGTGTTTTTGAATCTTTAAAGCTTTATCAGGAGCACTAGAAGTTGCTTTTCAGAATAGGAATATTTTTGGTTTGTTCACAAAGATAAGCACACACACTCTAGAAAATTTTGGCTGTACCAAAAGGCATAAAGGAGAAAGGAAAACACCCCCAAACCCAAGCCCAGGGGCCTTTTCCTTTATGTCTTAATTTTCCTTCCGCTGCGCTCTGACTTTTCTGGGGCTGCGTGTGAGCCGAGATGAAGGCGGCTCTCGTCCCCCCAGCGTTTACCGCAGCGCCTCTCCTGTTGGCAGGGGTTGTCATGGCGATGGGCCCTCCCTGAGCCAAGGGGGCACCTCATGGGGCCCTTACATTGAAGAGCGGTCCCTTTGTCCAGGGACAATGGGGCCCTGAAGGACTGTTTGTGTGTCTGGCTCACTTTAATTACCTCCAAGGGGAAGCTCCGGGAAGGGGGTGCGTTCCAGCCTCCGTGGCTCGGAAAGGGGGTGCATTCCAGCCTCTGTGGCTCAGGAAGGGGGTGTGTTCTGGCCTCTGTGGCATGAGCTGAGCAACTAGATATTTCCTTTCCTGAAAATGCTTGAGCCTGGATCCCTCGTTTTAAAAAAATCATTTTTTTATTTCACACCAGAAGACCTTAGCTGTTATTATTACTTCACCTAAATGGGTGAGAGACAGACGCAGAGGGTGCCACGTGGGCCGTCCTCGTCTGCTGGATGCAGAGGGTTAGGAGCTAGCCCAGTTCACTGGTTTTAGAGCCAGCCTTCTGGACATGTTCTTGCCTCCTGCCCTGGAAAGGGACATGGGCTGTCCTTCCTGCATGGCCTCCAGCCCTGTGGCCAGATGTGGCATGAAGTCCCCAGCCTTGTCACCTGCGCCCTGTGAGTGGAGCCGGGCAGCGGGGCACTTCGTGTCTTTCGTTCCTCACTGGACGCATCATGACATCTTGGAGAAGGACTCACCTGTGTGCCGGGTCCCTGGACTGAGCCCCTGCATTGTGCATGGGTACTGCCCTGCCGCACCTGCTACCCTGTTGACCCCCACAGCCATCCCCTCGTGAAACCCCTCCTCCCAGCTCCCTGAGGCCAGCCATCCTCAGGAGCCCCACAGACCCCGCCACCTCACTCCCGTACTCACTACTCACTTGAGCTGACAGCAGGGTCTCCCCCAGCACCGCTGGCACTGCTGATATTCAGGGCCTCTGTGACGGGACATCCTGAGCACTGCTGGGTACAGAGCAGTGACCTGGCCTTTACCTACCACGTAATGGGGTCCAGTAGCACCCACTGTCCAGTTGACTCCCCCACTGAGATGACTGCCATGGAAGTGGGCTGCCCTCTGGATGGCCAGTGGCATGGGCTCAGGGCTCCTTAAACTGTGACAACGCAGTGACCAACACCGACAGAACAGTAGCCTGTGGGTCCCAGGTAGAGAGGAGGCTGGCTTGGCCCAACCCTGCCCTGCTCAGTGGTTTGGGGTACCCATCACCCCCTCTGCACCCCATCTCCTCATCTGTAGAAAGCCGTGATGAGAGCTGCCTTGCAGGTGTCATGGCACATGGGGTCATTGGAGCCCCCGCTTTGCAGGTCTGCACCCCCTTGTCCAGACCCTGTGGTGCCTGTGAACCTGGCCATCTTGGGGACTCTCTAGGACTTGGCCATGGGAGCAGAGAAGTGTCCTCGCAGCCCCCCAGCCCCTCACTCAGTGCAGGCCCTGGGCACTGGAGGGGTGCCAGATACAGGGACAGGATGCCTAGGAGGTGTCGTGTGATGATGACGCCTTTAAAATCTAGCAGAGAAAATGGCTGAGCGCTGGCCTGTCCTGCCCAGATGGAGGCCACTGGTTGGAAAGAGGTGAGGGTCGTGGCTATCCTGGAGCCTTCTGGGAGCTCGGGGTTGCTTTGACCATCGTAGCCGCTGGCCTTGGCGGAGACAACAGCAGGGTCTGACTGCATGGCGGTCCCCGGGGCCCAGTTTCCCAGGTTCACAGACACAGGGAACGTCTCAGGGTCTCAGAGACCATTCTCACGCGGCAGGCGTGTCTCGGCATTCCCATGGGGATTGTGTTATTTATAAACTGTTTAACATATTCATTCTTAGAAATCTGACATTTCTAAATTCCAGCCAAACTGAGACTCACACCGCCTTGGAAGGCGACGCGCCATGGGGTGGGGGTGGCTCTGGAGAGGCCCCTCCCTGAGCCCTGGACGCCCCAGGCGG
Source organism: Homo sapiens (assembly GCF_000001405.40). Lineage (NCBI taxonomy): Eukaryota > Metazoa > Chordata > Mammalia > Primates > Hominidae > Homo > Homo sapiens. The sequence goes on along the minus strand of NC_000022.11, from coordinate 46,508,607 downwards.
TGAGGGGGTGGGAGGCCACGGTGAAGGGGCTGAGGGACAGCTGGAATTTGGCAAGTAAGTGAGGCCCTTTGGTGGGGAGGGGACCCCGGCTGTGAGAAATGCTCAGCAACAAAGGGCTCTGGCAGGAGGACAGTGAGGGGACAGCGAGGGGACAGCAAGGGGCGGGGGTGGGGGGGCCACAGGGTGGGGATGACCACCACGCAGGGGACGGTCAGGGGGAAGCAGGCAGGAGGCAGGGCCCATGTGCCCCTCCCATCCCACCCTCCACCCCCATCACCCTCACCTTCCTCCCGGGGCAAATCCTCCCGCACACCTGCTGGGTGTGTGGACGAGCAGGGCTGGCTTCTGTCCCGCGGGGGCCAGTTGGCGCCCAGGATCTGTTCACCTCTGTGGCCAGGGCAGGGCGAGAGTGGCGAGAGTGGGTGGGAGGGGGTCAGCTGGTGTCCTAGGAGCCGTGGGGGAGGGGGTCTACGCCTGCAGGGCCGAGTCACAAAGGGGCATGTACAGGCTGTGCCGGTTTATGGAAGGCCTGTGGGCCAGGACCAGAGCTGGGCAGTGATGATGACAGCGTTGCTGGCAGCCAGGGCTATCCCGGCGGGACCAAGCTATCCCCAGCATGGTTATCCCACCTAGGAGCCTACGGCCTGGGAACAGCCAGATGGGTGGCCACGGCACAGGACGGCTGAGGTGGGAGGTAGGGGGGTGTGAGGAGGTAGCCATGTCCTTTCTCCATGCAGCCCCCCAGTGCCTCCTCTGACTGCCCACTGTACTCTGGGCTGTGTTAGGTTCTGGGAAAGAGGCAGGCTCGCCGGCTTCACAGTGCTCACCTGTAGTGGGGCCCCTGCCCCACTGAACAGGCTCCCCAGTACTCTAGGGGCGGGGCTTCGGGCGGCACAGCCAGCAAGTTTCAGGGATGGGAGAGGGAGTCCAGACTGCAGCCTGTGAGCCCAGACTGCGGGCGAGGCAGGAGGAGGAGGCGGGTCACAGCGGGGCCCCTGCACTGAGGGGTGCACGTGGCCTGGTGAGGGGTTGGGGAGGAGTGTTGGGCTGGGACTCACACCGCAGGCTGTTGGGGCCTGGGGCACACCGAGTATAGCCCACCTGAGCCAGGGCCACACAGAGGCCGGGGAGGGAGGGAGCCGCTGGGGCAGCTGGAGTACGCTGCAGCTGCTCGGGGTGCTGTGGGGGTCATCATGGGCCCCCTGCCTCGGCTGCTGAAGGGGAGGCAGTGATGGTGTCTTCTTGGTAGTCCAGTAGCTCCCTGGCTACCCCCCCGACTTCAGCAGGCATTGTGGTGCTGGACGGAGGCCCCCCAGCCGTGGCTTCTCACCTGTGGCCTCTGTGCTCTCTCTGGGGTGCTTGGGGTTGCTGCCCCGGTGGCTCCATTGGAATCGGTTTGTTTTTTATTTTGTTTTCTTTTTTAGACAGAGTTTCACTCTTGTCGCCCAGGCTGGAGTGCAGTGGTGCGGTCTCAGCTCACTGCAACCTCCGCCTCCCTGGTTCAAGCGATCCTCCAGCCTCAGCCTCCCGAGTAGCTGGGATTATAGGCACACACCACCACACCTGGCTAATTTTTGTATTTTTAGTAGAGTCGGGGTTTCACCGTGTTGGCCAGGCTCCTGACCTCAGGTGATCCACCCGCCTCGGCCTCCCAAAGTGCTGGGATTACAAACGTGAGCCACCACGCCCCGCCTGGAATCGGTTTTTATGTGTTGGAAAAAAGGACTTCCTGTGTGTGCAGGCTGTGTCCTGGTGGTGCGGGTGACAGACCGTGGAGAAGACACCCCCGGGCTTGGCCTCAGCTTCCTGTTATCGGGCATCTTTCCGGAGAGATCTCAGCATCTGTCCACATTTGGATGGTGGCACAGAGATCTTAAAATTAGAACGTAACTCTCGATTTGGGCTTGTCTCAGCGGCTGTGCGTCACTGCGGGTAGGGAGGGTATGCCCTGAAAACTGATCTAGAATGTAGATGTTGAAAGTCCTAGAAACATCACCCTAAGGAAGTGGTCTTGGAAATGGGTGAGAATTCCAGGAGGTGAGACAGCTCTCTGGACTTGTGAGACTTGGGGGGCTGGGGCTGGGGCTGAGGCTGGCAGAACGCAGACCTGAGGCAGGGCCGGTTGGGCTGGACTCTTGCTGGACTGTGATACACAAAGGGAGGCCTAGTGTGAGGCCTGCAGGGGTTGAGCCCAAGTCTGAGATCTGGGAAACTGAGGGGCTCAGTAAGTCTGAGGAGGGAGGTGGGGCCTCCCCAAACCCCAACAGGGCCTGCGGGGCTCTGCTGCTCCCCCAGGCCAGGCACGGTGGAGGTGCCAGGCTTGGAGGGATCATGGCGGGTGCTCTGCATGTCCATCCAGAACCCAGCAATCCGTCAGTAGTCAGTAGTTTCTTTTCTGTCTTTCTTTCTTTTTCTTTTTTTTTTTTTTTTTTTTGGAGACAGTCTCTGTCGCCCAGGCTGGACTGCAATGGTGTGATCTCAGCTCACTGCAACCTCGTCCTCCCAGGTTCAAGTGATTCTCCTGCCTCAGCCTCCCGAGTAGCTGGGATTACAGGTGCCTGCCACCATGCCCTGCTAATTTTTGTATTTTTAGTAGAGACAGGGTTTCACCACATTGGCCAGTCTGGTCTCAAACTCCTGACCTCAAGTGATCCACCTGCCTCGGCCTCCCAAAGTGCTGGGATTACAGGCATGAGCCACCACGCCCAGCCAGTAGTTTCTTTTTGACGGGAAGGCAAGGATGGGTAGAATAGATTTATTTTTTAAAATCCTTAGGAATCTCATTAATAAAAAAAGTAAAACATCATTGTAAAAATTCAAAGAGAGGTGCATAAAGTAGCAAATCAACGCTTTCTGGGTGTCTTTCCGAACATTTTTCTTTGGGTATAAACATATACACCATTTCTGTGTTTCCCCACCCACCTCCAAGTGCAAATTGCTTTTTATTTTTATTTATTAATTTATTTTGAGACCAGGTCTTACTCTGTCACCCAAGCTGGAGTGCAGTAGCATGATCTCAACTCACTGCAGTGGGATCTTGACTCAGTGCAGCCTCCACTCTCAGGCTCAAGCAGTCCTCCCACCTCAGCCTCCCCAGTAGCTGGGACTACAGGTGCATACTCACTTTTGTATTGTTTATAGAGACCAGGTCTCGCTGTGTTGCCCAGGCTGGTTTCAAACTCCTGGGCTCAAACAATTTTCCCACCTCAGCCTTCCAAAGTGCTGGGATTATGAGTGTGAGCCACCGCGCCCGGTTTGCAAGTTGCTTTTTAAGGATGTTTGATTGCAGACCTTGCGTTCTAGCAAATGAAGACCTGCCTTGCTCTTTTTTTTTTTTTTTTTTTTTGAGACAGAGTCTTGCTCTGTCGCCCAGGCTGGAGTGCAGTGGCGCCATCTCGGCTCATTGCAAGCTCTGCCTCCCGGGTTCACGCCATTCTCCTGCCTCAGCCTCCCGAGTAGCTGGGACTACAGGAGCCCGCCACCATGCCTTGCTGATTTTTTGTATTTTTAATAGAGACGGGGTTTCACCGTGTTAGCCAGGATGGTCTCGATCTCCTGACCTCATGATCCGCCCGCCTCGGCCTCCCAAAGTGCTGGGATTACAGGCGTGAGCCGCCGCACCCGGCCTTTCCTTGCTCTTTTGAGATGGCCTCATTTTCCACTGTGTTGATGTATTGCAATATATTCAGCCAGCACTCTTTTTTATATTTGTTTCCAAGTTTCTTTTTCATATAACATTTCAGGGAACATTAGTTTGATGTGTGGTCTGTGTGTGTGTGAGTAACTTTTGAGGTTTTGCTGAGGAATAAATTTTCAGAAGTGAAATTACTGGTGCGGAGGATTTGCATACCTCACATTTGATAACCGTGGTCAAATGGCCTCGGGAATATTTGTGCTAATTAATACTAGAGCCAGCCGTGTGTGAAGATGAAATCTGCCATATTTTCATCCTCATTGGAGAGATTAGCTCTTTTATTCTTTTCTAATCCTGTAGGTAAAAATAAATGTCTTCCTTTTTTGATTTGCATGTCTCTTTGGGGAAGATGCAGTTTTTTATCTGCTTAGCAGCCATTCCTGTTTTTTTTTGTTTTTTTTTTTTTTTTGGAGACAGATGTCGCCAGGCTGGGATGCAGTGGCGCAATCTCAGCTCACTGCTGCCTCCGCCTCCTGGGTTCAAGCGATTCTCCTGCCTCGGCCTCCCAAGTGGTTGGGACTACAGGTGCCTGCCACCATACCCGGCTAATTTTTTTGTGTTTTTAGTAGAGATGGGGTTTCAACATATTGACCAGGCTGATCTCAAACTCCTGACCTTGTGATCCGCCTGCCTTGGCCTCCCAAAGTGCTGGGATTATAGGTGTGAGCCACTGCGCTTGGCCAGCCATTCCTGTTTTTTCTGTGAATTGCCAGTCTGCAGTTTCAGTTAGATTGCTTATCTTTTATCGATTTACATTTCTTTAACTATTTTGAATTTTTAACTTGTTGCAAATATCTTTCATAATTTTGAATTTTATTTTAACTCAATGGTCTCTTTTGCCATGTAGGTCTTAAATGTTTATGTTTTTCTTTTTCTCTTCTTGAGACAAGGTCTTGCTCTGTTGCCCAGGCCGGAGTGCATGGTACTGTCATAGCTCACTGTAACCTCAAATCCTGGGTTCAAGCCATCCTCCTGCCTCAGCCTCCTGAGTAGCTGGGACTACGGATGCACATCGCCACACCTGGCTACTTTTAAAATTTTTTAGTTTTTATCAGAGGTCTTGCTGTGTTGCCAGGGCTGGTCTCAAACTCCTGGCCTTAAGCAGTTTCTCCTGCCTCAGCCTCCCAAAGTGCTGGGATTACCGGCGTGAGACGCTGCACCCAGCCTTAAATATTTTTTGTTGTGGGATCTCCGTCTTGTTCATTAGTGGCTTCTGTGTGCCATTGGACAACTTGCTTAACTTCTTTGGGCCCCGTTTTCGGTTTTTAAAAATAGGGACAGTAATACTGACCCCGTAGGGTTGCATGAGGCTTAAGTGAAGGAACGGGCGGATCAAGAAGTGCCTGGTCCGGCCTCGGGCCTCTTGGCTTCCTCTCGCTGGATGCAGTTGGTTGAGTTCATAGTGAATGTGGTTCTTCCTGTGTCTCAGTAGCCTCCCGTGGTCACAGTGGGGACGGCTGTAGGGGCCTCCCCTGTGTCCTCACCACCATGGGGATGGCAGGGAGGGGAGATCAGTGCACCCAGGCTGGGAAACAGAAGGAAGTACAGGTGTGGCTCCCGTCCTGCGTGCTCAGCACCCTCTCAGCTGCCCTGGTAGCGTCTGGCATGAAAGGGTCGCTGGAAGCAGAGGCTGAATCTCCCAGCAAAGGGTCTGCTGCCCTCCTGGCTGGAGCGAGGCAGGTTGGATTGCTGGGGGCTGGCCTCTATTCCAAGGGCTCCAAGTCTGCTTGGGTCTTAGGTCCTGTCCCTGTCCTGTGATTATAGCTAAGCTGAGTCTTGTCCATCTGAGGCCATCCGAGGCCACTTACCTCATCAGGAGAGAGCCTCCCCCGACTGTTAAGGGACAAAGCTGCTGCAGAGGGTGGGCACGGAGAAGGGGGGCTGTCCTGGAGTTGCCCATGGAGTGGGCACTTCCAACTCGAGCCTTTGATCTTCTCTCCGAGTGCCGTGGCCTGCGGGGACCTGCTCCCGGGGTGCACACTCTTGTGCAGCTTGCTGTCTCCCGGGAATTATGTTAAGGTCAGCAGTGGCTGTACCACCTCTTACGGAGCATGCTTCTTTAAAAACGCCTTGCTGCCGATTTTGGCCACGGTGGTTTAATAGTTAATGTTAAGGGGGAACAGTTAGAGAGAGTCAGGAGAGTGTGGGGCTATGATCATGGGGTTCATCTGTCACTTGCCTGGTGACCTCAGGTTTGTCACTCAGCTTCTGAGAATCTCGATTTCCCCATGTGACAGTGGGGTGGTGAGACCAATTTCACAGGGATTTGTAAAGCACAAAGCAAAGTATTGGCCATGCCACTGGGGCTTCGGAAGAGTCAGCTTTGTCACTAGTGACTTTGATCACCAGTTTCTCAATAACGTCCCTCTCTCCCTCCCTCCTTTTCTGCGTCTTTCCCTCCCTCTCTTCCCTCCTCTTTCTCCTTTCCTTCCCCTTCCCTCCCCTTTCCCCTTCCCTCTTCTTTCCACTTTACCCTTCCCTCCCCTTCCCTCCCCTTTCCCCTTCCCTCTTCTTTCCACTTTACCCTTCCCTCCCCTTTCCCCTTTCCTCCAACTTTCCCCACCTCCTCTCCCCCTCCCTACCCTCCCCTCTTCCTCCCCTCTTCCTCCCCTCCCCACCCTCCCTTCCCCTTCCCTTCCCTTTCTTTTCTTGAGATGAGGTCTCACTCTGTCACCCAGGCTGGAGTGCAGTGGCACAATCATAGCTCACTGCAGCCCCGACCTCCTGGGCTCAAGTGATCCTCCCACCTCAGCCTCCTGAGTAGCTGGGACTGCAGGCTTGTGCGCCACTGTGCCCAGCTACTTTATTTTTTCTGGAGATGGAGCCTTGCTACATTGCCTGGACTGGTCTCAAAATCCTGGGCTCAAGGGATACTCCTACTTTGGCCTCCCAAGGTGCTGGGGTTACAGGCCTGAACCACCACGCCCAGCCCTGTTTTCTACAGGGCAGTTTTCTGAGTAGTTTATAAAAATGTAATGAGCTTCCTCTGCTCCTTCAGAATGAAGTGAGTCACATATTACTCCCTGGAGGGTGCAGATCAGATGATTTTTCTTTGTTTTCTCTTCAAGACAAGGAAGCCCATGACTGTGCCAGCGGGGGAACTCTTCGGGAATTCTTTTTGGGGAATTACTCTTGGAGTTCATGGAAAGATCCATTCTGCTATTGCTCATCTGAGATGTCAGTGTTGAAGGGAGTGATGTTTGGCATTTAAAAACAAATAACATTTCAGATCTTTGTTGCATTGACTGAAGGAAAAAAAGCACATCATACAGTGTTTTGGCTCACAGCTTGTTTTCAGCTTTCAGGGCTGGATATTTGCGTGTTTCCGTAGGTTCCTATGAGATGCCACTTCACGAAAAGGTCTCCTATTAGCTTATTTAAATGTCTGTTTAAAACTTTTCTTAGTGGGGCAGGGCGCGGTGGCTCACACCTGTAATACCAGCACTCTGGGAGGTCGAGGCGGGTGGATCACCTGAGGTCAGGAATTTGAGACCAGCCTGGCCAACATGGTGAAACCTCGTCTCTACTAAAAATACAAAAATTAGCCCGGCGTGGTGGTGCATGCCTGTAATCCCAGCTACTCTGGAGGTTGAGGCAGGAGAATGGCTTGAATCGGGAGGTGGAAGTTACAGTGAGCCGAGATCACACCACTGCACTCCAGCCAGGGCAACAGAGCGAGACTCTGTCTCAAAAAAAAAAAAAAAAAAAAAAAAATTAGCCGGGCATGATGGCGGGTGCCTGTAAGCCCAGTTACTGGGAGGCTGAGGCAGGAGAATTGCTTGAACCCGGGAGGCGAAGGTTGCGGTGAGCTGAGATCATGCCATTGCACTCTAGCCTGGGTGACAGAGCAAGACTCTGTCTCAATAAAAAATGAAATAAAATAAAATAAAAAATAAAATAAAATAAATAAATAAATAAACTTTTCTTAGTGGAAACATCTTAACATTTCAGATCTTTGGGTCTCTGGAGGGGTGTTAGAAACAGGGTTCTCAGCACTTGGCATGTAAATGGGCTGATTTTCGGGTCCCATCATGGGCGTGCTTACAAGGACAGCTCTGCCCGCAGATGGGGGATGTTCTGAGCCTGAGAGACGCAATGTAGTGGCCTGACCTGCTGCTGGCCTCCCGGGCAGCTCCAGTTGTGGGGACACGGTGGTGAGCTTCATTCTGAAACTGCAGTCAAAGGCTCCCAGGTCACCCAGAAAACAGACCAGATAATTATAATAAAGTAAGAAAAATGGCATCTGACAAAAGGCCTGCAGAGTCATTGTTGTAAACTCCCCCAGAGATCAAAAAACACAGGTGTGGGCTAGCTCGGGCCTCTGTTCTTCTGTGACAAGTTATGGGTGTCATTGACGCCCCCTTTGGAAGCTCCCAGAGCTCCCAGTGGCCTTTGTGCTCAGAGCCCATTCAGCACACCCCAGTCATCTGAATAAGCCCAGAGCCTTGCCATTGTCCCCATGGTTGCCCATCAACCGTTCGCCCTCCTGCACCGACTGCCAGTTTCCATGGTTACCGCCACCGCTGTAAATGTGATCTCTGCGCCATGGGGGAGGGGGCTGTCAGCGGCTCCATATAAAAGGTCATCTCCAGCAGGCAGTTAAAACCTAGCGCGGTGCTGAAAACCGGGCGCCAGGGTTTTGTCGCAGTTATGTCCCTTCCTTGAGTCCTGCAGACACCGTGAGCCCAGCTTTCCTGCTGAGCAATGCTGGGAGGACCAGGGGCTGGGGTGGGATCATGCTGGGAGGACCAGGGGCTGGGGTGGGATCATGCTGGGAGGACCAGGGGCTGGGGTGGGATCATGCTGGGAGGATCAGGGGCTGGGGTGGGATCAGAGCAGAGAGTCCGGACTCACAGAAAACAACCCGTTTGGGAAGATAAGCGGGAGAGGTCGCCGCTGAGCCTTGAGCCAGGCATGGGGTGGAAATGGACATTCAGGGTGGTGGGGGCGGCCGCTGGGTGGTGATGGTCACTCCTGGAGCCTGGCGTGTTCTGGAGGAGAGGAAGAGGCACGGTTCTGGCTTTTAGGAGAGGGGTTTGCAGACGGTGGAGGGGTTTTATGTCTGACAGATGAGAAGGATCCAGAAGAGGGCCATCCCGGGCCAGCGCCTAATGGCTTGGGGTTCTGAGGGACGAGAGCAGAGGATGCTGGGAGATGGTGTCCCAAGGGTGGGGGACCAGGAGCACGCGGGAAGCTGCCTCGATACAGTTTGAGAAAATTCTGCAAAATCTCCTGTGGTAGGGACAGATGGGGGTGTGGGTCATGTTACATTTCTTGCTCTTGTGACTCAGTGGTGACCGTCCTTGGGACAAGTCTTTGCATATCTGTGCCAGGGCTTCCTGAAAATAGATATATACAATTGGATGGATTTATCGTGTTTAAAGCTTGATCACATTACCAAATTGTCCCAAAAAAGTGCTTTGCTGATTGATATTCTCGCCACTGGCATCTAAGCCTGTTCGTCTATGTCCTCACAGGCTTGATGTTATCATTGTCTAAGATTTTTGCCAATCTGATGGGTACTAAGTAGCCTGTGATTTTCACCTTCCTCTGATTCCTTTGCCAGGAAGCTTCGTTTCAGATGTTGACTGGCTGTCTGTATTTCTTGTGGTCTGCCAATTCCTGTCCTGTCTCAGTTTTCCTCTGTGGTTTCTGTGTGGGGGTTAGCATTGCTGAGCCCAGGAGTGTAAAACTCTCCCATGTTTAACTTTTTTTTTTTTTTTTTTTTAGATTTGCAACAGAGTCTTACTCTATCGCCCAGGCTGGAGTGCAGTGGCACGATCTCGGCTCACTGCAACCGCCATCGCCCGGGCTCAAGCAATTCTCCTGCCTCAGTCTCCGGAGTAGCTGGGATTACAGGCGTGAGCCACCATGCCTGGCTAATTTTTGTATTTTTAGTAGAGACAGGGTTTCACCATGTTGGCCAGGCTGGTCTTGAACTCCTGACCTCAGGTAGTCCACCTGCCTCGGCCTCCCAGAGTGCTGGGATTACAGGTGTGAGCCACCGAGCCCGGCCCCATGTTTTACTTTAATGGTTTATAGGCTTATTTCCCATCATGGGTTGCTCTTTAATTTATTGAGTTAATTTTGGGGTAATGTTAGGGGGCGGAGGCTTAGTTTTCCCAGTTGTCTTAATATCTTTTATTTGAAGAGTCTCTCCCACCATCCCTGAAATGCCACCTTTTATCATAAACCTCATTCCACAGCCACAGGAGAGGAAGCGTCTGTCACCTCCCTGTCCATGTTTATTTCTATCCCATACCACCGGAGTGTTGTTTTTTCTTTTTCTTTTTTTTTTTTTTGAGACAGAGTCTCACTCTGTCCCCAGGGTACAGTGGAGTGGGACAATCTCAGCTCACTACAACCTCCGCCTCCTGGATTCAAGTGACTCTCCTGCCTCAGCCTCCTGAGTACCTGGGATTACAGGCCCCCTGCCACCACGCCCGGCTAATTTTTTTGTATTTTTAGTAGAGGTGGGGTTTCACCATGTTGGCCAAGCTGGTCTTGAACTCTTGACCTCAGGCGATCCATCCGCCTTGGCCTCCCAGAGTGCTGGGATTACAGGCGTGAGCCACCGTGGCTGATCCCACTGGACTATCTTTTTTTTTTTTTTTTTTTTTTTGAGACAGAGTTTCGCTTTTTTTTTTTTTTTTTTTTTTTTTTTGAGACAGAGTTTCACTCTTGTTGCCCAGGCTGGAGTGCAGTGGCACGATCTTGGCTCATTGCAACCTCCACCTCCCGTGTTAAAGTGATTCTCCTGCCTCAGCCTCCCGAGTAGCTGGGACTTACAGGTGTGCGCCACCACACCCAGCTAATTTTGTATTTTTATTAGAGACGGGGTTTCTCCATGTTGGTCAGGCTGGTCTCCAACTCCCGACCTCAGGCGATCCACCCACCTTGGCCTCCCAAAGTGCTGGGATTACAAGCGTGAGCCACCGTGCCTGGCCCCACCAGACTATCTTAATCACAGTTACATTCTAGCATATTCTGAGAGGTGGTGGAGCACATTTTCTCCCATTGTTCTTTTACATAGTTTTCTTAGATTATTCTAATGGGTACTCTCTTCTGTGTGAGCTCAATAAATACATTATAAAGGTCTGTTGAATTAGAAAAGAAAACCCCATAGGAATCTGGTGAGAATAACATTGTGTTTAAGGATTACTCCATGTAGTAGGTTGAACAGTGTCCCCCACCCCCAGAAGATATGAATGCCCAGAACATGTAACATGACTTATTTGGAAAAAAAGTCTTTGTAGATATAACTAAATTAAGGATTTTTGAGATGGGATCATCCTGGATTAGGGGCCCTAACTCCAATGGCAAGTCCTTCTAAAAGAAGAGAGCAGGAGAATACACAGACATAGAGCACAGAGAATGTGTGAAGACCAGAGAGTAGGATGATGTAGCCCCAACCCAAGGAACTCCTCTGGCTACTACCAGAGACCCGGGACAGAGGCCTGGGACAGATTCTCCCGGGGAGAGAGATTCTCCTTGCCAGACTTTGTATTAAGTCCCAGGTATACAACATTGTAATGGAAGTCTTAGTCAATGCAGTAAGACAAGAAAAAGAATTGCTATAAACATTGAAAAGGATGAGATAACATTGCTGTTATTCACAGATGATAAAGTTACGTATAAAGAAAATAAAATAAAACATGCAAATAAATGATTAAATAATAAGTGCTTTCAGCAGGATTGCTGGATACTTATAGTGAAGTGAGGCATAATGATGTTTCTGTCAAGGACGGGCTGCATATAGGATGGTGGTGTCATATGATGATAATGGAGCTGAAAAATTCTTACTGCCTCCTTGCAGTCACAGCCATGATAGTGTCATAGTGCAACACATTACTCATGTGTTTGTGGTGATGCTGGTGTAAGCAAACCTGTGCTACCAGTCGTGTAAAATTCTAGCACACACGGTTATGTATAGTTCATAACACTTGATCATTATAATAAATGATTATGTCACTGGTCATTTACTGTATGTATTTACTGTACTATACTCTTTATTATTATTATTTCAGTGTGTACTCCTTCTACTTACATTTAAAAAAAAAAAGTTAACTGTAAAATAGCCTCAGTCTGGCCCTTCAGGTTTTCCAGAAGAAGGCATTATTAGTATAGATGGTGACAGCTCCCTGTGTGCTGCTGCCTCTGAAGACTTCCCGATGGGACAAGATATGGAGGTGGAAGACAGTGATATTGATGATCCTAACCCTGCATAGGCCTAGGCTAAGGTGTGTGTTTATGTCTTGGTTTTTAACACAAAGTAAAAAAAAAAAATTAATAGATAAAAGCTTATAGAATAAGGATATAAAGAAAGAAAAAATATATATATTTTTTGAGATAGAGTTTTACTCAGTTACCCAGGCGGGAGTGCAGTGGCGTGATCTTGGCTCACTGCAACCTCCGTCTCCTGGGCTCAAGTGATTTTCCTGCCTCACCCTCCTGAGTAGCTGGGAGTACAGGTGTATGCCACCACACCAGGCTAGTTTTTGTGTTTTTAGTAGAGACAGGGTTTCACCATGTTGGCCAGGCTGGACTCGAACTCCTGACCTCAGGTGATCCACCTGCCTCGGCCTCCCAAAGTGCTGGGATTACAGGCGTGAGCCACTGTGCTTGGCCCAAGAAAATATTTTTGAACAGCTGTACAATGTGTGTTTTAAGCTAAGTGTTGTTACAAAAGAGTCAATTTTTTTTTTTTTTTTTTGAGACAAAGTCTCATTCTGTTGCCCAGGCTGGAGTGCAGAGTGCAGTGGTGCCATCTTGGCTCACTGCAACCCCCACCTCCCGAGTTCAAGTGATTCTCCTGCCTCAGCCTCCCGAGTAGCTAGGATTACAAGCTTGCACCACCATGTCCAGCTAATTTTTATATTTTTAGTAGAGACAGGGTTTCACCATGTTGGCCAGGGTGGTCTTGAACTCCTGACCTCAGGTGATCCGCCCACCTTGGCCTCCCAAAGCGCTGGGATTACAGGCATGAGCCACCATGCCCAGCCAAGAAATTTTTTAAATTAAAAACTTTATAAAGTAAAATAGTTATGGTAAACTAAGGTTAATTTAGTATCAAATAAAGAAAAAAAAATATATTTTTTGAGATGGAGTTTCGCTCTTGTTGCCCAAGCTGGAGTGCAAAGGCACGATCTCGGCTCACTGCAACCTTCGCCTCCCAGGTTCAAGCGATTCTCCTGACTCAGCCTCCAAGTAGCTGGGACTATAGGCGCCCACCACCATGCCTGGCTAAACAGGGTTTCGTCATGTTAGCTAGGCTGGTCTCGAACTGCTGACCTCAGGTAATCTGCCTGTCTCGGCCTCCCAAAGTGCTGGGATTACAGGCGTGAGCCACTGTGCCCAGCCAAGAAAAATTTTCTGTATAAATGTAGTGCAGCCTGGTGTTCAGTGTTGATAAAGTCTGCAGGAGTGCACAGTTATGTCCTAGGCCTTCACATTCACTCACCACTCACCCACTTACCCAGGGCAACTTCCAGTCCTGAAACCTTCATTCCTGGTAAGTACCCTATATAGGTGTACTGTTTTTAATGTTATACCATGTTCTCACTGTGCCTTTTCTATATTTAGATATGTTTAGACTTACAAATATTTGCCTTTGTATTACAGTTGCTTACAGTACTCAGTACAGTAACATGCTGTACAGGTGTGTAGCTTGGAAGCAGTTGGTTATACCACAGCCTAGGTGTGTAGCAGGCTGTACCAGCCATGTCTAAGCCTAGAAGCAGTCAGTTATACTACAGTCTAGGTGTGCAGTAGGCTGTACCAGCTGGGTCTAAGCCTAGGAGCAGTCGGTTTTACCATAGTCTAGGTGTGTAGTAGGCTGTACCAGCTGGGTCTAGCTAGGTTTGTCTAAGGACACTCTGTGATGTTCACCCAACGATGAAGTCATCTAACAACGCATTTCTCAGAATGTTTTCCCCAGTCTTTAAGTGATGCACGATTGTACTGTTTTTAAAAATGTGTTTCTGTGTGCTGGCAATAAATGAAAAGTGAAATATATAACCTACAATAGTATAAAAAGATAACATAACCAAGAATAAATGTAATGAAAGATGGGCAGAACACTATAAAATGTTACTCAGAGAAATTCAGGGCTGGGTGCAGTGGCTCATGACTGTAATCCCAGCACTTTGGGAGACCGAGGCGGGCGGATCACTTGAGGTCAGTAGTTCGAGACCAGCCTGCTAACATGGTGAAACCTCGGTCTCTACTAAAAATACAGAAATTAGCCAGGCGTGGTGGCATGCCTGTAATCCCGGCTACTCTGGAGGCTGAGGCATGAGAATTGCTTGAGCCTGGGAGGCAGAGGTTTCAGTGAGCCTAGATCATACCATTGCATTCCAGCCTGGGCAACAGAATGAGACTACATCTCAAAAAAATAAAATAAAATAAATTAAGAAGGACTTAAATAAATGGAGGGCTTAACAATGTTTATGGATTAGAAGACTCAATGTTATGAAGATATCATTTCTTCCCAGACTGGTCTGTAGATTCAGTGCAGTGCCAATCAAATTGGTACAGAATAATTTAGAGGAAGTTGAAAAAAATTGACAATCTGATTCTAAAATTTATCTGTAAATAAAATTGGCTGAGAATAGCCAAGGCCACTTTGAGGAAGAGCTGAGGTGGGAGGACTTGGTTGGCTGGATGTCAAGGCTTGTTATAGAGCCACTGTAATTAGGAGAGTGTGTCATTAAGAGTGGCCAAGGATAGCCAGATAGGCCAGCGGAATGGAAGAGAGAGCCCAGAAAACAGGCTCAACATATTTAACAGTGTAGCCAGTCAAGTCACAAGGAATAAAGAAATCATAGAGCTGAATTGTCCTCCGCGAGGGTAGATTGTGTGTCTGCCTTTTTTTCTGAATCTGTTTCATTCTTAATATTCTTTTTTGACCTGTTTTCCAGTTTACTAGCTTGCTTAGCTGGGTACAATCTCATCTTACTCGGAGAAGTAAGGTATTAGTGTGTTCTCACACTGATAATAAAGACATACCTGAGACTAGGTAATATATAAAGAAAAATGGTTTAATTGACTCACAGTCCCACATGGCTGGGGAGGCCTCACAATCATGGTGGAAAGCAAAGGAGGATCAAAGTCACATCTTACATGGTGGCAGGCAAGAGAAAGCTTGTGCAGGGGAACTCCTCTATAAAAACGTCAGATCTCATGAGACCTTGTTCACTATGACGAGAACAGCACAGAAAAGACCTGCCCCCATAATTTAGTTACCTCCCACTGGGTCCCTGCCACAACACGTGGGAATCGTGGGAGCTACAATTCAAGATGAGATTTGGGTGGGGACACAGCCAAATCATATCACTAATGAAATTTTAATCTTTTTTTTTTTTTTTTTGAGACGGAGTCTCGTTCTGTCACCCAGGCTGGAGTGCAATGGCATGATCTTGGCTCACTGCAACCTCTGCCTCCCAGGTTCAAGCGATTCTCCTACCTCAGCCTCCCAAGTAGCTGGGATTACAGGTGCCCACCACCACACCCAGCTAATTTTTGTATTTTTAGTAGAGATGGGTTTTCACCATGTTAGCCAGGATGGTCTTGATCTCCTGATCTCAGGTGATCCACCCGCCTTGGCTTCCCAAAGTTCTGGGATTACAGGCATGAGCCACCACGCCCCGCCTGTTTTTATTTTTTGAGTCAGGGTCTTTTTCTGCTGCCCAGGCTGGAGTGCAGTGGTGCCATCATGGCTCATTGCAGCCTCCAACTCCTGGGCTCAACTGATCTTCCTGCCTCAGCCTCCCAAGTAGCTGGGACCACAAGTGTGAGCCACCATGCCTGGCTAATTTTTTTACTTTTATTTTTTGTAGAGATAGGATCTGGCTATGTTTCCCAGGCTGGTCTGGAATTCCCAGCCTCAAGCGATCCTCCCATCTCGGTTTCCCAAAGCACTGGGATTATAGACACGTGCTTTGTTTAGTCTGTTCTCTTACATACTTTTTCTCTCCCAGAGAAATATTAAATGTTTTCCATGCTCTTTTTGTCTACCTTCTAATATTTTGTCCTGTTACCAAGAACCTGGTTTTTTTCTGAGACAGAGAGTCACTGTCGCCCAAACTGGAGTGCAGTGGCATGATCTTGGCTATCTTGGCTCACTGTTGGCAACCTCTACTGTCCTCCTGGGTTTCGGCCGAGCACGGTGGATCTTGCCTCGAGCGATTCTCCTGCCTCAGCCTCCCAAGTAGCTGGGATTGCTTACACGCCCAGCTAATTTTTGTTATTTTTAGTAGAGACGGGGTTTCACCATGTTGGCCAGGCTAGTCTTGAACTCCTGATTTCAGGTGATCTGCCTGCCTCAGCCTCCCAAAGTGCTGGGTTTACAGGCGTGAGCCACTGCGCCTGGCCCCAAGAGCCTGTTTCTAATCTGGAAGAATATATATCCAGGTGGGAATAACACAAGCTACCAGTTTTTAAAACAAAGGGGTGCATTTTTATGGAAAAGAAAAAAGAGGTAATTTCTGTCCCTGGTTGAAATTGGGCCAGAAAGACTTTGCGCCGGGAATTAAAGCAGGACTGTGTATCAGTGTGCCCCATGTTGTTAGTGTACATAGATAAGAAACACGTAACTGAGACCATTGAGGGCTGACATATTTTAAAGGAGAATTTTACAATGAGAAGTGGAACTTGTGTTTTGAAATGAGACTAGCCTGTGAACGTGGAGATCTTCTGTCTGGTAGCATCTGGCATGTTGGCCGGCTTCATTCCTGGAGGAATGACTGAGCCTGCAGACCTGCTGGAGCCTGGGAAGCAGCCCCGAGGGAACGTCCTGCTTCTGCCATTGCAGGTCGCAGCGCCCTGACCGTTGCCTTCTCGTGGCAGTTGTTTCCTTGTGTGTCTTAGCTCAGCCTTGCCCAGCCTTTTGCTAGGCACTTGCGAGGTGCTGGTGAAACAGACGTGGGGTGAAGCCTGGAAAGACATCACTTACCTGAAAATATTAAAAAGAATAGAGAGGCGCGACATCGTGGCTCATGCCTATAATCCCAGCACTTTGGGAGGCTGAGGCAGATGGATCACCTGAGGTCAGGAGTTCGAGACCAGCCTGGCCAACATGGTGAAACCCCGTCTCTACTAAAAATACAAACATTAGCCGGGCGTGGTGGCGTGTGCGCCTGTAATCCCAGCTACCTGGGAGGCTGAGGCAGGAGAATTGCTTGAATTCGGGAGGTGAACATTGCAGTGAGCTGAGATTGTGCCACTGTACTCCAGCCTGGGTGACAGAATAACACCCTGTCTAAAAAAAAAAAAAAAAGAGAGAGAGAGAATAGAGACTATGTTTCCTTTCTGCTAGTTCACAAGAAAAACTTTTAAAAAGTTACTTTCTCACGGCTGGGCGTGGTGGCTCACACCTGTAATCCCAGCACTTTGGGAGGCCGAAGTGGGCAGATCACAAGGTCAGGAGTATGAGACCAGCCTGGCCAATATGGTGAAACCCCATCTCTACTAAAAAATACAAAAATTAGCCAGGTATGGTGGTGGATGCCTGCAGTCCTAGCTACTCGGGAGGCTGAGGCAGGAGAATCACTTGAACCTGGGAGGCAGAGCTTGCAGTGAGCTGAGATTGCACCACTGCATTCCAGCCTGGGCGACAGAGCTAGACTCTGTCTCAAAAAAAAAAAAAAAAAAAGTGACTTTCTGGCTAGATTTCTTTAGTATAGTGGCACTCAGATGGGGCTGCTTTTCCCCCTAGGAGACGTGGCCATGTCTGGAGATGTTTCGGTTGTCACAGTATGGAGGGCGGTGCTACTGGCATCTGGTAGGTGGAGGTGGGGGATGCTGCTCTGTGTCCTGGCCATGTCCAAGGGCCCGGGGTGGAGAAGCTGCCTCAGGAGACCTGGCGAGCATGGATGTTGGGGGGCCCTCCATTTGCAGGCGTCTCCTGACTTCCGAGGTCCTGAACTTGTAGGGGAACAAAATCCCCCGCCTGTGGGTGCAGAGGCAGCCCTCAGGTGGCCTTGGGCAAGTCACTGGACCTCCTGATCCTCTGAGGCCTGGTCTGTAGAGCAGCGAAAATGACACCTGGCCATTTGGACTGCCTGGAGGATCAGGGTGCGGCACGTGCAGCAGCCCCAGGCCAGCTGGGTGCTCGATGGTGGGTGGTTGTTCACAAGAGCGGCAAAACCAGAAACTCACTCTGCACCCTGTGGTGGCTGCAGGAGTTGGTTTTGTAGATTTTTCTGGTATTTTAAAGTGTCCCCGCACACCCACCACTTTCCTGAGTCTGCAGCTGTGGCGCTCACAGCCATGCCTGAGGGAGGCTCCACGACGCTCACTCTGCTTAGAACATTTCCCTCCCAGGTCCTGCTTGAAAAGTGGGTTTCGGTTGGCTGATCTCAACATTTTGGGAGGCGGAGGGGGGCGGCTCGCCTGCGGTCAGGAGTTCGAGACCAGCCTGACCAACATGGTGAAACCCCGTCTCTACTAAAAATACAAAAATTAGCCAGACGAGATGGTGGGTGCCTGTGATCCCAGCTACTCAGGAGGCTGAGGGAGAAGAATTGGTTGAACTCGGGAGGCGGAGGTTGGAGTGAGCCAAGATTGCGCCGCTGTACTCCAGCCTGGGTGGCAGAGCGAGACTCTGTCTCAAAAATAAAAATAAAACAAAATAAAAATAAAACCTCTCCAGGTGACCCTGGGGAATCCCTCTTTTGGCTCCTGTCTCATGAGATGGAAATTAGAGGGCAGGACCCTGTGTGTCTGAGTGTGTCTTATGGCTGGAGGAGAGCAGGACCCATGCACTCCAGGTAGAAGTGCCATGTCGACATGTGTACACTTTGCACTTGGGAACGTTGGTTCTCAGAAAGCGGCTCACTGGGTCTCTGTGCAGCCCTGTGGGGTGGCCACGTTAGGTGTTCCCACTGCAGGGGCGGATGCTGAGATGGCCAGGAGGACGCTTTCCCACTAACCAGGCTGGGCAGCGCATCTGGATCTGGGAGTTTATTGTCCTTGGAACCTGGAGGCCACAGAGTGCAGGAAGGATGGGCTTTTTTTTTTTTGAGAAGGAGTCTTGATCTGTCACCAGGCTGGAGTGCAGTGGCGCAATTTTGGCTCACTGCAACCTCTGTCTCCCGGGTTCAAGCAATTCTCATGCCTCAGCCTCCCGAGTAGCTGGGATTACAGATGTGCACCACCACGCCCCGCTAGAGATGGGGTTTCACCATGTTGGCCAGGCTGGTCTCAAACTCCTGACCTCAGGTGATCCACCTGTCTCGGCCTCCCAAAGTGCTGGGATTACAGGTATGAGCCACCGTGCACGGCCAAAGATGGGCGTTTTCCTGGCAGAGTCTGAGCTGCCCCCAGGAGCTGGTATGAGAGAAACCCAGCTCTGTCCAAGTGTGGGCCATGTCTCTCCTCTTAGTTAGGGGCAGTCTGGGGCCACCAGGGGCCCTCAGAATCCAAGCAGTGGATGTCCCGTAGTTAGGAGGGGCGCCAGGAGAGGTTTGGGGCCCCCAAGCTTGGGGCCTTCTTCTCCCCAGCTTCAGCAAGTGCTTCACGGTGGTGACGGATTGCAATTTCTTCTCAAGCCAGGACAGGAGGGTGGGAAGGCCGGGTGGGTTAATAGTCAAAAGTGCCCTCGTCAGAGAGCATGGCATCTCCCTGCCCCACTGAGCCAGGGGGAAGGTGCCCCAGGACAATGACCAGCTGGTAGTTTTGATTGTGATGACGAGGAATTGGGGACAAGAACAGTTTGTTGGCTTATCATTACAAGCAGAGGAAGGGCACTTCGCCATCCCCAAGCCGGGTTCCAAACGGGAAATAATCGTGCATTTGGAAGAGCTGAATTGCAGTTATTCTTTGGGTTAGTCTGGGTGACCAGCAGGAAGGTGGCCCTGCCCTGCCATGGGGTGTGGGTGTGTCTGGGGGTCTGAGCTGACATGTCCCTTACTGCCACGGTGACCCCAACTGCTGCATGCTCAAAAGGGCAGGGCTGGGCTGGGCGTGGTGGCTTCCGCCTGTAATCCCAACACTTTGGGAAGCCGAGGCAGGCGGATCATGAGGTCAGGAGATCGAGACCATCCTGGCTAACACGGTGAAACCCCGTCTCTACTAAAAATACAAAAAATTAGCTGGGCCTGGTGGCGGGCGCCTGTAGTCCCAGCTACTCGGGAGGCTGAGGCAGGAGAATGGCATGAACCTGGGAGGTGGAGCTTGCAGTGAGCCGAGATCACGCCACTGAACTCCAGCCTGGGTGACAGAGCAAGACTCCGTCTCAAAAAAAAAAAAGGGCAGGGCTGTGGCACGGGAGTGGTCACTGCTGTGCCGTAGAAACTGCTGCTTCTGGGGACTTTCCACTGTGGCGCGGGGGGTGCGTTTGTTCTTTTTGTGTCCCTCAGCTAGGCCTGTGGGGCTTCCCTCTGGCCTGTGCCGAGTCCAGCCTTGGTGTGGGTTCAAGCCGTGTTCCTGCCGAACCGTCCCACTGAGCTCACTGGCACGCACGCCTAGGTGCACGCTCTATGGCACTACGGTGGCCTCCTGTGCTGCACTCGCCGGCTGTAGGCGAGCAGGGAAGCTGCGGGCTTAGGAGCAGGAAGGGCTCAGCTCCTTAGTGGGACTCTCATCCCCCAAGACCATCCCCCTGTCCCCAGGAGGGCAGGGCTTCCCATGTAGCACTGGCTCTGGGGACTATCTGGGGGTCACCTTCACCTCCCACTGTCATGAGTTTCAGTGAGACAATAGGATGGATGCCAGCCCTGAGTGGCTGCTGACCACAGCTGCTTCCTGCTGTCACCCAGCTGCTGTCAGCCTGCAGAGCCCTCCCCTGAAACTGAGGTGCAGGGCAGGACCCCTCCCCGTGCCTCCACTGGTACTTGACACCCCTCCCTCACGCCCCTGTCAGCTGATCCTGTCAGCACCCTGGACATCCCTCCCCACACCCCCATTAGCTGGACACCCCTCCCCTACACCCTCATCAGCTGGACACCCCTCCCATATACCCCCATTAGCTGAACACCCCTCCCCCACACCCTCATCAGCTGGACAGCCCTCCCATATACCCCCATCAGCTGGACACCCCTCCCCCGCAACCCCCAGTAGCACCCTGGACTCCCTTCTTCCCAACCCCTTCAGCACTTTGGATACCCTTCCCTCTACTTCCGTCAGTATCCTGGACTCCCCTCCCCAATACCTCCCACCTGCACCCTGGACTCCCCTCCCCCTCACCCCCCACCTGCACCCTGGACTCCCCTCCCCCATACCTCCAATCTGTACCCTGGACTCCCCTCCCCCGCACCCTGGACTCCCCTCCCCCGCACCCCCCACCTGCACCCTGGACTCCCCTCCCCCGCACCCCCCACCTGCACCCTGGACTCCCCTCCCCCTCACCCCCCACCTGCACTGCACCGTGGACTCCCCTCCCCCGTGGGGCTCACCATGCTAATTGGCCCCATTTGTCTTTTCCACCAGGCCAAGGACACCTTGAGGGCAGGACTGTGGTTTTCCCTCTTGGCATCCCTAGATCTCAGCCTCGTACACACAGGGCCCGCAAATGTTTGTTGAATTAATGAGTGACAGCAATTTTAATTAGAGTTTCTTTGCGTTTAGGTTGCAGATTAGAATCTTTAAAAAGATATTATACCAAATAGTTTTTAATTATGAATGAATTGCAGACATCGTCTGCAATTAGCTCGAGAACTGAAATCCTCTTTCAGGACCCTTGGGGTACTCTAAGAGGGAAATCCAATTTGTTACTTGTAAGTCATCTCTTAATCATGCAATAGCAGGATATGTGATATTAGCGTCAGCTCTTCCATCTCTCCAGATCTGAGCCAAAGGTGCCATGGGAAGAATTTGGAGCTGCTGTTCTTGAGACCTTGGGTGTGTGGAAGTGGGAGTGGGAGTGGGAGTGGGAGTGAGGGCAGGAAGTGGAGGGGGCAGGGGGCGGGAGCAGACACACAGTAGGTGCTCAGTAAACGTGTGATGAGTGGGGAGCAGGGGCCAGAACAGAAACTGTTGGAGAGAGGTGGGGGAATATGGGCCTGGAGGCATTTCAGAAGACATCCTGTGTGGACGTGTCCTGATGCATGACTTTATTTTAATTTTTTTGTTCTGAGACAGAGTCTTGCTCTGTCGCCCAGGCTGGAGTGCAGTGGCACGATCTCCGCTCACTGCAACCTCCACCTCCCGGGTTCAAGCGATTATCCTGCTGCAGCCTCCCGAGTAGCTGGAATTGCAGGTGTGCGCCACTACGCCCGGCTAATTTTTGTATTTTTAGTAGAGAGGGGGTTTCACTATGTTGGCCAAGCTGGTCTCAAACTCCTGACCTCAGGTGATCCTCCTGCCTTGGCCTCCCAAAGTGCTGGGATTACAGGCGTGAGCCCCTGCGTCCAGCCTTTATTTTTTTTTGAGACAGAGTCTCAGTCTGTCGCCCAGGCTGGAGTACAGGGGCATGATCTTGGCTCACTGCAACCTCTGCCTCCCAGGCTCAAACAATTCTCATGCCTCAGTCTCCTGAGTAGCTGGGATTACAGGCGCCCACCACCACGCCCAGCTAATTTTTGTATTTTTAGTAGAGATGGGGTTTCACCATGTTGGCCAGTCTGGTCTCAAATTCCTGGCCTCAAGTGATCCACTCTCCTTGCCTCCCAAAGTGCTGGGATTACAGGCGTGAGCCAGCGTGCCCGGCCTTGATGCATGACTTTAAAAAGTACCTGAGGCCGGGCGCGGTGGCTCACTCCTGTAATCCTAGCACTTTGGGAGGCCGAGGCTGGCGGATCACGAGGTCAGGAGATCGAGACCATCCTGGCTAACACGGTGAAACCCCGTCTCTACTATAAAAACACAAAAAATTAGCTGGGCAAGGTGGCGGGCTCCTGTAGTCCCAGCTACTTGGGAGGCTGAGGCAGGAGAATGGCGTGAACCTGGGAGGTGGAGCTTGCAGTGAGCCGAGGTCACGCCACTGCACTCCGGCCTGGGCGACAAAGCGAGACTCAGTCTCAAAAAAAAAAAAAAAAAAAAAAAAAAGTACCTGAAAGGTTAGAGCATATTAAGAGCAGATTAGTTTGGGCCACGACACATATCACTGTCATAGACAAACGACACAAGCAGGACATGCTGAACAAAACGGGTTCACGTTTGCAGAACAGGGTTCTGTTTCTCCCTCTGCGGGGTCTGATGGCTCCAGTGCGCCCATTTCCCCAGACTGTGGGAGGCACTGTGCAGAACCTGAGCGTCAACGGTCCCCGCCACACAAACCCCATGGGCGCAGACAGCACAGGTGTGGATGGAGAGGTGCATGGAGCCTGCTGGCCGCCTGTCTTGGAGATGAGCTTTTGCTCCTCGGCAATTTGGAGATGCTCAGCCAGCCAGATTTTATTTTCAGCTTTACTTGTGACGTTCACTTCTCTCCCGGATCCTCCATAATGAGCCAGACAGAAGCTGCCTGGCGGCCCCGCATGCAGCCTCCCAGGCACATGGGCCTCCTCCCGTCCAAACGGAGCTTTGAGTCTTTGCTTGAATCTTCTTACTCACTGGTTTCAAAATAGGCATCCAGCTCATTAGCCTCAGGGAGAGGGAGTTGGGGGCGCCACTCACAAAGGCCTGGGAAGAGGAACCCGAGCCAAGGTCAGGATGGAGGGCTTGTCTTCCAGCAGAACCCAATGTGAGGTGAGAGTTTTTGTTCTAGTCTTTGAATACTGGAAACGAATCTCACCATCTGGAGGTGGCAGGGGAGAGAGGCCTGAAAGAAATAAATTAAAATACTCAACTACAGAAAAACCTCGAAGCTGCAATCAAGACAAAAGCAAGGATGCTAACACACACACTTTCTCTGTTGGCTAAAACTGAGTGTTTTCACGGGGAGGCCTGCGTCATCTTTCTCTCAGGTTTCTTCCACGAGAGCCTCTAGTTAATCATCTCAAATGACCCTTCTAATGTCATGCTGAATCAGTCTCTTGAAATTTAGGACTGGAATTTTCTCAGCAAATATTTAACTAGAAAAACGAAATCTCAGCTTTTCTGTTCTCAGCAGTTTCAATGCAAGTTGCAAATTAATAGACGTCTGGGCCAATATTTGATCTTTTCCCCCAAAGAAAATGATTTGCTCGCCATTCACTAAATTGGAGGGAGGCGTCCCTGGAAGTAACAAGGATGATATCCTTGTTCCTGGAGGTGGGCTTCGGTAGTGTTTGGAGACCTCAGGCAGCAGCCGGACCTCCCCAGCACCTGGGCGGGGTCCCTGTGAGCGCTCACTCCAGCATCTCTGATGGCCACAGGGTCTCTGGGGCAGAACCCCCATGCCCAG
The DNA here is from genome assembly GCF_000001405.40 of Homo sapiens. Lineage (NCBI taxonomy): Eukaryota > Metazoa > Chordata > Mammalia > Primates > Hominidae > Homo > Homo sapiens. Next base: position 46,484,650 of record NC_000022.11, on the reverse strand, counting down.
CCAAAACAGGTGCTGCAGTGAGTGGGCCAGGTAGCTCTCGTGGTATGTGAGCGCAGCTGCCCCTTGCCAGGCTGTCCCGGGCTGCCCCCAGCTCTAACTTGAGGCACTAACCCTATCAGGGGTCAGTGGCTTAATATAGCCTCTCCCTGGTATTTGCATTTCAAAAGAGGTCTCTGTGAAATTATTCTGGAAGGGATTTCAGGGCCCCTGAGTGGGGACACATTTCAGGCCTAGGAGGGGTGGCTCCTCCAAGTTCCTGGCAGATGCTGCAGCCTGCATTTCTGAGGAGGGCTGGGCCCGAGGCAGCTGCCACCATGGGCTGGGCTGGGCTGGTGGAAGGAGGGACTCTGTCCCCTGCAGGACCCTCCCAGCGGTCTTGCTTGGGACTGAGCAGCTGGGGCTGGTGGGCCCTGTGGATGCCAGGTTTACTGGTGCCCAGTTCAGACCTCGGACCCGTCCCCACCGTCGTAACGGCTCTCCCCAGCAGCTCCCCTTCTCTTGCCCTGTACCCTTGGATTTCTGGGCGGAAGGCCTGGGGCGCTCCTCCCTACAGGTGAGTCTGAGAGCCAGGGCAGAGCGTGGGAGCCCGTGGGAGCCTGGGAATGTTCTGTGCTCCGTGAAATTGACAGTTGTGCTCCTTTACCTGGAGGCAAGGGATGTGGCTTCTGAGCCTGTTGGTGCCAGTGCCTTTGTTGTTACACCTTTGCTCTTAAATAGGTACAAATTATTGGTATTAGAAAGCCTTGCAGCTCCATATCCTCATTAAGCCTCTGCAGTTAATAATTATTTTTCTCTCCTGAAAGTGTTGGTGTGAAAGAGCTGAGTAGACACGTGGAGACTGCAGGCCTCACTCTACCTTGGCAGGAAGATGGCGACCTGCATCCCCAACAGACAGCTGTGTGTCCTGGGCACAGTTCCTGAGCCTTTCTGGGCCCCACATCCCTTGTCACTGGGGTAGCAGAATCTGCTCTGCCTCCCTGGGTGGTTGGAGAGGCAATAGCAGATAATGGGAGCAAAGACTTACGTAGCTCTTGCAATCCTCAGGGGACTCCAGGAGGCAGGAAATCCAATCACCCGGTTTTACTGATGAGGAAACCAAAGCACATAGAGGTTAAGTGACTTGCCCAAGTTCACAGAGGAAGTGGGTGGCAGAGTGGGATTGTCAGGGAAAGCACCTTGAATGGAAAACCTGTGGGCTGCCACTGCACTCCAGCCTGGGTGACAGAGCGAGACGCTGTCTCAAAAAAAAAAAAAAAAAAAAAAAAGTCAGGAATAGCATGTTTCCATAAAGAGGGTGTGCTCAACTGTGAGGACTGCGCCCTAGACACCCAGTGAGGCGGGTCTCACAGTTTGTGGCTTATGTTAATTAATGTCTCATCATTAATTTATTAATAAGGTTCTTTCTAAAGTCCTTGTTTTTAATGTAATCAAAATCATACTTTTTCCCCTTTACGATAGTGTGTTGTGTGTCATGTTTAAGAATTGCTTACCTATCTCAAGATCATAAACATGATTTTGAATGATCCTTGCTAAAATAGGCTTTGTCTTTCCTGCTTAAGTCCTTAGTTCACCTGGAATTGATGTTTGTGCTTGGTGTGAGGTAGGGATCCAGTTTCACTTTGTCCGTTATGTAGACAGCTGAGTGGCTTGGGACCATGTGTGGGAATGCTCCTCTTTCCCATTTGCCAGCTCTGTTGTGTGTGCGTGTGGACCTGTTTCTGGGCTCCATCTTCTGTCCATCAGTCTGTTGGTCTGCTCCATGCCAGCACTCCCTTGTCTACAGGCTATAAATCTTGACATCAGATAGAGCTTGTTCCCCTCCCCTGTTCTCCAGGGATGCCTTGGCTATTCTTGACCTATTGGTCTTCTGTGGAGATTAGAGAATCATCTTGTGAGTTCCCTATGAAGGACCCTGTAGATAATTTTCTTTTTTTTTTGAGGCGGGATTTTGTTCTTTCACCCAGGCTGGAGTACAGTGCACAAGCTCAGCTCACTGCAACCTTTGCCTCCTGGGTTCAAGTGAGTCTCGTGCCTCAGCCTTTCGAGTAGCTGAGTTTACAGGCATATGCAATCCCACTCTGCCACCCACTTCCTCTGTGACCTTGGGCAAGTCACTTAACCTCTATGTGCTTTGGTTTCCTCATCAGTAAAACTGGGTGATTGGATTTTCTGCCTCCTAGAGTCCCCTGAGGATTGCAAGAGCTACACAGGTCTTTGCTCTCATTATCTGGTATTGCCTCTCCAGCTACCCAGGGAGGCAGAACAGATTCTGCTCTGGCTGATGGCCCTTCCTCTGTCTTCAGGGCCAGCAGCATAGAATCCCCTGACTTCCTCTGTCCCCATAAGCTCTTTCTCCCACTCTTCCTCCCTCCTCTGCTTTTAAGGATCCTGTGGCCACCCAGATCCTCCAGGATACTCTCGTGGGTTAAGGTTGCTGGTGAGCGGCCGTGCCCCTGTGCCATGTGGCATAACGCAGTCACAGCTTCTGGGGATTGAGACATGCAGCTCTTCTTGGGAAGTGAGGGTGAGACATTATTTTGTCTACCACACATGGCCATGGCCAAGATTTATAAAAGTCAGCCGGGTGCAGTAGCTCATGTCTGTGATCCCAGCACTTTGGGAGGCTGAGGCTGGTGGATCACCTGAGCTCAGGAGTTCGAGACCAGCCTGTCCAACATGGCGAAACCCCATCTCTACTAAAAATACAAAAATTAGCCAGGCTTGGTGGCACATGCCTGTAATCCCAGCTACTCGGGAGGCTGAGGCAGGAGAATCTCTTGAACCCGGGAGGCAGAGGTTGCAGTGAGCTGAGATCACGCCACTGCATGGGCAACAGAGTGAGACTCTGTTTCAAAAAAAAAAAAAAGATTTAGAAAAGTTCAAATAACTGGGGCAGCACAGGGTTGCCACTGGGGAGCTGCAGCAGCTGCGGGTGCAGGAGGTGGTGGACTCCATGGTGAAGAGTCTGGAGAGAGAGAACATCTGGAAGATGCATTGTCTCATGTTCTGGTGCAGCACCAGCTGTTGTGAGGACAGTCAGGCCTCCACGGAGCAGGTGCACCAGTGCATCGAGTGCCACCATGTGCCTCTGGCTTAAGCCCAGGCTTTGATCACCAGTGAGCTGGAGAAGTTCCAGGACCACCTGGTCCGGTGCACCACGCATTGCAACGACAAAGCCAAAGATTCAATAGATGCTGGGAGTAAGGAGCTTCAGTTGAAGCAGAAGCTGGAAGGTGGTGTGACCAAGTGTGTGGATGACCACATGCACCTGCTCCCAACTATGACCGAGAAGGTGAAGGAGGCTCTCTCATCCATTGGGAAATAAAAGTCTTTGCCAGTGGCCATCGGGGCTGAGGGCAATAATGTATTTTTTATAAGGAATTGGGAATTTTAGTCTTTTTTTTTTTTGAGACATGGTCTTGTTCTTTCGCGCAGGCTGGAAGGCTGGAGTGCAGTGGCACGATCTCAGCTCACTGCAACCTCCACCTCCCAGGTTCAAGCCATTTTTCTGCCTCAGCCTCCTGAGTAGCTGGGACTACAGGCATGCACCACCATGCCCAAGTAATTTTTGTATTTTTAGTAGAGACAGGGTTTCACCATGTTGGTCAGACTGGTCTCAAACTCCTGACCTTGTGATCCACCCGCCTCAGCCTCCCAAAGTGCTGGGATTACAGGCGTGAGCCACCGGACCCGGCCGGAATTTTAGTCTTTTAAGCAAAGTTTATGAATGAAGAAATGAAGGATGGTCGTAAGTGTAAAGCATATGTCACTTGCCTCTGGACACTGGTTCTTTTATGTTTTAGTCCTAAAAAATGAAACGGAAAAAAGTGGTGCTAAATTGGGTCAGAGATATTACAGGAGAGTTTTAGAGCTTATATTTCCTGTGGCCAGTGCTTGTCCTGGCAGTAAGGATCTCCCCTGTAACAAGCCAGAGCCCCCAAGGCACCAGACTCTTCTTACTACACAGGTACCAACAGGCTGGCAGGTTAGAGTTGGTGGAGTTTGCAGAGAGATATTTCCTCTTCGTTGCCAACATCCTGTTTACCAGAAGTGTTTCTGCATCACTTTCCATAAGCTGTGAAACAAAATCCATGAGGTCACTCACTTAGAAGGGAAAAAATGTTTTCTGTGTCTTTGTTTTCCTGGTTTTGTGTAATTTATACAAGGGCATACAAGTTGATTTTAAGATGTGGAATTGGGAGGGAAACTCATTTGGATAAGAACTTTGAAAGGTTCCTTATCATTTGGATAAGAACTTTGAAAGGATCCCCATTTCTGGTCATCAGGATGTGGATGTACTTTTCTTAAAATTTTGACATGCTGCATCTTGAGACATGGACCTCTTCTTGGGAGGTGAGGGGGAGACATTATTTCGTCTACCACAGCTTGGAGACCATGCAAAAACATGACAGGCGACGACACACTAATTGTGGGAAGCAGAATTACTGGCTGATGGGCCTTGAGGCTGTGTGTAGCAAAACGACAGGACAATCTTGCAGTAACACTTTGCCCGTGAAGAGAAGGGGATTTTGATTGTGATACATACTAGTATATAGGAGTGAACAGTAGAAGAGGAGCATTTGGCTACTTGATTATAACAGAGTTATGAAGTACTGGATTTGGAAAAACCTGGTTTTTGTAGAACAGATGGAATGAAGACCTAAACCGAGCATTGCCTACTTAGCCCCTGAATTAACAGAGTCCAGTCGAGACAAACCCCTGGCAACAGGAAATTCAAGGGAGGAAAAGGAAGCAACTTGGGCTAGGATGAGCTGACTCCCTGAGAGTGAAGGAGAGGCAGCCCCCGTTACCAAATACCATTTCTGCCTGGGGCTTTCGCAGCTTGCAGTGTTCCTGCTCCGGCATGGCACCTTATTGTTTTGATAGCAACCTCATTGTATTCTCACCAGCTTATTACTTGAAATGATAAGACAGCCTGTCCATTTGCTGCTTCCCGGCTGTGATATATTTTCCTAGTGGTTTGGTTTTAAAAATAAATAAGGTTTAATTTTCTACCCACCCCCGGCCCCCCCCCAAAAAGTCCAAATAACCACAAAAAGTCTCAGCTCACTATCCCTGGCCCCTGGAACCCAGCATCTCCTGCCCAGAGGCAGCTGTGGTCTCTGGCTCCGTGATGAGCTTGTGGGGGACATGGCTGCAGTGCCGGTTCAGCCACCGTGGGTAGCTTTTTCCCAAAGACGAGGCATCTGCTTGAGGCTCACCTGGAGTGGTAGGGGCTTCCAGGGCAGGGCCCAGACAGTTTTCCCCTGGCAGCTGCCGCAGCCTTTCTGCACAGGAGGGCCTTCGGGCTCGGGGGTAGGAGCGGCTTGACGCAGGTTGGTCCCTGGAGATGAGTCAGCATTTCAGAGGCACTGCTGACAAGCATGGGGGTCGGGACAGACCTGAGTCCAGCAGGTCATTTTGGAGGGAGAGAAGCTCCCAGGATTCAGCAAAACCCCGGGAGCGTCCGTCGGCGGATGCTGCACCAGCCGCAGGTGTGAGCATGCGAGACTCCGGGCAAGGAGAAGAGGAAGATGGAGATAGTGGCACAGGGGCACGCAGAGGGAGGCCGAGGGTCACCTGCTGCTCTGGCCATTGAGGTGGCTGGATGAGGAGCCTGGCTGGGTGCTGGATAGCACTTTTAGACCTGGAGCCTGGAATGTTCCAGACTGGCCCTGGTCGTTCCTGACTCCCTGGGCCTGCGGTGAGCAGTGGCTGAAGAGCCTGAGAGCTCTGAGCAGGACCTGCTGCAGGGCTGGGTTGGGCTCGTTGCTGTGTTTACTAAGACGTCTCATCTTCGGCTGGGCACGGTGGCTCACACCTGTAATCCCAGCGCTTTGGGAGGCCGAGGCGGACAGATCACAAGGTCAGGAGTTCGAGACCAGCCTGGCTAACATGGTGAAACCCCGTCTCTACTAAAAATACCAAAAAAAAAAAAATTTTAGCTGGGCATGGTGGCACGCACCTGTAATCCCAGCTACTTGGGAGGCTGAGGCAGGAGAATCGCTTGAACCCGGGAGGCAGAGGTTGCAGTGAGCCGAGATCGCACCACTGCACTTTAGACTGGGCGACAGTGTGAGACTCCATCTCAAAAAAAAAAAAAAATTCTCATCTTTATTGTCCACAGCTCTCTTGGGCTGGCAGTGGCTCGTGGACACGTCGGGCCAGGGAACATATGGTTGTCCCTTGGCAGGTGCTCAGGGCCGCATTGTCATGCTGGAAGGCATCATTTGGCTCAGAACCAGGTGCCCACTTGTTCTTTGAAATTTGTTTTGTCGTTTAATCTTTGCCTTGGGGAATTTGGCCCATTTTTCCAGGACGAGGGCAGAGAGGTGGCTTTCTGGTTCTGGCAGGGAAGAGCGAGGCTGGAATGGCTCCCCTTTGGCCCAGCCCGTGTCAATCTCTGGGCTCAGCTGGCAGGGGAATGCCCCAGACGGCGCTGTCGGGAGGCGCAGAGGCCCGAGTGGTCTGGCAAAGCCGGGTGCTGAGCCAAGGAGCCCTGAGCTCGGTGCTTCCCGGGCTCCTGGTACCTGCTGAGAGTCTCAGGCCGGAAGGGGTCCAGAGGTTTGGGTGATCATTTCCGAGGGCTGGGTTTTCAGCTGGTGTGCTGCTGCCCTGGCAGGTGTTGTCTGGAGACATGTGTGGTCATCATAGCCTGGGGTGGGGGTGCTGCTGACATCCAGTGGGTGGAGGCCAGGGGTGCTGCCCAGCATCCTCCCGGGGGCTGGCACCCCACAGAGAGTTACCCAGCCCCCACGAGAGTCCACAGTGCTGCCATGGGGTACCTGTCCTGGAAGCTGAAGCCCGGGGGTTCCTCCTTTTTCTTCTTATCTTAAAACAGCATTGGCCAGGTGCCGTGGCTCAAGGCTGTAATCCCAGCACTTTGGGAGGCTGAGGCGGGTGGATCATGAGGTCAGGAGATCGAGACCATCCTGGCCAACATGGTGAAACCCTGTCTCTACTAAAATACAAAAAATTAGCCTGGCGTGGTGGCCCACGTCTGTAGCCCCAGCTACTTGGGAGGCTGAGGCAGGGAAATCGCTTGAACTCGGGAGGTGGAGGTTGCAGTGAGCCGATTGTGCCACTGCACTCCAGCCTGGTGACAGAGCAAGACTCCGTCTCAAAAAAAAAAAAAAGCCAATAAAACAAAACAAAACAAAAAAACAGGCTCGTTGGCCACTCAGCGTCTCCCCACAGGAGTTCCCGGCACTCCCCAACAAGGGGTTTCTTGTGGTCAGACGTTTGGATTCCTGTTCAGGAAACGAATGCCTTCAGATTGTTCTGTGAGGACTTGAAGCAAAGCAGAGACAACAGAAGGTTCCTGATAAACTCCAGGTGTTTGATCCCTGTCGAAGTCCCGGCTGGTGCCTTCACTGTGGCGGGTGGGCCTGTGTGGGCTTCTCCCATGATATTTAGCTCATGGTATAAACAGATGGCGACTTTGGCTCTACCCAAGCCATACTCAGCATCTTTAAGGTGGGGGAGTTTGGTGTCTCCAGGGTCGGAAGGTGGCTTCCTGCTCTTGGAAGGAGAAGTAGTTCCACGTCTTAGAAACCTGTTCATTTCTGACTTCATTCGACAGCTTGGTTTGAAGGAAATGGTTCTTGAAATGCCCTTTAGAATCGCTTTCTCCTTTTGTACAATGTCACGCCAAAATAAGACAAATTTTTACTAAGAATCAATTCTTAACTCTTTTTGCCTTTTAAAAAAATTGAGGTGAAACTCACATACGATAAAATTACCACTTTAAAATGAACACTTCAGTGGCATTTGTTACATTCACGATGTGCAACCTCTCCTTCTGTGCAGTTCTAGAACATTCTCATCACCTGAGAAAGCCCCATACCCAGTAAGCTTAATCACTTCTGGTCCCTCTTGCCCCTTGCGCTTGGCAACCAGCATGGCTTCTGTCTCTGTGGATTCTGGGTGTTTCATATCAATGAAATCATGATTATGTGGCCTTTCGTGTCTGGCTTCTTTCACTTGGCGGAAAGTTTGTGAGTTTCATGCACGTTGTAGCCTGGTCAGTACTTCCTCTTTTTTTTTTTTTTTTTTGAGACGGAGTCTTACTCTGTTGCCCACGCTGGAGTGAAGTGGCACCATCTCAGTTTACTGCAACCTCTGCCTCCCAGGTTCAAGCGATTCTCCCACCTCAGCCTCCTGAGTAGCTGGGACCACAGGTGTGCACCACCACGCCTGGCTAATTTTTTATATTTTGGTAGAGATGGGGTTTCACCATGTTGCCCAGGCTGGTCTCGAACTCCTGAGCTCAGGCAATCCACCCACCTTGGTCTCTCAAAATGCTGGGATTACAGGCATGAGCCACCGCGCCCAGCCTACTTCCTCTTTATGGCTGAATAATATTCCATTGTATGAATGGAACATACTGGGTTTGTCCATTCATACATTGGTGGACGTTTGGGTTTCCACTTTGGGTTATTGTGAATAATGCTGTGGTGAGCATTTGTGGACAAGTTGTGTGGATGTATGTTTTCAATTTTTTTGCATTGCACCTAGGGATAGAATTCTGGGTCATGTGTTAATTCTATGTTGAGCTTTGTGAGGAAGCAATCCTTAACTCTTAAATGAAAGTTCTGCCTCCTGACAAGAATGCACTTGCTCAACGTCTCAGCCCACAACTTCTTTAGGCTGGCGTTGGGCTGGCTATGTTGATGTGTGAACACACCTTCCTGGGGCACAGTGGGGCCTGTTATTATTTCAGGCTTCCAGAAGGTTCCATCAAGCAGAGACATGATGAGCTGTGTTGGAATAACATGGAACAACTTAATAGTATTAAATCCTGAATTAGATTCTAACTTCTGCCTTAGGATATGAGCTTTATTTTGTACATGAAATCAGGAGAGAACATTTCTTAATAAGTGTTATCGAAGATTATGTGATTTTACCATAAATAATAAATGTGGGAGTGACATTGAGAAGGAGGTTTTAGATATCTTCGTAGCTTCATTTCTCCTTGTTTCTTCCCCCCCCATTCGTTTCTTTATTTTTAATTGCAATAAACTTTATAAAACGAACCATCTTGGCCATTTTTAAGTGTGCAGTTCAGTGGCATTAAATGCATTCACATTGTTTCATGGGCGTCACCACCATCCACCTCCAGAACTTCCTCATCTTCCCAAACTAGACTCTGTGCCAATTCAATGCCACCTCCCCACAGCCCTCCCCTAGTCCCTGGCACTCACCATCCTACTTTCTGTCTCTGTGGATTTGACTGTTCTCGGGACCTCTCGTAAGCAGAAGCAGACAGTATTTGTCCTTTTGTGACCGGCCTCTTTCACTCAGTGTGATGTCTTCAAGGCTCATCTGTGTTGTAGCGTGTGTCAGGGTGTCTGTCGTTTTTAAGGCCTCCTTATTTCTTGTGCTACCTGAAGTTGGGTTTTTTTCAGTAATAATAATGTGTAATGTTTATCCTGACTCATCTAATGCTGAGGGCCTGGGGATGTGGTTCTTTCGTGCTCTCCTCCATATCTTGTGACAGAATAATTCTTGTCATTTCTAGGATTTTATAATTTAGGAGACGAGGAAGGATGTTAAGTGAATAAGTGTGCCTTTGAAACAGAATAATGCGGCAAGATAAAATGGCATTTGTGTTTGAATGATTTGAAGCTCTAGAAGCTTTTCAGAGCTTTTAACACGCTCCTCATTTGCCTGTTGATGGGCTTCCCAGGGCCTGCCTGTGCGTTTCCATTTGATTTGTGCTTGGCCATGGGAGAAGCGGCTTGCTGTTCTTAGCAGATCCCGGCAGCCTCTCCAACAAGTTAAGTGACCTGCCTGGGACCTGCAGCTTGAGTTCAGGGTGGATGACAGAGTGAGACTCCGTCTCAAAAAAAAAAAAAAAAAAGAAGTAGAGAGTAGAATAATGGTCACCAGAATCTGGGGAGGTGAGGAAGGAGGAAGAGGGGGTTGGGGAGAGATTGGTCAAAGAGTACAAAGTTACAGTAGGATGGCAGGAATAAGTTCTGTTGCTCTATTGTACAATAGGATGACTATGGTTAATAATATTGTATTGTATATTTCAAAATAGCTAGAGGAAAGGATTTTGAACATTCTTACCACAAATAAATGATAAATTTACAAGTAATGGATATATTAAATACACTTATTTGAGTTTTACACAATGTCTAGGGGTCAGGACCAGGCATCGGGACCAGACACTGGGGCAGGGTTGGGGTGGGTGCTGGCCGCCGGGGGTGCTTGTCTGAGGCTAAGACTAGGTGGGACCAACGGGAGGATGTGTGAGGACCCACCTGCAGCAGCCCGAGGGGATGGCAGTGGTGGGGTTACAGAGTGTGGACTTGGATTCCAAAGAGGAGAAACCAGGGAAACCAAGATGTGGGCTTCCTGGGGGTGTCAGGAGGGCTCCTCCTTCTCCATTGTCCAGCCAGTGGCACAGATGGGGACAAGGAGGACTAGGAGGCTGGCTCTGCTCTCCCCAGCCCTGCCCCCGGGCAGAGCTGCGCCCTTTACCTTGACTGCAAGGTTAACACAGGACTTTGTTCCCGAGGCATCGTGAGCAGCACGTGGGCCTTTCTACAGTCCGGCTTGCTGGAGACGCTCGTGCTGGGATGAGACTCTGCTCTCCTGGGTCCGAGGCTCACTCTTCCTCTCGTGGCTTGACATCCTGACATGCGCCGCACACCCAACCCTGAAAGTGCTTGTCCCCTTGTTCCTGTGACGTGAACCTGCATTCGTGAGACGCAGGTCCTAGATTGTTGCCCAGAAAGGAGAAAAGCCACACGCCCTCAGGTAGCAGGATCAACACATCGCACCTGTTGTCTGGCCCCAATCTGGCCTCTAAAACAAAACAAAACAAACCCAGAAGAGAGAGAGACGCACACAGCCACTTCAAAGTTCCCTGGCTTTGAATGGGAGCCACCAGGAGCCACCAAGCAGGGCCCTCCCTGCCTGCTGTGAAGGCCTCGGGAAGGACAGGCACGCACCCTGTGTCTCTTACCAGCTGGACAGCAAGCAACGCTCTGTGGATGTGATCACAGCCGGCCACGGGGAATGACTCTGGACCCCGAGGGCATCATGGGCTGCCCTAACCAGGCCTCGAGGGGCGTTGGTGACGGGAGAGTGGAGGAGCCCCCCAGGCTTTGGTGCATGGGGTGGTGACGGAGACTCACAGTGAATAAGTGGCCCCTGGTTCCTGCCCGGCACTGGCTGCGTCTCCAGCTGCCTGTGGCTCCATCTCACTGGGTCATCTCCAAGGCCCCAGGTGGGTCACAAACTGGCCTTTCCTCCTCCATGTCCTCAGCAGACCCTCCCATGCCAGGACTAGGGTCCTCTTGGACCATCTCCTCTGTCCCTCCCATCCACCATCACTGGGGACTTGGCCTCAGGTTAATCTGGGCCCCGCCACTCAGCCCGAGTCACCTTACCAGGCACATTCAGCTTCTTTGTGCCTTGGTGTCCTCACCTGTCAAGGGCCAGCGATGGTTCCTCGTGGTGCGTGGGTCCTGTCCACCCCTCTGCGGACATTTCTCCTTCAGCCACCCCCGCCGTCCTGCACCGAGAGCCCACGAGGCCGGCAGCAGTCGGAGGTTCACCCACCCCCTGCCTCCGTGCCCGTGTCTCTCCGCTACTCTGCATTCCCGGGGTTGACTAACGTCCCCCCAAAATTCACATCCACCTGGAACCTCAGAGTGGGATGTTATTTGGAAATAGGCTCTTTGCAGCTGTAATTGAGGTGTTGACATGAGGCTGTACTGGCTTCCGGTGCGGTGAACAGAAGACAGAGCCGTGACGACACAGGGAGAGCCATAGCCACTTGGCGCAGAGGCAGAGGCCAGAGGGGTGCACCTAGGAGCCAAGCAACGCCAAGGACTGCTGGACCCCCAGCCCCCAGGGAAAGGGGCCCGGAACAGACCCTCCCCTGAGCCTCCAGGAGGAACAAACCCCGCCAACACCTGAATTTCAGATCCCTGGCCTCCAAAACGGAGAGAGTGAATGTCCTGTATTGGTGATGCAGCGGCGGCCCTTTGCTCCGACGGCCCCGGGAGCTGATGCCACCCGTCCCCATGCCTTGCTGGTTTTGCTGCTTTTCATGCGTTGTGCTCTCAGGAGGCCTGTCCCCTTCACTTTGTGTGGCAAACTCCATTCTTCCCAGGAAACCTACTCCCCTGTCTCCCGGGGCCGTCCAGCATCAGCTGCGCTGCTCTTCACCCACAGCCGCCAATCACCTGCCACCGAGTCTCGGAACTGCGGCACTGTCCCCTGTCCCCTGAGGGCTGCCTGCTCCTTGAGGGCCATGATGTGACCTCTGCCCCCACTGCCCCACAGCATGAGCCCACCATGGGGAACACAATTGCAGATAACCTTTATCTTACTGCAGAGTCTTTCACGAAAGTCGGGGACTGGACAGGTCCCAACCTCCATGAAGACCCAGAAAGTTCCTTCCCATGATGTGGTTCACGTTTGTACAGCACCTGCCAGGAGGGCCCCGCAGCCTCGCGCTCTGCCGTCTGCTCTGTCTCCTTCCCATGTCTCAGCCACAATGAGGTGACTCACCCTTCCCGGGAAAGCAGGGGATGGCACTTGATCGCTTTTGAGGTGCCGCGGAGCCGCTCCAGGCCTGGGAGGAATGCCTGGAGCACGGGCAGAGAGAGTGCTGGGTGGGTGCCGTGCCTCCCGGAATCAAGCAGACCCCAAACTGTGAACTGACCTGTACTCACACACAGAAATGAAACCACGGGGGACAGCGTGAGGCAGAAAGTCGTCATCACCTGAAGGCCACAGACCGCAGCCCCTGAAAACTGTACAGGTCCCAGACCCAGGGAAGGCTGGAAGCCACCACGGTGCAGGGGAGCTGAGTGTGGTGTGGGGTCCTGGGACAGGAGAGGACAGTGGGTGGAAATGAGGGAAATCTGCAGAGAGAACAGGCTTCAGTTAATAACCTATCAATACTGGCTCCTTCATTATGACAAATGCTGAGGCCAGGGGCAGCGGCTCACACCCGTGAATCCCAGCACTTTGGGAGGCTGAGGTGGGAGGATCGCTTGAGGCCAGGAGTGTGAGACCAGCCTGGGCAACATCGCACGGCCTCACCTCTACAAAAAACAAGAACAGAAAACCCAGCCAGGCATGGTGGCATGCTCCTGTAGTCCTAGCTTCTCAGGAGGCTGAGGCAGGAGGATCACTTGAGCCCAGGAGCTCAAAGCTCAAGGCTGCAGTAATCACACCACTGCATTCCAGCCTGGGCCACAGAATGAGACTCTGTCTCAAAACAAGCAAAAGACCCCCAAACCTACCATGCTAATGTAATAACGTAACTAATAGGGGCCTGGGTGTGGGGTCTCTGGGAACCCGCTGTATTAGTAATTTTTTTGTAAATCTAAAACTGTTTCAAAATTAAGTTTTATAAAAACAAACAAAAAACAAAATCAGCAATGCAGACAGAACCACTGTCCACAGTGCCGATAGCTCTCTGGGCTCATGTAGAAACATTTTTTTTGTTTTGTTTTGTGTGAAAGAGTAACTCCTTCCTTTTTTGTTGTTGTTTTTTTGAGGTGGAGTCTCACTCTGTCGCCCAGGCTGGAGTGCAGTGGTGCCATCTTGGCTCACTGCAACCTCCGACTCCCAGGTTCAAGCGATTCTCCTGCCTCAGTCTCCCAAGTAGCTAGGATTACAGATGTGCACCACAACGCCCTGCTAATCTTTGTATTTTTAGTAGAGACAGGGTTTTGCCACGTTCGCCAGGCTAGTCTCGAACTCCTGACCTCTGGTGATCCGCCCACCTCGGCCTCCCAAAGTGCTGGGATTACAGGTGTGAGCCACTGCTCCTGGCCTGTTTCTTGTAACCTAACATCATGTTGTCTTGATCTATCTCTGCCAGAAATGGAGGTTTGTGCTACTGTGTGGTTTAGCTGCGTCATATTCCGTTGTGGGGATAGGCTGTGCTTGGCTCAGCATTCCCATACTGGTGGCGTTTAGATGTGTGTATCTGAAGGCTTAAGCTGCAGGTTGGTTCAAAATCCAACCCAGACTACTTAAGTAAAAAGTAATTTCACCGTGGCCCGTGGTCTCGAAGGAGATTGATGTTAGGATTAACAGTAAGGCACTCATCGTGTTCTGTAGCACACTTCACAGTCGTTAATATTTAATGCTATTTTCTGTCTGTTATGTCATCGTTTTATCCCTGAGTGAAGATGGATGTCCCTAGAATATGGGTCCTTGTTCCGGGGTGTTTCTCTGTGCTGTGCCTTCCTGGGCTGCCCCCAGGAAGGCCCCAGTGCTGGAGCCTCCTCCCAACTTGTGGGGGTCAGAGTAGCTCAGGGCACCCCAAGAAGGCCTGGGCTTCTCACTATGATACATAAGCTCAGACCCAAACATTAATCAATTTTTCAAGTACCTGCTTATTTTCCTGGTTAAAATCAGTGTGGCCTTTGCGTATTGGGCCAGAACAAACACATCCATGTGTGGTTTAAGATAAAAGCATGTTTCATAACAACTGCCACGAGGAAGTAAACAGTACCCTATCTGTATTATTGTAGTGGACCCTAAAAAAAAAAAAGTCAAACAGGCACAAAAAAATAGCTCACATGAAAAAATGAAGTCTCATTATGCTGTTTGTGTCAATGTTGATGTTGGAGTTAAAGTGACACCATACTTCTCTGGCCCCTTTGCCTCTCCCTCCCTCCCTCCCCTCCTCCTCCCTCCCTCCCTTTCTTCCACAAATGTTTATCCAGTGGCTTCTGAGTGCCAGGAGCTGTTCTAGATGTGACGGATGCAGCAGGAACAAGACCTACAGGTTCTGGGTCCTCAGGGACTCATGGGGAAAGAAACAAATATAAACAAATAAGAAAATCAGAGCCCTAGGCCGGGTGCGGTGGTTCACGCTTGTAATCTCAGTACTTTGGGAGGCCAAGGTGGGTGGATCACTTGAGGTCAGGAGTTCGAGACCAGCCTGGCCTACGTGGTGAAACCTCGTCTACTAAAAATACAAAAATTAGCCAGGCGTGGTGGTGTACGTCTGTAATCCCAGCTACTTGGGAGACTGAGGCAGGAGAATCACTTGAATTTGGGAGGTGGAGGTTGCGGTGAGCTGAGATTGCATCATTGCATTCCAGCCTGGGCAACAGAGCGAGACTCCATCTCAAAACAAACAAACAAACAAACAACAACAAAACAAACACAGAGAGCCCTGCCACTCTTGTACAAGAACTGAAGTTGGGATGTGGCAGATGGGAGTGAGGGGCTCAGCATGGAAGGTCCTCCATCGAGGGACCCAGGGGTGTAGCCAGTGTCTGAGAAGGAGGGCAGTGCTCCAGCCAGGAGATGCGCAAAGGCCCCGGGGCAGGAAGAGCGGTCACACGATGACAGGGACAGATCACGCAGACCACAGGACAGAGGGGTGTGTATTTTATGCTGGGTGCCATTAGGGACCACAGGGGAGCAAGGTGATGAGGTCAATATTTTAGGAAGACCTCTCTGGCTGCCACATGAGGATGATGGTGGAGGGAAACTGAGGCTGGCAGACCCCAGGGGTGTTCAGCACATGGCCAAGCAATGCCTGTGGGTCATAGGCTATTTTTAAGATTTTTCATTTTTAAGGGGAGACAGAGCCTCTCTCTGTCCCCCAGGCTGGAGTGCAGTGGCGCAATCTTGGCTCACTGCAACCTCTGCCTCCCAGGTTCAAGCGATTCTCAAGCCTCAGCCTTCCGAGTAGCTGAGACTACAGGCACGTGCCACCACGCCCAACTAGCTTTTTGTATTTTTAGTAGAGACAGGGTTTCACCATGTTGGCCATGCTGGTCTCGAACTCCTGACCTCAGGTGATCTGCCGCCTCGGCCTCCCAAAGTGCTGGGATTTCAGACGTGAGCCACTGAGACTGGCCTATTAAAAAAATTTGTAATTGTGGTAAAATACACATACGTTTACCACTTTAACCATTTTTAAGTGTGTGGTTCTGTGGCATTAAGCACATTAGCTTTGCTGTGCAGCCATCACCACCATCTATCTCCAGAACTTTTTCATGGCCCCAAACTGAAACCCCACACCCACTAAACAACAGCTCCCCAATCTGCCTCCCCACCCGTGGCACCCATCATTCTACTTTCTGCCTCTATGAATCGAACTCCTCTAGGGACCTCCTGTAAGTGCAGCCTCACATGTGACCGGCTTATTGCAGTGAGCATCACGTCCTCAAGGTACATCCATGTTGTAGCGTGTGTCAGAATTTCCTCCCTTTTTAAGGCTGGATAATATTCCATAGTATGCATGGACCACATTTTTTTTTTTTTTTGAGACAGAGTCTTGCTTTGTTGCCCAGGCTGGAGTGCAGTGGTATGATCTTGGCTCACCACAACCTCCACCTCTTGGGTTCAAGCGATTCTCCTGCCTCAGCCTCCCGAGTAGCTAAGATTACAGGCATGCACCACCACGCCCAGCTAATTTTTGTATTTTTAGTAGAGACATGGTTTCACCAGGTCGCCCAGGCTGGTCTTGAACTCCTGACGTCGTGATCCACCCACCTCGGCCTCCCAAAGTGCTGTGATTACAGGTGTAAGCCACCACACCTGGCCAGACCACATTGTTTTAATCCGTTAATCTGTCGGTGGACGCAGGTCACTTCCATGTTTCAGCTCTTGTGAATAGCGCTGCTATGAACATAGGTGTGGTTGACTCATCTTTTTCTTTTGTTACAAAAAGTAGCAACCCAAACGGTACATGCTAATCGTAAGACAGCTGAGTAACACAAAATGAGCAGTAAAGTAGAAAGGTGGTTCACTCCCTGCCACCCCATCCTTTTACATCCTTTGTAGGAGTCGCTGCAGCATCCTTCCAGAGTTTTCTTTTTCTTTTTTTTGAGATGGAGTCTCACTCTGTCGCCCAGGCTGGAGTGCAGTGGCGTGATCTCGGCTCACTGCAAGCTCTGCCTCCCAGGTTCATGCCATTCTCCTGCCTCAGCCTCCTGAGTAGCTGGGACTACAGGCGCCTGCCACCATGCCTGGCTAATTTTTTGTATTGTTAGTAGAGACGGGGTTTCACCATGTTAGCCAGGATGATCTCGATCTCCTGAACTTGTGATCTGCCCGCCTCAGCCTCCCAAAGTGCTGGGATTACAGGAGTGAGCCACCACGCCCGGCTCCTTCCAGAGTTTTCTATATATATATATATATAACATGTTCGTGCATAAGTAAAGCAGCCCCCTCACAAAATGGGATCACACTGTGCGTGTCCCTTTCATTTTATTTGCGCATATTTTGGACACACTTATGTTCATGACAGCGTAGTAGTCCATTGTGTGGCTTCTCTAATTGGGTTGTGCATTTCCCAGCTGATGGACCTTTAGGTGGTTTCTTTGTCTTTGGTGTGTGTGTTTGGGCTTCCAGAAGGATGATTGCTCAAGCTTAGGGTCGCTGAATGTTTACAATTTATTTTTGGCAAAGGAATGTATAAACGGGATGTAGCAAATTAAAGTTATTTATGAGCATTGCGTAAGACAAAACTATGTTAACTTACGTTCACATTTTTAACACATTGTTTAGCATGTTAATTTATTTTAATTGAATTAATATATGTCAGTCTGCTAGGGCTGCCATTTAAAAATACCACAGAATGGGTGGCTTAAACAACAAACACTTGTTTTCTTACAGTTCTTGAGGCTGCAAGTCCAAGATCAGGGAGGCAGCACGGCCAGGTTCCTGGAGGCTTTGTTTTCCTGGCTGGTAGACAGTGCCTTCTTGCTGCGTCCTGATGCGGAGGAGAGGAGAGCTCTCTGCTGTCTCTTCCTGTGAGGATGCAAATCCCCTGGTGGGGCCCCACCCTCGTCACCTCATCATTGACCCACATTACCTCCCAGAGGCCTCATCTCCAAAACCCATCCCCTTGGGTTAGAATTTTGAGGAGACACAGTTCGGTTCCCAGCAACACATTAATATCTTATATGCCGGGCAGTGAGGTTTAATGTTTTAAGTTGATGAACGGTTGGTCTATGAGTCGACTGTATTGGTTTTGGTTGTCTGGTGCTGTGTAACAAAGCGTCCCAAACCCAGTGGCCTCCAACTCTGGTCGTATTATCTACTCACAGTGTGGCCAGGCTCAGTGTGGGGCTGGTCTCTGCTCTGTGGTGTCCGGGTCCTCCCTGGGGTGGCTTGAGTCTCAGCAGCCCGGTGGGTCACATCTGGGGTCTGGGGCTTCCATTGGCCGGGGCCCTGGACGGGAGTGCTGCCTTCTTCCCGATGTGCCCTCTCTAGTGTGGGTTCTGGGCACCAGGAAGAAAGAGGCAGAACCTTCCAGCCCTCTTGGGGCCTGGGCCAGGAACTGGAGGACGTGTTTCCTGCTACATCCTGTGGGACCCAGCCGTCTCAGGGCCACCCTGCTCCAGGGCAGGGCAGGGCAGTGGAGGCCCCCTTCGGAGTGGGAGCAGCTGGGGTCGGGGAGGGAAGGAACGCACTCTCTGAGGCCGTCTCCCACCATGTCCTTTGCCTCAGGCCTTTTGGCCTCATTTGTTTTCCCCACCTCTTCTTCTCCTTAGAGCCACTGGTCCTCTGCCTCTGGGCTCTGCGGACGCCCTCTGGGCTGCTCCTTCCTGCTCCGAGGTGCTCTGTGGGAGTTGCCCACAGAACTGAGTAGCCTCGAAGGGCTCTGGGTTTATGCCAGAGCCAGAGGCGCCCTCCCCACACCGAGGTTGTACAAATATTAATTTCATGTTCTGAGTCCTGACTTGCCACGCTGTCCTGAAGGCCACCTGGCAGAGCAACAGCACCCAGGGCATGACCCGAGTGTCGTTACTGGGGTGGGAGCTGGGCATCCCCAGCCGGGCCTGCGTTTCTGGGTGTGAAATTTGGCTTCTGCCTCCGTTTTCCTCACCTGTGAACTGGGGGTGGTGCTGGTTCTGTTAGAATCTCTTGGGATCTTGGGTCCACTGCACCTGCACGCATCTGTGGCTTCTGCAGTGGTTGCATTTCTTTGTTGTTTAGACAAATTACCTGACTCCAGGTCCCTCCCAGATGTGACTGGTGGCTCCTGGTGCTGGGAAAGCGCCGGGTGCGGAGCCACCTGCTGCTCTTGTTCCGTTTCCTCTTGGGATCCCCGCGTGCCGCTGTGCCTTGTCGGGTGTGTTGCCGGGCTCGGGGTGACAAGGTGGCCTCTGGGCCTCATCACCCTCCAAAGGCCCAGACACTTCCTCACAGTCCCCAGAATGAGAGGGAGGAGGGCCTGGCCCTCTCTGGCTCCCTGCCCAGCTCCTGTCCTCCTGACTGGGGCAGTTACTGAGGCCCAGGACTCTGAGGGGTGACAGGGGCCCCACGCTCCATGGAAACCAGGGTGGGAGCTCTTGTGGGGGCCATGGGCAGGGGGCCTCATGGGGTGGGATGGGGTGGGGGCTCCTGGAACACAGAATCCGAGCCAGGCCTGGAGGACCTGGACTTGGCAGGCTATTCTGCAAATCCCACCCCACATCTGAGCCCGGGCCTGGAGGTGGCAGGTGAGGGCCCCTGGGCAGGGGCCGCTGCTCCGTCCCTGGGAGCCACTGGTACCCATGACCCACCCCCTGAACGTCTCATCCAATTCTGGGCCTGGAACCGATGATGCATGCGACTTTGCAACCAAGGTGCTCCACCGTCTTGGCCTCAGACTCCTAAGTACCTCACTTGATGATGTGTTTACTGCTGGCTGAGAGGCTGCTGTGTGTCTTTGTAAAGCGGTGCTCCTCGGCCCCTCCTGTGTGCTGGGCATGTGGAGTTGCGTGGGGTACAGCCGAGCTAAGTGGGACCCTCAGCACAGCACGTCGGTGGGGATGTCGCCTGGGCAGGACCAGGGCGGGCTTGCCAGGCACTGCAGAGTTTGAGCTGAGCTGCGAGGACAGGAAGAACTGTTGGGAGGTTGGGCAGGGTGGGATCCCTGGAGGCCAGGGCAGGTGCAGAGGAGGTAGAAGGGGGCTTCAAGTCCTCATGTGGCTGGAACCAAAGCGTGTGAGGAGTTTCAGGCAGTGAGGGGCTGAATCCTGGTGGTCGTCAGGGTGCCCTGCTGAGCACCTTGGGGCCCTCTGAGGGATTCGGAGCCAGAGAAAGATGTGATCGGAGCTGTGCTTTAGGAAGCCAGGGCAGGGGTTAGGGTGCCGGAGGAGGGAGGGTCAAGGTGGTGGTCATGGGGGGCAGGGGCCAGGGTGCTGAAGGAGGAAGGGTCAAGGTGGTGGTCATGGGTGGGGAATGGGGAGTGGGGATGCCCAGGCTCTCTTCTCCTTTGCCAAGCATGCCTGAGGCTGCTCCTGGGATGGGGCCTATAGGACCTGTGACTCCCGCAGCATCTGAATGACCCTGACTTTCCTTGTGTCTGCAGATGGCATCCACAGCGTCACGGCCTTCTGCACCCTGCGTGTCACCATCATCACGGACGACATGCTGACCAACAGCATCACTGTCCGCCTGGAGAACATGTCCCAGGAGAAGTTCCTGTCCCCGCTGCTGGCCCTCTTCGTGGAGGGGGTGGCCGCCGTGCTGTCCACCACCAAGGACGACGTCTTCGTCTTCAACGTCCAGAACGACACCGACGTCAGCTCCAACATCCTGAACGTGACCTTCTCGGCGCTGCTGCCTGGCGGCGTCCGCGGCCAGTTCTTCCCGTCGGAGGACCTGCAGGAGCAGATCTACCTGAATCGGACGCTGCTGACCACCATCTCCACGCAGCGCGTGCTGCCCTTCGACGACAACATCTGCCTGCGCGAGCCCTGCGAGAACTACATGAAGTGCGTGTCCGTTCTGCGATTCGACAGCTCCGCGCCCTTCCTCAGCTCCACCACCGTGCTCTTCCGGCCCATCCACCCCATCAACGGCCTGCGCTGCCGCTGCCCGCCCGGCTTCACCGGCGACTACTGCGAGACGGAGATCGACCTCTGCTACTCCGACCCGTGCGGCGCCAACGGCCGCTGCCGCAGCCGCGAGGGCGGCTACACCTGCGAGTGCTTCGAGGACTTCACTGGTAGGTGCCCGGGCTCACCCTGGCTTTGTGTACATGTCCCCAGGTCACATGGCCGAGGGTCTCAGGTGGTTTCCTCTGTTTACTTCCCTCCGGGGAAAACAGCTGGAGGATGGGCGCTGGGCCCAGGTGTGGGCTCCACGAACCTTGAGATGATCTCAGTAACGGTACTTTTTTTTTTTTTTTTAACTTTTTTGAGATGATCTCACTCTATTGTCCAGGCTTGAGTGCAGTGGCGTAATCTTCGCTCACTACAACCTCCGCCTCCTCGGTTCAAGCGATTCCTCTGCCTCAGCCTCCCGAGTAGCTGGGGTTGCAGGCACAGGCCACCACGCCCAGCTAATTTTTGTATTTTTAGTAGAGATGGGGTTTCGCCATGTTGGTCAGGCTGGTCTTGATCTCCTGACTTCAAGTGATCCACCCGCCTCAGCCTCCCAGAGAGCAGGGATTACAGGCGTGAGCCACCGTGTCCGGCCAGCAATGGCACTTTCTTAGCCAGCTCGGGGCTTCCCTGACCGTAGCCCACGGCTTACTCACTTTCCCTGCCCGACTTAACTGCCTGCTTTAGGAGAACAGTAGGACAAGGTTACAGGGTGAGATCCACTTAAAAGAAAACCTAAACGCATGAAATGACATGAGTTGCTTTTAAGTGGCCCTCAGGTGAAAGTACTTTATTCCAGATTGCAGGCTTAATTGGTTAGCGTAAAACAGTGGAACCAGGTGGAAACCATTGAGCCATTAATCATTTGGGTCTTGAAATCCTGTTTTTTCATGCCTCCCTGTCACCGTAGAAATTTCGTGACTCATCCTCCCGCCTCTGAAGATGCTCTTTCCTTGATACCTCCTGACTCATCACCAAGATGAATTACTCCAAATGTAGCCAACGGTGGTTTTTAAAAATAAAGAGCCACCCCGAGAGCGGTACAGAAACACACATTCTCTGCATCTCAGCGCACATCTTGCTTTGGTCTTTGATTGGCTGTTCCACAAAATGACGGCTCATTTGATAAGCGAGTTTACAATGGTCCCAGTGGTGAATAGTCTGTCTTTTTTTTTTTTTTTTTGAAAGCTCTCTGGGATTAGGCAGGATTTGGTTCATACCGGAGATAACTTTGAGACTCTTCCATCGACTGTGTCCTCGATTAATCTGTTTAATATAAACACCTGAGCAATCGTTAGCTGCTCGTTACCAGCACATAGCACAAGTTTATCGAGCTTATAACAAGGGTTTGAGGTATTAGCAGGTATTTATCAGGCAGGAAGAGCGCAGGGGAGCAGAGAGAGAGAGGAAGGATGGCTTCCAAGGTTCTCTGCATCAGAAGTGGAGGGAAAACCACCAGCACGGGTGTTGGCAGCCTGATGCAAGGGTGCTCCCGGCTCTGACTTCCTGCGCTCCAGGTTGGTGGCCCTCTGGTCATATGGCAGGTGGAAGGAAGGCAGTGTGGTCACCTGCCCCGTGGTGTTCCCACGCCTGCTAGTCTGTGGCTGTCTGTTGGTGCCGTCTGGGTCTGGGGCTCTTCCCCCCGCTGTCTCTCACTGAATGCTAATCCTAAATTCCTGGCTATACCGGGGCTCGGCTGTGGGCAAGGCAGGCAGGCAGGCAGAGGCGGCGGGAGACCCCCGCCTCCCACAGCCCACACCTGCGTTGGGTTTGGGGGTGGGGACGACTCCAGGTATGAGCAGGCCTGAACCAGGCCCCCTCCTCTGCTCTTTCAGTGGATTCCTGTTCTGTGTCAGCTTCCCCAGGTCCCCTTCCTCCCCTTTGCCCCTCACGGCCTTGAGTGGGCTGCTCTGCCTCTCTGAAGGGCCAGCTTGGATGTAGCAGTGGCCAGCACGGTCAGCGCCCCTTCCCCGAGCCAGTGCCTGCCATGTGGCCTGGGTGGGGGGCGCTTCGTCGACTTCCCTGCTTCAGATGAAGAAGCCGTGGCCGCGGGTCCCTGGAAAGGGGCCTGTTACGCTCCCAAGAGTTGGCAAGGACGCCATCTTTACTCCGCAGATAGTACCTACTGTATACCAGGCCAGCGCACACAGCCAGACCTCCCCCAGCCTGTTCTGGGGGGTGACCAAGTTCATCTGTGCCGTTGGCTTTTTCATGGGTAGAGGGGACTGTGCAAGCACCCACCACCTCTGGCTTTGTCAGATGAGTCAGGAGCCCTAGGGTAACGTCTAACGTGGCTTTGAGACCTGCATCGGCCTTCCAGGCCGCCAGTCCAGGCTGCAGGAAGCTTGGGGCTGCACTGGGCAGGGGTGGTCGAGGCCCCTGGGGACCCCTGGGCCAGCAGATCCCCTCTGAAGATGATTGACCCATTGGGGGGAACCCACCTTCTGAGCTTCTCAGGTTTTCTTTTCATCGGGAGAGTCATTTTTAGAAAACTAATGACTGGGGAACGGCCAAGTCTGTCATCACCAGTAAGACCCACTAACATGTAATGATTGGCATGAGACTAATTTGAATCTCTTTGGGTACCAAAATTATCATATGTATTTCCCTCGGAGATAAGGCTAATTAAGACTGATTATTTCTACTCCGTCCCTCTTCCTCCCCTTTTCCCTCTTTCCCTTTGAAGCGCTCCTTTTTCTGCGTGGAGGTAATTGAGCTCATTTATTCACGATGAAAGTGGTGCTGTCGGCAGAGGGGTTTTATTACTTGCTCCCTGGTAAGCCGAGCTCGGGGGCCTCACGGTTGCAAGGTTGGAATCGGCCCAAGTGGCTGCTGAAAGCCCCTGGCTTCTTGTGTTGCGGGACAGGAGACAGCAGGAGCTGGATGAAGGAAGTAGCAATTAATTTCAGGAAAAGCTCAACAAATTTGATGCTGGAGAAAATACTGATGGCTCTCCCGTGTCCCTGAAATCCATTTTGGCCTTAGAGAAGTCCAAGGCCCCAGGGTCTGTGGATTCCCCTGATCTTTGCAGGGAAAGGAGGGCTGCCACCCGCTCACGGCGTTGGGACTGTGGTTGGGGTCTGCAGCCATCCCATTCTCCGAAAGGGACGAGGGCAGGAAGCCTTAAGGCTCCGGCATCTTAGATGTGCCTGGGATGGCCTCCCAGTTTCTCCGCTCTGCAGAGAGTCCTAAACAACCCTGAGAGGCAAACACGGGCTGGTGTTCCTCGGTTCTCAGCCCCTCGGTCTTTTTGTAAACATCGTAGTTGTGTTTGTTGTTAAATTGCTCAGGCTCTGACTTGGCTCCTGTGGGTCCAGACACAGGGCCCTGTTCCGTCTCCCCTCTGCACCTGCCATCCCTTCATCTGAAATGTGTCTCCTCCCCATCCATCTGCCCATCATGGGCCTCCCTCAAAATCTGCTTCCGCAGCTGTACACCTGCTCTGAGAAGGTTCTGGAAGTTTCCCGACCTCCTCAGATGGATCATAGGTTTCCTCCCTTGAAGCTTCCTGGGTGCCTTGCTGATGCTTTTGTTGGTCCACCCCCATGCTGGGTGTGGTTCACACACTTCCATGTCTCTGTCCCCCAGGATGGCAGGGACTGTAGCTAATGGGTGTGTGTGTGTGTGTGTGTGTGTGTGTGTGTGTGTGTTTTGAGACTGAGTCTCACTGTGTCACCCAGGCTGGAGTTCAGTGGTGTGATCTCAGCTCACCGCAACCTCTGCCTCCTGGGTAGCTGGGACTACAGGCATGCATCACCACGCCCGGCTAATTTTTTGTATTTTTAGTAGAGACTGGGTTTCGCTATATTGGCCAGGCTGGTCTCAAACTCCTGACCTCAGGTGATTCGCCTGCCTTGGCCTCCCAAAGTGTTGGGTTTACAGGCGTGAGCCACTACGCCTGGCCGGATTGTAGCTAATGTTTAGTGGTGCTCTGCTCTGCTGGTTACTGCTCTAGATGATTCTACACGTATTTTCTCATTGACTTCTCGAGGCAGCTCTATGATCCCATTTTATAATGGGGTCATAGAAACTGAGGTACAAGACATCAAAGCATCTAGCCCAGTGGTTCTCCACTAGGGGTGATTTTGCCCCCAGGGACATTTGACAAAATCAGACATTTTTGGTTGTCACAGCTGGGGGTGGGGGTGCTGGTGGGTTGAGGCCAGGAATGCTGCTTGACATCTGTAGTGCACAGGGCCGCCCCACGGCAGAGAAGCGGCCTCAGCGCTGAGGGCAAGGACCCTGCTGGCACTGTGGAGGGTGGGGTCAGGATTCAAACCCAGGCATTCTGGCTTCTGAGCTGCAGCTGTAGACCCTCGAGGGTCAACGGCCGGCCAGGTTTACCAGCTTAGATCCTTCCTCTTGCATCATTTGTTTAACAGCATTTTGTGAAAGGCGCCTTCTGTGCTGGTTGAAAGGGGCAGTGTGATGGGTGGTATGCAGTGGCCCCGGAGGGGCTTTGCAGCTGTTAACCTCACACCTGAGGGGCTGGGAGGCCGCTGTTCCTTCCCCACAAGAAACCTGACCTCATTAAATCAGGACTGGCCTTAGGACTCGGTTTTGAATCCTGGTGCTGCTCTTGGTGTCTGCTCTCCCTAATTAAACAATTACGACCACTCACTCATTACTAAAATGGGAACCGGCTGGGCACGGTGGCTCACATCTGTAATCCCAGCACTTTGGGAGGCCGAGGCACGTGGATCACGAGGTCAGGAGATTGAGACCATCCTGGCCAACACGGTGAAACCTTGTCTCTACTAAAAATACAAAAAACCAGGTGTGGTGGCACACGCCTGTAGTCCCAGCTACTTGGGAGGCTGAAGCAGGAGAATCGCTTGAACCCAGGAGGCGGAAGTTGCAGTGACCCGAGATCATGCCAGTGCACTCCAGCCTGGGCGACAGAGTGAGACTGTCTCAAAAACAAAAACACAAACAAAAAAAAACCTAAACTGGGAACAGTACTCTCTACTGGTGACCAAGAACGGAAGTCCTGGGCTCTGCTCTCACTCGGCCTTTCCCATGTATCTGTGACAACCCAGGAGGTGGGACAGTTGTCATCCCAGTTCTGTCAACACCCAGGTGCAGCACCAGGCGGGCGGGGCCAGGATTCGACTTGGGGATCTCTTGTGAGAGGTGAGTCTCACAGCTGCTCCTGGGAGGGTCAGATGCCCCGGGCCTCCAGCCTCTTCCCTCTGGTCCCCTGGAGGGTGTCCCCAGTACCAACTCCAGATACTCCCTGCTCTGATCCTGCTTCCTCTCCCCATCCCTTATTTCAGCCCACGGGCTCACAGTGGATGCCCCTTGGCCCCACGTTCAGCCTCTTGCCATGACCTAATGACGCTGCCTCCCCAGCCCAGTTCTTCTCTCTGCTGCCTGTCCCTGTTTTCATGTTATCACCTTGGTGGGGCCTTCTCCTGCCCTCCCTGCCACCCTCGTCCTGCCCTGACGATCCCTTCTTCACGGAGCGCCCAGGATGCCTGGTGAAGCAGGCATTTGTCACATCAGTGTTCAGGCCTTCCTGGGGTGACCGGTGCTCCAGTATAAAGTGCAGTCACTGGGCCTGTGGCACTCAGAGGTCTAGCCTCACCCCCGGCTCCCCAGGCTGAGGTCACTCTGGCCTTCGGGACACACACTGGCCTCTCTCACCGTGGTGCTTGCCCCTCCAGCGCACCTTCCCCCAGGTCTTCCCTGAATGTTCCCTCCCTGTCCCCACTCCTCTGTCCTCCCTGCAGCCCTCACCCCCATGGTGGTGTTTGCTTGTCATTGTCACCTTCCTCCCTCTGCACTAGATGCAGACAGCAGCGTCCTCCGCCCAACAGAACATGCCCGCGGGTCTGCAGCAGGCACCGTGTGCAAATGAGACAAGGGCTGGCCATCCCGCCCCTCCACGTAGGCCAGAGATAATGCCCTCGGGGCCTGAAACTCATTCTGTGTTGTGGTCAGAGTGCTGCCTGTGCTGCCTCTGGTGCTGAGCTAGGAGGAACCGGACCCTCCAATCACGTACACTTCCCTTCCCTGTCTCCTCTGCCCCTTCCTAGGGGACGCCGAGGTATGTCTGACTCTGTCCTGCCCCTGTGAGCACTGGCTAAGCTCCCATGTGGGTCCGCCCTCGTGCTCATCACAGCTGTGAGCGGGAGTGTGGGCTCCAGGCCTCTGGGCATTCCCGGGAAGCCTTCCTCATCTCTGTCCGCGCTGTGAGCGGGTGATTTGTCATCACGGTAGCGTCTTCGTCTTCCCATGGGGCGCATTCCTGAGTGGCAGCTCTGATATCACAGGAAAGGCGGGTTTTTCTGCAAGGCTGAACATCTTGGAGGGGGACGGCAACAAGTCACTTTCACTCACCTCATGTCTGGGTAGAGGCAGACCTGGGTGCCCCTCCTGTGTGCGCCAGTGGGCCGGGGCTGCTTTGTTAGGGTTGAGTTTATTCTTGATCACCTGCTTTTAGGACCCCAGGGGCTGCGAGAATAATCTTTTTCCCCGCCCCCGAGATGAGTCTTGCTCTGTTGCCCGGGCTGGAGTGCAGTGGCACAACCTTGGCTCACTGCAGCCTCTGCCTCCTGAGTTCAAGTAATTCTCCGGCCTCAGCCTCCCGAGTAGCTGGGATTACAGGCATGCACCACCACTCTTGGTTAATTTTTGTGTTTTTAGTAGAGACAGGGTTTTACCATGTTGGCCAAGCTGTTCTCGAACTCCTGACCTTCTGATCCTCCCGCCTCGGCCTCCCAAAGTGCTGTGGGCCCTGTACGTCCACGCCACGTGGACTTCGGGAGTGTCGGGTGCTCCCTAGCTGGGGCCTTAGCTTGGTTTGGGAATCAGGAACCGAGTAGGTGAGTAGCCACTTGGGAGCGCTTCAGTGCTGCTGGCTTTGAGCTTTGTACCAACTCCCTAGGCTGGGACAATAGCAATTGTCCTGTATGAGCCCCCCACCCCCCGCCCCAGGTCATGGTCCCCAACTGTCCCTGCGAGGGCCTCCTGGGGCCAAGGACAATCTGTGTAGGTTCAAGGACAGAGAAACTTCTGGTGTAAAAACATAATCACCTGTGTGCTCATGGGAAAATCTTAAAAATAAATTCTAGCCCTTCTGCGATTCTGTTGTAAAATGTGTACGTCACTCCAGCTGTGAGTTTTATTTTGGGTTCTCTTTTTTTTTTTTTTTTTTTTTTTTTTAGACAGAGTCTCGCTCTGTCGCCCAGGCTGAAGTGCAGCGGCACAATCTCGGCTCACTGCAAGCTCTGCCTCCCAGGTTCACGCCATTCTCCTGCCTCAGCCTCCCGAGTAGCTGGGACTACAGGTGCCCACCACCACGCCTGGCTAACTTTTTGTATTTTTTTTTAGTAGAGACGGGGTGTCACCTTGTTAACCATGACGGTCTCGATCTCCTGACCTCGTGATCTGCCCGCCTTGGCCTCCCAAAGTGCTGGGATTACAGGCGTGAGCCACCGTGCCCGGCCTATTTTGGGTTCTCTTATCAGAGTCATGGGCTTTCCATCTTCATGTGATCTGCTGACGCACTCATCCCTCCCAGCCTGCAAGTTCTGCACTTTCAGATAAGGTCCTCATTCATGGCGAGCTGTGCCATCACCCTGCGGAGTGACGTCTGCTTAGCGCAGGGTTGCACGTGGGCCAGTGCTCGCTGTGGCTTCCAGGATTAAAGCTTCACTTCCAAGTATTCCTAGTAAAGTCGCAGTTAGTCCTTAAACTTGAGCGTTAATTATCATTCAAAATAAAACTCATTACATAACCTGTAATTAAAATCTCAAATAAAGCAGTAACAGAATCCTTTCTTGGGAAAACGTGCTTTTCAGATAATTCAGGATTACTTCAAGTTTTTCTCTCCTTGGTGCTTCTCAAGTCTTTTGCATTTGGCTTTTTGTACAGAGTCCAGGTTTTGAGATTTGCCATGTCCCTGGTACGTAGCTGTAAAGCTGGGGCATTATTTCATTTCTGGATAACTGTTTTCTATAAAAATCTTGCCGGGGGATCAGGGTGTGGGTCAATGTAGCCAGATATCTCCTGTTCTCCACTCAATTTCTTTCCCCAAAGCTGGGGCTTTTGATAAACAGAATTAGCGTCCTGTGCGGCGTGTGCAGGCACAGCCCACCAGCACTGGAGCCCAGCACGGTCCTCACACCCTGCAGTCCTCCTCCGGCTTCCGTGAGCTTCCTGGGGCTGCTGTAACCGATCGGCACAAACTGAGTGGCTGAAGACGACAGAAATCTGTTGTCTCAAGCCAAGTGCAGTGGTTCACGCCTGAAATCCCAGCACTTTGGGTGGGCGAGGCAAACGGATCACTTGAGGTCAGGAATTCAAAACTAGAACCTCTGTAATCCTATCACTTTGGGAGGCCGAGGCAGGTGGATCACCTGAGGTCAGGAGTTCAAGACTAGCCTGACCAACATGGTGAAACACCGTCTGTACTAAAAACACAAAAATTAGCCAGGCGCGGTGGCAGGCACCTGTAATCCCAGCTACTTGGGAGACTGAGGCAGGAGAATCGCTTGAACCTGGGAGGCGGAGGTTACAGTGAGCCGAGATGGCGCCACTGCACTCCAGCCTGGGCGACAGAGCGAGACTCTGTCTAAAAAAGAAAAAGAGAAAAAAGTCTCTTGTCTTACTGTTCTGGAGGCCAGAAATTCAAAGCCAAGGTCCCTGCAGGGCTGTGCTCTTTCTGAAGGCTTTAGGAGAGGGCCTCTCCTGGCCTCGTCCAGTTTCTGGTAGCCCCAGGTGGTATCTGACTCACGGATGCATCACTGCAGTCTCCGCCTCCGTCTTCACACTGTGTTCTTCCGTGCACGTCTGTCTCTGTCCAGGTTTCCATCTCATTGTAAGGACACCGGTCACTGGATTAGGACCCACCCTAATGATCTCATCCTAAGTCGATTACCTCTACAAAGACCCTATTTCCAAACAAGGTCACTTTCAAGGGTACTGGGAGTTCGTAACTGAGCGTATCTTTCTGGGGACACAATTCAGCCGTGGGTGCTCCTTCGCTGAGGAGCTAAGGAGTTTGGGAACCAGGGCTGTTGGCGCTTCTCACTGGCCTGCCTGTCGCGTGTCTGCGAGGACCACGGGCCACTCCAGGGTGGGAGGCAGGTTTCTGCGATGTGTTTACCTTTGCGAACGCTAAGCGCAGGAGCAGAGGGTTTCCCGCGTCCCACCCGGACAGCTTGGAGGTGGGCGAGCTGAACTAGGTGTGGAATGTGAGTCAGTGAGGAACAAACATCTGCCCAGAAATGTCTGGCCCACAGTTAGAAAAGTGGCCTGAAGACGAGCCGCATGCAATAGAAACCTCGCTGTGGTTTAAAGCACACGCCGTTCCCCGTGACTTCGAAGTCTGTGCTGTTGAGGGGAGACAAGGCTGCCTGGCCGGGCTGGCTGCGGGTCATGGGCGTCTGTGCGTGCACTGGAGGGATGCTGCTTCTGCAGAGAGAGTGTGGGCTCCGTGACAGCAGGGCTGGGCACGCTCGCTCACCCCTGCACGAGTCTCCTGTGGCCGCTGTAACATTTCCACACACGAGGGGCTTAACGCAGCACGGATTCATTCTTACTGTTCTGGAGGGCAGGAGCCCTGCATTCAGGGGCGTGGGCGGGGCTGCTCCGGGAGGCCCTGGGGAGGGCCTCCTGCTCTGCCTTCCTCAGCTGCTGGAGGCCACCTGGTCCTTAGTCCCTGGCACCTTCCTCACCTCACTCCGACCCCTGCTTCCACCACTAGCACCTTCTGCCCCTCACCCTCCCACCGCTTACAAGGAGCCTTGTGATGACTTTGGGGCCACACAGTAATGCAGGATGACTGCCCCGTCTCAAGATCCTTAATCACATCTGCAAAGTCCCTTAGGCCTTGAGGTCACACATCCTTGGCTTTCAGAGATGAAGATGTGGACGCCTTTTGGGGTCCATTATTTTGCTAACAACCCCGGCTGCTCCTGGTGTCTCCTCTCCCTAATTAAACAATCTCGACCACTCACACCCGGTAAATATTTGTTGAAGGCATGCGTAGTGAGCAGGTCCCACCATCGGCGCTGTGGTGGGGGTCTGGCAGTCTCTGCTGTTTATAACCGGCCACGATCTGGACCCAGGGCTGCTGGGAGCTGCTGGAGAGTCCGAATTGAGCCTCTGCCCTGAGAGTAGTGACCCAGACGACCTCGGGGGCGAGTGTTCTCTGCTCTCTCACCCGCTTCCGGTCAGCACTTTCAAGCCTTTTCTCTGGTGTGGACAGACAAAGCCGCCTCTGTCCTGCTCCTGGGGGCCAGGGGCCAGGTTAATCACGCACCTCTGGCCTGCCAGGGCTGGGTGTGGTGGGGTTACACTTATCAGATGAAGCTGGCTGGACATAGCGGGGGTAGACTTTGTATTAATGAGGGCAGTTCGTGACCCCCAACTCCAAGTGATGAATTAAGAATTCGTGCTCATTTTTTCTGGACGTTGATCTGTCACTAGTGCACTGTCTGTCCTGGCCCGCACTGGTGTGGCCAGGGGAATTTGAACCGTTGGGGTGCTGAGCAGCCTTTTCTCGTGATGAGTGAGGTTTTCGCTAGCATTCCAGCTGAGCCCGGGCATGCTGCTGTTCGTAGTTGGCACGGTTTCCCTGCATGCTGATAACGAACGCACCGGGCACGTCCCTTCCAGCCCTGCTGTGCACAGCTGCCTGGCTCACCTTCCTCGGTCGTCTTTCCATGTCTAGCAGGAGCATGGCCAGACCCTGGCCCCACATCCAGGCCCCCCAACCTGCCTCCCTCCGAGGCATGGCAGGGCCAGCCCTCTCCCTACCATCAGGAGCCAAGTGCTCAGTGGGGCGCCAGGCTGCACAGTGCCCTCTCCCCTGGGTGGAAGACCTAGACCCATCCCACCTGAATGTCCCCACTCAACTCTATCCTCCCTGGACAAGGCTGTTTCCAGGCTGTGCCCAACCCCATGGCCCCTGGAGAAAAGCAACTACTGAGGCCTGGAGGGCACAGGGGAGCCCCGCCTGCCCGACAGTGGCACTGTCTTCTTGGCATGTGCTGGGCCAAGGGCGGCGTGAAGTCTGCGTCCCCCTCACTCCAGGACCAGGAAGTGTTGGCTGGGCCCTGTCCCCTCTAGGTAGGACCCACCACCAGGCTCATCCTCATCTTGGGTCCTGGAGGCCTCCTGAGCTGCCACCAACGTCCTTCTAAAGAGAGCCAAGTCCCTGGCCCACGCCTTGGCTTGGAAGGACCCTGGGTTTGTTTTGAGGGGGTTGGAAACGCCCTGCAGGGGGAGTCGAGATGGGGTTCTGTACCCAGGTTGGTGCTGGGGCTGTAGGGACCCTCATGTCCTGGTGATCAGCAGGGCTGACCGCCCCCTAAGTGCCAGCTGTGTGTACCCCCAGTGCCAGGGACCAGGTGTTGTGGTATCCAGAGTCCTGTGGTTGCCCCTCCCCTACCAGTCTTGGCAACCAGGACTTCCCGAGTCCACTCGGGCCCAGGAGACGCTGTGTTTGTTTGGCACACTGGGTCCTCATGCCGCTGTCTTCCCGGTGCCATAAGAGCCCTGGCAAACAAGGAGTGTTTTATCTCCCGTGGCTCCAGGTCTGTGTAGGCTCCAGGAGATGCTGGGAGGCTTTGGGGTGCAGCTTCCTCAGGAGATTGACCCTGGAAGAGGGTTCCTGCTGACTGGCTGGTTTCCTCGGTGTGTTCTGGGCCTCGTTCTCCTAGGACTGCTGTGATAAGTGATCACAAACCGGGGCGCTGAAAATAACAGACATGCCTTCCCTCAGTTCTGCAGCTGGAAGGCCGAAATCAAGGTGTTGGCAGGGCCGGCTGCGCTTCCTGGAGGCTCTAGGAGGAGCCCCCCTGCCTCCCCGGCGCCTGGTGGCTGCAGGCCTTGGCTTGCGGCTGCCTGGCTCCAGGCTCTGCCTCCCTGTGCACCAGCCCTTCCCCTTGCTTCTCATCTCCCTCTGCGCTCATTTTACGATAATTCATGTTGTGATTGCATCGAGCCCACCTGCTAATCGGATTGCCTCATCTCAAGATCCTTAACTTAATTGCACTTTTGCCATATAAGTAAAATTCCTTCTTTTGCTATATAAGGTAACATTCCCAGATTTTAGGAATTACTATGTGGACACTTCCTTTTGGGGGCCACCGTGTAGCCCATTACAGGGTGGGTTATTTCCTAGTCTCTCCTCCATCGTCGGTGTTGTGGAGAAGGAGGTTGTAGGGAGCCCCTCTTCTGAAAGGCTGTGTCCCCGAGGGTGATTCCAGGCTGGGGTCACCTGGGCCCGCATGCTACTGGAGCCTTTGGCTTGGAGCTGCTGCAAGCACCAGAAGACGGTCAAACATGCACCCATCCTTCAGGTTCGGCAGGGTTTCCAGCCCTCAGCGTGTAGGTGACTCCCGTAAGAAACAGCAAAGCAGTGGATCAGTGGGAATCATTTTTCTTTGCTGCTGGAATGCATTTCTTATTTTTTTAAATGGGTGTGTCTGGAGATCATCTGGGAATTTGTTTCAGAGACACTAATGCAGTCACGCAGAGAAGGCCAGCCCTGGACAAGCGGCTTCTGCAGTGCCGGGCTCCCCTGGCCTCCCCCTTCCCAGCTCCCTCCTTGTGGGGCGGGGGTCTGGGCCTCCTGCTGAGGGCTTTCCTGGCTACCTTGCCAGGTGGGGCAGGGCTGGGCCGCCTGTAGGTGTGACTCAGGAGGGATTCCAGGTGCAGAGCAAGTCACCAGGAGGTGAGAAAGTCAAACAATGCGTGAAACCCAAGGGCAGACGTGGGTGCTGACAGACAGCAGTTCCCGGTGGGAGCTGGGGAGGAGGAGAGGGAGTGGGGCATGGAGGGGTGAACAGAGGGTGCCTCCTGTCTCAGGAAGGCAGTGAGGAACAGGAGGAACAGGGACCAGTAATAGTAACCTCGCCCTTGCGCAGGTGCGTAGCTCACAGCCGTACCAAATGAGCTGTTTCACTCACATCAGCCTGTTAGTGCTGGGGAATGCTCCTGGCCCAAGAGAGACAGAAATCCCTGCCTTGGGGGATGGATTTATTACAGCTGGGGAAACTGAGGCACTAGCCAGGATCTTGCTCAGGAAACCTCTGTCCTGACAGCAGTGCTGTGGGGGTTTGGAATGGGGTGCTGAGGCCCCTGCAATCTCGCCTCCTGGTCGGCCTCTCCTATAGGGACATTCGGAGGGGACACCTGTCCAGGGAAGGCAGTGAGGTGCACTCATTCACTGGACCCGTCCCTGCAAGCTCTGTGTGGACATTAAGGCAGATGCAGGCTTAACTCCCGCTCCCACCCATGCAGCTGTGTGACCCAGCACAAGTAACTGCCCTCTCTGAACCTTCGTGTACTCATCTGACCAGCCAGGTGCTGCGGCCTGCCTTGTAGGGAAGGTCATGTGTGGACTGTGCTCACCTCTGGAGGAGGTTGCTGTGAAAGTGCTCATGTTCTCATCCCCAAATGTGAACCTGGGGATACCCAGGGTCAGGGAGCGTCACCTGAGCTGTTGGGACGCCATGTGGCCCTGCCCTGTCTGTCCCTCCATCTCTATGTCAGCCTGCCTTGCAGGGCCGAGTTGGTAGCACGTCCTCCCCCACAGCTCTGTTGCTGGACAAAGGCCCTGGTGGCTGGGGGCCTCTGCTGGCCTGGCTTCTGCCTGGGGCTGCATGCCACAGGGGTTCTGAAGTCCCCGGGAAGAGGCAGGGTCCTGACTGGCAGTGGACTGCTGTGCATGACCCATTGCTGAGGCTGCAGCCGCCTGGGCTTTTCTGTGCAGCTCCTATCTCCGGTGGGGGCCTTGCTGGTGTGGGACTGTCACGTTGCAGAACAGGAAAGGGCTGGGGCTCTGCCTCCACTGCCCTGCGGTGGGAACCCCTGTGTGTGCCTGTGGGCATGCATGTGAGTGTGTGTGAGCATGTGAGTGCGTGCATGTGAGTGTGTGTGAGCACGTGAGCCATGTATGTTGGAGGCTGGAGGTACTTTCTCAGGTTTGGTTGGAATCTGATGGGGTGGAAAGGGCTTGGCGAGGAGCCTTAGCTGTGCCCACCCTTTCTGGTCCTGACCCTACTTTGATGGCTGCCCTGCCTGAATTCTTCAGCTTGACCCCTCCCCTCCCCTCCACCTCCATGCCAGCACCCCTTCAAAGCTTCCCCCTCTGCTTTTTCCATCTGCTATAACTCTTCATGTATTTTTGGTTTTTCTGAACATCTGACATTTTTTTACCTAGATGGAAACTCCATGAGGGCAGGGATCTGTTTTGTTCATTCTTATAACCCCACTGCCTAAAGAATGGCCCACGCTGGCAGTTTATTAGATGGATGAGTGGGTGGAGGGACAGGTGGGCAGCTGAGTGCAGGTGAGTAGGTGGAAGGGTGGATAGATGGATGAATGATGGATAGTTGGGTGGGTGGGTTGATGCATGATGGGTGGTTGGATGGATGGATGGCTGTGTGATGGGTGGTTGGATGGATGGATGGATGTGTGATGGGTGGTTGGATGGATGGATGGATGTGTGATGGGTGGTTGGATGGATGTGTGATGTGGTTGGATGGATGGATGGATGGATGTGTGATGGGTGGATAGATGGATGAATGGTG
This sequence comes from Homo sapiens, assembly GCF_000001405.40. Taxonomy (NCBI): domain Eukaryota; kingdom Metazoa; phylum Chordata; class Mammalia; order Primates; family Hominidae; genus Homo; species Homo sapiens. The sequence continues at coordinate 46,449,279 of NC_000022.11, read as the reverse complement.
GATAGTTGGATGGGTGGGTTGATGCATGATGGGTTGTTGGATGGCTGGATGGATGTGTGATGGGTGGTCGGATGGATGGATGGATGTGTGATGGGTGGTTGGATGGAAGCTGGGTGAGTGCTTGGAAGCTGGGTGAGTGGATGGAAGCTGGGTGGGTGGGTGGATGAACAATGGATGGGTGGATGGATTCATGGGTGAATAAATGGATGGATGGAAGGGTGGAGGGGTGGGTGAATGAGTGGGTGGGTATATGGAAGGATGGATAGATGAGTGAATGGAATAACAGATGGGCAAATTCGTGTGGTGTTTTATCATTTCTGACATACCCTTTTCCTCTTAGAAACCCTGTAACGTTCCCCTCTTGGCCTCCTATCTGTGTGCTTTCTCTGGTAGTGAAGTTTCTGACACATGAGCCACGCTGTTGGGTTGTGTCTTCAAGACTGTGCTTTCTGCATCCTAGGATCCAGTGTTAGGACTGAGCTCTTTGATGGGGCTTTGAGTTGACTTCAGGTTTTGTGCATTTGCGTGATATGACCTGACTTTGAAATTGCCCTGTGTTCCTGTTCCCGGGCCCTTCCACTCACTCCTTGTTCTCTGTTCTTGTGTTTCATTTTGATCGTTAATTCTGCATAAACTAAGCCTTCATCAAGTGCTTGAGTTTTACCATTGTGGCCTTTGGAAATTCTAGTTTTTCTAGTTCAAAGCTCTTAGCTGTTTCTTAGGACCAGAAAGGAATTGTCTTTTTATTTATTTAAGAACTTAAGTGGTCAATCTTTACACGCCCTTCCCCTCCTGGGGCACGTTCCCAGCGCGTTCCCAGCCCTCCCCCAGGTCCTGAGGTTCTCTGCCTGCTGTGCCCCCTCTCTAGGTGAGCCCTGAGACCCTGCATCTCTCTTCTCCTAGCTCCTGGAGCAGCCCCCCAGGGGTAAGTTCTGGAGCTCTTGAGCCAGGGGTTCACATCAGCATCCCCTCGCGTGGGCCCTCTGCCCCCACCCCCATGCCCTCTGTCTTCCCTGGGCTTGTGTCCAGCCCCCTGCCAGAGTCTCCATGTAATGATGTGGAGACCCTCTGGGCACCCCCTTCCTTGTTCACAGACCAGGAGCACACCCAGCACCCAGCCCCCGCCTGCAGCAGGTAAGCCGTTTGCTGAAGCCCTGTGAAGCCAGGGCTTTTCTGGAAGCCCCTTAGGCCAAGGGTTGATGGCTTTGGTGCTAGGGTCTCTGGGCAGGCAGGGCAGTGCACCAGCCCCAAGCCTGGTATGGGACAGGTCCCCAGTGGCGGGGCAGGTGCATGAGGCCATGAGGGCTGGATGGGCCTTGGCTCCTGGGAGCTTTTCTTTTGCCGTTAAGAATGCTTTTCTGGCCGGGTGTGGTGGCTCGCACCTGTAATCCCAGCACTTTGGGAGGCTAAGGCGAGCAGATCACCTGAGGTCAGGAGTTCGAGACCAGCCTGGCCAACATGGTGAAACCCCGTCTCTACTTAAAATACAAAAATTAGCCAGGTGTGGTGGTGTGCACCTGTAATCCCAGCAACTCGGGAGGCTGAGGCAGGAGAATCGCTTGAACCTGGGAGGTGGAGGTTGTGAGCCGAGATCGCACCATTGCACTCCAGCCTGGGCGACAGAGTAAGACTCTCTTAAAAAGCTTTTCTGTACTATAGCCAGGAAGCTGAGCCCTGCGTCCCTCCTACGGGGAGAGGGGGAGCTTTTGGCAGGCTGCATGCGTGAGTGAGCACAGCAATAGGTTTGCCCAGGTGGACTCTATCCTTGGTGTGGGAGGCGAGGCTGCCATGGTGATGGGGGTGTGCAGAGTATGGGTGAATTTCCCCCAGGTTTGAATGACTCAGCAAGCCTTTGACTCCAAGCAGAATCCTAGGGTGTAAGGAGAACATCAAATTTATTTTGAATGAGAATTCCTAGAAAAGGAAAGATAAATCCTGATAGTCAGCATAGCTGAACATTTATTTTATGAAAATAGTGTGTCTTATAAAAGCTCTATTAGAAAATAAAAGATACAGAGCTAAAAGACACAGAGCTCACTAAATTTGACCTATTTACCTTCAGATGATTTTAGAATTAAAAATCTGTCATATCACATCTCTTTTCAACTCAGCCTTGGTGGGAGTGTTTACAAATGCCGCCAATTCAGGATTCTCCCTGAGGGTTGGTGGGGAGCAGCCCCTCCAGTTACCTTGTTTAAACAGCGCTGTAATCCACTCATGCTAGCAGCCCCTCCAGCTCCCTATAAACAGTACTGTAATCCACTCCCGCTTTGCTTAACTTTATCTTCTGTGCAGGGCTGTGCTGCAAGTGCTTAACCACCAACCCTCAGGGGAATCCTGAATTGGCTCTGTGCTAGGAGTCAGCCCTAAGGAACACAGGGACAGGACCTTCCCCGGCTGGTCCAGTTCATCCAGAACCCAGTTGCTCTTGGTTCTCATGGTCCTTTATTAAAAAAAAGAAAAGATGTTTTAACTATAAAATTAATTCATTTCATCAACACCTTTCCTGCACTATTTGAATCAAATATGGGAATTATGTCGTTTTGTAACTCATGGATTAAGTGCAGGCATCAGTCATTGGCTTGGAACTGGGGAAATCCTGGCATTTTTTGACTTCATTTCACAAGTGTCTGTCAGTACCTGCTATGGACCCAGCTTTCCCCCCCACCGACCCCCTGCGACCCTCCCTGCCAGGTGCTCAGCATATGCCCTGCACACACCAGGCATTTATTCGGCACTCGCTGTGTGCCTGACAGTCTCAGACTGGCCCCCAAACAGACCCTGTCATTGCCTGCACAGAGCTGGGGAGAGAAACACACGGGGGAACCATCGCACAAGCAGGGCTGGATGTGGAGCTGGTGGGGCGATTGCTGGAGAGGGGAGATTTTGAGTCCATGAGAGCCCCCAGGGTCACCCTAAGCAGGCAGGTGGCCCGAGCTTCCCCAGAGGGAGAGTGCTCGAGGCAGAGGACAGGTACAGCCAGGGGATGCGGGTGGCCTCCAGGCACTGGAAAGCCACATGCAGAGACTAAGAGAGAGGACGCGGGGCTGGAGGATGGCCTGCAGTGTACGCACAGGGCCATCTGTAGCTGCCCTGGGAGGAGGGAGACAGTGGGGCCGGCACAGGCTCGTGAGTATGGTGTGGAGGGGGCTGGGTGTGTGGCTGGGGGCTGGGCCCTGGGACCCCTTAGGCTGGGGTCTTTATGGAGCAGTGGGAGTCTAGCCAGTGGGACTGACACATGGTGAGGCCAGCGTTGTGGAGGACTGTGCTGTCGCGAGGCAAGGGACAAGTAGGTCTGGAGGCTGTGCGGCAGGAGCAGGGGCCGCGAGGCGAGGGGGCTTGTGGCTGTGCAGGGGGCTGCTGGAGGCAGGAGGGGTTGCAGTGAGGACTCCACCTCTCCCTGGCTGGGTGGGAGGATGAGCTGGCAAAGGCCAGGAGCAGCATCTCCTGCAAGCAGGGAGAACAGCACCCGGGGAGTCCTGGACGCTTCCACCTCCGAAGCATCGACGGGAAAGGCTCTGCCAGCCAGGCGCTGCTGCTCTCGGGGCACCGGGTTTGCAGAGGCTAGAATGTACGCGATTGCAATTCCAGGACAAACACGGAGGGCCACTGTAGTGAATTCAGCAGTGGCTCCCAAAATCCTTGTCCACACAGACTCTCAGAATGAGACCTCAGTTGGAAATGGGCTCTTTCCAGATGTAATGAGTTTGGGTCCTTAAGTCATCGTGGATTTAGGGTGGACCCTAAATCCAATGACTGGTGTCTTTATTTTTTATTCATTTTTTTAGAGACAGTCTTGCTCTGTCACCCAGGCTGGAGTGCAATGGTGCAATTTTTGGTTCACCGCAATCTCTACCTCCTGGATTCAAGAGATTCTCCTGCCTCAGCCTGCCTAGTAGCTGGGACTACAGGCATGCGCCACCATACCCGGCTAATTTTTATATTTTTAGTAGAGACGGGGTTTTGTCACATTGGCCAGGCTGGTCTCGAACTCCTGACCTCAGGTGATCCACCTGCCTCGGCCTCCCAAAGTGCTGGGATGACAGGCCTGAGCCACTACACCCAGCCTTATTTTTTATTTTTGAGGTGGAGTTTCGCTCTTGTCACCCAGACTGGACTATGGTGGTGTGATCTTGGCTCACTGCAAACTCCGCCTCCTGGGTTCAAAGGATTCTCCTGCCTCAGCCTCCCAAGTAGCTGGGATTACAGGCGCTTGCCACCACGCCGGTTAATTTTTGTAGTAGAGATTGGGTTTCACCATGTTGGCCAGGCTCGCGAACCCCTGATCTCAGGTGATCCACCCACCTCAGCCTCCCAAAGTGCTGGGATTACAGGCACGAGCCACCGCTCCCGGCCTGGTGTCTTTAATAACAGGAAGGAGAGGGAGATTTGACGGCCTTGTGAGGACAGAGCAGAGATTGGAGAGATGCAGCCACAAGCCAGGGACGCTGGGAGCCACTAGAAGCTGGTAGAGGCAGGAGAGATCCACCCTGGAGCCTCCAGAGGGAGCTGGGCCCTGCTGATACCTTGATTTTGGACTCCTGGCCTGTGCGACTGTGAGACAATGAATTTCTGTTGTTTTAAGCCTCCAGTTTGGGGTCATCTGTTACGGCAGCCACGGGAAACACATACAGCTACTTTCTGAAAATGAAAACAAACAAAAAGCAAAGCAAATACAACTCCGCATTAAAAAAGCAAACCAAACCAAACCAACAATTCCATGGAGATTAGTTTTATTTGCCACATATTTAAAGGAGCAAGACCTTTTCAGCGAGGGGCAAACACCTGCGGCTGGGTTTGCTGTGCTCTCACGGGCATTAGCAGCCACCTGTTGATCTCTGGTCCCTGCAGAGGTGCCCCCCTCGGGGGCAGGACAAGCTTATATCGGTCAGCCTCCCTTTCACGGGGCAGCCTGAGGATATCGGGGGCCACTAGAAATCAAATTTGGAAGCAGGAATGCCGGTCTGCAAGTTCAAATTCAAACCTTCCAGATACAAAGCGCTGTCTTCACTCAGGGCTGGCCACCTTTTCCTGGGCCTTTTAGAGGAAATCCCAGGCTGGAGGTGAGAAGCCGAATCTTCCAGCCCTCGGATGAGGGGAGAGTGAGTTCCGACCCGGAGCAGGTGGGACCGGGAAGCTACGTGGAGGTCATGGGCCTGGGCCTCACTTTCCTCTGGGAGAGTCTGAGCCCCGGGCCCAGCCTGGGTTCTTACTACCTGGGACAGACAGAAGCGGCTGTGGGAAGGGCAGGGCTGGGCCCCACAGGCCCTTTGTTTGCCGTCGAGGTTGGGTGAGTACACCCAGCCTCTCCCGGTGGCTTTGTTATTCCAGAGTGTGCTGTGCTTGGCCACTGGCTGGAACTTGGAAAGCAAACACTCCCAAATGTCACATATTTTAAAAGTAGAAGCAAGATAATTTGAAGTGTCCAAAGGAGGAGAAATATACCTTAAGCGTCACACCTCCCGTGAACGCACGGGATTTACAAAGGCCAGGAAGCCACGAGCACTGACTTGCTCATATGAGTGTGCAGCTGGGTGTGCAGGTATGCATCTGTGTGTGACAGGATGTGAGGTGTCTGTGAGGGTGTGTCAACGCATGTGTATGTATGTGTGTGTGTGTGAACAGGTGTATGGACATGTGTAGACGGGAAATTGAGTGCATGTGTGAATACATGTGGAAGGTTATAAGCATTGTGCAAATGTGTGTGCAGGTGTGTGTGTGCACATGGCCCGCCTGCAGGGCGGCGGGGTGCAGCATCTGTGGTGGGCTGACCCCCATAGCGGGGAGTGGTAGGGGGGTTAGCCTCCAGGGGTGCTGGGAGCCTGGATGAGGGTCTAGGGCTCGCTCCTCTCTGCCTGCTTTAACTGAGTGGGGTGGGAAACCCCTCTGTTCCCATTTCCCTGGGGGCAGCCCCTGCCAGTGCAGAACAGGCGGATGGGATCCTGCCCTGACTCCTGGGGTGGAGGGGAAAGCACCCCCCTGGCCTGTGCCTGGCTCTGACCCGGCGTCAGCTCTGGTGCCTGTGAGCCCTCGGGGTTACTGGCGTGGAGGCCGTGCATGCTCATGAAATTCAGCAAAACGTCAGCGATTTCAGCCCTCCTCGTTCTCGAGAGGGCTTCATACTGGAATCTGGAGTCACCTTGGCTTAGCCAGTTACACATTCTTTTTTTTTTTTTTCTTAAGAGACGGAGTCTCGCTCTGTCCCCCAGGCTGGAGTGCCGCGGTGCGATCTCGGCTCACTGCAAGCTCCGCCTCCCGCGTTCACGCCATTCTCCTGCCTCAGCCTCCTGAGTAGCTGGGACTACAGGCGCCCGCCAACACACCCGGTTAATTTTTTTTTTTTTGTATTTTTAGTAGCGATGGGGTTTCACCGTGTTAGCCAGGATGGTCTTGATCTCCAGATCTCATGATCCTCCCGCCTTGGCCTCCCAAAATGCTGGGATTACAGGCGTGAGCCACCGCGCCAGGCCCAGTTACACATTCTTAGGTGTTGCAACCTGGTAATGAAGAGTGGGAGATGCCTGGGGGAAGCAGAGGGAGAACTCAGATTCTTCAGAGGCACCATTTACCTCTGATGATTGTTATGCTGATTATAAATCAGTTTCATTTGTTCTTCAAAAGCTCATTGGAAGCATTCCCTTGGAGGATTGACAGGCTTTCCTAAAACGACTGAACTCACTGAAATCAGCCCGTGGCTGAGGTTGGCCTCCCTGAGAAACAGACTCCAGGCCCCAGCTCAGGAGGCAGCCGGTGTCCAGGAGCCTTCAGGAGCCACAGCTGGGGGCAGGGAGGGGCCCTGGCCTGGGCAGAGGGGAGGTCGGACTGCCCTGCAGGTATACAAGGCCTCAGCCACCCCACAGCGTGCTGCAGAGCTGGGATGGCCCCTCGGGGATGGCCTGCGTTGGGCAGTCTGATGGTCACTGTGTCCACCCTGACCCATTGCTGGATGGGGGCTGCCCCAGCGAGGGCAGTGGAACTGGGCCGGGAGGCGGAATCTGAGTGCAGGGTCTCAGCTGTGAGCCATCAGCAACCCACACCCCAGAGCCCCGTCCTGGAGGGGAAGGGTGGGGGGTATACCTCAGCACCTACCCTTGATAGCACCTGATTTCTTTTTTTTCTTGTTGTTTGTTTGAGACGGAGTTTTGCTCTTGCTGCCCAGGCTGGAGTGCAATGGCACCATCTTGGCTCACTGCAACCTCGGCTGCCCAGATTTAAGCAATTCTCCTGCCTCAGCCTCCCGAGTAGATGGGATTACAGTTGTGTGCCACCACACCCAGCTAATTTTGTATTTTTAGTAGAGATGAGGTTTCACCATGTTGGTTAGGCTGGTCTTGAACTCTCGACCTCTGGTAATCTACCCGCCTCAGCCTCCCCAAGTGCTGGGGTTACAGGCGTGAGCCACCGTGATCTCTTTATTTTTAAAAATGGATAATAAAGTTTAATGTTCACTAGTCTTTTAAAATTGCCAGTTGTCTCATACATATCTGCTCTGGACAGAATGGTGCCCTCATAAATTTCTACATTGAAGCCCTATGCCCCAGGATGGGTGCTTTAGGAGGTGATTAGGTTTAGATGAGGTCATGGGGTGGGGCCCCCAGGCTGCAATTAGAGTCCTTGTAAGGAGAGGAAGAGACCACAGCCCTCTCCCTTATGCGGCAAGAAGGCACCGTCTGCTAGCTAGAAAGACAGACCTCCACAGAGGCCACCTCAGCTGGAAGCGTGATGTTGGGCTTCCAACCTCCAGAGCTCTGGGAAGTAAGTGTCTGTTGTATAAGCCCCCGATCTCTCATGCTTCATTATGGCAGCCCAAGCAGACTGAGGCGTCGTAAGTGTGTTTTCATTCTGTCTGTTTGAGTTGGCATCAAATTAGGCTGCCCCACACGGCAGCGGCTGTGTGAATCCCACTGGCCGTCCGGAGCGTGGTTGGAGGCCTCTCGGGGGGACATTGCAGGTGCCTGTCCAAAGGGCCCATCGTGGAGCCATCCCACTCTGGGGACTCCAGCGAGGTCTGGGCTCCAGGAAGATGCTGCCATTTGAAGGGTATGCTGGGTTATGCACTGAGTATCCTCACATTGGATGTCCCCCCAGTTCCATCTTTATAGCAGTCTCTCTTTTTTTTTTTTTTTTGAAATGAAGTCTCGCTCTGGCACCTAGGCTGGAGTGCGGTAGTGTGACCTCGGCTCGCTACAACCTCCGCCTCCCGGGTTGAAGCAGTTCTCCTGCCTCAGCCTCCCGAGTAGATGGGATTACAGGCACCCGCCACCACGCCTGGCTAATTTTTGTATTTTTAGTAGAGACGGGGTTTCACCATGTTGGCCAGGCTGGTCTTCAACTCCTGGCCTCAAGACATCCACCCACCTCAGCCTCCCAAAGTGCTGGGATGATAGGTGTGAGCCATTGCGTCTGGCCTGTGGCAGTCTTTTAACAACCCAAGATGACCAGAGCCATGAAGAAAAAAATGGATAAATATGATCACATACAGACAAAAAATTTCTGTGGGGCTACAAATACATAAAACCTAATGTTAAACATTAAGCTGGGGGAAATTGCCATGAAAATGACAATAGTTCCTTCCATAATTTACGAGGAGCTTCTATAACACAATAAGAGCAGGACCAAAAACCCAGCAGAAAGACAAACTCAGGCAGCTTCTAGGAAAGAGAGTGTCAATTGTCAATAAAACAGGAAAAGATGCTGGCCTCATCAAAGATAAATGCAAATGAAAAGATCGTTGAGATCCATTTGTCAGAGATGCAAAATATTTTAAAGATTGATCATACTGGCCGGGCGCGGTGGCTCACGCCTGTAATCCCAGCACTTTGGGAGGCCAAGGCAGGCGGATCACGAGGTTAGGAGATGGAGACCATCCTGGCTAACACGGTGAATCCCCGTCTCTACTAAAAATACAAAAAATTAGCCTAACTCCCCATGTGGTGGAGGCAGGGGAGGCAGCATGGGCTGTGCAGATTGCGGCTCACCATCCCTGTCCGGGGGCGGGAGTGTCACCAGCCACACACCTGGTTGCTGGAGGATGCAGCGGCCAGTCCAGGAACAACTGGGTCGAAGCATGGCGAACACTGAGACCCTCCGAGCAGATGAGGTTCTTAGCACTCCTGGTCTGAGGGCGGATGGAGAGAGGCAGTGTGCTGTGGGCTGCCTGGCTGGTTTTCTGGGAAAGCTTCCAGAACCTTCCTGTCACAAAAGAGTTTAAACTCTAGGAAGGACATCAGAGTAGGGTGGTGCCTGCCCTTCAGGAGCTCACAGGCTGGTGGGCGAGACGGGCCAGATTAGAACCGGGTTGGAATCCAGGGGTGGCCAGACAGTGCGAGGGGTCTGTGTGAGGGGTGGGAGGGCGGACGGCAGTCAGGGCAGGTGGCCTGCTCAGAAGGTGGCCTTTGGGTCATGTGATGGCAGCATGCTCCAAATCTCTGACGAGGCTCTGCTGTGTTCTGCTGTGGCACGGGCATAGGTGTGGGGAGGGGCCTGAGGTGCTCTGGTCTGTTTCTAGGCGTTCCCCTCAGAAGAGTCCAGCTCAGCCTGCAGGGTGCTCAGAACGGGGTTGGAGGCTGGGAAGGGCTCATTGCTGCCATTTCTTTGACCCCACAGAGTGCTTTTTGGGAACCCCCTGGCCACCATCCTTAGTTTGCCCACCAGGAGCTGGGTGCAGCCGACTCTGGCACGGCTCTGGGCAAGTCCTTGAGAACTCAGGGGTTTCTGTTCATGTCACAGACCTGTCCTGGAGTCAGTCGGGTTTTCTTTCAGCAGCTGACTGTGTGGCTGGGGTGTGTCCAGGGTCTGCGACAGGCTCGTTGGCTTTTCCCTGGCTGGTCGGTAACCTCCTCTCTGGCATCTTCCTCTCGCCCCCCAGGAGAGCACTGTGAGGTGGATGCCCGCTCAGGCCGCTGTGCCAACGGGGTGTGCAAGAACGGGGGCACCTGCGTGAACCTGCTCATCGGCGGCTTCCACTGCGTGTGTCCTCCTGGCGAGTATGAGAGGCCCTACTGTGAGGTGACCACCAGGAGCTTCCCGCCCCAGTCCTTCGTCACCTTCCGGGGCCTGAGACAGCGCTTCCACTTCACCATCTCCCTCACGTGAGTGTGCGTCCCGCCGCGCCACACGGGGGTCTCTTTAGGAAAGGGGCGAGCTTCTCCGTGCACCCCATCCCTCTAGATCGTGACGTTGATGTCCTCCGTGTGTGGCCTTTGATAGTTGAGTAGCTCCAGGCCAGGCGCGGTGGCTCACGCCTGTAATCCCAGCACTTTGGGAGGCCGAGGCGGGTGGATCACCTGAGGTTGGGAGTTTGAGACCAGCCTAGTCAACATGGCAAAACCCCATCTCTACTAAAAACACAAAAATGAGCTGGATACAGTGGTTTATGCCTGTAATCCCAGCTACTCAGGAGGCTGAGACAAGAGAACCGCTTGAACCAGAAGGTGGAGGTTGCAGTGAGCTGAGACTGTGCCACTGCACTCCGACCTGGGCAACAGAGCGAGACTCCATCTCAAAAAAAACCACAAAAGCTTATTCCTTCTGTGTCTTTGTTTGTACCCCTTAACCCACTTCTCTTCAGCCCCTTCCCTGCTCCCTCCCCAGCCTCTGGTGACCACCACTATCCTCTCCACCTCCAATAACGTTTAATTAAATGTCTGCACAAGGGAATGTTACGCTGCTGCTTGTCAGATTCTGTATGTCTGAGATTATTGCACTGGACAATTATGAACAGTTTCCCTTATGTGTGACGGTGGCTAAACCATCAGAGCTGACCCTAAATCACCGAGGGTTTTGTAGGGAATACCTTTAAAAGTAAAATCATAAGGTGCCTCCCCAAGCTTCCAGGGCAGTGACACTTTGGGAGCAGTGGGGGCTGTGGGCAGGGCCCTCTTGAGCCTCTGAGAGCCGCTGTGAGGGGCCGGGTTGGGGGGCGCCTAGCTGCTTTTGTTTCAGGTGGGTGCTTTCATAGCCCCTTCTCCTCTTTCTAGTTTCTCTTTGCCAAGTGTCCAGGCTCCCAAGTGGGCTCCGGGCTCCGTTCCCAGCTGCCTCTCATCCCCACAGCTCTTTGTTCTTTCCTTCTCCTTCCCCGGCCCCCTTCTCTGGGCCTTGGTTTCTGTTTTCTGGCCTCTCCTTTTTTTTGCTTTTTGCTTGCATTGTTCCAACCCTCCCCTCGGCTTTGGGTCCCTTCTTTATTGCTCCGTCGCCAGCGGTGTACGTGTGCTTGCCAGGGGGGCCGTGCAGGACTGTTTGACACTGACACCGCCCACCAGCCCCCACCTGGGTCCAAAGGGAACCGCACAGAAGTGAAACCCACCAAAGGCAATCAGGTATGACCCAGGGGCTGAGTCTCAGGAAACAAGCCTGCACTGAGTTGGTCCCGTCGTCATTAAGATCCCTTCTCCCTGCTCATTCCCTGCCCAAGCATCAGTGTGCTGTGTGGGTATTCTTCTTTGTGTTTGTCGTCATTTCTTGCTTGCATTCTAAAGAGAGGGGGTTTGGGCGACAGTTGGGAACCATCAGTTTTTTTTTTTTTTTTGAGACGGAGTCTTGCTTTGTTGCCAGGCTGGAGTGCAGTGGTGGTATGATCTCGGCTCACTGCAACTTCCGCCTCCCAGGTTCAAGCAATTCTCCTGCCTCAACCTCTTGAGTAGCTGGGATTACAGGTGCCCACCACCATGCCCGGCTAATTTTCGTATTTTTAGTAGAGACGGGGTTTCACCATGTTGGCCAGGCTGGTCAACCTGACCTCAGGTGATCCACCCACCTCGGCCTCCCAAAGTGCTGGGATTACAGGCGTGAGCCACCGGCCAGCCGAAACCATCAATTTTAACTCCAGAGAAAAGGCTGAGGTCAGATGCTCGAGGCTGGCTCGGGCCGACTCCTGCTGCAGGAAAATGGATAAACCAACCTTAGGTTAAAAGGAGTTCCTGCCGTGTATCTCTGATGGTGGAGACACCCAGCCAGCTCAGGAGCCAGTCCCAAGCTCACTCAGGAGGTTGCCAAGTTCTCTGAAACCAGGGAGGTGGGGGAGGTGTTGTGGTGATTTGGGTCTGAAGACCCCCTGCCCGGGGCCCCTGGGTGGGAGAAGGATTTCTGAGAATTTGATGATCTCCTGCCCGAGCAGGTGGTTTTTGCTCAGCGTGCTCTAAGTTCTGACAGGCCTGTTCATGTTCAGGCGTCTGTTCATGCCTCTTCCTTTCATTTATTCAAACAGCCCATATTAAGCACTGATATGGACCAGATCTTCTTTGGGTTCTGGAATGCAGCAGGGAATGAGAGCTGCGGTTCCTCCCCTTATGGATCATACATTCTTATAAACCAATGAGTCAGCAGCATGATTTCAGAAATTAACTGAGTGATGTCATAGGCTGATGGGAGGTAAGGGCAAGGTAGAGTACAATGAGTCAGGGCAAGTACAGCTGGGTTGACCCCTGAGTGATCTGCAAAGCCTGGGAAGATTGTTTCTGGCATAGGGGGCAGCTGGTGCAAAGGCCCTGGGGTCTTTTTGACCTGTGTTTGGGAGCCAAAAGATGCTATTGTGGCTGAGTGCCGGGGGGAGAGGCCATAAGAATGGTCCTTCCATAGCATCATCCCTGCCTGGGAAGGTACCAGGTCCCCATGCCCTGGCGCACACACGGGGGGATCTGTTCACAGCAGCAGAAAATGTACAGCACGTGCTTTGCCCAAACACATCAGTAACAGGTGTCCTGGCCGCTGGTCGTACTTGTAGCATGTTGTGCAAATGGGATATTTTTTGCATTCTACAGGCCGTAGTAACCAGACTCCCCATGGATTCTGGTTTGCTGCTTCCAGAAAAGAACCCTGCTTATCAAGCTTGATGGGCTGTCTGCTCCTATGAGAAGGACGCATGCCTGACACCATTCTTTCCTGAATCGTAGCCCCACGTGCTTGCCCTCCTCCGGCTGGACTTGTCATTCCTAGGCAGCCTTTGGACCCTGGGGTCTTCATCCTGTGATGTGCCTCTGCTTGGCCCCACAGGTTTGCCACTCAGGAAAGGAACGGCTTGCTTCTCTACAACGGCCGCTTCAATGAGAAGCACGACTTCATCGCCCTGGAGATCGTGGACGAGCAGGTGCAGCTCACCTTCTCTGCAGGTGGGGCCTTCTCCCCAGGAAGGGCAGCTCTGAGCAATTCACAGATACTTTGTGGGTTAAAACGACCCTCGCCCTGTGCAGCGCCTCCAAGCTGCTTACCCTTTCATCCCTCACTTGTAGGTCTAGGAAGCTGTCTTATTTAAGAAATCCAAAGTACACAAAGATGTTCATAACAGGCCGGGCGTGGTGGCTCACGCCTGTAATCCCAGCACTTTGGGAGGCCGAGGTGGGTGAATCACAAGGTCACGAGATCGAGACCAGCCTGACCAACATGGTGAAACCCCCTCTGTACTAAAAGTACAAAAATTAGCTGGGCGTGGTGGTGCACGCCTGTAATCTCCGCTACTCAGGAGGCTGAGGCAGGAGAATTGCTTGAACCCAGGAAGCAGAGGGTGCAGTGAGGTGAGATCACGCCACTGCACCCCAGCCTGGTGACGGAGTGAGACTCTGTCTCAAAAAATAATAATAATAAAAAGATGTTCATAACAGTGTTATTTATAGTGCTGGAAATGTGGACGATCTGGTTCATGTTTTCAGAAACCAAGGAATCATTAAATTGTGGTACATCTCTAGATTAAAAATGTCAACACTGGCCGGGTGCAGTGGCTCATGCCTGTAATCCCCAGCACTTTGGGAGGCCGAGGCAGGCAGATCACCTGAGGTCAGGAGTTAGAGACCAGCCTGGCTAACATGGTGAAACCCCATCTCTACTGAAAATACAAAAATTAGCCAGGTATGGTGGCACTTGCCTGTAATCCCAGCCACTCAGGAGGCTGAGGCAGGAGAATTGCTTGAACCTGGGAGGTGGAGGTTGCAGTGAGCTGAGATCATGCCATTGCACTCCAGCCTGGGTGACAGAGTGAGACTCCATCTCAAAAAAAAAAAAAAAAAAAATTTTTTTTTTTTTTTTTTGGACAAGGCTGGCCAGGCAAGGTGGCTCATGCCTGTAATCCTAGCACTTTGAGAGGCCAAGGCGGGCAGATTGCTTGAGCTCAGAAGTTCAAGACCAGCCTGGGCAATATAGCGAGACTCTGTCTCTTTTAAAAAAAATATATCGACAAGGCCATTAAACATGTTATTCCAGTTGTTAGAAAAGAACATTTCTCCAGACTGCCAACAGGTATATCTGTGTTTTTCTGGCACACATGACTTTTTTTTTTGTTTTTGTTCTTCTTTTGAGACAAAGTCTTACTCTTTCACCCAGGCTGGAGTGCAGTGGTGCAATATTGGCTCACTGCGACCTCCACCTCCCAGGTTCAAGCGATTCTCATGCCTCAGCCTCTCCAGTAGCTGGGAATACAGGCACGTTTCACCATGCCCGGCTAATTTTTGTATTTTTAGTAGAGACAGGGTTTCACTGTGTTGGCCAGGCTGGTCTTGAACTCCTGACCTCAAGTGATCCGCCCACCTTGGCCTCCCAAAGTGCTGGGATTACAGATGTGAGCCACCAGGCTCAGCCTGGCACACTTGACTTTCAGGAGTGAATTCTGCCATCTCCTCCTTCACCTGGAAGTTCACCAAGATGGCTCAGAGCTGCTTCCGTCTCTAGAACCCTGGCCCGTGTTGAATGACATGTGTGTGATGGTGGAGGATGGAGCTTTGTTTTCTATACTCAATAAAGAAAGGGAGGCACCTGTAACAGCAGCCAACCACCATGGGAGAGGTGGCCATAGCCCTCCGGGCTCTGTGAGGTGGGATTAGGCTATTCCCCTGGCCAGTGTCTCCCACACCCGTTTCCAGAACTCCTGCTGGTTCCCTGGAGACGGTATTCTCTGCCCGGGACCTGGTACCCACCGCACCTGTCCTTTGGTGCCCCTGAAGCTCCTTCCTCCCAGCTGCTGCTGCTGACTCAGGGTTGTGCCCCAGAATCCCCAAAGGGACTCGCCCGCCCCACTCCAGCAGGAGCTCAAGGGGTGGAAATGACAGACACCCCAAAGCAGAGATGCACAAGAGACGCGTCCGCGACCTCACGATGGGACGTGTTACGTGGTTTAAGAGTTGTTAAAAGCCTGAGATGACATTTATTTGATTAAGTGACCTAAAGTGGAATTGGTTTTGATGATTTTGTCTACGTTGATGCAATGCATAGGAAAAAGGGTTCGACCTCTGGTGCGGTGTAGGTGTGACTGCTGCTGGTACAGACAGATGGGTTTTCCGTGTTTATATTTTTTCATATTTAGAAAAGGAACAAGGCCAGGCGCGGTGGCTCACGCCCGTTATCCCAGCAGTTTGGGAGGCCAAGGCAGGCAGATCACGAGGTCAGGAGTTCGAGACTAGACTAGCCAACATGGTGAAACCCCATCTCTACTAAAAATACAAAAATTAGCCGGGTGTGGTGGTGGGTGCCTGTAATCCCAGCTACTCAGGAGGCTGAGGCAGGAGAATCTCTTGAACCCAGGAGGCGGAGGTGGCAGTGAGCTGAGATCACGCCACTGCACTCCAGCCTGGGCGACAGAGCAAGACTCCATCTCAAAACAAACAAAACCAGAAAAGAGGAACAAGAATTACTTTTGTAACCAGAAAAGAAAATGGATGGAGTGGTGGGCGCCTCCCACCATGGTGCCGTGGGGAGGGGAGGGAGGACGTGGCCATGTGCACCTGTCTCCCCCTGATGCCTCACAGCGCAATCCTCGGTCCCCAGTAGGCCCCGCCAACCCCTGTTTTCTCTCTGGGTCTCCCTCCCACCATGCAGGCGAGACAACAACGACCGTGGCACCGAAGGTTCCCAGTGGTGTGAGTGACGGGCGGTGGCACTCTGTGCAGGTGCAGTACTACAACAAGGTAAGATGGGCCCCACCACTTCCCCCTGGCCCCAGGGCGGCTCGAGAAGGTGCCCTGGGGCGAGGCGCAGTGGCTCACGCCTGTAATCCCAGCACTTTGAGAGGCCAAGGCAGGTGGATTACCTGAGGTCAGGAGCTCGAGACCAGCTTGGCCAACGTGGCGAAACCCTGTCTCTACCAAAAATACAAAAATTAAAAAATTAGCCGGGCGTGGTGGCGGGTGCCTGTAATCCCAGCTACTCAGGAGGCTGAGGCAGGAGAGTCACTTGAGCCTGGGAGGCAGAAGTTACAGTGAGCCGAGATCGTGCCACTGTATTCCAGCCTGGGTAACAGAGCGAAATTCCATCTAAAAAAAAAAGGAAGGAAAAAAGGTGCCCTGGTAGATTTTCTGTCTTGAGACATTTGTGCTCTGAATTTTTTTTTAAATGTGCTATTGGAAAAAATGGTTTAGGAAATGCACATTTGTGGAGGGTCTGTGTAAATACACCTGAGCCCTGTGCTGGGGTCATAGTCCCACCCAGAGCTCTGGGTCGGGGGGTACACAGGGACCCCGGAGATCTCCTGCGCTGGGGGAGGGACACAGAAAGGGCTTATTCATTTGCAGCCACCTTGGCCAGAGTCTACTAGTGGCTGAAATTCTGGGCTGTTCATACACGGCTCTGTAGCCAAAATCGTCCACTGTACCTGGATGTAACTGGCGAGCCAGAACACTCTTCAAGGAAGTGCCGTGAAGGCTGGGTGGTTTTGGTTTCACTTTATTTTGCTGTTCGTTGGCTTGTAAGGAAACACATTGTTTTTTGCATCAAAATGCTGTGCTTTCCACGGCTGTGATTTTGCAAATCCCTTTTCTCTTCTTGGGAAGCTCCAGGGTGTGCCCCCGCTTGCTCGTGGGTCTGCGTGGGTCTTACCGGCTCCTCCTGGAGCCTGGCCACCCCCGCTGTGCCCCGCTTCCCGGACTTCACAAGGCTGGGGCCTAAGCTTGGTTGGCAGACGAGGGCTCCTCTGTCCTCCAGGAGAATCGACCCAGTCCTTCTATGGAGAGAGCATCTTCCTTCTTTCACAGCCACTGTGCCTGGCTGCGACTCACCAGCAGTTGGGGTCCAGCCACTGGGCCTGAGGTCGTAGTGTCGCCTCCACTGGCTTTCACTCTCCTTTCCATGCTGGCCACCGGCGTCCCTCCACCTCCCTGGCCCGCCCCTCCCATCTGCCTTGAATATCCCATCATCTCCCAGGCGTGCCACACAGACTCCAAGTAGTGGTCACCTGCACAGAGACCATAGTTTTTGTCCTCTGTCCCATCAGTGCCAACCCAGGGCAGGTGGAGCTTGAGCCTCATTTGGGAGGAGGGCAGATGGGAGGTGCTGGTGAGGTTTGGGAGCTGAGTGCTTGCTCGGGGTTTGGGGGGATATTGAGAGAAGGCTGGCAGGTGTCTGGGCAGGGTCTGGGCTGCCGCACATTGGATGTCACCCCTAGTGGGGCTTGGCTGATGTTTGGAGAACCATGTGCTTGACAGAGGTGCAGGGGCTGGTGGGGTGAGGGGCTCAGGGCTGAGCAAGAGGAAGAGGGTAGCCCTCACAGACGCGGATTTATTTGCTGCCATTGTCCATTTCAAAGACCGAGTCTTTTCTTGATACGGTGCCGTCCTGTGGCTGTGTGGGGCAGTGCTAGCCAGTGTGAAGCGCGTTCACCTGGGTGAGCTGCACGGGTGGCCGTTGCGTCCTGCTGCCTGGCGCTGCCTACTCTGACCTGGTGACCCTTCCTGTTGTGCCCTTCCAGCCAGCTGGGGCTGGACACCAGAGCTCAATGCCCCCTGGGGTGGTGCCTCCCAAGGGCTGGGCCACAGGGGACCCTGGAGACGGTGCCCCATCGTCAGGGAAGCATAGGGCATAGGTGGCGCATTTTCCTTCCTGCACGTATCAGAAGACCAAGTCCAGAGATGAACGTTTGTTGCTGGGGAGGGGGTAGGCAGGGGGAGGTCGAGTCAGCCTTGGTCTCCCCATCAGTGCTCAACACTCCAGAATCATCATCTGCCTATGGCAGAAGCAACAGTGTGTCTGCAGTTGCAGAGGGACTCGCAGCCAGGACGCCACTGTGGCCACCTCTGTCCACACTCCGCCCTGGCTCTGAACACAGTGAGTGTTCACTGGGGCCCGCCTGTGGCCGCCCCTTTCCGGGAGCTCAGAGGAGCAAAGTCCCCGTGCAGGACGCCACCTGCACTGTCCCGGAGGAGAGGGGCCTCATGTAAGAAGATACACAGAGGACGGTGGATTACCGGGATCCATGGCTTCCGTGTCTAGGGCCGGGTCCTGTCAGCGGTGCCTGAGCACAGCCTCCCGTGTGGGATTAGGCCTTTCCTGCGAGCGCCAGATACTTCTCTCTCTTGCCTGAGGTTATTTGATGGAGGAAACCAACCAGTTTTTACTGTGTCTTCAGGCGTCCATTAGGAGGTCTGACGGGGCCACACACTAGGATGTGTTAGCAGAGATTATGAGCACCAGCCCGAGAAGGAGACAGTACTGCTGCTCCGTGACTTAGTCTCCGAGTGGCAGCTCTGACAAACCCAGGTGCAGAGGCCTCCTCTGGAGTGCACCTGAGCTGGGGGCAGGACCAGTCAGGTTGGGAGCAGTGTGGGGGCCTGGAGGGGTGGCGGGGGCCAGCTTGAGGTCAGGAAGACAATCTTCTGGGGGCTGGTTCCTCTGCTCTCTGGGCCTCCACTTTGTCTCCAATGTCACCTCTGGTCCTGTCCTCCAGCAGCCACCTTGGGGGTGACCTTGGGCCACCAGGGAAGGTTTTGGGGAAGACGACAGGCTCAGGGTGGGAGGGGACCCCCAGGAGGAGGAGGCGTTGGGGCTGGACGATGAGGGGTGTCCAGGGCCATGACCAGTTGAGAGGGGCTCAGGGCTGGGGCTGCAAGGGTGATCTTGAGGGTGGTGGGTGACACTGCCGAGGGAACCCCCCTGCACACGCGTCCCTGCCTGCCTTGGCTGATGCAGACGGTCATCCCCCCTGCCCCGCCCAGCTGTGTCCTTGCCCCAGCACGCTCCATTTACCTGCCACACCACCTCGCTGGTTTTGGTTTTTGCATTTTTGGGGATGATGAAGAAAACATACTTGAAAAAATTCAGCATACAGCAGTCTGGAGAGGGTGGAAGCATTGGTGCGGGCCATGCCGCTGCTGCCCACCCTCCTCTCTTCAGTCTCGTTCTCTGTCCCCCGCCCTCCAGAGTGGCTGTGTCTCTGAGGTGTGGGCCACCTGCATTTTAGATCTGAGCATGATCTCCCGGGTGTTGCCTGTCAGAGTGGCCTCCTGCACTGCCTCCACGTGCAACCTGCGGGGACCCTTCCCCCACCCACCAGTGTACAGGGCCTGGGAGCTGCCAGGCTGGTGGAGCAGTCAGGGTCCCCACAGGAAGCAGATGGGGTGCTCCAGTGGGACCAGCCCTGGAAGGGTTATTTACAAAGGGCTGGGCAGGGCATGGGGCATCCATGAGAGGCGGTGTGGGACCCAGGGCTGGAGGCAGTGCCAGCGGAGCTGCGATGGCCCTTAGTCCTAGAGCATCAAGGGAAAGGGCAGATTGGAGCCCAGAAAGAAGGGGTCATGGTCAGAAGCCACAGGAGAGGGCTGCGGACCACCCAGGAGGGGCACAGCTAACCAGGGACCCTCCTGACACCCCTCCCCTCCCTCACTCTATCCTCCCGTCTGGCTCCCCACTGGCCAAAGCCACCAGAAGCCATGGGGTAGGGAACCCTCCCAGGCAGGGAGCAGGCAGAGTCTGTTTATTTTTCCTTTCTGCCTGATGACATTTTAGACGAGAAGGTTTATTGGTCTAATTCACCTTCAGCAAAACCAAAGGGTACATTGGAGTCGGACGTTTTTCCAGGACGGTCTTTTCAAAGGCAGGCACTTGTACATTTGTGTGGCGCTCCGCCAAGCACAGATGAACAACACAGCCCCCACGCCCACAGCCACGCCGGGAGGTTTGGGGCCGAGTGGAGCATTTTCAGTCGTTGCTTCACCCCAGGCTGGTTTTTTGTTTGTTTGTTTGTTTGTTTTTTCCCTCAAGGCTGGTTTGAAGGTGTGTCCACAACTTCAAAAGGGTGGACATGCCTGACGGAAAACGTTCTCCCCACTTGAGAATCGGTTTTGCCCTCATTATGCTTAAGTGTTTGCTGCTCCTCCATCGCCCTCGGCATCCTGGGTGTTTGGGAAGTGTGGGGAGAAGCTTATTCCCCACGGAGACAGTGCTAGGGAGGGGCCGTCTGGAAGGATGGGGATCCTCGGGGCTGCACTGAGCGGGTCATTCCCTTACTGTGCTTCCCTGAGGCTGCCTGCGGGGATCACGTTTAGACCCCACCTTGTTCCAGGAGCTCCTGGCAGGGTCGGGGACACAGACGTGCCAGCAAGATGTTTAACGGGGCCCTGGGGAAGCAAGGGTGGCTCGTGTCCACCTGACCTGGGCATCTTCTAAAGCCAGCTGAGCCTGCCCAGAGCCTGGAGCACAGTCTCCTGGCCAGCTGGGGAGGCAGGGACATGCAGGGGAGGTAGTGCCTGACATGGACACCAGGCAGTGTGGCCCGCTGGGGACCCGTGAGTGAGCTGTGCAGTGAGGCAGTGAGGTGGAGCGCCAGGAGGCCCAGAGCTGCTGGGAGATCCCGCATGAAGCAGATGTGGGAGGCGGTGAGCAGCCGCGTCAGGATTTCCCACCTGGGCACTGCCGCCCCTTGGGGACGATGACCCTTCATTGTGAGGCCTGTTCTGGGCAGCATTCCTGACCTCTGGTCACTAGACTCCAGCTGTTCCCCTAACCCGGTTTTGACAACCAAGAGGTCTTCATCATTGTCAGGCCCCTGAGGTCATGCCCTGGATGAGAACCACTGGGCTAGTGAGACGGGAGCTCAGCTAGCGGGAGTCCTGGTAGCTTCAGGTGGAGATGCGAGACCCTGGGCCGGAGCTTGAGGCAGCAGCCTCTACGTGGGCAGCAGGTGGTCTCCAAGGGGCACTCGGCATCCGTCACCTGGCCGGGGACGATGCTGTGCTGGTCGCGATCGCCATGCTGGCCACGGGTGGCTAGACCACACGCAATGAAGCCCCATGCCTGAGCTGGCTGCTGGAGTCCTTGGGACTCTGCCTCGGCAATTTGGCTTCCTCTGGTTCTGGTGATTCTGAGATGGCGCGGGGCTGTCTTTGGCATGCTGCGGAAAGTGCTTTTATAAAGACAGCATGAGGCCCGGTTGCAACAAACCGGAGGACCGGCCTCTGCTTCTGTTGAGCAGAGGATGTAAGTGCTTTGAGATTTCCATGACCTTGAGATGACCGCTAGGTCCTGCTGTCATTAGGGATTGCTCACCTGTTGCTTGTCAGGTCATTCAAAACCTCTTGGGTCTGTGCTGCACATTAAACCCCAGAGTCCCAAGGAGAGTGGGAGATGTACCCCCGGAGCACCCCTGGGGTCGGGGGAGCTTCTCCGTTTCTGCACATGTTCTAAAAACTCGAGGACTTCCACCCAGACACTTGGGTCAGGGTGAGGTTTTTTGATGGGACCCTTTCTGGGCTCTACAGATCTGCCGTGGTTAGACAGTTGTGTGGTCCCCTGGGTGAGGCCACGTAGCCTTCCCTTTCCCTCCCTCCTTCTCTCCCTTCCATGTTAATTGAGTGCCAATTACACGCACAGAATCCAACTTACAGAAACGAACTTGGAAGGTATTTAATAGAATATAAGGTCCTCCGACAGCGGAACGTCAACAACCATTGCCAACAGTGCGGTGGGGTTCTGTGCGGTGATGAGGGGAGGAGCTCCCAGGATCTTGTTACTAGATTTTAAAAGCCATAGTTGTAGGGTGTATTTTATTTATTTTATTTTTGAGATGGAGTCCCGCTCTGTCGCCCAGGCGCCTTTGTTGCTGTCTTGGCTCACTGCAACCTCTGCCTCCCAGGTTCAAGCAATTCTCCTGCCTCAGCCTCCTGAGTAGCTGGGTTTACAGGTGCGCGCCACCACACCCGGTTAATTTTTGTACTTTTAGTAGAGATTGGAGTTTCACCATGTTGGCCAGGTTGTTTTCAAACTCCTGACCTCAGGTGATCTCCCTGCCTTGGCCTCCCAAACAGTTAGGATTACAGGCATAAGCCACTGCACCTGGCCGAGCCTGGTTCTTTTAGTGGAGGGTGGCATTTAGAAATCCAGATCTGGGTGCTTGGTGTGCTCATTGCTTTGGGGTGTCTCACTCCCAGTCTCTCTTACTGGGCAGAGCTAGGACATAGACGTCTGTGTAGGTGTGTGTGTGTGTACATATATACATGCACACACACTTCATATTGATCTTTTTTTCCTATTTATCTATCACTCCCTATTGGAAGCCATGAACTTCACTGGAGCACTGCTGCGTTTGCTCTGCTCTGCACATTCACATCCCCCTGATGCCGTCCCAGCCCATTCGTGCTGCCTGGTAACAGAACACACAAGGCTGGGTACTTACAAACCACAGAGATTGATTTCTCTGAGTCCTGGAGGCTGGAAGCCTGAGCACCTGCAGGTTTGGGGCCTGGCGAAGGCCCATTCCTCATAAATGGCAGCGTCTGGGGTCCTCACATGGCGGAAGAATGCAAGACAGTGGACCCACTCCCATGGGCCCTTTTATTGAGGCCCTTATCCCATTCTTGAGGGGCTCACCCTCATGACTTTACCACCTCCTAAAGGGCCCATCTCTTGAAACCATCCCATTGGCCATGAAGTTTCAACACGTGAACTTTGGGGGACACTTCAGACCATAGCACCCCCAAATTGCTATATTGAAATCCTCACCCCCAAGGTGATAGTATTAGGAAGTGCAGCCTTTGGGAGGTGATCAGGGTCTCCCGCGAGTGGAATGAATGTCCTTATAAAAGAGCCCCAAGACCGCCCCTCACCCCTTCTGTCATGTGAGGATGTGGTAAGAAGGTGTGGTCTAGGAACCGGGTGGCGAACCCTTGCCAGACGTTCAATCTACCAGCACCTTGATTTTGGACTCGCAGCCTCCAGAACTGTGAGAAACAGATGCATGTTGTTTACAAGGCGCTCAGCCTCTGTTACAGCAACCCAAGCAGAGTTAGAGGTCATTCTTGTTGTTTTTCCTCTTCTATATGTGTAACTCTTTACCAGTTAGAAACCTTGTTCTCATTTTCCTCAGTATAGTTAGTGATTTTTCTCAACCTTCCATTATCTAAACAACCTTCCAACCTCACCAGGCTGCAGCTTCACTCAGCCCCCTCCCCGGCTGCGCCCTCCCCAGCCTTGCTGCTCTGCCTCACTCAGCCCTGATGGTACTAGCCGACTCCAGCAGTTGGAGATGGGTCTGCATAGAGACGTGACTGAAATATTTCATTATTCAAAAAAGAAGGGAGGAAGGGAAGAAGGAAGGTTTTTAAAACAAATTTAAAGGGAATAAAAATCCAAAATAACAAAAGCTGTGGGCTGCAGCTAAAGCAGTGCTGAGAGGGAAATGTATAGCACTAAATACTTACATTAGAAAAGGGGGATGTTTCAAATCAATAATCTGAGCTTCTGCTTCAAGAACCTAGAATAAGAACAAAATAAACCCAAAGCCAGCAGAAAGAAGGAAATAATAAAGATAAGAGCAGCAGTCAGTGAAATTGAAACAGCAAAACAATAGAGAAAATCAATGAAACAAAGAGCCGATTCTTTAAGATTAACAAAATCTTTTCAAAGCGGGGGAAAACTTCTAGCGTGACTGATAAGGAAAAGAGAAGACAAATTGCCAATATCAGGAATAAAATAGGCTTTGTAGATGTTAAAAAGGGTAATAAGGGAATAATTAATAAAAAGAACTCTACATGTGTACATTTAAAACCCAGATGCACGGACCAACTCCTCAAAAAACACAAACTACTACAACTCACCCAAGATGAAGTCAGTCCTTTGAATGGCTGTATACACTATTGAGGAAATAGAATTTGTAGTTTAACATTCCCAAAAAGGAAATCTCCGGGCCCAGATGGCTTCACAAGAGAATTCTAACAAATATTTAAAGAATTACATCAATTCTGCAACATCTCTTCCAGAAAATAGAGAGCACTTCCCAGTTCAGTTCATGAAGCATTACCCTCATTCCAATACCAGATGAAGACAGACTAAACAAAACCACAGACCACTGTTCCTCATGAATATAGATGTGATTCATGTTGACACAGAAACCTGCACACAAGTGGTACAGCAGCTTTTCATAATATCCCCAAATGGGAGACAGCCCAGATGGCCGTCACTGGGTGAATGGTTAAACAAACTGGTATGTCCGTACCATGGAACAGGGAATACTTCTTAGCACCAAACAACTTCTCACTCTGCTGAGTGGGAAAAGGCAACCCCCAAAAGGACCATACTATGTGATTCCGTTTGTATGACATTGTGTTTTTTTGTTTGTTTGCTTTTCAGACAGAGTTTTGCCTTGTATCCCAGGCTGGAGTGCAGTGGCACGATCTCAGCTCACTGCAACCTCCACATCCTGGGTTCAAGTGATTCTCCTGCCTCGGCTCCCAAGTAGCTGAGATTGCAGGCACACACCACCATGCTCGGCTAATTTTGTATTTTTAGTAGAGAAGGGGTTTCACCATGTTGGTCAGGCTGGTTTTGAACTCCTGACCTCAAGTAATCCACCCATCTCGTGCTTCCAAAGTGTTGGGATTACAGGCATAAGCCACTGCACCTGGCATTTATGACATTCTTAATACGACAGAATAACAATGGAAAACAGAGTAGTGGTTGCCTGGGATTGGGCTGGGGACAGGAGGGAAGTGGGTGTGGCTGTGATAGGACACAGGCAGGGTCCTTGTAGTGATGGAACGTTCTGTCTGGACTGTGTCAGTGTTTGTACCTGGGTTTGATATTATACTATCTTTTTGCAGGGTGTTTCCATGGATGGAAACTGTAAGGGGTACATGGGATATCTCTGTATTATTGTTTTACAATTGCATGTACCTCTAAAATTGTCTCAAAATAGAAAGTTTCATCAAAATAACTTTCAGGCCAGGTGTGGTGGCTCACGCCTGTAACCCCAGCACTTTGGGAGGCTAAGGTGGGAGGATTGCTTGAGCCCAGGAGTTCAAGATCAGCCTGGGCAACATAGGGAGAATACATCTCTTCAAAATACAAAGTAAAAAAAAAAAAATTAGCCGGGTGTGTGGTGCATGTGCCTATGGTCCCAGCTGCTTGGGAGGCTGAGGTGGGAGGATTACTTGGGCCTGGAAGGTCGAGGCTGTTGTAAGCCATGATTGTACCACTGCACTCCAACCTGGGCGAAAGAGTGAGACTCTTGTCTTAAAAAAAAATTTTTTTTTAAGATTTACAATGTTTGCTGGTATATACATATGTTTTTCTGAAGGATAACCCTATGCTCTCCAAAACAACAAACTTGTGTTTTTTTTCTTTGTTTGTTTTGAGATGCAGTCTCACTCTGTCACCCAGGCTGGCACAATCTCGGCTCACTGCAACCTCCGCCTCCTGAGTTCAAGCCATTCTCCTGCCCTCAGCCTCCCAAGTAGCTGGGATTACAGGTGCGCACCACCACCACGCCTGGCTAATTTTGGTATTTTTAGTAGAGATGGGATTTCACCATGTTGGCCAGGCTGGTCTCGAACTCCTGACCTCAGGTGATCCAACTGCCTCAGCCTCCCAAAGTGCTGGATTATAGGCGTGAGCCACCGCACCCGGCCCATACTTGTTAATAGTGCTCATCGGATAGCTTTTTCAAGGTCATAAACTGCCTAAAGCATGGAGTCTTTTTTTTTTTTTTTTTCTGAGACGAAGTTTCGCTCCTGTTGCCCAGGCTGGAGTGTAAAGGCGCGATCTCGGCTCACCGCAACCTCTGCCTCCCAGGTTCAAGCAATTCTCCTGCCTCAGCCTCCCGAGTAGGTGGGATTACAGGCCTGCACCACCACGCCCGGCTAATTTTGTATTTTTAGTAGAGACGGGGTTTCTCCATGTTGAGGCTGGTCTTGAACTCCTGACCTCAGGTGATCTGCCCCCCTCGGCCTCCCAAAGTGCTGGGATTACAGGCGTGAGCCACCGCGCCTGGCCAGCATGGAGTCTTGATCAGATATTTATTATTCCTGGTGATGCAGTGGTTTGGCTGCTGGTTCTTCTGGTCTATGCGATTCAGCCAGGGCTGTGTGAAGGCCTCACTCATATGACCTGGCCGTTAGCCATGGCAGCTGGGGCCTCTCATCTTCCAGCAGGCCACCCTGGCCGTTCACTTGGTGGCAGGGGGTTCCTAGCAGCCAGAGAGGGCGAGTCCCAGTGCACGGTGCTTTCCAGGCCTTATCTCGTGTCCTTGTGCCCTGATGTCCTGTTGCCCAGGTCATGTGGCCAAGCCCAGCCTCTAGGTAGAGACATGGACCATTGGTGGCAAGAGCCAGGAGGTGGCATTGCAGAGGCCAGACGTACAGTGCAGGAGGCATCATCGTGGCCCTTATAGCAAAGGTGGATACCAATGGGAAGAAGAATGCAAAGTGAGGTGGATTTCGTGTTCCTTTTATGCCCTTCTGTGCCTTCTTACATGCACTTGAGTTCTTTGTATTTAAAAAAACAATATAGCAGTTATCTGGGTCATGGGACTATGAGCCATTTTTTTTTTTTTTGAGATGGAGTCTCGCTCTGTCGCCCAGGCTGGAGTGCAGTGGCGTGATCTCAGCTCACTGCAAGCTCCACCTCCTGGGTTCACACCATTCTCCTGCCTCAGTCTCCTGAGTAGCTGGGACTACAGGCGCCCACCACCATGCCCGGCTAATTTTTATTTATTTATTTATTTATTTTTTATTATTATTATTTTTTTTTAGTAGAGACGGGGTTTCACCGTGTTGGCCAGGATGGTCTCAGTCACCTGACCTCGTGATCCGCCCCCCCTTGGCCTCCCAAAGTGCTGCGATTACAGGTGTGAGCCACTGCGCCCGGCCCTGGTTTTTTCTTTTAAATATTCTGTTTAAAAAAATCATTTGAGGGCCAGGCACGGTGGCTCACGCCTGTAATCCTAGCACTTTGGGAGGCCGAGGCAGGCAGATCACTTGAAGTCAGGAGTTCAAAACCAGCCTGGCCAACCTGGCAAAACCCCATCTCTACTAAAAATACAAAAAAATTAGCCGGGCGTGGTGGCAGGTGCCCATAATCTCAGCTACTCGGGAGGCTGAGGCAGGAGAATCTCTTGAACCTGGGAGGTAGAGGTTGCAGTGAGCCAAGACCGTGCCACTGCACTCTAGCCTGGGCGACAGAGTGAGACTCTGTCTCAAAAATAAAACAAAAAAAATAAACAAAAAGATAATTGGATATACAGAATATGTAAGATAAAGAAGCTAAACTTTTACAAAGTTAATTAAGCCTTGCAAAGTATGTAAAATCCTTATGATAAAGGAGGTGGCCATGCAGGCTGGTAATTTTGCCCTCAGGGCCTTGTTGGCTTTGATTCTGTCTCATAGGAAGTTCCGTGTTTAAGAGGAGGGGATGGGGATGCTCCCCAGGTGTTCCGTGGCTGCGTGAAAGGTCACGCCCTTCGTGAGCTTCCCTGGCTTCTCCAGCCCCAGCAGGTGTTCTGTCAAATCCACTAGTGGGGCCTCTGCTAAGGCAGTCTGCACGTGCTCCCATCAGTTGGTGAAGTCGGCGGCCACTGCCTTTACTTACCCTGCATCTCGGACTCAGGATGTTCCTGCCTCCTTGAGCCCAAGTGATGGGGGCATAGAAGCCGATAGAGGGGTCTTCAGGTGGCTAGCGAGCTCTGCCAGAAAGGTGGTGCAGGGCCCTGCTTGCAGGCGCTGTGGCAGGTGGGGGCTGCCCCGATGCTGCTATGTGATGTGACAGATAAGTCACTTGGTTTCCGTTCCCAAACACAGGCCTGGTCAGGTGGTAGAAAGTCACCTGCTATGGAAACGTGGTGATTCTCGGAGGCAAGCGCCGCCCCACCCTGGGCCTTTGTGTTACAGAACCCTGTTATGGAAAGTCGCCCCAGGGCTGGAGCAGCCCTCAGTTTCACGCCCGGCTGAGGTTGCTTCCTGTCTGGCATCATAGCCACTGTCCTCCAGCAGCCTCTGTCTCACCCCCATCCTTCCCACCCCACCCAACCCCTCACTGCTGGGGCTCTGAGATGCACTGTGCCACGGCTGCCTCCCTCCCCTCTCTGGGCTCCTGGCCTTTCCCGCCTCTACCCCCCCAGCACCTCGGCAGGGAGGGTGGTGGTGGCTGAAGTGTACTGGCTGATGTCCTGTCTTGTGCCAGGCTCATGTGTGTCCCCCACGTGATCCTCATGTTAGCTCCTGGAGGAGGAGGTGCTGTTGCTGTTTCACAGATGAGGAAACTGAAGCACAGAGTAGATGATGGGAGGGCCGGGTTTAGGCGGAGCCATGGACCCAGCATCTCTCACCCACCCGTGTATCCGCTGCTCTGGGACGTGCCATCCGAGGGCTGTCGCGTTTTCCTGCCGTGACCATCCCCGGCCCCCACCTTCTCCCTGTCTTATCCAGGCGCTTCCATGCTCTGTCCCCCAATTCAGCCCTCTCCCCACCTTCACCTTATCACACAGATACTGAGCATGTCACCCCTTAGTGGGATGCAGGCCAGGAGGGAGGGAGGCTGGTCAGAAAGGTCATCAGGGCAAGAAGAGGCAGGGGGACTAAGGAAGGGGGTCCCGCGGGCCCAGATCGAGGACAGAGAGGGGACTATTAGGTCTTTACAGGAGCAGGCCATGACTTTGTATGAGCATGTGTTAGTGTGCAAGACTGTGTGCAAGGTGAGTGTGTACAGGTGAGTATATTGTGCAAGCATGAGCACGAGTATGGGTGAGCATGTGTGCACACAAGTGTGTGCTAGTATATCTGTGTGTGCACATGCAAGTATGAATGATGTGAGTGGGTGTGTCCACGTGTGCACACGTGTGAGTGCATACGTGAGTGGGTGAGTGCACCTGGGTGAGTATGCATGTGTGTGGGTGTGTGCACGTGTGTGAAGAAGCACACGTGTAAATGTGTGGGTGAGTGCACATTTGAGTGGGTGAGCATGCACATGTGGGTAAATGTGCACATGAGTGCACGAGTGGGTGAGTGCATACGTGAGTGCACATGAGTGGCTGAGTGTGCATATATGAGTGCACGTGTGTGGGCGAGTGCATTTGAGTGTGGGTGAGCATATGTGGGTGTGAATGTGGGTATGTACGAGTGTGGGTAGGTGTGCACATGTGAGTATGAATGAGTGCACGTGTGGGTGAGGGCACATTTGAGTGGGTGAGTGTATATGTGAGTGTGAATGTGGATGAGTATGCACGAGTGTGGGTAGGTGTGCACATGTGAGTATGAGCGCACGTGTGGGTGAGTGCACATTTGAGTGTGAGTGTCGGTAAGTGCACGTGGGTTTTGAGTATGCACATGATTGTGGGTGAGTGTACATAAGGGTGAGTGCACGTGTGCGTGGGTGAGTGTGCATGAGTTTGGGTAAGTGTACGTGTGAGCGTATGAATAAATGCACATGAATGTGAGAAGGCACGTGTGGGAGTGCACATGTGGGTGTGAATGCGGGTATGCACGTGAGCGTGGGTAAATGTGCACGAGTATGAGTGCATGTGCATGGGTGAGGGCGCATTTGAGTGTGAGTGGTGAGTGTGCACGTGTGGGTTTGAGTATGCACGAGTGTGGGTGAGTGTACACACGTGAGTGTGAGTGGGCGAGTGTACACATTTTTGGTAAGCTTTTTTGCTTGCTCAGAAAAGTCATTTTCGAGGGAACTGTAGCCCACCTGCCATCCTTCCTGAAGTTTTCTCCTGTTTTTCCCGGGACACTCAGGCTACTGTGTTGTGGGGGCTGAGCTCAGAGGCCCCATCCCAGGCACTCTGTCCCGGTGCCCGTGTGGAGGAGGCAGGCCCCGGGAGGCTGCAGCTCGGAAGTGTGCGTTCCTCCTTGTCCCGCTTGTCAGGATTTCTCTAGCTGGGAGTAGCATTAGGATTGAGATGCCTCCCACCCATAGAGGAACATGAGTGAGCTTCTTGTTGAGTGCTTGAGGAGGGTCCCTCAGGTTGTACCAAGCAACTTTTTGCCTATAAAATCCCCAAGAGAAGGAACGTGTTGCTTTCCAAGAAGGCGCTGTATCTCACTGCATTTTGGCCCTTCATTTGTCATTGGCAAGAAGACCCCCCTCTGAGCAAATCCCCATATAATTCCCAGGCTCCCAAAACACCTGGGGGAGTAGCCTGGCCGCAGAGGTGACCTGGTCCCGATGGCTGAGCCCCAAAGGAGCAGGGCTGAGATGGCCCTGGCTTCCTCCCATGGAACTGGGGGCTTTGGTCCAGGGTCTGGCTCAGTGGGGGCTGGCACGGTGCCCTGCTGGATCATTTCCAGAACAAAATTAACTACCACGGGGATCATGGAGCTCTGTAGGAGGAGCTTATCTCCGTCCAGTGCTGAACACGCATGCCCAGGGGACTCCTGCCTCCGGACCCACGGTTCTTGTGTTTCCAAATGTACTGTATACGTCCATCAGGAAAGCACAGAGCTCCTCACTTTTGTCTTTGGCCAGAATCATCGGGGAAACGGGTTAGACCCCCTTGCCTGAGAAATAAAAGGCTTTGTGTGATTTCTTTAAGAATCTCTAGGTGACCGGTTGGTTCTGACCTTTGTTGAAAACTTTTCTAATGCTCCCACAATAAGCCTAATAGCACCGTGCATTACTTTCTTGGATAGTTGAATAAATGGAGGAAATGGCGGGCCAGTGCCCGAACTCCAAGCTGCAGGTGGCTTTGCGTCTTAGCTCCTGGAGAAGAGCCTGCGGGTTCAGCGGAGAGGCTAATTGCACGAGTTGCTTACTTGCTGCTTTTTTCTTTAAAGATGTAAAAATCAACTTTATGATTTTATGTTATATTTTATTTTAATTTATTTATTTATTTATTCTGAGGCGGAATCTTGCTCTGTCGCCCAGGCTGGAGTGTAGTTGTACAATCTCGGCCCACTGCAACCTCCGTCTCCCGGGTTCAAGCGATTTTCCACCTCAGCCACCCAAGTAGCTGGGATTACAGGCCCCCACCACCATGCCTGGCTAATTTTTTTTGTATTTTTTCAGTAGAGATGGGGTTTCACCTTGTTGGCCAGGCTGGTCGCAAACTCCTGACTGCAAGTGATCCGCCCACCTCGGCCTCCCAAAGTGCTGGGATTACAGGCGTGAGCCACTGCGTTCAGCCCCTGTATTATGTTATTTTAATATAGGGAAGTATTAAAACAGCAAAACTTGAGAAAACCACTTGCATGTTATTTTGCTTTTCTTCACATCTTTTCAAGAAGTAACAATAGCAGGCATGGCTGCAAGCACTTCACACATGTCATTCATGTCGTCCCACGAGGAAGATGCTATTTTTACCCCCAGTTGTACAGCCAAGTCCTGGCATGCAGGGAAGTCATGTGACTTTCCCAAGTAGGGGCAGGATATGGACCCTTGGCTTTAAGGAGGTGATGTCCATTGGATGCTGTGGACACTGCTGTCCTGTGAGCCCCCCGCCGGCCTTGGGCCCGCCCAGCTGGACTCTGAGTTGAGAATGAGGATGATAGTAATATCAGCCACGCCAGCTCAGACACTGCACAGTTTCAGATCCGTCCTTTCATTTCATTCCCAAACAGCCCTAGAGATAGCAGCTATGCACTTACCCCCTTTCTAGAAGAGTCTGCCTAGGCTCATAGAGTATGTCTTCTGCCCCAGGTCCCTGGCAGGTGAGGGATTCAGGAGCACCTGTCCCCCTCAGCCAGAGTTGGGCAGAGGAACTTGAGTTCCCCTTACAACCTGGGATAGTGTGGAGCTGCCCTCCCCACCCGGTGGCCCAGTGGCTCAGTTGGGCTTCCAGACGGTTTGCTGCTGACAGCCCTGGGGGAATACCGCACCCTTCGAGCCAGGTCATCAAAAGCAGCCGGCAGCCCCTGTGTAGAGGGTGGCTACCTGGCGGAACAGGGTCCTGTTACCTGCCTAGGGGTATTGGGACCACCAGGAAGTAGCAGCTCGGTCTGAGGTTTGCATTCTGGCAAAGTCCTGTCCGAGGCTCCTGGGAGGCCAGTTTGAATTCTGGAAGGCTGCGTGCATCTGCGTGAATTTGCTCCTCGTGACCCTTCCCACCACTTTCCCAAGCAGCTTCGGAGAACTGCAGTGGCTGCCTCCGAGGGAGAGCTTGTCGTCTCCATGCCAGAACTGGCACGGGGTCTTGCCCACATTTCCTGGGGCATTTGTCGGCCAGACAGGCCTGAACTTTGTCATCTTGAGAAATGACAGCATGGAACGTTCAGCGCTGCAGTTTGACTCTGTACAGACATTCCTGAGGTCCAGCCATCTGTGAATTCTTTGATATGAACGTTGGTTAATCATTTCTGACACAGAGCATGAATTCATTCATTTCCTAAGACGTGCCCCTCCCACCCCCCCACACCGCCTTCCCCTGCTACCTTCCCCAGCATTGAAACCGTACCCCCACCGGCCTCCCAATGCAGAATCGTCTGCAGCAGGTTAAAAGGCTGGAGAAATGTGAGCACTTCGTAAGGACCAAATGCTTTTGTGCGCACACAGAAACTCCCAGCACTGCGTAGAGCGGCTGAGTGGAAGCCAAGGAGGAGGGCCTGCACGCAGGGAAGAAAATACCTCGAAGGAAAATAAGAAGAGGCTGGACCCCGGGGATGACTCCTGGAGCAGGATTCCGGATCTGCACAGCTTAGCGCTTCTGGGCCACTCCTTGCAGTGCTCAGCGGCACTGTAGGTTTTTTCTCAGGTGGCTGCAGGAGTGAGCATGTGGCTTTTCCTTGCTGGCTCTGTTTCCGCCTGCCCCAGGGAGCCTGTGCTGGCCAGGGTTGCCCGCCGAGGGGTGTAGAGGTACCGTGGGCAGCCCCTGCTGTCTCCAGTCACTGTGTGCGCTGCCTGCCTTGCTCGGCCTGAGTGACCAGGTCCAGCTACTGAGCTTTATGTCCTGGAAGCGAGGCCTGGGAATTGCCTTTCCTGCAAGGGGTGTTGGTGCAGGGGTTGGGGGGGGTCCTCTGGGCCTGGCCGGCTGCTGCGCAGTACCCAGCTGAGCCCTGGAAGGGCAGGTGCCGGGGCGCTGGGGCCTCCACCGTGCTGGCCTTGGCCCATCCTGTGCCCGGCGCTTTCCAACACAAGAATTGAGAAAAAACTCAGACACAACCCTGTGGCCCCCTTCATTCCCACGCTGTCTTTTTCTTTTGTATAAATATGTGGCAAACTTTAAAAATTCCTCTTAGAAATGTGAGGAGGCGGTTCGTCTGTCTCATTCCTTATCCGCCCCCCTCTGCAACCTGTACCATTCATCGTCAGCTGTGACCCAGCCAAGCCACCAAGTGCTTTTCCTGGCTGGAAAACTCAGAGGCGGACACGCCACCCCACAGTCGGGAGCTGTTACCACCACGTAGTCTTTTCTCTGCCGCCGCCTCGTGCTCCACGCCGGCCTTTCAGCGGAGACGCACTTTGTCTTCCTTTGACAAAAATGGATGATCTGAGCCCAGATCACACACATCTGCTGCTGTTTTCACTTATCCCTATTCAAGCCGCCTGTGTAATTGTCCATGCGCCTCTCGACCCCTCCTGGAGAATGTTCACCTCTCTGACTGCGTTTTATCACTCATAGCCACCTGGCAGGAAGGCCAAATAATGCATTTTCTCTCCATGTCAGGGAAAAATTGGAAGGATCTTCCCGAAAGTTCTTCAGGTGGAGAGTGGCAGGGGGCTGGTGAGGGGGGATGCCCACCCAGGAATCTTTTTTTTTTTTTAATTTTTTCCTTATTGAGGTGAAGTTCACATAGCATAAAATTAAGCTTTAAAGGGGCTTCTAGTATATTCAGAGTATTGTACCACACCACTTCTATTGAGATCTAAAATGTTTTCATGCCATCAGTTAACCAATAGTAACTTTTTAAAAAATAATAAAATATTTTCATCACCCAGGCTGGATGGTACGGTGGCTCATGCCTGTAATCCCAGCACTTCGGGAGGCCGAGGCAGGTGGATCACTTGAGGTCAGGAGTTCGAGACCAGCCTGGCCATCATGGTGAAACCCCATCTCTACTAAAAATACAAAAATTAGCCAGGTGTGGTGATGGGCACCTGTAGTCCCAGCTACTTGGGAGGCTGAGGCAGGAGAATCGCTTGAACCTGGGAGGCGGAGGTTGCAGTGAGCCGAGATCATGCCACGGCACTCCAGCCTGGGTGACAGAGCGAGATTCCATCTCAAAAGAAGTATTTTCATCACCCCATACCATTAGCAGTCACCCCCCATCCTCCTCCCTGAGCTCCTGGCAACATCTGTCTGCTCTGTGTCTGTGGATGTGCCTGTCCTGGACATTGTGTAGGAATGGAGTCACGCGGTGCATGGCCTTTCGTGTCTGGCTGCTTTCACTGAGCGCGATGTGTTCCGGGACCCCCGCACCGTTGTGTGTCAGCGCTTCGTGCCTTTCGGTGGCTGCGATTCCGGTGCAGGGATGGGCCACAGTTTGCCCACTCATCTACTGATGGACATTTAGGTGGTTTCCACTTCTTGTGAGTTGTAAATAGCAACGCCGTCAACACTCATGAACTGGTTTTTGAGTTCCTGTTTTCAGTTCTTTTGGGTACACGCCTGGGGCTGGTGGTGCTGGGTCATGTAGTAGTTCTGCGTTTAATGCTTTGGGGACCCCCGTCTGTGCGTCTCAGGTCACCCACAGCACCGTGTCCATGCACTCCCTGCCTCCGTGACACTTGCTGGCCTCAACTGCAGAGTGGACGGTTAGCCTGCGCGTTAAACCCACACTCGCCGAGAGGCGGGAGAGTGGACGGTTAGCCTGCGTGTTTAACCCACACTCGCCGAGAGGCGGGAGAGTGGACGGTTAGCCTGCGCGTTAAACCCACACTCGCCGAGAGGCGGGCATTTTAAACCAGAGCCTCACTCAGCACCTATTCAGGGGTGACAGGAGAGGGATGGGCCATCGGGATGCTGTGATTTCTCCTCCGAGCAGCAGGGACCTCAGACCCCACAGATCCCCCCGCTCCTCTGTGCAGCCCTCCTGCTGGTTCTTCCAGCTCTCCACCTGAGAACATTCGGCTCTTTCGCCAAAAGTGCTGTTACTTTTGACCCAGTGGCCGCCGGTGGGTGTCTCTGGGAGTCAGAATCGAGCAGCACATCCTGGGCGCTGTCTATCAGAGACCGTTTCCTAAACGCCCTGTGCCTGCTGCTCTGATTCACGAAGGCCAGACTGAAGTCAGGTGTCCTAGCAGTGGGTGTCTCACATGAGTCAGTGCCACTCGAAAAACAAGCGTGGATTGCATTGGCTTTGTCTTTTGCCTCCAGCTTTCTTTATCCTGCTGTTTTTTGCTTGAATCCGTAGCTCTGAGCCATTGATTACCAGCAGCAGTTTACAGCAACTGCAGTTTTGTAAACAGTAGCTTAATGTCATGAAAGCCTTCCCAGTGTAAATGCTACTTACGCCCTTCCTCCAGTAGTCTCACGCCCAGCCCCAAAAATGTAAATTATAAGTTGTAAAGATAAGGTGGGGCTCACAAAGTGAGGGGAGGTTCTCCTTTCCCTGGGATCGCATCTCACATTTAAGCGTCCCATAATGGGCACTTCCACGCGTTTTCCAAAGTGGGCCGCGTTACACAGCGAGAAAACAGATGATTTTTAATGCACTCGCCTACCTGTTGCTTAACCAAAAGTGGAGTCTTTAAGGAGACAGCTTATCAGACCTTGTGATTTCATCAGCTGATGTAAAAGAAAAATGAAAAAGGTGATCCATGCATTCGAATACCAGGGGTCATGGTAGAAGCCTCCCTTGGATTTACAGACAAGGGCGTGTGGGAAACTCACGTATCTCTGTTGATATCATCCTCAATTCCCTGTAACACAGAGAGGACGTGTGTTCTAATAGTAAATCGTTATCTTGCACAAAAAGAAATTGAGGTACAGTCATGGGTCTCACTCACGTTAGATGATTGGATAAGAGGGAGGAGAAGCCTCAGCTGGGGTGGCCACATACAGTTGTGCAGGCTGCCCACTGCACAACTCCAGGCAGGGCGTGCTGCCTGGGTGTCCAGGGTCCCCAGAAGTCATGCAACTTGGCCATCTGGCTGAGCTCCTGTTTCCAGTTGTGTGTCCTGCTTTTCAGCCTCGTTTCCCTGATCAAAATAGATACTTTGTTCCTATTAAAAACTGAAGATTTATTTTTGAATGAACTATGTGGTTGTTATTTTCCTATTAAAAGGCACTGAGGATGATTTAATTAAATTCTACGTTTTTACAACGATCTATTTCCACGTTTTATAAAGAAGCATGAGATTGTATCATGCTATAAACTCAAACTGACCCCAGAACTATCAGGAGGAGGCATCGAACCCATCCTTTATAGGGGTGGTGGGAGGGACCCTGCTGGGACTGGAAGAAAAGGTTCTCTCTGGGGTGGAGGGGGAGGCTCTGCTGCGCATTGTGTGCCAATTGTGGGGCATGGTGGCACTTGCCTGGCGATCTCCTGGCTCATCGTCACGGCCACCTGTGGGATGTAGGTCTTGTTATCCAGGTTGTGCAGATGAAAGACATTCTGTTGCCTGTCCCGGTTGGAGCTGGCACCAACTGTGTTTCTGGAACTTTGAGACCCACATGCTTAAGTTCCGTGGCCAGCATGGATTGTGTAGGGCGGGTGCTGCTTTTCCTCCTGGAAGGGCGTCTGAGGCTGGCTGGGTGGATATGCTTCGTGTCCTGGGAGGGACTGACCAGGAGCTGAGACCTGCGAGGGCTGTCTGGGGAAAGTGGGCTCGTCCCCGGATGGCAAACCACAGTCTCTTGGAGAAGGGAAAGGTTTCACCCAAGGTCACTGATTCCAGAAGAACTCTTGTACCCAATCCTGGCCCAGAGAGGGAGTTCCACGCCTTAGAGGGGAGATGTGGGGCCGTCTGCAGGCCGGGCAGTGGCCTCCTGGTGTCTGTACTCCAGGAGCACGAACCTGGCCAGGTGCCGTGGTCAGGAGGACACCCCCAGAAGAGCAGAAGCGGGTGTTCACAGGAGGGGCCCCAGGACTTGGGTGTTGGCTGCAACTTCATTTCCTGGGGCCACCATCACAAAGTACCACGGACAGGGTGGCTCAAACAACAGACATGATTCTCTCTCAGTCTGGTGCCTAGAAGTCAAGGCGCGGGTAGGGCCGTGCCTCCTCCGAAGGCTGAAGGGGAGGACCCTTCCTGCCTTTTCCTAGCTGTCGGTGGCCCAGGTGGCCCTTGGCTTGTAAACAGCTGCTCCAGCAGCTGCCTCCGCGGTCACGCAGCTTCTCCCTGTGTGCCTTTGCATCTCAGCATCTGTCCTCTTAAGAGGACACCAGTCATCTTGGATCAGGGCCCGCCTACTCCAGGACGTCCGCATCTTAGCTAATTCCATCAGCACCAGCTCTTTGTCCAGACCAGGCCACGTTCTGAGATTCTGGGAAGCAGAACTTGAGGGGGCATTGAGCAGCCCAGCACAGCTAGTTTGGGGAACTAAAGGCCGGGGGCTCCTCATCCCTTGTCTACGTGCCGCCCACCCTGTGCCATGTCCTCCTCGCTCTATGAGTGACAGGTGCGCCTGCTGAGGGCACTGGTGGAGAAAACGCTGACACCTTCTGTGCTTTCTCTTCTTACAGCCCAATATTGGCCACCTGGGCCTGCCCCATGGGCCGTCCGGGGAAAAGATGGCCGTGGTGACAGTGGATGATTGTGACACAACCATGGCTGTGCGCTTTGGAAAGGACATCGGGAACTACAGCTGCGCTGCCCAGGGCACTCAGACCGGCTCCAAGAAGTGAGCATCCCAGGAGGGGAGGCCCTGGGGGTCCGTACCCCCAAACATGCTCACCCTGCGGCCTTCCCAGGGCAGGGCCCCACGTAGGCACTCTGGGTGCAGTGCCCTGGCGACCTCATTCCAGGCTAGAGTCAGACATCCTGTCCATGGTTGGGGCACCTTCCCTCTGACCTTCTAGAATAAGTCTCCCTAAGTATGTGTCAAGAGTGGCCAGGCCGACCCCAGGGTTGTGATGGCCAGCTTGCAGACCCCGAGACGGTCTCCAGCCCCATCTCCACGGATCACTGGCTTTGTCCCCGCAAATTCTGGTACCTGGGACTCCAGGACTCTGTTAAGTGAAGCACTGTGTCAGCCAGCTGGTCCCAGAGGCTTATGTTTTTTTGTTGTTGTTTTGTTTTTTTCTGAGATGGGGTCTCGCTCTGTTGCCCAGGCTGGAGTGCAGTGGCACGATTCTAGCTCACTGAAGCCTTGACCTCCTGGACTCAAGCCATCCTCCTGCCACAGCCTCCCGAGTAGCTGGGACTACAGGCATGCACCACCACGCCCAGCTAATTTTTGTATTTTTAGTAGACACCATCCTGTTGGCCAGGATGGTCTCGATCTCTTGACCTCGTGATCTGCCCGCCTCAGCCTCCCAAAGTGCTGGGTTCTCATTTTCTTCTGGCCTCCTTTCAAGGCCCTTCCTTTTCCTAGAAGGTCTCAGAGGCAAGGGTAAAGTATAGTCCCTGCTGGCCTTGACCTGTGCTCCCTGCGCTCACATCCTGTCTCGGTGTGGACCAGCCTGGGTGGGCGGGGCTTGGTGGTCACTGGTGAGCGTGAAACACCCAGATCGTCAGGACTGAACACAAGTGTGAGCAAACGGAGGCAGTGGCGGCACCAGACACAGGAGCCCCCTCTGACTTTGGCCTCTCCCCGCCTGTCTGCTTGGTTTCTGAAGTAGTTATGGTGGTAGAGGCTACACAGAGGCAACTGCGGAGCCCAGCCCGCCGTGGCCGCCTCTCCCCGCCCTGACGTCACAGAAGATGGCTTTACCTACCCAGGTCCCTGGATCTGACCGGCCCTCTACTCCTGGGGGGTGTCCCCAACCTGCCAGAAGACTTCCCAGTGCACAACCGGCAGTTCGTGGGCTGCATGCGGAACCTGTCAGTCGACGGCAAAAATGTGGACATGGCCGGATTCATCGCCAACAATGGCACCCGGGAAGGTACGGGTGGCCGTCAGGGCGTCGGAGCTGCCGCAGTGGCATCTGGCTGGACGTCGGCAGCCACACAGAGGTCACTGCTTGCAGATCCCTGGGGAGCCGTGTTTTTCTTAGAAATGTATGTGTCCAGCGGTGGGCAGCTCCTGGGATGGAACCCGGAGTCCAGGCTGGAGATGTGCATCTCCGCAGTTCCTGCATCTGCAGTTTGGGGTTGCCTTGGCACTGCTGGCCCAGCCAGCTAACCCGAGGCGCACATGATCCTAGGGTCTTGCATATGTGTCACCAGGTGACCGGGCCGGCTGCCGTGATGGCCTGGCGTCCCAGCGTCTCCAAATGTGGTCAGTGCGTTCAGCACCTTCTTAGTTCCCATGTTCCTGCCGTTGCCAGGGGCGTTCAGACCTGGTCTGACTTCTGTCCAGCCCCGGGTCCATTCCGTCCTGGTTTCCCACGCCACGTCTGGCGCCGGGGACCCCGGGCGGTTCCTCCGAGTCAGGCTCTGCCGCACGCTCTGTGTTGCCAGGCTGCGCTGCTCGGAGGAACTTCTGCGATGGGAGGCGGTGTCAGAATGGAGGCACCTGTGTCAACAGGTGGAATATGTATCTGTGTGAGTGTCCACTCCGATTCGGCGGGAAGAACTGTGAGCAAGGTGAGTGGCCGGCGTCGTCCATCCCCCCGGTCACGGCGGCCTGGGAGGCATTGCTCCTTGATGTGCCCGGGACCACCGTGAGGGGGCTTCACATCCAGGTCCGGCAGCCTCTGGTGGTATATGCTGCATTTACTGTGGACTCACACCGCCCTCTCCAAGAGACTGTCCTCCGCAGAGCCCCTGCTCCTGCTTCTGGGGTCCCCAGTCCCTCAGGTGTGGGGTGGGACAGGTAGGCTGGGCCGGCAGAGCCCAGCCCCAGCACCCCAGCCACGGAGCCCAGGGATCCTGAACCCGCCCCCGTCTGCCTCCTGTCAAGCCTGAGAGCCCCTTACCACGCCCATCTGTGGCTGGGAGCCTGCAGATCTTCATGCTTCCCAGCAAGGAGGCTCACGTCCCAGGGTGCGCTTCTCTGGAGCCCACGTGGCTGACTGTGAGGGCTGGATGCGTCACAGAGGGGAGGCTCAGACCCACCTTCGTGTTAAAGTGAAAAAGGCCCAGGCCTAGCCTGCAGGCCCATCCCCCGCCCCTGCAGCCAAGTCCGCGGCCGTGTGATTTCGGGAGACACCTGAGGTCCCTGGGCCTGTGTCCGCAGCCATGCCTCACCCCCAGCTCTTCAGCGGTGAGAGCGTCGTGTCCTGGAGTGACCTGAACATCATCATCTCTGTGCCCTGGTACCTGGGGCTCATGTTCCGGACCCGGAAGGAGGACAGCGTTCTGATGGAGGCCACCAGTGGTGGGCCCACCAGCTTTCGCCTCCAGGTGACTGGGGCCCCGTGCCACCAAGGCACCTGCTAGGTGGGTGCCCGAGGGAGGGACCCAGGCGCTGGGCTTCCTGGTGCACACTCGGGCACCTGCTACTCGCCCTTCCTCCGGCGCCCGCCCCTGGGGTTCTCCGAAGAGGGGGAAGGGGAATATCAGCCCTTTCTTTCCTCTGGGAGGCGGAGACAGCGAGGGAGCATGGGGCTGGGCCAACCCTGGGGCCCAGCAGAGCTCAGCGGCAGTTCTGGTCTCCCTCTAGCCTGAGGGTTTGGCTGGAGCGTGGGCATTGCAGAACTGAGGGAGGTGCCGAGCCTTCAGGCGGAAACAGTGAGCCTCACCAGTTAAAGCTGCAGCCAGGTGCAGGCCGGGGTGGTGGCTCATGCCTGTAATCCCAACACTTTGGGTGGCGGAGGCCGGCGGATCACCTGAGGTCAGAAGTTCGAGACCAGCCTGGCCAACATGGTGAAACCCCATCTCTACTAAAAATACAAAAAAAATTAGCCAGGCTTGGTAGTGGGGGCCTGTAACCCCAGCTACCTGGGAGGCTGAGGCAGGGGAATCACTTGAATCTGGAAGGCGGAGGTTGCAGTGACCCGAGAACGTGTCACCACACTCCAGTCTGGACGACAAGACAGAGACTCCATCTCAAAAAGCCACAGCCAGGTGGTGGTTGGCACCAATGCACGTCCACTTTCTCTGGGAGCTTGAGATGCCTCAGCCCAGAAATGCCTAAAGCCCCGCTCTGTCGCTGTCTGCCTGTTTTCTCTGTCTTATTGATCTTTACTGTTTCGTTTATTTGAAACAAAAGTTTATTTGTTGGATAAAAATTCCGAACAGCTTTTAGAAGGTGATTCGAATGCACTCTTTCCTCCGGTTTTCTGCGCCACACGGTTTCTGCTCGCATCTTCCATGCTCCGTAGACACTTTGTTTGAGAAACAGTTATGAGCCCTGTCTTCTGTCATCGGGCTGCCCTTCTGCCACAACCTCCGCCGCATGAGGCAGCCATGGGGACCCTCCCCAGGAGGGTGCCCGGCCCTCGGCTTGCCCTCTTGCCCCTCTGCCTGTGCATCTGAAGGTCATTCTCGTCTGTAGTGATGGCGGGGCACGGGCGCTCTCCTGTAAACCCAGCTGCTGTGACCCTTTCTGATCAGGGTCTAGCTCTGAAAACTCACTGGGCAATTCTCCCTCCTAAAAAGCTCCCTTTATGTCTCTCCTTAGGCCTAATTCTCATCCCCTGGCACGGGAGTGGCCTGTGGGAGCCGTGCCTGAGCAGGGCGCTCTGTCTTGATTTGACAGATTCATAACTGAGTTATTCCTTCCTTCATCCTAGGTTTTTTTTGTTTTGTTTTGTTTTGTTTTTTTGAGATAAAGTTTTGCTCTTGTTGCCCAGGCTGGAGTGCGACGGCGTAACCTCAGCTCACTGCAACTTCTGCCCCCCAGGTTCAAGCGATTCTCCTGCCTCAGCCTCCATTGTAGTTGGGATTACAGGAGCTCACCACCACACCTGGCTAAATTTGCTGTATTTTTAGTAGAGACAGGGTTTTGCTATGTTGACCAGGCTGGTCTCGAACTCCTGACCTCAGGTGATCCACTCGCCTCCGCCTCCCAAAGTGCTGGGATTACAGATGTGACTCTTATGCTTTTCTCCAAGTTTGTGTGTGTGTGTGCGCATATCTCCGTGCAAGTGTGTGTGCATGTCAGTCTGTGTATGTGCATCTCTCCATGCGTGCACATTTGTGCATGTCTGTGTGCATGTGGCTGTATATGTATGTGTGTGCACCCATGTGATGAGACCTGGGTGCACATGGTCTCAGAGCAG
The DNA here is from genome assembly GCF_000001405.40 of Homo sapiens. NCBI lineage: Eukaryota > Metazoa > Chordata > Mammalia > Primates > Hominidae > Homo > Homo sapiens. The sequence goes on along the minus strand of NC_000022.11, from coordinate 46,407,175 downwards.
CACTGACTTCCTTCTGGTTGTTCATTATCTCCAACCAGAGTGAGCCTGGGGCTCCCTCCTGACCTCCCTTCAGCGCACAGAGATGCTGCCCTTAGGTTAGCCTCCTCTCCTGCCTTGGGGTCGGCCACACGGGAACACTCACCCTGTTCTCCCAGGATGACCCCCCCTCCCCGCTCCTGCGGTCAGGAAGTCCCTCCCAAAGCGGCGTCTGGGCTGCGTGTCCTCCGCCATCAGCTGTGTGCCGTGGCGGAGCCATGCCTTATTGCCTTTGCTCCGTTGGGCTCTGGGCTTCTTTTGCTGCCGAGTGTGTCCTGGACACCATCCCGCATCAGGGGAAGCTGGGCTAAGGTCAGATGGTGAGAGGTGAGATGGATTTTACGGAGTGCCTGCTCCAAGCTCTCGTTCCACACACGGGAAACTGAGGCGTAGAGGCTCTTCACTAGGGACCCTATGGTTCTTTTCCTGCCCAGGTTCCTGGGACAGCCACAGGCCCTTCTCTGTCACTCCTAAGGACAGCCCATCTAGAAACAGTTCTGTATAGCCAAGATTGGCATGAGGGTTGGCGGGTGGACAGAGGGACTGCCCAGCACATGCCCTCCCCATCATGAGTGCCTGGTTGGAGTGTGGCGGGGGCAGGACCGAGAGTGCTCCCAGCAGGCTGGTGGAGGTCAGTCCCTCAGCAGATCAGCGAGGGCTCAGGAGATGGGTCGGGGCTGTGGGGCAGGGGCTCAGGCCTGGACAGGGAGCCTCCTGTTCCTCCCCATCACAGCTCGGGAGCATTTTCCAGCACAGACCTCTCGGATTGCCTGGAAGGTGTGGTGTGCGCCAGGGATGATTACAGCTGGCCTGTGGGCCCTTGTTAACCTGTAATTTCATGAGTCTCCCAGGCAGCCCCAGAAGCTTGCTCCAGGCCAAAACTTGGCAAGTGCGGTGCTGCCTGGGGATGGTATTTTCTGTGTGGTGGTTTCACTGTCAGAACAAATTAAATTGGCTGTTGGATGCAGGTGATGAACTGGAGCTTGCAAGTTGTCATTTGGCAGTGGGGTCTCTGTAGGAAAAAAGTGCGCTTTCAGTAGGAATGGTGCTGGAAGCCACAGACTCCGGTGCTGTTTGTGTAATTACATCATGGAGGGCTCATCCCCAGATTAGGAATTTTGCCAGGGACTACAGCCAGCCCTCCCTGTGGAAGTCTGGGTGGCTGGAGGGGTGGCCTTGAGGGGATGCTGCAGACCCCACTGGGCACCCAGAAGGCCCCCAGGGCAGCTCGCAGAGGCCGGTCAACCACACGTTACCGAAGGTTCTGGGGGATTTCTCCTTGCCATTATCAGCTTGCAGGCCTCCCGTGGGCCTGTGAGCTCCGTAAAGCAGCAGTTTGGCTGTCCCTCAAAGGATGTCTCCTGTGCCCCTGCCACTGTGGTGGGACAAAGAAGACTCCATTGTAATCCCACAGCCCAAGCAATTTGGATAATTGCTCTCGGGCACCCAAAATCCACCCACCTTGTCAGGTGGGATAACCTTGAGATTGCTGAATGCCTCTCTGACTGAGAGCTGGGGACACACTCTCAGTTACCTCCCATAAAACAGGTTCATCCTGTGGATATCACTTTTGTTTGTAGATATAACATCACTTTTATCACTGATCTGCTCACTTTGGAGTTCTTTAAGCAAGAACAATGCAAGAGATGGCAAAGGAATTTTTTTTTTTTTTTTTTTTTTGAGACGGAGTCTCGCTCTGTCACCCAGGCTGGAGTGCAGTGGCATGATCTCAGCCCATTGCAAGCTCTGTCTCCCAGGTTCACGCCATTCTCCTGCCTCAGCCTCCCGAGTAGTTGGGGCTACAGGCCCCTGCCACGACGCCTGGCTAATTTTTTGTATTTTTAGTAGAGACAGGGTTTCACCGGGTTAGCCAGGATGGTCTCGGTCTCCTGACCTCGTGATCCACCCGCCTCAGCCTCCCAAAGTGCTGGGATTACAGGCACGAGCCACTGTGCACGGCCAAGCAAAGGAAATTAATAAGCTGACTTCTATAGAACAAAAGAAAACAAAATGGAGGCTGGGTGCAGTGGCTCACGCCTGTAATCCCAGCACTTTGGGAGACTGAGGCGGGTGGATCACCTGAGGTCAGGAGTTTGAGACCAGCATGGCCAACATGGGGAAACCCCATCTCTGCTAAAAATACAAAAATTAGCTGGGTGTGGTGGTGCATACCTGTAATCCCAGCTACTCCGGAGGCTAAGGCAGGAGAATCACTCGAACTCAGGAGGCAGAGGTTGCAGTGAGCCAAGGTTATACCACTGTACTCCAGCCTGGGTAACAAGAGCGAAACTGTCTCAAAAAAAAGACAAAATAGAAAAAGGTGAAAAGTTATCTTCTTAAAATAACTATCAGGCCAGGTACAGTGGCTCATGGATGTAATCCTACCACTTTGGAAGGCCAAGGCAGGTGGATCACCTGAGGTCAGGAGTTCAAGACCAGCCTGGCCATCATGGAGAAACCTTGTTTCTACTAAAAATACAAAAATTAGCCAGGTGTGCATCTGTTTTTTTGTGTGTGTGTGCCCCCCTCCCCCACCAAAAACCCAAACTATCAATAGAGACCAAAAAGCAAAATACAGTTTTAGTTACATAATCTTTACAGCCAGTTAAAACCTGTATCCTGTTTTCTCTCATGAATTTATCTTAGACTGATGTGATATTTAGAAGTAGATTTCTAGGTTAGCAAGCATGTAGCGTTTTCTTTTCTTTTTTCTTTTTCTTTTTTTTTTGAAATGGAGTCTCACTCTGTCTCCCAGGTTGGAGTGCAGTGGCGTGAACTCTGCTCACTGCAACCTCTGCCTCCCAGGTTCAAGGGATTCTCCTACCTCAGCCTCCCGAGTAGCTGAGATTACAGGTGTGTGCCACCACGCCCAGCTAATTTTTGTATTTTTAGTAGAGACAGGTTTTCACCATGTTGGCCAGGCTGGTCTCCAACTCCTGACCTCAGGTGACCCACCCGCCTCGATCTCCCAAAGTGCTGGTATTTCAGGTGTGAGCCACCGCGCCCAGCCTCATGTAGCATTTTCTAGTAAATCATTTTGGTATTGTTTTTAGCATAATTGCAGGTCAAAGAATGTATACCATGTGGTTTCAGAGCTTTGAAATGTGGTTTACAGCCCAGATCTAGTCAGTTTTTTTTTTCTTTTTTTCTTTTTTTTTTTTTTTTTTTGAGACGGAGTTTCACTCTGTCACCAGGCTGGAGTGCAGTGGTGCAATCTCAGCTCACTGCAGCCTCCACCTCCCGGGTTCAAGGGATTCCCTTGCCTCAGCCTCCTTAGTAGCTGGAATTATAGGTGCCTGCCACCACATCCAGATAATGTTTGTATTTTTAGTAGAGACGGGGTTTCACCATGTAGGCCATGCTGGTCTCGATCCCCTGACCTCAGGTGATCTGTCTGCCTCCACCTCCCAAAGTATTGGGATTAGAGTTGTGAGCCACCGTGCCTGGCCTCTAGCCAGTTTTGTACACATGCCCCTGTGTGCTCTGCAGTTGTTATCTGTACTGTTCTATATACATCAAGTAGGTTAAATTTGTTAATCGTGGTATTCAAATATTCTATATCGTTATTGTTTTTTTTGTGTGTGTGACAGAGTCTTGCTCTGTCGCCCAGGCTGGAGTGCAGTGGCTTGATCTCGTCTCACTGCAAGCTCCACCTCCTGGGTTCATGCCATTCTCCTGCCTCAGCCTCCCAAATAGCTGGGACTACAGGCGCCCACTACCACGCCTGGCTATTTTTTTTTTTTTTTTGTATTTTTAGTAGACACGGGGTTTCACCGTGTTAGCCAGGATGGCCTCGATCTCCTGACCTTGTGATCCACCCGCCTCAGCCTCCCAAAGTGCTGGGATTACAGGTGTAAGCCACCGCGCCAGCCTATTGGTTTTAATTATTGTTTTTTTGTCTTTGTCTCCTCACTTACTGAGAGAAGTTAGTTACAAATCTACCTTGACTGTAGATTTATCTATTACTTCTCTTAGTAATCTTGATTTTTGCTATATAGATTTTGAGGCCAGGTTATTAGGTGCATACAAATTTAGAGCTGATTTATCTTCCCAGCAAATTGACTTGGTTATCATTATGAAATTCCTCTTTTTCTGTAGTGAGGACTTTTGCCTTAAGTCTACTTTGTCTCATATTAACATAGCTATACCATTTGTCTTTTGGTTGGTATTTATATGATGTATTTTTTTCTATCCTTTTACTTTCAACATTTTCTGTATCCTTATATTTCAGGTATAATATAAGCAGTGTGCTAATAGTTGTTTTTCTAAAATCTAGGCTATTTTTTGAAGTTATCTTTAAATATGAGCATCTTAGGTTAGTTACAACCTTGTTTTCTGATTCTTCTTACATGTACTTAAACATGGCCGTTTGACCCTTATCTCTGTAACACCTACACCCAGAAGTAAGTCTAATTGTCTCACTGAGTCTGTTTCCTTGAAAGTTTTGTGGTTCCCAGTGTTATTTTTGAGTCTGTGTCTGATGAATCTGTGGTCTGTTGCCACTCTTCCTTGCTTCTCTTGGTTTTCAAGCATATTACCTTATATCCTCGTATACTTGGCTATTTTTTATTGAGTGCTAGACATTTTATTGAAAAACTAGAGAGCATTTGAAACTAGAATGGGGGCCAGGTGCAGTGGCTCATGCCTGTAATCCCAGCACTTTGGGAGGCCAAGACAGGCAGATCACCTGAGGTCAGGAGTTCGAGACCAGCCTGACCAACATGGAGAAGCCCCGTCTCTACTAAAAATACAGAAAATTAGCTGGGTGTGGTGGTGGGTACCTGTATCTCAGCTACTCGGGAGGCTGAGGCAGGAGAATCACTTGAACCTGGGAGGTGGAGTTTACAGTGAGCTGAGATTGTGCCATTGCACTCCAGCCTGGGCAACAAGAGTGAAACTCTGTCTCAAAAAAAAAAAAAAGAAAAAGAGAAACTAGAATGGGGATGATGGGGATGTCATTATCTTCCATGTTTGCTTCTGGCAACCACTAGGAGCACTTTCCCTCCCAGAGCACTTGAATGCAGTCACAGACTTTTTTGTTTGTGTGTTTTTGAGATGGAGTCTCGCTCCATCGCCCAGGCTGGAGTGCGGTGGCGTGATCTCGGTTCACTGCTACCTCCGCCTCCCGAGTTCAAGCAATTCTCCTGTCTCAGCCTCCCAAGCAGCTGGAACTACAGGCACCTGCCACCACGCCCAGCTAATTTTTTGTATTTTTAGTAGAGATGGGGTTTCACCTTGTTGGTCAGGCTGGTCTCAAACTCCTGACCTCAGGTGATCCACCCGCCTTGGTCTCCCAAAGTCACAGAGTTTAATGCAGTCACAGACTGAGGTGGTTCAAAGCTGGGCTTCCAGTCCTGCAAAGGTGGCTCTTTTTCGTTTTTATCGTTAGTGTAAACCCCTCAGGGTTCCAACCAGAAGCCAAGGAACAACCCTTGGCAGTCCATGAACCCCAGTTTTTAATCCTCCAGCCCCATGAACCTAGAAAGCTTTTAGGCATCTTGAGACTCTAGGTCACAGGCGACTGATGGAGCGTCGTACCACCTGCTGATAGGGCTGAAGAGTGCCAAGGAGGGCAGGGGTTTCAGGTACCTGGCAGCCGTGACCTGACTGCACGCTCAGCCTCCACTGTGTCTTCCAGAACCAGCTGACGGCCTTGCAGGGAAGCACACGCCACGCTGTTTTGCAGATTCTGTCTTTTCCTTGGTTGTGAGCCTGAAACTCTGTTTTGCCTGGAGCCACTTCAGTGTCTTCAAACAGACATTCTTTAATATTTTGTCTCATGTTCGTAGGTGATTTCAAGAGGAGAGGTGGTCCAAATTGCCAAGTCCTTTCTTAGGAGATCTAAGATTTTCACGCTGCCCTTGGCCTACCTTATTTTAAAATATGAGTGTTTTAGGCCAGTTGCAATGCTGATTTTTGTTTTTTTCATACATGTAATTAAACACAGAGGATTAAATCTTGTCTTATAAAGTATAATGTTTACATCCAAAAATAGGAGCCCAGTAGTTACCTGAATCGAGCTGGGTCCCAGTACTTAAAAGCCTAATGGGGCTTGTTCTTGGCGCTTCCCTTACTTGACCTCCATGAAGCGATTGATCCTTTTTCCCGTAGAATAAGACAAGCAATTCTGATCAGTGTTAAAGGCAACAGCAACAAAGAACAACTTTGCCTATACTTTTTTTTTTTTTGAGACAGGTTCTCACTCTGTCACCCAAGTCGAAGTACAGTAGTGCTACCTAGGCTCACTGCAACCTCTGCCTCCTGGGCTTGAGTGATCCTTCCACCTCAGCCTCCCAAGTAGCTGGGATTACAGGAGCACACCACCATGCCCAGCTAATTTTTGTATTTTTAGTAGACACGAGGTTTTGCCATGTTTGCCAGGCTGGCCTTGACCTCCTGGCCTCAAGCAATCCACCCGCCTTGGCTTCCCAAAGTGCTGAAATTACAGGTGTGAGCCACCACGCCCAGCCAACTTTGTCTAATGATGATTATTATTTTGAGACAGAGTCTCGCTCTTGTCTCCCAGGCTGGAGTGCAGTGGCGCGATCTCGGCTCACTGCAACCTCTAGTAGACTCCCAGGTTCAAGCGATTCTGCTGCCTTAGCCTGCGGAGTAGCCGGGCTTACAGGTGCCTGCCACCATGCCTGGCTAATTTCAGTATTTTTAGTAGAGGCAGGTTTCACCATGTTGGCCAGGCTGGTCTTGAACTCGTGACCTCAGGTGATCCGCCTGCTGTGGCCTCCCAACGTGCTGGGATTAAAGGCCTGAGCCACTGCTCCCAGCCAACTTTGCCTAACTTTTTTTTTTTCTCGAGACCAAGTCTCGCTCTGTCACCCAGGGTGGAGTGCAATGCTGCGATCTCAGCTCACTGCAACCTCCACCTCCCAGGTTCAAGCAGTTCTCCTGCCCCAGCCTCTGAGTAGCCAGGATTACAGGCACCTACCACCACACCTAGCTAATTTTTGTATTTTTAGTAAAGATGGGGTTTCACCATGTTGGCCAGGCTGGTCACGAACTTTTGACTTCAGGTGATCCACCCACCTCAGCCTCCCAAAATGCTGAGATTACAGGCCTGAGCCACCGCACCTGGCCAACTTTGCCTAATTTTTAAGCCTATCTTGTATCTGGTGCCACATAATCAGTCTCCTTTCACAGCTTCCTTGTTTAAGTGACTGCAAAATGTTTTCTCTTTCATTGTCATTGTACCAATCAGTCGGTGTGGCTCTCCCTGCTCCAGATCCTGAACAACTACCTCCAGTTTGAGGTGTCCCACGGCCCCTCCGATGTGGAGTCCGTGATGCTGTCCGGGTTGCGGGTGACCGACGGGGAGTGGCACCACCTGCTGATCGAGCTGAAGAATGTTAAGGAGGACAGTGAGATGAAGCACCTGGTCACCATGACCTTGGACTATGGGATGGACCAGGTGAGCTGGCACCTGCACCTCCTCTGGGGATAGACCCTTCCTCCGGCCCAGGGAAAAACAGAATGACCCCTTGACGTGCCAGGACCCACCAGAGACCTTGTGGATTTGGGGAGGCACTTTCTGGGTCCCCGCAGGTGGGCTTCTGTTCTGCCCTGTACTGAGGTCACTGGCATCTTCCTCACCTCCTTCATCCGGATGCCCCGCCCCCGGCAGTCAGCAGCTGACTTCCTCCAGCTGCATTTCTCATCATGATGCTGTTGGTGCCTTCAGCAGTGGTTTCTTTTAGCAAAGCCATCTTGAGCAACACCTGCAGGCTCAGCACCATGTCTTTAGGGTACTGAAGTAGCAATGCTGGGGCCCGTGCCCTCAGAGCATGGATGGGGAGCAAAACTGGGAGAGCAGTGAGACCCAGGTCCTGGACAGGCCTGTGAGACACCAGGGAGCCACACATGTCCCAGGCAGGCAGGTGGTGGTATCCCAGACAATGTTCGGAACACTTAACCAAACTAGGTTTCCACAGTTTGCAGGCAGGTAACCCAAGATGTTGTCTGTGAAATGCCCACACACTTAAGGGGCGACCTGGGATCTCCAAGAGCTCTTGGAGCCAAGGCTCATCTTACAACACAGACCTGGGAGTAAATAGGTGTGTTCCAGGCACCTGCCTTTCTGGGACTGGATCTCAGCCGAGACCCTCTTGGGTTCCCACAGTGTTAATGAGTGAGCGGATTTCCGTTCACTGCAGTCTTCCTGACTCGCCAAGCTCTCTGTCACAGCGTGGCTGGTTTAGTGTTGTGCCCTTGACGGAGGCGGGACAGTTGCCCACGTTGACCCCACTGGCCGCCTCAGCTAGGCTGGGGCATGGACACCCATCCTCTGGCCTGGTCCCCTCGCCCTGGTCATCACAGCCAGCCTCGCTGTCCAGCTGGGCCCAGCTCTCTCTTTGGAGGCCCAGATGTCCTCAGGCTCTGCGGAGTTTGTTGAAGTGACTGTTTAGACTTCCAGTGTATCCTTCCCATCTGAGAGACGTTTCTAGGATGGTGGATGCAGCCCCCAGATCCCCGGCCCCTCTCTCCGCACAGAACAAGGCAGATATCGGGGGCATGCTTCCCGGGCTGACGGTAAGGAGCGTGGTGGTCGGAGGCGCCTCTGAAGACAAGGTCTCCGTGCGCCGTGGATTCCGAGGCTGCATGCAGGTGCGTGGGGGTTGTGGGGGGCGGGGGGAGGCCTGCCCCTCACAGGCAGCTCCGAGGCTGGCAGCACCATAGGTGGTTCCGTTGGTCAACCTGTTAGCTTTCAACGAGTGAAGAATTTGTCTGACAGGCATCCCCACTTTAACAGCTCCTGTTTCCTCTTCAGACCCATTCTCCCCTGCGGTTCCCCTTGGCATCCGGGCCGTCCCTGGCCCCCACAGCTCCCCACCGCCATGCCAGCCACCTGCCCCTCTGCCTTTGTGAAGTGTCCTGAATCGAGCCCCTTGCCGCCACCCCCACCCAGTCCAACCACAGACGTCACCCAAGTGGGCCCCGTGCCTGTCCCCTGGAGCCAGGGGTTCCAGCTACGGCCGAGGGAGCTGCTCTGAGTCGTTCAGCTCTCAGCCCCCTCGGCAGGGACATCCACTCCTCACGCCCCCACCGCGCACCCCAGGAGCTCAGGCTGGCGTGCCCTCTGAGCTCCTCACCCAGCCCTCCACTGCACTCCGGCCAGCAGGCCGTGGGGCAAGAGGAACAACCCTGCCCGCCCCAGCTCTGTAGATAAATGAGGCATCACAGATGAATGCCTCGCAAGGGACCAGAGAGGTCTCAGGGTTCCCTTAACCCCTACATACCTTTCCGGGCTCCTGTAGCCCCAGTGCCGTTTACTTAATGCAGGGAGTGAGGATGGGGGGGACGCCCACCAACGTCGCCACCCTGAACATGAACAACGCACTCAAGGTCAGGGTGAAGGACGGCTGTGATGTGGACGACCCCTGTACCTCGAGCCCCTGTCCCCCCAATAGCCGCTGCCACGACGCCTGGGAGGACTACAGCTGCGTCTGTGACAAAGGTGGGACCGCCCTCCCGGGGCCCTTCAGTGACAGGGAGGTCTCTTATGGCTGAAACACAGGAGGGGGGCTCAGTTTAGACATTAGCGTCCCCAGCCAACTCCCTGTGGTTCCGTGGAGCCCTGAGCTTTATTTTATAACAAGCGGGCCCCTCCTAGAGAGAGACTCTGAGCCTCTTCCTTACTCAAGGCACAGAGTGCCCCAGGCGCTCTCCTCAGCACATGGGGTGATCAGCAAAGAAACAGTGAAAAGTAAGGCCGGGTGCAGTGGCTCATACCTGTAATCCCAGCACTTTGGGAGGCCGAGGTGGGTGGATCACTTGAAGCCAGGAGTTCAAGACCAGCCAGGCAACATGGTGAAACCCCATCTCTACGAAAAAAAAAAAAAAAAAAAAAAAAGCAAAAATTAGCCAGGCATGGTGGCACGCATCTGTAGTCCTAGCTACGTGGGAGGCTGAGGTGGGAGGATCACTTGAGCTTCTTAGGCAAAGGTTCCAGTGAGCTGAGATCATGCCACTGCACCTCAGCCTGGGCAACAGAGCAAGACTCTTCTCAATAAATAAATAAATAAAAGAATTAGTGAAAAGTGCATATTAAGAAAATCCTCCATTCAGGGTGGCCTCAGAGTTTTGAGGTGCTTAAGTCATCTTCTGCTGGTGGCCATTCCCCATGTGTCCTGGGGCAGCCTGGGCCCCGTGTTCCAAGGCTCTCACCCTCCTTGGGGCAGCCCGGGAAGGCCTTCCTCTCTGCATCACTAAGTCTAACCCGCCTAACGCTGTGTTTTCGGGGACTCTGTGGCACTCTTCCTCTTCCCTCTGCTGAGTACCAGGGAAAGTCAGATCTTCTGGAGGGGACAGGTTGCTCCAGATATTTTAACGTGGAAGGTCTCGTGGATTGTGGGTGGAGGTAATGCTGGCTCTGTCCTTGCAGGGTACCTTGGAATAAACTGTGTGGATGCCTGTCACCTGAACCCCTGCGAGAACATGGGGGCCTGCGTGCGCTCCCCCGGCTCCCCGCAGGGCTACGTGTGCGAGTGTGGGCCCAGTCACTACGGGCCGTACTGTGAGAACAAGTAAGAGCAGCCCCTGGTGCCTCCCTGCACCTTCAGAGTCCATGTGGCTGTGTTCCCTCGACTCAGTGTCTTCTCTTTCTTATTTTGACCCAAAGATATGTGTGATTCTGGGTAACAGGGACATATTTTTTTTTAATTTGGCATGAATTAAGTGAAAATCAAATTTTTTTTAATTTTTATTTTATTTTTATTTTTTTGAGACAGAGTCTTGCTCTGTCACCCAGGCTGGAGTGCAATGGCGCGATCTTGGCTCCTTGCAACCTCTGCCTCCTGGGCTCAAGTGATTCTCCTGCCTCGGCCTCCCGAGTAGCTGGTCCTACAGGTGCCCGCCACCATGCCCAGCTAATATTTTGTATTTTTAGTAGAAATGGAGTTTCACCATATTGGTCAGGCTGGTCTCGAACTCCTGACCTCAAGTGATCCACCTGCCTCAGCCTCCCAAAGTGCTGGGATTACGGGTGTGAGCCACCACGCTTGGGCAATGAGAATCAATTTGGACGTCTCAAACTAACCCCATTGGATCATGTGTCCACACCTGAAACATGCAAATGACTCACCTGGAGTCCTCACTGGGCCCAGAGCAAACAGGCCCCATGAGATGCAGGGAGACGCATGTGGTTTACAGAGAATGCTTTCTCTGTCGAGTCGCTGGGCTTGAAGTCATTTCTGATGTGTGCGGAGATCCTAGTGTGGTTAGGACAGGCAGCAGCGTGCTCTCTGGGCTCTGGGCTCTGTACCCTTTGCACGGGGATCGCTGGGTACAGGTGCGTAGTCATCACAAGCGTCACTTTGTCCAAGGTGGAGCTGCTGGGTTCTTCATAAACCAAGGTTCCAGGCCGCCGTGGAGGTGATGCCCCTGTGGCTCATTGTCCTCAGCTGCTGGTGGCCATCAGGTGCAGGGACACCTGCTATGCTCCGTTCTTTGTCCTCCCGAGCCTAGAGCAGGTGCTGTGATCCCGGCTGTGACCCCATGAGTGGGAAGCAGCCTGTGCCCTGGAGCTGGTGACCTCACGAGAAGATGGCACCACATCATTCTTGGATATCAGCAAGATGTGATGCCAGGGAGAGCGCCGCGGAGGTGCCCTGGGAGTGGAGAGGGAGGTGGGAGCCAGTGTGGCTGAAGCGGGAGGGCATTCTGGGAGCGAAAGCAACAGAGCCAAGCTGGAGAGGAGTAAGGGGATGAGGCTGATCTAGAGAGGCCTGGGTGGGGACAGAGGTGGGCCCGCAAGCCAGGAACAGAATTCGGCTGTGTGGAGGCCGTGGGGGCCCAGCACTAAAGTGGCAGGACCTGGTCTTAGGGAACCCCCACCTGCCGCATGGAGCACAGCTTGGAGCAGGGGGAGTTGCCAAGAGGCTGATCCAGCATCTCCATGCCCGGCGCCACAGTCACCACTGCTGCAGGGGGATGAAGGTTCTGGGGCCCCCACGCTGCACACACACATCCATAAACGCCAGACTCTATCTCTGGCCTGGTTGTCTTTATGACCCTGATTTGTACACAGTCCTTAATACTTGCTCGCCAAGTGAGTGAATGCTAGAGGCTGGCAGCTGGGTGGAGGGAACTTGGTTAGCCAGGGGGGATTGCAGGAGCCCGCAGGACACTCGGGCGGGGCCGTTGCAGGCAGGTGGGCCTTCAGGTGACTGCGCAGGTGCAGCCCTGTCAGGAACAGGTAGGGAGACTCATGCACAGCAGCGGCCAGCACCTCGGAGGCCTGGCTTTGTCCCTGCAGTGTTGCTCATCTTCAGTGTCTGTTGCTCTCTGCCGGGGGAGGCTCAGGGAGGCAGGACTGGCTTCTGCTGGATTCCGAGTGCACGGGCGCATGCCGCCGTCCTAAGGGGCATGCTACACCAGGGCATGGCTGCCCTGAGCATCTGTGGGTCTGGGGGCCAGGGGACCTGGGGGACAACAAAAGCTACAAAACTCCCTGTTTAGGAGCTTCCTGCGGGCATCTCATGCTGGCATTCACCCCAAGACCACTTTGAGAAGTTGTGCCAGGCAGCTGAGCTCAGTCTGCCTGGGGCTGCATCGTGAAAGGCCAGCCTTGCAGTGGGGGTTCATTGTCATTAAGCCCCAATGAGTCAGGCATCATGTGGACGTGGGGCACACGGTGGACAGAGATGTCATCCCAGTCGCTTTGGGCATGGTGGATCTGTGGGTGGGGGGTGAGGTTGGGAGCCGGTAGAGGGGAGACTGAGGCCATGTAACGTGGAAGGGGAAGCTCCCAGAGCTGGACCCAGCCAGGCCTCCTGGGCAACCATCTCCATGCTGCCTGCAGGCCTCTTCTCATTCCAGAAAGCACAGTTACATAAACCTTCCAGCTGCCCTCTTATTTTCCCCACAGACTCGACCTTCCGTGCCCCAGAGGCTGGTGGGGGAACCCCGTCTGTGGACCCTGCCACTGTGCCGTCAGCAAAGGCTTTGATCCCGACTGTAATAAGACCAACGGCCAGTGCCAATGCAAGGTGAGGCCCCGCCCCCATGATCCCTGCATGCTGTGTTTGCTCACACACATGCACAGCTGCCCCTAAATACACACACGCCTTCACATACCCTGTCGGTACACACTCACACCCCTGCACACACACCTGTGCCCACTCACATCACATTTGTGTACAGATGTGGTTTTTGGTTTCCTTGCTGCTCCCCCGTGCTCTGTGAATACTCCATGGCTGCTTTCCACGTGTAAACTACGGGTTCAGCCCTGCCAGCCCCCGCCCGTGGAACAGGAATCCCTGCCTCCTCCCGGCCTACTGCCCATGGCTGTGGGAAGCCCACCCGTTTCTGAGGGCTGGCTCATCTATGGCACCACCCCGGCCCTCCTGGCCTCCTGGTTGGCCATTTTCCTGGTCTTTTTTTTTTTTTTTTTGAGACAGAGTCTCGCTGTGTCGCCCAGGCTGGAGTGCAGTGGTGCGATCTCGGCTCACTGCAGCCTCCGCCTCCCGGGTTCCAGCAATTCTTCTGCCTCAGCCTCCTGAGTAGCTGGGATTATAGGCGCCCACCACCATGCCCAGCTAATTTTTGTATTTTTAGTAGAGACAGGATTTCACCATGTTGGCCAGGCTGGTCTTGAACTCCTGACCTCAGGTGATCCGCCCGCCTCAGCCTCCCAGAGTGCTGGGATTACAGGCGTGAGCCACCGTGCCTGGCCATTTTCCTGGTCTTTACCAAGCTGGTGTCCCATGATGACAGCAGTTTTAAAATAGAAAGTGTCACTAAGTGCGTTATGCCCCACGCCTGTCCAGGGCGGTCAGTCCTAACCTGCATGCAGCACGGAGCTCACATCTCGTGTCTCCAGAAATGCACACGCGTTCTCAGTGCAGACTCTAGGGACCCCTCCCCAGCCCTCTCAGGATACATCACCTCCTTCAGGATCTTCGTGTACACCACGGCCATGGCGCTCACAGTGACTTGAAACCCAAATGTTAGGTCTGAGGGTAACAGGAGCCTGGGCGAGGGACGTGAGCTTCCTGCAGATGCGGCTGGCCCTAGGAGGGAAGCTGGTACCAGGGCACCCTTGGATGCCATCTCGTGATGTCAGTAGTGTCCCCCCCCAGTGCCTGCGGTGGTTCCAACAGCAAATGGGACTTGTGTCCTGAAAGGCTCAAATTAAACAGCTCTCCTGGGTCAGGGTCGGTCCACACGTCACCAGATGGCGGTGGTGGCATAGTGGGTGGCAGAGCAGAGAGAACATGGGGAGTGCATTGGCGAAAACTTGCCTACGATTTTTTTCTCATCCAAAGTTATAGGCAGGGCGTGGTGGCTCATGCCTGTAATCACAGCTACTCTGGAGGCCGAGGCAGGAGGGATTACTTGAGCCCAGGAGTTCAAGACCAGCCTGGGCAACATAGTGAGACTCCCATTTCTACAAAAAATAAAAACATTAGCTGAGCGTGCTGATGCTTGCCTGTGATCCCAGCTACTCAGGAGGCTGAGGTGGGAGGATCACTTGAGCCCTGGAGGTTGAGGCTGCAGTGAGCTGTGACTGCACCACTGCACTCCAGACTGGGCAACACAGTGAGACCCCATCTCAAAAAAATAAAAAAACAAAGTTATACAAAATGTAATAAAAACCCATAAAGATCGCAGTCACCCCATGCGCCTCCCAGCTGTGATTGTTAGTGTTTTAGCATCTCTTCTGGGCCTGTCGTTCACTGTCATTTTACACACAGTCGGAGTCCCCACCTGACACACAGGTCTGAACGTTGCTCACGAGTCTGCCCAAGTCACAGCCTGGTCACAGCCTGCCCCGTTTTCCGGGGCGGGGTTGAGGGGGTGCTACTTGGGCCTGGGGAGTCCCGGTGACCAGCCCAGGCAATGTAGCTGGTAAACGGCAAGGGTCAGGCATGAACCCAGGACTTTCTGAACCCGAAGTACAAGCTCTTGATTGTCACCCTGACCCACCCAATGGTGGACGTTCAGGTGGCTTCTAATTTTTCAAAACAACTTTAAAAAAACGCCCAAGGGCTATCCCCATACGTAAGCCTCCATTTGGATCTCTGATTCTTTTTAGGACAAATACGAAGGTGCCCACTGTTGAGACTTGTTAAGACATGAGGGAGGGCGTGCTTCCCGGAAGAACTGCTCTCCTGGGTCCGGCCTTGTGGGGCCTTGGGAGGCAGCCCCCGTTGGGTGTGGGATGTGGGCAGAGGGTAGCCATGAGGGGTGGGATGGCTGGCGGCCAACACACACACCCGGGTGGGAGTCTGGACGTCGCTCGGGAAACACGCTGCAAGGTAGGGCCTCTCCCGGGCATCTGAAGTCACAGGCCCTGCCTCTGGCTTTTGCAGGAGAATTACTACAAGCTCCTAGCCCAGGACACCTGTCTGCCCTGCGACTGCTTCCCCCATGGCTCCCACAGCCGCACTTGCGACATGGCCACCGGGCAGTGTGCCTGCAAGCCCGGCGTCATCGGCCGCCAGTGCAACCGCTGCGACAACCCGTTTGCCGAGGTCACCACGCTCGGCTGTGAAGGTCCGCGTTGCCCCTCGACACCCTGCAGGTTACAGCGCGGGGACAGGCTGCTGCACTGGCGTGCACGTGTGTGCATGCACGCTGGGTGTTTGGGGGACCCTGGGCTCCCTCGTGTTCTGAGTTCTCTTGACCTTCTAGAAACCTGGTTCTGCGTGAGGGGGTGTGGGTCAGAGCCTGGTCACCCCTCTCCAGCTCTGACATGGATGGGGGCAGGGGAGATGCTAGGGTTCGGTTCTTGGTGGGAGCAGGGCCTCCTGCAGGGAGGCGCATGCAGACAGTGGTGCCTGTTTGTGGTCGTGGGTGTGGCGTGCCCCGCTGAGCAGACTTCTCTCTTCTCTACCCCAGTGATCTACAATGGCTGTCCCAAAGCATTTGAGGCCGGCATCTGGTGGCCACAGACCAAGTTCGGGCAGCCGGCTGCGGTGCCATGCCCTAAGGGATCCGTTGGTGAGTCGCCGTGGCCTGTGTGTAGGGAACTGAGGCAGGCGTCCTTGTGGGAGGAGCCAGTCGAGATGTGGGGACTCATGGAATGTTTCGTGTTGAAAAAATATCCGCAGGCAAAGTGCTGGGGAGAAATCCGATCGCCTTTTCCCTACCAGGAAATACACAAAGCAGGCAGAGGGCGCAACAGAAACATGAACAGTGCAGCGCGTGTGGGGACGCCCGCCAGTCAGGCCCGGCCAGTCCCTGCTCTGCCGCTCAGGCTGGGGCACCGGGACAAGTGGCTTCACTGTTCATAGCATCGGGTTACCTCTGTGAAATGGGGACATTGACTGTGTCCACTCTGTGAGGGGCGTCTGGAAAATCCAGTGAGGCAAGGAAAGGCCCAGCCGAAATGGATTCCTGGTGCATGGGATCGTGGCTGCCGGCAGATGGTGTTGCTGATTTCTTTCCTCACGGACTTGCTCGGAAGTGCTGGCTCCTGTTGGCTGGGCTCCCGAAACGCCTGGTTGTCAGTGTCAGAGCAGCTTCGGCCGTGGCCCTGACATGAAAGAGGGGCGCTGGTGTCGACCTCCTGGCCCCCATGGGGTTCTAACCACCACGCAGTGTTCTGGGTTTAAGTATATTCAGATTGTGGATTGAAATACACAAGCATTGATCAACAGTTTGAGTTTCAGGCTTTGCACACCTGCTCTCCTTCCCCAGGAAATGCGGTCCGACACTGCAGCGGGGAGAAGGGCTGGCTGCCCCCAGAGCTCTTTAACTGTACCACCATCTCCTTCGTGGACCTCAGGGCCATGGTAGGGGCGCCTCGGGGATGTGTGTTCAGCAGGGGCACGTGTGTGTTCGTGTATGCGTGAGAGAGTTTGTGTGGGCCGAGGCTCCTGGGCTGGGGAGTGTTGGGGCGGCTGGGATGGCGCAGGGACAGCCCCACGGGCCCGCAGCCTGGAGCCAGCAGGTTCCTGTGGACTTCGGGGTGTTGGCACCTGAGCCAGGCACCCCCACGTGGACTTCTCTCCCCCAGAGGACCCAGCTCTGTGTCTTTGGTTCTGAAAACACGGGGTCCCTGCATTTGACTCCATTTGCCCTCTGATCCTGCCCTATTTCATGGCTTTTGTTCCCACGTCTCCCACTCGCTATCTTTCTCTGAGCCCTCTTTGGCCCACCAGACCCTCGTTTCCATGGTCTAGCTGTCAGCAGTGCTCATTTTTGGGCTTTTTGTTTTTTGTTTCTTTTTTTGGAGATGGAGTCTCACTCTATCTCCTAAGCTAGAGGACAGTGGCACGGTCTCAGCTTGCTGCAACCTCTGCTTCCCGGATTCAAGCGATTCTGCCTCAGCCTCCCTGGTAGTTGGGACTTACAGGTGCCCACCACCACACCCTGCTAATTTTTTTATTTTTAAAATAGAGACATAGAGTAGAGTATTTTCAAAATAGAGAGTAGAGACGGGTTTTCACCATATTGGACAGGCTGGTCTTGAATTCCTGACCTCAAATGATCTACCCGCCTTGGCCTCCCAAAGTGCTGGGATTACAGGCGTGAGCCACCATGCCCAGCCAGGCTTTTGGATTTTTTAAAGTTCCTTTCTGACAAGGAAACTTGCACCAGACAGTAGTGAGTTGCTGAGTAACAGCAGGGACTGAAAGCGGCCGAAGTGGGTTTGCACACATCACGACTGCCTCCCTGTTCCAGAATGAGAAGCTGAGCCGCAATGAGACGCAGGTGGACGGCGCCAGGGCCCTGCAGCTGGTGAGGGCGCTGCGCAGTGCTACACAGCACACGGGCACGCTCTTTGGCAATGACGTGCGCACGGCCTACCAGCTGCTGGGCCACGTCCTTCAGCACGAGAGCTGGCAGCAGGGCTTCGACCTGGCAGCCACGCAGGACGCCGACTTTCACGAGGTAGGCGGGTGGCCGCCACCCTGGCTCGGGGACACTCGGGGACACTCGGATGCCCGTGGGTGGGTGCTGTGGGGCTGGGCGTCTACCTCAGTTCGTGGAAGACGGTTGTGTCCAGGATCCCCATCCTCATTTCTCAAATGTGAGCCCTGGCGGGTGCAGTGCCTGACTAAACTGACGACGAGCGTTAGGGAGTGTTCTGGAAGGAAACATGCAGGTCACAGCCTTGCTGGTGATCCTGGTAGTGCCTGTAGTGTGATCTAAGTGGCTTCTAAGGGATTCTAAGTGGCCCACCTGCATCAGCCCCTCTCCCTTCCATGCAGCCTGTGATGGAGTATCGTCCACCCATTTGACAGGTAAGGAAACAGAGGCACAGAGAGCTAAGGCGTTTGCCCAAAGGCACAGCTTGTAAGGGGCAGGGCCCGGCAGTGGGCCCCCATGTCCACTCCCACCCGCAGCTCTGAGGTCCTGCTTTCAGAGGGCCACACCTCCGCCTCAACCCTCTGGCTGTGTGTGTGGAAGTTGTCATCCCCTGAGCAGTATCGTTTTAGGGTGAATGCAGAGGGGACTCACGCAGCCTGATATTTGGAAACTGCTTTCGGGGGCTCCAGAAGTTTCGTTGTGGCTCTGCTGCAGGCCTCTTCGTCCAGACAGGACCCCCAGAGGAGTGCCTGTCCACACAGAGCCCATGGGGGACACCCTGTCCCTCCCACCCATCCCCACGGAGCCCTCAGGGACCTCCTCATCCACAAAGGGCCTCCAGTCCATGCAGGGCCCCCATGGAACCTTCTAGTCTGCATAAGGCCGCCAGAGACCAGGCAGGGTCCCCTTGCTGGGATTTGAGTCCCAGCCTGAGAGTTGGGCCAGTGGCGTTTGTTCTCCATGCGTGACTCCACAAACAAGTTTCCTTTCTGGTTTCTTTTTCTTTATTTCTTTTTTTTTTTAAGATGGGGTCTTGCTCTGTTGTCCAGGCTGGAGTGCAGTGGTGCGATCTTGGCTCACTGCAACCTCCACCTCCCGGGTTCAAGCAATTCTCCTGCCTCAGCCTCCCAAGTAGCTGGGATTACAGGCGCCCGCCACCACGCCCGGCTAATTTTTGTATTTTTGGTAGAGACAGGGTTTCACCATGTTGGCCAGGCTGGTCTCGAACTCCTGACCTCAGGTGATCCACCCGCTTCAGCCACCCAAAGTGTTGGGATTACAGGCATGAGCAACCGTGCTCAGCCCTGGTTTCTGTCTTGGGTGTGGTCCCCAAGCCCCTGAGCACAGCCTCATGCCTCCACCCAGTCTTTCACACAGACCCTGGGGTGCACAGAGGCTGAGGGTCACCCTCGGAGGAGCTGTCCACATGTCCACGGCGGCCTCAGTGTGGGACCTCTGCGCAGCCCAGGTTGTGGTGGTTCCATCACTGCTTGACGTGGTTGGTGGAGTTCAGGAGGAGTTCTGATGTAATAACCAGGGGCATCGCCACATGTCTTCCCTGCCTTAGCGTCTTGGGGTATACGTGGAAAAACCCCTGGCAGGGCTCACTCTGCCAGAGTCCCAGCCTCTGACATTTGAATCACCCACAGTCTCTCTGGCTTATTTGATGGGGTTCAGGATTTATGAAAATCACACATTAAAAAATGACTTCTGGCCGGGCGCGGTCGCTCACGCCTGTAATCCCAGCACTTTGGGAGGCCGAGATGGGCAGATTGCCTGAGCCCAGGAGTTCGAGACCAGCCTGGGCAACATGGTGAAACCCTGTCTCTTCTAAAATATGAAAAAAATCAGCTGGGCGGGGTGGTGGGAGGCTGAGGCACGAGAATTGCTTGAACCCGGGAGGCAGAGGCTGCAGTGAGCCAAGACTGTGCCACTGCACTCCAGGCTGGACAACAAAGTGAAACTCTGTCTCAAAAAACAAAAACAAAACAAACAAACAAAAAGACTTCCTTATCTATTTGAATTCAACTTTGATTAATGTTTGATCCTATTTATAAACTTAGACCATGAAATTCCCCTAAGTATTTTAAATGGAATTAATATATGTCATGTAGTTGATTTTTTGTTTTGTATTTCAATTGTTCGGCTAGCAAACAGACCTTCCAAGCATTTAAGCAGTGCTTGTACATCTAGTAAATTAAGCTAAGAATATGAAGCATCTTTAATTCTCTAGATTTTAATATACTTTGTGAGCTTAGTAACATTTTTTTATTCCTCTTAAGATAAACTTTTTGAAAAAATATTTGGGAACTAGGCCAGGCGTGGTGGCTCACGCCTGTAATCCCAGCACTTTGGGAGGCCGAGGCAGGTGAATCACCTGAGGTCAGGAGTTCAAAACCAGCCTGGCCAACATGGTGAAGCCCCGTCTCTACTAAAAATACAAAAATTAGCCGGGTGTGGTGGCACATGTGTGCCTGTAATCCCAGCTACTCGGGAGGTTGAAGCAAGAGAATTCCTTGAACCCAGGAGGCGGAGGTTGCAGTGAGCCGAGATGACACCACTGCATTCCAGCCTGGGCGACAAGAGCGGAAGTGTGTCTCAAAAAAAAACACAAAAAACAACAAAAAACAAAAAACAACTAATATTAAAGAGCACAGTCTAAAGTGTAGGGCTGGAATGAATGAATGAGCCCACTAGGCAAGCAAAGGCTTTCAGGGCAGGTGTCCCTCCGTCCCACGAGCCAGGCCTCCGCAGGCTGAGTACTGAGTGCTGTCTGTCTGACCAGGACGTCATCCACTCGGGCAGCGCCCTCCTGGCCCCAGCCACCAGGGCGGCGTGGGAGCAGATCCAGCGGAGCGAGGGCGGCACGGCACAGCTGCTCCGGCGCCTCGAGGGCTACTTCAGCAACGTGGCACGCAACGTGCGGCGGACGTACCTGCGGCCCTTCGTCATCGTCACCGCCAACATGAGTAAGGCGCTGGCTGCGTTGGGGGTGGAACCCTGCTACCATCAGGGGTGTGCCCCAGAGCTAGGCCCCCATGGGGTGAAGCAGGTGGGCTCCCGGCCCCCCCTTGGCCATGCTCTTAGAAAAATGATTGTGAGGCCGGGCACAGTGGCTCATACCTGTAATCCCAGCACTTTGGGAGATCGGGACAGGCAGACCACATGAGGTCAGGAGTTGGAGACCAGCCTGGGCAAAATGGTGAAACCCCATCTCTACTAAAAATACAAAAAGTAGCCAGGTGTGGTGGTGCATGCCTGTAATCCCAGCTACTCAGGAGGCTGAGGAAGGAGAATCACTTGAACCTGGGAGGCAGAGGTTGCAGTGAGCTGAGATTGCGCCATTGCACTCCAGCATGGGTGACAGAGCGAGACTCCATCTCAAAAAAAAAAAAGCCGGGCGCGGTGGCTCACGCCTGTAATCCCAGCAATTTGGGAGGCCAAGGTGGGCGGATCACAGGGTCAGGAGATCAAGACCATCCTGGCTAACATGGTGAAACCCCGTCTCTACTAAAAATACAAAAAAGTAGCCGGTCGTGGTGGTGGGCGTTTGTAGTCCCAGCTACTCGGGAGGCTGAGGCAGGAGAATGGCGTGAACCCGGGAAGCGGAGCTTGCAGTGAGCCGAGATCATGCCACTGCACTCCAGCCTGGGCGAGAGAGCCAGACTCCGTCTCAAAAAAAAAAAAAAAAAAAAATATTCGGCAGGTAGGCCTCTGTTTCCTCATCTGTAAATGGAGCCTTTGGGAAGACAGTCTGTGATGACGTACCCGTGGCTCCCAGGGGACAGGTCCCGGGCTAGGGAGATGTTGGGCCATGATCTTGGGGGTCCGGCAGGGCTTCCAAACCCTCAGGTGTGAGACTCTAGAAGGGTGGGTGTCGAGGACCCCGCCTCACTCCAGGCTCACTGTAGACAGGTGTAAGTACAGGCGGGATGCAGGAAGTTGGAAGTCAGTTCTGTTCTAAAGATGGTCAGTCAGCTGGGCGTGGTAGTTCACACCTGTAATCCCAGCACTGGGAGGCTGAGATGGGCAGATTGCTTGAGCCCAGGAGTTCGAAACCAGCCAGGCGCCATAGTGAGACCCTGTCTCTATTAAAAATAAAAAATAAAAATTAGCCAGGTGTGGTAGCATGCTCCTGTATTCCCAGCTACTTGAGGCTGAGGTGGGAGGATCGCTTGAGCGCAGGAGGACGAGGCTACAGTGAGCTGAGATTGTGCTACTGCACTCCAGCCTGGGTGATAGAGTGAGATCCTGTCTCAAAAATAAATATAAGTAAATAGGCTGGGCGTGGTGGCTCATGCCTGTAATCCCAGCACTTTGGAAAGCCGGGGCATGCAAATTACTTGAGGTCAGGAGTTTGAGACCAGCCTGGCCGACATGATGAAATCCCATCTCTACCAAAAATACAAAAAATTAGCCAGGCGTGGTGGTGCCTGCCTGTAATCCCAGCTACTTGGGAGGCTGAGGCAGGAGATATTGCTTGAATCTGGGAGGCGGAGGTTGCAGTGAGCTGAGATTGCGCTACTGCACTCCAGCCTGGGAGACACTGCGAGACTCCACCTCAAAAATAAATAAATAAATATGGCCAGCCAGCGTCAGTGTGACAGTTGTGGTCATTTTGAAAACAGCAGGGGTTCAAGAAAGCCCTGGGAGTTATGTCTGATTAAAGGAACTGTCCCCCCAGTTCTTGCTGTCGACATCTTTGACAAGTTCAACTTTACGGGAGCCAGGGTCCCGCGATTCGACACCATCCATGAAGAGTTCCCCAGGGAGCTGGAGTCCTCCGTCTCCTTCCCAGCCGACTTCTTCAGACCACCTGAAGAAAAAGGTAAAACCGCTTAGAAACCTGCTGCTGCCCTCGGAGTCCCCAGCGTTCAGGGAGGGGAGGGCCCCGCTGCGGGCATCGCAGGACCTGCGCACTGAAGATCTGGGCCAGAGTGTTCCGAGTGCTCTCTGGTGCCAGGTCCTGTTGGTGACAGCAGGTTGTTTTGTTCAAGTGCTCAGGTACAGGCTGAACATCCTAATCCTGAAATCTGAAATGCCCCAGAACCTGAACCTTCTTGAGCACCAACCTGACACTTAAAGGAAATGCTCATTGGAGCGTAAGCATGAAACAATAAAAAAATCAAAATCCAGGCCAGGCGCGGCGGCTCACGCCTGTAATCCCAGCACTTTGGGAGGCCGAGGCGGGCAGATCACCTGAGGTCAGGAGTTCGAGACCAGCCTGGCCAACGTGGTAAAACCCCGTCTCTACTAAAAAATACAAAAAATAGCCAGCTGCGGTGGCGGGCGCCTGTAATCCCAGCTACTCAGGAGGCTGAGGCATGAGAATTGCTTGAGCCCACGAGGCAGAGGTTGTAGTGAGCCGAGATATGCCAGCCTGGTAAGACTCCGTCTCAAAAAAAAAAAATTCCAAAATGTTCCCAAGCATTTCAGCTGAGGGATACTCAGCCATGTAATTGATAATGTCAGAAAGAAAAGAGAACTGAAATTTGTATGTGAGCTGGTTGTCTTTGGTGTGCAGTGAAAAGCTGCTTCTAGCTGGGCGCAGTGGCTCATGCCTGTAACCCCAACACTTTGGGAGGCCGACACAGGGAGGATTGCTTGAGCCCAGAAATTCAGAACCAACCTGGGCAACATAGAGAAACTCCATCTCTACTAAAGAAGTTTTTTTTAATTACCTGGGCATGGTGGCGCATGCCTGTAGTCCCACCTACTCAGGAGGCTGAGGCGGGAGGATTGCTTGAGTCCGGGAGATGGAGGCTGCAGTGAGCTGTGATCGTGCCACTACAGCCCAGCCTGGGCAGCAGAGCAAAAACCTGTCTGGTTGGGGGGAAAGCTGCTTCTAAATAGAAATAGGCATTTTAGAATCACCTTCCCCTTCCCGCAAAAAAACAACAACAAAAAAGCCAGAATGCTGTCTGTGTATGAACAAATCTTCAATCCTGGGTTGAGATTATGATTCAAAACAGTTTGAACATTTTGAATTTTCTTAAGGTGCTTTTTTACAGATCCATGACAATTACTAAAACCTTCCCCAAATAAAAAGGACGTGAAAAGGTAAACTCTGTAATGGACAGTTTAAAATTGGAAATGTTGTTAGTAAATGGATTTTGTCAGGTATATGATGTTATCTCATGTGTCTTAAAAAGAGGGGTGACTCTGATGTGGGGTCATGCTTGAAACTAAGAGGACGAGGTCCCTGACTCTCCATTGCAGCCAGCTCTCTCTGGAACTAATAGAGTGAGAACTCGCTCATTACCAAGGGCGGGGCACCAAGCCATTCCTGGGGGATCCACACCCATGACCCAGACACCTCCGACCAGGCCGATTTTCAACCCTGATCACATTTCAACATGAGATTTGGAGGGGCCACACATCCAAACTGCATCAGATACATTCATGTTTAAACAGTCCATCTCCAGAACTCTTTCCAGCCTGCAGATCTGAAACTCTAGCCCACGAAACACTAACTCTCCTCCCCAGCCCCTGGTGCCTACCGTTCTTTCTGTCTTTGAATTTGACTCCTCTAGGGACCTCCTGTAAGAGGAGTCACACGATATTTGTCCTTTTGTGATTGGCTTATTTCACCGAGCCTAATGTCCGCTAGGTTCACCTGCGCCGCAGCAACTGTCAGACTTCCCCTCCTTTTGAAGGCTGAGTAATATTCCATTGTGCGGATGGAGCGCGTGTTGCTTATCCACTCACCTGTTGACCCATGCCTGAGTTGTTTCCACCTTTTGGCCTGTGTGAATGGTGCTGCTGTGAACATGGGCATAGAAGTATCTGGGTCCAGGCCGGGCGCGGTGGCTCACGGCTGTAATCCCAGCACTTTGGGAGGCCGAGGCGGGCGGATCATGAGGTCAGGAGATCGAGACCATCCTGGCTAACAAGGTGAAACTCTGTCTCTACTAAAAATACAAAAATTAGCCAGGCGTGGTGGCGGGCACCTGTAATCCCAGCTACTCGGGAGGCTGAGGCAGGAGAATGGCGTGAACCCGGGAGGCGGAGCTTGCAGTGAGCCGAGATGGCGCCACTGCACTCCAGCCTGGGCGACAGAGCAAGACTCTGTCTCAAAAAATAAATAAATAAATAAAAATAGAAGTATCTGGGTCCCCGCCTTCAGTTCCTTGGGGTGTATACCCAGAAGTGGGCTTGCAGGGTCATGTGATAAGTCCTGTTTTTGATTTTTTGGGGACCCACGGTACTGTTTTCTGTGGGACATCTGTTGGTTTTTGAGAAGCACCTGCTGGCACTGACGGCAGTCTTGGGGAACACAGGTGCTCCTGCCAGAGTCCTCACCTTCTGCTCACATTGCAGAAGGCCCCCTGCTGAGGCCGGCTGGCCGGAGGACCACCCCGCAGACCACGCGCCCGGGGCCTGGCACCGAGAGGGAGGCCCCGATCAGCAGGCGGAGGCGACACCCTGATGACGCTGGCCAGTTCGCCGTCGCTCTGGTCATCATTTACCGCACCCTGGGGCAGCTCCTGCCCGAGCGCTACGACCCCGACCGTCGCAGCCTCCGGTAAGGCCTGGGCACGGGGCACACGGGGAGGGCCCGTTCTGGAGGCTCCTGAGGCTTCCACAGGTCAAAATCCTGATCCTGATCAAGCACAGGTCTTCACAGTGACATTTCACCGTGACCCTGGCCCAGAGACAGAGACCATTGCCTTGTGGTGGTCCTTGGAGGGAGATTCTGGGTCTGCCACAGGATACCACACCCTGGAACATTGCACACCCTTTGCCTGGGCTCATCCTGGTGTTTGTGCCAGAAAT
This sequence comes from Homo sapiens, assembly GCF_000001405.40. NCBI lineage: Eukaryota > Metazoa > Chordata > Mammalia > Primates > Hominidae > Homo > Homo sapiens. The sequence goes on along the minus strand of NC_000022.11, from coordinate 46,381,594 downwards.
GCCCCCTCCCCAGCATACACCCCATCTTGTGCCCAGAGGGACCCCATTCTGTCCCCACACACCTGGCCCAAGGCTGTCATGGGTAGTGCCTGCTGCTGGCCCCGGGGTTAGGTCTGCTCAGCTAGTCCTGGCTGGAAAGGATGAATGTCCCAGAAGCAGCTTTGCAACCTGCTCGGTGGGAGCAGCCCAAGGCTCCGCCCTCCTTCTTCCTGCCATTTCCCAGATACTTCCCTGGCTCTGGGATCCTCGTGTTCACGTGGTTCTCAGTGACTGGGTGATTCATCCCCATGAGCTGCCATTATTTTGGTGTCTTTTGCTGGACACTGAAACCATCCCCTGTGATTCTGCCATTAGCTATTATGGGCTGTGACATCTTTGCACCTGTGCCTTCTCTTTCTTTTTAAATTTCTGAAGTCCCAATTTGACCCAAAGGTGACACCTCTCTCTGTGTGCCCTGTCAGTGATAAAACCTGCTCTAGGGATGAAGATACTGTGGGGTCCGTGGGTCCGAGCTCTCGGAGTGTGATTCTGTCTCCCCTAGAAACACATCATGGCGTGTCCTCAGGGCATTTGTGCGCGGGATTTAAGCAGATGTTTCCTCACCGTGTTTGTCCCCATGCTCTGGCTTCTTGACCTCAGGTTGCCTCACCGGCCCATCATTAATACCCCGATGGTGAGCACGCTGGTGTACAGCGAGGGGGCTCCGCTCCCGAGACCCCTGGAGAGGCCCGTCCTGGTGGAGTTCGCCCTGCTGGAGGTGGAGGAGCGAACCAAGCCTGTCTGCGTGTTCTGGAACCACTCCCTGGCGTAAGTGTGACGCCAGGAGCCCCATGTGAGGGCTTTGCCAAGGCAGAGTGCCCCCGCAGGGTCGGGGGCTCAGTGGCAGAGCGCCCCAAGAGGACGGTCTCTTGTGGTCTGTGTTTCCCCTTTAAGTCCCCCGTGGGGGCAGTGAGCCTCCTGCTCTGCTTCTGTGGGAATATCAGAGTCCTCCCCTAGATGTCCACACACAGATGCACACAGACCTGCACGTGGAGATACAGATGTGCAGGCGCACAGAGAGATCCCTCAAGGCTGACACCCAGGAAGGGGACCCCTCACCTGCGGGACTCCCGACATGCAGCGGCCAACACTAGTGTAGTGCCCAGTTCACCGCCGGATAAGACAGGCCCATTCCGGTCACACACGGGAGACAGAACCCAGAGACTGGCCTAAGAGCCCATCTGCTGACGGTCTTGCCCGAGAGGCTGACACAGTCTAGCTGTGGGGACTGGCTTCACCCCCAAGAGGCCACACCTGGCCGCAGCACAGTTTATCTGGCCCGTTTCAGAAGCAGCGTCAGAGAGTCACAGAGTGGCGAACGCAGGAGAATCTGTGCGCGAGAATCTGTGTTCTAGCATCCATGCAAGCGAGGGAAAGGCGTTTCGTCGTTAGAAAAATGCAAAATGAGTGATTCTCACCCACACGTGAGACTGGATTCAGCACCACAGTGTGGCTCCCGTCTGCTGGGAGCCAGTAGTGTTTGTGCTTTGGTTTTGCTTTTTAGCTGCAGAGTTCACGTGAGGTGTGGACATTTGAGTTGCTCTATCGTTACAGGGAGCTTGCCTTTTCTCTGCTGGTTGGTTTTCACTTTTGCTGTCTCTGTTTAGAAGAAGGCACTGGAACGGGGGTGTGGTGGGAAGGGCCCTGTTGCCGGGATGGGAGCACAGTCAGGGAGGGGAAGACCCACTGCCTCCCCACACACCGGGAGGGAGTGCCGGGAAGGGGAGACGCCATGCAGGAGTCAGGCTTGAATCTGCGGAGCGTTGTGCATCTGGGGACGTCTGTGCAGCAGGAACGCTGCCCCCATCACAGTTGCCCTGGGCACAGTGAGGAGCCGTGAGTGGGGGCTGTGCTGGGGGTGGCGCTATGGTGAGCGAGCCCGGTTAGCCCAGCCTCATTCTTCTCCTGCTTCTGTGCTTTCCAAGTTCTAGTTAATAAGCAACCAGCATGGCACCTGGAATGTAGTAGGCGCTTGGCTTATAAAAGAGAGAAGAAAGGAACCCATTCCACCACGACGGACGTCAGGCCCGGCTGTCTGTCTTGGGCATTCATCTGCGTCCTGGCAATTAGCTCCAGCTCTAATGACCTGCTCTCTGCTTTATGTTGCACTTATTATTCCCAGATTGTAAAGTTTGTGCCAAACATATTAATGCTAACATCCCATTTTACAGATTAGCAAAGTAAGGATCTGAGAGGTTATGTGATTTTTCCCAGAGTCTGCGAGGGCAGGGCCCTGTCTGAAGCTGAGACACACCTTATAACACCTTGTTATTTGGGGCTTCCCATCAGTAAAACGGGAGTCATAATGGGGCCCTGGCTTCTGGGCAGTTCCCATAAAACATTGTGCAATCTGAAGATGAAAGTGTCAGAGGAAGGTGAGATGTCCTTTCTGAGAGCGTCTGCCCTCAGAAGGAGACGGGACCGCATCGCAGCTGTGTGAACCCCGGGCAGTGGTTCCAGCAGCGGGGCGGACGCGAGACAGCCCCATTTGAGTTTTGCTGCTAGATGGCACGTAGAACTTGAACTTCAGAGGGTGCTCCTTGGAGGCCCTGACCAGACACAGAAGGGAAGGGAGACTGTTCCCATGGTCCTGCCTCCGCGGCAGTGAGGCTGCTCTTCTTACAGCCAGGTGGCTCTTGTCTTCGGTGTAGGGGGCTGGTGAGGAACACGGTGGGGAGCAGCCTGCGAGGGCGCTGGGCTTTCAGCACTCACGGCACCTGCTGTTTGGTTTGGCCAGGATGGCCTGGGAGCCCCCAGGGCTGGGCAAAGGCTGCCCTTTACAGACTCATGGGCAGAGGGAACCGTCTTACCCCTGCCCCTTCTCTGTCCTCTCCGCAGCGTTGGTGGGACGGGAGGGTGGTCTGCCCGGGGCTGCGAGCTCCTGTCCAGGAACCGGACACATGTCGCCTGCCAGTGCAGCCACACAGCCAGCTTTGCGGTGCTCATGGATATCTCCAGGCGTGAGGTGGGCATCCTCCCGTGGCCACTGTGCCCTCTGGGCCTACCGCCAAACCTGCCCCTCCCCCCCAAACCTGCACCTCCCCGCCAAACCTGCCCGTCCTCAAACCTGCTGAGCCTGCCCCCAAATCTGTCCCCTCCTCAAACTAAATCTTCCATTCTAAGTGCTTGGAACAAAACAAATCAACCGATTAAAACACATATTCGAGGATTGGCCAGAGTCTGAGGATTTCCATAACAAAGCCCCATTATAAGGGTTTTCAGAGAGCCCTGGTTATGTATTAAACCCCGGAATGGCAGACCCAAAGCTCAGGCTCCGAGGAGCTCTCGGAACCTGCCCCTCACTTCAGTGCGGGTCTGTTGGACGGTGCCGCTCCCCACCTGCTTTGATCCTAAGGGAGGTGACAGCTGCTGGGCGCTCTCCCTCGGGGCCACACGCAGGGCAGCAGGACAAAAGGCTGGGCGGCTAATGTTTAACCTCTGGCATTTTAAGCGGCCTGGGAATGTGAGCCGGCCATTGTGGGCTGCAGATGAATTGGGGAATGGCCCGAGCGCTGTCCTGGCCTCCCGTTATCCAGACAGGAGGGAGGTGGGAGCCAGCCTGGCCATGGCCTGTGTGGGACCCTGGGGTCTAGGAGTCAGAACCAGGGGCCTGGGTAGCCTCCCCCGGCCCCTCCCCGGGGTTGCACTGTGGCTCAAGGGCCCAGGCCACTGTCCTTTCCGAGGGCTTTTTGATGTGAAGTGGCCCTGGTTTCTGTCACATTCTTGGAAGGGTGAGTCAGCCCTCAGGCGGGGCTGGAGGAGGGCAGCGGCCTCTTGTGCAATATGCAGGTGAAGCTGACCCGCCTCTGCCCCTGTCTCATGGGCAAATGTCACTCCCCAGCAGGACCCAGCCTGGAGACGGGGTCAGTGATTAGTGGAGTTTGTTCATATGTGGGCGGGGTTGGGGCTTGTCTCATGGCCAGGATGCCAGGTGACATGTGGGCCAAGGAAGCTGAAATTGAGGCAGAAGAAAGGAGGCTGGAGTGAGAGTCCGAGGCTCCCATGGCCTGGGCGCCCCAAAGCCAGAGGTCTCTGAACGGCCCCCAAGCCAGTGGAGGGAGCCTGGCGTGCTGCCGCAGGCCCCAGGGATGCCCAGGGCCCAGGGCATTGAAGGAGCCTCAGGAGGGGCAGTTCCAGGCCCAGAGCCATGAGCACTCGGCCTCCCCAGCCCAGCCTGATCCTGCCAGCCTTGATCGTTTCATAAGCAAGTGTGTAATTTATCTCTGTTATGCAATGACCAGATCTGAGCCTCGGCCCTTACCTTCTCTCCTGCCTTTAACCCTCCTGCCCATAGAACGGGGAGGTCCTGCCTCTGAAGATTGTCACCTATGCCGCTGTGTCCTTGTCACTGGCAGCCCTGCTGGTGGCCTTCGTCCTCCTGAGCCTGGTCCGCATGCTGCGCTCCAACCTGCACAGCATTCACAAGCACCTCGCCGTGGCGCTCTTCCTCTCTCAGCTGGTGTTCGTGATTGGGATCAACCAGACGGAAAACCCGGTATGGCCACTCTGCTCCCCTCCCCACTGTCTGGGCCGCAGCTTGGAGCAGCTACCATAGTCCTGTCCTGGCCACTCCAAGCACCCTGGCTAGCTCCTCCTCACCACCCCCACCTCTGCTTCACAGATGCCCTTTCAGGAACGTGCCTGGTCACAGGCTGTGGGTGGAGATGTGGGATTCACTGGCAGGCCCAAGCACTTTGACTCTATTGGGAGATGGGGGGCCCTTTCTTTCTTTCTTTCTTTTTTTTTTTTTTTGAGAGTCTCGCTCTGTCAATCCAGGCTGGAGTGAGATGGCACAATCTCAGCTCACTGCAACTTCCACCTCCCAGGTTCAAGTGATTCTTGTGTACATCCCCAGGAAAATACAACTCTTGTCAAAAGTGATTTAAGGGCAGTGGCTCATGCGTGTAATCCCACCAGGATCCCTTTGGGAGGCTGAGGCAGGCAGATCACTTGAGGTCAGGAAGACCAGCCTTGCCAACATGGTAAAACCCAATCTCTACTAAAAATACAAAAATTAGCTGGGCGTGGTGCCGGGCACCTGTAATCCCAGCTACTCAGGAGGCTGAGGCAGGAGAATTGCTTGAGCCTGGGAGGCAGAGGTTGCAGTGAGCAGAGATGGAGCCACTGCACTCCAGCCTGGGCAATAGAGCGAGACTGTCTCAAAACAAAACAAAATGATTTAAGATGTAGAAAGACTAAATAGTCCTCTCACCGTTAGAGAATTTGCATTGCAGTATAAAAACCACGGCCAGGTTGGGTTTATCTTAGGAATGCAAGGATGGTTTAACATTTTAAAAATCTATGAATGCCATTTACCTCACCAGTACATTTAAGGGAAAAATATTATTTTTCTCAGAAATGAATGTACAAAAGAATTTTGATAAATGTTATGCTCATTAATGATTAGAAAGAAAGAAAAACCTTTGAACAGACTAGGACTAGGGGAAACTTTAATCTAATGAAGACATCTACAGAAAACCTGCAGTTGCAATAAATAACAATGGGAAGATACTGGAGGCATCCCCTGTAACATCAGGAACCCACTCACGTTCACCACTGTGGTGCAGGGTGGCCTTGCCAGTGCAATGAATAAGGAAAACAAAAGCATAGAGATCAGAAAGGAAGAAACAAAGCTGTCATTATTAGGTAACATGAAGGATCTCATAGAAAAAATCTAAAATAGTCTACAGGCACGTTATGAGAAACAATTAGGCTGGGCACGTTGGTTCATGCCTGTAATCCCAGCACTTTAGGAGGCCGAGGCAGGCAGATCACTTGAGGTCAAGGAGTTCGAGGCCAACCTGGCCAACATGGTGAAACCCTGTCTTTACTAAAAATACAAAGATTAGCTGGGCATAGTGGTACGCACCTGTAATCCCAGCTACTTGGGAGGCTGAAACATGAGAATCGCTTGAACCCGGGAGGCAGAGGTTGCAGTGAGCTGAGATGGTGCCACTGCACTCTGGCCTGGACAATAGAGTGAGACCCTGTCTCAAAAAAAAAAAAAAAAAAAAAAGAGCCTGGCAGCAGGTGGACGACGGGCAGAAGATCAGAGCAGTCTGATAATGCGCAGGCCTGGGAGGTGGGGTGGAGACCCAGAACTGAAGCCAGGGCACTGGGCACGGGGAGAAAGGAGGGACAGGACCAACCGGTTATGGAGCAGGCAGGAAGGAGGAGTCAGGGGAGTTTGACGTCTCCAGAAGGGAGAATGAGTAGTTGAAGGTACCACCCATTGAGAGGCAGGGTCTGGGTGAGATGGGACACCTGCAGAGGCCAAGGAAGGTGTGGCGCATGAGCCAGGGAGGCCGCCTCCAACTCGTGGGTGGAGACGGTGTCTGTGGGGCTGGACCGGCCCTGGGAAGGGAAACGGAATAAAAAGACCAGGCTGGAACCTTCCGGCGAGCTGCTCAGGGCCACGTGCAGACCTGAGCTGCTCCTCCTTTTTTACGGCAAGCGGTGGGACCAGACCCCTCTTACCTCAAGAGGGAAGGCAGGCACCCCCACCTCGCAGGTCACCCTTGAGAAGCCTCCATGGCTTCCCAGCAGTGGTAGGTGGAGCACCAGGCCTGGCCCATGAAGGACGAGCCCCGAGGCGTGTGTCAGACCAGCCAGGGCCAACCTTCCCCGCCGCCTCCCAGGTGCTTCCCGAGGCCGAGGCCCCGGGCTGGCGGGGGCTCCGTGTGCGGGGCCCATATGGCAGGGTCGCTGCTCCTGCGGAGGGGTTTCTTCACATCCGCAGCCGGGCGCATCCCCGCAATGGGCACGTTCTCATCCGCGCATTGGTCTGGGAAGGCTCTGAGAAGTGTGCGGATTTCATCTCAAAACCCCTCTAGTGTGCTTTTGAGTGGCGTGAATGGGGGAGAGGGGAGTCGGTGCAGGCCACTCCCTGCAACTCAACACCCCAGCGAAACTGAGGCGGCCCCTGGGTTCCCACACTGACTCGTCGCCTGCCGGAGTGAGCGCTGTCCCGGCAGCCACGCACGGCTGAGCATGGAGAAGGAAAGGGCGACCCGGCAGCGTTCTAGGGGCTTGGCAGAGTGCCTGGGCTTTATGGTTTTTTTGTAAACCCACAATCCTATCTCTGGGCGAGGTTTTTCATCTCTCAGAGCGCTGGCAGGCTGAAATGATTTATTATGCATCCGCTTTTGTCTTTGTTCTATTTCTGGAAAAGGTGGTACATTGGTTAGGGAAGCAGGTACGACCCTGCTGCAGCCAGGATGGCACAGCCCTCGCACTTTGTTTTCAAAAGGTGGTTTCGTGGGTTTACTTTTCGCATTACTTGAAGCAGCCATCCAGCCAACCAACCTTCTCACCCCCTTCCTTTTCCTGAGCCAGTGTGATTTCCACTCAGGAAACCAGGGTGTTTGGTGTAGAGTTCTCCAGCCACACGCTCGCGCCTCCTTTCCTGACCGAGGCCACAGTCTGAGGCAAAGGGCCTGTCTCTGGCATAACTTGAGCCTGCGTTCCCTGCTTCGGTTCCTGCTCTGTTCCGTATCTGACAGATGCGATGCTGACTTGGGGCCCTCCCCACCTCGGGGGCGTTGTTTCTGGAGGGTGGCTGGCCCTTCGAGGCTGATGTGTCAGCAGGGGCACCCTTAGGGTGCCGTGACCCAGTGCCTGAGCAAAGTGGCCTTAAGCCTGGGGTTGAGGCGGGGGCCCTCGTTCTCCTCCTACGCTTCTGTGTCTGTTAAAGGGTATCTCCCTGGGACCCCCTGGTAGGGTGGACTGATGGGATGGCTGCTGAGGATTAGACAGTGTGTCCAGAGCAGGCCGGTTGGGGGTGGGGTCAGGGTGGTGGGACCCTCCCATTGCTCCTATTGCTCCCATTGCTCCCATCTCCCCCATCTCCCCCATCTCCCCCTTCTCCCCCATCTCCCCCATCTCCCCCTTCTCCCCCATCTCCCCATTCTCCCATTTGGCTGGTTCAGCCTCCCGGGACCCAGAGGGGAGCCTGCCATCCTCTCCCAGCTGGCGGCAGCTTTGGGAGCACTGGCTGGGGCAGCCTCTCCCAGAGCACTGGGCACGAAGCTGCCCCTCCCAGAGCGCTGGGCGTGAAGCTGCCCCCCCCACCCCAGAGCACTGGGTGTGAAGCTGCCCCCCCAACCCCGAGCACTGGGTGTGAAGCTGCCCCCCCGCCCCGCCCAGAGCACTGGGTGTGAAGCTGCCTTGGGGCCACATCTTCAAGTGCAGTTCCGGGGCATGTGGGACTGGGTTTGTGTTCATGGCCTCAGAGACTAGTCTCTCTCTGTCATTCTCACACTGCTTTCTGTGTCCAGGCAGGCAGGGCTGGCTCACCTGCTGGCTCAGCTGCTCCGTGGATGTTGATTTTCAATTCCTGGCTCTCAGCCATTGGCCAGACATGTAGCCCTGCTCAGCTGAGGACAGACACATAGGGTGGTCCGAATTGTGAGCTCTCCCATCCCCCACCCCTCACTCATGCCTGTCTGACCTCAGCCTGGGATGCAGGGGCCCTTGCTGAGCGGCCCCTCCCTGCGCAGTTTCTGTGCACAGTGGTTGCCATCCTCCTCCACTACATCTACATGAGCACCTTTGCCTGGACCCTCGTGGAGAGCCTGCATGTCTACCGCATGCTGACCGAGGTGCGCAACATCGACACGGGGCCCATGCGGTTCTACTACGTCGTGGGCTGGGGCATCCCGGCCATTGTCACAGGTGAGGATGCACAGAGTGGCCCTGCATAAAACCACAGATTTCCAACAGACCCCAGCTGTGCAGGAACGCTGCCCTCCTTTCTCTTCCCTGCCCAGCCCCAATGCTTGTCCAGCCCCCAGCAGAGGAGGCCTCGGCCCTGCACACTGCGAGTGCATGCACAGGGGCACTCGCAGACACCTGGGGCGACGTCTTCTGTGAGGTGTGAGCTCATTGAGAGCTGGGTCCAGGTCTGTTCAGGGTTATTTCTGCAGCACTTAACAGACAAAAGTTCCACGTCTACACATGGGAGGGATGGAGGGAAGAGCGAGTGAGTGCATGAGTGTGCAGGTGGATGGATGGAGGGGTGAGTGAGAGGATGAATGGGTGGGTGGGGGGTGAGTGGATGGATGGATGGGGGGTAAGCGAGTGGCTGGATGGATGGGGGGTGAGTGGATGGATGGATGGGGGTGAATGAGTGGATGGATGGGTGGAGGGGTGAGTGAGTGGATGGGTAGATGGGGTGAGTGAGTGGATGGATGGATGGGTGGGGAGCGAGTGGATGGATAGATGGGGTGAGTGAGTGGATGGATGGATGGGTGGGGAGCGAGTGGATGGATGGATGGGGGTTGAGTGAGGATGGATGGATGGGTGGAGGGGTGAGTGAGTGGATGCATGGATGGGTGAGTAGATGGATGGTTGGAGGGGTGAGTGAGTAGATGGATGGGTGAGGGGTGAGTGAGTGGGTAGATGATGGATGGATGGGGGTGAATGGGTGGATGGAGGAATGAGTGAGTGAGCAGATGGATGGGTAGGTGGATGGAGGGATGGGATTAGTGGATGGGTGGGTAGATGGATATAGGGATGGAGAGACGAGTGAGTAGATGGGTGAATAGATGGATGAGTGGGTAGCTGGATGGATGGAGGAGTGAGTTGAGTGGATGGATGGGAGGGATGAAGGGCTGAGTGAGTGAGCAGATGGGTGGGTGGGTGGATGGAGGGATGGAGAGGTGGGTGGATGGATGGATGGATGGATGGATTGGATAAGTGAGTGGATGAATAGGTGGATGGATGGAGGGATGGAGAGATGAGTGAGTGGATGGATGGGTGGGTGGATGGATGGGATATGTGAGTGGATGAATAGGTGGATGGACGGATGGAGAGGTGAGTGAGTGGATGGATGGGTGGGTAGATGGATGGATGGGATAAGTCAGTGGATATGAATAGGATGGTTGGAGGGATGGAGAGATGAGTGGGTGGATGGATGGATGAAATGGGTGGGTGGATGGATTGGTAGCTAATGGATGACAATGAAATGAGTAAATGGATGGGTGGGTGCAGTGGGTGGATGGGATGAGTGAGTGGATGAATGAATTAGTGAATCAGTGAGTAGAACAAACAGTACTTCCTCAGCACACATTTTGCTTAAAATCAGAAAGTTGGTTTGCTCCCTACTGAGAAAAATCTACCTTTATTCACAAAAAGAAGAACCCCTTTTCCTGGGTAATCCCTGGGTTCTGGGGATTAGACGCAGTCTGAGGCCAGAGGCACTGGGGTGGGGGGGTGTTGCTCCCAGGGCAGCACCCAGCAGCCACCTGGGGCCAGTGCCATGGTCACTTGCTGGACCGTCCTGGTCTCCACAGCAACGTCACTGACCAGCCTCCAACCAGGCAGGCTCCTGGCTAGGGTGTTCTGATGTGACTCATCTCCCTTACTCTAAGGGACCCTGAAGAACCTTTTTCACCTCCACCCAGGGCCACTGAGGTGGGGGCAGGTTGGGCGGGGTGGCAGCCGCCACTTCCTGATGTGACAGGGAGGCGATACCTTGCCTAGATTAGGTGCTTACTGTGAGAGACGCTGAGATGAAGAACATGGCCTAGAAAGGGGCTCGTATGGCTTTGTCGAAAAGCCACCTCGATGTCCAGGCGGAGCAGGTCTCTGCGATGCCTCTGCCCTTTGGACTCTAAATCCAGATAGTTCACGTTTCCTACTTGCTTTAAAAACAGGTTTCGGTTTGTTTTGTTTAACACTTAGGTCTGTCTTGTACAAGATCTTAAAATAACTCCCGGGGAGCCTCAGACTGAGCTGCAGGCACTGGTCACTGGCTGCTGCCTCCCCCGGCCATCCAGGGCTTCCCTGACTGTCCTCAGTGGTCCTGGTTAACTGGCTCCTCCAGAGGGCAGTGGGAAGTGCTGGAGGGTGTTAAACAGGAGGGAGCTGGGATCTCTTCAATATTTAAATAAGGAGAGTGGGGAGGAGCATAGCCTAGGCCAGGGTGGGGCAAGGGGCACAGAAAGACCAGGTCTCACCTGCTGGTTGCTCCTGTCCCAAGTGTCACCTTGATGCTCTGCATGGACAGGCGGATCTGGTTTGTCACACTGTGGCTGGGAGTGACAACTGTGCTTCAGAGCATTTCTTCCTCTATCTAAACAAGCAGCTCGTATAGCAGGCTCGGTGGTGAGGCAGTTTCGGGGGTGTGTGTGTGGTGTGCACGTGTGTATGGTGTGTGCCTCTGTGGTGTGTGTGTATATCTGTGATGCGTGTCTGCACACGGTATGTGTGTCTGCATGCATGTGTATAGGGTATGTACATGTGTATGGCATGTGCACGTGGTTGGATGTGGTATGGGGGTATATGCGTTCCTCACCCGCTCACATATGGCCCTGTAGGTGACGCCGTCCTCCATCTGTTTTGGAGCCTCATCCCTTGCACCTTGGGTCCATCATGGCCTCCTGACCTCTACATGGCCCAGCTGGCAGGGTCCTCCCAAGCACCGTCTGCCTTCACGATCCCTCCTGCACCATCTCACTGCCACCCTCCAGGGTCTCTGGTCTTCCTCAGCAGCCCCCGGCCCAGATACGCCCCCTGCCTCATGGGGCCAATCCAGGAGCAGCTCCTGCCACCTGGGCCAGTGAGCCTGAGACCCTACACGGAGAGACTGTGCTTGGAGGGGCCCTGGGCTGGCTCCCTGGACTCCTTGCTCCTTCCTCTGAGAAGGGAGATGCTGAGTCCCCCATTTCACCCCACCCTGGCTGGTCCTTGGCATGGGGTGGCCACTGGGCACGTGGCCCTCACCCTTCCCTTCCTCCCCGCTGTGTTCAGGACTGGCGGTCGGCCTGGACCCCCAGGGCTACGGGAACCCCGACTTCTGCTGGCTGTCGCTTCAAGACACCCTGATTTGGAGCTTTGCGGGGCCCATCGGAGCTGTTATAATCGTGAGTGTGGGGCCTTCACGGGAGTCCGGGTGCCCCAAACATGCATGAGCTGGAAGGGCTGTTCTGGGTTGGCTGGGGCCACCAACTCCTCTGAGCAGCCGACGGGGGGCAGGAAGGGCCACCTTGTAACAGTCAGCAAAGCCGCCAGGGCCCTCCCGGACCTCACCCTCTGATCGTGGATTCAGGTCTCGCGTCGTGTCCGCATGAGACCATCTGCGTCCAGCACCCAGGAGGGTCCCGCACAGGCAGGCTGGGTGTGGTGGGCGCTGTGGGGCAGTGGGTGGACAGGTGTGCTTCGCCCCACAGGCCAGGGTTCGGGTCCTCCTCACCCAGCCACCCCTCCCTGACAGGGCGAAGGGCCTCAGGCGCTTTTGGCAGTTGGAGGTCTGCAGTGACGAGAGAGAAGACATTGATCGGCTTGTTTTGTTTTCAGATCAACACAGTCACTTCTGTCCTATCTGCAAAGGTTTCCTGCCAAAGAAAGCACCATTATTATGGGAAAAAAGGGATCGTGTAAGTGGGGCTGAACCTGACCGGCCAGCCATGTCGGCTGGGCCCTGAGACCCCGACGTCCAGTCTCTGCGGGGTGGGGCCCCATGAGAGCGTGTAGGCCTCATGGAGGAGGGCTGGGGGCAGCCTGGGTGAGCCCCAGGGCTCCAGAGAGGTTTGCCACGTTGCACCTGCAGGGGCTGGGGGAGGTTAGCTGAGGGGAGGGGGCTGGAGGAGGTTAGCTGAAGGGAGGGGGCTGGCAGCCAGTCCTGGGCCTCAGTCCCTCCCGCCTGGCACAGAAGTATTGGGCTGTCTGGAATCCCCAGAGTGGAGATGGGTGGGGTGGGGGAGATGAAACTTTCTGGTGGGTGGTGAGGGTGTTGCTGAGGCCACTGGAGGGGAGGAGACCCCCCCACCCCACTGTCAGAGGGTGCAGTGGAACAGGGGCCCAGCACAGAGGGAACCTCCAGTGTTCTAGGGAGGAGAGGGGACCTTCGAGGCCCCAAAGGAGCAGGTGGCACCGCGGGAGGACTCAGCACAGCGTCCAGGAGCCACGACAGGGTCAGGAGGGGTTGACGGGGGCATCTGTCAGACAACAAGGCCAGCCCCTGGTGACCTGGTAGCTGAGATGGGACTGAGCCAGGGATGGGCGAAGGGATAATGCTTGCGCAGGGGCTGGGTGTCAGGAGGAGTGTGAGGCTCCCGGCCCGGGAGGAGAGAGCCGAGTCTGAAGGGGGGTAGGGCAGAGAGGGAGAGGCAGTGAGTGGCCTGGAAGGCCGGATATGGGGGTGCACGGGGGGTCTGGGGCCTTGTCAGTTCCTCGTCTTCAGTGCCATCCACGACCTGTGGACCTTGCGGGCTCTGTCACCCGGATTCACTCCATCCCCTCTGAACCCTGGGAGGGGATGCGCCTTTGTCTTCCCCTTGTACACATGGGGAGACTGAGGCAGAGCTCAGGAAGCTGATTGCAGGGTCACAGCTCAAGGGCAGGTCCTGGGCTCTTCCTCTTGCCTCTCCACAGGGTATCTCACGGGAGCTAGTGCAGCCATGGGCATGGCTCAGGCCCCTTGGCCTGGTGTAGTCCTCACAGCTCCTGTTTTCTCATTTGCTTCCTAATGTATTCCACCACCACCCCCACTAACACGAGCTCTGTCTGGTTCCCGGATGAGTCCGTACCTGGCTACGAGGGGAGGAAGGGAGCAAGGTGGATGATGGCTGGGTGGACAGGTGGACGGACAGATAGATGGGCGGACGGGCAGGCAGGTGGACAGGTGGACGTGCAGAGAGGGAGGGAGGAAGGGAGCAGGTGGTGGCGATGGGCACAGGCCTGATCCTGCCCTCCCGCAGCTCCCTGCTGAGGACCGCATTCCTCCTGCTGCTGCTCATCAGCGCCACCTGGCTGCTGGGGCTGCTGGCTGTGAACCGCGATGCACTGAGCTTTCACTACCTCTTCGCCATCTTCAGCGGCTTACAGGTAGGTGACGGCCGAGTTGCCCGCGGGACCCCTGCCTGGCCGCCGTGACACCATCGCTGTGATGCGAAGCAGTGGAGGCCTCTGCGGTCCCAAACCAGCCCTGCCTGGGTCCCGCGTGGGGGCCTCCTGTGGCTGTGAGGACTCAGTCCCTTGTGCAGCCGGCACGGGGGCTGGTGCCTCCTCCCCACTGTGTCTGGGGACGATGACCCTAGTGCCAGGCCAGCACAAGTCCACTTGTGTCTCCAGGGAACAGAAGTGGCCATTTCTAGTCATACCAAGGGCCACACAGCAAGTGGACTTACGACACAGTGGGGACCCCAGAGGGGCCCCAAGGACTGTGGAAGGAGTGCCCAGAAGACTGGCCTGAGCCGGGGCCCTCACTGCCTCCAGCACACCGGGGGTCTGGCCCAGGCATCTCAGTTTCTGAGCTCCCCCACCTGGCCTCCAGATAGCAGCAGTCCCTGAGGAGGGGAGGCCTGGCCGTGTCCTGGGCCGTGTGGCCGGACATGTTGTGTGCACTCAAGGCTGTATGCGCATCTGTGCTGGGGCGCCTAAGGGCAGGTGCCTAGGGAGGCAGCAGCAGGTGCTGACCCCACCTTCCTCCCTCCAGGGCCCCTTCGTCCTCCTTTTCCACTGCGTGCTCAACCAGGAGGTCCGGAAGCACCTGAAGGGCGTGCTCGGCGGGAGGAAGCTGCACCTGGAGGACTCCGCCACCACCAGGGCCACCCTGCTGACGGTAGGAGGCGCCGGGGACACCGCGGGACTGGGGGCTGGGCGGCATCTCGAGGGGCGGGGGAGGGTGATCGAGCCTCAGCCCCAGTCCTGCGGCCCGTATGCCCCTCACGGTGGGGATGGCAGAGCCGCCCGCGGTGCACGGTGTGGCTGCCGCGTCAGAACCAGAAAGTGACAGAATCGGCCAGATGGGGCCTGGGTCGCATCCTAACCCTGCTCTTCCAGGCCTTAGAAAGAGAGGGTCAGGACCACCGAGGATCCTGACCAGAAGCAGTGGCCGTAGGGAGGGCGGCAGCCCCTGACCACAGCGCGGGCCAGGATGTGCTTCCCTCAGCTGCCAGGAGGCTCTCGTTTGCAGTGAGGGTTGACTGCTTGGGGCCAGCTCCTCCTGTGTGCCAGGCAGGGGCCCAGCCAGGGTGTGGGTGTGGGGGGCTTGCCGTGGGGACAGAGTCATTCCCCGTGGTGGTCATGTGGTGGCCACCACTTGGCAGTGACCAGCCCCTCCCCTCCCTTCAGCGCTCCCTCAACTGCAACACCACCTTCGGTGACGGGCCTGACATGCTGCGCACAGACTTGGGCGAGTCCACCGCCTCGCTGGACAGCATCGTCAGGTCAGGCCGCAGCTCCGGGTTCGGGGAGGTGGCTCTCGAACTCCCTCAGGTTTTGCCCCTGCCACCCCAACCTGTGTCCTGCCATTCAACCAACATCACCTTCCACCCCCAACTTTCCACCCGCACCTTCTTCCCACCCGCAACTTCCCTCCCTGCCCCGCACCTTCCCTCCCCGCCTCGCACCTTCCCTTCCCCTGCACCTTCCCCCAACAACCTTTCCCCCACCAACTTCCCCCAACCAACCTTTTCCCGTGCAACCTTCCCCCCCGCACCTTCCCCGCACTGCACCTTCCCCCCGCAGCCTTCCCCCCTCCACCTTCCCCCTCCACCTTTCCCCTGACAACCTTTCCCCCCAACCTTTCCCCCAGCACCTTCCCCCCAACCTTTCCCCCCACCACCTTCCCCCCCAGCCTTTCCCCCCACCACCTTTCCCCCACCCAGCCTTTCCCCCCACCACCTTCCCCCACCCAACCTTTCCCCCCACCACCTTCCCCCACCCAACCTTTCCACCCACCACCTTCCCCCCACCCAACCTTTCCCCCCACCACCTTTCCCCCACATACTCGGGAGGCTGTTTTGTCTGTGCTGTTGTTGGGAACACAGAAGGGGTAGGGGCAGAGAATCTTCCAGAGAACTTTCCAGCACCTCCTGTTCCCTGACGGATGATACTGAGCCCACCCTCCCTGGCCTCTCTAGGGATGAAGGGATCCAGAAGCTCGGCGTGTCCTCTGGGCTGGTGAGGGGCAGCCACGGAGAGCCAGACGCGTCCCTCATGCCCAGGAGCTGCAAGGATCCCCCTGGTATGGCTTCCCTGGAGGGGGAGGACCCCGTGGGTTGTTTTTCCCACGTCCCTTCGGTCACTGGACAGACTGCCCCTGAAGAAGCACTAGCAGCCTCGCCATGCTCAGCGTCAGCATGCCAGGGGCCCAGTGGCTCTGCTTGGCCCTCGGTGGGACTCCCTCACCTCCCAGGGCCTGAGCCTCCCTGTCCCCCGCGCATCCACAGGCCACGATTCCGACTCAGATAGCGAGCTGTCCCTGGATGAGCAGAGCAGCTCTTACGCCTCCTCACACTCGTCAGACAGCGAGGACGATGGGGTGGGAGCTGAGGAAAAATGGGACCCGGCCAGGGGCGCCGTCCACAGCACCCCCAAAGGTGAGTGTGTGGGGCACATTGGGCCAGGCTGGGCTGTGGACAGCGGGCTCGGGGCAGGCCTTGGCTATGGCTGGGTCCCTTCCTCCCAGGATATGCCCAGCAGCACTGCAGCCACATGAAAGGACAGCCTGGGGTGGGGGGACTCTGGTTGGGCTCCCCCACAGCCTCTGGAGGGCTCCTCCAGGCCAACCCCCTGAGCGGAGGCAGGAACTCTCAGGGGGGTCTCTGTGGACTGTCACCGCAAGGTCCAGGTGAGGCTGCCAGTGGGGGATTAGCCTGTATAGTTACTGGTACAGATGCGGCGGGGGCTCCCAACAAGGGCCCTGCTGCCAGGACTCGCCCTCCTGGGCCTCAGTTTCCCCACCTTTAGGGTTCAGCCCTACCAGGCCTGCAGGTTGGGGAGAGGTGGGTCAGAGCCACCAGACCCATGGCTCTCAAGGGAGCAGCTCGAGTGGCAGTGCCGCTGCCTGCTGAGCACCGCTCTCGTGCCTCAGGGGACGCTGTGGCCAACCACGTTCCGGCCGGCTGGCCCGACCAGAGCCTGGCTGAGAGTGACAGTGAGGACCCCAGCGGCAAGCCCCGCCTGAAGGTGGAGACCAAGGTCAGCGTGGAGCTGCACCGCGAGGAGCAGGGCAGTCACCGTGGAGAGTACCCCCCGGACCAGGAGAGCGGGGGCGCAGCCAGGCTTGCTAGCAGCCAGCCCCCAGAGCAGAGGAAAGGTGCCTGGGGAGGCCGGGGCTGCAGTGAAAGGCTGGAGGACCCAGAAGGGCCAGTCCCTGGTCTGGAGGTGGGAGTGGGGCTGGGGCTGGTGGGGCAAGTCAGGGCCTGGGCAGAACAGACGTGGCCTCCTGGCCTAGCCCTGGGACCCGGGGAACCAGGAGGAAGGACAGGGGCTGAGGCTGGCTCAGCTGCACACGGCCCAGCAGCTGCCCCCGGCAGCATCACCCGGACTTGACCTTGCCGTGTCTCCTCCTCCCAGGCATCTTGAAAAATAAAGTCACCTACCCGCCGCCGCTGACGCTGACGGAGCAGACGCTGAAGGGCCGGCTCCGGGAGAAGCTGGCCGACTGTGAGCAGAGCCCCACATCCTCGCGCACGTCTTCCCTGGGCTCTGGCGGCCCCGACTGCGCCATCACAGTCAAGAGCCCTGGGAGGGAGCCGGGGCGTGACCACCTCAACGGGGTGGCCATGAATGTGCGCACTGGGAGCGCCCAGGCCGATGGCTCCGACTCTGAGTGAGTAGCCTGGGCCTCCAGGGCGGGGATCACCCACTTCCCCCTTGTCCTGAGTCAGGAGAGAGAGGGGGCAGTGGTCAGGGACCTGACACCCACCTCACCTGGAGCCCTGAGTGCAGAGGAAGCCCAGGCGGGGATGGGGGAGGGGGGAGGCGCTGCAGCTGAGGTCAGGAGGATACCCCGGAGATGGGCAGACCCCCTATCCTGGGGACACGTCTCAGGCCTCTGGGACTCTGAAGCCCTGGCCAGCCCCAAAATGCTAGGACCTAAGGTGCTGGGCTCTGCGTTTGATCAGCATTGTCTCCGCCTGGGACCACTGCCACCCACCTTGCAGTTGAGGATACTGAGGGTCCCGGAATGCCAGGGGTGAAGGGGGCGGGGTGGAGCTGGGGTCCTGGCCCCAGACCTCTCCCTGTCGCCCCTCCCTCCCTCCAAACTCACAAGGGAGAAGCCAGGTCTTCAGAATGCCCCTTCCAAAAGTCACTGTAGAGATGGCCGGTTTCTAACGTGGATTCCTTGCGCTCTTCTGAAAGACCAGCAACACAGAGGCCCACAGGCTGGTCCTGGTCCCCTCTCCTGCCTCCCAAGGGCAGCCTCATCCAACATGAGCTTGCCCTCCCTGGAGCCCCCAGACGCCCCCTCTACCCTGATGGGGTGATCCTGCCCCCCCGTGTGACAACCTTGGGCCCCACCAAGCCGCTACCCTCACTGACCCTTCACCTGCTTGCTGGCTTCTTCCCACGCGCAGAGGCAGTAATGAAACTTCAATTTGAACCATCAGTAATGAAACTTCAATTTGAACCATCAGGAAACCGTGAGGCAAGCCCGTCACCCCACACAGGCTGCGGCATCACCCTCAGACCTTGGAGCCCAAGGGGCCACTGCCCTTGAAGTGGAGTGGGCCCAGAGTGTGGCGGTCCCCATGGTGGCAGCCCCCCGACTGATCATCCAGACACAAAGGTCTTGGTTCTCCCAGGAGCTCAGGGCCTGTCAGACCTGGTGACAAGTGCCAAAGGCCACAGGCATGAGGGAGGCGTGGACCACTGGGCCAGCACCGCTGAGTCCTAAGACTGCAGTCAAAGCCAGAACTGAGAGGGGACCCCAGACTGGGCCCAGAGGCTGGCCAGAGTTCAGGAACGCCGGGCACAGACCAAAGACCGCGGTCCAGCCCCGCCCAGGCGGGCATCTCATGGCAGTGCGGACCCGTGGCTGGCAGCCCGGGCAGTCCTTTGCAAAGGCACCCCTTGTCTTAAAATCACTTCGCTATGTGGGAAAGGTGGAGATACTTTTATATATTTGTATGGGACTCTGAGGAGGTGCAACCTGTATATATATTGCATTCGTGCTGACTTTGTTATCCCGAGAGATCCATGCAATGATCTCTTGCTGTCTTCTCTGTCAAGATTGCACAGTTGTACTTGAATCTGGCATGTGTTGACGAAACTGGTGCCCCAGCAGATCAAAGGTGGGAAATACGTCAGCAGTGGGGCTAAAACCAAGCGGCTAGAAGCCCTACAGCTGCCTTCGGCCAGGAAGTGAGGATGGTGTGGGCCCTCCCCGCCGGCCCCCTGGGTCCCCAGTGTTCGCTGTGTGTGCGTTTGTCCTCTGCTGCCATCTGCCCCGGCTGTGTGAATTCAAGACAGGGCAGTGCAGCACTAGGCAGGTGTGAGGAGCCCTGCTGAGGTCACTGTGGGGCACGGTTGCCACACGGCTGTCATTTTTCACCTGGTCATTCTGTGACCACCACCCCCTCCCCTCACCGCCTCCCAGGTGGCCCGGGAGCTGCAGGTGGGGATGGCTTTGTCCTTTGCTCCTGCTCCCCGTGGGACCTGGGACCTTAAAGCGTTGCAGGTTCCTGATTTGGACAGAGGTGTGGGGCCTTCCAGGCCGTTACATACCTCCTGCCAATTCTCTAACTCTCTGAGACTGCGAGGATCTCCAGGCAGGGTTCTCCCCTCTGGAGTCTGACCAATTACTTCATTTTGCTTCAAATGGCCAATTGTGCAGAGGGACAAAGCCACAGCCACACTCTTCAACGGTTACCAAACTGTTTTTGGAAATTCACACCAAGGTCGGGCCCACTGCAGGCAGCTGGCACAGCGTGGCCCGAGGGGCTGTGGAACGGGTCCCGGAACTGTCAGACATGTTTGATTTTAGCGTTTCCTTTGTTCTTCAAATCAGGTGCCCAAATAAGTGATCAGCACAGCTGCTTCCAAATAGGAGAAACCATAAAATAGGATGAAAATCAAGTAAAATGCAAAGATGTCCACACTGTTTTAAACTTGACCCTGATGAAAATGTGAGCACTGTTAGCAGATGCCTATGGGAGAGGAAAAGCGTATCTGAAAATGGTCCAGGACAGGAGGATGAAATGAGATCCCAGAGTCCTCACACCTGAATGAATTATACATGTGCCTTACCAGGTGAGTGGTCTTTCGAAGATAAAAAACTCTAGTCCCTTTAAACGTTTGCCCCTGGCGTTTCCTAAGTACGAAAAGGTTTTTAAGTCTTCGAACAGTCTCCTTTCATGACTTTAACAGGATTCTGCCCCCTGAGGTGTAATTTTTTTGTTCTATTTTTTTCCACGTACTCCACAGCCAACATCACGAGGTGTAATTTTTAATTTGATCAGAACTGTTACCAAAAAACAACTGTCAGTTTTATTGAGATGGGAAAAATGTAAACCTATTTTTATTACTTAAGACTTTATGGGAGAGATTAGACACTGGAGGTTTTTAACAGAACGTGTATTTATTAATGTTCAAAACACTGGAATTACAAATGAGAAGAGTCTACAATAAATTAAGATTTTTGAATTTGTACTTCTGCGGTGCTGGTTTTTCTCCACAAACACCCCCGCCCCTCCCCATGCCCAGGGTGGCCGTGGAAGGGACGGTTTACGGACGTGCAGCTGAGCTGTCCGTGTCCCATGCTCCCTCAGCCAGTGGAACGTGCCGGAACTTTTTGTCCATTCCCTAGTAGGCCTGCCACAGCCTAGATGGGCAGTTTTTGTCTTTCACCAAATTTGAGGACTTTTTTTTTTTGCCATTATTTCTTCAGTTTTCTTTTCTTGCACTGATCTTTCTCCTCTCCTTCTGTGACTCCAGTGACTCAGACGTTAGACCTCTTGATGTTTTCCCACTGGTCCCTGAGGCTCTGTTCACCTTTCTTCATTCTTTTTTCTGTCTGTCCTTCAGATTTGGCTATTTCTGGTGCTCCGTCTTCAAGTTCACTGATTTTTTTTCCTCTGTCGTCTTAATTCTGCTACTGAACTCACCCAGTGAATTTATTTCAAATACTGTAATTAAGTTTTAAAATTTCCATTAGGTTCCTTTTTATTTCTCTGCTGGGTACTTCTGGTTTTCCACTCATTCCAAGAGTGTTCACCTTTACTTCATGAAGCATGGTTATAACTAGGACTGCAGTGAATTCTGGGATAATTTGAACGTTTGAGCATCTTGGGGCTGAAATCGTCTTTTCTGTTTGCATTTTCCTGGTTGTGTGCTGAGTAACTGCAAGTTGAATCCTCACTCGTCATGTGGAATGTTAGGTTAGACTCTGGGTTGTTAACACCCTCGTTGTAAGTGTCATTTCATGTGTTTGTTTCAGCAGCAGGCAACCTGGTTTAGGTTCTGACCACTGGTTCTGTCTCTCTTTCCACGAGCAGCAGGTCCACCACCAGGTCAGCCCTTGGCCTTGGCTGTGCTGTTTTGGGTCGTTGCCTGCACTCACAGGTGGGGTGGGCAGGGACGTGTGTCAGCACATGTAGAGAATCTGGGGGTCTGCTTCTCCAGCACTCTCCTTGCTGGAATTTGCCTTGCATTTTCTCACTTCTGGGGTCCCTTTTCTTGGTTTCTCTGTCCAGAAAGATGGGTTTCTCCCAGAGCTCTAGCCACCTGCACTGTCTCACGCTTCCACCCTTAAGGAAACAGGGCTCACCCTTAAGGAAAAGTAGTGACAGCAAAGAGAGAAAAATGGGAACCCCAACCCTCTCTAGTCCACAGTGCCCCCGTTTCCCAGGCCTCTCTGGAGTTGTTGCCCTGGTGCTGGCTGCACAGGACCACAGATTAGGGCCACCCCCGGGTCAAATCTGAGAGAGGAAAAACCACCCATGTGCCTGAGGTCATTTTTCAAGTTGTTGCTTTCTCCTCAGTTCACCTGCTAACGTTTACATCCTAGAATGCTCAGTGGCTAACATGATAGAATATTTCTACCTCAACCCCAAAGCCATGATTAGCAGGAAAATACTAGAAGCATCTGAGAGAGAGAAAGCAGTCCAGGTAGCCCGGAGCAGGCCTGTCCATCAGCCAGGCCAGGATGTCCATGTGAGGACCACGAAGTGCTCCGCAGAGCATCCGCAGCAGACCGTGACGGGTGAGGGCTGAACGAGCCCCTCTGTGATCCTGCCTGAACAGATGACAGCACAAACACCGGCCAAGCCACAGGGCGTCGACTCCCCCGGCCCAGGTGACAGGGGTGACCGCAGCTGCTTCAGTCACAGCTTCAGCCTCGCCTTGGGCTCCTCAGCCTGGAGGCAAGGCTTGTTAAGACCCCCAGGAGGGTCAGGCAGTGGTCCATGTCTGTAATCCCAACAGTGGCTGGCTGAGGCGGGAGTTCCAGACCAGACTGGGCAACACAGCAGGACTCCATCTCTACAGTTTTTAAAACTTAGCACAGTGGATCATGCCTGTAGTCCCAGTGCTTTGGGAGGCTGAGGCAAGATCGCTTGAGGCCAGGAGCTCAAGACCAGCCTAGACAACATAGCAAGACTGTTTCTAAAACAAAATTAAAGTTAGCTGGGTGTGGTGGTGTATGCCTGTTGTCCCAGCTACTTGGGAGGTCAAGGCTGCAGTGAGCTGTGATCACACCACTGCGCTCCAGCCTGGGTAACAGAGCAAGACCCTGTCTCTTGAAAAGAAAAAAAAAGAAACCTCCCCAAGAAGGAAGGGGCTTGGGCCCAGGCAAGGCTCCGGCACAGGGCAACATGGGAGCCAGAGACTGGGGAGAAGGCAGGCTCAGGGTGTTTGAAACCAGCTCAGGGCCTCGGGAAGGAGCCTCCCAGGTGTGAGGTGAGGGGGCATCATCCTAGGACCCATGTATCACTGAGATTATCCGGGAACAACGTAGGGGGAGAGGAGAGCGAGGGCTTTGCTTTCATTTGTATCACAAGCAGGGAGTAGGTGTAGGTGTACAGGCACCCAGCTCTTGGCCTGGAAAATGTTCCCCCATCGTCTTCATGGATAGGTGTGGCAAGGGGCTAAGGCCAGGCCACTGGGGGTACCCTTGCAGGCAGAAGGGGCTACCTAGCTACCTGTGCTCCTGGAGGCCCCCAGGTCTTCAAGAAGTCATCTGAGGGGCACAGCCTCTGGAGTGTGCCAGCCTTGGGTGCTGGGGAGGGTAGGAAAGAGGCCAGAAGAGCAGCCTGGAGACTTGGTCCCCTGGCCAACAGTTTCTGCTGAATCTCTGAGACATCGCACCAAAGCCCTCCAGAGTTGGCCAGTGGCCTTGTAGGGGGCAGGGCAGGCCATTGTGCCTGCTAGAGAGGGGAGCCCTGCCAGTCAGGAAGCTGTCACCATGGAGCCTGGGGGCTCAAGGGGGCAGAGGCAGGTTTGTGTCCCCGCTTCCTCCACTGGCCGATGCACAGGCCCTGAGGCTGGCAGGACGGTGGAGCCCGCTGGAGGTTGGAGCGGGGGCAGCCTTAGCGCTGCTGGCCTGGTGCCCACACCACCTTCTGCCTGGCTGCCCCACCTCCCACCTACTCATGTTTCTGTGACCTGGGAGGGTTCACCTAGGGCAGAGCAGTAGGCACCACAAGGGCTCTCCCACCCTCAGTTCCCAGGCTGGAGGCCCGACCACAGCCATAAATCAGGGAACCCCTGAGCCCAGGGAGGCTCCGTGCTGGGCTGAGCTGGCAGAACAAACGCGGCGCTTTAGCTCGGCCTCCATGCCCAGCTGGGCCGAGGATCCCCAGGGGCCTGTCTGGTCCCACTGGCCAGCGCTCTGCCTGCCTGGTAGAGCTGGGGCTTGCCCCTGGCCAGGGCAGCACTGACCCCACACCCCCCACCTCCCCACCCCAGCCCAGCAAGGGCCACGGCTCCACCTTAGGCCCCGTTTCCTCACCTGGCCTGCGGGGTTCTGGCCCACTCCTCACCCTCAGGACACTCCCTGCTGCGTGGGGGCCTAGGCTAGAAGGAAGGGTGCCCCAGGTCAGGGGACACCCAGTGGGGAGATGGGAGGAGGGGTCAGGATGGACAGTGGGCCCCATGGCAGCCCCCACCCTGACGCACCAGCAAGAACTCAGGGCATCTGGGCAAGGCCCTCTGCGCACCACCTGGCTGCCTCTGGAACCTTCCCACCCAGAGAAGGGGAATGCACCTCTGGTCCCCGCAGGAACCTGTCTTGAGGCACCAACAACACGCTACGAAGGACTCAAGCCCAGCAAGAGGAAGAGAGCCAAGGACACAGGTCAGCATCGCAGGCACCTACTCTGGAGTCCAGGAGCAGGGATACGGGGGCAGAGGATGGAGCAGCTGGGACCTCAGGGAGAGGTACGCAGGTTGCCATGGCTGCGTCTGCAGTCCACCTGCCTTTCCACGCCAGGGAGTCAGTGATGTGGAGCCCCCTGGGCCCCAGTGGAAGCAGCGATCAGACTATGTGTCCTTGAAATAATGTTTATTCCACGCTGTCCCGACAGCCCCCTCTGCAGGTCCCCTCGGTGTACTCTGAGGTGGGAAACCCTCCCTGGGGGCGGTGAAGGGGAACTCGGGCCACCCCACCAGCCAGCAGATGCTCCAGCAGCCAGAGCCCCAGCCTGGAGCTGAGGCTCTTCCTGGGGCTCGCCGGGCCCCTGCAGGCTTTTCGGACCCTCAGCCAGCCCGGCTTCCTCTGCTTTGGGCAGCAGCAAGCTGGCCCTTGGGCACCTGGACTGCTCACCAGCCGCCCAGCCATGGGTCCTGCTCTCCAGGTTCCTTCTAGCAGATCCATCTCTGTCAGAGCAAGGGACTCAGGCCTGGACCATCTTCTGGGCTGTCACTGGGGCTCTCAGTGGCCATCCCAGCTCTGCGCTGGCCCTTCTGGAGCGTGTAGGCAGACGGCCCCAGCCGCAGGATCTTCCCGCTGCCCAGGCACTCGTCCCCCTTGTAGAACACAGCAAACTGTAGGGGAGAGACCCTGGCATCAGGGGTGCCACAGGGAGCCAGCCGAGGGCAGGCAGGGGCAGAGTGCTCCCCTATGGGGCCTGGCCTGTGCTCGGAGCACCAGGCACTGAGCTCCCAGGGGAGCAGGGTTTTGCTGCTGCTGCTGCTGCTGAACAGGAGAGGAGAGGCCTGGGGCACCCAGTGGCTTCACTAGGGAGGGTCTTCAGGGTACCTCTCCCTGAGTGGGACAGTCACAGGGGCCTCTCCTGGGACTCCAAGGGACTGGCAGGTCTCTGCACCCCTTGGGAATGTGGAGCTGTGACAGGAAGGAGCATGGTGGCAGCCAGAGGATGCTTCCGCTTCCCTCACCCCAGGTTCCCTCCCACCACCTGCCCCTGGAGATTCCTCAGGCCTACACCCACCAGGCGCCCACCCTGGGAGCTCCTGCACACTCGGCCCACAGGGGCCCCGACCCTCTGCCTCTTTGAGCACTGTCCTCATGCCCCTTCCATTTTCTGTCCTCGCTTCTGGGGCCCGGGCAGCAGCTGAGCCTCTCAGGGCCCGAGCAGGAACTGGCTGGTTGGTGACACCAGAGTGGAAATCCTCTCACAGTTGTCACTGTGGGAGGAGCCCCCAGGGCAGGGCTGGTGGCACTCTGCCCTCACCAGCTGTGTGACCCGAGCACACCCTACTCCTGGGCCTCAGCCCCTTCCTCTGTAACCCGGGTGCCCTGGCAGGGTGCAGAGCAGTACAGTCCTCCCCGGGCTCACCCCCACACCCCACGCACCTGTCCTGTGGCAAGGGCACGCACAGCCTGCACAGCTGTCACCCACACGGTGCCATCTTGATTGAGGGTCAGCACACAGGGCACTGGGTAGAAGAGAGGGGCCCTTGGAGGGGGCACAGGCCTTTCCTGGTCGACCTCAGGCCCCCAGGGAGAAAGGAGCACCAGCCCACGGGGTCAAAAACCCCTGCTTAGAGGGGAAGGGCAGGGCACCAGCCTGGGCCCTGGACGCAGCAGGACACTGCGGGGCAGTGTACACACTTGCTTCAGCCCAACACGCCGGGGCCTGCCTGCATCTGCTCCCAGCACCCCCAGGCCTCGCTCAGGGCAGGCACAGGACACGGGAGTTCTAAATACTTTAGGTAATCTCCAAATGATCTCCACAACGGGACTTTCCTACCCCAGGGTCTCCCATCCCTGGCCCAAATCTGGCCTCAGGAAGCTCAGCTTCAAGGGGCCCGTCCTCAGGAGCCCTCCCGTCAGTCACCTAGTGCCATCTGGTGGCGGAATCGGAAGTGGCACTCCATCATCTTGTCCCGGACCAGTGCTGCGGGAGGCTCCTCCGCAATCCAGTGCACGCGGCTGGTCCTCAGCAGGTCCCTGTACAGGGCTGGGTGGTCTGTCCGGGGGGCCTGCAGAATGGAATGTGAAGGTGGGGACGCCGAGGGGCACCTGGCCCCAAGGCCGGCCTCAGTGTGGTCCCTGGGAACAACTGTCCTACCAGCACACACACACACAGGTAACGGTGCTGGCACCGCTCGAAGTGTTCTACCCACAGAAATTCATCTCATCACCCGCCGGGCCTTTGAATCCCCATTTTACAGATGAGGAGACTAAGGCCCAGGAAGGAAGTACCATGTCAGAGTGGGCAAGAGGCAGGGGTGAGATCCGAGCCCATGACAGTGAATGCTGCAGGTTCAAGTCTGACTCAGGCCCTCTACCTGCAACCACCTGTGGGGCAGCAGCACGGCCCCCCTCGAGGACTGGTTTTTCTATTCGCAGGGACAGGGGCCAGCCACACCACGGGCTCTTCTCTCAAGGCCACCCCAGGAATTCCTCCACACACCAAATGGCTGAGGAGAAAGGAGGGACTGGTAGCTGCTGGCTTCCCACAGGTGCCCCAGGACTGGCCCTGGTCTGGGGGGCCCCAGATACCCTAGGTTGGTTCTGAGGCCCCTGCTCCCTGTCACCCACCCATGGCCTCGGGCCATTGAGACCTGGCACCTCCTGGGATTGTGCCAAGCCCCGCCCCTGAAGCAGGACGAGGAGCATGAAGTTAAGGGCTTTGGGTTCTAAGCAGGCACCAAGACCCGTCCAGGGACAGGAGGCCGTTGGTTAACCCTTCTGGTCTTCTCACAGCAAACTGAAATCTAGATCATTTAATTCATTCGCAGCCAGGCTTTTCTCCCCACAGGTCTTCCTAGTAAGGAGATGTCCTGGAATCGGTGGGTGGGGCCTGCTGGCCCCCGCCTCCGTCTAAGAGAAGGCGCCCCAGCATTCGTGCCAGAACATGAGCCGGCAGCCAGGGTGCTGAGAGTGGGCCTTCTCAGCTCCACGCGCCAAGGTGGAGGCCGGGTCACTCAGGGAAGAGGCTGTGCTGAACACGGCAAGCAGCATCCCCGGCCTGACCCACAGATGCAGCAGCACCCGCGTCCTTGCTTTTCCACCCAAGCTGTGACAACCAAAAATGCCTCTAGACACTGGCAAGGTCCCCTGAAGGTGGGGTGAGCTTGCCGCCACTGAGCGGCCCTGCTTTGAGGCCAGGGTCACAGTGGTAAGGTCCCCACTGTGGTGGAAGGCTTGGTTTGATCCTGGCTTGGCCATCTGCACCTGCCTGACAACAACTCACTGGATCCTACCATGGTGGGCACCATCCTTGGCACTGAGGCCATGCCCTCTCCACCGGATGAGCCACCCAAGCTCTGGGCGTCGCTGTCCTCTTTCATAAAATTGGAGAAACTGTATCTGTGTATCGGGGTTCAGGGATGATTAAGAGACCAGCATACAACTCAGCCTAATGAATACCTTAAAACTCTCCTGCCACCATGGCCAGTCCCAGGAAAGGCAGGGGACCAAGGACAGGAACAGAGTTAGTCACAGCCTCCAGGAAGCCACGGCTGCTGGAGGCCTTCTCAAGCCCTGGTCTGGAAGCACTGCTGGCCCTGCCAGAACCAGCCCCAGTGCTGTCTCAGAGGCCGGCCCACTCACCACAAACACGTCACCCTTGACGCTGTCCTTCTCCACCACGTACCAGGGCTCTCTCAGGCCACCTATGTTTGCTCTCTGGCCCAAGGTATACAGGAACCAACCTACAGAAAGACAGTTTCTCCATGAGGCTGGGCAACAAGTTACAGCCCACATGTCACGCCTCATCATGAAGGCAGATGCTGGGAGGGCAGCCCAGAGCAGGCCCAGCAATGGTGTAACTCACTAGGAAGATACGATTCTCCAACCACCAAAGCCAGCCCTGACCAAGCACCTGAGCACATCTCATCATTGTCCAGGCCTGGGCTGGACATGGGGTGTGGTGGCCACAAAGAAGGCACCTTGTGCCCCAGAAGGTGCAGGTTCCAGCTGTAGGAGCCCCTGACCCTAGGCCCAGGATGCGGCTGGGTGCCCTGTGTGACGCCAGGGGCCCTTCTTGCTGAGCCCATGACATAGCTGCACGTCTTCACAGTGTCCATCTAATGCAGTAACTGCATCAGGGCTACCCCCAGCTGCTCTGCGCACCCTCACAATGTCACACAGCAGATGGCAAACTCACTGCCTCCCTCCCCTGCAGTGGGGCACACAGGCAGAGAGAACCTCATGGGATTTACCACGTGGCCTGGGCCGGCAGCCTTCTTCAGTGAAGTGAACTGCAGGTGGAAGCCATGAGTCATCCAACTGGCTCCTGCTGGGGCCAGGGCTGGCAGATACATGGGCAATCCTGTCTGGCAGTTCTGTCCCAAGCAAAGCTGTCACCTCCACCTGTCTCAGGAATGCCTAGCCCCGGCTCCGCCTGCCGTCTCCCCTCCACAAGAGGTGGAAGATCTCCAAGTGCAATTCACTGCAAGACGCCCTACACCTGAGCTGCAGCCTGGCTCTCCTGGCCAGTCCCACAGCTCAGGTCTGTGCTGTGTCAAGACCTGCCTGATCATCACGCCGGCAGGCACATCCCCGCCACTGTACTAACCCAACAATGGCTGCACTCTGTCCCCACAGCAGGACTGCACACTGTGACTGACTCGGAGCCTGTCCCCTGACACCAGGCACAGCACAGGCTCACGCAGGCCTCACCGCAGTAAGGGTCTGCACATGAGCGAGCAGCACTCTGGCCAGCGCGGACGCCTGATCCCATCGCTGCATGTGGTCCTTAATCATTCACACCATGCCGGGACGTCCACCTTACTCCCTGAATCAGAGTGGAGTTTTGTGTAGTTTAACATTTTCCTTACACAGGAAGGAAATCATTCTTTTTACAGGGACTTGATACGTAACTCACAGAGTATAGTCCTTCCAAGTCAGAGGCGCGCTTTTCATGAACTCCAGCATCTCAGCTGAGGCCACATCTGGAAGTGCACCCAGCCACCATCAAGGCAACTGTTCCACCCTAGGCCGTGCCCGCCCCCGGCCGCCCCACAGAGCCTTCTACAATTCTCCAGCCAAGTGGAAGGGACGACAGGAACTCTGGTCTAGTCTCCCAGAGCTGAAACGCCACAGCTCTAGGCATTTCAGATGACAAGTGGCAGAGTCTGCACCTCACCTTTATGTGTTCCCAGAACCTTATTGTCTTCTATGGAAATAAAGTGACCAGGTCGAGGCTGCAGATACTGGAAAACAAACATGTCATTACCGACGGAGATCTAGGCCCAGGGCAGACACGCAGCCCCATCTCTTTGTGTCAAAGAGCAGCACGCACCTGAAGAAGGAAATGTTCAAAATTCCTCTTCCCGATGAAACACATGCCCATGCTCTGAAATGAGAAGACGGCAGCCGTGAGAGGAGCAGAAGTGGCGGTGGCCCAAGCTGTACCCAGACGTCCTGAGCGGGCCCTGGGGCCTCCCGGCCTCACCCCACACTTTGCTTCCAGGGTAGGGGCCCGGCTGCCCACCGGCACCCTCGGCCGCCAGTCACAGCCGGCGCACACGATGCCAGAGCCTTAGAGAACGCCTCATTGTCTCGGCCCGCGGGGTCTGACCCTGCGCGGGAGACCCTCACACCAGCTGCCCCGGGGAAGAAAGCAGAACCCGGTCAGGTCCTTCAGGCCACTGTCCTGCGAGGAGTGGGGGAGAGACAGGGACCAGAGAAGGGGCAGGTAGCAGGAAAGCCAGGCCTGAAGCTAAGGCCTTAGGGGAGGGCTCCAGGGGAGTCAGAGGAGAGAGGCGCCTTCCTCAAGCACATCTGCCCTAGCTGGGGAGCCTGGGTGGCGTGCGCTCTCCACCGTGGCCCCATCAGGGGCTGCATCGTTTACTCTGGTTTGTGTCTCTCAAGACTGCCCTTCCATCCCTGCGGCTCCCACCACAGAGCGACACCGGAAACGGAAAACAAGAGGAGAGGAGGACGGGCGGTGGGCGTGCTCTTCAGGGAAGATGGCTCTGATGAAAGGTATGGCCGTTTCCATTACCAGGAAGAGACACGAAGGAGCAACAGCTCCCACCGCACTGGCCCCTGAAGAGGTGAGGCTCATCCCACAGCGCCCTCGCCCTCCATCCCCAAGGCCCTCCCACGGGCTTCATCCTAGTTCCGCCAACACTCCGGGTTCTCTCTTTTTGAGACGAGTTTCGCTGTGTTGCCCAGGCTGTCCTCAAACTCCTGGGTGCGCTCGATCCTCCTGAGGAGCTGGGGCCACAGGCAGGCACCCCCACAGCGGCTCCCTGGCTTCTCCTCGCCTCAAGGCCTTTGCACTGCCGTTCCCTCATCTGGACTTTCCCAGCCCTCTCTGGGACACCGGATCCTCTCCTCCTTCAGGTCTCAGGTTCCATGTGACTTCTTTTGAGGCCGTTTTTGGCATCTCCATTCCCTACTCTCAGACCCCACTGGTGCTTCCCACCCAGGGTCCTACACCTCCCTCCGTAGACATTTTCTAGGTTTACACTGATTGGCCTCCTGCCTGTGTCCCCCACTCGCGGGCGGGCTCCATGGAGGCGAAGATGGAACTGTGTGCGCGTCACCAATTCCTCGCGGCCCAGCAGCACAGCGCCCGAACAGATGGCACCGAACGAGTCTGTGCCGGGCAAGCGGGTGACAGGGCACATGAGTGTGCAGACGGCGGCACAGCACCTGCCCCTCCAGGGGTCTCGGGGCTGCATCACACTGCCTGGCACTCACCTGGCAGGCAGGCCATCCCAAGAGCACCCCACCAGCTGCTAAGGCTGTGGGGAAAGCTGCCTACCACATAGGGGCAGAGGAGAGGAAAAAAGCAAGGAGTCTCGTATAGGCTGCTCCCGATGTCAGCAGAGCCCTGTACCGTGCGCCTCAGCAAACTCCTCCATCTATTGCTCCAAGGCCCGCCTTTGATGTTAGGTCCTGGAGAAGGGGAAGTGGTGCGGGACCCACAGGTCCAGCTGCTCCGTGCCATGCAGTCGGGAAAGGGAAACAGGCACTAATCAAAGGCAACTGCTCACTCGTACCTCTTTCTTCTGAAGCACATGATGAAGTCTATTCTCAGCAGCGATTTTCTTTACAAACTCTTTCGTTAATCCCCCCAGAGGGAAGATGGTTCTCCTCAGGGCATCCTGGGAAACCTGGCTGAGAAAGAAGGTCTGGTCTTTAAAGCTGTCAGCTGCCTGGAGGAGTTTTACCGCTGCCAAGAATAAAGAACAAAAGACGATGCAGGAATAAAAATAATGATACTTCACTTTCAACAATGTCCTTCTGTTCACTTAGACAGACTACCCCTAGCCTGTCAGAGGCAGACATCAACACTCAATAGCAACTACTAGGGAAAAGACCACCACGGGTTAATGTAAGAAAAATTCGCACCTCCAAAAAAAAAAACAAGGATTTTACATGACAAAGAAATTATTCCAGCTCATACTTCAGATTATAATATTTTCAAAGATGAAACATCACATGAAAAAATGTTCTCAAGTGATAAGAAAAAAAAAAAAAAACACCTAAAATAAATTCAGCCAAATCTTGGAAAATGGAGTAAGCTAGTTGCTGGCAGAAAATTCCACTGATATAGTGTCAGCTGTGCCTTCTTCCAACAACCACAGGATGTGTTCGTGCCACAGTGGTTTCAAGGACTCTACACTTTCCAGGTTCACTGCCCGGCGGCCAGCACATGCCTCCAGCAGCGCCCTACCTGTGAAGGCATTAGCTTTCTTGGTAAAAACGTTTTTTTGTTGAGAGTCTCAGCTGACATCTGTTAGGTGACCCTGCAGTTCCTCCGACATTCCCTATGTGATTGTAAAGAACCATTTCTGGCTTTAAGGCAACGGAGCAGAGGTGTGAGTAAACCTGGCTTAGAACCGTCCAGTTCTCCACTCTCGAGTTCAATGATCAATGGCAAAAAACTAAGACGAACGTCAGTTTTCTGGCTTCTTTCAATCTTTCTCATAAACTTCTCCTTTCGAGTTACACTCAGAGCACGCCACATGCCGTGACGGTCAGACAGCACACCTACCCTTCCTGGCTTGGCAGAGCCACGTGTACAGTACACACTCTGCGTAGCTAGTGTTTTCCATCTGCCGATTCCCACGTTAGCCGTGAGAGGGAGAATTCTCCCCACGTTACAGAGGGGAGACTGGAGCCGGCCCAGTTCATCACATATGACTCGCCCAAAGTGATGCAGGTGGAGGCGGTGGGGCTGGAGGCTGCCCAGCCTCCCGAGTCCCCCTCCCTTACTTGGCAGGTACAAACAGCAGAACTGAGTGACAAGTGAGACCAAGTTCAGCCGACCAGTCGCCACGGAAGCAGAGCACTTTCCAGAGTCCACTTTTTTTTTTTTTTTTGAGATGGAGTCTCGCTCTGTCGCCCAGGCTGGAGTGCAGTGGCACATCTCGGCTCACGGCAATCTCCGCCTCCTGGGTTCAAGTGATTCTCCTGTCTCAGCCTCCAGAGTACCTGGGACTACAGGCATGTGCCACCATACTCGGCTAACTTTTTTTTTTGTATTTGTAGTAGAGATGGGGTTTCACCATGTTGGCCAGGCTGGTCTGGAACTCCTGACCTCATGATCCGCCTGCCTTGGCTTCCCAAAGTGCTGTGATTACAGGCATGAGCCACCGCACCTGGCCTCAGAGTCCACTTTCAATCCCAAACTAACTGCAGTCAAACACTGCATGTGTGTAAAAGCCTCAGAAAACTAGGAGCCATTTGCATTTTCTCCTAGTTCTGCGTCATTTTAAAACAAACTAAAAATCTATGATTTTCAAAAAAGCAAGCTGGCGACCCTAACTGAACTGCTATAGAGGAAAAAGCACAGAAAGGAATGAACAACATTTGGAGGAGGCTGCCTGTGCTGGAGCCTCACTGACACGCCGGCTGCCGTGCTGGCTCTGCCAGGCCGGTGGTAGCACGCTGTGTGGGGGAAAATCAGCCCAGTCACAGGCCAGGCCTAGGAGCGCTGGTCTCAGGTGCTGACCGACCCTGAGCCCAGGCCGTCCACTGCCCCTGCAGGTGCTCTACCCAGAGACCCAGGCTGGGCCAGGGCAACTGAAGAAGAATGAAATGGAAACCTTAGTGTGCCTACAAAACCCAGTGAAGGCCAAGACACTGTGCACCATCACAATTCCCACATGCCAAACGCACTCAACAGAACGCATCAGTACTGTCCCAAGTTTCCGAGGGCACGTGGCCTATAATAAAGGTCGATGGCTCTGCAGGGCACACAGTGTTCTAGGAGGTAATGTTCTAGGAGGTAAGCAGGCGCATCTATTCAACATGGAAATTAACCCTCCATCTCCTCAGGCCCCGTAAATGCACAATTACTTGGTGAATTCCACCCTGGAGTTCCCAAGTGGCAGGACTCTGCATTCCAACCCATGTCTTCCTGAAATGGGGGGCTGTCTTATCTGCATTCAAACCCATGTCTTCCTGAAATGGGGGGCTGTCTTACGGGAGTGGGCTGCTCTTCTCTGGGCTCAAGTCAGTACAGTTACCTGATCACCCTGTGGCATAAGGAAGGAAGGCGAGGAGGGAACAGAGGGCGGCAGACGACTGTTGGCACACTCAGGGCTCCCTTGACCAAGCACGGCCCTGCCCCATCACTGCAGCCTTCAGGATGGGCTCAGCAACGCTGAGGAAAGAACTCAGCTGGGGCCTGACCCAGCAGAAGCAGCAGGGGCTGGGGAGTGAGCGGAAGTGCACTGAAATCCAGCTCTGCCACCCGAGGGACCCAGGTCAGATGGCTTCATCCGGGCCTCGGTTTCCTCATCTGTGAAACGGGATGAGAGCATACACCTCATGGACTGCTAAGAGGAGTGATGTGAAACGTGTGAGGCCGGGCTTGGTGGCTCACACCTGTAATCCCAACACTTTGAGAGGCCGAGGTGGGAGGATCGCTTGAGCCCAGGAATTCAAGACCAGCACGGACAACATTAACGAGACCTCATCTCTACAAAAAATGAAAAAGCCGAGCATAGTGGCGCACACCTGTGGTCCCAGCTACTTGGTGGGGCTGAGGTGGGAGGATCACTTGAGCCCAGGAGGTGGAGGCTGCAGCGAGCCAAGATCGGGCCACTGTACTCCAGCCCGGTTGACAGAGTGAGATCCTCTCTCAAAAAAATAAAATTAATAATAATAATTAAAAAAGAAATGTGTGTATGTAAAGCCCTGCCCCAGCCCCAGAGACCCCTATTCCCCAGATGGCGGGACAAGGCTCCCTCCAACATCTGAACTTCCGGACAAAAGAGCAAGGCTGCCCTTCAGGGGTCCCCACTGATGGACGGACGCTCCGTGCGGAAACACGGCTCTGAGCCCCACTTGGTTTTTCACTCAACAATACAGGGAATTCCTCTTTTCTACACACGAATGTACACCAGGACAGGCCAGCAGCTTCCCAGCTCACTGTCTGCCATTGACTTTTTTCTAGAAAGGTGAAACTTGGCTCCCTAACACGCATAAACTAACGTGTAAATACGGCTACAAAGCCTGACTGCTGAGCCCATGCGATCCACAGCAGGTCCTGTGCTCACAGCACGTTGAAAGTCTGCCTGAACCGCACGCCCTTGAGAACTTGTTGCTAAGTACAGGTCCTTGGCTAGACTGACAGCACCCCAATTATCACTGTCAAATATTTACCCAGATATTTTTGGAACATTCAAATCACCACACAGTGTCGAGAGCTGGATTATCAGTATCTGATGTCACTTTCCACCAGCCCTCACCATGGCCGGCAGGGACACTGTTTACTACCCAATCACAGGCCCTCCGGGAAAATGTCCTCTTGGTAACTGCACCTTTTCAAATGTGAATCCCATACAAGCTACTCTGGAGCACAGAGGGAGGGGTGGCAGTGATCCTCAGGCACAACCCACTGTCATTCCTCCAAAGATTTCAATCTGTTCACAAGAATTTGGCTCTGACCTGGGCACATGAACTTACCATTTCTAACTTCAAACCGATTTCTGAAAAGCCCTTCGGGCTTCTTAACGTGCTTCTGCTCAAAGACTTCTTCATCTTCCAGGGAAGTTCTTGCATAGTGACCTGTGGCAATGGCATCTGCCCCTGTGAGGTTTTTAGAACACAAGGATCAGGTTTTAGACTCATACTTGCAGGCCTTGATCAGCATAAACCAAGGCACAAAAGAAGAGTATAGACCCCAAGTCTTAGGCTGAGGGGCTGCACAATCCACCCTGCACCCAAACATAGAGATCCCAGGGAACAGACGCACACATCCAATTTCATCAAACAAGCAGCCTTGAACTCTTAAGCTGATACAACCTTGCTACTTAAAGTGTTATTGCACCTTTAAGAGCCTTTCCAAAGTTAATTTCTGGCTTAAGGAAACAGTCTGAAAGGCACAGAAAGATTTAAACACAAAATATTCCTTTCAGGGTTTGTGATAATACGAAGGGAGGCCAGGCGCGGTGGCTCATGCCTGTAATCCTAGCACTCTGGGAGGCCGAGGCGGGCAGATGATTGCTTGTGCTCAGGAGTTCAAGACCAGCCTGGGCAACATGGTGAAATCCCACCTTTACAAAAAATACAAAAATTAGCCAGGCGTGGTGGGGCACACCTGTAGTCCCAGCCACTTGGGAGGCTGAGGTGGGAGGATTGCTTCAACCTGGGAGGTTGAGGCTGCAGGAAGCCAAGACTGCACCACAGCACTCTAGTCTGGGCAACAGAGCAAGATGCTGTCTCAGGAGGAAAAAAAAAAAAAAAAGAACCAAAATGTTCAACACTGGGAGAATGTGAAGTGAATGACAATGCACTGCCGTAACAATGGGGGTCCTTACAGAGAATGTTTACTAACACGGGAAAATGCCCGGCACTGTTCAGCAGGGCGAGGATGTAACACCATGATTCCACGGTTTTTACTGTACAGAAACAGTTGAAGAAAAATCTCAGGTCTATTCCTTTGATTCTGAGAGTGAAATTATAGGTGTCGTTTCTCCTCTTTTA
This sequence comes from Homo sapiens, assembly GCF_000001405.40. Classification (NCBI taxonomy): domain Eukaryota; kingdom Metazoa; phylum Chordata; class Mammalia; order Primates; family Hominidae; genus Homo; species Homo sapiens. Next base: position 46,345,524 of record NC_000022.11, on the reverse strand, counting down.
AATTTTCTGTAATAAATATGTATTATTTTCATCAGAGTGAAGAATCATCCAGCACACTGTTTCTTCTTTTCATATTACACAAAGCCAAAGAGCCTAACAAGGTGCATATGAATCCAGAACCTTTTCATTGTGTAAAAATTCCAGATATTTGGGCCAGGCGCAGCGGCTCACGCCTGTCATCCCAGCACTTTTAGGAGGCCGATGTGGGTGGATCACTTGAGGTCAGGAGTTTGAGACCAGCCTGGCCAACATGATGAAACCCCGTCTCTACAAAAAAAGTACAAAAATTAGCTAGACATGTTGGTGGGCACCTGTAATCCCAGCTACTTGGGAGGCTGAGGCAGGAGAATTGCTTGAACTCAGGAGGTGGAGGTTGCAGTGAGCCGAGATCACACCACTGCACTCCAGCCTGGGAGACAGAGTGAGACTCCATCTCAAAAAAAGAAAAAATTACAGATATTTAGTATTGCAAGAGACTTTTATGAAAGGTGCAGCAAAATGGATTCCATCCTGGACCAACCACACTAGCTCAGTGTAAACAGAAGACACAGCCATCCTGGACCAGCCACACTAGCTCCATGTAAACAGAAGACACAGCAAGAATTAGCTGCTGCATATTAACGACCTGAAAAAGGCACTTTAGAGACACATAATCTCATCTTGACTGAGGTTCTCCTAGAGAAAACAATCCACTTTACATCTGTGTCCTCAAAGAACAGCACTTATACTAGAAAAAGCGCAGGATGCCTCTGAGAAGCGCGGTGAGTTCAGAAGTCTGGGCGTCATGTCCTCTCATCCTGTGCTGCACGGTTCATGCCTTTCTTCCAGGTGTGGAAACATTCACTGCAGAAGTTCCTTCCACAGCGTGCCTGACAGCCAGCCACCTAGGGGCTCCCTAAAAAGCTTTCGTGACAGCTTAATGCTCTCCAAAGGCAAGCCTTCCCTTCCTGAACAGCTGCCTGCGCCTCCACCTCAGGGAACTCTTTCTCCTGCCAGTCCTAACTGTCTGCTGGTGTCACACAAAGAATGTCATCCTAACTCACACGCTTGACCACTGCCACTACGACCCAAAGTAATTTCAACAGTTCAGGGAGGACATATTTCCAGATACCCTGAAAATAAAAATCAATTCACATTCTATCAGTCTATCACTCTTTTCCTGAATAACTAATACGGTCTAACCAGGACGGACCACAGGGGACGCATCACCCCTTCCTAGACATTCTATGATCATCAAGGTGAGCTCCGTCTGTGCTGGCTCTGACAAAAGACATCACACTACTGGCTCAGTCAGCCTGGGGGCACCTAAATCCCCCAGATTTTCTGCAACCAATGGCAGAAGATTCAATGGCAACCAAGCTAGGTCTTTCCAATCTTGTCCTAGGAGAATTACTGAACCTAGTTAGCAAACTTTGCATTTATCTCTATTAAGTTTCATGTTTTTGGTGTTAGCCCAATGTTGAAATTTAAGATTTTTCTTTTTGATTTTTTGTTTTTGTAGGCATTTGTTTATTCCTAACTCCACAAACTAACTTTCATCATTATCATCAACTCAGCTTTAGGTTGCTGACATATTGAATCTGCAAGCCTAATCTACATCATTGCTGAAAGTGCCGACACTACTGGGCCCCTGGCTTACAATGGTATCTCGTAGCAACACACAACAGGGTGAGCTGCAGTGGGACAGAGCAAACCAAGAAGCCTGAGCCAGAACTTCAGAAACTCATTATGGTGACCCCAATGGCAGGGGACAGGAAGAAGAACCTAAAATTCATAAAGCATAGCCACAGACATCAAGAGGTGGTCTAAGCAAGCAATTCAGTATCAGGAGGTTCCACAAGAAGAAACAGGCTAGGCACAGGGGCTCACGCTTGTAATCTCAGCACTTTGGAAGGCCGAGGCAGGAGGACTGCTTAAGGCCAGAAATCTGAGACCAGCCTGGACAATACAGTTGTGACACCATCTCCACAAAAAATTAGCCACCATGGTGGCATGCCTGTGGTCCAAGCTACTCAGGAGCCTGGGGTGGGAGAATCTCTTGAGCCCAGGAGGTCGAGGCTGCAGTGAGTCATGATCGCACCACTGCAATCCAGCCTGGGTGACAGAGCGAGACCCTGTCTTTAAAAAAAAAAATGTTTTAAACCCAAATTACTTACCAAGATTATCCACAGCATAATGAAAAAAGCAACTAAATTTGATGTGCTTGTTGCAAACTATGTCAGGATTGGGAGTCCTTCCTTTTTCATACTCATTCAAAAAGTCACTAGAATAAAAGAAAATGACTTCAGTTCCAAGTGTGAAACATTCCTCAAAAAAAAAAAAAAAGTTCACTAAATTGCTTGTTTAATGTAATTTCCCCTTGTCATACCAAAACTATAATTTTCTGCAAAACAGGAGAACGTCAGTCATCGAACATTTGTTTATAACCTGCTGCATGGGCCACCCGACAAGGTGTTATTCTCTGCCACTACGGCTCAGGAGCCACCGTCTCTGTGTAGGCTCACAGGGCTTATGGGGTCAGGAGTGGGGAGTGGCCGTGAGGGTCTCACTAAAACCCTGCCTCTGGGACTCCTCCAACACAGCAGGGCTTAGGTGAGGAAGAGAAGATGCCTGAGTGACAGTGGAAATGAAATCCTTTAGACTTCCCTTGCAGATTCTCCCACCTCAGCCTTCCGAATAGCTGTGATTACAGGTGCGCAGCACCATGCCCAGATAATTTTTGTATTTTTAGTAGAGACGGGGTTTCACCATGTTGGCCAGGCTGGTCTCCAACTCCTGGCCTCAAGTGATCTGCCCGCCTCAGCCTCCCAAAATGCTGGAATTAGAGGCGTGAGCCACCGCACCTGGCCCACTGCAACCTTTTCTTTTTTTATAGAGATGAGGTCTTGCCATGTTGCCCATGCTGATACTGAACTCCAGGCCTCAAGCAAGTCTCCTGCCTCAGCCTCCTAAAGTGCTAGGATTACAAGCGTCTACCTTTCTGACTGTGGGTCTTAAGACCCTCCCCAGACACAGTCCCACTGTATATCCTGGGGGAAGGAATGGCGATGTCATGAAGCCTCCATAAAAACCCAGGAGTACTGGGTTCAGAGAGCTTCTGCACAGCTACACTTGTGGAGGCTCCTGGAGGGTGGTCCCCAGGGAGGGTGTGGACACTCCATGACCCTTTCCCCATACCTCACCCAACCCGTCTCTTCATCTGTATCCTTTGCAACATCCTTTATAATAAACTGGTAAATGTGTTTTTCTGAGTTCTGTGAACCACTCCAGCAAATTATTAATAATTGAACCCAAAGAGGAAGTTATGGGAATCCCAACTGGAAGCCAGTTGGTCATAAGTTCTAGAGGCCCATACTTTCGACTGCTGTTGTGGGGGGAGTCCGTCTGGGGGACTGAACCCCCAACCTTTGGGATCCAGCACTATCTCCAAGTAGATGGTATCGGAACTGAATCAGAGGACACCCAGTCGGTGTCCACTGCTTGCTGTATGGGGAAAACCCCCCACACCTTTGTCACAGAAGCCTTCTTCCGTGAGGATGACTGCCGTGATGAGAACAGAGGAGAAACACAGTCAGAGGCTTCCCTACACAAGGGCTCCATGAGCCATTCTGCAATCTCAGCCTGGAATGCTGCGTCACTGGGCAAATATACCAAAAATACTATCCTCAGGTGACAAACACACACTTCTGAGAACTAGCAAACTCTTGGGTGCTTAAAGTGGATCAGGCTATCCTAATTCAGTGAACTTCTGCTCTAACAGACTGACTGAACATGGGAAAAAGATGCCATGATACCAGCAAAACTTACCAAGAATTTCATAGTCTTCGAGGATTCACTTCAAGAGGGTTATGATGCCTATTTTGGGAGTTTAAAAATGGGTGTATTTTTGGTATAAGTGATTTTTTTCATTTAACCTAAAACTCTCTATTAATCAACAAGGGTTAAAAAAAAAACCAGTGCTGATCAAGAGGTTTGTGTTTTGCAGACATATCACAGATCTGCACAGGGTCAGAGGTTCCTTGGATATCTTCCACTTTAGCAGGCACCAAACTGTTTTCCTACTTCTCAGTCCCCCTAGAAGTTCATAAAAACTCATGTTTTTCCACATTTGCAACAACACTTGATATTATTACACTCTTTCCATTTTGCTTTAATTATTAGAAAGTTACCAGGAAGCTCATTAAACTATAAACTACTTAAGGTGCAATCTGTGTCTGTGTCCTAGACCCAACAAACTTTCTATATCACAGTCATCAATAAATGTTGAAGAGGCTGAACATTAAAATCAGTTTCTGAAAAGACACACTGTTAACCCTTTCGTAAACAGCAGATGGGAAGGCGTGTGTTTTGGCATTAGCAAAAACAATGGAGTAGCCCAGCCTCTTCTCTAACTGGAAAGAAGAGAAGCCTTTCATGTGCCTCGGGAGGGAGACAGATTTAAAAGACTCAGCAGCTAAAACGTATCTGGACTCTGATCCTTGAAGGCCAGTGGGTCTTGAATGAAAGAATGCAAAAGAAATCTCTGAGCTAGAGAGCCCTACTAGAGAAGTGAGTCTTCAGCGGAAAGACCAATGCCTCCACGGGCAGCTGGTACTGGGCGAGGGCAGAGGGCAGGCTGGCTGGAGCCAGGGGCGACCTCGGGGGCAGCCCCAGAGATGGGAAAAGACTCTACCCGGCCGCCTCCTTCTCTCAGTCCCTATCAAGCAGCGCCAGAAGGCGGCAGCAAGCACTGGCCTGGAAAGCTGGGTTTTAATCCCAGCTCCGCTCCTAATTCTGGGGTTTAATCCCAGCTCCGCTCCTAATTCTGGGGTTTAATCCCAGCTCCGCTCCTAATTCTGGGGTTTAATCCCAGCTCCGCTCCTAATTCTGGGGTTTAATCCCAGCTCCGCTCCTAATTCTGGGGTTTAATCCCAGCTCCGCTCCTAATTCTGGGGTTTAATCCCAGCTCCGCTCCTAATTCTGGGTTTTAATCCCAGCTCCGCTCCTAATTCTGGGGTTTAATCCCAGCTCCGCTCCTAATTTGCCATACTATTCAAGTCACTCTTCCTATCTGGCCTCAGCTGAGCTAAACTTCAAAAATCGCATCCACTCGTACGTTCTGAAAAAGCTGTGCTGGCAGGTGAAGTGTAAGCTCACTTGGATTCCCTGTTGTCCCCTCAAACTCTACAGTACTCATGAGGAATCCCCTAAACCAGCTTTCCCCAGCCACCCAGCCTTGATCTTGAAACTACTGCTGACTCCTCTCCTCTCTGGTCTCCCACACACATCAGTCCCTAAGCCGCATCACACCTTTTCTCAAAGAAAGACCCTGACAACCCCCCACACCACCAGCACAGCTGAAGTGCTTATTAAAGCAGATTCCAGGGCCGCCCCCAGACCTCGGTCCAGGTCTGTGTTTAACAAGCACCTCAGATCTACTGCCCGGTGGACTTGTCCTCTGGGTCCAACAAGCCAGCCCTCACCTTCCACTCCCACACTCCCTCCCCATGAAGTCCAAATCTCCAGCAACAGCACTTCCTGAGACTCTCTGCCTTTGGTCTTCCCCCAGATTTATCCTGTATTTGGCCGCCACACTCTTTTTTTTTTCTTATGTCCCCGAGAAAACTGCAGAAGTTTTTAATGCATTTATCATGCATTCTACAGATAAGTTTTTAATGCATTTATCATGCATTCTACAGGTAACTTTCCCCAGGAAAATTCAGCCATCAGTTTTGTCCATGTTGTTAATATATACGACACCCATATGTTATAGCATAGAGTCACAGAGGGTTCATATTCAAGCTCTTCCGTTGATTATTTAGGTGACCATAGTCAATTTACTTAATCTCTCTAAATTTCGTTTTATTGTTATTTCAATGGTTTTTTGGGCAACAGCTGGTATTTGGTCACATGGATAAGTTCTTCAGTGGTGACTTCTGAGATTTTGGTGTACCCGTCACCCAAGCAGTGGACATTGTACCCGATGTGTAGTCTTTTATCCCTCACCCCAGAGTCCATTATATCATTTTTATGCCTTTGCGTCCTCATAGCTTAGCTCCCCAGACTCATCTTTTTAATAATGAAAATAAAAATAGCAGGCTGGCGTGGTGGCTCACGCCTGTAATCCCAGCACTTTGGGAGGCTGAGACGAGTGGATCTTCTGAGGTCAGGAGTCTGAGACTAGCCCGGCCAACATGGCGAAACCCTGTCTCTACTAAAAATACAAAAATTATCCGGGCGTGGTGGTGCATGCCTATAATCCCAGCTACTTGGGAGGCTGAGGCATGAGAATCGCTTGAACCTGGGAGGCAGATGTTGCAGTGAGCCAAGATTGCGCCACTGCACTCCAGCCTGGGCAACAGAGCGAGGCTCTGTCTCAAAAAAAAATAGAAAAGAAAAACAGCTATGTTTATTGACTGCTTACTAATATACCAGGCATACATACTAGAACCTAATCTCAATTCTTTCATAACCCTGTGAGGCATCAGTGTTATCCTCATTTTAAAGATGAGAAAATTGGGGCTTAGAAAAGTCAAGTATCTCTTCTGGGTCTTTGTTGGCAGGAAAAAAAGAGAATTTTTTTCAATTAAAAAAACAAAGTCAAGTAAATTGCCCAAGGTCATATAATAAGCTACAGTCAGGACTCAACCCAAGGCTCTTCTGCCCCTAAAGCCCACTCAGGCAGGGGCAGCCTGTCCCGCGCACATGGCCTGCTGTGTCAGACGCCTTCGACAACTGCCCGACATTCATCACAGTCAGGGCTCACCAGAGGATGAGCCCTACACTCCTTCCACTGCAGGAACAAAAGTCCAGCCAAACTTTACAACGGTCCTGAAATACACAATCAGCATTTCTTCTCCCCTTCACGCTGCTCTCGTTACCCCATTTGGAGTCCCTTCTCTACAACTTTGTTTGCAACCCCTCCTCTCCGGTGAAGCCTTCTTGATTACTCCACACTGCAAGTTTCTCCCTCCTCTGGGTTCAGTGACTGATAGCATCACTGGTACTTCCTGCGTGCCACGCATCACTGTCACCTCTTGTGAAGATAATGTCCTCCCAACTAGACCGCAAACTCCTACAGAGCCAGGTCACAGTGAAGACATCTTAATGTTCCTAGATGTGGCACACGCCTAGCACACAGCACTTAATTATTGAGATTATATTGGATTTTAGAAAAGTTTTTGTTTGTTTCTTGTTTTCAGAGGCACAGGCCATGTATCACCTCTTTCTCAGAAATCCCCTAATCGCTGACCCACATAGCACACAGGCATTGGTGCTCACCTTCCAGGGGAGCCCTCAGCCTTAGCTCCCCTATCCTAACTGGGCAACAGAAACAGCTCAAGGTCCAAGAAAGCATTAAAGAGACTTCAGGCAAGTGGCAAAATGACAGGAGTGAGAGAGCTGGGTGTGCTGTGGGGTCCAGGCCTCGCCTCTAACACAGAGCCCCGAGGGTGGCTGAGGCCTCTTGCAGTCTTCAGCACCACCGTGGAGGGAGAGCGCTGGGCTGCAGCACAGGCGTCGGTCTGGCTGGTTACCGGATCCTTCCACTGCAAGGATCCACAGTGTGAGGAAGCTTCCTTTGTGCTGTGACCCGCACTCACCTGAACACATCATTCCAATACTCCTTTACGTAGGACACTTGATGGAAAGGGATGTCTAAGATCTGGCAAACTCTGTAAGCATCTTCACAGTCTTTGTCGGCAGTACAGACCCCATGTTCATCCAGTGAGTCCCAGTTCTTCATAAACACCCCTGTCACCTGGTAACCTGCGGGCGGGAAGGTCAATTAAAGAGAATACATAAATCAACCTTCGGTAAAACGGCAGTGATTTCTGAGCTCTGAGAAGTTCCCCACACGCTGTGCTCCTGTGCCTCTGTGCCTGGCCTGCCGGGCAGTCCCTGCTTTGCCATGTGGCTTCAGGGATCCGGTTTCCATCTTGGTGCCTGAGTCCCCAAGATTAACGAGGTGGTATTTTCTCATCTTTGTGTCCCCATCTATGTATCAGCACAATACCTAGCAGGAGGGGATCAGCCAGTGTGTGTGGAATACACGAAGGAATAGTCGAAACTCAACAAAATTTTTCAAAGCACCATTCAGTTATCAAAAAAGGAAACTCTTTTCAAAAGTTATTTCTAGTTACTATCTAAGACTTAGATTCTAAGTGATCAGATATAAAGATAATTAAAATTTTCGATATTTTGTAAGAGCTGTACCACCTAGTTTATGACCTATTTTCTACCTTTTCGATTGTAACAAAATATTCACCCAAATATTGGAAAGGCCAACTTTAGCCCTACACCACCTTAGCAAACTACACAGGTGCAGACCCTGTATGAGAAAGCTGGTTCGTTTAGGTAGGCTGAATGTAATGAAAGACAGGGCAAATGACTGCTGAAGAAGGCTTCATATAGTACCCAAAACAACAGAAATTTGATGACAAAGCTTTGTCAAAACTACACCACCACACGCGAAAGACCACCCCTATCCCAGATCAACCAGACTAATGTCTACCTAACAGTCTAAAGCCCCTGGTATAGCATCTTCCATAATCAGGGCTAAACGTGCTCCAGGCTCCTCTCCTTCCATCTCCATCTGGCCAGAACCAGCCCACACTTGCAGGCCTCTGTGATTCTGCTTGCACTGCTGACTGTGCCGGGAGGGCCGCCTCCACCTCCAAGTCTCTGCTTAGTGACATCCTACTCTTCTTTCGACTCAGCTGAGCACCTCCATCTCTAGGATGCTTTCCTCCACTCTCCCTTCCTCACAACTATTTCTGCTTATGGTCCGCCTACCCTTCTCTTTGGCACTTACTGTACCTACCATAATAGCTATGGTTATTAACAATATAAACTAATAGCCACTACTGTTTTCTGCGTACCTCGTATGTGCTGAGCACGTACTCATCAGTATGTACTATGTCATCTAATCCCTCCAGTCACCCCGTGAGGCAGGTGTTAGCCGAATTTTACAGGGGACGGCTTAATTCACTTGCCCAAGGTCAGGAGCCAAAGATGGCGCAAAGCAGAGCTCCACAAACGTGACTCTGTGAATGAGGCCTCCCGCGGGGAGCCACACAGGTGAAGTTAAACAAGTGCTCATTTCAGCGCCGGGCCCGAGGAATGCTAAGCACCCGTGGGGCTCCGTTTAGATGCCGGAAGAAATGCAAATGCTCCTGGAGAAAACTTTGTCCTCCAGCGAGCGGAGAACACAGGAGACGCTGAACAAGCAGACCCGCCGCGCGGCAGTTGTCCAGTCTGCTGAGTGGGGAGGACAAGGACCTCCCACCGGGCGGCCACAGCGTGTGCAGAGGTCAGGCCCCCGGCCCGGCGATCCCAGCTCCCCTCACCAGTGTCCACGGTCTCACAGGTGAATGTGGACGCCGCAGATCCGTGAGAAACCCTTCCCTCCCCACCCCACCCCGGCCCGCCGGCTTCTCACTGTGGGTGGGCGCGCGTGGGTGGAGAGGGGCGCGGAACTGCTCCCAGGTAGTCGGAGCTGCAGTCGCGCACACCTCCGACTACACAGGTGGAGGGCGAGGAGCCTCCGAACCAAAGTCAGAGGACGGGGTATCCTCCTGCCGACCCGCGCGCAACCAGCGGCCCAGGGAGGGAGGAGACGTGCACAACGCCACGACGGACGGGGACAGGTTTCCGGGGACACATTCGCTCGGCGGGGGGCGGGAGCCTCGGACGCCTCACCTCTCCGCCTCAGCAGCAGCGCGGCCACGGCGCTGTCCACGCCGCCGGACAGGGCGCACACGACGTGCCGCAAGGCCTGCATCCGCCAGTCGCCCAACTTCGCCAGCTGCAGCTACCGCCGCTTCCGCGCCTTGCCGGAAGTCCCGCCCCGGCCGTAGGGTCCGCGCTAGTGGCCCGGCCGGAAGCTGCGGCAGCTTACCCGCGTTCCGTCCGGCCTTCCCCTGTCCCGCGGCGGGTTCCCCTGTCTCCGGCCTGCGCTCACCCCTGAGGCTCCACCGACCCGCGGGGCGCCGAGACTCTGTCGGGCCGCGAGGGGCTGGCTTTTTTTTTGAGCCGCCGCCTTGCCCTCCCCACCCGCGCCCCGGCCTCACTGCTCTTCTTCTGCGCTGTAAACCAAAAATAAAATTCTAAGCCCCCCAGCCAGCCATTGGAGGCCTCCTCTCGGCCAAGGGCGTCCTAGAGGGAACCTGAACCGCGAGTTCGGGCTCTGATGGGAAAGGCCGGGTGGGACCCGCCTCACTAGACCCTCCTCCTCCCTTTGGAATTCGGACCAGCATTAACGTCAAAACAGACTTAAGACTGTCTAGGCGGACTCTCCGTAGCAATAGGATACCGACATGACAGATGGCAGGCCCTGAAAGATATCGAAGTATTTTACAGTATTTTAATTTAATTTAATTTTTAATTAATTAAATTTTTTTGAGATGGAGTTTTGCTCTGTCGCAGGCTGGAGTGTAGTGGGCGCGACCTCGGCTCACTGCAACCTTCACCTCCAAGATTCAAGCGATTCTCCTGCCTCAGCCTCCCTAGTAGCTGCGATTACAGGCGCCCGCCACCAAGCCCAGCTAATTTTTGTATTTTTAGTAGAGACGGGGTTTCACCGTATTTGCCAGGCTGGTCTCTCACTCCTGACCTCAAGGGATCCGCCCACCTCAGCCTCCCAAAGTGGCGGGATTACAGGTGTGAGTCACTGCCCCCGGCCCAGAAAATCTTTGAATCCACCTATGACCTGGAAGCCCCACCCCACCTTCGAGTTGTCCCACCTTTCCGGAACCAATGTTACATCTTACATGTATTGATTTATGGCTTATGTCTCCCTAAAACGTACGAAACCAAAAGCTGTAGCACCACCAGTTTGAGCACGTGTTCTCAGGATCTCCTGGGACTATGACATGAATAAATATCTTCAAATCTTTTACAGTTTGACTCCAAGCATACTCAGCACTCAATCCTTAATGTCTGTGAGGTGTGTTGGACAGGGGTTTTGTGTTCTGTCCACTCCTACTCCATGCCCAGAAAAGCCCCTGGCCCAGGGCAGGTGCTTCATAACCTCGCTGAATAAAGGAAGGAGGAGAGAATGGAGGTCATCCCCCAGGGGTGATATTCAAGCTGAGTTCTTCTCTACGAGTTAGCATCTAGACAAGGTCTACCTAAAGCACAGGGAGACTCTGAACGAAAAAGATGTTCATTTGTGAATAGGGCATTGCAATGGGAATATGCATGCCACAATAAGCTATGTGGGTATTCAGGGAAGTAAAGGAAGACAAAGGTTTTTATTTTATTTATTTATTTTTTTGAGACAGTCTCACTTGGTCACTAGGCTGGAGTGCAGTGGCGTGATCTTAGCTCACTGCAACCTCCGCCTCCCGGGTTTAAGCGATTCTCCTGCCTCAGCCTCCGGAGTAGCTGGGATTACAGGCACATGCCACCACACCCAGCTAATTTTTGTATTTTTAGTAGAGACGGCATTTCACCATGTTGGCCAGGATGGTCTTGATCTCCTGACCTTGTGATCCGCCCGCCTCGGCCTCCCAAAGTGCTGGGATTACACGCGTGAGCCACAGTGCCCGGCCTAGGAAGACAAAGGTTTTTAAAGGGAAAATGAGGATCACATCATTGTTTTGAGATAATTCTTTGGCTACAAAGATCAATAACAAGGGTGACAGCACTCCAGGGTTGGACAAGCAGTTGCTGGGCAGATGTCCTTGCAACAGAAGTTTTTTGTTTTTTTTTTTTTTTTGAGGAAGGTTACGATAGCCTTTGTGTAAAGTTGTGGTTTTTGCAGTCTTTTGTGATAGTTGTTATTATTAGGCACATGTGCATGAGAACCCTCCCTTGTGGTATGAACCCAAAGTACCTGAGACAGGTTTCAATTTAGAAAGTTTATTTTGCCAAGGTTAAGGACATGCCAGTGACACAGCCTCAGGATGATGTCCTGAGGATATGTGCCCAAGGTGGTCGAGGCACAGCTTGCTTTGATACATATTAGGGAGACACAGGACATCAATTAATACGTGTAAGATGTACACTGGTTCTGTCTGGAAAGGCGCAACAACTGGGGGTGGTGGGCAGCTCGCAGGTCATAGGTAGATAAGAGATAAACTGTTGCATTCCTTTGGGTCTTTGATCAGCCTTTCACTGAATACACAATCTCCATGTGAGAGGCAGGTAGAGGAACAGTCACTGATGCCTTAGTCTGGCTCAGTGAATCTGCATTTTCACATAAACAATAGGGCAGAGGAAGCAATCAGACATGCATTTGTCTCAGGTGAGCAGAGGACTGATGGTGAGTTGTCCATTGTCTGGCATCTGTGAAGATAAGCTATCAATTTACATTGCCAGGGTGAAATTCAACAGAACTATTTTAGGGTAAAGATCTCGAGGTCCACGAGGAATTTCCAAGAAGAAAAGCAGGAACTACCAACAGGAGAGCCCTGGGGACTGGTGCCAGGAGGAGCTGCAAGACAGGAGGGAGGTCACAGGGCCTGTGGGGAAAAGGATGACCACTTTTTCAGAATAAAGGATCAGGAAAATACCCAACAGGAGGGCAATTTCATCTTGCATTTCCCGGAAGAGATAAGGAAATCCAGTATCTGGGCAGCTGAGTTTGTGCAGATTTAGAGGTACACGTTTAGGCTGTGTCTAAACTTGAGTCTGGGTCTGGGGGCAGGCCCTCCTTGGGTGTGGCAGGCTGATCTAAGGTTATGGCAGGTTAAGTCCCAGTTGCAGCCAACCCGCAAAATGGCTGAGATCCATGCTCACATATTTTCTGCTACTTTTTGGTTAACTATATGGTATTTTAGGTACTCCGTAGCTCCAAGAGGCCCCTGTGTATCACCCAGGTCCACTACAGGCTAGTTATGGCCAGGATGACGACATCCCAGGTGCCGCCTGCCAACAGCAATGTCAGAGACGTGGATTTCAGAGATGTAAAATGGGAAGACATTTGCTCCACAAAATTAATGAAATGTGGTAAAAAATCACATGAAGTTGGACGTCTTGGACCTGGGAGGGTGGCCCTCCAGTGGCAGCTGAGGTGTTCGGTGCCATCCTATGGAGAAAGGGGCTGGCCCTCCTGGGGCCACGGAGCCCTTCAGTCTCCAACTAACTGTGCATCTTCCCACCCGGAGCCCTCTGAGGGGTGAACCAAGGGCCTGTGTACCAGGAGAGGGAGTGGGGGAGCTCAGACTGGGTGGCTTCGGCAGGAAGAGCCCAGTGGAGAAACCCAGACAGAAAGGAATGGGCCTGGAGCCTCAGGACAGGAGCAGCTCTGCTCTGTCCAGCTCCTGCTCCTGGGCCCTCTTCCTGTCTGTCTGTAGAGAGTTAAAGTCAGATCACTCTGTCTGGCCTGGGTACCAAGGAGAGCCTGGCTGCACTGAAGCCGCACCGGGGAGGGGAAGGGCACAGGGGGGAGGAGCCCCAGCAGCGGGATTGGGGCCACAGGCCAAAGGCTGGGCTCACCCCCAGGGCCTGAATGGAGACAACTGAGGCACAGCTTGGTTACAGATGAGCTGGGAGCTGAACATCTCCCTCCTCTACCCAGTGGGAAGCCCTAAGAGGGAAGGGGTACCTGAGCGCTGCACCCCGCTGCACCCAGCAGAAAACAGCCTGACCCATAGCAGAGCCTCAGTAAATATTTGCTGCATGGTTTAATCCAATTTCAGATTTCCTTTTCTACCCCTGGGAAATGAGGGCCAGACCAGAGGTTCCCTGAGGACCCTCCGGTGTCACTACCAGGCCCCTGGGATTCCCTGCTGTCCCGGAGACGTGGAGCCGCCGTGATTCCCACGGGCCCGGCGACTCTGGCCAGCGCAGGACTGGCTGAAAGTCTTACCTGGGGAGTCACTGCTCATGGAGCGGGGCTTCTCTGGCTTCATGACTCACACATCCAAGCAGCTCTGCCTGTGGGGAGCTTCCGTCTGCAGGCGCAGCAACTCAGCCGTGAGAAGCGCGCCACCTTTCCACCATGGCAGTTTCCACCGAGACGTCTTTCCACGGCATCGCCTGTCCACCCTACCCCTCCCTGCTCTCGACGGCAGAGGACTCGCTGTTCCGAGTGGCAGCTTTAGAATCACGCAGTAACCGCAGGAAGTAGAGAGCACAGCACAGTCATCATTTTCCCTCATCTTTGTGGACAGAGGCAGATCCTGGTATGACCCAGGGAGCACTGGAGTGGGGTCCGAAATACAGAGTCCGGCCGCTGGCTCGCTGCTGTCTGCCATGAAGCCGCTCAACCAAGGTGGTAAGTTTCCTCAAGAGAAATGGACACAAAGTAGCGGCTTCCTGGAGCTCGTTTTCTAAATAAAGGGAATGGGCTTTCCAGTGGCACTCAGTTCCTGCCACTGCCCACTGAGCTTGTCGGGCCCCTGCTGAGAGCAAAGCTGAGGGGTCCTCCCCGAGGCCTGCCCAGCAGACGCCGTCCATCACCTTAGTGTCCAGGTAAGCCCGGCCTCCTCGCCCATCCTCTTTCCACTCATACCCTCGTCTCCCCAGAGCAGCTTCTTCTCAAGGGGTGTGTCTCAGGCCATCGAGTCAGCATCACCTGTGTGCCTAGTAACAATTACTAGGCTGGCCCCAGACCTAGAAACTAGTGTATCTGGGGGCGGGCCTGGGCCTGCACTGACATCAATTTTTATTGACTAATTTTTGAAAATCACTTGTATGAAAGCATTCGAGTCTAGATAGTAGCCTTACTGATTAGAGTGATAAAAATAGCTATGCATGTTTGAAAATCAAGATAAGCTTAAAAATCAAGATATGCTTCAATAAGTCCATTTATTTTACAATTTAATGTAAATCTAGAATATCTAACTATTTATACAAACTTAACTTTAAAAATAGCCACTTGCTATTTTACATACAAAACATTCAAAAGAAAATTCTTCATTTAGAGTGACTGAGGCTTCACATTCCAGCCCAGAGAATGGCAGCGAGGAGGGTGGCGGCGGGAAGCAGAGGCCTTGGGTGGTCCGTGCTGGCCCCAGTCCCTCAGCCCACCCTCTCCAGCACTGGGAATATATTTATGCTTATTTTTCTTTTTCAAATAAAACTTCTACTAAAACATGTTTCTTTTTTTTTTTTTCCAAGACAGGTTCTCACATTGGTGCCCAGGCTGGAGTGCAGTGGCACAATCACAGCCCACTGCAGCCTGCATCTCCTTGAGCTCAGGCCATCCTCCCACTTCAGCCTCCCAAGTAGCTGGGACTACAGGCATGCACTACCACACCCGGCTAATTTTTGTATTTTTTGTAGGGACAGGAGTTTCACTATATTTCCCAGGCTGGTCCCGAACTCCTGGGCTCAAGTAATCCGCCCACCTCAGCCTCCCAAGTTCTAGGGTTACAAGTGTAAGCCACTGCGACCAGCCTAAAGCTTGTTTCTGAGGGTTGAAAACCACTTTAGGGCTGTTCTTTCAAGGCAAAGGATTTGGTTCGGCTTAGAACTTGAGGAGTGGGGAATCCACGTTCTCCTTGTCAGCCTCAGGGCTCAGCTGGATCAGAGGGGAGCTCAGGTCTATGAGCTGGAAGAGAGCAGAGTGGAGGAGGTGAGCGTGGATCCGGCTAGGGCCTCCCTTCCCCTCCCTGCACAGAGGACTGGCTGCGTGGGTCATCACAGCCACTCGCTCATCCTGGCTCGGGTGCACTGAAAAGCACTCTGGGCCACCACGTCTAAGAAGCTGGAAGGAGACAGGACACACACGGAGAAGCCCAGGCCCCCACCATGCACATTCCTCTGTCCCACATCTGGCCCTGGGGTCTATGGGCAGGAGAGAGGCGGTCCCTGTCCAACAAGAGCTGGCAGGGTCCTGGCAGGGCACCTCAGAGGCAGCTGATCTTTGAGAAGCTCAGGCTGCCAAAGGTGCATCCTGCCCTGAGGTGTGTAGCTGAGAAGACTCAACAGCCACTCTCAAGGGTCCCACGATGGCCCTGGGAGGATGAACAATCCCAGAACTGAGGACACCCAGGGCTGAGTCAACATGAACCACCTGCCACTTCTCACCTGTCCCACCACCGGTGAAGGTTTGGCCACATTTTTATTCATGTCTGGAGTGTTTGTCATGAGGTCGATCAGAGGCCTGCTTTCAGATCCTACAGCCACGTGTGCTTCTGGGGTATCGCAGAAGTCGATGAGAGGAAGGTCAATGAGGGGCTGGCTTGCAGCATCTGGAGTGACCGCGAGTGGTTCCAGTTTGATATCTACAAGAAGAGCCTGGGTACAAAACCAAGGTTAAGAGCAGAGTCCAGCATCTTTCTGGCAACCATCTTGGGAGAATGTGAGCTTTGCTCATGTTCCAGGTGGGCTGGCGGTTTGGAAAGCCAAGGAATCAGGCGGGGCCTTGGTGGAAGGAGGCTCTGTATGGGGTGGGCCGTGCCTCTCTGACTGTTGCCCACCTCCCTGTCCATACCCGCTCACCAGCAGCCACCAGCTCCTGCCACCCTGCTTCCCGCTTCCTCAGCTTTGATCCCTGACCCTTGCCTTAGTCAAATGCAGGGCTTTCTCCCCTGGAGGCCTGGAAGTCCTGACTGCCTCCCTTTGGGTTGCTTGGCACGGAGGCACTGGCCCCAGGATGAA
Organism: Homo sapiens; assembly: GCF_000001405.40. NCBI lineage: Eukaryota > Metazoa > Chordata > Mammalia > Primates > Hominidae > Homo > Homo sapiens. The sequence continues at coordinate 46,328,994 of NC_000022.11, read as the reverse complement.
GCATGGCAGGGAACTCCGCCAGCCACAGCCCTGGGTTCCACGGGCTTCCCGAGCAGCCTCCAGGAATCTCAGCTAACAGAACCCAGCTGCGCCCGTTCTGCCCACCTCACTAGGGGCTGCATCTCCACCCGGCTTGGCTTCCTCCCGAGCTACTTCTGTGGCAGTACTTTTGGAGAAAGTAGAATCGCTTTCCTCTGGAGAAAAGTTAAGTGCCTGAGGCACACGGGAAGGAGGAGAACCCCTGTCAGGGGACACATCCACCAGCCTGGAATCTGTCTTTCTGTTGCTCTCCCTTGTTGGTTCAGTTCTGTGGGAAGGAAAAAAACTTATGAGAAAATGTCTCTAAAATGCTCGTTCACTTGGCTGATGTGGGAAGCAAGTCACTCTGGAGGAACAGTGTCCTGGGTGGAGTGCGTCCCGGCTCTAGGGCCTTCACCCTCCAGACCCCCAGTTTCCTGTGTATGGAAGGGGCTCAGTGATCTCTCCAGTTCCTCTCAGCTCACAAATCTTAGCTGTCCAGCATCACCAGGGGCTGATGTTAGCCCCTTCCTTTCTAGTTACTAAACACAAGGTAATGCGCACGCCCGTCACCTCCTGAAGGGAGCCCAGACCACACACAGGGACCCCTCCTTGAGCCACGGCCAGCTCCTCCTCGCATGCAGCTAGTGGGGGGCTTCTCCTAGGCCTAGGTGGGTATGCAGCTGGCTCCTTCTGCCCCAGATGCCCCCTCCCCTGCTGCCCAGTGCCCTGATCAGGGCTGAGGCCCCAGGTACAGGCTGCCCACACCAGCTTTCCAATGGCGTCTCCCACAGGACCCTGCACGGGCGCTGCTGGGCTTGCCTGCTGCCCACAGGTCCTCGAGTACCTGCCACGCAAAACTGAATTCCTTCCGGAAACCCAGCAAAGCCGCAGGTCCATCAACTAACACACAGTACCTTCTTTTTAATACTTCAGAGGTTTCATAAGAAAATTCCAAAAACAAGCAGAATTTTGTTTCTACATTTACACTTACAAACATACAAGATAGTTAAACACATATTCCTATTTATATATCAGATCTGGTGTTTTCAGTGAGGCCTTGTTTCTCATTTTCTCTTTGGCATTCCATGCCTTTCCCTCTCCCTCTGTAATGCACACACATGCCAGCATATTTTCTTCCAGAGTCTTCTGCATTATCATAGAACTACATAGATACACACAGTGTCAACACCTACTGTTGGTAGATGTACATACACAGAAACATATAAGATATATAAAAATGTGTAATTTGTGTATAAATACACGGATATTATATATGTTTTTTTGTTTTGTTTTTCGTTTTTTTGAGACAGGGTCTCTGTTGCACAGGCTGGAGTGCAGTGGTGCGATCTTGGCTCACCCCAACCTCTGCCTCCCAGAATCAAGTGATTCTCCTGCCTCAGCCGCCTGAGTAGCTGGGATTACAGGCGCATGCCACCATGATGCCCAGCTAATTTTTGTATTTTTAGTACAGACAGGGTCTCACCATGTTGGCCAGGTTGGTCTCGAACTCCTGACCTCGTGATCTGCCCACCTCGGGCTCCCAAAGTGCTGGGATTACAGGCGTGAGCCACCGCGCCCGGCTAAGATAGTTAACTTTACACACTAGCATGATCTGTTTCAAAGGTTATACACGACTGAGGTGTGACTTCATTGGAATCAGGTGCCTTTTTCAATCTTTAATCATTTCTGAGCTCCAGCTATGGCTTACTTCATGTGTTCTGGGTCAATTTAGATAAATTTTATTTTATTTATTTTATTTATTTTAATTTTTACAGACGGGGTCTCACTCTGTCCCCCAGGCTGGAGTGCAACGGGGCAATCTCAGCTCACTGCAGCCTCAACCTCCTGAGCTCAAGTGATCCTCCCACCTCAGCCCCCTAAATAGCTGGGACTACAGTGCACGCCACCACACCTAGCTTATTTTTGTATTTTTTGTAGAGATGGGGTTTTGCCATGTTACCCAGGTTGATCTCAAACTCCTGAGCTCAGGCAGTCTGCCTGCCTCGGCCTCCCAAAGTGCTGGGATTACAGGCGTGAGCCACCACACCTGGCCAATAACTTGCAAATTTTAGAAAACCATTAGGTTTTCAAATTGATTATCAGAGAATTACACGCAGTATTTCCTTGTAATACCTTTAATTTTCCTCTATGCTCATGTCTATTGCATTTTCTCTTTGCAATGAAAAAAAAAACAAACAAACTTTCCAAATACTATTTACTTCACTAAAACCTGGAGCAAGGCAAGAAAAAGGTATGTCACTGTCTGGGACAGCAAGCCTAGGAATTTGAGACCAATTTATTACCACCTTCGTGTCTTACCTCATTGCAGAGTTCTTGCGGGGCTCAGAGGAACGTCTCCGAGCTGGCACACACAGGGGAGAGCCCACGGCCCTGGGCATCGTTTTGGGGGTCATCGGTGGAAGGCCAGAGCAGCGCCGGCTGGCGGGTGTGGGCAAGGCTGACACACGCCATGCGCTCAGCAGGCTTTGTGGTGCTGGCCCAGATGAGCGTCTAACCGGGGTGCTGTGGACAGTGACCCTGGCAAACACAACATCAGTGTCGTGAGCTGAGATGACATAGAAAAAGTAAGATCTCATCATTCAGCCTGTGCTAATGCAGTGCTGAGGGCTTTGGTTTCAGCCCAGAAGAGCCAAGCCAGGGAGCCCGTGTGAGCTCCGCTCTCCTGGGACAGGCCCCAAGGCGGGCAAGGCTCCGAGCTGCTACCAACCCATCCTGGCGTGGGCTTCGGGCTCCCAGTGGGAATGGCTTCACTGCCCTTCCTCACAGGCAACTCAAAAGAAAATTGATCAAATGTGATTACACTTTACGGATGCTACCATTAAATGTCACTTCACACGAGGTTCAGAAGAGACTGAGCAAATCATCTTTCAGTTGGTGTCATAGATATTGCCATAAGGAAGTCAGAGCCGCAGCCTGTCTGGTGGGCCAGCGAATGGGGGAGCAGGTCTCCCTGCACGCCCACTCATACCCAGGCTTAAGGTCGCCTGAATCAGATGTGAACACAAATGAGTGAAGAGGAAGCTGGGCACTTGGTCCTCACACCCCTCACGTCCCTGGCAATACCTGTGGTTCGGGCTACCCATGGGTCTTGCCTAACTGTTGCTTTCTTGTGTTGCTGTTGATGAAGAAGAGGCTGAGTCAACTGGCATTTGCTGTGGACTGAATGTCTGTGTCCCCAGATTCATGTGCTGAAATCCTAGCCCCCAAGGTGATGGCATTAGAAGGTGGGGCCTTTAGGAGGAGATCAGGTCATGGAGCCAAAGCCTCAGGAATGGGATCTGTGCCCTTATAAAAGAGGGCACATTGGTGCATACCTGTGGTCCCAGCTACTCAGGAGGCTGGAGTGTGAGGATCACTTGAACCCAGGAGGTAGAGGTTACAGTGAGCCATGATTGCACTACTGCACTCCAGCCTGGGCAACAGAGCAAGACCCTGTCTCAAAAAAATAAACAAACATAGGCCGGGCGGGTGGCTCACGCCTGTAATCCCAGCACTTTGGGAGGCCGAGGCGGGTGGATCACGAGGTCAGGAGATCAAGACCATCCTGGCTAACACGGTGAAACCCCATCTCTACTAAAAATACAAAAAATGAGCCGGGTGTGGTGGCATGTGCCTGTGGTCCCAGCCGCTCGTGAGGCTGAGGCAGGAGAATTGCTTGAACGTAGGAAGCGGAGGTTGCAGTGAGCCAAGATCGCGCCACTGCACTCCAGCCTAGGTGACAGAGCGAGTCTCCATCTCAAAATAAATAAATAAATAAATCAGCATAAAAGAAACTTGTTCACCCCTAACCCAGTGAGGACAGAGAAGGCGGCAGCTGTGAATCGGGAAACAGGCCCTCACCAGACACCAAATCTGCAGGTGCCTTGATCTTGGATTTCTAGCCTCCAGAATTGTGAGAAACAAATGTTTGTTGTTCAAGCTACATAGTCGATAGAACGTTTGTTATAGTAGCCCAAAAAGGACAAAGACATTATTTTAAAATAAAATGAGTCAAGGACATCCCACCACCATGGCCCCTCGGGAGGCCAGGGAGACCTGTCTATTGCTCTATTCTGGGCAATTGTTACGTTCTTCAAAAGGAGCCTGAAAACAGACTGACTCTAGCCTATTTAAATGGAAGAAAAGCAACGAGGCTGAAATCAAGAGAGAAACAGAATCACTCCAGAGAGCAACTGCTGTCAACCCCAGCTGCTGCTCTCCGCGAAGTTCTAGGATTCCCCACCCTCCTCCCTTTATTGCTAAGTTCTGGCAGCCCCACCACAAATTCCAGTGAAAATAAAAATTCCGGCCAGGCGCGGTGGCTCACACCTGTAATCCCAGCACTTTGCGAGGCCAAGGCTGGTGGATCACGAGGCCAGGAGATCGAGACCATCCTGGCTAACACGGTGAAACCCCGTCTCTACTAAAAATACAAAAACTTAGCCGGGCGTGGTGGCGGGCGCCTGTAGTCCCAGCTACTTGGGAGGCTGAGGCAGGAGAATGGCGTGAATCCAGGAGGCGGAGCTTACCATGAGCTGAGATCGTGCCACTGCCCTCCAGCCTGGGTGACAGAGTGAGACTCTGTCTCAAAAAAAAAGAAAAGAAAAGAAAAATTCCAATAAATGTAATTCTCAAAGTAACCCTGGGTGAGGTGAGGAAACTGAGGCACAGAGAGGCAAGTGAGGTGGCCAGTGGCTGCCTGGCTCTGGTCTTTGCTCTTCACCACCATGCATGGGAGGGACGGCAGCTTAGCATGGCACCATGCGCAGCACGTGAGGGACTGGCTAGTTCGACCTCGCGAAGCGTGTCTCAAGCTCACACAGGAGGAAACTAAAGCCCAGAGTCACCAAAAGACTTGCAAGTGGCCCCAGCTGAGCTTGGGCCATCCCTACTTGACGTGAGGAAAAAGGTCAGCAACATTCGGGAACTTAAACTGGATCAAAGACCAGGAAGTGGTGGAGCTGGGATTCAAAGCCAAGTCAGGCCGGACACGGTGGCTCACGCCTATAATCCCAGCACTTTGGGAGGCAGAGGCGGGCGGATCACGAGGCCAGGAGATCGAGACCATCCTGGCTAACACGGTGAAACCCCATCTCTACTAAAAAAAATACAAAAATAATTAGCCGGGTGTGGTGGCGGGTGCCTGTAGTCCCAGCTACTAGGGAGGCTGAGGCAGGAGAATGGCGTGAACCCGGGAGGTGGAGTTTGCAGTGAGCCGAGATCGTGCCACTGCACTCCAGCCTGGGCGACAGAGCAAGACTCCATCTCAAAAAGAAAAAAAAAGCCAAGTCAGAATCAAGGTGCCACGCCAGTGCTCTTCAACTGCGGTACAAGTCACAGTCACCCAGGAGCTTTAGGAAATCCAGCTGCTGGGCCTCAGCCTAGATGAACCAAATCAGAACCCCTGGGGTGGGCTGGGCACGGGCAGTCCTAAGAGCGCTGGAGGGACTTCTGCTGTGCAGCCTGGCATGGCAACCACACCAGTCCAGGGCTGGGAGCTGCCGTACTGCATCGCGGAAGTCTCAGATGTCTTAAGTCTGCAGTAGATCTAAAAGGGGCTGGTACACATCAGGAGCTCGGCCTGCACCCAAGAGACTGGCGTGGAAGCCAGATGCGCAGGCCAGGCTGCAGGGTTACCAAATGGTTGAGGTAAGCAGATGCGTGAGTCATTCTACAGCAATAAAGAGAGGAAGCGGACCAACGTCACTCACCTGCCAACTGACGTGCACGACTGCGGCCGCTGTGCCCGCGAAAGCTTTGGTGTTGAGCTGTCCGGGGAGTCACCTAAGTCCAAGAAAGGAAGTGTGCGGTCAGGTAAAGTGATCAGGGGGAGACCTACTGTTGGGGGATCGTCACCGAATGGGCAATTCTCCGAGTATCTCCACTGTCCCAACTTGAGTGTAGGTGGCACTGGCTCAGACAAGTACACAAAGGGCCACCCTGCTGCAGGCAGCCACATGAGAGGCATTCACCCCTACACGGGGACCCCTGCCCAGGCAAAGGCTGTGGTCTGATGGATGGACACGGGGGAGAAAGAGAAGAGCCATCTTCACTGCGCCGCCCCACCCTGGCTGTATATCCCATCAGGGCCGAGCACGACCTTCACAGAGCGAAGTCGACTTGTCAGACGGCACCTGCATGCGCTAGACACTTGCCCACAGGAACAACACCGCAGGGGTTTAGCTTCCCAGGCACGCGCAACAGAGCCCACATTCCCTCATTTTCCCGAACCATGACTTTACTGGGATAATAATAATTCATTACACTGTGTTTGTGCTGTTTTAGTTGACAAGCATTTCCATGTGTATGATCTCATCTGATATTCACAACAGGATGAAAAGCAGGCTCAGAGGGCAAAGGGGTCACCAGTTACCGAGCTAAGGCCCAACACAGGCCCCAGAGGTCCAGTCCCGCCACCACGCCCCCAGACACTGGCTCCATGGTTCCTCCTCCTCTATACTGGCTCCTTGAAAATCCCAGTGTGCACTTGAGTATCAGCACATGTGCTCTGGGGCCTCCAAAGCCTCAGGCACCAGGACCCCCTTGGAACACCTTGCTATGTCTGGGAAGCCATGGGAAAAGAGGCTGTCCCTCAGAGCCCCTTACCCCAGCACCAAGAGGGAAGGGTGGGGCCTGGAGCTGAGGCCTCTTCTCCACAGGTGCTTCCAGGAGGCCAGGCGAGGGTCCAGGCTGCTGCCCCCACAGACAGCCCCTCTCTCTGGCAACAGCACAGCTGCTGCTGGGCCCTCCATCTTAACAAGCCTATGCCCGCCCTCCTGCGCCTGCACCCAAGCTCCTGTCCCACGTCCCTGCCCCGCTTTAAACCAGATCTCCTCAGAAAGGCTGCCTGCACTTACATTTCCTCTCTCCTGCTCTTTTTTTTTTTTTTTTTTTTTTTTTGAGACAGAGTCTCTCTCTGTCGCCCAGGCTGGAGTGCAGTGGCATGATCTCGGCTTACCGCAACCTCCGCCTCCTGGGTTCAAGTGATTCTTTTGCCTCAGCCTCCTGAGTAGCTGGAATTATAGGTGCCCGCCACCACGCCCGGATAATTTTTGTATTGTTAGTAGAGACAGGGTTTTGCCATGTTGGCCAGGCTGGTCTTGAACTCCTGACCTCAAGTGATTGCCCGCCTCGGCCTCCCAAAGTGCTGGGATTACAGGCGTGAGCCACTGCCCCAGCCTCTCCTATTCTTTTAAAAATCACCTCTATCAAAGTGACTCATGCACAGTTTTTAAAAATGAAGGTTAAAATTTTATGAGACAAACAAGTCTCCCACCACACCCAGCTCTGCTTCCAGCGTGCTGGAAGCTTCTTGCGATGTCTCCCTTCACTCATTTCTAAATCACGCACCCACATTGCTACCTCCGCATTCTTCAGAAACTCCGTTTGTTACAAGAGTTAAGAATCTGCCCCTCACACCTCCCCACCGCCCCCACCTGTGCGTTCACCAGGCCTCCATGTTCACCCCAGCACTGGAGAGGCGCGCAGCTCGCACACAGCTGAGTCAAACATGCTCCCACCCTCTCTCCACCTCCGTTTTCAGTTTGTTTGTTTCTTTTCTTTCTTACAAGAAACAAGGTCTTGCTCTGTCACCCAGGCTGGAGTGCAGTGGCTTGATCACTGCTCACTGCAGCCTTGAACTCCTGGGTTCAAGTAATCTTCCTGCCTCAGTCTCCCAAGTAGCTGGGACTACAGGTGCCCAGCACCATGCCCAGCTAAATGTTTTTGTAGAATCGGGGTCTCACTGTGTCGCCCAGGCTGGTGTTTGTTTTCTTGTATGGAGTGGGGTGGTCTGTGACTAAGTCATCCCATAATCCCTGTCTTTTGGGAACATTCTTGGGTCACTGACCCCGCACCATTCACAGAGGTCTCTGTGAGACCCAAGTTGGTCACTCCTGGCGGGTGTGGAGGCAAGCCCACCTCTCTCTCCCTCGCCGCCTCCCTCTCCCTTGCCGCCTCCCGTGTTGGCTCCCTCTCTCCCGAGACCCCTTCCTCTCGGTTGTCCTCTCCCTCAGCTGGGTGGAGCGCACTCTTCAGCAGCTTCCATGGTGGCACGGGAAGGTCATTCTTATGAAACAGAACACGAACAAGCCATCTCCTGACACCCTCACGACTGCCCTAGGGCTGCCTGAGCACGCACGCCTCCCAGGCCCACATCAGCTCTTCCCTAAACCTGGACGGCGCGTCTCCACTGCAGCTCCCAGTACCGGGGAGGCAAAGCCCACAGCCAGAATTCCAAGTCTCAATCCTCTGGGTGACCCGGCAGCATGGACTCATAGTAAATAGCAACATTTGTAACTGGACTGTTTTACAAAGAATGCTGCTTGCCTCGAGTATTTTGAGAAAGTGCACATATGAAAGCCTCCACTACAGGGCACCGTTCATGTGGTCCCACGCTGTGAGTGCCCTCAGCCCTCACCTCTCCTCCACGGTGACAGCTGGTGTCACAGCCAATGAGCAACACCACCAGTGCTCTCAGCCAAAAAGTGCACACCACCACGTGCCTCCCAGAGCTGTGTGTTCCCAACAGCGTGGCTGCTCCCCTGGGGCCTCTCTTCCGGCCAGTGCTGAGTTTGTGGGACCAGTTTTGACCCTGATGAATGACCAAAGGCGTGCAAGAGACAGTCCTGTTCCCAGCATTGTGGAGAGAGGAGGAACCGCCTGCCGAAGGTGAAATGCACATCTGAGAGGTGCGTAAGGAGACCGCAGGGACACGCTCTGGGAAACAGGGCAAAGCCAACAGGGATTTGGGATTAGCAGAAGTCCTGTGGCATCAAGCAGCCCGACAGCCAGGAGACCAGCCAACACTTGTGCCAACGTGGTCAGGAGAGACATGGCAGACGCATGTCCTGGCTCCAGGCATTCAGGCAGAAGGGAAGCAAACACTACTGAACACACCTCCACATGACCTGGGCCGTAGGGTGTCCCTGCAGAACCCACCCAATCACAGCTCGCATTTCTTTTCTTTCTTTCTTTCTTTTTTTTTTTTTTGAGACAGTCTCGTTCTGTCGCCCAGGCTGGAGTGCAGTGACACCATCTCGGCTCACTACAACCTCTGCCTCCTGGCTCAAGTGATTCTCCTGCCTCAGCTTCCCAAGTAGCTGGGATTACAGGCATGCGCCACCATGCCTGGCTAATTTTTCTATTTTTAGTAGAGACAGGGTTTCACCATGTTGACCAGGCTGCTCTCGAACTCCTGACCTCAGGTGATCTGCTCACCTCGGCCTCCCAAAGTGCTAGGATTACAGGAGTTAGCCACCGTGCCCAGCTCACAGCTCCCATCTCTACAAACTCAGCTCTCTGCTGTTGAAACCTACACTGAGGTCTCCAGCTGTGGCTTCTCCTCTGAGCTCTCAGCCTGCTCCACCCCTCAGCTGCAGCCTAAGTGGCCTCTCACCCTCACTACTTCCAAAATGGGGCCGTGGACTCTGCCCGCTGCCTCTTCCAGCCCTCCTGTCACATGAGTGGCAGCACCCAGGTTCCGCCAGAACCTCAGGGACACTCGAGTCCCTCTCTGCACTGCCACATGAGCCCTAAGCTACCAGAACGTCAGGCAGACCGCAGCGCTCCAGCCTCCTTCCCCAGCACTAGCTTCCTCCCCAACACAGTGAGGGCCAGGTCCGCATTACCCTCCCCACCACTCTTCGGCCCAGAGACTCTGCTCTTCCCTCTGTGGAGGGACCTTCTGAAGGTCAAGTCGCTCTGCTCTGATCTCTCCTATGCACGTCCTCCTGCACTGACGGTACTCCAGGGTCCGCTCTGGTCACGCGGCGCTCTGGGAGCCGGCCTCGGGCTGCCCCTCCATCTTCATCTCTTCTTACCCTGCCCCTCGGTCACTGACTGGCTGAGGTTGCTAGTTTTTGTTCAACAGCAACTTTCCTCTTCTCAGTAAGAAATTTCAGCTGTGTGCGGAATAAAGACAACGTGTCCTAGCATCCTGTGCAGGGAAGCGTCGTACTCAATGGGACACAAACGGAGTCACAGGGACAACTTGCAGTGAGGGTCCTTGAAAGGTGGGGATTTGCTCTTCTTCACCTAGAAGAAGGCTTCCTGCCGGGAGGTATGAGGGCCAGAGCCGGTGCAGCCACACTAGACCATGAGGATGAGAAGCTCATCACGGCAGCACAGGATGGAGTAAGCCTGGGTCCCTGACACCAAGGAGTACTGACCAGCTGTCGCACGTCTACGCAGAATCCCGACCGCAGCGGCTGCACTCCCACCCTCCGGCCCCCATGCTGCTCCCAGAGCACGTCCCACGCCTTCCTGCCCCAGGACCTCTGCACTCCTGCCGTTGCCTCTGCCTGGAGTGCTCCCCCTTGCACTTTCCTACCGGCTGCCTCAGTCTCCTGGTTCAGATCTCAGTCCCGTGTCACCTCCTGACCATCTTTGCCAAAGAACCACCCGATGCAAATTCCTCCCCAAACATGCCAGCTCCAGGACACCATCTTCCCTTAGTCCCTTTGTTGTGCTAGGATCTGCAGGCCTGCTCATCTGATAACATTTCGTATCTTTTCCTATTAAACAGAAATTCTGTGAGAGTAGGTCTGTCTTATCATGATGTCCCTTGTCCCCCAAAGCATTCCAGCACAGAGAAGACACTCAGCAGAACAGCTTGTTCCTACAGCAGGACTCAGAATGCAGTTTCTGGGAGTTGCAGGCTGCCTGTGCTGGCCGGCACTGCCAGAACTTAAAATCCTCAAGCACCCAGAGGGCAGATCTGCCTGACAGAGGAGGCCAGGACGCTCCTCTCACCTTAAGTCAGCTCTGAGAACTTTCTGCATTGCACACAATTGTTCAAGAAATTCATGAAAACTTTACAAACACCCACCCACTAATGGCCAGACACCTGCTGGGGCCAGTGGCCTCACTGACTGGAGAAGGCAGTGGCTGGAGCTCAGGAGGCTGAGGTGGCTGCAATCTGAGGGCCAGAAACTAGAGAGGAGGGGGCTACTCCGACAGAACGAGCTCTAGGAACCCAAGGGAATCTCGAGTCTCTGGCTGAGCACCAGGCAGTGCACAGGTGCAGGGCAGGAGTCCTCAAGGTCAAGAGAAGAGCAACTACCAGGGAGCAACGAGCGGAGCTCACAGGGCCGAGAAACCGCCGTCTTACCAGGGAGCAACGAGCGGAGCTCACAGGGCCGAGAAGGTGTCATCTTGCAGCAGCAGGAGTGCAGGGGTCTCGCGGGCCTTGCGGGACACACGGGTGTGCAGCAGAGGCCTTGGGAAGGACGCCGGTGGCGGGAGGCGGAAAGGCTATGCTAGACCCACCACTTCAAAGCATAAAAAGCCTCGGAAGGATGATCTGCACCTTAACTGCCTGCCAAGCCCAACCCAACTCCTCAGAGAAAGACAACAAAATCCAGACATTCAAAAGTGTACACCTGACAATATCCAACAACCAAGAAAAACTTGTGAAAAATGTAGAGGCAGGAAAATGAGGCCAAAACCCGGAAACAAAATTAGTCAGTCGAAACAGACCCCAAAATGATGGGGAAGATGGTATGAGAAGAATCGTAGACCCTAAAACCATTATCAATTTGCTCACGAGGATGTAAAAGAAAACCCAAGTACCATGAGAAGAAATAAGGGGAAACTATTATGTTAGAAACAAAGTTAACTGGATGGGCTTCACAGCTGTTAGGCACTGCAGAAGAAATGATATCTGACAACAGAAACTACCCAAACTGTAGCTCAAGGAAAAAGGCTGGGCCGGGCACGGTGGCTCACACCTATAATCCCAGCAGTTTGAGAGGCCGAGATGGGTGGGTCACTTGAGGTCAGGAGTTCCAGACCAGCCTGGCCAACATGGCGAAACCCCGTCTCTACCAAAAATACAAAAAAAAAATTAGCCGGGTGTGGTGGTGGGCACCTGTAATCCCAGCTACTCGGGAGGCTGAGGCAGGAGAATTGCTTGAACTCGGTAGGTGGAGGTTACAGTGCGCTGAGATCGCGCCACTGCATTCCACCCTGGGTGACAGAGCGAGACTCCGTCTCAAAAAACAAAAAACAAAAAAAAAGAAAGAAAGAAAAGAAAAAAGATAAGAAAAAGAAAAAAGGCTGAAATAAAAAAAAGAACAGAGCTTCGGTGTCCTGTGAGACAACGTCAAGAGGCCTGAAATAGATGTGATTAGAGTCCTAGGAAATAAAGTGGAAAGAGGAAAAGATAGCTGAAGAAATAATGGCCAACGTTTTCCAAATTTGCTGAAAAAAACCAACCCACAGATCAAAGAAGCTTAAGAAACCCTCAGCGGGATAAAGGCAAAGAAAGCCACCTCAAAGCACATAATAATCAAATTCCCGACAGTAACACTAAAGAGAAAACCTTACAAGCAGCCTACGAGCATTGGGGTGTCACACACACAGGAACGAACGTAAGACATTCAGGGAGCCTCCAGTGACCCCCCAAAACAACGTGGGCGAGAAGACAGCGGGTCACACCTGAAAGCACTGTTGGAGGAAAGAACTAAAAACACCATCAATGCCATCAATAATTGTTTAAAACTTTAAATGCAATTTCTTCAGTATTTTTTAAAGACACATTAAAATGTATCTATTACTCACCAATAGAAAACTTAGGAATTTTAAATTGATTTGTAGGAGTAGGCATAACCTTTGTCTTGGAATTTAGACAGGAATCTCGCCGTCTGATACTTCTAGTCTTATTCAATTGAGAAGATTCTGACCAAGCGCAACTGGAGTTCAGCCACTGGCCGCCACCTTCCGGAGTCTGGGGTTGGGTGGGGGATGCTGAGGGGGGTGCCGTGAGCTGCTCCGCTGCCAGCTCAGAAACATCGACCCGCTTGGCCTGCCAGGAGGATGCCCCCACAGGGCCTGCAGGCAGAGCTGGCCGCAGCATGGCGGGTCCCATTCTGCCTGACTTGCTGATGTTTGACAGAGGCCGGGAGCTATTTGCAGGAATACTTGCAAATTCACTTGATTTAGCTAGAAGGTATACACACAAAAATCACATTATTATAAAAGTATGAAGCTATTTAACAAACACACAGAAGTTATGCTGTCTTTAGCATATCTACCTTAAACATAAGACACATTAACAATATTCTATAAGCCCTTCAGGCAACATCATCAAACACAGGATGGCTCAGGCAGCTTTTAGCTTAGCTGAGTGTATTCTAAGGTACTTATTCTCAAAATAATTACTAACATGTACATAAGCATGCATAAATTCAAGCTCTCCTATCTTCGTTGATTATGTTGGCAGGAGAAATCTACATTAGTTGAGCAGATGGAAGGGGATAGTCTAGTCACATGTCTCACCTGTCTGGTCACAGAGGTGGGCAGGGAACAAGGAAAAAAGACGCAATTGTTACTGGTTGATTCCTTTAAAATTACAAGGAGGCTGCGTCATATTAACCATAAGCACTATTTAAAATAGAAGACCAGATAAACTAGGGTAATACATACTGAGCTACCAATATACGCAGACGATCTGGTAAAGGATTCTTAAAGAAAAACTTTAGCCCAGGAGTGGTGGCTCACGCCTGTAATCCAAACACTTTGGGAGGCCAAGGCAAGAGATCACTCAAGGCCAGGAGTTCGAGACCAGCCTGGCTAATATAGTGAGACCATCCTCTCTACAAAAAACACAAAAATGTGGGCCAGGCGCAGTGGCTCGTGCCTGTAATCCTAGCACTTTGGGAGGCCAAGGCGGGCGGATCACGAGGTCAAGAGATCGAGACCATCCTAGCCAACATGGTGAAACCCCGTCACTACTAAAAATACAAAAATTAGCCGGGCGTGGTGGCAGGTGCCTGTAGTCCCAGCTACTTGGGAGGCTGAGGCAGGAGAATCACTCGAACCCGGGAGGCAGAGGTTGTAGTGAGCCAAGATTGCGCCACTGCACTCCAACCTGGCAATAGAGTGAGACTCCATCTCAAAAAAAAAAAACCCACAAAAATTAGCCGGGTGTGGTGGCATGTGCCTGTAGTCCCAGCTACTCAGGAGGCTGAGGTGGGAGGATTGCTTGATCTCAGGAGGTCATCACCTCAGTCTATAAAGATAAGGACACAAACCTCTCTTAATCACAGAATGGCAGAGTCAGAATTCCAGATCAGATCAATCTGATTAGAGAGTTCACACTTATCATTTTTTTTTTTTTTTTTGAGACGGAGTGCAGTGATGCAATCTCGGCTCATGGTAACCTCTGCCTCCCGCGTTCAAGCCATTCTCGTGGCCCAGTCTCCCGAGTAGCTGGGACTACAGGCACCCGCCACCATGCCCGGCTAGTTTTTGTGTTTTTAGTAGAGACAGGGTTTCACCATGTTGGCCAGGCTGGTCTCAAACTCCAGGGGTCAAGCGATCCACCCATCTTGGCCTGCCAAAGTGCTGGGATCACAGGCGTGAGCCCCTGCGCCCGGCCCACTTTTTACATTTTGTGAACACAATCCACACCATGCTGCCCTGAACGACCCCGAGACGCCACATGGCCAATGCACCTCGAAGAGGATTTCGCTCTGAAGAGCAGAAAGGCGAAGGCTTTCCCTTACCACTAGATGGCAGCTGTGGCTTGGCAAGGTTGAAATGTGGCTTGACCTCAAACAGGTGTGGGAGCATGGATTTAAACAGGCACCCAGGAGTTATGGGGCCATATGCCCTACATTATCTGGAATAGTCCTATTTTAAAACTGGTGTCTCATGACATGGACATGAGGGTGATTCCAGTGTCCATGTTCTCAGGCACGGGGTATCATACATGCTTTCTGGCCATGTGTACCCCGTAGACTGAAGCCACCCATCTGAGTGTGCCCTCCTCATGGGACAGAGGCACTGAGGGCAGGTACAGCAACTCAGTCCACAGCCTGGTCCACCGCACACAGCACGCCCTCCGGGACGTCCTGCCAAGCCTAAGTGGTTCTGCAGAAACAGTCTCCAAGGCCTGAGCAGCACTCCAGGCCTCACCTGGCCAGATGTGGGTCCAAGCATGATGCCGGCTGCCTCACCTTTGCCCACTGCTGGGGATGTGCACGCACTGGATGCCCCGCTCCAAACAGGCCCCGAGGAGGACTTCCTTGCGAGATTGCTGGTAGAGCCGGGTGCTTTTAACAGGGTCTTCTTCAGCCCCAACTGGGGCAAAATGTGAAAAAACAGAATCAGCAAAGATCTCGTTATTTACCTATTACTTGTGTCTGCAAAAGTAAGGGGTTTTTGGCTGGGCACGGTGGCTCACGCCTGTAATCCCAGCACTTTGGGAGGCTGAGGCCGGAGGATCACAAGGTCAGGAGTTTGAGACCAGCCTGGCCAATATGGTGAAACCTTGTCTCTACTAAAAATATAAAAACTAGCTGGGCATGGTGGCAGGCACCTGTAGTCCCAGCTACTCGGGAGGCTGAGGTAGGAGAATTGCTTGAACCCGGGAGGTGGAGGTTGTAGTGAGCTGAGCTCGTGCCATTGCACTCCAGCCTGGGCGACAGAGTGAGACTCCGTCTCAACAACAACAACAACAACAAAAGTTGGTGTTTTTACTATTTTAAAATAATCTAATAATTATCATCTTGAATTTAAAGAAGAAAAAAGTCAAGCAGCACTTCTCAAAGTGTAGTCTTCAAACCCCTGCATGAGGACCACATTAGGGAGCTAGCAGAAATGCAGATTTGGGGCCCCAACCCAGACCCCATGAGTCAGCAGCTGCAGGGCCCAGCTTTGGGCAGTTCTAACAAGAACTGCCAGTACACACAGCTTGGTTTACCGCCAATGCCAGAAAATAAGTGGCAAAGATGTGGCTGGTAGTCTCCATGCCTGTGAGGAACCGCAATTTTCTTTCTTTTCCTTTTTTTTTTTTTTTTTTTTAGACAGGGTCTCACTCTGTTGCCCAGGCTGGAATGGAATGCAGTGGCATGATCACAGCTCACTGCAGCCTTGACCTCCTGGGCTCAAGCAATCCTCCCACCTCAACCTCCCAAATAGCTGGGACCACAGGCATGCACCACCATGCCTGGCTGATTTTTATTTTTTAATGGAGATGGGGGCCTCACTATGTTGCCCAGGCTGGTCTCAAACTCCTGGGCTCAAGTGATCCTCCCGCCTCAGCCTCCCAAAGTGCTGAGATTACATGTGTGAGCCACTGCACCCAGCTGCTGTTTTCAAAACATCAACATCTCATGTCATCTGTTCAAGAACTCTACATGAGGGAAACGGAATATCCCCACCTACAAACTGGGGCTCCGAGACGCTGACTTTTCCCAACCCACACAGCTCCCAGGGCAGAGGCTAGCCATCAGTGCACACTGCGAAGCCAGTATTCTTTGCATGTATTTTGCAGGCTGCCTCTTGTGGGTGTATTTTCAACTTTTCCACCTCTTTTTTTTTTTTTTTTTTGAGACAGGGTCTCATTCTGTCACCCAACCTGGAGTGCAGTGGCGTGATTATGACTCACTGCAGCCTCGACCTCCTGGGCTCAAGCAATCATCCCACCTCAGCCTCCTGAGTAGCTGGGACTGCCGTTGCTCACCACCATGCCCAGCTAATTTTTGTATTTTTTGTAGAGATGGGTTTCATCATGTTGCTCAGGCTGGTCTTGAACTCCTGGGCTCAAGTGATCCTCCCACCTTGGCCTCCCAAAATGCTGGGATTTTAATCCAAAGCACTTGTACACACAGCTGCCACCTCATTCCCAGCAACCACAAGTTTGGGCCCCAGCAGCCAACTCACCTTGTTTGGAACAGGGATCGCCCGCTTGCCCTGGCCCAAGTGGCTTCCGGCGGCCGGCACATTGACAGCACCCGGGGCAGGTTTGTCAGGGAGAACATCCCGGTGGGATTCCTTCTCAGCTGGGATTTTTGTCCTGGAAGGACTAGCTGGAATCTCTTTCTTGGGCTGAAAATTTTAATTTGAACTGTGAGAACTGTCTAGTGCTTAACAATGTACAGAGATACTCAGGCTTCCATTCAGAGCGAGCCTAGGCCCCATCTTCCCCAGTGCTACACATGCCCCTCCATTCATCAGCCAGATTGAAGGGAACAGGGCAAGCAGTTCGCATCCTCCACCAAATCACTATGGACATAAGTGATGATGGATTTTGCTTCCTCATTAAAAACAGCATCAAATGATACCTACACAGATCATTAATAGGAGAGAGGTTCTCTAAAGCCATTCCCCAGTCAGGATCCTTATTTAAGAATGATAATGAGAAAGCTGGTCTAGTTACACAAATTTTAAAATGCTGTACAGAAAGGACTCATCCATTAAATGGTCATCTCTACCAGAGAAGCTGCTCAATTGCAATAAATCTTCTTGGTCTAGTACTGAAAGCCATTTTCTTTGGCCAGCAGAGTCAAAAAATAAGTTCTTGACATATTTAGGGACAAGGGCATTCATGGAACTAATTTATACTTACATAAATAGCCCCCTTATAACAGGAGAGTTAATAAGGTAACAGCAATAGAAGCTCAGAGTGGTAAAGACGCAGCAGTAACTTTTTCCCTTTATAGCATTTCTAAAAACTGAGATACTTCTCATAACATAAAATTCACTATTTTAAACAGTATACTTCAGTGGTTTTTAGTAGATCTGTTATGTTGTACAACCAGCACAAGCTAATCTTAAAATATAGTGGTGTCCCAAAAAAGAACCTGTACTCGGCCGGGTGCAGTGGCTCACGCCTGTAATCCCAGCACTTTGTGAGGCCGAGGCGGGCAGATCACCTGAGGCCAGGAGTTTGAGACCAGCCTGACTAATATGATGAAACCCTGTCTCTACTAAAAATACAAAAATTAGCCGGGCGTGGTGGCGGGCGCCTGTAATCCCAGCTACTCGGGAGGCTGAGACAGGAGGACTGCTTGAACCCGAGAGGCAGAGGATGCAGTGAGCCGAGATTGCACCATTGCACTCCTGCCTCGGCAACAAGAGCAAAACTCTGTCTCAGAAACAAAACAAAACAAAACAAAAAAAAAAACAACCTGTACCCATTAGCGGTTCTCCCCTTTCCCTCATCCTCCCCAGCCCCACCTAGGGAAGCACTCAACCACGCCTCTGTCATTGGCCTGTCATAGTCATTTCATATAAATGGAACCATACGACATGGGACCTTTTGTTATGGCCTCTCTCACTGAGCAAAATGTTTTCAGTGGTGCCATCTTGGCTCACTGCAACCTCCACCTCCTGGGTTCAGGCGATTCTCCTGCCTCAGCCTCCCAAGTAGCTGGGATTACAGGTGTGCACCACCATACTTGGCTAATTTTTGTATTTTTTTGTAGAGACGGGGTTTCACCATGTTGGCCGGGCTGGGCTCAAACTCCTGACCTCAGGTGATTCGCCCACCTTGGCTTCCCAAAGTGCTGTGATCACAGGTGTGAGCTACCACGCCCAGTAGTGTTTCTTTTTATTGCCAAAAATAAACCATTGTTTGGATAGACTGCATTTTCGTTACCCAATCATCATTTGCTGGATGCCTGGGTTGGTCCTACTTTTTTGGCTGTTATGAATAATGCTGCTTCGAACATCTGCATGTGGATTTTTCTGTGGATATGGTTTCAATTCTCTCAGGTCTGTGTACTAAGGAGTGGAATTGCTGGGTCCCATGGGACCCTCTACATTTATTTTTTTGAGGAGCTGCCAAACTGTTTCCACAACAGCTGCCCCATTTCACAGTCCCACCAGCAATGCGTGAGCTTCCAGCTTCTCCACATCCTCAGCCTTCTCCTCATCCTCCACAACATCCTCATCCTCAAAATAACACCTGTTATTTTCTTTTTCTTCTTCCTTTAGGCATCCTAGCAGTTCTCTGTCAAGCACACTTGTAAGTAGGTGTTACACTCAAGTGGTCCACCCATTGCTAATGACTCCTCACAGGAGTGAGCATGTGCCATGAGCCACTCTAGAAGTGACTTCTCCCAGAGAAACATGCAGGACATGGTGGGGCTCCCACGTGTGCATGAGTGCATCTCAGCTGTGCGGACAGTGCCCTGTCCACTGGGAACAAGCTCTCTGGACCCCAGCTCACCACCCAGGACCAGGAGATCAAAAGAGATACTTCGATGGGTCTGGAGCAGCCCAAATCACACCACCTCTCTCCCCGAGTCCACGCGTGCTACATGCACAATCCCTGTCCCGAGTCCACGTGTGCTCCACACAGCAGGACCCATCCCACTCTCATTCTAGAAACATCACGGTAGGAATCTACATCCCAAACGGGCTCCAAATAAAGGAGTTTGCAGGCCCCAGCTGTTGGGGGTGGCAGTGCCGGGCATACCTCCTTGTCAAGGGCAGTGTGTGGCGTGGCGGCTGCACCTCGGCTGCCTTCCATCCTTGGCTCTCACCACAGGGAGTCATGTGGCTCAGGAGATGGGCTTGGTGGGGGTAAAGGAATTTCTGGGCCCTTGCTGAGCATTCTGCATTTGCCTGCACCTCCTATCAGCCCCACCCAGGGTCATTCCTCTGTACGTGCTGCCCAGGGGAGGGGGCAGAGCTGGGAACGGGCTGCAGGGTGGGCCCCGGGGCTCCCACCCGCCCCGTCTTCCTCTCTGTGGCCTCTCCCGAGCAAGAGCCAGATCGGGCAGCCCTGGCAGCAAGTCCTGTGCTCACACCCAGCTTTCCCCCAGACCTCCAGGACCCTCAGTGTCCCAGAGTAGGCAGACTGCACCCAAAGGCACCCCTGTCAACTGCCACCTCCCAGGAAAGCTCACCTCACTCAGTGCCCAGGAGGAATGCAGTGTAAACTGAGGCACGGTCAAGGAGGCTGACTAGCAGCCATTGCAGAGGAGGGGAGTTTTTGGAAGAGGTTGCTTATTAAAGCAAATGAAATCCCTACTGTGTGGTATATCCAGCATTGTAACAAAACAAAAGGAACAACTTCAGACAGAATTTAGGAGGAAATATTAGGTCAACCCAACTTATCCAAGCCACCCCCACATCAGCTCCCTATTGGCAACTGCTTTTCCTGGACTCCGCATTCCTGTGTTTTGTAGGCCTCAGAGACTCGCCACCTCTGAGGCTTTCCGCATGTGGCTTCTGTGAGAGGGCTGAGGGGCAAGGAGTGGGGGCTCCCCAGGCAGGCGCTCTGCTGTGGCATTTACCTTCTCCGCAGCCCCAGGGATGCTTCTTCCTCTAACAGAGGCCGCTCGAGGCAGCAGCAATTTGGTCCCGGGCTTCCTCTGAGTCGCTGCCTGACTTGCAGCATGAGCAGTGCATGATTCCCTGGGCAAAGCATGAGCAGAGTGCGGAGGCCCCGGCGCCCGGGTGAGGCGGGCCTGGGCACCAGAGCTGGGCAGGGCCGGGGAGGAGGCCAAGAGCCGAGGCTCACCCACAGGGGGCCCCAGCAAGGGGCTGTCTGACAGGTAGTATGTCTCCCTTTTAAGAGACGTGGGGCTTTTCTTCATTTCCTTTTCTTTCTCAAAGAGGTTTATTTTTAATTTTGACTCCTGTATGAATCTTTCCACGCCCTGGCTCCGAGGGTCTTCAGGCTTGGCAGCTTGGGCTGCCTGGTTCCGGCTGCTGCTCTCAATGTGTAAAGCCAGTAAGTGAGCTTCTTTGTACACCTCCACGAACTTCTCCCCGGCCAGAGGGCTCCAGGCAAAGGGACTCTCAGATGTGGGCAACGGAGGCTGTTCGGGAACCGGATTATTTAATTCCAAGCTGGCAGCAATACATCTTTCTTTATGTCCAAAGGGTCCGAAGAAGACTTCATCATCTTCATTTGCACTATTTGTTTAAAAAAAGAATGATTAATAACTCATAACACTGGCATTTAAAGGAAAGACTTTACTGAATGTGGTTATGCCCAAGGCAAGGGAAGAAAACTCATTTGTTTACCTCGAAGAAGACAATGAAAGATCGAAGTCAAATTTTTCATCGGCCAAAAGAAGAATGTCTAGAGGGAAAAAATCCACTGTTATTTTAGTGCCACAGCTGATAAAGAGAAAAATATTACCAGGCTCTATGGCTTGGAATTAAATAAAGGTACTGTGAAATTTCACTCCCCAAAGTGTATCCTGTCATGATGCTAATTTAGTTTTTCATAGGGGGCTCTAAGTTATATTTTTTCCTTTTTAAAAAATTTTTTAAATTTTTTCTAGTGACGAAGTCTCGCTATGTTGACCAGGCTGGTCTCGAACTCCTGGCCTCAAGTGATCCTCCTGGCGTGGCCTCCCAAAGTGTTGGGGTTACAGGCGTGAGCCACCATGCCTGGCCAGTTTTTTTTTTTTTTAATTGCATCAGCCGGCTGGGGGCGGTGGCTTATGCCTGTAACTCCAACACTTTGGGAGGTCTAGGCGGGCAGATCATGAGGTCAAGAGATCAAGACCAGCCTAGTCAACATGGTGAAACCCCGTCTCTACTAAAAATACAAAAATTGGCTAGGCATGGTAGCGCACACCTGTAGTCCCAGCTACTCGGAGGCTGAGGCAGGAGAATCGCTTGAACCCAGGAGGTGGAAGTTGCAGTGAGCCAAGATGGCACCACTGCACTCCAGCCTGGGTGACAGAAAGACACTCTGTCTCAAAAAAAAAAGAAATTACATCAGCCATTCTATGTTCACTAAGCCACCCAAAAGCTTAGGTCCTTACTTTTAAGATATAATCTAAAATGCATTCACTGACTCATTCAACTAGCTTTTCAAGAAGAGATAAGTCATTTTCCAGGTATAGAACATTTTCAAAAGACCACCTTCCTCAGCTCCCCTAGAATTAAATTCCCCTCTTACAAGCTACAAAACATCTATTCATAGTTCAACAATGAATTTAATATTACTCAAATGCACGGAGTAGGGACTCTATAAGAATTCGTTGACCGCCATTGCTTCTTGGAGTCCTTCCTGAATCCTCAGATGAAATTACTCTGTACCCCACCCCATCCATAATTCTATCACAGCTGGCATGGCCCTGTCTGCCCAGGTCCCTCTAAAACAGATCACAAGTTCCAGGTTAGTGGGTCCCTCTGCAGGGGCACCTGCTCCCTCCTCCAGCTCCCCGCAAGGCTCCCGCAGTGCCTGGACCTCACTTCTACCACTGCACTAGCCTCTGTGAGTGCCTCTTGACCCTTCTATGGCCCCAACTAGACTATAAGCTCCTCCAAGATAACAGTGTCTAACACTAACCCAAATTCCCAAATGTCCAGCTAAGGGCCTGGACACTTAGCAAATATTTATCAAAATGCACTGAAATACAGTATTTGCTCAATACTGTAAAGCTTATAAAGCTCTCCCATAAATGTTTTTATCTTAATAAACAATGAAGGCCGGGCAAGGTGGCTCACACCTGTAATCCCAGCACTTTGGGAGGCTGAGGCAGGCAGATGATTTGTGGTCAGGAGTTCGAGATCAGCCTGGCCAACGTGGCAAAATCCCATCTCTACCAAAAATAAAGAATAAAAAAATTAGCCGAGCGTGGTGGTGTGCACCTGTAATCCCAGCTACTGGGGAGGCTGAGGCAGGAGAATTGCTTGAACCTCGGAGGTAGATGTTGCAATGAACCAAGATTGCGCCACTGCACTCCAGCCTGGGTGACACAGCAAGACTCTGTCTCAGAAAACAAAACAAAACAGGCTGGGCGCAATGGCTCACGCCTGTAATCCCAGCACTTTGGGAGGCCGAGGCGGGCGGATCACGAGGTCAGGAGATCAAGACCATCCTGGCTAACATGGTGAAACCCTGTCTCTACAAAAAATGCAAAAAATTAGCCGGGCGTGGTGGCAGGTGCCTGTAGTCCCAGCTACTCGGGAGGCTGAGGCAGGAGAATGGCGTGAACCTGGGAGGCGGAGCTTGCAGTGAGCAGAGATCGCGCCACTGCACTCCAGCCTGGGTGACTGAGTGAGACTCTGTCTCAAAAAAATAAATAAATAAATAAAAATAACAACACAGCATGCTTCTCAAAAATCATAAAATTTGAAAATATACTAATATCCTAATTTGGTCCTGATTAATCAATTATTCTTAATTACCTAATCAAGGAGAAGTCAGAACAAATGCACAAAAGAAAGAAAAGAGAAATAACCACACAGAGAGGGAATGAAAAGATCCATAAGCACATCTGTCAACTTCATGCACATAAACCTAAGAACTTGGCTGAAAGAGATAATTTTCTAGGAAAATATAATTTTATTTATTCTTTTTTTTTTGAGATGGAGTCTCACTCTGTTGCCCAGGCTGGAGTGCAGTGGGGTGATCTTGGCTCACTGCAACCTCCGCCTCCCAGGTTCAAGAGATTCTTCTGCCTCAGCCTCCTGAGTAGCTGGGATTACAGGCGCGCGCCACCACACCGGGCTAATTTTCGTATTTTTAGTAGAGATGCGGTTTCACCATGTTGGCCAGGCTGGTCTCAAATTCCTGACCTTGTGTTCCACCTGCCTCAGCCTCCCAAAGTGCTGGGATTACAGGCGTGAGCCACTGCACTTGGTATATTCTTTTTATTTTTTTGAGATGGAGTCTCACTCTGTCACTCAGGCTGGAGTGCAGTGGTGTGATCTTGGCTCACTACAACCTCTGCTTCCCAGGTTCCAGCGATTTTCCTGCCTCAGCCTCCCGAGTAGCTGGGATTACAGGCACGTGCTACCACGCCCAGCTAATTTTTTGTATTTCTAGTAGAGACGGGGTTTCACAATGTTAGCCAGGATGGTCTCGATCTCCTGACCTCGTGATCCCTCCATCTCGGCCTTCCAAAGTGCTGGGATTACAGGCGTGAGCCACCGCATCCAGTCTATTTTTTATTTAAATTGTCTAAATGTACTTATTTATAAAACTGACTCCAGAAGACAGGGAAAATCTTAATACTTCAATAATCATAAAATAACTGGTGAAATTTATTAAAGAGCTATCCTCTTCAAAAAAGCGTCCCAACTAGATTCATAGGATAATTGTATCAAAACATTAAAGAACAAATAATTCCAATACTATTTACATCACTCCAGAGGATTAAAAGAAAAAAAACTTTCCAACTTACTTCCACGAGGCAAGTAAGTATGTTACCAAAAAACCTAGAAAGTGATCAATAAAGAAAGTAAAGACCAGCCTTACTTACATCAGCATAATAATCCTTTTTCTTTTTTTGAGACAGGGTCTCGCTCTGTCACCCAGGCTGGAGTACAGTGGTACAATCATAGCTCACTGCAGCCTCGAACTCCTGGACTCGAGGGATCCTCCTGTCTCGGCTTCCCGAGTAGCTGGGACTACAGGCACGCACAACCATCCCTGGCTAATATTTGTATTTTTTGTAGAGATGGGATCTCCTCATGTTGCCCAGGCTGGTCTCAAACTGCTGGGAACAAGCATTCCTCCTACCTTGGCCTCCCAAAGTGCTGGGATTACAGGTATGAGCTACCACACCTGGCCTAACATCAAACTCTTTAACAAGAATACCAGCAAAAAGAATCCTGCAAACATTAAAGTGGTAATAACATAACACAACCAAGCTCCCTGCATTTCATGACTGTGAGATGGTTTCATTTCATACAATCTACTCATATAATCATTTTATTACTAGAGCTAAAGAGAAAACCATGATCGTCTGCACATATGTTGAACGGGCATATGATAAAATACAACATACATTCTTGATTTTAGAGGCTCTTAATAAAAAGTAATAGATATATAAGGAAATCCCCATCTCAACCCAAAGCCAGCATTAGGTTCAGTGGGATAACGTCAGAAGTATTCCTTCTAAAGACAGGAACAAATTGATCTTACCAGTTAGGATAGGCTAACATGCTGAAGTAACAACCCTTAAAACAACAAAGGTAGGCCAGGTATGGTGGCCTGTGCCTGTAATCCCAGCACTATGGGAGGCCAAGGAGGATCACTTGAGGCCCAGGGGTTCAAGGCCAGCCCTCGCAACATAGCGAGACCCCAGCTCTACAAAAAGAAAAAAAAAAATGAGCGGGGTATGGTGCCATATACCTGTAGTCCCAGCTACTCAGGATGCTGAGCCCAGGAGCTTGCGGCTGCAGTGAGCTATGATCAAGCCACTGCACTCCATCCTGGGCAATAGAGCAAGAGACACTGTCTCAAAACAAACCAAAAACCACAAAGGTATATTTCTCACTCAAACTATATGTCTGCAGAGGGGTAGGCTGGGGCCCTGCTCCCTGGCCTCCTCACTCCAGGACCCCAACTGATGGAGCCTCCACCATCAGGAACACCGCTCGTCTCCATGGCAGGAAGGAAAAGAACCAATTCCACACTGGTTCTTGAAGATTTCCACCCAGAAATGACACACACGACAACATTCCCATTTCACTGGCCAAGTGAGTCACCAGAGCCAACTGAATTTCAAGTGAACAGGGAGTACAATTCTATTACATGCCCAGAAGACAAACACATAGAAATGCTCATGAATAGCACACCTACGACTACCATTTACTTGGAAATTAACCCATAACCCAGTATCGGACTTAATGAAAAACCACAGAAGCAATTCCATTAAAGCCAGGCACGTGGCAATGACATCTCCAAGCACAATTCTTAACACTGTTCTGGACACATAAAGCAACACAGTCAGGCAAAGGAAGGAATGTGGAGGTAACATGATCACACTGCACAGATGCCATGATTATAGACACGAGAAACAAATCAAGAAGATCAACTGGAAACTACTATAAGTAGTAAAAGGATAAAAGAACATGGCTAAGGACAAAATCATTACAGAGCAATCAACAGCTTTCATATCTACAAAGAACAGTGAGAAGATAACATGGAAGAAAATACTTCGTTTCTAGCAGCAACGAAAGATGCAAAATAACGATAAACAAACCTAACAAGAAATATGCAAAATGGATATAAAGAAGACTTGGCATATCATAAAAGTAACATATCAAATAAAGAGGGAAAGTAGACCGGGCAGGGTGGCTCACATCTGTAATCCCAGCACTTTGGGAGGCCGAGGAGGGTGGATCACAAGGTCAGGAGATCGAGACCATCCTGGCTAACACGGTGAAACCCCATCTCTACTAAAAAATACAAAAAATTAGCCGGGTGTGGTGGCAGGTGCCTGTAGTCCCAGCTACTTGGGAGGCTGATGCAGAAGAATGGCATGAACCTGGGAGGCGGAGCTTGCAGTGAGCCAAGATCACGCCACTGCACTCCAGCCTGGGTGACAGAGCAAGACTCCAACTCAAAGAAAAAAAAAAAAAAAAAAGAGGGAAAGTGAAAAAATGGTATTAAAATAAACTACATAATCATCTGGAAAAATGCCAACTAAGTTTGGTCCATGCCTCACACCACATCAGGCCTAATTCCAAACAAATCAAGGACTTAATGGAAAAAAAACAAAGCCCTAAACAAACAAGAATCAGCTATGAGGAAACTTTTGTAACTTGGGAGTGTGGACTTCTAACTATGACACTAAACTGGAAGCTACCAAAGATTGGTCGGCTGGGCCCAGTGGCTCACATCTGTAATCCCAGCACTTTGGGAGGCTGAGGTGGGAGGAACGCTTGAGCCTAGGAGTTTGAGACCAGCCTAGACAACATAGGGAGACCTTGTCTGTACAAAAAATACAAAAATTAGCTAGGCGTGGTAGTCTCAGCTACCAGGGAGGCTTAGGAAGGAGGATCGCATGAGCCTGGGAGGTCAAAGCTGCAGTGAGCCACAATCTCGCCACTACACTCAGGCCCAGGCAACAGAACAAGAACATGTCTCAGAAAATAAATAAATAAAAAATAAAAGATTGACCTTCAAACATTAAAATTTTAACATCTCTGTGTGGCAAAAATCACAATAAGTTAAACAAGAAATGGGGAAAAGAATATTTGCAACTCAGTTCATAAAGGGCTAATTCATGAAGCATATCTATAAAGTAATAAAAAATTAATAATCTAATAAAGATAGAAAAAGGATACAAACAGATAAAGTTCACAGAAAATAAAACAAAACATTCTTTTTTATTTTTCTTTATTTACTTTTTTTGAGACGGAGTTTCACTCTTGTTGCTCAGGCTGGAGTGCAATGGCGCGATCTTGGCTCACCGCAACCTCTGCCTCCTGGGTTCAAGCGATTCTCCTGCCCTAGCCTCCCAAGTAGCTGGGATCAGTATGAACCAGCATGTCTGGCTAATTTTGTATTTTTAGTAGAGACGGGGTTTCTGCATGTTGGTCAGGCTGGTCTGGAACTCCCGATCTCAGGTGATCCGCCCACCCTGGCCTCCCAAAGTGTTGGGATGACAGGCGCAAGCCACCGCACCTGGCCGAAACATTCTTAAATAGATGGCAAGAAGTTCAGCCTCACTCAAAAATAAGAGTAATGAGGCTGGGCGCTGTGGCTCCCACCTATAATCCCAGCACTTTGGAAGGTCGAGGCGGGTGGATCACCTGAGGTCAGGAGTTCGAGACCAGCCTGGCCAACATGGTGAAACCTCATCTTTACTAAAAATACAAAAAATTAGCCAGGCCTGGTGGCAGGTGCCTGTAATCCCAGCTACTTGGGAGGCTGAGGCAGGAGAATTGCTGGAACCTGAGAGGGGGAGTTTGCAGTGAGCCGAGATCGCACCATTGCACTCCAGCCTAGGGGACAAAAGGGAAACTCTGTCTTAAAAAAAAAAAAAAAAAGTATTAAAAATAAACTTGCTCTGAGAATGCAGTTTTCGCCTATATGACTGGCAAAACTCAAAGATGTATGAACTATAGGCAAGGTTGTGGGGAAAGAGACAATTTCTACACTGCTGGGGAAGGTGTAAATTATCACAGCTCTCTAGAGGGCCTGGCAGTACCTATCGAAGTAAGAAACACACACCCTCTTCGACCCAGCAAGTCTACTTCTGCAAGTGTATCCTACAGACACTCACAGGTGTGGAAAGCAATGTGTTGTGCAGTTACACGGTGTCCACAGTTATTTACTGCAGCATCATTGGTAACAGCAAGACTCTAGGCACAAACTAAATGTTCACCCACAGCAGATGAGATGAATGACATATCCCCAAGGTGGAACCCTATATAGGTACAAAAGCTAGTAATGCTCTTCATGTGTTGATACACAATATTCATCAAGATAAATTAAGCCTGAAAAACAAGATTCAGGACAGGGCTCTCCATGCTATATGGAAAGGGGGATGCAACACTCTATGCGTGTTGGCTTGCACCTGCACAAATTATGTCTGGAAGGATACCCAAGAGACTGATGACATCGATGGCCCTTGGAAGGGCAAGTAGGTGACTTAGAGATATAGAGAGGCAGACATTTCACTTTTTACACCTCTAAATTAGGAAGTCAATTTCAGAAACTTCTAATGGTCTGGCGTGGAAAAAGAATCCAGGACCAGAACTCAGGGAAGCAGTCTTCTGCTCCAGGCTCTGTGACTGGCTCCGAGGGGTCCCGGGCTGGCTGACTTGCTCATCCTGCAAACACATGAGCACCCACAACAGACCACATCCTTCGCTAGGTGCCAGGCAGGCTTGGGGTACATGCAGCCCACCCTGGAGGGTGCCTCAGGCAGTGCGGTGAGAGACATGTAGAGGTGGGAACACCTCTGAGAAAATATCAAAGCGTGTGTGAGAGGAACGGGTCAGAAGTCAGAGTGGCTGGAAGAGGTGAAAACACAAGTTGGGTCAGATCACAGAGGGTTTGCAAGCCATGGCAAGGAGCTTTTATTTTCTCCAAAGTGGGATAGGAAACTATTACCGGGCTTTAAGAAAAGAATTTTAGGCCTGGCGTGGTAGCTCATGCCTGTAATCCCAGCACAGTGGTAGGCTGAGGCAGGCGGATCACTTGAGGTCGAGTTCGAGACCGTCCTGACCAACATGGTGAAACCCCGTCTCTACTGAAAATACAAAACTTAGCTGGGCACGGTGGCTCATGCCTTTAATCCCAGCTACTCAGGAGGCTGAGGCAGGGGAATCACTTGAACCCAGGAGACGGAGGTTGCAGTGAGCCAAGATGTCGCCACTGCACTCCAGCCTGGTGACAGAACGAGACTCCATCTCAAAAAGAAAAAAAAGGCTGAGCACAGTGGCTCATGCCTGTAATCCCAGCACTTCCGGAGGCCCAGGCGGGCAGATCACGAGGTCAGGAGATTGAGACCATCCTGGCTAACACAGTGAAACCCCATCTCTACTAAAAAAAAAAAAAAAAAAAAAAAAATTAGCTGGGCGTGGTGGCGGGCGCCTGTAGTCCCAGATACTCAGGAGGCTGAGGCAGGAGAATTGCTTGAACCCAAGAGGCGGAGGTTGCAGTAAGCCGAGATCACGCCACTGCACTCCAGCCTGGCCAACAGTGAGACTCTGTCTCAAAAAAAAAAAAGAAAAAGAAAAAAGAAAAGAAAAGAGCTTTATAATCTAACTTGTGTTTTTAAAAGGTGACGTTACTGTGTAGAAAGTGTATCCGAAAGGAAGCAGATAATATCCCCTGACATTACAAATGCACATATTAGCCAACGGGAAGTAGAAGCCGGTGAGACAGCGTGGCTGAGACCCAGACAGCAGCATGTGGATGGAGATGGAGAGTCTGTAGATGGATTCAGGATATCTTCTGAAGGTGGAGAAGACGTTAGCTGGTGATGGCATGAATGTAGGAGGTTCTCAGCTTGCACAGCTGGGTGAAATGGAGAAATAAAATGGGTGATGAGAAAGACAAAAAGAACAGGGTATGCAGATGCAGAGGGGGTATGCCAAGTTTGAGATGAGACGTGCATGTGAAGACGCCAAATAGGCAGGTGAATATACAAGCCCAGAGCTCGGAGGAGAGGCTGCGCTCAAGACAAAACGTGGGTGCCGCAGAGAGCAGATACGCTGCACAGCTATTGGAATGCTGACCGCCCTGAGGGCGAAAGCACAAAGCGGTCCCAGAGCAGGTCTTGGGGAAATCAGCCTCAGAAGACAGCAGAGGGGGAGCCCCCGACAGAGAAAAGATACACCAGCCAGAGAGGCAGGAGGAAAAAACCAAGAGCGTCTTGGACTCCAAGCAAGGGAAGTTTCCAGAAGGACGAATGTTACTGAAAAGCTGACTGGCGATAGAAAAGTGAAAAGAGATTCAGCAATGTGGAAGTCGTCAACGACTGATGAAAGCAGCTTGAATGGAGTGGTAAGGACAGAAGCCGGAATGGGAGGGATTGAGAGGCGGAAAAAAATGGCATAACAAGTGAGAAAGCTCTCAAAGTTTGGCTTGGAAGGAGAAACACAGCAATGGAGAGGCAACGGAGGAGACGTGGCGACAAGTGAGACAAGGGAACATTATCTGTATGTGGATGCGCATGATCCAGTAGTGGACAGGGGAAAAGTAAGGAAATGAAGTCAGGTCAACGGAAGTGGGGAAGGCCTCAAGAAGGAGCAGGGGGTGCAGTATGCACGTGGAAAGGACATATTTGAAAGGAAGGACATGACAGGAAGGAGGAGAGGGGTGCAGAGGCAAGCGCCTTGCTAGATATGAAGATGCAACATTGATTTGTAAAGTCTCCAGGACAGTTCCTGCAAAATGGAGGCATTGAGGATGCTTGGGGCCAGGCGCGGTGGTTCACACCTGTAATCCCAGTACTTTGGGAGGCCTAGGCAGGTGGATCACCTGAGGTCAGGAGTTTGAGACCAGCCTGGCCAACATGGTAAAACCCCATCTCTACTAAAAATACAAAAATCAGCCAGGTGTGGTGGCGGGTGCCTGTAATCCCAGCTACTCGGGAGGCTGAGGCAGGAGAATCGCTTGAACCCGAAAGGCAGAGGTTGCAGTGAGCCAAGATCATGCCACTGCACTCCAGCCTGGGAGACAGAGTGAGACTTGGTCTCAAAAAGAAAGGATCCTTGGGTAGTGTGAGAAAACTACCCAAGGGATGTCAAAATGCTTTGTGAGGCTGGGTGAGGTGGCTCACACCTATAATCCTAGCACTTTGGGAGGCCGAGGCAGGCAGATTGCCTGAGCTCAGGAGTTCGAGACCAGCCTGGGCAACATGGCAAAACCCCGTCTCTGTTAAAAATACAAAAATGAGCCAGGTGTGGCAGCGGGTGCCTGTAATCCCAGTTACTAGGGAGGCTGAGGCAGGAGAATCCCTTCAACTCAGGAGAGAGAGGTTGCAGTGAGTACAGATCACGCCTTTGCACTCCAGCCTGGGTGAGAGAGCGAGACTCCGTCAATAAATAAATAAATAAATAAATAAAAACGCTTTGAGAGAAAAAGAGGGTGTGGCCTGTAACTCATTCTGTGAAGCTGTACCCTCACCTTGATACCCAAACCAGTCAAAGACACAAGAAGAAAGGGGTTTGGGGCCAGGCTTACTCATTAACATGGTCTCAAAGATCCTAAATAAGTCTTAGCAAACAGAAACCAGCGACAAACAAAAAAGAAAACATCGAATTCAATACAATAAATATTTGAGAGCCCACAAAGTGTTAGGTGCTGTTCAGGGCATGGGAGCACTGCGGTAAATAAAACGGATGAGAATCCTGGCTGTGATGAAACTTAAAATGGGGAGGAGGTGAAAGAAAACCAGAAAACGAAGGCAGATGTCATGTGTTTCACAGGTGCAGAGTACAAGTCGAGCACTTGAGAAAGAATTTCTCAGGGAAACATTAAATCACCCTCCATCTCTACTGAACATCCTGAACAACAACAGCGCCGCAGCAGCAAGGACTTGCCTTCCTTCTTAGGGTCATCCATGTTCACGTCCCCTGCCCGGCAGGCTGAAGGCTCATCGCGGCCGCCGCCTCCTTCCATGGAGAGAGCTGTCAGAAGTCACTGCAGGGTGGAACGGGGCCAGAAAGTGAGTACGTGTCAGGGCCCAGGGCTCCGGCTTCCTTCAGCCCTCGGCTCACAGAGGCAGAGAGAGCTGAAGGCCGCGGCCAGGTCTGGGAGAGGCGGCGCGGGGGCCGCTCTGAAATGATCGCATCCCAGGGGACCCCAGGGCCCGAGTGCCGCCAGGCCGGGAGTCAGCCCGAACGCCATCAGACGAGATAACGGAATTCTCGGCTTCTGGGCCAGAGTGTTGGGGGCTCTGTTTGCCTGGGGGGCAGCCCTAGACCTCCCGGCATCCCCGACCACGGCGCGAGGGGCCTCAGTGACCCCTGCTCGAGCCCAGGCCCGGCTCCTGGCGGGGCGCGGCCCCTCCCCGTCCCGAAAACGGCGGGCACCGCGCCGCACCGGGCCCACCGGGCAAGCCTCGCCCCCGACCCTGACCCCACCTTACCCAAAGCGGCAGACGATGCAGGACGCGCCTCCGGCACGGATTTAAACGCGGCGCCGGGAGACGCGGGTTGCCGATTGGTCGGTTTGAAAAGGGCTCCGAGAGGCGGCGGGCTGGGTGCGTCCTGGGTATTGTAGTCAGGACGCTGGTAAGAAGCGTCCAGTGCGCATGCGCACTGCTTCAGCGCAGCGAATGGCTCCGCACAGCGCCAGGGATCACCCACCCGGAAGTCTGCCCGGCCTGGCCGCCAAGTGTCACTAGGTATCCGCGTCAAGCCGGAACCATGTATAGCAGCTCCTTGTGTGTAGGGAGAAAGTTAAAACTGCCATCTAAGGGTGTCGATGGGAAGACTAAAAGTAGGCTCACCCACCTGCTGTGAAGCAGCGCGCGCGAGCTGTTACTAACAGTAGTGAAAAGCCGGGATCCCTGCCCCCGAGGCACGCACTGGGGCGCCGGCTGACCCAGAGACCTGAGGGAGACTCATTGCCGGAGCTGCACAGCCTGTGGGGCTGGAGGGGAACCGTCGCCCTTGGCGGGCTTCCCCAACCGCCAAGGCCTGAGGACCGCCGAGGGCGTGGCGGGAGCCTGTCCTCGGTTTTACAGGCCGGCTGGGGAGCTGCGTTGGAGGAGAGAGCCAGGGGCTGGGGCCCGGTGATGGAGCCTGCCTTGGGGAGTGCATGTGTTGGAGAGAGGTGGGAAGCAGATAGGATAACCCTGACCTGAGCCATGGAGACGCAAGGACAGGACTGGTAGACGGGTCAGTGGGCAGCAACTTAAGACTGACCTCGCTTGAGCCTTTGCCTGCGAACGAGGTATAATACCCACCTCGGGGGCTTGAGGATCAAATGAGGGGCTCCACCCACGGCAAAGTGTCACTAAGCGGGATGGAGGAGGATGCAGGAAGAGGAGTCTGGGAGGACCCGCTCTGAAAAGGATGGAACTCGAGAGCACCATTTTCAGGGACGAAGATAAGCTGTTTATTTGGGGCAGGCTGTGGGGAGAGCTGTGCAGCAAACAGCCACCCGGGGCCCAGGGCAGAGGCCTTCCAGGCTGGCTCGGGCACTTCTGGGTCCCATGTCCCTGGTTTTGCATCATCCATACCAATCACTCCATGTTGCTATGTTCCTTCACCAGAAGACTGGGGGCTCAAAAAGGGCAGGGCAGCCCTCACTCACCAGTCTCCCCAGCCTCACCCAGCTCAGCACAGGGCACCAGGCAGGGGCTGAGAGTGCTGGGGTAGGTGGGTGTGGTCAAACAGCTTGGAAAGAGTTTGGCCTGCTCATTGCATTCCCCTCAGCTCATCCTGGGGATGTCTGCTCATGGGAGAATGGCAGAGGGATCCCCAACAGTCATTCCTGATACTCCTCTCCCTGTATCATGTCAGCACATAGTAGGTGTGGCCTATGTATGGCAGATTCATTTCTGCCCCCAATAGGATTTGCTGTAGTTTGGATGTGTGTCCCCTCAAAATCTCATGTTGAAATGTGATCCCAATGTTGGAAGTGGGGCCTGGTGGGAAGTAATTGGGTCGTGAGGGCAGATCCCTTATGAATGGTTCAGCACCATCCCCTTGGTGATGAGTTCTTGCTTAGTTCACACAAGATCTGGTTATTTAAGAGTCTAAGACCTCCCCTTCTCTCTTACTCCTGCTCTCACTATGTGATATACTGGCTCCCCATCACCTTATGTCATGATCTTAAGCTTCCTGAGGTTGCACCAGAAGCAGATGCCAGCACCATACTTCCTGAAAAGCCTGCAGAACTGTGAGCCAATTAAACCTCTTTATAAATTACCTAGCGTCAGGTATTTCTTCATAGCAATGCAAGAAGGCCTAATACAGAGTTTGACTTCATTTATTTATGCCTTCATTCACCAACTTTCACTGACAGCTACTCAGTGCAGGCCATGTGCCAGGTGATGCTGGGGACAGATGCTGTCCCTGACCTGGAGAGGTCATGGCAGGGGTGCAAGAGCAAGGGCAAGTGCCAAGGGCTGAGGGGCACAGAGGCAGCACCCTCACCAGCCTGCAGTGGGGGTTGGCGGGTAGAAGGCTTCCTGGAGGAGGGACCAGGGTTCCCAATTGCACAGCCAAGTCATGTCTTCTTGCTTGGAACCAGGAGAGGGGAAGGAGGCTCCCCTTAGGATGTGTCCCTAGTTCTTGGGTAGAGAAGGCGCCTCTCTGGAAATACTACTATAATTACCCCTTTTCTTTCTTTCTTTTTTTTTTTTTTTGAGACGGAGTCTTGCTTTGTCGCCCAGGCTGGAGTGCAGTGGCGCGATCTCCGCTCACTGCAAGCTCTGCCTCCCGGGTTCACGCCATTCTCCTGCCTCAGCCTCCCGAGTAGCTGGGACTACAGGCGCCCACCACCATGCCCGGCTAATTTTTTGTATTTTTAATAGAGATGGGGTTTCACCGTGTTAGCCAGGATGGTCTTGATCTCCTGACCTCGTGATCTACCTGCCTCAGCCTCCCAAAGTGCTGGGATTACAGACGTGAGCCACTGCGCCCGACCTCCCATTTTCTTGACTAGATGCCCCACCTACTTTTTTTTTTTTTTCCCTTGAGATGGGAGTCTCGCTCTGTTGCCCAGACTGCAGTGCAATGGCACGATCTTGGCTCACTGCAATCACTGCCTCCCAGGTTCAAGTGATTCTCCTGCCTCAGCCTCCCGAGTAGCTGGGATTACAGACGTGTGCCACCATGCTCAGCTAATTTTTGTATTTTCAGTAGACACAGGGTTTCACCATGTTGGCCAGGCTGATCTCGAACTCCTGACATCAGGGGATCCACCCACCTCAGCCTCCCAAAGTGGTGGGATTACAGGCGTGAGCCACTGCGCCTGGCCTGCCCCACCTACCTTAAGTTCAAGGAGAAGCCATCTCCCCAGGACCCAGCCCCAGGCCTGCACCACAGATGCTCAAAGACTTGGAGGAACTGATGAATTCATTTTAATCACAGAAATTTGCCTGGGCTTGAGCAAACTGTGGGGACTCAATAGATTTGGAGGCCTCCTCTCCCTTCTGAGAGGCCTGCCTGCTTCCTGCCCTGATGAATCCCTAATTTCAGTACAAACTGAGGAACTTGAAAAACATCTGTGCACTGGGACCGCCCCTCACAGGAGGGCTGAAAGCAGCACAGCTGAGTCAGCGGCACATTCAGCAGGCGTTCAGTGGGGAAGCAGGAGACAGAGGCGGCGCTCACAGGACCCGCTCCAGGCTTGTCACAGCCACACATCACAGCACTTTGGGTTTTGCCACAACAGAGCAGCTCTGAGCTCAATCCTTGCACCTCAGAAGTGCATTTATGATTAAAATCATGCTCGACATGAAGCCCTGTTATGATGTGCAGTTTAAAAAGAGAAACGGGTCCAAATCAGCACCAACAGAGCCCCCCAGGGGGCTCCAAGACTCGCCCCAGAGACAGCAGAAGGACCCCATGTGCGCGCTGATCTGTAAGAAGGGTGGTGGATGCAGCAGCAGGGGGCTGCGTCCAAAGGCAGCAGGTGGGGGCCTCTCATAGTGTGACCCTGGGCAGGCCACTCCCCTACCCCGGTACCCTCACCTGAAAAATGGGACAGCAACACAATGAGACAACAGAGACTGTCTAGAATATAAAGAAAAGAATGAAAAGGTCCATCCCAAGGGCAGCCTGGTGGGGACGGGGACAGGCAGTGGGGGGAGGCTGCCTCTGGAAGACCTGTCCCAGCAGAATCAGCCCCCACCTCTGCCCTGCCTTCCAACCTTTGAACCACCAGGCAGTAGACACATTCCCCTGGGAAACAGAATTTGCAAGGCAGGTGGAAAGAGCAGCACTCACACTGGCTGTGACTGCTGAAAAATGCTCATTGGCCCTTCTCGAGGACTGAAAGGAGATTCGGAATCACATTTAAAATTAACCCGTGACCCACTTCCTGTAAAACTGAAGATCACCCTCTAACAGCCCTAACAAACAGGCTCTGGCCGTCTCCTGACCCTAACCCGGTGGAGCAGCTGACTGGACGCAGTGACGCCACCACTGAGGTTCTGCAGGGTGGAGGCGGCCAGGCTGGCTCACTGCATGAGGTGGACGGTAGCTGCCTTGCGGATGAGCCGCTCGGTCAGGGGCGAGTTGGGCTTCAAGGCATCACGCTCCATCAGAAGGCTCCTGTGGAAACAGACACAGAGGTCCTGTTACAGAACCTTCTAGAGGGATGTGGGGCCTGGTGGTCCCTTGGTCCCAAGGCAGAACACAGGCAGGCTAGACTGCGGCACTGAGGGAACAGCAAGGGCCAAGGCCCAGGGGCAGGAGGCCTGGCCTCAGTTTGGGGAGAGGTGAGGATGGGAGGGCACAGACCTCCAGTGCAGGAAGCCACACCCGAGATGGGGCACAACAGGTGGCAGTGGGGAAAACCCAGGTTTGAAGAGAGAAGACCCAGGTACGGTTTGAGGTAAAGACCCTGCTGTGGACTGAATGTCTGTGTCCAGGCTAAATGTATATGTTGAAGCCCAAATGCCCAAGGTGATGGTATTAAGAACAGGGCCTCTTGGAGGTGATTAAGTCATGAGGGTGGGGCCCTTGTGAATGGGATTAGTGCCCTTATAAGAAGAGATAGGTGTGGTGGCTCACCCCTGTAATCCCTGCACGATGGAAGGATGAGGCAGGAAGATTCCTTGAGCCCAGGAGTTTGAGTTTACAGTGAACTGTGATCACACCACTGCATTCCAACCTGGATGACCGAGTGAGACCTTGCCTCTAAAAATATAAAAAAATTTAAAAAGAAAGAAGAAAGAAGAGACGTGAAAGAATTAGCACTCAAAGGAAAGGTCATGTGAGGACACAGCAAGAAAGTGGCTGTCCACAAGCCAGGAAGAGAGGCCTCAGCAGAAACTGAACCCAGCCAGGCCTTGTTCCTGGACATTCCAGCCTCCAGAACTGTGAGACAGTGCATGCCTACTGTGCAAGCCGCCCAGACTGTGGCACTTTTATTTTTTAATTTTTTGAGATAGAATCTCCCTCGGTCACTCAGGCTGGAGTGCAATGACGCGATCTCGGCTCACTGCAACCTCCACCTCCCAGGTTCAAGCGATTCTCCTGCCTCAGGCTCCCGACTAGCCGGGATTACAGGTACCCACCACCACGCCCGGCTAATTTTTTGTATTTTTAGTAGAGGCGGAGTTTCACCATATTAGCCAGGCTGGTCTTGAACTCCTGACCTCAGGTGATCCACCCGCCTTGGCCTCCGAAAGTGCTGGGATTACAGGCATGAGCCACCGTGCCCGGCCTGTCTGTGGCACTTTTAAAATAACAACCCAAACTGACTAAGACAGCCCCCAAACACCTGAAAACAGTGGTTCTAGAGGGCGTGGGTGGTGTGAAGGGGCTGGGGCCGGGAACTCATTGTGGGGGGCACCATGGCTGTGGGTGGAAGGTTTCCCACCTTGGGGGCTGGTGAGCTGTGCTGATGGCCCCATGGATGCTGCCTGGTAGCAGGACAGGACTTGGAGAGAAGGCCCCCTCCACGTCTCCTAATGCAGTCGGCTCCCTGTGCAGCCTGCTCTCCCCCTGCCCTCCCCCACTGGGCCCCGCAGAAGGCCACATCGGCACTGCCGCACTGCCCCACAGATGTCACCCCAGCTCCATCCTCAGCCCTCCTGTCCACACAGCCACTTTCCCCACCGCTGCTGCCAGAGGCACCAACTCCCACCCACACCACAGCCTGAGCTCCCCAGGGGGCTTGACCACCAAAGAAACACGCATGGTTTTGTCTACAGCCATGGAAGGGGAAAGCGGGGAGCATGCGTCCAAGACATTTTACAGTTCTAGGCGGTTCCAGTGCTGCCAGCCAGACCTGTTTCATGAGTACCACAGAACCTGTACAGCTCAGTTTGGGTAACCCTGCCTGGAGGGAGCTGCGCTGGTGCACCTGCGCCTAAACCACTGGGCTTGTCACCAGCCAAGGGCCTCCTGTGGACCCGGGCTGCCACCTGCTCTCACAGCACACCTTCCCCACCAGGCACCCCATGACTCCTCTATTCTTCCTTTCACTTATGTCTGAGGGTGGCAGGGACATGGGCAAGGAGAGGTGTCAAACTCGCCGCTCAGGCACACGGGCTACGCAGCTGCTGGCCAAGAGCTCAGCAGCCTAAGTGGAGGGAGGCAAGCTGGGCCATGGAAGCACCAAGGCTGCTGGCAATGGTGAGGGCTCTTTGGAGTTCCCCCAGCACTCTCATCTGCCAGCTATGCCACCCTCCTGACACTCGCCTGCCAGCCACACCACCCTCCTAACACTCACCCTCCAGCCACGCCACCCTAACACACCTTCCAGCCACGCCACCCTCCTAACACTCACCCTCCAGCCACGCCACCCTCCTAACACTCACCCTCCAGCCACACCACCCTCCTAACACCCTCCAGCCACGCTGCCCTAACACACTCACCCTCCAGCCATGCCACCCTAACACTCACCCTCCAGCCACGCCACCCTCCTACCAGCCCCATGCCTGGCCTGGCTAAACCCACTGTGGTTTCGGGTCTGCCCTCAGCTGCTGCTCCCTCAGTGCGAGTTTACGTGTCTGTGGGACTGATTGCTCCCTGTCGCTCCCCCGACTACAGATGGGCTCCTGGTAGCCAGTGACTGGTGTGCCTGCTCACTGCTCCCTCTCGGTACCCAGCACAGGCAGGCAGGTGAAATGAGCTGAGGTCTAACTGAGCATTAGGTGTCGGCCAGGTGCAAAAAAGGAGAAAGGGTGTTCCAAGCGTGCAAAGGCCCAGGAGCCTGAAAGAGCAGGACGTGTTTACGTACCCAGGTAGCTTAGCAAGGCTAAAAGGGAGTGGGCTGGGAAGGGTGGGAGGTTGGGCCTGGGGTGGGGCTGGCTCCACTTGGTCACACTGAGCCTGCTAACAAAGGAGAACCAAATTCCCCACAGCCTCCCGACCTCACAGCCTCAGAAGCAGGAGCATCTCGGGCCAAGGGTGGTGGGGCTTCCAGGCACTCCTGAGGTCTGCAGGGA
Source organism: Homo sapiens (assembly GCF_000001405.40). NCBI lineage: Eukaryota > Metazoa > Chordata > Mammalia > Primates > Hominidae > Homo > Homo sapiens. Next base: position 46,289,944 of record NC_000022.11, on the reverse strand, counting down.
GAGCCTGTGAAGGTCGGGAGTGCTGGGCAGGGGCCAGGAGCTCACCGGGCTACGTTCTTATGGACGCTGGAGGTGCAGTTTAAGGCCGCGTGAATCAGCAGCTGGTTGAAGACGTCTCTCTGAAATGTCAATCGGGCATGTGAGTCTCCTGTACCTCAGGATGGGGGAGGCGAGCCCCCGCCCACCGCGGGCTGCCTGCTCTCCAGGGAGACAGTGGTGTTGATGCCACACCCTCAACGACGAACTTACACGGCGGGAGTGTGAGAGACACGTTCACACCCACATTGTTGGCACCAACACCATGGGAGAAACTTGGGGGCTGCGGGGCGCCCAGACTCCCTGGCCCAGGCCCTAGGCACCCCAGCTGGCGGCCATCGGCTCACCTGGGCATTGCTCCCACCGAGCTGGACGATCCGGTAGCGGATGGGCAGGAGCAGCTCCAGGACGCGGTCAGGGTTCCCGTCCTCAGCCTCCACCAGGGCCTGGCACAGGGGCAGCCCCACGTCTCGGGCCAGGAGGTGCTGGCAGTTCTCCCCTGGGGATCTGCGAACCCAAGACGGTGCCCTCAGCTGCCTGCCCATCACAGAACATCCGGGAAGGGCAGAGCCATTTCTTCCTCAGCGAGGTGTCCCTGGTCCAGTGCCTGACACATGCCACACTGATGAGGTGAGGTGACAGGCGGGGCAGCCCATCGAGGGGACAGGACAGGGTACTGAGCTCAGAGCTGGGTTGGAGTTCGCCCACTTCCAGCTACCTGGTCCCCCACCTTCCAGCCTCAGTTTGCTCATCTGTAAGCAGGCATAACAGTGCCAATCTAACAGAACCGTCAGGATTGCTGATAATACAGGCAAAGGCCTGGCACTGCAAGCCAAGGCAATCATCACCCCCGGAAGGGAATGGGCAGGGCAGCCCAGGTCCTCCAGGTCAGCCCTCACCAGCTCTTGCCAGGCATCGCCCTGATTTAGATGGGGAAACTGAGGTTCAGAGCACAGAAGCACCTCGTCCAGGACCTCAGGGCCTGTAAGCAGCAGGTGTCTCTGGCTTCAGGGCTTCACTGTGTCCTCTCCACGGGAGGCAGCCCTGTGACCCTGCGGATCTCATACCCACCCTGGGGATGGAGGCAGCTCTGTGTCTTGGGGCAACCAGTTGTACAGCTGTGGGTGTACACACCTTGGGGGTCTGCACCAGGGGATGCACATCTATAGGGGTGCACACCTGGGAGCTGCCTCCATGGGCATCCCCCCTGCTGCACTCACAGGCGGGGCAGGCACTGAACAGGTCTCAGCATGGCCCTAGCACCCCCTCACCCTCTCGGCAGGGTGAGGACCCCCACCCCGAGAAGGCCCCTCTGCATACTCGCTGGCGTCCCGCAGGGTGGTCAGCAGCTCCTGTGTGGTCTGGGGGTCGTGTGCACCCAGGGATGCCATCAGGAAGTGTGCGTCATTGAACAGCAGGATGTGGTCTCGGCTGTGCTTCCGGGCCACAGGCAGGACATCCTGCCACCGCTGGCCCACAGACACTCCTGAGGACATGGGGAGGAGACCCAGGGCCTGGAGTGAGGCTCTGGGGCATGTCCCGTGCAAGGGCCTCCCTCACGGCGCTTCCCTTGGAGGCCTTGATGACCCTGTCCCAGGTGAGAGGCCGGGGAGGTGGGCAGGGCCACGGGCAGCGTCTGGCCTTGTGCTTAGGCCTCTATCAGGACTGTCTAATTATAGAGGCCATAGACGCGTAAGTAGGAAGCACATTTTAAAAAGTGTCAAAGGTTATTAAACAAAGCCTCTGGCCGCTTTGACAAACCCTAGGCCTCTTGGATCCCCCGGCCTTCCCACACAACCCTTGGCTTCCCAATGGATCCCCCGACCTCCCCAAGGATCCCCCAGGCTCCCCACTTTTCTCTGGGTCTCCAGCCTCAGCCTGCCCTTCCCACAGGTGGGCTCCCTGGCTCCTGTGCCCCTCAGCCTGCTGTTGGCCCATCTGACCACATCAAGCCTGCCCTCCAGCCCCTTGTCCCGCAGCAGGCTGCTGGCTTCTATGTCCCGGTAGCTTTGGATGGTCTGCTTTCTCTGAGAGTAACTCTTTCCCTTGTCTCTGCCCAGCAAGCCCCACATATGCTTCAGTAGCTCACATTTCACCTCCACTAGGAAGCCTTCTGAATCTCTAGAAACAGCCTGCCATGCCCTCCCTCAGGTCCCTGAATTGCTCAGCCCTCATCGTACTGCTGACCCAGGGCCTAGCCCAGGCCTCTGTGGTTCCAGGGTGACTCTGCTGAGCCTGAGACAAGGGGAGAACCATCTGGCACCCCAGTGGTTGGCTAGAGCCCTCAAGAGCCCCCAGAGCTGTGGTTGGTCCCTCCAGGCTACCTGCAGAGCATGACAAGGTTGAGAAACCTGTCTACAATCCCAGGGAGTTGAGAAACTCTCTCATGTTTTAGGAAAGGAGGTGGCATCGAGACAGGTGGCCAGGTGCTACCAGTGCCCCGAAGGTTTGGCAGGCAGGCCAGCCATGGGAACAGCACAGCAGGTGCCGCCCTGGGTGCAGAGCTGGAGGCGTCCACATCGAGGAGCGGTGGGAACTGGAAGAAAGAGTAGTGTGGCCTGGACACCCTCTCCAGCTTTGGGCCAGCTGGGAGGCAGCTGCAGAACGGTACCCAAGGCAGTGGCCAGGCCTGCAGAGGGGTCTGGAGCGGCTCACCCATGAGCTCTTGCCCAACCCTGGGCCTAGGCCACAGCACCCTCTCCTCATGATGTGGGAGGAAGAGGCAGAAGCCAGTGGGGCTGCAGGGATGGCTACCTTCCATCTGCAGGCGGTAGAGCATGGAGCAGCTGTCCACCACGTCCAGCATTGCATCGTTGGCCTGCAGGCTGGGAAGGATCTGGAAGACAGGGCGGCCAAGGCGGGCTCAGCGGGTGGCCCAGATGATGGGGCTGCAGGCACAGCCAGGGTCAGCCTGTCCAGGTGGGGTGGGGCCTGCATAGAGCAAGCCCTCTGCCACTGTCCCCATCACCTCAACTGACAGGCCCATCACCCTTGCCTGGGGTGTAGACTGCTCCAAGCACTAGAGGGGTCACCAGGTAGACCTGAAGAAAGAGCCCACTGCATTGCATACCCAGGGCCCAGGCCAGGCCCAAAGCATCTGCCACCTCCCACCCCTGGGCCTCAGACCACACTGGTGGGAGGGCTGTCTGCCCGATCACGTTTCTAGACTCAGCTTTGCTGAGGAGCCCACCTCGAGCTCACGGTGTATGTCACCCTTCATTTCTTTCTTTCTTTTTTTTTTTTTTTTGAGATAGGGTCTCCCTCTGTCGCCCAGGCTGGAGTGCAAATGGCGCAAGCTTGGCTAACTGCAACCTCCGCCTCCTGGGTTCAAGCAATTATCCTGCCTCAGCCTCCTAAGTAGCTGGGATTACAGGTGCCCACCACCACATGCAGCTAGTTTTTGTATTTTTAGTAGAGATGGGATTTCACCACGTTGGCCAGGTTGGTCTCGAACTCCTGACCTCAGGTGATCTACCTGTCTCAGCATCCCAAAATGCTGGGATTACATGTGTGAGCCACCGTGCCCGGCCCACCCTTCATTTCTTACTACAGCTTCCTGACCGTGTAGAAAGGATTACTTCAAGGGAAATTTACTGTGTGTTTTTCTCTGATGTTTAGATCCCCAGATCACAAGCATTTCTGTGGTCCCAGGCTTTTCTGATGAAGCCATCCCTGGGGTCCTTGGGAGCTGTGAGTCAGGCTTCAGGCTTTTTTTTTTCCCCCTCTCAAAAGAATGCCTGGGCCTGGGGAGGAGGAATGGGGAGTTAGTGTTTAATGGGTATAGGGTTTCAGTTTGGGTAGATGAAGAATGTTCTGAAAATGGAGGGTGGTGATGGTTGCAAAATGTGAATGCACTTAATGCCACAGAGCTATACACTTTTTTTTTTTTTTTTTGAGACAGAGTCTCACTCTGTCACCCAGGCTGGAGTGCAGTAGCGTGATCTTGGCTCACTGTAACCTCTGCCTCCTGGGTTCAAGTGATTCTCGTGCCTCAGCCCCCCGAGTAGCTGGGATTACAGGTGCCCACCACCACGCCTAGCTAATTTTTTTGTATTTTTAGTAGAGACAGCGTTTCACCATGTTGGCCAGGCTGGTCTTGAACTCCTGACCTCAAATGATCCACCTGCCTCGGACTCCCAAATTACTGGGATTACAGGTGTGAGCCACCACACCCGGCCTTGTACACGTAATTTTATGTTATTTTTATTTTATCACAGCAAAGAAAAAAAATTCCAGCCAATCGCACCATTGCACTCCAGCCTGGGCAACAAGAGCGAAACTCTGTCTCAAAAAAAAAAAAAATTCCTATGGGTAGACCAGTTGTCTTACCAAAGAAAAGTGATCTGAAAGGGCTGGAGGAGAGTCCACAATTGCAGAGGTGAGGCCCTTAGATGTGTAAATCTATCAGCACCCTCGAGTTGAGCAGGGCCAACCACTGTCCCCATCATAGGCAGGGTTACAACATTGCTCTTGGCAAAATTAACCCCATGAGGCCTTACACAAGAAATGTGTTCTTGCTCCAGCTGTTTTTCTGGCTGGGACAATCCTGATGAACTCAAAAATCTGGTCTCTTTGAGACTCAAAGGCAAAATGCTGCAACAAACCAAACACGGTGTGAATGCAACTTACGTGGGTATCGTAGATGGTCAGCGCGGCCTCATATTCGCCCTGGAAGAATAAAGTTCTCCTTATTAAACCCTGGAGAAGGCAAAGTGTAATGCTGGCACGTGAACTGAGAACGGCCAGGCCAAAGACCCCTGAGCACATGGTCTCCGGCCTCCACCTCCTCTCAGAGGTGGACGGACGGTGTCTTGGTGGCATTCGGGATGGGAGAAGGTGAACCCGCTTCCAACCGGGGCTTTGGTTCCCCAGTGTAGAAAGCACAGCAGCACCTGTGCCGCCACCACTGAAGAAACAGTTGCTGTGGAAGCATTCTCTCTCCTAGTGGAAAGTTAATATAGGTATTGCTCATACTAACTGCTGCAAGCTTTTTCATGTATTTCTTTCTAGCCTTTTTCTTTTTTTTTTTTTTTTTTTTTTGAGATGGGGTCTCACTCTGTCACCCAGGCTGGAGTGCAGTGGCACAATCTCGGCTCACTGTAACCTCCGCGTCCCAGGTTCAAGCGATTCTCATGCCTCAGGCTCAGGACTACAGGGAGGCGCCACCATGCCCGGCTAATTTTTGTATTTTTAGTAGAGATGGGGTTTTACCATGTTGCCCAGGCTGCTCTCAAACTCTTGACCTCAAGTTATTTGCCTGCCTTGGCCTCTCAAAGTGCTGGGATTACAGGCATGAGCCACTGTGCCCAGCTGCCTTTTTCTTTTCTGCATATGTTTCCTCTCCTGTACATTTAGCTGGGTTCTGTGCTGTCTTCCAGACACTGTATCATCACATTCTCATGTCATGACAAGGCCCTCATGTTCTCAGCATTTCTCACTTTATGGACATTCAGGGAGCTTCTAGCTTTTGTGCACGATAAGGAGCACTGCAAGTGACAGTCTTGTACATGGAACCCTGTGGCGGAATCACTGGGGTCAAGGGTGTCCTGAGCAGCTGCCCCATAGCCTGGCTCCCGTTGGAAGATCTCATGGCCCAGGCAGGTACACCCTGCGGAGTTGGGGCTTGGCTCTCCACTCCAGCCACAGGCACTCGCTCTGAATGGTCTCTGCAAGTTATACACCACAGATGTGATTTCCAGGCCTCCACAGTGAAAAAATCCCTAAAAAGGTTGAAGCCTAGAGTGCTCTTTGGAAATGTTAATGCTCCATTGCATCAGGGCTCCAACGGATGTGAATACATAGCAAAAGCTAGAAAAATCTTTCTCCCTCTAGACATCTTTATAGGATAAGACAGTGCAAACAGATGGTCACCTTACCTTCTCAATCAGATATAAAGCCCAGTGCCAATAGTTATGACAAGCCAACATATCAGAGTCCTGGAGAAAAAAAAAAAAAGAGAATTTATGAAAAGTCTGAAGGCCTATGGGAAAAAAACAAATGTTGTTTTGTGCTAATGCAGAAACCATCATCTTTTTTTTTTTTTTTTTTTTTTTTTTTGAGACTAAGTCTGGCTCTGTTGCTCAGGCTGGAGTGTAGTGACACGATCTTGGCTCACTGCAACCTCTGCCTCCCGGGTTCAAGCAATTCTCCTGCCTCAGTCTCCTGAGTAGCTGGGATTACAAGTGTGCACCACCACACCCGGCTAATTTTTGTATCTTTGGTAGAGACAGGGTTTCACCATGTTGGCCAGGGTGGTCTCGAACTTCTGACCTCAGGTGATCCGCCCGCCTCAGCCTCCCAAAGTGCTGGGATTACAGGCATGAGCCACCGCGCCTAGCCACAGAAACCATCATCTTTGAGTGCAGGAAACAATATTCTGCACTAGGTGCCTCCAGGCCACATAATCTTCTTCCATTCCGAAGGGCGGTGAAGAAATTATGCTGCATTTACCAAGGAGGAAACTGAGGCTAGGGGAGGTTCCCAACCTACTCGCCTGAGCTGGGGAGCAGCAGCCCCAGGACCGGTGCAGAGGAAGTTACTTCAGCAACTCCAGCTTTGCCTTCCTCACATGTGAAGTTGAGAAAAGGATTAACAGAACCACTCCACAGGGAGGTGCGAGGCCCATGGGTGCCTAAACAGCTCAGGGCACTTGGATAAAACTGCAAGGATCAGCCGGGCACAGTGGCTCATGCCTGTAATCCCAGTACTTTGGGAGGCCGAGGCAGAAGGATCAACTGAGCCCAAGAGTCCAAGACCCACCTGGGCAACATAGGGAAGAGACCCTGTCTCTCTAAAAAAAAAAAATTTTTTTAATTAGCCAGGTGTGGTGGCACGCACCAGTAGTCCCTGCTATTTGGGAGGCCGAGGTGGAAGGATCGCTTGAGCCCAGGCGGTCGAGGCTGCGGTGAGCCCTGATTGTGCCACTGCACTCCACCTTGGGCGACAGAGAGAGAACTTGTCTCAAAAAAAAACAAAAACAAAAACCTGCAGAGATCAACAGGCCCAGGGCCACACTCCAACAGGTGCTGGCAAAGCCCCGAGAGCCAGGGGAGTGGGTGGTATGTGGGTGGCTACCTTAGGCTGCCCTCAGTATGAAGCAGTGTTAAAGTAGGACCTGTGCTGGGCTCAGAGCTGGCCCCTGCTAGGGTATTTCCAAGCTCAGGAGACTGGACTCGTGATCCTCAACAAGCTAGAGTGCCCAGCACTCAGAAACCTCAAACAAACCTCAGTGTCCCTGAGAAGGGAACCTGACCACTGCCCCCTTGACAGAGCCGAATCTGGAGGCCCGAGGATCCTCCGCAGCAAGGCTCAGACTGCATGGCCCCTGCTTGGGAGCCAAGTGCACACCCTTCCCTGATTTCTTGCTGCCCCAAATACAAAGCAGGTATTCAGTAAACGCTGAGTGAGCGACGCTGTGTCCCTGTCCCAGGGGAGGCCCCATCTCCCTTGAGCCCAATAGGCTCACCTGATGCAGCCCCGTCTGTCCAGAGGGCCCACCTCCACCATGGTGCTAGCCTTTCCTTCCCTGAGGCCTCTGCAGGCGTTTCTGCCTCTGCCTGGACACCACCTTGCCTCCCCTGGAAAGAGGGACTGACAAGGCCTCCTGCACAGCCCATGTCCGCCTTGTACCTGGGCTCTAGGACACCAAAGTAAGCAGCTCTCCTCTCCCTCACAGGCCACTGTAGGCCTTGGAGGCCTTGCTCAAGCTAGTGACGGGCTAGGATGCCCTCCATCTTCCCCCTCTGTGTGGCACACACCTGCTCATCCTTCAGTAGCCAACTCAGAGGTTGCCCCCTCCAGGATGCCTTCCCTAGCCACTGTCCCCCCAAGCCCAGTTGAGTTTAATGCTTCCTCTGCGTTTCCACATCCCACAGAGGGTCCCCGTCATGGTGCAGCTCATGTGCTTTGAAGAGGCTGCTCGCTCCTCCTGACCAGGCCCTGTAAGGACAGAGAAGTCTGGGCTGGACCCTCAGTGGAGTCCCTAGGGCAAGGTATGGGCCTGGGGTGGGGACTGGAATCTTGATTGCATTCTGCTCAGCAGCCAAACACCTGAGGCAGGTGCAGGTGGAGGAGGAGAGGGAACCCCGAGAATTAAGCCATGCCCTGTAACTCTTGTCCATAAAGCCTTGGCCTGACTCAAGGGGATGCACTGAATTTCCCAGGGAGGTGACCCATTGACAAGCATCATACCTTCCAGAAGGTCTCTGAGTGCTGCATGAATTCCAACCCATCCTTGATCTCTGCTTTCATCTCGTGGATGTGAGCGACGGTGTGCACCGACCATGCGTCTGTCGGGTTAATAGATAAAGCCTACGCAGGGTGCGGGGAAGAGGATTCCAGATAAAGCAGATCAGTCAGGCTGCCGGGGCAGGCGACGGCAGGTCTCTAAGGGGCAAGAGGGGCCTGGGCTGAACGGGGTGGAGCAAGTGGGGGGGCGGGGCTCTGACTCAAAACACTGACAATTAGCACCACTTCCTGCCTGCCCGGGCACACCAGCTCATGGGTCTCACTGCCCAGTTCACAGATGAGGAAGCTGAGTCTTAGGGAGGCTATGCGACTTCACCCAGCTGGACAGCAGCAGGATCTTTCTAAAGCCAGGGCTCAGACCCAAGCCCACAGCATTCTGCATACAGCTGAGGTGCTTGCAAAACATACCCGCCCTCTCTGGGCCTCAGCTGCCGCCTGCCTGGAAGGCCACGGATGCTGCCTTTCTCTTAGAGAAGTGGTTACTGCCCATGTGAACGTGGTGTGAACTATCAAGTCCTCCAGTGGCTGTGACTGCCTCTTCCCACTACCATATATGTGAGGACACGTGGCTTTCTGGGTGCAGAAACAGCTGGCTCTGAGGTTATCACAGTTCATGACAACAGCCGCTCCCATGACCTGTGAGCTTGACAGCGACCAGCGAGGCAGGCAGGACTCATGGAATGATCCTCCCCTCCTAGCCGTTTCTTTCTTCTATTTATGTGTTCAGCTCATGTTTGCTAAGCATCTACTCAGCCACAGTCAGAGCTTAGAAAATGGAGCAGTAAACTGAGGCTCACAGAAGCCCCATTGCCTGGCCTGTGCCCAGGTCCCCCATGCCAAATCATGAGTTCCCGCCAGCCCCACTGCCTCAGTCTCCCCACGCCTTTCATAGGGGTCCAGAAGCCCCAAGCTCTTCTGCCCTGGCCCAGCACCTCCTGTGAGGCTTTTGGCAGGAGGTCGGCCCCAGCAAGCCCTGCCTCCCTGCCCACCACTCAGCTTTTGTGGGCCCAGCCCACTCCATGTGGGAACAGAGGGAAAGAAAGTGTGTCTGTAGGGGACCGTGGGCACCCCTGGGCAGGGGCTCTGAGTACAGGACACTTGGGCACAGTCTAAGCAGGGCGGGCGTGGGGCCCCGAGACGGGACCCTGCTAAGCATGCTGCTTTCACGAATGGCAGGAGTGAAGGGTGGTGGCTGTCACCAGCTCTGATGAGCTGACTGGCATCTTCCCTCTCTTGGAGCCCTCCCATGGTTCCGTGGGAAGGAGTCCAAACTGCATTCCCAGGCTACAAGGCCCAGCAGAATCCAGTCCTCACCTGCCCCTCTACAGCCCTGGCTCCTGGAGCCCTGGCTTGCCGCCTCCTCCCTAAGCCTCCACCCATTGAGCCACTTGGATGGAGCTCCAGGTCCCCAAGCTCTGTGGCTGTGCCTGTGCCTGCCGCCTGCCTGCTCCTGCCCTGGCTCCTCCTACCCTCACCAGCCTGGGGCTGCAGACACAGAGCCCATGTGTTACCACTCCTGGCCCCATCACAGCCTGCTTTTCCTGCCCAGTAGTTGTCTGTGGGGTGCTGGTGTTGAAGACAAAGAGTTGGTGCCTGCAACACAAGGGACAGGAGGCGAAAGGGGAGCAATGGAGAAGGGAGGGGACCCTATCCACCACTTCTTGCTCCTTGCAAGGCATGGGCTTGCATGTTTTTTTGGCCACCCTCAGTGCGGGGGACTTGCCACATCTGGTTTGCCACAGCTACCCTTGTCCAGAGCTTCTCCAAATGTCCCAGGAGCTCTCAGGTGCCCAGATGGATGCCACCCACAGGAGGGCCCAGCTACCATGGTCTCCAAGGGACTTTCCTACAGCTGACCCCTGGATGGTGCTGTCTGGTCACCCAGGCCATGGAACCAAGACTGTCAGAAAGCCACTCGGGTCCCCCACCTGCCCTGACTCAGAGTTAAAGCAAAGAACACATCACTCAAGCCTCAAGTCTCGGATTCTGTAATCAGAGCAGTCTTCAGAGAGCGCAGCGACCCTTGGGCCCCAATGCTGTCTCCCAGAGAGGATGCTGCAGGCCGACTAGGGCAACTACTGGGGGAAGAACCCCAGCCAGGATGTTGGGAGGCAGGGCCTGGAGCAGGCAGCTGAAAGGACAGCCATTGCCAGGTAGCCTGGGTAGAATCCGGCTCTGCCATCTCTGAGCCATGTGGTCTTAGGCAGGCTCTAGCCTTGGCCTCTGAGCCTTGGGCCCCTCATCTGGGCAACAAGGAGTTGGACATCACGTGGGCAGAGCTGTGTGGATGCAAGCAGACACACATGAAGTGCCACACAGAGCCGGGCACAGGAGCAGCTGTCACTCCCTTGTGCATGGCAGCCCCTCCATGGGCCTCAGTTTCCACTCCTGCAAGAAGAGGAGTAGAGGAGAGGGACCCCCAGAGCGTGAGACCATTCGCGCCCCAGGCCTGACAGCTGCAGCCTGCCACCCAGCCCTGGGCCCAGGTACACATGGGCACCCAGCAATGATCATGACTGGCGATCATCACTCAGCTCCCTGAACCTCTGGTGCCGTGAGTGATGCTTAGAAATGCGAAGTTCAGGAAGGAAGAGCCAACGCTTATTTACACTTCTCCTCCTACAAAGTCCTGTCCCAGCAGGGCAGTGTGGGCTCCGGAGCCAGGCAGAGCTGGTGGGAGCCCAGACCTGCCATTCTGTGCAACCCTAAGTGAGCAGGCTGACCACAGGCTCCCCGTACCCCATCAACCTCATCTGTAGACGTGGATCCAGTGTTAGCCAAGGAACGTGGCTCTGGGGACTTTGGGGGGGCCACAGGTGAATGACAGCCCCTGGCGGGCGGCAGCTGCTCACACTAACATGAGCTCCCCAGTCTCTCTGAGGAAGTGAGACCAGGGATGGGGTTCGCCGGGGTCACACACGAATGGTGCCCCTCATATGCCCTGGTCCAGCCAACGGCTACTCCCTGAGGGGTCAGGCACCTTAGGAAGGACCCACTTACCTCTTTGGCGAGTTTTTCTGCCTGGTCGTAGAAGTTGGTTTCCATCAAGCCAAAAGAGTAGATGCCTTTCACATAGCTAAAAACAGAAAAAAAGATCTCAGAATACAAAATGATGGATGGGTAGCAGGTTGAACTGTGTCCCCGCAAAGATACACTGAGGTCCTAACTGCCAGCACTGGGAATGTGACCTTTTTTGGAAATAGGGTCTTTGCAGAGGTAATAAGTTTAGAGGAGGTCATACGGGATTAGGGTGGGCCCTAACGCAATGACTGGTGTCCTTACAAGAGGGCCGTGTGAAGACACAGATGCCGAGGGAAGGCGGCAGGTAAAGACCAAGGCAGAGTGATACAGCTGCGAGCCAAGGGACTTCAAGGAACTCTGGGCACCACCAGAAATTGGAAGAGGCAGGAAGGACCCACCCCTGAGGCTCTGAGGGCACTGCCCTTGCTGACACCTTAGATGGGACTCTTGGCCCTCAAAGCTGTGAGTACCTGTCTGCTGCTCCAAACCACCCAGTTTGCAGCCCTTCGCTACAGCAACCGCAGGAGACTGATGCAACCTCCAACCCCACGCCAAGCTCTGTGCTTGTCAGCAATTCCATGCTTCTGACTGGTGAGGGGCAAGGTGAACATTACATCCGCACAATCATCCCCAAGCCCAGCACGGAGAGCGGCCCTGCTCCTCAATTAGCATCCCACCTTCTAAGAATCAACACGGGTCTCCACTGAGAGTAACAAGGGTCTCCTCCCGCTCCTGTCTGCATGGTGACATCCACCCAGAGGCATGACCCAGGGGCACCTCCCTGGGAAGCCTCCGTGACCTGTGGGCTGTCAACAGCTCCTCCTTGACTTCTGCAGTGCTGTACACAGTCCCCTGCCCGGCCTGGAATGCACTCAGTGAATGGCCGGGTCCTCCCCAGACCTGGAGCTCCCACAGGCTGGGACCTGTCTGTCCAACTCAGCCTCAGCCCAGGCCCAGCCCAGGATGGGCTAGAAGACACTGCTGAATAATTGCACGCTTCCAATCTCTCTCTTTTTTTTTTTTTTTTTTTTTTTTGGAGACAGAGTCTCGCTCTGTTGCCCAGGCTGGAGTGCAGTGGCACAATCTCAGCTCACTGCAACCTCCGCCTCCTGAGTTCAAGCAATTCTCCTTCCTCAGTCTCCTGAGTAGCTGGGATTACAGGCACATGCCACCTCGCCCAGCTAATTTTGGTATTTTTAGTAGAGACGGGGTTTCACCATGTTGGCCAGGCTGGCCTCAAACTCCTGACCTCAGGTGATCCACCCGCCTCGGCCTCCCAAAGTGCTGGGATTCCAGGCATGAGCCATTGCGTCCCGCCCACACTTCCAATCTCATCTGCAACTGCGCACCCGAGTATCTAGGGTGGTCACACATGAAACAAGTTTTCTTTCCTGTGGTTTCTCGGGGTTAAGTGAAAACAAAATAGGGCAATAGGGCTTCTGTTTGAGACTAAGATGTTAGCTTCATTACTTTGCAAGAAGACTGATTCTAGCTTTTGTTATTCATTGAAGCAATGTTCTTAAGCACTGGCTTCCAGAGTTATCTTTAAAATGTATGTGTGTGTGTGTGTGTGTGTGTGTGTGTGTGTGTGTGTATGTATATATATGTATTGTTTACTGGGGTCATTTAATCCTCAACACTTAAGCTATTTATTGTATGTTTGCTGTGTGTCAGGTACTATTAGGTTTCATGACGGTTAATTTTTATCTGTCAATTTGGCTGGCCCGTGGTGCTCAGCTGTTTGGCGAAACACCAGTCTAGGTGTTGCGGTGAAAGTATTTTTTATATATATATATGTTTATATATATATATATATTTAATATATATATTTTAATATATAATTTTTAATATATATTTTAATATATATTTAATATATATTTTTAATATATGTATTTTATATATATTTTTTTAATATATATATTTTTAATATATATATTCTTTTAGATACAGAGTCTTGCTCTGCTGCCCAGGCTGAGTGCAGTGGCATGATCGCCAGCTCACTGCAGCCTCAAACTCCTGGGCTCAAGGGAACCTCCCGCCACAGCCTCCTGAGTAGCCGGAACTACAGGCACATGCCACCATGCCTGGCTAACTTTTTTAATTTATTTTTTCTTTTTGTAGAGACAGAGTCTTGCCATGTTGACCAAGCTTATCTCAAACTCCTGGGCTCAAGCAATCCTACCGCCTCAGCTTCCCAAACAGCTGGGATTACAGGCATAAGCCACTGTGCCCAGTCTCGTGAAGGTATTTCTAGATGCGATTTGAGTAAAGCAGATTACCCTCCATGTGGGTGGGCCTCATCCAATCAGTTAAAGGCCTTAAGAGAAAGACGGAGGCCCCTAGAAGAAGAAATTCTGCCTGCAGACTGCCTCCAGATGTAAGACTAATGCTGACTCCTGCAGCGATTTCCAGCTTGCTGCCCTGCCCTACAGATTTTGAACTTGCCAGCCCTCACACTCACATGAGCCAATTCCTTAAAATAAATCTCCATCTCTCTCTCTGTCTCAGAGCTCTCTGGGCTTCTCTGGAGAGTGCTGACTAAATAATACAGCTTATTAACCTGTCCGAACCTCACAACTATTCTGTAATGAAGCTGCAGTGAAGTCAGTCCTGTGTGGTGGTCACTGGGGCTGTTCATGCACATTCCAGGCCTTCTTCTCTTCCCAAGCACACGGTAGAACTGTACTTCCTGGTCTCTTGTGGGTGGGTGAGGTCATGTGATCAGTTCTGGCCAATGACTTGGGAGTGGCAGGGTATCCTTTCATTCTAAACCTTTAATTGCCATTGTAAGCCCCCCAAGGAAAGCTTGCTTTTCCCTCTTAGTGACAGGTATGTCCAGAGGGCAGTTGCTTCATCAGCTGGGATCCCAGATGGAGACAAGGACATGGTGGCAGAGCCCTCAGCCCTTCTAAGGTAGCCACGTAGTATGAGTGAAAAATAAACCTTTGCTGTAATAAGCTTTGGGGAAGAAGAACCAGGGGATGTTTATTACTGCAGCAAAAACAATCCCATGCTGACTGATACATAATGGTACTACCTCATTCACAGGTGGGATGAAAATCAAGTGAAGAAAATGAGGCCTTTGAACTTTAAGGAACTAGGAGAATAGCAACAGTGGTCCCATTATTTTTAGGACAGGGCCAAGAGAGTCACCATATTTTTAGGGCAGAAAAGAGAGATTAAGAAACAGAAATAATGTGATTTCCAGCTGGCACATACCTGCTTAGGGGGATGTCAGGTGTCCAGAAGGGGTAAATTCGAGCAACAGAATCTCTCATCTGTTCCTGATAGCCCAGGTAAAAATAAGCATCATGGGAAAATTTCAGGGCCAACATGTCTGTCGGGTGGTCCTGGAGAATCTGTTCCCATAGTTCACAGGCTTTCGGAAAGTTCCTGGAAACCGAGAAAGATTTCTCACCAACGCTGAACACATAGTCCACCCACACAGGGAGTGTAAGAGGCATTGTTTCTCACCAGTGTCATGGTCTACATGGATGTGTTTTTTTAAAAATCAGTTTCTGACTGGGTGCGGTGGCTTATGCCTGTAATCCCAGCACTTTGGGAGACCAAGGCAGGTGGATCACGAGGTCAGGAGTTCAAGACCAGCCTGGCCAAGATGGTGAAACCCCATCTCTACTAAAAATACAAAAATGAGCAGGGTGTGGTGATATGTGCCTGTAATCCCAGCTACCCGGGAGGCTGAGGCAGGAGAATCACTTGAACCCGGGAGGTGGAGGCAGTGAGCCGAGATTGCGCCACTGCATTCCAGCCTGGGCGACAAGAGCAAAACTCTAAATAAATAAATGTAAAAAAATCACTTTCTATGTTAGGTTGTGAATCAGAAAACAAACTGAAAACCCAGTGGGAACTTTTACTCTTTAGTTCAATTTAAAAAAAAAAAAAAACTGGTTTAACAAATTGCCAAAGATAATCCCAGTGGAGACCGTGAGACAGCCACAGGAAGTCTCTGAGGTGGAACCCACACCTGGGCTGACTTACCAGGAAGACCAGGCCGCACCTCCCCAGTCTCAGGGTTCGGAATCCCTGAGTCCCTGCACAATCGGCTAGGGTCGCCTAACTCTGCAGGGCATCTCGCCTGCCTGAGCAGACATGGGGGCTGTCCCGGAGAATGAGGGAACCAGCATAGGAACAGCGGGGGGATGATGTGAAAGTCAGTGCAAGAGCAAGGAACTTATGGGTGAAGATTTGATTTGATTGTTTATTTCTCACTAGAAGAAGCATGTTTTCTTCTCTCTTCCCTAACCTAGTAATTTCTGTAGTGTGACCCTATTATTTTTGTAAGGAAAATAATATATAATTTACTTAATGAAACAAAGCAAGTTACTTTGGACACTAAGTTGGGAATCTTCACCAACTGCTTCCTCACTCAGCACTCCACCAAGAATAGGGAAGCAGACAGGATGCGATTTTCCATCAGAGCATCTCAGGAGGCAGGGAGAGAAGCATTCTCCCACCCCGCCCCCGTCCCAAGGGCATCAGGAAAGGGATACCCTGCCACTCCCCCAGCTCAGCCTCAGGGTGCCAGCTCCCAGCCCAGGGAGGCCCCTCACCCATTGGCAAATGTCTCTACTGCAGACACGTGCAGCTGCTCCCGCCTTGTCAGCGGCTGGGTTCTTGAAATCTCCACCATTGTCTTCACAGCCAGGTCCAGCTCTTTGTCCAGCTTCACGGAGCTTCCAGTGCCAATCAGCACAAGGCCAGTAGCCATGGCGTGGCCCATCACTGGTGGGAGGTTAGAGAACGGCTGGTGGTTCAGATGGTCCAGCTCAGCCCATCCCAGCCCAGACTCCACATGTCACAGAGACACCCCACGTCCCAGGAGGGGCCAGCCAGGCAGCAGCAGGCTGGGCACTGTGGCCCTGCCTACTGTCTAGAACTCAGCCTCGGCTCTTGTCAAGCATGGAGGGAACTGCAAGCCTAAAGGCACCCTTGAACATTTTTCTAGTGAGGGCATTCTGCTGAGTGCCAGTGTCTAAAGCACCTTCCCCCTTCAATGGATGAGCCACTTAGAGGCTGCCTGCAGGCTCATCAGCTGACACTACCGCCACAGCCAGCACACGGCTCCCGGGAGGCATCAGTGGATGCTGCTCATAAGGGGCTGGACCAAGGAGGCCCCGGAGCACAGAAGTCATGATCCCATCTGTGCTGCTCACACATGCTAAAAGTTAGGGTGGGGGTGAGTGCCTTGTGGCCCTCGCAGCAGCCTTGCTGGCAGGAGTGCAGGCCCCCAGGCCCCACTGTGGGAGAGCCAGGGTGTCCACTGGCATTTGGAACTTGGTCACTGGCTCAGGCCTGGGACCCAGGACCCAACCATAGTGTGCTAGGACCACCCATGTGGACCCTGGAAAACAGCTGGTGATTCCGATGGTCGAGCCCAGCCCAGCCCAGCTGATGATTCAGGTGGTCGAAGCCCCCTGATCAGGGCTCAAGGTCTGCTCAGAGAGTCCGAGCCCACCCCTGGCTCCTGGCTCCCCATGACTGGGTTTGGCTCCCCCGTTCTCCCCCAGTTATTTCCTTGTTTGTCTTCTCCAGGGCAGTACAAGTCCCCTGCCTTAAGTCTGACTAGGCTGCAGCAGGGTGAGAAGGGTGTCCCTGCCGCACTGACAAGAGCCCTGTCCCCTCATCAGACCTTCTCCCAGGCCCGGAACCTTGCCGCACCACGGGACCACCCACCTGCAATGCACTGTGCTGGCTTCCCCATGCCCGCTGTACACATGGCTTGCCTGGATGCCAGCCTCTGTCACCACCTCACCCTGGCCACTCTGGATGAGGCCTCACTGGTCCCCTGACGGAGGCTGCAGCAGCCACCTCTCATGTTCCAGGGGTCTGGGCCTTGGATTCAGGAAGCTTTATCTAATCCCAGGGGTCAACCACCAGCTGGGTGGCTTTAAGTACAGTCTTACTCTTGCCAACCCTCAGTTTCCTCATCTGAGAAATGAGATCAGCATCTTCATTCCCGAATTGATGGTAATTAAAGAAAAGATGAGAAAAATGCCTTCTGATAGAACCTGGCATCTTTATGGGAGTGACTGTTTTTCCAGACACAAAGGCAGCTGTCATCTTCTCTCCCTCTGTGCAAATGCCACCCTGGTTGCTGCCACCCAACCTGCCTTCCCCATCCCAACTGTGTCCCTGTGGTAAAGGAAAGAGAGGGGCTGGATGTGTGAAGCGGGGCTCCTCCACCCAGGGAAGGCGTTACTCACCAAAGGTTGGATCTGCTGCTTTGAGCTTTGACAGGCAGCCCTCGATGCCACCGAGACTCTTGTCATTGGTCCATTTTACATACTGAAATGGGAAAAGCAAAACAAGTCCTCACGGAGCCCTTGGATCATTCTAACAAAGGTGGCTCTAAATCCAGGTTTACACTTTGGGAGGCCGAGGCGGGCAGAACATCTGAGGTCAGGAGTTCGAGACCAGCCTGACCAACACGGTAAAACCCCATCTCTACTAAAAATAGAAAAATTAGTGGGGCGTGGTGGTGCATGCCTGTAGTCCCAGCCACTTGGTAGGCAGAGGCATGAGAATCACTTGAACCCGGGGGCTGAGGTTGCAATGAGCCAAGATTGTGCCACTGCACTCCAGCCTGGATGGCAGAGAGAGACTGTCTCAAAAAACAAAAAATAAAAATAAATCCAGATTTGTTTTTCTTTGTAGAACACTGAGTATTTTCTGGACTCTAACCCAAAGAAGGCATAACCTGGCTGATAACTTTCTTCATACGAAGAAATGAAATACACATCACCCAAGGCACACTTTCTAGGGCTAGGGATGCTGCATTTCCAAAAAAGAAACATCAAAAGGCAGGTTCTGGCTGGGCGCGATGGCTCACGCCTGTAATCCCAGTACTTTGGAAGACTGAGGCGGGTGGATCACTTGAGGGCAGGAGTTTGAGACCAGCCTGGCCAACATGGCAAAACTCTGTCTCTACAAATAATACAAAAATTAGTCAGGCGTGGTGGCACATGTCTGTAGTCCTAGCAACTTGGGCGGCTGAGACTTGGGTGGCTGAGACAGGAGAATCGCCTGAACCTGGGAGGTAGAGGTTGCAGTGAGCTGAGATCGTGCCACTGCACCCCAGCCTGGGTGACAGAGAAAAGGAAAAAAAAAGGCCAGGTGTGGTGGCTCATGCCTGTAAGCCCAGCACTTTGGGAGGCCGAGGTGGGCGGATCATGAGGTCAGGAGATCGAGACCATCCTGGCTAACACGGTGAAACCCCCGTCTCTACTAAAGATACAAAAAATCAGCCGGGTGTGGTGGTGGGCGCCTGTAATCCCAGCTACTCGGGAGGCTGAGGCAGGAGAATGGCGTGAACCCAGGCGCCACTGCACTCCAGCCTGGGCGACAGAGTGAGACTCTGTCTCAAAAAAGAAAAAAAAGAAAAAAGAAAAGAAAGAAAAGGCAGGTTCCTCCTGACAGGTGACCTGCTCCACATCGGCTTCTTCTGCCCTAAGAGGAGCCCTGAAGTTGGTCACGATAGGAATATTCCTGCTTCTTATTCATTCGTTTTAAAAATATTCACAGAAAACATTTATTTTAGAGAGTTAGAAAGACACAAAAGCTGAAAGATAAAACTTACCCAAAGCTCATTTTATCATTTTTTTTTTAATTGAGACAGAATCTTGCCCTGTCACCCAGGCTGGAGTGCAATGGCACGATCTTGGCTCACTGCAACCTCTGCCTCCAGGTTTCAAGCAATTCTCCTGCCTTGGTAGGAGAATCCCTCCTTAGTAGCTGGGATTACAGGTGTGCACCACTGCGCCCGGCTAATTTTTTTTTTTTCTTTTTTGAGATGGAGTCTTGCCCTGTCACCCAGGCTGGAAGGCAGTGGCACTATCTCAGCTCACTACAACCTCCACCTCCCTGGTTCAAGAATTCCTCTGCCTCAGCCTCCCGAGTAGCTGGGATTACAGGCCCATGCCACCATGCCCGGCTAATTTTTTTATATTTTTAGTAGAGACAGGGTTTCACCATGTTGGCCAGGCTGGTGTTGAACTCCTGACCTCAGATGATCCACCTGCCTCAGCCTCCCAAAGTGCTGGGATTACAGGCGTGAGTCACCGCGCCCAGCGCATCATCATTTTTAACAATTTGCTGTATTTGTACCTGGTCCTTTACTCAAATGCCTGTTTTAAAAAAAGTCCTAGACCTATAATCACACATTAGATTTTAAAATATGCCCTTTCAGCTGTCTAACCTACATCTACACAGAATTAGTACGTGTATTTTTTTTTTAAGACAGGGTTTGCTCTGTTGCCCAGGATGGAGTACAGTGGCACAATCACAGCTCACTTCAGTCTCAACCGCCCAGGCTCAAGCAATCCCCCTGCCTCAGCCTCCCAAATAGCTGAGACTATAAGCTACGCAAGCATTTTGACAAGATACAGGAGGGTTGGCACAGAGATTTAAAGAAGCCAAGTTCTAACACAGGACAGCACAGAGACACCAATACACGGGACAAAATATACCCAGGCTGGGAGGATGAGCTGCCACTGATTGGGGATGTGGTGTGTAACAAACTGAGTACTAGGGGCCGGGCACAGTGGCTCACGCCTGTAATCCCAGCACTTTGAGAGGCCAAGGCAGGGGAATCACAAGGTCAGGAGTTTGTGACCATCCTGACCAACATGGTGAAACCCCGTCTCTACTAAAGATACAAAAAATCAGCTGGGTATGATGGTGCGTGCCTATAATCCCAGCTACTTCGGAGGCTGAGGCAGGGCAATCGCTTGAACCCGAGAGGCAGAGTTTGCAGTGAGTCAAGACTGCGCCATTGCACTCCAGCCTGGGTGACAGGGCAAGACTCCGTCTCAAACAAAAAACAAATCGAGTACTCTACAGAGGCCGGCGAGATACAGGAAGGGCAAGTGAGCCAGGTCAAACACAAAATAAACAAACAACTCAGATGCCCACAGCAGAGTCCCTTGGCAGGGCAGGCTGGGAACAGGAGAGGCACCCATGGCGCAGCTCACAGCATTCCATCAGTCCTCTCTTGTTCAGCCCGTAGGCTTCTAAGAGCTACCTGAGTCCTCCTGTTATGTGGATGAAGTCAGTATGCAGGGGCCTCACCACCCACGCCAAGGTCAGCTTAGGTTTCTATCAGTGCAGTTAGGCCCAGGTTCATCCTGGTTCTGCCTGTAATTCATGGACAACCTTCAAGTCAAGTAGGTTCAACTCTGAGCCTCAGTTTCCCCACTTGTCAAGGAAGCTAGTTGGATCTTACTTCTGAGACTTCTCCTAGTTCTAAAACTATAGGACCCTTCATTGGTAGAGAAATGACTGGTAATGTGGCAGAAGGTCTTGGCACAGCCTAGGTGAAGGCAGTATACTCACAGATTCATCCCAGGACAGGATCCCACGTCCTAAGCAGCCGAGCCCTGCATCAGACCCTCAGCAGGCCACAATGGGAGGCCCGGGGAGGCCAGCATCCTCAAAAAACATCCCCACTGCACCCACCGCTGTCCACCCACCACTCAGAGTCCTGGGGAAGAAGGGAGAGTGCAGAGGCCCTTTTAGGACGCTGTGGGGGGGGGGCAGAGATATGTCCCCACCCTCCCACGTCCTCCAGTACAAAGTGCACAGATGTGCTGCCATCTATTGCTAAGGTCATGGCGCAATTTAAAAAGCTTTCCCCATGGCCGGGCGCGGTGGCTCACGCCTGTAATCCCAGCACTTTGGGAGGCCGAGGCGGGCGGATCACGAGGTCAGGAGATCGAGACCATCCTGGCTAACACGGTGAAACCCCGTCTCTACTAAAAAATACAAAAAAAATTAGTCGAGGGCAGTGGCGGGCGCCTGTAGTCCCAGCTACTCGGGAGGCTGAGGGACGAGAATGGCGTGAACCCGGGAGGCAAAGCTTGCAGTGAGCCGAAATAGCGCCACTGCACTCCAGCCTGGGCGACAGAGCGAGACTCCGCCTCAAAAACAAAACAAAACAAAACAAAACAAAACAAAAAAACAGCTTTCCCCAATTAAAAAACCTTCCCCTAGACCTCCACAGAAGGGGCCGCGGCCTCTCTCGGCAGGCATACCTGGGTCAGCGTGGCATCGAACAGCTTGCAGGCTTCGTTGCTTGTGGTGGAGAGCGGGAGCCTCGCATCCTTCCAGGCCTACAGACGGCAAGAAGGGAATAGCAGTGCCTTCTCTCCAGGAGCCCTTCAAACTTCAACACACACACGTCTCCTGGCCCCTCTGACCTCCACCTTCCTCATCTGTAAAATGGGCTCAGGCTCCCAGTCCTGGGCCGGTTCCAAGGAGCCCCTTACCTTTGCGGGCTTCCCTGCGTCCCCAGCCATGCCCAGTGAGCTACGTTTTTTAGGAGGTCTTGGGGTCTCCCGAGTACCCTGACAGGCGTCCCTTATTTCCCTCGGTGGGGACTCTACAAGAAGGGCCTCGGGTCCCTTCCAGGCGTTGCCGCGGACGCGCCCGTGCGCCCAGGGCTCACCCCACGCCCCGCGCCCGGGCCATGTCTCCCGTTATTCCGCCAGCACCGGGCCACCCCCAGGACCCGGGGCCCGAGGGGGACCTGGTTGGGGGCAGCCTCCGTGTACCTGGCAGTCGCGCAGAGGCGAGGCTGCGGCCATGTTGCGCCGGGTCGGAGTCCACCGCGAGCTCTGGGCACCCGGGCCTTCCTGGGAGTGGGCGGGGCGGTCGCGGAAAGGGGCGGGGCGGGGCGGCCGCGCTCTCCCGCTCGCTCACTGGTGGGTTTCGGACAGACTGGCCCTGGTCCAGGATCCGGGCCCGCCCCAGAGGCCCGACCGGACAACTCTGCAACGCGACGGGTCCCTTGGGAGCAGGGAGCTCCGGGACAGCGGTCACTTTCAAGTTTATGTCGTTGCGGTCGGCAGCTACCCGCGCGCGCACGGCACACACTCACTTGGCGTTCGGGGCCGGCTTCACTGGGTCGTCCCGCCGCCTCCATCCTCCCTTCTCAAGGATTTGCAGCGGAAAAATCGCTCTGTCTCCTGCAGTAGCGGCTTCTCCCTCTGGACTGGCCCGGTCTGGCCCGGCCTGAACTCTGCCATCAGCCACACACCAGCCCCAGTCCAATGGGCTCCCCTAGTTTAATTTGCCCCCGCCCCAGGGTGCACGAATCAAGGGCGTAGAACCAAGTGCACGGGCAGATCTGGCCTTTATTTAAAATGCTATTTTGTTCATCATGGACTTTTTGCATTAGTTTTGATTTTTGAAATATTGCACTGAAGTATTATTTGTTTTATGTGAGAGCTGTAAAGATAAAACTCTTAGAAGAAAACAGAAGTAAATCTTCATGGCCTTGGATTTAGCAATGGATTCTTAGATGTAACACCAAAAGGACAAGCAACAACAACAAAATAGATAAGTTGGACTTCGTCAAAATTAAAAACTTTTCTGAATCAAAGGACACTACTCAGGAAACTGAAAAGATTAACACAATGGGAAAAAACATTTGTAAATCATATATTGGGTAAGAGTCTAGAATCCAGAATACATAAAGAAATCTTGGCCGGGCACAGCAGCTCATGTCTGTAATCCCAGCCCTTTGGGAGGCTGAGTCAGGTGGATCACCTGAGGTCAGGAGTTCAAGACCAGCCTGGCCAACATGGTGAAACCTTATCTCTATTAAAAGTACAAAAATAGCCAGGCGTGGTGGTGCATGCCTGTAATCCCAACTACTTGGGTGGCTGAGGCAGGAGAATCGCTTGAACCCGGGAAGTGGAGGTTGGAGTAAGCCAAGATTGTGCCACTGCACTCCAACCTGGGCAACAGAGCCAGACTCTGTCTCAAAAAAAAAGAATTCTTACAACTCAACAGCGAAATGACAAACAGCCCAAATTTAAAGTGGGCAAAGAATTTGAGGTGACAGTTCTCCAAAGAAGACACACCTTTCCTACAGCGTTTTCAAGGTTCATTCATACTGAAGGAAGAGGCAGACACAAAAGGTAACACTTGTATTAGTGCATTTACATGCATGTCCAGAATACGCAAACATAGAGACAGAAAGAAGATTGGTGGTGACCAGGGACTGAGGGGATAGGGATGATAAGTCACTGAAGCCTTGAACTCCTGGCTCCAGCAATCCTCCCACCTCAGCCTCCCATAAATGGTTACTTTTATGTGAACTTTACCTCAATAAAAGAGAATTTGTCTTGATTATTGAGTTTTTGGTGCCCCTCCACCCTTAAATTTTGCACTTGAGCTGAGTACTAATATGGACTAATACAGTAAATTGGTACCATTAGAGTGGGGTGTTGCCAAAAATATACCTGAAAATGTGGAAGCAACTTTGGAACTGGGTAACAGGCAGAGGTTGGAACAGTTTGGAGGGCTCAGAAGACAGGAGTATGTGGGAAATTTTGGAACTTCCCAGATACTTGTTGAATGGCTTTGCCCAAAATGCTGATAGTGATATGGACAATAAGGTACAGGCTGAGGTGGTCTCAGATGGGGATGAGGAACTGGAGCAAAGGTGATGCTTGTTATGTTTTAGCAAAGAGACTGGCAGCATTTTGCCCCTGCCCTAGAGATTTGTGGGACTTTGAACTTGAAAGAGATGATTTAGGGTATCTGGCAGAAGAAATTTCTAAGCAGCAAAGCATTCAAGAAGTGACTTGGATGCTGTTAAAAGCATTCGGTTTTAAAAGGGAAACAGAGCATAAAAGTTTGAAAAATTTGCAGACCGAAAATGTGATAGAAAATTCCATTTTCTGAGGAGAATTCAAACCAGCTGCAGAAATTTGTATAAATAACAAGCAGCCAAATGTTAATCCCCAAGACAATGGGGAAAAGGTCTCCAGGGCATGTCAGACGTCTTCATGGCAGCCCCTCCCATCACAGGCCTGGAGGCCCAGGAGGAAAAAGTGGTTTTGTGGGCTGGGCCCAGGGTCCCCAAGCTGTGTGCAGCCTAGGGATTTGGTGCCCTGTGTCCCAGCTGCTCCAGCTGTGGCTGAAAAAGGCCAATGTAGAGCTCGGGCTGTGGCTTCAGAGATTGCAAGCCCCAAGCCTTGGCAGCTTCCATGTGGTGTTGAGCCTGCAGTTGCACAGAAGTCAAGAATTGAGGTTTGGGAACCTCTGCCTAGATTTCAGAAGATATATGGCAACACCTGGATGCCAGGCAGAAGTTTACTGTAGGGGGAAGGCTCTCATGGAGAACCTGTGCTAGGGCAGTGTGGAAGGGAAATGTAGGGTTAGAGCCCCCACACAGAGTCCCTACTGGGGCACCGCCTAGTGGAGCTGTGAGAAGAGGGCCACCATCCTCCAGACCCTAGAATGGTAGATTCACCAACAGCTTGCACCATGAGTCTAGAAAAGCTGCAGACACTCAACACCAGCCCACGAAGGCAACCAGGAGGGAGGCTGTACCCTGCAAAGCCACAGGGGCGGAGCTGCCCAAGACCATAGGAACCCACCTCTTGCATCAGCATGAGCTGGATTTGAGACATGAAGTCAAAGGAGATAATTTTGGAGCTTTAGGATTTGACTGCCCCACTGGATTTCAGACTTGCATGGGCCCTATAACTCCTTTGTTTGGCCAATTTCTCCCATTTGGAATGGTTGTCTTTACCCAATGTCTGTACCCCACTGTATCTAGGAAATAACTAACTTGCTTTTGATTTTTTTTCTGTTTTTTGAGACAGAGTTTCGTTCCTGTTGCCCAGGCTGGAGTGCAATGACACGATCTTGGCTCACCGCAACCTCTGCTTCCCGGGTTCAAGCGATTCTCCTGCCTCAGCCTCCCGAGTAGCTGGGATTACAGGCATGCACCACCACACCCGGCTAATTTTGTATTTTTAGTAGAGATGGGGTTTCTCCATGTTGGTCAGGCTGGTCTCAAACTCCCAAGCTCAGGTGATCTGCCCGCTTCAGCCTCCCGAAGTGCTGGGATTACAGGGTGAGCCACTGCGCCCAGCCAGTTGCTTTTGATTTTACAGGCTCATAAGCATAAGCGACTTCCTTTGTCTCAGACAGGACTTTGGACTGTGGACTTTTGAGTTAATGTGAAATGAGTTAAGACTTTGGAGGACTGTTGGGAAGGCATGATTGGTTTTGAAATGTGAGGAGATGAGATTTGGCAGGGGTGGAATGATATAGTTTGGCTCTGTGTCCCCACCCAAATCTCATCTTATAGTCCCATAATTCCCACATGTTGTGGGAGGGACCGGGTGGGAGATAACTGAATCACAGGGGCAGTTTCCCCCATATTGTTCTGTGGTAGTGAATAAGTCTCAGGAGATCTGATGCTTTTATCAGGGGTTTCCGCTTTTGCGTCTTCCTCATTTTCTCTTGCCACTGCCATGCAAGAAGTGCTTTTTGCCTCCTGCCATGATTCTGAGGCCTCCCCAGCCATATGGAACTGTAAGTCCAATTAAACCTCTTTTTCTTCCCAGTCTTGGTTATGTCTTTATCAGCAGCATGAAAACGGACTAATACAGGGGAGGGCCAATTAAGACCACGAGTTTGAGACCAGCCTGTGAAACACAGCAAGACACCATCTCTACAAAAATAAAAAATAAATCAGTCAGGTGTAGTGGTGTAGACCTGTAGTATGGGAGGCTGAGGCAGGAGGATTCCTTGAGCCCAGGAGTTCAAGGTTACAGTCAGCTATGATTGCACCATTGCACTCCAGCCTGGGCAACAGAGCAAGACCCTGTCTCTAAAATCATTCAATCCATCAATCAAGTCCCAAAATATACAGCAAAAATGGACAGAGTTAAAGAATGAGGCCAGGCACAGTGGCTCATGCCTGTAATCCCAGCACTTTGGGAGGCCGAGGTGGGTGGATCACTTGAGGTCAAGCCATTGCACTCCAGCCTGGGTGACAGAGACTCCGTCTCAAAAAACAAACAAACAAACAAACAAACAAAAAACAAAACCCCCAAACCAACTAGAAAGAAAAGAGCAAAGCGACCCCAAAGTAAGAAACCGAGAGTCAGACCTTCCTGGGCGCCCAGGGATCTCACGGTTCCCTCCTGATCTCCCATTTTGTGACTGGCTTTCCCAAGGGTTCCTGCTGAAGCCCCTTCTCCGTGGTCAGCTCTGTGGTCTGCACGGGGCTGAACTGCCCTCCTGAGCCATCCTGACCCTGGGCCTGCACACACTTGGGGACGGAGAGGGAAGAGGTACCCAAGAAGTCCCCAGTGCCGACTGACCCCAAGCTCCGAGGTCCCAGCTGCTCTCTGGGACTCTGTCCCTGGGACCCCTCTGCCAGCGCCCTTCGACGCCCGAGACCCCCACTGTCCCCAAGACCCTCACTATCCCCGCGACCCCGGTGGCGGTTGGGCGCGCCTCGCGGCCTCTCCCAGCTTCTCCTGGGCCGGCGCCATGAGGCCTGGGCCCGCTCTCCTCCTTCTGGGCGTGGGCCTGAGCCTGAGCGTCGGCCGCCTCCCGCTGCCGCCGGTTCCTCGCGGGGCACAAGCCGCCGTCTCCGGGGCGCCCGGTGGCCTCCTCAGGGGCGCCCCGGGCCTCGGGGTGCGCGGCGGCCGCGCCCTCCTCAGTCTGCGGCCCAGCGCGGTGCGGGCGGGCGGCGCTGTCCTGAGCGGCCGCGGCAGCCTCTGCTTCCCCCATGGCGGGACCGGGCGGCGCTGGTACTGCCTCGACTTGCGCGTCCTGCTCAGCGCCCAACGCCTGCCCTGGCCGGCCGCGCCCGCGCTCGCGCTCGTCGACCTGCAGCTCTCCGCGCGCGGCGGCCGCCTCTCCCTGACGTGGTCCGTGCGGCTGCCGCGCTCGCCCGGGCGCCTGGCCTGGGCCTTCCGCCTGCGGCTGCTCGGACCCGGCGCCGCCCGCCCGGCCTCCCCCGCGGCCCGCGTCTCCCCGCGCTCCGCCGCGCCAGGCCCGCGGCCCCAGCAGGGCTTCGTGGCCCGCACCGAGTGCCCCACAGACGGCCCCGCGCGCGTGATGTTGCAGGCCGTCAACTCGTCCAGCCACAGAGCCGTCGAGTCGTCCGTGTCCTGTCAGATAAACGCCTGCGTCATCCAGCGCGTGAGGATCAACACGGACCAGAAGGGCGCCCCCGTGCGCCTGAGCATGCAGGCGGAGGCCACCATCAACGCCTCGGTGCAGCTGGACTGCCCGGCCGCGCGCGCCATCGCCCAGTACTGGCAGGTGTTCTCCGTGCCCGCCGTGGGTCAGGCGCCCGACTGGACGCAGCCCTTGGATCTGCCCCAGCTCGAGATCAGGAACAGCCCCTTGTTCATTCACATCCCCAATAATTCGTTACAGTGGGGAGTGTATGTGTTTAATTTCACGGTGTCCATCACCACAGGGAACCCCAAGATGCCCGAGGTGAAAGACTCGGACGCCGTCTATGTCTGGATCGTCAGGAGTTCCCTGCAGGCGGTGATGCTTGGCGATGCCAA
This sequence comes from Homo sapiens, assembly GCF_000001405.40. Taxonomy (NCBI): domain Eukaryota; kingdom Metazoa; phylum Chordata; class Mammalia; order Primates; family Hominidae; genus Homo; species Homo sapiens. Next base: position 46,262,288 of record NC_000022.11, on the reverse strand, counting down.
CATAACAGCTAATTTCACAGAGCAGCTGATTCTGGACGGGTCCACGTCCTCGGACCCAGATGCGGACAGCCCGTTACAGGGACTCCAGTTCTTTTGGTACTGTACCACAGATCCCAGAAACTACGGTGGGGATCGAATAATCCTGGGGAGCAAGGAAGTCTGTCACCCCGAGCAGGCCAATCTGAAATGGCCCTGGGCCTCGGGCCCTGTACTGACACTTTTGCCAGAAACACTTAAAGGCGACCACGTGTATTTCTTCAGAATGGTGATTCGGAAGGACTCTAGGACAGCGTTTTCTGATAAGAGGGTCCACGTGCTCCAAGGACCAAAAGCCATAGCACACATCACATGTATCGAAAATTGTGAGAGAAACTTCATTGTCTCTGATAGATTTTCTTTGTTCCTAAATTGCACAAATTGTGCAAGCCGTGATTTCTATAAATGGTCAATTTTGTCTTCTTCAGGTGGTGAGATGCTATTTGATTGGATGGGGGAAACTGTAACAGGAAGGAATGGTGCTTATCTGTCTATAAAAGCTTTTGCTTTTCGGCATTTTTTGGAAGCTGAGTTTTCGATTTCTCTGTATCTAGCATGTTGGAGTGGAGTGACCTCGGTCTTCAGGCATTCTTTTATTATTAACCATGGCCCTCAGATCGGAGAATGCAAAATTAATCCAGCTAAAGGAATTGCACTTATTACTAAATTTGTTGTCCAGTGTAGTAATTTTAGGGATAAGCACGTCCCTCTTACATATAAAATAATTGTTTCTGATTTGCACAGTGTTGGTGAAATCAGTTCAGTAAAAGAGAACACCCTGGGGACCATCCTGTACTTGGGGCCTCAGTCCACAGTACCCCCTTCCTTTCTCCCTGTTGGTATGTTGGCTAGTCAATATGGCTTGAAGATATATGCCCAGGTCTATGATTCTCTAGGAGCTTTTTCTCAGGTGACTTTGCATGCCACCGCACAGGCTCCCACTGACAAAAATTCATCAAAGACAGTGTTGAATCAGTTACTCAGTTTCACCGTGGGACCAAGTTCATTGCTGTCTACTTTGATTCAAAAGAAGGATTTTTTACCTGCAGGTTACTTACTGTATATAGTAGCTTCCGTTTTGAATAACATGAAAACTGAATTACCTCTCCGAGATGACAGAGTCAATCTCCGAAAACACCTCATCGATCAGTCTTTCCTTCTTCCTGTAAGCACTTTGGTAGAAATTGGCCAGGTAGTCATGACTATTACCAAATTAACCCAGAAACCCTCTGAATTCACTTGGGATGCTCAGAAACGTGCCACCATGAGGGTATGGCAAGCAAATCAAGCCCTACAAGAGTATCAGCAAAAAGATAAACGCTTTCGATCTGAACAAATAGAAATCGTGAGTACTGGAATACTAATGAGTTTGTCTAATATTCTTAAAATGACTTCTCCTCACCAAGTAGTTAAAGATCCTTTCTATGTAATAGAATCTCTATCAGACACAATACTGGCTAATAAAGTGCCAGGGAACAAAACCACCTCAATGAGAACCCCCAATTTCAACATGTATGTCAAGAAAGTTGAAAAGTGGGGTATCAACCAGCTCTTCAGAAATGAGAAACACTGCAGAAATTGTTTTTATCCAACACTCAATGTGAGCAGTGTTCCTGGTCTGTCTGCAAATGGTCCCATTTCTACAATGTTTTGTGATTTCACAAATGACCTCTTTCCTTGGTTAAATGATCAGGAAAACACTTCGGTGGAGGTGTCTGGATTCAGAATGACAGGAGTTGCAGATAACGGTAGTGTGCTAGAGATCACACCTGATGTAGCGGAAGTGTACCTTGTCAGGAAAAACTTGACCTTTGCAGCTTTTAATCTCACAGTGGGACCCAACAGCGAGGTTGATGGGTCCTTGAAGAAGACGACAGGTGGGTTTAGCTTTCAAGTGGACAGCACAGTGCTTAGGGAGGTTCTGGTCCACATAGTAACAGAAGTGATGGTGCTGTTCACAGTGTTGGTGTACACAGGCAGTCAGATCACTCCCACAGCGCTGGTCGCCACCTTCCTGGTGCCTCATGACATCCCTCCATTTGCCAGCCAGAGTGCCCTGTTTGACCCAGCCTGCACAGTGAAGAAGGCCCGTGTAGTCTGCCTCCCTGTGTCCCTGCTGCAACTCATAGCTCAGCACAGCCACTCTCCCCACTGTACTGTATCCATAGTTCTGCAGGCACCTCGTTTTGTCATGAAGCTCAATGACAAGCTAGTGAGAATTTCTATTTTCAGCGTCCAGTGCTTGGACATGTATGGGATCCAGAGTGAATGGAGAGAGGGTTATTGCATTCTTGGTGAGAAGACCAGCTGGTATGAGGTGCACTGCATCTGCAAGAATGTAGTAAGGGCTAGGCGGCAGCTGGGCACAATCGGACTCACGGGCATTCACCTGCATACCCACTATGTGATGGCCAAGGTGATTGTGATCCCTAATCCTGTGGATCTACGGTTAAACATCATCAAGAGCCTTCACCAAAACCCCGTGACCCTCTTCACTGTGCTTTTCATTATTCTCTTATACGTGGGCCTAGCTTTTTGGGCTTTATACAGGGATGAAATGGACCAGCATCTTCGGGGGCATGTGATAGTTCTACCAGATAATGATCCTTATGATAATTTATGCTACTTGGTGACTATTTTTACAGGAAGTCGTTGGGGGTCTGGGACCAGGGCCAATGTCTTTGTGCAACTTAGAGGAACTGTGAGTACCAGCGACGTGCATTGTTTAAGCCATCCACATTTCACAACTCTCTACCGAGGTAGCATCAACACTTTCCTCCTAACGACAAAAAGTGACTTGGGGGACATCCATTCCATCCGTGTGTGGCACAACAACGAGGGTCGATCGCCTAGCTGGTATTTAAGTAGAATCAAAGTGGAAAATCTGTTTAGCAGGCACATTTGGCTGTTCATATGCCAGAAATGGCTTTCTGTTGATACCACTTTGGACAGAACATTTCACGTTACCCATCCAGATGAGCGTCTGACTAGAAAAGACTTTTTCTTTATAGATGTGAGTAGTAATCTCCGGAAAAACCACATGTGGTTCTCTATTTTTGCTAGTGTTGTTGCTAAAACATTCAATAGGCTCCAGAGATTGTCCTGTTGTTTAGCAATGTTGCTTAGCTCTCTTCTTTGTAACATTATGTTCTTTAATCTAAATAGACAAGAACAAACTGAGTCAAGAGAGAGGAAATACATGAGATCAATGATGATAGGAATTGAAAGTGTCTTAATTACAATCCCTGTGCAATTATTAATAACTTTTTTGTTCACCTGTTCCCAGAGGAAACCTCAAGCGGATCTAAAGGAGGTATCTCCTCAAAAGCATCCTCTAATGTCAGAAGCAAGTGAGCACTGGGAAGAATACTTGAGAAAGTGGCATGCTTACGAAACTGCTAAGGTGCACCCCAGGGAGGTTGCAAAACCTGCATCTAAAGGAAAGCCCAGGCTTCCAAAGGCTTCTCCTAAGGCAACCTCCAAACCCAAGCACAGGCATAGGAAAGCACAAATCAAGACCCCGGAGACCCTCGGGCCAAATACAAATTCCAATAACAACATAGAAGATGATCAGGATGTCCATTCCGAACAGCACCCTTCCCAAAAGGATCTCCAGCAGCTTAAGAAAAAGCCCCGGATCGTCCTACCTTGGTGGTGTGTTTATGTTGCATGGTTTTTGGTTTTTGCTACTTCTAGCATATCCTCATTCTTCATTGTATTTTATGGACTGACTTACGGCTATGACAAGTCAATAGAATGGCTCTTTGCATCTTTTTGTTCATTCTGTCAGTCAGTTCTTCTGGTGCAGCCATCTAAAATTATACTCCTGTCAGGCTTCAGAACGAATAAACCCAAGTATTGCAAAAACCTTTCATGGTCAACCAAGTATAAATATACTGAGATCAGGTTGGATGGAATGCGTATGCATCCAGAAGAAATGCAGAGGATACATGACCAGATCGTCCGAATCCGAGGCACGAGGATGTACCAACCCCTTACAGAAGATGAAATCAGAATATTCAAAAGAAAGAAGAGGATCAAGAGAAGAGCACTCCTGTTTCTGAGTTACATTCTAACTCACTTTATCTTTCTAGCCCTTCTGTTGATCCTTATCGTCTTACTACGTCACACTGACTGCTTTTACTATAACCAGTTTATTCGTGATCGGTTCTCTATGGATCTTGCTACTGTGACTAAGCTGGAAGACATCTATAGATGGCTAAACAGCGTGCTGTTGCCTTTGTTACACAATGACCTGAATCCAACATTTCTTCCTGAAAGCTCGTCTAAAATCCTTGGCCTTCCATTGATGAGGCAAGTGAGAGCAAAATCTAGTGAAAAAATGTGTCTACCTGCCGAAAAGTTTGTGCAAAACAGCATCAGAAGAGAAATTCATTGTCACCCCAAATATGGCATTGACCCAGAAGACACAAAAAACTATTCTGGCTTTTGGAATGAAGTTGATAAGCAGGCTATAGATGAGAGTACCAATGGATTTACTTATAAGCCTCAAGGAACGCAATGGCTATATTATTCCTATGGACTACTACACACCTATGGATCTGGAGGATATGCACTCTATTTTTTTCCAGAACAGCAGCGGTTTAATTCCACACTGAGGCTCAAAGAACTTCAAGAAAGCAATTGGCTGGATGAGAAGACATGGGCTGTGGTTTTGGAATTAACAACTTTTAATCCAGATATAAATCTGTTCTGTAGCATTTCGGTCATATTTGAAGTCTCTCAGTTAGGAGTTGTCAACACAAGCATATCTCTGCACTCTTTTTCACTTGCTGATTTTGACAGAAAAGCTTCAGCAGAAATCTACTTGTATGTGGCCATTCTCATTTTTTTCTTAGCCTACGTTGTTGATGAGGGTTGTATCATTATGCAAGAAAGAGCCTCCTATGTGAGAAGTGTGTATAATTTGCTCAACTTTGCTTTAAAGTGCATATTTACTGTGTTGATTGTGCTCTTTCTCAGGAAACATTTCCTGGCCACTGGCATAATTCGGTTTTACTTGTCGAACCCAGAAGACTTCATTCCCTTTCATGCAGTTTCTCAGGTAGATCACATTATGAGGATAATTTTGGGTTTCCTGTTATTTCTGACAATTTTGAAGACCCTCAGGTATTCCAGATTCTTCTACGATGTGCGCCTGGCTCAGAGGGCCATCCAGGCTGCCCTCCCTGGCATCTGCCACATGGCATTTGTTGTGTCCGTGTATTTCTTCGTATACATGGCTTTTGGTTACCTGGTGTTTGGTCAGCATGAATGGAACTACAGTAACTTGATTCATTCCACTCAGACAGTATTTTCCTATTGTGTCTCAGCTTTCCAGAACACTGAATTTTCCAATAACAGGATTCTGGGGGTCCTGTTCCTCTCATCTTTCATGCTGGTGATGATCTGCGTCTTGATCAACTTATTTCAGGCTGTAATTCTGTCTGCATATGAGGAAATGAAGCAGCCCGTGTATGAGGAGCCATCGGATGAAGTGGAAGCAATGACCTATTTGTGCCGTAAGCTGAGAACCATGTTCAGCTTTCTGACCTCGCAATCTAAGGCCAAAGATGAGCCTGAGTTCTTTATTGACATGCTGTATGGGCAGCCAGAGAAGAACAGCCACCGTTATCTGGGGCTGAAGACCAGAAACATCAACGGGAAGAAAATGGTTTACCTTGTTGTTTGATGAATGATGGTTTCATGAGTCACAAGCAAGCGTTCCCCCAACTGCTGAGTCTGTGGGATTAAGGGGATTAGGGAGTGTCAGTGGCCTAGTCATGCTTTCTACTCATGTCCTTCACAAGGCACATCCCCTACATTTGGAAGAATCCCCAATCTTGTCCTCTGCTCTTGGGAGTGTAAAAGTTGGGAGTGTAGTGTAGCATCTGGGGAGACAGCAGGATCACAGTGTGGGATTCCTGGACTGATTTCCCTTTAGAGGGGAGTTATGTGACTCCCCGTACAAGGGCAACCCTGTTTCTTTGGTGCCTGCAGTTTAGAGAAGGCAGAGCCACTGGTTTTGAGAACCAGATTTGAGAGAGGGACCTGGCCAGGGTGGAGCATTGTCTGGGTGTTTCTGCGCTTGACCCATGCTGGAAGCTAATGGCCTGTTGCTCCTGACAGAGCCCCAAACTCCTCGGCCTCACTGGGAGGCCCCTTTGTAGACCAGGGCTCCCCTCCTCTTGTTCCCCCTGGGCTTAGGGCCTCGTGGGGAGTTCCAGGACTTGCTTCATGCTTGAGAATGCAGATGTGGTGCTTCTCATTTATTCTTAAAGCTACTGGTAGTTAAAGTAAAATTCAGTAACATTTTCTGACCAAGAGACATGTTTTGTTAAACAACAAAAAGGTACATATGGGTTCACATTGAAATATGTCTATATGCTGAATATAGCAACATATGCATCTAAGATTTGGGCATTTGGTTATTAATAGCGTGCTGGACTATTCAGGAATAAGGAAAATGTGGTTTATCACTTAAGAGAAACAAGGGCTGGTAGCTGTACTATTTTCACTCAGAAGCATGTTCATTTATGTAGATGCCACTTTAAGCTTTATCAGAATTAAATGTGAGATTTCTTCTTTGAGCCTTGCAGTGATTTCTGTGTGAGGGGCATATACACACATAGCTGCTGCCCTCAAAGTGGAGTCCCAGAAAAGGGGGACAACCAAATGAGATGGGTGGCTGCTTTATACACACCTCGGTGTCCATCATCCTCAGCTGCACTGAAATGGCCATAGCACACTAGGCCCCTGCAGACACACGTCGATTCCTTCCATCGTTTCCTTCAACGGGATGCCTAGACCTGGGCAGAATGTAGTTCTGTCTCACCTGTTGCCAGGTGGGAAGATGAAAAGGTCTCATGATTCACCCAAGGCTGCACACAGTTAGCAAGGGTCAGAAGGTCACATGGGGGCTGGGCGCAGTGGCTCACGCCTGTAATCCCAGCAATTTGGGAGGCCGAGGTGGGCGGATCACTTGAGGTCAGGAGTTCGAGACCAGCCTGGCCAACATGGTGAAACCCCGTATCTACTAAAAATACAAATATTAGCCAGGCATGGTGGTGGGTACCTGTAGTCCAGGTACTCAAGGGGCTGAGGCAGGAGAATCACTTGAACCCAGGAGGCAGAAGTTGCAGTGAGCTGAGATCTCACCACTGCACTCCAGCCTGGGCAACAGAGCGTGACTCTATCTCAAAACAAACAACAAAAAAAGTCAGATGGGGATTTTCTAACTCCCTTGGTGGGAAGGCCATGGGAGTGGCCTGGCCCACACTGGCCCACTGGTTCCGACTGGGGCGCATGTTCTTGAGATAGCACCTCTCTTAACCACCTGACTTCTGAACGGATTGAAAAAAAGGGTCAGCAGGTGTCCAAATGATTACTTTTTACTGATAGAGGCTGGTTGCAGTTGGGTCAAATGCACTTGCCCACTGAACTGCAGAATGAGGGAGTTCGAGACCCAGTTGCAGGCAAGTTGCAGAGGCCTGCCCTTCAAGGCAGCAGAGGCTGCTGGCAGGAGGGCGAGGCAGACACATGCTGTCTGTGGGTGGGCATTCCCAGGCCTTCTCCTCCAGTTTGGTAATCCACTGAAGTCCCTGACCCTTCCCAGGGGTTAAGCGGGGTCAGGATAGGCTAGTTGGCCACCCTTCCCAGGAAGAAAGCACCAGGGGTGGAGAAGGGTTTCCCACCAACACAGCCTGAGCTGTGCAGTGGGAGAATGAATTACAAATGAGTCAGGGAGGGCCACAGTTGTAACCACAGGGGCCACGTGGGCAGAGGCGGTAGGGAGTCATTGGAGGCCCAGGAACAACCACTGGAGGTGGTTTGAGTGACGACCAGGGACAGCTGCTGTGGGGCCTGCCAAATGAGACAAGAATCTCAATTTCTTGGTGAAAGTGAGAAATCCAGCAGTCACAGGAGTTTTTCCAGGCATGTTGGGAAAGAGAGTACGAGGGGTTTTCTTCTAATCTGTTAGAGTGATGACAGGTATTTATACAGTTTAGAAACAAAGAGATGCCAATTATACCATTATCAGGAGGACAAGGTGTCAAGTAACAAAAATTCAGGTTTCTTTTGAAGGCCATTTTCACAGGACAGAGCAACAATTTGTGTGTGTGTTGGGTTGGAGGTGTCCTTTTTTCTTTTTTTTTCTTTCTTTTTTTTTTTTTTGAGATGGAGTCTCGCTGTCACCCAGGCTGGAGTGCAGTGGCTTGATCTCAGCTCACTACAACCTCCGCCTCCTGGGTTCAAGCAATTCTCCTGCCTCAGCTTCCCAAGTAGCTGAGACTACAAGTGTGCACCACCACGCTCGGCTATTTTTTGCATTTTTTTTTTTTTTAGCAGAGATGGGGTTTCACCATGTTGGCCCGGCTGGTCTCAAAATCTTGACCTCAGGTGATCCACTTACCTTGGCCTCCCAGTGCTGGGATTACAGCGTGAGCCACTGCGCCCGGCCCATAGCAACAATTTCTAAAGGAGTCTTTTTTTTTTTTTGAGATGGAGTATTGCTCTGTTGCCCAGGCTGGAAGATCTGAGCTCACTGCAACCTCTGCCCACGGGGTTCAAGCAACTCTGGTGCCTCAGCCTCCCAGGTAGGTGGGACTAAGCAATTCTGGTGCCTCAGCCTCCCGAGTAGGTAGGACTACAGGCACACTCCCACCAACGCCCAGCTAATTTTTCTATTTTTTTAGTAGAGATGGGGTTTCACCATGTTGGCCAGACTGGTCTCAAACTCCTGGCCTCAAGTGATCCACCCGCCTCGGCCTCCCAAAGTGCTGGGATTACAGGCATGAGCCACCGCGCCCAGCCTAAAGGAGTCTTTTAAGACTCTTGTTCTCATTATACTTCCAGGGATAGGGTAGGACTATTCCAGAATAATTGGCTATAGTCACGAATACCCTCCCACTGTCTCTGTTGCACAGAACAAGAAGATGGATATTCCTGGTTTTGTTCTCAATTTAGCCCCTTATTAAATACTCAAGAGTAGTATTTAATATTTAATAAAAACAAGTTTTATATGCAGAGAAAGTTCAATTGCTGTAGGTACAGAGAAGGGGATATATGCCCTTCAACTATCTCAACACTTATTGTTAATTATGAAGACTTTGCATTTTTAAGGCCTGCTTCTGGAATTTCATTAGTTAGCACTAGAAACAAAATGCAAGCCTTTAGACTTCCATGTTACTGGCAGAAATGGAGAACGGGGCGAATAGGATATTCAGTGAAGTGGGGTACATAAGAAGTTATTCTTCCACAGTACCCCCTTTTGCTGCTATTAGCAATATTTTAGCTCTAGATTTTCATCTGCATTCAATTCCTTCTGATTTTCAGATTTTCTTTCACAGTCTTCACCTAAATACACAATGTACAATATCTGATATTGTGATAATCTTTTAAGATTACATCCATACAACATTTTATAAGTATTGCCACAACATATATGCATTTTTCCCAGCAAGCCCACCCCTAGCATCTGTGGGGCCTAGGGCAGGACTACAAATCTCTGTATGTCTAAATATTTAAAAGCTTACGAACTGTTACATAAAATATTTATATCCACTTACCTGGACAAATACACCTTCATAAAACAGAATTCAAAATTATGTGTAAAACTATGGTTTTAATATAGCTGAAAATTGGCAAAATATTAAAGATAGCTAATTTTTATTGTGTATCTCTAGGTATTATGTTGATGGGCCACTAATGCTTGGATGGGTAATAAAGACATACATAATCACATAATCCATAAATTATGTTATTTCTTCTATAAATGTTTCTCTTGTCTTCATTTCAGAAGAATGACTAATGAAGATTTTCACGCAATTGCATTCTTTTGACAGTAGTGCCAAATTAGACAAACTTTCCTGAGTCAGTATACTTTCAGATAGTTTTTAGTTATTTCAATTGGGAGAAACTTGACTCTGCTGAGTGGTAACGAATTATGAATAAATTCTTAAAGCGTTATATGTAGAACTGAATCATGACTGTTGATATCATGTTTAAACAGTGTAGAAAGGGTGCATATGAAAAATTATGATTGCAGAAAATATTACACAATATTTTCATTATATAAAATAATGTTATTATTTCACCATTATCATCGTTTCTTACATTTAGATCCATACAGGATTTCTTACGTTTTTCTTTTACGTTGTTGGGGTATTACCAAGAAAACTGAAAACTGCGGTAGATTACTCACTTTGTTTGAATCTCTCTCTTCAGTACAATCTACACCTTGATCTACCATCGCCGGAAAATTGTCTCTATAGAAGTTAGTTTCAGAATCATTCATCCATAAATCTTTTTCTTCAGACTCCAGCAAATGCTTCTAGTTCCGATTTTCTTACATTGTACTTTAATGTCATTTTAGTGCTTATTTCATATGCAGTTGCTTTTTGGAAACCATTTTCTCCTAAAACTTTATGCAATATTTTAAATCCTTTTGGATTCTTTAAAACGTTTTCTAATTGTAATAACTGGACAGCTCAAATACAAAATTAACTCTATTTTCTGCCAAAGACCACGATTTGCTCTTTGAATGCTGCCTATTATTTCACTTAACTCTTTTAACGCATCTCATGTGTTAACCTGTCTACAATAAGTCAAATTGCTTTAACAGCACTCATGGGGTTACCATCATTGTATCTGAGGGTAGCCACAGGTCAAATTCAAAATGCTTCAAGATGTTCCATCTTTAGACACCGCCAGAAACAAACAAACAACCCAGTATGTCATCTTTGAAATGATCCAACGAATCGAATGCCGTTGCTCTAAGTACAGTGGAGGTCATCGAAATCCAGCTGCTTGCTAATCGCTTGCTAATTTCTGGGGCCCCTCTTGCCCAGGTCTAAGAGTGGTTCTGGTTTCCATTAGTGCTAAAATGCCTTCTATATCCTTACTTCTCAATTCGCCAAAGGAGCAAGTCCCAGACCCCAGCCTGCTGCAACTGGGCAACATTCCTACAGATGTGGCTTGACAAACCAAGAATAAATTCTGGTCTCTCAGGAACAGAGACGAAGCACCCCTCGGCCTAGGGAAAGGTCACAGAGGGCCCCGTAACGCAACAGCATGTGAAAGGCTGCCGGCTGGTGGCACAGGCAGACCTTCTCCCGCGTGGAGCAAAACCCTCAAATCTTTGGGGGAAGGAGGGTGGCCATCCTGTCGTCCCCAAAGCACAGGTGAAGGCCCGCGGCGGCTGGGGCGAGGGACTCGAGCTGGGAGGATCGGGGCCCACAGGCAAAGCCAGGCCGGCTTCAGAGTCCGGGCCCCTGACCCCAAGGAAAGGTGCCTCTCACACACCGGAGGCTCCAGGAGTGGGGCGGGCATTTCGGGTCCAGGGCACGGCGTGTCAGAGGCCACGGGCGGGAACAGAAGGAAGCAGGTGTGGCTGGTGCCTGGGGGCGAGGGGCAGCGGAGAGGCCCGGGAGGCTAAAGGAGAACGCGGCGCAGACCCGAGGGGCGCCGCAGGCGACGTGGGCTTTGGAGGAGCAGGGACAGGTCCTGAGACCCCGTTGGGCCGACACACCCCCTCCTGCATGCGGGGGCAGACGTCCCGGTGGGGTAGACTGGCAGCCTAGTCCGCGGCGCGGGAGGGCAGGTGGGAGACTGGAGGCGCCCTCGCGCCCCTCAGCTATCCGGGAGCCTCGCGCCGGCGACCTCGACCCTGTCGAACCCGGCGGAACACTCAGAAAGAAGCTGAGCGCCTCGCAGCGGCCAGGACAGCGGGCCAGGCCCGCGCGCTCCCGCAGCGCACGGCCAGACGCGACGCCCCTCAGCACGGAACCCAGCCTCGCGGACTACCCCGAAGCTCAGAGCCACATCCCGCGCAGAGGACCGCGGCGACCGGAAAAGCAAGGCAGAGGCGGAAAACCACCGCGAGGTCCCGCCTCCCGCTCCGCGCCTGCGTCTGCGGCTGCACCGGGGTTGGCCGGGCCGCGGTGGGGCGGGGCCGCTCAGGCGCCTTGGACGCGGAGCCGTGGGACGAGGGCGGCGGTGAGTTCGAGGTGGCAGAGTGACTGGGGCGAGCGTGCTGTGGCCCTTCCCTGCGCTGCCTCAGGGTGCCTCCCGCTCGCCGGGACTGAGTTCCGCGCCGGCGTGGCCTGCTGGGTTCCAAGCGCCAGGAGTCGGCGCAGCCGCTCTCAGCTTTGGGGACGGGACCGAGAAGCGGGGTGTGGGCCTCACGGGACTGTCCCCCCTGACCTCGGGCAGCGCTGGGGCGAGAGAGGGCAGGCGGAGGCTCGCGGGGACCACCAGCATCCCCGGACCCTCTCAGCCGTCCCTGTTCACAGGCACCGCCCCCAGGAGCCTCGGCAGGGGCCTAGGACGCCCCGGCGTGCAGAAGAGAAGCGGGATCAGGTTCACGCACACCCGCGATCGATCGTAACTTTTGTTTTGAGACAGAGTCTCGCTCTGTCGCCCAGGCTGGAATGCAGTGGCGCGATCTCGGCTCACCGCAACCTCCGCCCCCCCAGCCCCCGCTCCCCAACCCCCCGCTCAAGCGATTCTCCTACCTCAGTCTCCTGAGTAGATGAGATTAGAGGCGCCCGCCCCCACGCCCGGCTAATATTTTATTTTATTTAATTTTAATTTTTATTTTTTTGAGAAGGAGTCTCGCCCTGTCGCCCAGGCTGGAGTACAGTGGCACAATCTCGGCTCACTGCAATCTCCGCCTCCTAGGTTCAAGTGATTCCCCTGCCTCAGCTTCCTAAGTAGCTGGGATTACAGGCACCCGCCACTATGCTCGGCTAATTTTTGTACTTTTAGTAGAGATGGGGTTTCGCCATGTTGGCTAGGTTGGTCTTGAACTCCTGACCTCAGGTAATCCGCCCGCCTCTGGCTACCAGAGTGCTGGGATTACAGGTATGAGCAACCACACCGGGCCAGACTTAACTTTTAAAGTCACTGGTAACCCATGCTTCCTGGAGTTGCATCTGGGGACACCCAGTGGGGAAAGCCATCGCATTTGATACGCCTTTATACACCACGCTCAGTTCAGGCGAGGGGAGGTCACAGCCAAGAGCTAGGGGCCAGCTGATAATGTCGTACTTGATTCCATAGTCAAAGAAGGAGCTGGGTAATCAGCAAAATTGTAACTTTTGATGAACCCATCAGATGGCAGCCATTTAGCCAGAAATCTAAGGAAAGAGAGGCCTCCAAGACCCAACCATGAACATGAGAAGGGGGTTCCATACAAGCAGATAAGAAAACAGTTTTTTTGTTTGTTTGTTTTTTGAGATGGAGTCTCGCTGTCTCCCAGGCTGGAGTGCAGTGACGCGATCTCGGCTCACTGCAAGCTCCGTCTCCTGGGTTCACGCCATTCTCCTGCCTCAGACTCCCATGTAGCTGAGACTATAGGCGCCCGCCACCACGCCTGGCTAATTTTTTGTATTTTTAGTAGAGGCGGGGTTTCACCATGTTAGCTAGATGGTCTCGATCTCCTGACCTCGTGATCCGCCTGCCTTGGCCTCCCAAAGTGCTGGGATTACAGGCATGAGCCACTGCGCCTGGCCAAGAAAACAGTTCTAATGTCCACACCACGTGTGGACTAATGTGAGGGCATAGAGCTTCTAGGAGCAGCAGAAACAGGAGATTTTGCACCCACTCTGGGCCCTTCTCCACCAGCGTTCACTGGGGGCTTGTGGTAAAGAATGGGGCAGAGCAGGAGACCGGAACGCTTTTACCGTGGTGCAGACCTGGAAGAAGAGATGGGTGCTCTGGCTTGATCCTGTCTGGATCCTTCTCTCTAGCAGTACAAAAACCTTAAACCATTGGAATATGGACAGCAAATCCTGTCACTCTGGGCACCGGTGAAAACCTGTTTCAGCTGGGGATAGAGAAAAGGGTACGGTAGGGAGGCAAGAAACTGTGCTAGGACTATATGGTTAGGGTCTTCATAGCTGGGAAAGGGGCAGGATTCCTGAGAAAGCCTGTGACCCAGGGACACCCCATCTCTTGATCTTGCAGATGGCGTCCCATGTAGAGTGCCGTCCTCTGGGAGTGTTTGAGTGTGAACTCTGTACCTTGACAGCTCCGTACAGCTATGTGGGACAGAAGCCCCCCAACACCCAGTCGATGGTGTGAGTGCATGCCTTTTGGGCCAGTGCCGGGGAGGCCTGTGCCCAGTGCTGGTTGGTGGGTGGTGTGCCTAGGTCTGACAACTGTCTCAGGTGTGGAGCTTTAGACCCCACCCTGGCCAGGCTCTGAATGCTTCTGGTGTAATCTCTGGAGGCCTGGGCAAGGCTTGAGGTCTGACTCTTCCAGAACCTTCCTCCACACCTAGCCCAGAGTCCAATACCTGCTCTAGCTGTGGGGGAGCAGCTCAGCAGCTGGGGGACCTGTGGTGGCCTCCCCCTTTGGGGCTGCACCCTTGCCATGACACTTTCTTAATGGGAGGCCTGTCTCCCCTGCAGACCTGGATTAGAGCCAGTGGGTCAGGGGGCTTATCTCTTGACCTCCAGCTTGTCCTTCATCAAATGCCACTTTGTTGGAAAGCTGGCCGGTGTGTTACTCACATGGGATGCAGTGGCAGGGGCATGGCTTTTTCCTTCTGGCTGTCGTCCCTCTGCTGACCAGGAGCCTGAGTGTCATCATGTCACCCTGGGGTCTCATTCTGATGTGTAGCATGAGGCCAGCTGGCTTCCAGGGGCTGTGAGGGTGTGGCTTGGGGTGTAGGGAGGCCTGGGGTATTCAGGTGGCAGCCTTGTGCCCCCACTGTGGTGAATCAGTCAGGGTCTGGGGGCCCATGTTGCAGCAGCCCTGCTTTTGGCTGAGAACAAGGGGTTCTCTCTACCATGGCTGTTACAGAGGTGAGAGCAGGTTCAATTTCAGTGCCAGTGTGGCCCCCAATTGCTGATCCTTTCTGTCACTGCCCTGCAGCACGGGTGGCCTAGTCCCCTGCCCTGATGAGCCCACGCAGGTATGCAGGCCCTGCAGAGGTGCAGGCTGCTGCTGCCTGGCCATAGGTCATGGCTGATTTTCCGACGGCAGAGATTTGGGCTGTTCTGACGCTGCATTCACTCTCCTGCAGCCTCCTGGAGGAAAGCTATGTCATGAAGGATCCCTTCACCTCCGACAAGGACAGATTCCTGGTCCTCGGCTCGTGCTGCAGTTTGTGCAGCAGGCTGGTGTGTGTGGGCCCGGTGGGTAAGCAGCGTGGGCTGGGGCCACCTGTCCTTGCTGTGGTTATCCTGGAGCTCTCCCTGGGTAGGGAGGGCTGGGAGAGAGGGAGCAGCGGGTTCACCCCATTATAGATGGGGCCCCTCAGCTGATGAAGGGGAGAGGTGAGAGGGCAAGCTAGGGTCAGTTAGAGGGTCTCAGCCTGGTGTAGGAATGGAAATAGGTAATTGGTGGCTCTGCACCCACCCCAGTGGCCCCTCAGGGTTCCTCCCCTTCCCACCAACAGTGCAGACAGTCCTTGTGCGCCCTCTCACCAGGATGGTGACTTACTTTCTAGATGTTCTTGGAGGGATCTCCAGGAGAAGGGACTGTCCTTTCATGAGCACTTGTTGTGTGCCAGGTCCTGTGCTTGGGACCTGTTTTACTGCTGAGGCTTCATTCAGTCCTGCCCCTTAGTCAGGTAAAGCAGTATTATATTCCACCCATTTTATAGATGAGGGAACTGAGCTTCAGAGAGGCTGGGTGGGCCAGGTTCACCTGGGTAGCTGTAAACCCAAGGACGGATGGAAGTGGAGCAGCATGGCTTTCACAGCGTGCCCAGTGTACTCAGAGTGACCCCAGAGTCTGAGAAGTCCCTGAGCATCTGCCACAGGTTGACACACACAAAGGGGAGCTGTATCAATAGCCAGGGGGACGAGATGGGCCAGGGTGGGAGGAGCCTCCGCAGTGTGGCATGGGAGTATCTGAGGCTCATGGAGGAGCTGGTGGTCCAGGAGAAGCTGGGAAAGGAAGACTGCAAAGGTGGGTGGGCCAGGTGGGGAGGTGGAGGTCTTGAATGCAACACCTTGGCCTTGGGCTGCTCTTCGTGAGCAGCGGGGTGGCGGGGGTGGGGGGCGCACGCAGGTACCACAAGTCTGCAGCTTTCTTTGTTTAAACAGTAGGTTGTTAGTGAGCGGATCTCCATGGCGAAGGGTCTTTTCTAAGAACTGCAGGAGGGCAGCCTTATGTTTGCGAGCACACTAAGCTTTAAGAACAGACAGACACCAAAAATAAGAGTGGCCTAAGTAAAGCAAATAGTTATTTACTTACTTTCTCCTATGTAAGAGTCCAGAACTGGTGGCCTTGGCTGGAAGGGCACCCCTGTTGTCTTCAGCAGAGTCTCTATTTGGGTCCCTTGTGGCTGTGGAGCTCCCACCATCATATTTGCATCCCAGGCAGCGGGAAGGGACGTGAGAGCACAGTCCATGCCTTCAAAGGGCATGACCAGGAGGTGGCACACACAGTTGCTGACGCCCCTAACCAGCCTGAGTCACATGGCGATGCCCAGTTACAGAGGGGGCTGGGGAATGTCATCCTTAGCCACGTGCTGTGCACCGTGATGAATCTCGGGAGTTCTAGTGTGTAAGAGAGAGGAGAGCGGACATGGCTGCACGGTTCTGGCCTCCTGCCCAGACTAGCTGGCTCGTCCATGGCGTCTTTGGTCTGTGGGGCTGTCCTTCCTGTCCCCTGCCGCTCCCAGCACCAGGTGGCCACTGTTCGTGCTGCGATAGCTGGGACGGGAGGACTCTGGGATTTTCGGGGCATGGCCTGTGCTCCAGCTTTCCATTGTTGTCACTGCCCCGTGATGGAGCAGAGCAGGCCCCAGAGTCTTTCTGTCCCATCCCAGCTGTTCCCACCCAGGGTAGCCCAGGCCTGCATTGCTTTTCTCCTGGACACCCTGCCAGGCCCTCAGGCCTGGCTCTCCCTCTTGCTGGTCTAGCTCTGGCCACCTGCCCACACTGTGCATGCTGGGGCCCCAGCCCAGCCCCCCAAGTGTGGGAAGGGCTGGCCCCTGGGAGGAGCTGCACCATGTTCCCAGGATACTCAAGCCTCCATCCTTGTCCACTTCTTTAAGGAATGCAGTTTATTCTACTCCAAGAGATTCTGCCTCCCTTGTGTCCGGGAGAACATCAATGCTTTTCCTCAGGAAATTCGGCAAGACTTGGAGAAAAGGAAAGCTCCATCAAAGAGGACCCCCAGCCAGCCCGGTTCTCGGACGTGAGTGCAACTGGGGCTAGGTCATCGGGCGGCACCCTGCACAGAGCTCCTGGGCCAGCCTGCGCCAGGGATGCTGCTGAGCTGGGAGCCGCCATGCCTGGCCTTGTTTCTGGACCACTGGGAGCAGCACTGCAGCCCAGGGGAGCTGGAGTCCAGCTTGGAGCAGCCACAGGCCCAGGGAGCTGTAGCAAGAGGGTAGTCCAAAGGCAGATGCCAGACAAGACACAGCCAGGAACCCGGCCAGGTCCCCCCACATGCCCCTCAGGGCCCAGGCCTGAGTGAGTGCTGCTCAGATGTGACTGAGAGGGATGACCTCCTTCAGCAGGGCAGCTCCTAAGAGGCTGCGTGCAGGTGCGTGTGGGGGGAGATGCCACACTGTGTCGGGGCCATGGTGCACTGTAGGTGGCTGCAATGGTCTCTCTGTAAGGAAAATCACTGACAGCAGCTCCTTCTGGACCCAGTCTGGAAGGTCTAGAGGGGGATAGAATTTTTATTTCATATCCTTATGTGGTGCTTGGAAAATGTTTTTAACCTTGACCATGTATTATGTTTATAATTAAAAACCCAAAGAACCAGCTCATGTTTGGAAAAGGAATCTTCCACTGAAACATTTGGATACCCGACGTTCTCCCTGGACACTTGGCCCGGCAATAGTTGGGGTCTCCTGGGAAGCTGAGTGCTGGCTTCTAGCCTCTCCAGTTCCCTCAGACTCTGTCTTCAGCTCGGGCCCCTCCGTTCTGTCTCCCTCGACTCCAAGTCAGGAATACCGTGGGCTTCCTGCCCTCACCCCACACCTCAAGACCATCCCACTGCTTGCCTGCTTGCCCCCTGCCATCTCGCACTCAGCCCTGGGTGCCTGTGAAGCCTGGCCCCACTGCCTGCCGGGGGTTCCTGCAGCACCCCCCTACTCCAGGCTCCCCATCTCCCTGAAGCTTCCAGGGTAGCAGCTGGTGGGACACTGATCTGTGAGCTCTGGAATGTCTGCTTAGAATTCTGAGAGGCAGGAACTGCTCTGTCTTTGTAACTACTCAAGGCCAACTGTCACATGAAGGAATGAATAAAGAGTTTTTACTGACTTGTGCACTGATGGACTTTAAGATGCTCACTGCTTTAAAAGTTCCCGTTGTATGTGACTTCAGACGAAAGGATGTCGTATTCCGGAGCCAGATTGTCCTTGATCCATTCTGTATGTTGAAGGACACAAAAGGGACTGTGCAGGTGGAGACAGCCTCCATGAGGGGCGCAGGGACTGTTCTGGCGGAGGGCGGACCCCACAGCTGGGGACTTGGTTCTTTTAGACCAAACAGTCCATCTCGCAGCATCACTCAAAACTCACCAAAAAATTTTAAAAAATAGTTTATTTTTTAAAACCATTAAGGCAAAACTGTACCCTGAAATTAACTCTGTACATTCATCAGTCTTACAGTAGGACATCCCAAACACAGAAGTTCCCATATATTCAGGATATAAATCAATACATGTGGTCAGTTCAGTCTCCTAATAGGAAAACGAAGACCCAAGATTTTTTTTTAAAATTAAGGTTATTTTATAGCCATTTTCTAATTGCCTGGAACCAATCAGTTCATGTGACTAGAAAAATTACTTTCGCTCTTCTCTGCACATCCTTGATTCCGGAGGTCCTGGATGCCCGCTCCCCCCACCAGGAGAGAGGTATGAAGTTGGAGAGAGGATGCTGGGGCCTGTGTGGCAGTTCCTACTTTGGAACTGCACCTTTTTAGCACAAATAAGAAGCTGTAAGCCCCAAAATACTGAGAGTATAAGGCACTCACTAGTAGAGCACATGTGGAGAGTCTGGGCCCAGTCCTTGCTCTGGGATCTGCCTCATTCTCGCGTGTGTTTCTGTCAACCCTCTCTCTTAGGGTTTTAGCCTAATGGCATTATGAATCCCAGAGGGTGTAACCAATATGCACCAAGAAGTTTTGCCAAGTTATTGGAAACAAGGTATGGGGAGACTCACGGGGTCTGTGGTTTCTGCTTTCTGCTTTGGGTTGGGCCACCTGGAGGATGCCAGAGAACCGGCACGTGCAAAGAATTTCCATCAGGACATTTCCAATTGCCAGCGTTCTTTGGTAATAACCCATAGGTAACAGTTCCCTGAAGAGCAGACAGCTATTTACTAAACAAGAATAGTGAAGGGTCTTTAGCGAAACACTGTTGTATGAAATCGGTGGCCTCTAATACGGAGTCTAAGGCCTCGCTGGTGGAAGTGACTAGAGATAGCCTCTCTTGTGCTCTGTGCATATACAGTGTGGTAAAGGGAACAGATTTCCACATTGAAAGTAAATTCTGCATGGCTCAGGAGAAATGAAGAGCTGTGTGTGTGTGTGTGTGTGTGTGTGTGTGCACGCACACGTGTACGCAGTGTATTTTAGATGTTTGATTTCAGCTTCCTTTGTGTTTCCAATAGGGTCAAGAGCCAGGCTTTTAAGAATATGAGTCAATTAACACTGATTTCAAAAGAATCCAAATGTTTCTTATTAAATGAGTGATTGTAAGTTAGTAAAATATTTGTATTAGGATATTTTTCAAAAAGTCAAATCACAGTATTTAAGATATAGCTATTAACGTAGTTCTTTTTACCACACAATGTAGAAAAAAGTGATATTTAACATGAACACTGTAACTTTACCAAAAAGAGTACTACATGGTCTTCATCTTTTGTGAGGTACATGAGAAAAGGAACTGACTGTGCCTTAAAAAAAGTGAAGTTGCCAAAAGTGAGTGATTTTATTGTGAAATGATCGGCCAGTCACTCGTCTCCGGGGCCTGAAGGCTGACCCTCTCTGACTTGAGGCACAGCCAAGGCCTGGGGGTCCGGGGAAGGTGCCCGACTGTGTCCCAGGGCTGCGGCATGCCCCCCCACGCCCGGTCACCACTTTTCCTAGGAGCCAGGCTGCGTGGACTGGGGGCCTGTTTGTGCACCAGTTTGCACGGCACTTTATCAATTCATTAAATGAATGGATTTTGGATGCTGGATGTGTGGGCAGAAGAGGGGCAAGAGAAGAGGTGGCAGGTAGACTCCCTCCTCCTCACATTTGACCCAACTAGCAAACTTAAAAAAAATAAAATAAAATAAAAGCTGACCCCCCTCCCCAGGTCTTAGTTTGCTATCTCTGATGTAAAAATCAATTATTTTTTCTCTCTTTTTTTTTTTTTTTTTTCAAATAATCCATCTAACAGCCATGAGACCACTCAAGTATTTGAGGTCATCAGCTGCGTCCATCAAGACATGATATTGAACATGGACACCATCTGGTCTGTTGGTCTGTTTTTGTTGGCAAAGGACTCCAAAAGGATGCAGTTGTATGTGTTTCAGCTGAACCACATACCATAGCTCCTCTCCCCTCACAAAAGGGTTTCTCTGGGGGGAGAAAAGTAACTGATTATACCTCTCATGTCTCAAACTGAAATTCTGAGAAGCAAATGGTCAGTTGAGGGCCCCATTCCAGATCTGCCGGGACGTCCTCAGATGTCCAGAGCTGGCAAAAGGTGGAGCAGGCAGCAGCCTTGGGCACCAGCCTGTCTCTTTCTGTTCTGATAAGGCCACACACATGGCTTTTTGTGATAAGCTTCCAGCCCATGCCACTGAAATAACGTTTAAGAACCTGCTGCATTTCACAGAAATAGCGTAATGGAAATCATTATGTAATTAAACAAAGCATGAAGCTCATTATCTTTTTCTTTTTAACAAAACCTTCAATTTCACATTTTAGTGTACACTGTGGTTTCCAGAGAAATATATGGATCTCCTATATTCTGAGTCAGACCAAATTTATTGCCTTTATTCTTACCCTAGTCTATGGGGTCAATAACCGTTTTCCTGAATGCTGTCAAAATGGTGCCTGAAAATATCTAAATCCCAGCAAAAACCTAGGCCTCAACTTTGGAACCCAGTCATAGATCTTTCTAGGCAGAAGGCCTCTCAGGGGAGTACATGCCCTGGGCAAAGGCCATGGACTCGGAAGCAGGAAGGTCACGGGATGATTTAATGGCATCGAATAATCCTTTGGTGAGATGGCCTTTGTTGCCCTCAGCACAGTCGAGGCAGGTTAATCATTTATTTGCCACAACCCTTCCTTGCTCTGTAAAGCTGCAGCACAACTGGGTGGTCCGTATAGCCTTTTCTGCCACAGATGTTTGTGGACATTTCACTTCCAGACTGTGACGTCTGAAGATGGGCTTGAATGACAGCAGCCATCATCGCTGCCATTAGGGAGGTGCACACAGCCCCCTTTGCTCGATGCAAATATTTGGTTGGTAAGAAATTCCAGTGCAGCTAAACAAGTCAGCTTGGACTGAGTTAAGAAAAGCTGGGCCACTTTTAACATGAGAAGAGCAGATACTTCCCCATGCTTGGCAATGCCAATGCCGTAAAAATGGGAAGTGTTGAGACAAACCTCCTGTGGACGAGAGGTTCCCGTGGACATTTTTAACAATCATGAGCCTTCAGGTGGTGGCATCAGTCTTCATGGGTGACTTCTATGGACAGCATAATTTTCTTGCCTCTCCTGAATCTATACTACTTTTCTGAATGTGAAAGAAGGTCTAAAAAGTAATCCCTCGGGATCCCTGCATCAGGCCAACCATGCTAACTGCAGAGGGTGAGGCTGGCAGTCCAGGAGATGGGAGCTGAGGACAAGGCTGCAGGCCCCTGGGTCACCTATCCTTGCACTCACCAGGTGCAAGAGTCTAGAAACAACAGGGAGGCTGCAGGAGGTGGAGAAAGTGCACCGTGCCTGGGGACCAGCGGCTAGCAACACCCAGCAGGCCCTACATCTGGAGGCTGGTGTTTTCATTTTAAAATGGAGGCTGATTTGCTGTTACCCCCTCAAACAGCTGAGGAGACCACAGGAACCTGCTTTGAAAGCTGCCCAGAGCCATGGCATCCATAGGTGGTGAGCTGTGGGCATGTTCTCCTGGTGGCATCTGCATTTTGAAAGGCCACACTGTTGAAGAGGTACCAGCTGTTGAAGGTGGCCAGCTTTCCCCAGGCCCCAGGAAGCCCCCCACCAAAGGCCAGGCTGTCGGTCAAGCCAGTCTTAGCTGGGTGCATTGGGCTTGCTGTGTTGAAGCAATGAATCTATTTTAAAACTGGAGTTCAGTGAGACATTTCAAAGACAGGTGTGGCCACTGGATCAGGACCAAAAAACCCTCCATCATGTATGCGGCTGGTAAGTAGCAGATGTGCGCAGAGATACAGTGGTTTGAAAATGGGAGTTTGAGGTGGGAAGTGCTTGGAACCAAACACAGAGAGGCCCAGGTGCAAGTTCAGAGGAGACAGACCTTAGGAAGTCGCGGTTTCATCAGGGCTTGCTTTGGTGCATCTGTTTCCATCCGCATCTGGTAGGGTCTCTCTGAGGAAGTGGCTTCCTCGTGGCCAGCAGGAAGAGGTGAAGAGGAGAGGGGGTGCTGGGGGCGGTGCGGGGAGGGGGGTTTGTCACTGCAGGCCGGGACCATCGGCCGCTTCTCCTAAGCCCAAGACGTGCCCAATGTCAGTTTCACCAAATTGGGGTAGCACCTTTTGCACGTATCTTCAAGGCTCCCTTTACACAACCGAAGTTCCTTCCAGACGTCATACGAGATGCTGCTCCCCTGTGTGTGGGCAGGCTCAGGTGTGTGCACTCAAGGAGTCTCCATCCCACCTGCCCTAACTACAGAGGCCACAGGCTGTGCGCCTCAGCTCTAGCATGGCCTTTTGCAGGGCCTGCTGAGGTATTTGTTACATGGTCCATTGCGGGGAAGTGGTGGCTAAGTTGTTGACTTCTCACGGTATAGCAAATCTCTCATTTGTACCTTGAGCTCTTGCTCGGCTCTGGGAGGCTGCCCTGTCCCTGGAACCTCCAGACAACGCTCCAGGAAGGCTGTTTCCCTGGGGGTCTAAAATGGCCCAGTGTAAGAAACGTATCAGCGCAGCAGAAGGGTGCCTTGTCTGCTCTCTAAATGCGAAACAAAACAAAACACAGCTCTTTAAAACAGGGACAGCTCTCCTGGGCATCCTTGAATGCTGAGTTCTGGGTTTCTGCCCCACTTCACGTCCATTATGTTCGTATAGCAAACACACCCGTTAGGAAGATGCTTTATACTCTTCTCATCGGAGCTGGAGGAAGGGTCAAGCGGAAACAGGCAAGCGAGGTGGGAAGAAAGGCACCAGCAGCCGTCAGCCCGTGCTCCCAGTCCCGCTCCTGCCGCTGTAACTGGAAGCATCTTGTTTTGACAATTCATCCAAACGGCCTTAGGCCCTGCACAGTTCTCCGGTCTCTGGAAGTGTGGTGGGGACGGAATCCAACATGTGGGACACCCAGCTGGAAGTGCCAGGAGGTGGGAGAGGAGGGATGCGCCGCCAGGCTCCCCTGGACAATGGAGAGGCCTGCGTCTGCTCCCGAGCCACAGCCAGCTGGCACACAAGAGGCACGTCTGGGAGGAGTCCCTCGCCGTGCCTTCACCCTGGTCAGCACGGTAGACCAAGGCTGTTAGGTCTCTGAGGACTTTGGCACTTTTTGCTATTAAAAGTTGAGAAAATGAAAAACCGTGTTTAAACAATGACTTGTTGAAGAGTGGGTAAATTTGGCGACTTCCTACATTCGCTGCCAGAGGGAGCGGGTGCCACACATGTGCTCCGACACTCCTGGAATCTGTCCTGACATCTCTTTTGTTCTTTTGGCTGATGTCTGTTGAAACCCAGCAAGCAAGAAATGCACTCTGTTAATAGTTCCCATTTGAACTGGGGCATAATCAGCCTATATTTGAGTATTGATGCCCTGAGAAATCTATGATTAGGTGACCCAAAATATTCCAGCATTGAGTGGCAATTAGTGGTTTTGTTATTTAAAGAAATAGGAATGCCTGATTTCCTTCCCTATCAACACAAGAGACCAATGTCGAGTGACTTTCAGCCTGAGGTCACGGGTGTCTCCATTCTGGCTTCACCAGAGATGTCCCTGGAAGTCTTGCTGGGCCTTAAGGAAACCAAAATGCTCACCATCGCTGCTGAGTGTCCCGGGAGCTAACATCGAACTTGCCAGTCAGCTCACTGTTACTGCTGAAAGCCTGAGACGGGGAGCTATTTTAAACAGGTTTTATGAAAATGTAAACAGAACAATGACTTCTCTGAAAACCATGAGGCTCACTTTCCTGGACCACATCTCCTTGAATGGCACAGGGTACATCAGAGCGAGCAGCTGCAGGGTCGCTGGGGACAACACAGGCTTGGCATTGGGCTCCAGCCCCTGGATCTTGTTGACACAGGGGCTTCTCATTTTAGGAAATAATACTGAAACGGATGCACCATGACAGACACTCAAAGGCTAGCTTCTTTCTGAATTAGGATGGCCACTTGGCTGGTGGCATATATGGAAACACTTTTATTTGCTTTTGGTTCCTAAGACACTTGGGCAGACTGCCCGCCGCTGCTGCTGCCATTGCTGGCCAACAGCCCCTTTGATTGCATCTTTTTTTTTTTTTTTTGCCGGGGTGGGAGAGGGTGGAATCTAACTCTGTCACCCAGGCTGGAATGCAGTGGTGAGATCACAGCTCACTGCAGCCTCGACCTCCTGGGTTCAAGCAATCCTCCCACCTCAGCCTGCAGAGTAGCTGGGACTACTGATGTGTGCCACCCCGATGAACTAATTTTTAAATTTTGTGTACAGACAGGGTCTTGCTATGTTGCCTAGGCTGGTCTCGAACTCCTGGGCTCAAGTGATCCTCCCACCTCGGCCTCCCAAAGTGCTGGGATTCCATGTGTGAGCCACTGTGCCTAGCCTGATTACAAAAACCAAAACGGACTAAATTTGTAATTTTTAAAAAAGGATGTCCTAACCCTAACTTTCACTTTTTTCTAGTGGAAGTCTCACACTGTGTCCTTCCCACTCTCGCATTTTCATAATGCTGGTCATGGGACCCTTATCAATCCTAATCATTCTTAAAATAATAATGACCTCAGAAGAGCCAAATTTTCTAAAGATGGGGGAGAGGCATCGACGATACCTCCAGGTGCCCAGCGACTCCCTGGAGGCGGTGGTCCTGGCAGTTCCAGTCCAGATCTAAAAATTCTCAACAGGACAATTTATCTACCAGGTGGACAGAGAGAGAAAGTGTTTCCAGGTCCATATATTCTTGACAAACTACCATAATCAACGCTGCCTTCCCAGCTGGACTGAGGTTGGTAAGTTGGTTTTGAAGGCTAAAACAAAAATTTTAGATGTTGAAAAAACTACCTTACATACAAAGGAGACTTAACAACCTAAACCATTGTAAAAAATAACCAACTCTTGTGAAATCTGCCATTTGAAGTAAAACTGCCATTTGAAGAAGACTCTACCCCCTCTCTCGATCCGCAGGGTGACTGGCTCCCACCCAGCCCAGGCTATGAAGACACATGTGCCTCGTCTGCGCTCCAGAGAGCATCTACTGTCACCAAGAGTTAAAACAATAAAACATCATATCTTTAAAAGCAACATAACAAAAGATACGGGAGCTGCCAAATGGGGCCCGGAGGAACACTGACAAGTAAGGTGTCAGTCTGTCCCTAAGAACACCACCATTCCCACAGACAGCTGGACTGGGTGGGTTCAGGTTGACTGGACGGAGCTGAGTGGAGCAGGAAGCTGGCGGGCTTCGGGAGCTTGTCTCGTCCCGCTTACCACGGGTGCTAGCTTATGACAGTCCAGAGCGGGGGTCTTGAGACTCTGTTTTCTGGGCTCTTCTACGCAAACCTGGAAATGGGCCTTTCCACATATTAGTTACAACCACGAAAACAGTGAGCCAAAAACAAAACAACAGCTGCATTTTGATAGCTTATCTAACAGATTTTTTTTTTGTTTGTTTGTTTTTAAGACAGAGTCTCGTTCTGTCACCAGGCTGGAGTGCAGTGGTGCAGTCTTAGCTCACTGCAACCTCCAACTCCCTGGTTCAAGCAATTCTCCTGCCTCAGCTTCCCGAGTAGCTGGGATTACAGGCATGTGCCACCACACCCGGCTAATTTTTGTATTTTTAGTAGAGACAGGGTTTCACCATGTTGGCCAGGATGGTCTCGATCTGCTGACCTTGTGATCCACCCGCCTCGGCCTCCCAAAGTGCTGGGATTACAAGTATGAGCGACTGTGCCTGGCCCAAACAGTTCTTTAAAATTCTCCATCCTATGATTAAAAAGCAGCATGTTGTCTTTCTTTAG
Organism: Homo sapiens; assembly: GCF_000001405.40. NCBI lineage: Eukaryota > Metazoa > Chordata > Mammalia > Primates > Hominidae > Homo > Homo sapiens. Next base: position 46,235,905 of record NC_000022.11, on the reverse strand, counting down.
ATTCAGGAAACAGAAGTGAAGTCTTTGAAATAAATATTTTGCTGCTTTTTACATACTTCACCTTTGGATACATCTAGACTTATAGGATTATAAACATTGTTAAAAAGTGCTGATTAGTTTTCAGAATTATAAAGGAGCACAATAGTCAAAAGCGGGGTGAATGGGAAGACAGGCCACGAATTTTGAGGTTACCAGTTAATTAAATGGTAAATCACGAATGTGATCTAAAGCAATGTGCATTGATTAACATCGGGTGAGTTAAAATCAGACCATTGAGCATAATTCGCCGTAATCTTCCCAGTCCTGAGATTAGCCACCTACCCCCAGCATTTGAGTTCTATGCTCTTAGAAGTACTGGTTAAAACAAAGATATGGAATAATATGCCGGTTACCTACAGCTCAGACTGTCCAAGCTCTAAGGTTAAAGTGGTGGATATTTGTGCAAAATCGTGCTGCTCCCCCGTCTCCTTTGTAGTGCTGTCAGCTTCAGAACTCCTGGAAAAGGTGTGGCTGATCTGAAGGAACTCAGTACATGTCCCTGTAGATCTCCTGCAGTAGCGGGTGCAGCGCAGCATCCGACTCCGTCTTCTTGATGATCTGCACCAGCTGCGCATGCTCCGTCACCAGCTGCCGGAGGTCTGCCATTTTTTGAAGAAGTTTTGGGAAGAGAAAGATATCGTCCGGGTGGTTGCTCTGCAGGTGGAGTCTGAGCACATGTACAATACCCTCCTGCATTTTTTCAATGTGTCCTACGTTTAGAAGGCCAGGACGATCTAGTCTCGAAAGAAGAGAGAGAGGTTTGAGTGTGATAATCACCCAAGAACTGCTTATCAGTTTCAGGAACCAAACATGCCTATTTTATGTGGCCTTTCTTAGAAAAAAACTGAGCTGCCTTTAGATATTGTCAACTTGACTGGAAGATAGACATAGGTTTTTCCAAAGTCAATAGGTGAAGTAGGGACAGACAGGACCAGTACTCTTTCCTAAATATTCATACTACTAGGCGGCAATAGTGCCCTAAGTACACCTTATGGTGCGGCCTTTTCACTTGTGATTTACCTGATGACCACCTGTCAGGGAGAAAAATTAGAGCTAGTAGGAGGAACAGTACATTCTGGAGATCACAACCACCAGTTTTGCATAATATGGGAAATGAAGCTTTTGAATCCAAACTAGATATCAAGCTTCAAGTGTTCCACCATATTTAAGGAGTGATTGTGTTAGAACTAGGTTTTGTAGGCCAGGCACGGTGGCTCACGCCTGTAATCCCAGATACTCGGGAGGCTGAGGTGGGAGAATCGCTTGAACCTGGGAGACGGAGATTGCAGTGAGCCAAGATCAGGAGACCCAGAGTGGGGAGGAGGGTGGGGCAGGTCTGAGACTTGGTGCAGGAAGAGTCAACATTCACACCAGATGACCTGCCTGGGGTAGCTGGCACTAGACATCCTGGGACAGTCTCAAAGCATGAGACCTGATTCTTGGTCCAGAAAATACTGCCCTGAGCCATGTTCAGCAGGCGGTGCTCCCTTACAGACCCAGTCATTACTATGATTCTTAACAGGGTTGCTAGTGATGAGGATTTAAACATCTTCATTGTTTTTGGTTGTAAATGTAATTATTAAGTTTTTATTTCTAAAATTCTTGTTTTTGTATTGTTTTAGTGATGGGGTCTTGCTCTGTTGCTTAGGCTGGACTGGAACTCCTAGGCTCAAGCAATCCTCCTGCCTCGGCCTCCAGAGTGGCTGGGGCTATAACTATTAAGTCTCTAAAGAGAGGAATTATTGCCGGGTGCAGTGGCTCATGCCTGTAATCCCAGCACTTTGGGAGGCCGAGGTGGGTGGGTCACCCGGGGTCAGGAGTTTGAGACCAGCCTGGCCAATATGGTGAAACCCCATCTTTACTAAAAATACAAAAATTAGCCAGGTGTGCTGGCATGTTCCTGTAATCTCAGCTACTCAGGAGGCTGAGGCAGGCGAATCACTTGAACCCAGGAGGCGGAAGTTGCAGTGACCTGAGATCGTGCCACTGCACTCCAGCCAGGGTGACAGACGGAGACTCTGTCTCAAAAAAAAAAAAAAGGAGGAATCTTTTGAAAAATAGAAATCCCCCCTCATAATTTTAATCCCACCATAATAGGTTTAACATATATCTCACTGGACATTTTTCTATATACATAGGATTGATATAGGATTATAATTTCCTTTATAAAACTGTGATCATGCTACATATAAATAGTTCTGCAACTGCATTTTACCCACAATGCTACATCCTGACCATACTAAAGGACAAATTATGCATAACTGCTTTGTCTTTGTACACTTTATGCCAGAGCGCAAGGACTTCCTTCATCTGACTTGTGCCCAGCCACACAGTAACGGGCACGGCTGGTAGGGCTGAGTCAGCTCCATGCTGACAGTGAGTCAATCCCCCAGGCGCAGTATGGCTGCAGGCAGTGTGGGAGACCCCATCTGTCTCCACCAACCCTGGGTAAGGTCAGCCGAGTTTGCAGTAGGTGGATGACCTTCCTAGACCTGAGATGGGGCTATTTAAAGGAACGTGACACCGAGCCAAAAATGTGGAGGCTGCAGAGCCAGCTTCCACAGAGAGGACCAGATCGGCCTTCCCTGGGATCTGCTTCCTCGGGCAAAGCAAACCTTGCAGTCACTGCCACTTGGCTGCTGACTGATATTATATTTTGCATTAGGAAATATACTTTTCATCAACATAACCAACTGTGACAGCAACTATACTGACATCTGTATAGCACTTCATACAATATTGTCTATAATATGAATACAACATCATTATATAATATATACAGGAATATCATAATATATAAATTATATCTGTTTATAATATTAGATATAATATAAACGAAATGTGTGTGTGTGTGTGTGTGTATAATTTTTTTTTTTTTTTTTTTTGAGACAGGGTCATTCTTCGTCGCCCAGGCTGGAGTGTGGTGGCGTGACCTTGGCTCACTGCAACCTTTGTCTCCTGGGCTTAAGTGATCCTCCCACCTCAGCCTCTCAAGTAGCTGGGACTACAGGTACATGCCACCATACTTGACTAATTTTTTCTATTTTTTTTTTTGTAGAGACGGGGTCTTGCCATGTTGCCCAGGCTGGTCTCAACCTCCTGGGCTCAAGTGATCCACCCACCTCAGCCTCCCAAAGGGCTGGGATTACAGGCCCATGTCCGACCTCTTTTTCTCTATATATATATTTGTGCAAAATATATAATTTTTTTTTAAAGAAATAGGTCTTGTTCTGTTGCCCAGGCTAGAGTGCAGTGGTGCATTCATAACTCATTGCAACCTGAACTCCTGGGCTCAAGAGATCCTTTTGCCTCAGTCTACTGAGTAAGTAGCTGGGACTAAAGGTGTGCACCCCCACACCTGGCTAATATTATGATTAAAATGTCATACATTTACATAATATTAAATATGTATTTATAGATAATAACAATATATACTATAATATTATACAATATTGTTATAATTCCCACTGAATTCTCAGCAGTGACTGGGGGTCAGACGTCTTCCCACCATGTGAGTGTCCCCTCCACTGGAACAGCTCAGGCTGGTACTGGATTTCCCATTGTCAAATTTTTCAAGACAGGAGCCTGTCAGTGACATGATACCAGCAGATTAAATCAACCACTCACCTCCACAGCAAATGATAGCAGCCACAAAAAGGGAGATATCACTGTCATCCAGTTCCAGTGCATTGAACTTCATGGCAAAATCAAACTTGGGTTCCATGATATCACAGAACGGTTTCCTTAGGCTTTTTAGGAATTCACGAGTTATAAACCCATTTCCATACGCTACCAGCATCCCGTCTTTGTTCATCACAGAAGACAGCATGGCGAATATGGCCTCATAAACTCCGTATTTTAGCAATGTCACTTGATCGTTCAGGTCCAAGTTTGCGAAGCCTGGGATGGCCTTGGCGAATTCCGTGAGCTCCGTGACGGTCTCCACTGACGTGCACTGGCAGCAGTGAAAGATGCGGACCTCCGCCTCCTTGTTCTGGATGCCATTGGCCACCAGCTTGGCCACCAGCGTCTTCTCAGCCATACACAGTGTCTCCATATCATGTATGACAAAAGGCTACAAAGGAGGACACCAAGGTAAGTCAGGTGATGTGGGATGCGCTATGCTCCCAGCTATCAGCTCACTAATGAGCAGCTCCTGCGTCCAAATCACCAAGCTCAGTGCCTCAGAGGACTCAAGATACCCGCGGAACATAGTCCTTACTCAACTTCAAAATCGGTTGGGGAAAATAAGACATTAATAGAGAACAAACAGTATAAATCAGTAAAATAATAATAGTCATCGCCTGACATTGGGTGGATTTCATCGCTAAGAAACTGAAGTACTGGGCTGGGCATGGTGGCTCACGCCTGTAATCCCAGAACTTTGGGAGGCTGAGGTGGGTGGTTTACCTGAGGTCAAGAGTTCGAGACCAGCCTGGCCAGCATGGTGAAACCCCGTCTCTACTAAAAATACAAAAAAATTAGCTGGGTGTGGTGGCGGGCGCCTGTAGTCCCAGCTACTCGGGAGGCTGAGGCAGGAGAATGGCGTGAACCCAGGAGGCAGAGCTTGCAGTGAGCCGACATTGCGCCACTGCACTCCAGCCTGGGTGACAGAGCGAGACTCCGTCTCAAAAAAAAAAAAAAAATTAGCCAGGCATAGTGTGTGCCTGTAACCCCAGCTACTCGGGAGGCTGAGGCAGGAGAATCGCTTGAACCTGGGAGGTGGACGTTGCAGTGAGCCAAGATCGTGCCACTGCACTCCAGTCTCCAGTCTGGGCGACAGAGCGAGAGTAAGACTCCGTCTCAAAAAAAAAAGAAACAAGAAACTGAAGTACTGATTTTGTCAAAACAAAACTAACGAGGACATTAGCAAAGCACCTTTAATATTCTTAAATATTCTCTGAACTAATGACTATTGCAAGAGGCTTAATTACGATCATTCTTAATTTTACCAGTATATGCACTTTAGGGGTGAACACCATTATTTAACGCTGCTCAATGAATACATTTGGCATGTAAATACATACAACTCAGAAAGGTGGCATCTATGTAGAAATCGGCAAACAAGCGTTGTGAAACTCTTTAGGGATAAAGTGGAAAAGCCTCGGAATGCCCTTGTTTCTCTCAGTGCAGGAAACTGAAACCTTCACTCGGTGCTCCATATTCTGGAGCAAGTGCCAACTCCCCACAGCCGTGCCTTGTGTGCTCCCATGCCATCTGCATGTAAACCCAGTGGCCTGCCATTTCCTGAAGATCTCGTGGTGGAAGAGGTGGCTGGCCATATTATTTGAAGCCAACATGCTCAGAAGGGATTACATGTGTGGGAGAGCCGGGGAAAATGAGCACAAACACTGCTGTTGGCTGAAATTTACATCTGCGGGTAGAGCAGGAAAGTGACAACATCTGAGAGATCTCTCTGATTATAATGTGGTCCACAGCTCATGCAGACACAGGTCAATAATGCAGTGGGCTAAGGTGTTATTTCTTTTTTTTTTGAGACAGAGTTTTGCTCTTGTTGCCCAGGCTGGAGTGCAATGGCACAATCTCGGCTCACTGCAACCTCGGCCTCCCAGGTTCAAGCGATTCTCCCGCCTCAGCCTTCTGAGTAGCTGGGATTACAGGCATGCGCCACCACGCCCAGCTAATTTTGTATTTTTAGTAGAGACGGGGTTACACCATGTTGGTCAGGCTGGTGTCGCACTCCTGACCTCAGGTAATCTGCCCACCTCAGCCTCCCAAAGTGCTGGGATTACAGGGGTGAGCCACCGCGCCCGGCCTACAGCGTTATTTCTAATCACTGCTGGAACAGTGGAGCCCAAAGCGCAGAAGCATCCCAGGATTTAAAGAATGCCCCCTGCCAGTGGGCAAAACACAACCACTGACAATGCTTCTGACACACAGCCTGAAGTGTTTCCTGTTTCTGGACTCACAGCACAAAACTGTCTTCAGGGCACCGGTGGAGGTGCCGATAACCATCACACAGATGGTATGGAATGTTTCAACAGAACCAGGACTTGCAACATAATGCTGGACAAAAAGCCCTGATTCTGCATCTGAGGAAAGGGGATATTTAAAAAATTACTCACAAATGAGTGAAAACATTCTGAATACAATATTCAGAGCCAAGTTTCTAAATAATCTCAAGTCCGATTAATAAAGACTGAAAATGATCTCTCTCCAAGACCTTAAAAACAGTTCTGACCATTGTTTGTTAAAGTTTGGAGATAATTCTGCTTCACAGAAAGCTGAAGCTCAGATTTAAGGAATTAACATTTCTAGGAGGGGCTAGATAATTTTTTTTTTTTTTTGAGACAGAGTCTTGCTCTGTTGCCCAGGCTGGAGTGCAGTGGTGCAATCCCAGCTCATTGCAACCTCTGCCTCCGCCTCCTGAGTTCAAGCAATTCTCCTGCCTCAGCCTCCCGAGTAGCTGGGATTACAAGCACACATCACCACGCCCAGCTAATTTTTTGTATTTTAGTAGAGACGGGTTTCACCTTGTTACCCAGGCTGGTCTTGAACTCCTGAGCTCAGGCAATCTGTCCACCTCAGCCTTCCAAAGTGCAGGCCAGGATTACATGCGTGAGCCACTGTGCCCGGCCTCTAGGAGGAACTAAATAAATATTTTTCAAGGATCGATGGCAGTATTCCCTCAATTCCAGAAAATAGACTCTTAGGCCACCGTCACTTTATTCAAATCACTCAATCTTTCTAAAGTACATTCAGCAGAAATAAAGGTGTTAAATAATTTTTTTTTTTTTTTGAGATGGAGTCTCGCTCTGTTGCCCAGGCTGGAGTGCAGTGGCGTGATCTTGGCTCACAGCAAGCTCCGCCTCCCGGGTTCATGCCATTCTCCTGCCTCAGCCTCCCCAGTAGCTGGGACTACAGGCGCCCGCCACCATGCCCAGCTCATTTTTTTTTGTATTTTTAGTAGAGACGGGGTTTCACCGTGTTAGCCAGGATGGTCTCGATCTCCTGACCTCGTGATCCGCCCACCTCAGCCTCCCAAAGTGCTGGGATTACAGGCGTGAGCCACCACGCCCAGCCAATAATTTTTTTAAAAAATGAGTTCTGTTTTAAAAAAATAAGAAACACTGAGTTGAATGAAGTTGGGCCTCCCTAGCTGAGTCTTTAACATGATAAATGTGCAGTCTTCCAGAATGAGAATGAGGCTAGGATAAGCAGGGGTTCCTACAGTGTTTGATTACAGAATGCTTGGTGTTATTTATTGTTTTTTGGTAGAGCATCTCCCAGGACAAATGCAGGCCTGGCTACGTAATTTACAGGACCCAGAGCAAAAATGCAAATGTGGGACCCCTTGGTTTTTCTTTTTTGAGACGGAGTCTCGCTCTGTTGCCCAGGCTGGAGTGCAGTGGCGTGATCTCGACTCACTGCAACCTCCACCTCCCAGGTTTGAGTGATTCTCCTGCCTCAGCCTCCTGAGTAGCTGGGATTACAGGCACCCACCAACCACGCCTGGTTAATTTCTGTATTTTTAGTAGAGATGGGGTTTCACCATGTTGGTCAGGCTGGTCTCAAACTCCCGACCTCAGGTGATCCACCCGCTTCAGCCTCCCAGAGTGTTGGGATTACAGGCGTGAGCCACCACACACTGCGGGACCCCTTGTTCAAAGATGATTATGAATTTCAAGAAGGCAACAGCGGAGCATGAACACCCAAGCCTGGGCCTTTCTAGGCTGGGGGCATCGTTAAACAGCTTGCATGCCCCTGAGGCTCACCGTGGACTAGTTCTATGGGGATGTACTCTCGTAAATGAGGACTTCTGTGGTAACAAATATCTCATTTCATTTTTATAAAATTATCACTTTGGTTTTAGAAAGTGGGCCTCATTTAGCAGGGAGAACTGGAGACCACTGAATTCAAAATGAGTGGTACCATGAAGAAACCAATGTTTATTAAAGCTAAAGAGAAATGCTGTTGAAAAACACACTTGCAAATTCGCTAAACTTTATGGATAAACATTCTTGGTGAGATCATTTTACAAAAAAATCTATGCAGCAGCTTATATTTAACTTTGGAATATGCCTTTTATACTCAAGCTTGACTATGAATATATCTGACACGACAGGCAGTCATTTCAAATAAATGAAATAAAGCACATTATAAAGGTTTTAAACAGCGTGAGGCAGGAAGCTGCCTAGATTTTCCCCAATCACTCCATGCCGAGAGCAGAACGCCCCGCTTGCTGCCACACTGGTCCCGGCACACACTCATGTGGCCTACGAAGCTCAATGATATCACTCATGAGAATTCATCTCTGTTAGCAGCTGTCATCTTTTTGCAAAAAATTAAATGTGGACCAGGCGCAGTAGCTCATGCCCGCAATGCCAGCACTTTGGGAGGCCAAGGTAGGTGGATGACCTGAGGTCAGGATTTCGAGACCAGCCCGGCCAACATGGCAAAAGCCCGTGTCTACTAAAAATACAAAAATTAGTCGGGTGTGGTGGCTGGCACCTGTAATCCCAGCTACTTAGGAGGCTGAGGCAGGAGAATCGCTTGAACCCAGGAGGGGGAGGTTGCAGTGAGCTGAGATTGCGCCACTGCACTCCAGCCTGGGCAAGAGAGTGAGACTCAGTCTCAAAAATAAATAAATAAATAAAAAATAAATGTGAAGCACTGGTAGAACTGCTTTGGATGAAATTATTTAATAAGCTCTCTTGGTTATGTTTTACTATACATTTGTAGAAATGGCATAAAATATGAAGCACATTTTTTAATCTAAAGAAAACTTAAGTAGTAGGTATAATATTGGACTGTCACACGGCAGGCAACACCCCAAGACATGGTATAAGGTCATAGCTGTTGAAAGGAGCAGTCCTGTTATAACACGGCACCCTGGAGGTCACCCTTATGCCCAGGCTTCTGAAATGTTAAGAATAATGTTGGAATTCCTCTTTCAAAACTGGTCTTAAAAACCATGTTCAGCTGCATGTCACAAATTAGTCTCCTTGCTCAACTTTTTTTTTCTTTTTTCTGTTTTCTTTTTTTGAGACGGGGTCTTGCTGTGTCACCCAGGCTGGAGTACAGTGGCGCAACCACAGTCCACTGCAGTCTTGACCTCCATCCTCCTGCCTCGGCCTCCTGAGCGGCTGGAACCACAGGCGCACACCACCATGCCCAGCTAACTTTTCATAGAGGAGGTCTCACTATGTTGCCCAAGCCGGCCTTTCTTATTTTTTTAAACAAGACGTTTTACTCTGTTTAATCCCAACTTGCATGCCAGTCTAGCTACAATGGACTCATGGTTTGTCTAAAATTCAGTTCTATTCTCAGAGGGTAAAATCTTCCATAACTGAAGCTATTCAAAGACTTTAAGATAATCCCCAACAATTTGGAGCAATAGGAGAATCTTTGAAAAAATAACACGGCACGCCCAATTCCTACTTTCTTCATTTGAACTGAGTGTCAGTTCTGATATGTTTGTTAGATTAAAAAGTAGCAGGACAACGTTATTATCACCTTATAGTTTGAATTTCTAAAGTCCACATATTCAGTGCTAAAGAATTATTTGGTTGTTTAACTGAACACCACACTCATTTTTTGGAAGGTGCAGTTTGCTTCTTAAGCCCAAAGCAGCTAAGCCTGAGCAACAGTAAGTGTGTGTGTGAGCATGTGTGTGCACGTGTGTGTGAGCATATGTGCACACATGTGAGTGTGGGTATGCGTGTGAGCATGTGTATATATATATATGTGTGCATGCTTGTATATGTGTGGGTACGTGTGTGGGTACATGTGTGCATAAGGTGAGGGTATGTGTGTGCATATACATGCATGTGAGCATGTATAAGCACATGTGTAGTTTGTAAGTGTGTGTGTGTATGCATCTGTGTGAATGCATGTGTTTGTATGTGTGTGTATGCATGTGTGTGACTGTATGGGTGAATGTGGATTTGTGTGTGCCTGGGTGCATGTGTGTGAGCATGCATGTGTGTGTGTACACACAGGTGTGGGTACATGTGTGAGTGTGCGTGTATCCATGTGTGGGTGCATGTGTGTGTGTGCGTGTGTGGGGGTGGAGGTGCGTCTGTGTGCATGTGTGGGTGCACGTGTATGTGTGGGGGTGTGTGTGTTTACACGTGCATGCATGGATGTGTGAGTGTGTACCCATGTGAGCATGGATGCTTGTGTGCGTGTGGGTGCATGTGTGTGTCCATGTGCATGTATGGGGGTGGAGGTGCATCTGTGTACACGTGTGGGTGCATGTGTATGTGTGGGTGTGTTTGTGTACACATGCATGCATGGATGTGTGACTGTGGGTGCATGTGTGTGAGCATGCATGTGGGTGCACGTGTATGTGTGTGTACCCGTGTGTGCACGGATGTGTGAGTGTGGGTATGTGCGTGCATTTGTGCATGAGCGTGCATCACACAGAAGGCACTGACTCTGCCCAAGCCCCTCAGTCTCATTTTCTGTTGCTTCCTCCAAAGTCTTCTGACGACATTCTCAACCCCTGACAGGTCAACATCTTATGTTTTTAGACACTGTTGAAAAGCACCCATTTTTATTGCCTCCCTCAGCCCCCTGACTCTGCTTCCATCCCTGTTACCCTCAAATCAAGGGGCAGTGAGTTCCCCAGAGGCGCCCTTCCCCATCACCAAGGGCCCTGACCATTTTCTGGCCCACGGTTCTGAAATCTCAGGGGCTCAAACAGTCCCAGTGTCCAGATGGACACAGACATTCTCCATCCACCCCTCACTCCTTCCCTCAGCTAAAGCCCACCTTTCCTCAAGCAATGGCATCTATGCGGCTCCATGCAGCGGCCTCCCCCTGCCCCCACAGCCTCCTCCGTGCACCCTGGCCGGTTCCAACCCCGACCCAAGCCTCCTGGCTGATTCTAGGCCTCCCACAACTCCCCCACCGGTTTCAGGCCCCCCCCCAGCATTCTAGCCTGTTCCAGCTCAGCCATGGGGCTTTGCGTCATCTGATCTGAAGGCCACGAGCTGATCTTGACAGAAGAAAGGCATTGGCCACTGCAAAGAGAAATTCAGTCCCCCGCTTATAGCAAACCAGAGGGCTGCTTTGAAATTAAAATCTATCCATCCCCCGTGCTTCCCCATCAAGGCTTTGAACATTTCAGGGTTGCTTTCACCCCAGCAGCCCCTGCAGGGAGGAGGCGAGCCTGCCTTCCCCAGCACACAGCCCACGTTCATTACGGTTCGTATGAATCCATTAGTTTACTGGCCTGGACAGTTTACTGTGCCGCCTCTCATCCCCAAACAGAAATGAAGTCAGCCGCCGGCCCTGAGGTCAGTGTGCCTTCCTGAGGCTCTGTGGGGCGTGGCTGGGGCTGTGAGGTCACCCAGGCTGGAAACTGATGAAACGGCGACCGCATGTGGGCCACTGGGCAGAGATCAAGGTGTTTCCAGGCCGCTGCTTGGTCTCCCTAACAGATTTCTTGCCCACAGATGGGGTTGCTTTCTGAGATGTGTAAGGGACACAGGCTATGGTCTTCCACTACCCACCTTGGCCACAAAACCAGAGCTCTGCCAATAGATTCAGGCAGTGTGGCCTGGTGGTGGGCATCCTGCCAACGGGGCCTTTTCCCAGACTAAGCAGAGAGGGTATCCTGCACCTGAAGGAGCCAGCTCTGGAAAGCCCGTCAGCAGGCTAGGCAGGGAGGAGGGGGCCGTGCCTCCAGCGTCCCGTGCGCAGACAAGGACATGGGGTGGGACGCAACCCTGGCTTGGAGCAAACAGTGTGATCAAACACAAAGAGTCACATGATGGTTGGAGGTTGCCTTGAAAACTGGTACCTGCGGTGCTCTGGCTTTGTGGGTGTGGGTGGAAGAGGGCATCTGACTCTCGGAAGAGTGCCCGGTTCTCTTTTTCTACAGAAAACCAAATTGTGAACCCCAATCCTAAACTATTCATCTATCATTTCTTTCTTTTTTTTTTTTTTTGAGATGGAGTCTCACTCTGTCACCCAGGCTGGAGTGCACCGGTGTGATCTCGGCTCCCTGCAACCTCCACCTCCCAGGTTCACGCCATTCTCCTGCCTCAGCCTCCCGAATAGATGGGACTACAGGCGCACACTGCCATGCCCGGCTAATTTTTTGTATTTTAGTAGAGATGGGGTTTTACCATGTTGCCCAGGCTGGTCTCGAACTCCTGAGCTCAGGTAATCCGCCCTCCTCTGCCTCCCACAGTGCTGGGATTACAGGCATAAGCATGAGCAACCACGCCTGGCCCTCTTTTTTTTTTTTTTTTGAGATGGAGTCTCGCTCTGTCACCCAGGCTGGAGTGCAGTGGTGTGATCTCGGCTCACTGCAACCTCTGCCTTCCAGGTTCAAGCAATTCTCCTGCCTCAGCCTCCTGGGTAGTTGGGATTACAGGTGCCCACGACCATGCCTAGCTAATTTTTGTATTTTTAGTAGAGACGGGGTTTCACCATATTGGTCAGGCTGGTCTCCAACTCCTGACCTCAGGTGATCCACCTGCCTCAGCCTCCCAAAGTGCTGGGATTACAGGCATGAGCCACCGCGCCTGGCCTATTATTTATTTCTTTAAGGCCAAAATGCAAACAGATTCCCGCCTGCTAGTTGCTGCATGTGACCCTCAGCTGAGGGTGATGGGGTTCCTAGAGCTTGGTGGTCTCCAAGGGGAGGTGCAGGAGGACTCCAGGAGTCCCATTCGCACCCCATGGTGGGGGCAGGTTGTTAGGAAGAAAGACAACTTAACTCTGCTTCGAATTTTTTTTAGAGAGTCTCGCTTTGTCGCCTAGGCTGGAGTGCAGTGGCGCGATCGTGGCTCGCTGCAGCCTTGAACTCCTGGCCTCAAGGCATCCTCCTCAACCTCCCAAGTCGCGGGGACTATAGGCATGTGCCACCATGCCTGGATAATGTTTTTATTTTTTGTAGAGATGTGGTCTTGCCATGTTGCCCAGGTTGGTTTTGAACTCCTGGGCTCAAGCCATCCTCCCATCTCAGCTTCCCAAGTACCTGGGACCACAGGCACATGCCACCATGCCCAGCTAGTTTTTTAAAAAATCATTTTTTGTAGAGACGAGGTCTCCTTGTGTTGCCTGGTCTCAAACTCTTGGATTGCCTCAAGTGATCCTCCCGCCTCAGCCTCCCAAAGTGCTGGGATTACAGTGTGAGCCACTGTGCCCAGCCTGCTTTCAATTCTGAAATCCAAGGGAGAAATATAAGCTGGCAAACAAAAGTTTTAGCCATCCCAATTTTGGGCTGTACTAATCATATCCAGGATAGAGACTCGAAGCTAAAAGTTACCTTTTCTTTCACTCTCGTAATCCAGGAAAGTTCTAATTGGGACAAGCCTCTGGAGCTGCCTAGTGTGGGTGTCTGCTGGAAACTTCTAAAATGTCTCGGCCTATTTAATTGGAGAATTCACTGAAGAATTAAAGGACTCAGTAAAGAAGAGGTTTGGTTTGTTCATGAAAGTAAGTAGCTTGTGAAATGCTTTATTTTCCTGTGACTAAAATTCCACCTTGTAATTCCCAATAAGGATTGCTTCAAGCTATTTAATACAAATTAAACCTGTTTCACCATGCTCATAGGAAAATGTCAAAGTATCTTCATTCACCAACTGAGGGCTGGCTCTTCTTTGAAGGTAGCTCTGAGATTTGTTTTGTAATGGAGACAAAGACTTATTTAACTGTTGGGGAGGGGGAAGGAGGACTTAGGCCAGGCAGGCGGGGATGTGGGGGACGAACCATGAGGGGCAATTTGGCTGCCTCTGAAAAGGTCCAGAGCTACCTTAAAAGACAGGCTTTCTATAACAAGTGGTCCTTTCTTTTCCTTTCTTTTTTTTTTTGAGACAGAGTCTCACTCTGTTGCCCAAGCTGGAGTGCAGTGGTGCGATCTCAGCTCACTGCAACCTCCAGCTCCCAGGTTCAAGCAATTCTCCTGCCTCAGCCTCCCAAGTAGCTGGGATTACAGGCAACCGCTACCATGCCCAGCTAATTTTTTGTATTTTTAATAGAGATGGGGTTTCACCATGTTGGCCAGGGTGGTCTCAAACTCCTGACCTCAAGTGATCCACCCACCTCAGCCTCCCAAAGTGCTGGGATTACAGACATGAGCCACCGCGCCCAGACACAGCTGGCTTTGTCGCCCAGGCTGGAAGTGCAGTGGCACGATCTCGGCTCACTGCAAGCTCTGCCTCCTGGGTTCACGCCATTCTCCTGCCTCAGCTTCCCAAGTAGCTGAGACTACAGGCGCCCGCCACCACGCCCGGCTAATTTTTTGTATTTTTAGTGGAGATGGTGTTTCACCATGTTAGCCAGGATGGTCTTGATCTCCTGACCTCGTGATCCGCCTGTCTTGGCCTCCCAAAGTGCTGGGATGACAGGCGTGAGCCACCACGCCTGGCTTACAAGTGGCCCTTTCTAAGCCCCAAGATGTCACTGTCTTTTCACTGAAGGCGGAAAAAGAATGTAGGCATGTTTGTCTGAGAGGGAGGGAGTAGTTTTAGGAGAAAGGACCAAGAGCACATTTTGAGTGGGAAGTAAGTGGTTTCCTTTTCTAGCCTTATGATATGGTTTGGCTCTGTGTCCCCACCCAAATCTCATGGTGAACTGTAATCCCCAGTGGTGGAGGTGAGGCCTGGCGGGAGGGACTGGATCATGGGGGTGATCCTTCATGAATGGTTTAGCACCATCCTCTTGGTGCTACTCTAGTGATAGCGTTCTCACAAGATCTGATGGGTGAAAAGTGTGTGTCTCTTGTTTTTGCTCCTGCCATGCAAGACGCCTACTCCCACTTCACCTTCTGCTATGAGTCAAATTCCCTGAGGCCTCCCCAGAAGCAGAAGCTTCCTGTACAGCCTTGTGGGCCACGAGCCAATTAAACCTCTTTTCTTTATAAATTACCAGGTCTCAGGGATTTCTTTATAGCAGACTAATACACCTCAAAGTAGGGATTTATTTTATTATTCTATTTTTTTTTTGAGATAGGGTCTCGATCTGTCACCCAGGCTGGAGTGCAGTGGCATGATCTCAGCTTGCTGTAACCTCTGCCTCCCGGGTTGAAGCAATTCTCATGCCTAAGCCACCCAAGTAGCTGGAATTACAGGTGTGTGCCACCCTGCTCAGCTAATTTTTGTATCTTTAGTAGAGTTGGGGTTTCTCCATGTTGGCCAGGCTGGTATCAAACTCCTGGACTCAAGCAATCTGCCCACCTTGGCCTCCCCAGAGTGCCAGGATTACAGGCATGACCCATCTTGCCTGGTCAGTTTTTTTTTTTTTAAATCCAGTTAATGCTGGGTGCCATGACTCACACCTGTAATGCCAGTGCTTTGGGAGGCCGAGGTGGGAAGATCACTTGAGGCCAGGAGTTTGAGACCAGCCTGGGAAACATCTCATCTCTACCAAAAAACAAAAACAAAACAAAACAACAACAACATCAAACATAGCCAGGTGTGGTGGTGCACACCTGTAGTCCCAGCTCCTTGGGAGGCTGAGGCAGGAGGATTGCTTGAGCCCAGGAGTTCAAGGCTGCAGTGAACTATGATTGCACCACTGCATTCCAGCCTGGGCAACAGAGCAAGAACCTATCTCTATTTAAGAAAAAATGCTCCTAAGAAATCATCTTAGTACTTGGTAAGCTATTAAGGTTTTTTTTAAGTGTATTAATTACATAGCCAGTATAATAACTTAGTTGCTAAGAGCTTTGAGGTGGCTCCAAGCAAGAAGAAAGGAGTTGTTGTTAAGCTACAGCTCAGAGTCTCAGAATGAACTGTTTCCATCTTCGCTGTCCTTTGCTTAACTGTGGGATAAATATAATTTTCTCAACATTCAACACATGTGTCCTTAATCGTCCTCTACGACACTGGTTCCATGTTGCCAAGAGAACCCAGAACAGCCGCAAACACCTACTGGATTGTTACTGGCCTTTCCTGAGAGGATGACCCGGGCTTTGACCTTGTTCATGTTGAAGTTCTTCAAGTAGGCCTCGTAGATTCTCTTGGCCAGAGATTTGAGATCTGCAGTTTCAGAATCTTCTATGTCATGTTCACAGGTAAGAATTTCTGCTTTCAGTTTTGCTTTCTCAGATCTTGGCATTCGTCCAAAACGAATCGCTAGGGTTTGGAGGGGGAAACACAGGCATGAGCAGTGAGGTCATGACTGCGCGGACAGGGCTGGACGAGGGGCTCCCCCAGGACTTTAAACCAGGAATGAAAATTCACAGGCAGTTCAGACCCATCCTTCATTACTATTCGGCTTTCCACTATGGAGAGATGAAAAACTCAAACTCCATACACTGTAGATGTTTAAACAGGTGCAGGCTGAAGGTGACACCATCGTTAACAGGTGCAGGCTGAAGGTGACACCATCGTTCGTCTCATTAGTAGGGTGCACACCACTATCAGGTGCATCATCAACCTTTGAGTGAAGGAGGTGAACGGGGCTTCGGGATGAGTTTATATAATAACTGCTTCTTTTTCCAGAAGGTAGACATGCAACTCTTATGAACGACTTACATTCACATCACAATTAGCATGTTCTGAAACTATTAAATGATTGGCTAGAAGGAAATTCATAACGTGGTGAGATGTTTGAGGTGGTACACCCTTCCTATGGACGAGGTGAACATTCTGTCATTTTGGTGCCTTCCACTTGGTTTTTCGATTCTGTATCAAAGTCTTACCACTGAAGTTTCTAACAGCGAGTCCAATGCACCACTGAATCTCAGCTATTTGAGACTTTTTCTTTTTTTTTCTTTTTTTTTGAGACGGAGTCGCACTCTGTCGCCCAGGCTGGAGTGCAGTGGTGCGATCTCAGCTCACTGCAACCTCCGCCTCCCGGGTTCAAGCTATTCTCCTGTCTCATCCTCCCAAGTAGCTGGGATTACAGGTGTGCACTACCATGCCCAGCTAATTTTTGTATTTTTATTAGAGACGGGGTTTTGCCATGTTCGCCAGGCTGGTCTCAAACTCCTGACCTCAAGTGATCCACCCGCCTCGGCCTCCAAAGTGCTGGGATTACAGGTGTGAACCACCGCACCTGGGAGACTTTTATTTTCTTTCTTTCTTTCTTTTTCTTTTTTTTTTTTTTGTGAGACGGAATCTCCCTCTGTCGCCCAGGCTGGAGTGCAGTGGCGCAATCTCAGCTCACTGCAACCTCCGCCTCCCGGGTTCAAGCGATTCTTCTGCCTCAGCCTCCCGAGTAGCTGGGACTACAGGCATGTGCCACCACACCCAGCTAATTTTTGCATTCTTAGTAGAGACGGGGTTTCACCATATTGGCCAGGCTGGTCTCAAACTCCTGACCTGAGGTGATCCACCCACCTCAGCCTCCCAAAGTGCTGGGATTACAGGCGTGAACCACCGCGCCTGGGCGACTTTTATTTTCTTAGGCCACTCTGATTACAAAATGACTTGGGTGTGAAATGTTGAAGCACATTCATCCATAGCTTGATCTGTTCCCTTGGAGCAAGGAAGGGGAACTGAGGAACGAACTGGGAAAATGTGCAGGGCCACCTTACCTACCGTTGTGTGACATCCCGACAGAAAGGCACTTGTGAAATCGACAATACTGGCATTTGTTTCTGTTCTTTTTCTGGATCTTGCAGCTGCGGTCGCACTTGTCATACACCAGCTTGAGTCGAATCGTTCGCCGAAAGAAGCCCTGTGAGGGTAATACACAGTGGATTTAAAGACCTGGGCCACTGAGAAACCAGCGCACTTGCTTTACTCACCTTTTTTGTTGCTCATTTATTGTTTCTTTTTAAATGAACAAAATTTAGAGAAAAGTTATTCCAGGCCAGGCATGGTGATCATGCCTGTAATCCCAGCACTTTAGGAGGCTGAGGCGGGTGGATCACCTGAGGTCAGGAGTTCGAGACCAGCCTAGCCAACATGGTGCAACCCTGTCTCTACTAAAAATACAAAAATTAGCCGGGCATGGTGATGTAAGTCTGTAGTCCCAGCTACTCAGGAGGCTGAGGTAGGACAATCACTTGAACCCAGGAGGCGGAGGTTGCAGTGAGCTGAGATTGTGCCACTGCACTCCAGCCTGCGCGACAGAGTGAGACTCCATCTCAAAAAAAAAAAAAAAAAAAAAAAAAAAAAGAAAGAAATAGTTCTTCTAAGAAGTCTGGAATGATTAGGACAAATACAGAACTTTAAATGTCGTTACATTTAATGTGAAAAACAATAAAATGAGGCAGCATTCGAAGTCATTTCAAAATGCCCTCATCTGACTTGGGAAAACACAATTATAGTTTTCCAAAGAGTTACTCAGCCTTGTTACAATGTATATGAATGTAACTATCCCCAGCATTGTGACATTTCCATATTTGTGACTAAAGACTTTCTAAGAATTTTTGTAAGAGTATATTAACTCCCTCAAAGACAAAAATTATAATAAAAGGAAGCCAGCTGTTTGTAAACAATTTTCTTGCTTTGTAAAAGCATCTTAAACTCTACCCAGCAAGAAACAATGTTACTAAATAGTCCATAAAAAACAAAACTAAATGAATAATTAATCATGGCCCTAAGGAAAAGGCCACTTTATAAGGAGCTTTTTCAAAGGTATATGGTTAGAAAACATGCGAAGGAGTTCATTTTTGCTTTGGGTTCTTTTTTCTCTTTGCTTTTAAGTCATTCTTCTATATTTTTGCCACAGTGGGTCTGCTTGGCCCGCGGGAGAGGGACAGCAGTGTGCAGGGGAATGTGAGAGGCAGGCTGACGTCTTCATAATGTCCTTACCTAGGCTTGCACAGTGGGGAGGCTGAGGAACGCATGGGGTTAGAATGGGAAGGGTGGGGAGACAGGCTTCTAGACAGCAGAGTGCCACAGTGTCCTGGCTGTGAGGTTCTCCCTGTGGCCCAGGCCTCTGAGGCCAGGCCTGGCTCAGGGCAGAATGCTGGTGTTCCAAGATGGTACATTGTGCCAGAAAGGCGGTGGCATTTTCCAAGTTAGTGAACACCTGCAGCGTGCACCGTGAGAAGGGATTTCTGATTCAAACCAAACATTCAGATGATGATCTCCCACATATCACGTACATAAGGCGCCAGACTTGAGCACGTCTGTGCAACCCTAAAGGGACGCTGCTACAGGAGCTCTCCTCATCACCACGCTGACAAACACGGAAGGGCCACCAGTCCAGCTGGCAGCATGCAGGACAACAGGGCCTGCCTTCATGCACTCCTGGCCCAGGTCACATCTGTTTAGGGCAGGCTGAGCCAGCAGGAGGATGAAGATGCACAGGGGGTTCCTGTCGCTTGAATCAGGTGGAGAAGCCCCTGATGTGCAGGAAGGAACTGCTGGGGAGCAGGAGCAGCCAGTCTCTGGTTCCAGTCCCTGCTGCTGGGGGCTGTGGGACCCTAAGCAAGATACTCTGTGTCTCTGATGGCCAATTTCCCTGGCAGGAGCATGAGAACACCTGCCCCACCTGGCCTTCAGGGAGGCTCCAGAGATCAACGGTAACAGCTCTCTGTCTTGTATTCGAATGAAGTGATGTTCTTAATGTGGCTTATTTTCTTTTCTCTCTTTTTTTTTTTTTTGAGATGAAGTTTTACTCTTGTCGCCTAGGCTGGAGTGAAATGGCTCGATCTCAGCTCACTGCAACCTCCGCCTCCTGAGTTCAAGCAATTCTCCTGCTTCAGCCTCCCAAGTAGCTGGGATTACAGGCACCCACCACCACACCTGGCTAATTTTTGTATTTTTAGTAGAGACAGGGTTTCACCATGTTGGCCAGGCTGGTCTTGAACTCCTGACCTCAGGTGATCCAGCCGCCTCGGCCTCCCAAAGTGCTGAGATTATAGGCGTGAGCCACTGCACCCGGTCCAATGTGACTTATTTTCTTTTAAAGAATGCACTTCTCTAAGTATTTACAAAGCACAGAGGAACCATTTGTCCTAGACTCTCTAAAGCAGCAATCCCCAACCTTTTTGCCACCAGGGACCGGTTTCATGGAAGACAATTTTTCCACAGATGGGGGTGGGGAGGGATAGTTTCAGGATGAAAGTGTTCCACCTTGGAACATCAAGTATTAGATTCTCATAAGGGGCGTACAAGCTAGATTCCTCAAATACGCAGTTCACAACAGGGCTTACGCTCTCAGGGGTTCTGTGCTATAAAGAGAGGCTAATCTATCACTGAGGTCAGTTTCTTTTTCTTTTTCTTTTTTTCTTTCTTTTTTTTTAAGATGGAGTCTCACTCTTGTTGCCCAGGCTGGAGTGCAGTGGCGCAATCTTGGCTCACTGCAACCTCTGGCTCCTGGGTTCAAGCAATTCTCCTGTCTTTGCCTCTCGAGTAGCTGGGCTTACAGGCGCCCACCACCACGCCTGGCTAATTTTTTTTGGTATTTTTAGTAGAGACAGGGTTTCATCATGTTGGCCAGGCTGGTATCGAACTCCTGATCTCAGGTGATCCACCCATCTCGGTCTCCCAAAGTGCTGGAATTATAGGCATGAGATACCGCGCCTGGCCTGAAGTCAGTTTCTTATCCGGGACTTTCTGCAATCTCTCAGTAATGACTGCCATTTGCTATAAAAGTGACCATAAGTAGTTGATGGTGGCGGCCACCAGGCCCTGTTCCAGCTCCCCTCTACCTTGCAGCCTTCACACGCGTGGACTCCGTAATGATAGCCTGAGGCCTTGTCCCCGCAGATTCTACATTCGATGTTCAATGCTCCACTGGGAGACTCGTCCACGCTGCCGGGGACCACAGGATAAGTCACCGAGGAGGGGCTCGAAGCTGGTGAAAGCGTGTCTGGGGAAAAAGAGGAGAGACGGATGAATAGTCCAGGCATCACTATCCTGTGTCTGAACCGGGTCTATGAGGATGTGATTTCGCATACGAGGCTTCTAGTGCTGAGGCATAAACCTCAGAACACCCATGCGGGGCCGGGCCCTGCCTCTGGGTCACACCCTCTTGCACTCCTACAGCTGCCATTGTGCTGTGCTCCCAAAGCCAGCATGCTCGCTCTCACTGCTGCTGAGCTGACCCCGAGCTCCGGACCCACACACCTCAGATCACACATCCCTGGACCCGCACATCTCCGCCCCGCATATCTCCGGGCCCGCGCGTCTCCCATCCACACATCCCGCCCCGCACATCTCCTCATTCCCACATCTTCGATCTGAGCATCTCCGATCCACACATCTCCGCCCCGCGCATCTCCGGACCTGCACATCTCCCATCCACACATCTTCAGATTTGCACATCTTTGGACCCGCACATCTCTGGACCCACGCATCTCCGGACCCGCGCGTCTCCGGACCCGTGGATCCCCGGACCTGGGCATCTCCGATCAGCTCATCTTTGCTCTGCTCTGCACATCTCCAGACCCGCACATCTCCGGACCCCCACATCTCTGGACCCCCGCATCTCCTGACCCCCCAACATCTCCTGATCCACACATCTCCGCTCTGCACATTTCCGGACCCGCGCATCTCCGATTCGCCCATCTCCTGATCTGCGCATCTCCGGACCCACGCATCTCCTAGCCCTCCACATCTCCGATCCGCACATCTCGGGACTGGCACTTCTCCTGATCCGCACATTTCCTCCGGACCCCCACATTTCCGATCTGCACCTCTGGGTACGCGCACATCTCCGGACCCACACATCGGACCCGCACATCTCGGGCCCGCACATCTCCGCTGCACACATCTCCAGACCTGCACATCTATGGGCCCGCGCCTTGCCATACCGCCCATACCTCACCCTGCAGGACTCCCCATGCCCCCGCACTGACAGTGCCACGCAGAACTCGTTTTGTTTGCTTCCTTTCTTCCAGTTCTTCCGCAATTGTTAACTCAGTAAATGGCACCAGAATACAGTATAAAAATCTGTGTGGGCAACACCAAATGCACAATCCATGAAAGAGAAAATATAAGTTGGAATCTATGAAAGCTAATGAAACCTTCTGCTCTGCAAAAGACATTGCTAAGAAAATTAAAGACAAGCCACAGACTGGGAGAAAATATTTTCAATACACATGTGGTAATATACAAAGAGGTCTTAAAACAAACAACTCAATTGAAAAATGGGGGCTAGGCGTGGTGGCTCACGCCTGTAATCCCAGCACTTTGGGAGGCCGGAGCAAGCGGATCACGAGGTCAGGACATCAAGACCATCCTGGCTAACACGGTGAAACTCCGTCTCTACTAAAAACACAAAAAAATTAGCCGGGCGTGGTGGGGGCGCCTGTAGTCCCAGCTACTCGGGAGGCTGAGGCAGGAGAATGGCGTGAACCCAGGAGGCGGAGCTTGCAGTGAGCCAAGATCGCACCAATGCACTCCAGCCTGGGTGACAGAGCGAGACTTCATCTCAAAAAAAAAAGAAAAGAAAAAAAAAAGAAAAAGTTAGCTTGCCATGGTGGTGCGTGCCTGTAGTCCCAGCTACTTGGGAGGCTGAGGCAGGGGAATCGCTTGGACCCGGGAGGCAAAGGTTGTAGTGAGCTGAGATTGTGCCACTGCACTCCAGCCTGGCGACAGAGCAAGACTCCGTATCAAAAGGAAAAAAAAAAAAAAAAAGAAAGAAAATGGGCAAAAGATCTGAACATCTGAACAGTCACTTCAGCAAGGACGATATACAGATGGCAAGTAAGCATATGAAACAATGCTCAGCATGATATGTCATCGGGGCACTGAGAATGAGAACAACAATGTGGTGTCACCACACACCTACTAGGATGACTAAAATCCACAAAACTGACATCATCAAATCTGGTGAGGATGTGGAGCAACAGGAACCCCCATTCATTGCTGGTGGGAATGCAACATGAGACAGCCCCCTTGGAGGACATTCTGGCAGTTTCTGACAAAGCAAAGCAGTTTTACTGTATGATGGAATCACACTCTTAGGTATTTGTCCAACTGATTTGAAAACTTCTGTCCACACAAAACCTACACATGTATACAGCAGTTTATTCTTTTTCTTTTTGGGACAGAGTCTCACTCTGTCACCCAGGCTGGAGTGGAGTGGCACGATCTCAGCTCACTGCAACCTCTGCCTCCAGGTTCAAGTGATTCTCCTGCCTCAGCCTTCCAAGTAGCTGGGATTACAGGTGCCCATT
This sequence comes from Homo sapiens, assembly GCF_000001405.40. Taxonomy (NCBI): domain Eukaryota; kingdom Metazoa; phylum Chordata; class Mammalia; order Primates; family Hominidae; genus Homo; species Homo sapiens. The sequence goes on along the minus strand of NC_000022.11, from coordinate 46,212,861 downwards.
ACCACGCCCGGCTAATTTTTGTATTTTTAGTAGAGACAGCGTTTCACCATGTTGGCCAGGCTGGTCTCAAACTCCTGACCTCAAGTGATCTGCCCGCCTTGGCCTCCCAAAATGCTGGGATTACAGGTGTGAGCCACTGTGCATGGCCAGCTTTATTAATTGCCAAAAATTGGAAGCAACCAAGATGCCCTTAGATAGGTGAATAGATATACAAACTGTGGTACAAACAGACAGTGGGAACTCATTCAGTGTAAAAAGAAATGAGATATCAAGCCATGGAAAGACATGGATGACTCTTAAATGCATATTGCTATGAAAGAAGTCAGTCTGAAAAGGCTACATACTATATGATTTCAAATTCATGGCGTTCTGGAAAAGGCAAAATTATAGCAATGGTAAAAAGAACCATTTCTGAGCTGGCTGGGGGTGGGAGAGGCAGGGTTGAATAGGTGAAGCATGGGGTTTTTTGATGTGGTGAAACTATTCATATGAAAATCTAACAGTGGTCTGGGCACGGTAGCTCATGCCTGTCATCCCAGCACTTTGGGAGGCCGAGGCTGGCAGATAACTTGAGCTCAGGAGTTTGAGACCAGCCTGGGCAACATGGTGAAACCCTATCTTTACAAAAAATACAAAAATTTGCTGGGCTCAGCGGTGTGCACCTGTAATCCCAGCTACTTGGGAGGCTGAGGTGGGAGGATCACCTGAGCCCTGGGAGGCTGAGGCTACAGTGAGCTGAGATTATGCTGCCACTGTACTCCAGCCTGGGTGTCACAGTGAGACCTCCATCAAAGGAGAGGAGAGGAGAAGAGAGGAGAGGGAAAGAGAAAGAAAGAAAAGGAAAGGAGAGGAAAGGAAAGGAAGGAGAGAGACCGGGTGTGGTGGCTCACGCCTGTAATCCCAACACTTTGGGAGGCCGAGGTAGGTGGATCACAAGGTCAGGAGTTCGAGACCAGCCTGGCCCACATAGTGAAACATCGTCTTTTGTATTTTGTAAAAATACAAAAAGTTAGCCAGGGGTGGTGGTGCGTGCCTGTAGTCCCAGCTACTCGGGAAGCTGAGGCAGCAGAATGGCTTGAACCCAGGAGACGGAGGTTGTAGTGAGCCGAGATTGTGCCACTGCACTCCAGCCTGGGTGACAGAGCAAGACAAGAAGGCGAGAAAGCAAGAAAGAGAGAGAAGGAAAATGTAGTGGTGGATACATGACACTACGCATTTGTGAAAACCCACAGAACTTTATAGTTCAGATTGAACCTAATGTGTGCAAATAAAACAAAAATAACTTAGGAGGTTGGAGGATCCCAGGGTGAAATGCAGAATGTAACAAAACAATCTAACTGTGCTACGAATGTAGGAAACAATCTCAGGGGAAAAAGTGGGTGCAGGTGCGGAAAGGCGCTGCACCGAATAATTTGGAATGATTGGAATCTGTAAGACTAAAGGCAAAAGGATCTGGCTGTAAACACTGTGCTCTAGCTGATGGAGTTTTTTTCCCACAGGGTGTGGGTTAACAGTTCTGATACCACTGTGCAGGTATACTGAAAATGAACCATGAACTCAAGGAATGGTGAATTGACAGGTAGGCAAGTGGAGGAGGCTAGAACGATCCATCTGGTAACAGATGAGGGCTGGAGACATCAGCACACACTCATGTTTGGCTTCATACAGCTACAGATGGCCACAGACAGAAATACCGATAGATTCCTGTATAGACATAGGTTAGTATGTATACATATATGTATTTGCTCTGCCAGCTGAGAGCCTGAAAAAGGGATACTTCAGTAGCAACCTGAAATGATGATAGTGAACGCTGCCTGGGGCCCACATGGAGCTGGATATAGTCCTGCTCTCGCCTCCCACAGTGGAAGATCACTGAAGTCATGGGGCATCAGGTGAAGCTCAAAGTGGTTTTGCCTCAGCAGTGGGGCAAAGTTATCTCTAAAACAAACACTGTGATAGTCCCATCTAATGAAGCTGAGAAACAGGACCTGAAAGGATCAAAGATTTTCCAAGTAACTTAATTGCATCCCAGAACAAAGTTCAAGAATATTTATAGGAAATCAAAAATATCCATCACCCAATAAAGTTCCCAACATATGACATCCAATGAGAACAACTGGCCAGGCACGGTGGCTCATGCCTGTAATCCTAGCACTTTGGGAGGCCGAGGTGGGCGGATCACTTGAGGTCAAGAGTTCAAAACCAGCTTGGCCATCATGGTGAAACCCCGTCTCTGCTAAAAATACAAAAAATTATCTGGGCATGGTGGTGAGCACCTGTAATCCCAGCTACCTGGGAGGCTGAGGCAGGAGAATCACTTGAACCCAGGAGGTGGAGGTTGCAGTGAGCCAAGATTGTGCCATCGCACTACAGCCTGGGTGAGAGAGTAAGACTCCATCTCCAAAAAAAAAAAGAAAAGAAAATTACAGGACACATGAAGAATCAGAAAAATATGACCCATGACAAGGAGAAAAATAACTGAATAGAAAGGGACTCAGAAGTGACACAGATGATAGAAATTGTGGCTAAGAGTTTTTTTTTTTTTTTTTTTTGAGATGGAGTTTCGCTCTTGTTGCCCAGGCTGGAGTCCAATGGTGTGATCTCGGCTCACCACAACCTCTGCCTCCCGGGTTCAAGCAATTCTCCTGCCTCAGCCTCCCAAGTAGCTGGGATTACAGGCATGTGCCACTGTGCCTGGCTAATTTTGTATTTTTTGTAGAGACGGGGTTTCTCCATGTTGGTCAGGCTGGTCTCGAACTCCCGACCTCAGATTATTTCCCAACCTCGGCCTCAAGACATTTTTAAAAAGTTATTCTGGGCTGGGTACAGTGGCTCATGCCTGTAATCCCAACACGTTGGGAGGCCAAGGCTGGAGGATTGTTTGAACCCAGGAGTTTGAGACCAGTCTGGGCAACAAAGTGAGACCCGTCTCTTCAAAAAATTTAAAAATTAGCCAGGTGTGGTGGTGTGTACCTGTGGTCCCAGCTACATAGGAGGCTGAGGTGGGAGGATTCCTTGAGACGAGGAGGTTGGGGCTGCAGTGAGCTGTGATCATGCCACTGCGCTCCAGCCTGAGTAACAAAGTGAGACCCTGTCTCTAAAACAAAACAGCAAAAAAAGTTATTCTGACCATATTCTAAATGTTTAAGAAGCTGAGTGAAAGACTGGACATGTTATATAGATACATGGGTGAAAACAGAACCAAATCATGCTTCTAGTTATGAAAACTACAATATCTAATATGGAAAATACACTGGATAGGATTAGGAGCAGATTAGATATTGCAGAAGAAAAAAT